>NC_000001.11:25599163-26849163 GCF_000001405.40 Homo sapiens
TAAACAGTTGTTTTAGGGCACTAAATGTTGGGATGATATGCAGTAAAAGATAACAAAACACTGACTGCTACAGGCCAGGGAAGCAAGAGGCAGCTGGAGGAGTCAGCAAAGGTGGATTATTAGCCGGGCCATGGTTAGCAGCTTTATGGATATCCGAGGAGATAGAAAGGTAGAAAGGTGGAAAGGTGGCCAGGCATGGTGGCTCATGTCTGTAATCCCAGGGCTTTGGGAGGCTGAGGTGGGCAGATTACCTGAGGTCAGGAGTTCGAGACCAGCCTGACCAACATGGCAAAAACCTGTCTCTACTAAAAATATAAAATTAGCTGGATGTGGTGGTGAGCACCTGGAATCCCAGCTACTCGGGAGGCTGAGGCAGGAGAATTGCTTGAACTCAGAAGTTGGAGGTTGCAGTGAGCCGAGATTGTGCCACTGCACTCCAGCCTGGTCAACAGGAGCAAAACTCTGAAAAGAAAGGAAGAAATAAGAAAGAAAGAAAAGAAGAAGAAAAAGAAAGATAGAAAAAAAGAAAGATAGAAAAAGGAAGGAAGGAAGGGGAAAGAAAGAAAGAAAGAAAGGAAAAGAAAGAAAGGTGGGAAAATGACATAGTGGAAAGGTGACATGGTTGCATCTACCTTTCATATGGGCCATTCTGCCTGCTGTATGGAGAACAGATTGCAGGGAGCCAGAGAGGTGGACCAGCCTGGAAATTATTGCTGTTGTTGAGGCAAGAGCTGAGTGTGGCTTGGGACAGGGGGTAGTGGTTGAAGGGGAGCCAGGTAGATGCATCAGAGATAAAAGGATAATACTGGGTGTTGGCTGAGGGGCTGCAGGCTCTCTGTGTGAGTTCTACCTGCCTAGTTCCTTCTAAGGGCCTCGTACCTCTACAGAGTCACACAATGGAAAGAGCAAGGGCTCAGGTATCGGATATATTGGGTGTTAATCTTATATCCAACACCCACCTGCTGTGTTACCTCGGGCAAGTCACCTAACTTCTCTGGACTTCAGTTTTCCTCTTCAATCAAATGGGACCATAAGAAGGATGATAATAATAATTTCATTGATTTGTTGAGCAGTGCCTGGCACACGGTAGGCACTCAATAAATATTTGTTGAATAAATGAATTGAATAGGCTGGAATTGAGGGGGGACAAGGAGGAAATGGTCTCCTTTACCTGCAAACTTGCTCTATAAAGAACCGATTTCCCTTCTTGACTCCTGCTGATAATTCAGGCAGTTCTATGGCTTTCTGTTCCCTTTTGGTCAAAGTAAACAGTTTCATTTTGATAATTAAAACTCACGGCAGTAACTAGAAAGTCCACTCTGACCCAGTGAAATGTAAAATTTTGATTTCGCCTCCAGTTAGAAGGTGAAACAAATCCCTCCTTCAATCAGTACCTACTGTGTGCCAGCCCCTGTGTGTGGTATAGTCAGCTAAGGGCTTGAATCATCAGGAAAAATACAGGAAAGCCTGTTAAATTTGAATTTCAGATAAATAATCAGTGTCCTTTTGGTATATGTATGTCCCCAAATAATGCATGGAGCGTACTTAGTAAAAATTATTTGTAGCTTATCTGAAATTCAAATTTAACTGGATTTCCTGGCCAGTATTTTTTTTTTTTTTTTTTTGTGAGACAGAGTCTCACTCTGTCACCCAGGCTGGAGTACAGTGGCACAATCTCGGCTCACTACAACCTCTGCCTCCCAGGTTCAAGCACTTCTCCTGACTCAGCCTCCCAAGTAGTTGGGATTACAGGCGTATACCACCACGCTCGGCTAATTTTCATTTTTTTGTTCATTCGTTTGTTTGTTTTAAGTAGAGACAGGGTTTCCGCATGTTGGCAAGGCTGGTCTTGGACTTCTGACCTCAAGTGATCCACCTGCCTTGGCCTCCCAAAGTGCTGGGATTACAGGCGTGAACCACCACCCCAGCCCTGCCCAGTATTTTTATTTGCTAAATCTAGCAACCCCAGGGGCAGAGGACATGGCCCTGAAATGACTTGGCCCTTGTCCTGTGGGAGTGTTTGCCTTGGCTAAAGGCGCTTGACTCCATGTGGGTAAACAGGAGCTGGAATACCTTCCCCCTACTTTCCCTTAGTATAGTGGGCATTACCTCCATGGGAGAAGGCTGGCTGCCTGCCAGTGAGATTGGAGCAGCACTCCTTTGTCTAAATGACTGGTCCCATTGCCTAGGTATCCACCATTATAACTACAACCCTTTGACCTTTGGAGGCTTCCTTCCTTCCTTCCTTCCTTCCTTCCTTCCTTCCGTCCTTCCCTCCCTCCCTCCCTCTCTCTTTCTTTCTTTTTCTCTCTCTTTCTCTCTCTCTCTTTCTCTCTTTCTCTTTCTCTCTCTCTTTCCCTCCCTTCCTTCCTTCTTTCTTTCTTTTTCTTTCTTTTCTTTTCTTTCTTTCTTTCTCTCTCTCTTTCTTTCCTTCCTTCCTTCTTTCTTTCTTTCTTTCGTTTTCTTTCTCAGAGTCTTGCTCTGTCACCCAGGCTGGAGTGCAGTGGCACAATTTTGGCTCACTGCAACCTCCACCTCCCGGGTTCAAGCAATTCTCCCGCCTCAGCCTCCTGAGTAGCTGGGATTACAGGCACCTGCCACTATGCCCGGCTAATTTTTGTATTATTAGTAGAGATGGGGTTTCATGATATTGGCCAGGCTGGTCTCAAAGTCCTGAACTCAAGTGATTTGCCTGCCTCAGCCTCCCGAAGTTTTGGGATTACAGGCGTGACCCACTGTGTCCTGCTGGAGGCTTGTTTCTTTTCAGATGGTTAGGAGAGCACATGTGCCTCGGGAGGGTTAAAGGCAAGTTAGCGAGCACTTGATGTGACAACCAATGGGGAGCAGGAGTTTCTGAGAGCAGGATTCAGGGTTGATTTCCTAGAAGGGGTTATGGTGCTAACAGAGGGCAGGAATGGTCTCGTGCGGGAGTGGGAAGGCCCCACACGGGGGACTCTGTGCCTAGCTACTGGCAGGACGTCCCCTGCACCTCTCCAAGCGAGGGCTGAAGAGAAAGAACCTGGAGCAGAGGTCTGGAGGAAGCCATTGTCTGCCTGGGCGGAGGAAAAGGAGGCAGGGAGAGAGCCAGGGCTGGAGTGATGGGCAGGGCCAGGCTAAGTATGAGTTTGGGGCAAGGCCTTTGTCCCCTCAGGCCTCCAAGTCCCTGTCTTAATGTGGGTGGTTGGAGCAAATGCTCTGGGGTGAGGCAGCCCGCCAGACCTCCCTGCCTGCATCCCCTTTGTCTTGGTCTCTAACTTGCCTCTGCAGGCTTTCTTCTAGGCCCGGCAGAGTCCATCTCCTGGGCCAGACCCACTTCGGCTGTCCTTCTGTGTCTGCCACCCTCCCCCACCCCAGACACCTGGAGCCCATCAGAGTGCCTGGCACCACAGCAGCTGCATGTGCCCATAGAGGGGACAGCCTCTCTCACCCCTGCGCCTCAGACCTCACCAGTGTTTCCATCAGACACAGTAACTGGGCGCAGGGAAGGCAAAGAAGGGAAGGGAAGCACTCTGCTGTCATCAGCTCCGCCTCACCTCGGTATCTGCAGATAATCACTGAGCCATTGGGGGTTCTGCAGCATAAACTGGGTTACTTTCATCTTTCCCCATTGGTAATTTAGGGTTCAGCGTTCTTTATTTTTATTTATTTATTTTTTTGAGACAGAGTCTCACCCTGTGGTCCAGGCTGGAGTGCAGTGGCATGATTTTGGCTCACTGCAACCTCCGCCTCTCGGGTTCAAGCGATTCTCTTGCCTCAGCCTCCTGAGTAGCTGGGATTATAGGCACATGCCACCACGCCCAGCTAATTTTTATATTTTTAGTAGAGGCAGGGTTTCACTATGTTGGCCAGGCTGGTCTCAAACTCCTGGCCTCGAGTGATCCACCTGCCTCGGCCTCCCAAAGCGTTGGGATTACAGGTGTGAGCCACTGCACCCGGTGGGTTCAGGGTTCTTGCTTCTGCTAAGTTATAGGCCATCGATCTGCTTTTCTCTCTTCCAAATTTTTCTAATGTCATCTCCTCTTTTGTGATAATTATCCTCATGATTTTATGTCTTTAAAAAATAATCCCCTCTCCCTCTCCCTCTCCCTCTCCCTCTCCCCACGGTCTCCCTCTCCCTCTCTTTCCACGGTCTCCCTCTGATGCCGAGCCGAAGCTGGACTGTACTGCTGCCATCTCGGCTCACTGCAACCTCCCTGCCTGATTCTCCTGCCTCAGCCTGCCAAGTGCCTACGACTGCAGGTGCGCGCCGCCACGCCTGACTGGTTTTCGTATTTTTTTGGTGGAGACGGGGTTTCGCTGTGTTGGCTGGGCTGGTCTGCAGCTCCTAACCACGAGTGATCCGCCAGCCTCGGCCTCCCGAGGTGCCGGGATTGCAGACGGAGTCTCGTTCACTCAGTGCTCAATGGTGCCCAGGCTGGAGTGCAGTGGCGTGATCTTGGCTGGCTACAACCTCCACCTCCCAGCTGCCTGCCTTGGCCTCCCAAAGTGCCGAGATTGCAGCCTCTGCCTGGCCGCCACCCCGTCTGGGAAGTGAGGAGCGTCTCTGCCTGGCCGCCCATCGTCTGGGATGTGAGGAGCCCCTCTGCCTGGCTGCCCAGTCTGGAAAGTGAGGAGCGTCTCTGCCCGGCCGCCATCCCATCTAGGAAGTGAGGAGCGTCTCTGCCCGGCCGCCCATCGTCTGAGATGTGGGGAGTGCCTCTGCCCTGCCGCCCCGTTTGGGATGTGAGGAGCGTCTTTGCCCGGCCGCCCCGTCTGAGAACTGAGGAGCCCCTCCGCCCGGCAACCACCCCGTCTGGGAAGTGAGGAGTCCCTCTGCCCGGCAGCCGCCCCGTCTGGGAAGTGAGGAGCGTCTCCGCCCGGCAGCCACCCCGTCCGGGAGGGAGGTGGGGGGGGTCAGCCCCCGCCAGGCCAGCCGCCCCGTCCGGGAGGGAGGTGGGGGGGGTCAGCCCCCCGCCTGGCCAGCCGCCCCATCCGGGAGGTGAGGGGCGCCTCTGCCCGGCCACCCCTACTGGGAAGTGAGGAGCCCCTCTGCCCGGCCAGCCACCCCGTCCGGGAGGGAGGTGGGGGGGTCAGCCCCCCGCCCGGCCAGCCGCCCCGTCCGGGAGGGAGGTGGGGGGGTCAGCCCCCCGCCCGGACAGCCGCCCCGTCCGGGAGGGAGGTGGGGGGTTAGCCCCCTGCCCGGCCAGCCGCCCCGTCTGGGAGGTGAGGGGCACCTCTGCCCGGCCGCCCCTACTGGGAAGTGAGGAGCCCCTCTGCCCGGCCACCACCCCGTCTGGGAGGTGTACCCAACAGCTCATTGAGAACGGGCCATGATGACAATGGCGGTTTTGTGGAATAGAAAGGGGGGAAAGGTGGGGAAAAGATTGAGAAATCGGATGGTTGCCGTGTCTGTGTAGAAAGAGGTAGACATGGGAGACTTTTCATTTTGTTCTGTACTAAGAAAAATTCTTCTGTCTTGGGATCCTGTTGATCTGTGACTTTACCCCCAACCCTGTGCTCTCTGAAACATGTGCTGTGTCCACTCAGGTTTGAATGGATTAAGGGCGGTGCAAGATGTGCTTTGTTAAACAGGTGCTTGAAGGCAGCATGCTCCTTAAGAGTCATCACCACTCCCTAATCTCAAGTACCCAGGGACACAAGGCCGCAGGGTCCTCTGCCTAGGAAAACCAGAGACCTTTGTTCACTTGTTTATCTGCTGACCTTCCCTCCACTATTGTCCTGTGACCCTGCCAAAACCCCCTCTGCGAGAAACACCCAAGAATGATCAATTAAAAAATAATAATAAATAAATAATAAATAAATAAATAAATAAATAATCCTTTTTGCCTTCGAGTTTAGTGGAGCATCGGGAGAAGGCAGAGCTCTGTCTGTGTGCTCAGCCTAACTTCCTTAACAGAATTCACAGTCAGTCTAACTTAACCTCCACAACAACATCAAGGGGCCAAGAATGCACAATGGGGAAAAGATAGCCTCTCCAAGAAATGGTGTTGGGGAAACTGGATATCCACATGTGGAAGAATGAAATTGGACCCTTCTCTTACATCAAAATCAACTCAAAATTGATGAAAGACTTCAACACTAGAAGAAAACTACTAGAAGAAAACATAGGGGGAAAGCTCCGTGACAGTCTGGGTGATGGTTTTTTGGATATGATCCCAAAAGCATAGGCAACAAAAGCAAAAATAGACAAATGGGACTACATCAAACTAGATAGCTTTTGCACAGTAAAAGAAACAATCAACACAGTAAAGACAGAACCAATGGAATTGGAGAAATTATTCGCAAACTATGCATCTGATAAGGGGTTAACATCCAAAATATATAAGTGACTCAACTTAATAGCAAGGAAACAAATGACTCAATTAAAAAATGGGCAAAGGACTTGAATAGACATTTCTCAAAAAAAGACATATGAATGGACAACAGGTATATGAAAAAATGCATCACTGATCATCAGAGAAATGCAAATTAAAACCACAAGATATCACCTAATACCTGTTAGAATGGCTGTTATAAAAAAGACAGAAGATACCAAGTGTTGGCAAGGATGTGGAAAAAAGGAAACCTATACACTGTTGGTGGGAGTGTAAATTAGAATAGCCATTATGGGCTGGTCAGGAGTTTGAGACCAGCCTGGCCAATATGGTGAAACCCCCGTCTCTACTAAAAATACACAAATTAGGCAGGCATGGTAGTGCATGCCTGTAGTCCCAGCTACTCAGGAGGCTGAGGCAGGGGAATCGCTTGAACCTGGGAGGCAAAGGTTGTAGTGAGCTGAGATTGCACCTCTGCACTCCAGCCTGGGCAAGAGTGAGACTCTGACTTAAAAAAAAATAGCCATTAGGGAAAACAGTATGGAAGTTCCTCAAAAAACTAAAAATAGAACTACTATATGATCCCACAATCTCACTACTAGGTATGTATCCAAAGGAAATGAAATCAAGTCAGTCCAAGAGATATCTGTACTCCCATTTTGTTGCAGTATTATTCAAATAGCCAAGGATGCAGAATCAACCTAAGTGTCCATCAACAAATGAACGGATAAAGAAAATGAGCCTGGAGGACATTGTTAAGTGAAATAAGCCAGACACAGAAAGACAAATACTGTGTGATTTCACTGAAAACTGAAATCTAAAAAAGTCAAACTCATAGAAGCAGAAAGCAGCATGGTGGTTATCAGGGGCGAGGAGGGGAGAGGATTGGAAGATGTTGGTCAAAGAATACAAAATTTCACTTAGACAGGAAAAATAAGTTCAAGGATCGATTGTACAACCTGGTGTCTATAGTTAATAGCTATGTATTATATACTTGAAAACTGCTGAGAGGAGACTTTAAGTGTTCTCTCCATAAATAGGTGAGATAATGCATATATAAATTAGCTTGATTTAGCCATTCCACAATGTGCATAGATGTCAAAACATCGTGCTGTACACCATAAATGTATACAAGTTGTATTTGTCAATTTAAAAAATAAAAAAATGCCAAGGGGCCAGTATCATTATCCTCATTTTCCAAATAAGAAAACAGGCTCAGAGTGGATGTCTGAGGGCTTGAATGTGGCAGGACCCAGAACTGCTCACGGCCCCGTGACTCCAACACTCTTTGCACAGCTGTGCACAGCTCTCCTTGCAATGCCCAGAGAAGGTTATGCCCTCCACAGCTACAAAGATATTGGGTCTTCTGTGGCAAAACCCTGGTGACAGTGGATGCCCTGGGGTGACCACGCCGTCTTCCATCTGAATGTATCCTCCTACTGTCTGCTGTGTTAGAGATGAGGCATTATGAGAAGGAGAAACTATTTGTCAAATGTAATTAACAATTAGAAATGACCTAAATGTCTAACGGTAGCAGATTGGGTAAATAAATAATCATAGAGCCACATAAGAAGTACTATTTGGCTGTTCAGAACAATTAAGTAGAAGAGTATTTAATTTCATGGAAATGCTCCTGACATATTGGTACATTAGAAAAAGCAGACTGCCTAAGCAGTGAGCATGGTACAATTCCATTTTAACAACAACAACACACATATCATAACGAGTCAACATTTATATACCCATACTCATATTCATAGCAGCATATTCACAATAACGAAAACATAGAAGCAAACCAAGTGTGCATCGATGGATGAATGGACAGGGAAAATGTGGCAGATACACACGATGGAATATTATTCAGCCTTAAATGGGAAGAAAGTTCTGTCACATGCTACCAAATGGATGAACTGTGAGGACACTGCGCTAAGTGAAGTGAGACAGTCACAAAAAGACAAATACTGTATGATTCCACTTATATGAGGTGCTTAAAGTAGTCAAATTCATAGAAACAGAAAGTAGAATAGTGGTTACCAGGGGCTGGGCGATGGGAAGAATGCGGAGTTAGTGTTTAATGAGTACAGAGTTTCAGTTTTAGGGGATGATAAGTTGCTGGACAGCACAGCTGTCCATAGGAACCAGCCATAAGCCACTGGGGCTTGCAGTGCACTGGAAATGTGGCTCGCCTGAATTGCGATGGGCTATAAATGTAAAACCCACTGTAGATTGTAAGACTTGGTATGTAAAAAAGAATATAACTTTTCTCATGAAGGATTTTTTTTTTTTTGAGATGGAGTCTCGCTCTGTTGCCCAGGCTGGAGTGCAGTGGCATGATCTCAGCTCACTGCAACTTCCGCCTCCTGGGTTCAAGAGATTCTCCTGCCTCAGCCACCCGCATAGCTGGGACTACAGGTTTGTGCTACCAGGCCTGGCTAATTTTTGTATTTTTAGTAGAGATGGGGTTTCTCCATGTTGGCCAGGCTGGTCTCGAGCTCCTGACCTCAAGTGATCTACCTGCCTGGGCCTCCCAAAGTGCTGGGATTACAGGCATAAGCCACTGCGCCTGGCCTCACGAAGGATTTACCAAAAAAAAAAAAAAAAAAAGATTTGGCTGGACACAGTGGCACACGCCTGTAATCCCAGCACTTTGGGAGGCCGAGGCGGGTGGATTGTCTGAGCTCAGGAGTTTGAGACCAGCTTGGGCAATATGGTGAAACCCCATCTCTACTAAAATACAAAAAATTAGCCGGGCGTGGCAGCGTGCACCTGTAGTCCCAGCTACTCAGGAGGCTGAGGCAGGAGAATCGCTTGAACCCGGGAGGCGGAGGCTGCAGTGAGCCAAGATCGCACCACTGCACTCCAGCCTGGGTGAGAGTGAGACTCTGACTCCAAAAAAAAAAAAAAAAAAAAAAAAAAAAAAATGGAAATGATAATCTTTTGGATGTATGGGATTAAATAAAATATATTATTAAAATTAGTTTTACCTTAAAAAAAAACTTTTGAAAAGTTAAAAATTCAGTGGCTCCAAAACTCAGAAGTCTACACCACACACATTAATCTCTCATTTAAGCCCCATGCCGGTGCAGCCAGTGCGGATCCTCAGAAGGCTCTGCTGGTCACCGGGGCCCTGGCGGAGGGTGCAGCTGCCATCTCATCACTGTCAGTCGCCCTGCTAGTGGGACAGTCGCAGCTCTAGAGGATATGGCACCCTCAATTAAATGCTTGGGACTCGAAGTGACAGTTGTCATTTCTGCTCACAGCTTATTGGCCACAGCTAGTCACACGGCTCCACTCAACCACAAGGGGGCGGGGCAATCTCACCAAGTGCCCCAAAGGCAGCGATCTGGAACTATTTGGCGAACAGGGCAAAATGACTAGCTCCGTGCAGCTTTTTTATTTCTTTAAAATACATAGAATAGAATAATTTTTAAAACGTAGAACGGAATAAAATAAGAAATATAGTATGTTTAGAATTTTTAATTTAAAACTTTAAATATTAGGTTATGTTTAATTTTTTTTTATATCATGTGTGAGGTACAATAAATATTTGTGGAATGTTGACAGTTCTTTCTGAAAAGGGATCACAGCTATAATGAATATGACTTTTTGGCTTTATTACTAACAAAGTGCTTGCCCGGGGGTCATCTCATTTAAGGTATTATGGGCCTCTTTGCAGATGAAGAAACTGATCTAAGACAGATGAGTGACCTCCCCAGGTCACCCAATCAAGTGGCAGAAGTGGGACTTGGGAACAAGTAAGATAACCCATGAGACTTCTTCTTCAAACCCCAATATTTCTTCTCTTTCCTATATCAACCTCAAATCTTAAGCTTGCTATTCTTTACTTCGTTTAATAACACTAACATTTAACATACTGAGTACTATCATCACTGCTAAGGAAACTAATGCTCAGAGGAGGAGACTTGCCCAAGGTTACGTGTCCCTGAAGAGGCAAGACTTGGATTCGAATGTGGATTTATGAGAATCAAAGCTACAACCACAATGCCCTTCTGCCACTCTGGCTTATTGACCTGCTTCTAGAAAAAAACTTGAATGGCATAGGGGATAAGTTTTAAGGGGACTTCCCATGATTGTATGGTCCAGGTGGTGTTCACCCAGCAACACCTGCCTGATGCCTTCAGCCCTTCTTACCATCCTAACCCTAGAAGGGCAGATATTTTGACACCCTGCATAGAACCTGGAGCCTCAACTCATGGACATTTAAAAAACAGACACACACAAACAAAAACTCCTTGATATTAGCAAAGGTAACCAGGTGACGAAATTATGTCAGGGTTGCATTTTAAAGAGACTGTTTTATTTCTGGCTTTATGGTGCTTGATGTAAGCTTTTAGAAATGTATTTTTATGATAATCAAAGATATTTATTTTACATGCCCTTTAAAAAGTGCCAGGACTGTAAATAATAATAGCTAACATTTAGTTCCTACTATATGCCAGGCACACTGCTTAAACATTAAAATGGATTATTTCATTTTAGCCTCACAATGTCAGTGAGGTAAACATAACCCGGGACCATGGAAACAAGAAGAACCTTGATGCCTTCCTGTGCTTGTGGAAGCGGCATCAGCTGGGATTCTCAAGTACTGCTAGCCAGCGTCTGCTCTGCCTCCAGCTGCAAGTTACTTACAGGCTCTGATCCTTAAATTGCAACATTCCACCATTGGGCTGAATGATCTCGAAACTCCCGGAGAGGAGGGGCTTCTCTGAGCAGTGCTCAGCACAACAGGGCTTCCTAAACAGCCACTATTATCATCCAAACAGGGAACATGTCTTCTGAAATGAAAAGCGGTGTGTACAGTCTGACAAGTGAAAGTTCTCATAGGGCCATGGACAGAGTATTTGAGATTCTAGCATCTCTGGAAGCGTTGAGTTACAATATAGCAGTTTGGGTTGCTATCTTGCCTGCCACTAGGAAATGAGGCAGTGCTGATTCTTTTTGTCTTTTGTAACATTAGTTCATATTTATTGAGTGCTGCTGTGTGCCAGACACTATGCTATTTACAAAAATTAGCTCCTAAGTCCTCATATCCACCCTACTTCGTGGGTACTATGATCATCTTCATTTCACAGATGAGGAAACTCAGGCTTCAAAAAGTGGGCAATTTCCCAAGGTGTCACTGCTAGTAGGTGACTGAGTCCAGGCTTAGATCTGGCACTGTGGCTACAGGGTCCTCATTCTTACCACTCTGTGTTCCCTTCTCCAGCATACTAAGGACTTGGCTTTGGGAGTAGATCTGCTCACTCGAAGGAAGAGTAAACATTTGCCTCAAGCTCTTTACAGTCAGTGATCTTATCTAATCCTCACATCATCTTTCTGAGGTGAGTATCACTATTAATCCCTTTTGACAGATGGAGAAATTGAGGCTCAGAGAGGTCAGACAAGTTGCCCAAGATCAACCAGCCAAATGTGTGGTAAAACCAGGATTTCAGACCCGAACCTGTCTGACCTCAGCCTTGGCTCTGAGCCAGGGTTTCTTACCCTTTGCACCATTGATATTTGGGGCCCGATAATTCTTTGTTGTAGGGGACTGTGCTGTGCATTGCAGTATGTGCAGTAGCATCTCTGACCTCCACCCACTAGATGCCAGTAGCACTCTGCCCCCAGTTACAACAATCTAAATTATCTCCAGAAATCACCAAATATTCCCTAAGGGCAAAACTGCCCCCAGTGGACAACCCCTGCTCCCCTGCTCTAACCACTAAGCACCCAGTGCTAGGACCCATGGCAAAGCCCCAGCTGACTGCTGCTTCTGCTGCAGGACCGGGGTCTCGGGTAAGAAGAGTTAAAATAAAACCTTTACGCTGTCATTTTAAAAGCCTCATGCCAGGTGTTCCTGGCTCTATGACCCTGAAATTGACCACCACTGCACAGTGAGGTATTGACTGGGTCCCACAGCCTGCTGGGGTGAGCCCAGGATGGCTGGAGGGCCTTTTGTCTCTCAAGACTAACTTGGTGTGCTCTCGGGGGTGGAGCCCCTCCCACAGTCATCAGTGTCTCTTCTGCCCAGTGCCAAATTTGTCTGGTGGCTATTAAGGAAGCTGCCTGATGATTATCCGTTGGCTCAAGCTTGGCTTTATCTCTAGTCTTCGATTCTAAATGAGACTAATGACCATTTGAGATTCAGATTCTGCACCAACTGCCCAGCTGCCTCCTCAGTGAAGGAGCTGAAGGGGAATCCCTTACAGCCTGGTTCACTGCTCCCATCTCAGCAAATACCCCCACCAGGCAATAAGAGACCCTGGAGATACCTCCCTCTCCATCACTGCCCAAGTTCAAGCCATCACCTGATCCTGTCAATTTTGGCTTCTAAATATGGTTTGAATCCTGTGGTGCTATCCATCTCCCACTCCCCAAATAGTCTAGCACAGACTATTGCAATATCCTCTGAAAGGTACCCCCTTCATTCACCCCTGTCTTCCATTTTGTCTTCCACACTGTAGCTAGAGTAACCTTTAAAAGTGTTCATCTGAACCTACCCACCCACCTCCCCCTACACTTTCCCACTCCTACCCTAATTCATCCGGTGTCACTTCTTGTCTTTCTCCATCACTTTCTCTACTCCAGACCTACTGATTTCTATTCTCAAAAGCACCATGTTCCCTCCAACCCAGGCACTTTGCCTGTGCTGCCCCCTCAGCCTGGGCATTCTCACTCTCCTTCTGCTAGGTAACTGCACTCATCCTCAGGGGGAGCCTCCCCTGGCCCACCCAGTGAAGCCTGGGTCCAGGTCCACTGTTGCCTGCTCTTAGGGCAATGTTTCACTCTCCTTCCTCTCTCTGATCTTAGCTCATACTCCTTTGGAAGTTATTTGTTTAAACTCATCTTCCCCATGAGACTGTAGGCTTCATGATAGGAGAAATGTGTCTGTTTTTCCTCACCACTGTATCCCTAAAGCTTAGTGTATTGCCTTGGGTTGGGTATATACATCAGGCACCTTGTACCTGCTTGTTGAATGACTGAATGAACTTATATAATCCTCCCAATGAGCCTGTGATGATCTTGCCTGAGGCCAGTGCTCTTTCCTTGCTCTCACTACGTATAGAACCTGCTCTCACAGCATTACAAGACGGAGACAGTAGACTCTGACAGGCATAGAGGGCTCTGGATCCTGATTGTCTGGGCTCAAATCTCTCTTCTGCCACTTCCTAGCTGTGTGACTT
Organism: Homo sapiens; assembly: GCF_000001405.40. Lineage (NCBI taxonomy): Eukaryota > Metazoa > Chordata > Mammalia > Primates > Hominidae > Homo > Homo sapiens. The sequence continues at coordinate 25,612,662 of NC_000001.11, forward strand.
TGGGTAAGTTCCTTAACATCTCTGTGCTTAATGGTACCCCTCACATGGGGTGTTGTAAGGATCAAATAAGTTAGTCTTTTTTTTTTTTTTTTTTTTTTAGACACAGCCTCACTGTATCACCAAGGCTAGAGAGCAGTGGCGTGATCTTGGCTCCCTGTAGCCTCTACCTCCCAGGTTCAAGTGATTCTCGTGCCTTAGCCTCCTGAGTAGCTGGGATTACAGGCACATGCCACCACGCCGAGCTAATTTCTGTATTTTTAGTAGAGACAGGGTTTCACCATGTGGGCCAGGCTGGTCTCGAACTTCTGACCTCAGGTGATCCGTCCACCTTGGCCTCCCAAAGTGCTGAGATTACAGGCATGAGCCACTGTGCCTGGCCAGTTTAGTCTTTAACTTGTTTTTAAAAGGGCTCAATCGCATAATAAGTTCTCCATCCATCTTAGTAGTTGCTAATAGCATTAACAGAAAACACATAGATTCTGTGATTAGATGGGCCTGATTTCTTCTCATATTCGCCCTGTGTGGCTTTGGACAAGTCATGTCACATCCTGAGTCTCAGTTTCCCCATCTGCTAAACTGGGGTCTTGAAACCTACCTCAGAGAGGGCTGTTGCGAGGGTGAGATAGGATGTGAGTGAAGCACTAGCACTGGTGCCTGGGGGTTCCCTTCCTGATGGGCCGGATTGGTCTGTGTTTGTTGCCTTTTAGACAAGAAGTTCCATGAAGGTGGGCTTCATGTCTGTGTCAGGGCTGTATCCCCTGCCTCTCTGTACCTGGCACATAGTAGATGTTCAATAAGTAGTTTTTCACTGGATGAATGAATCAATAGTAACAAGGGACCATGCTTTGCTCACCTTTGTGTCCAAAACTAGTGCAATACCTTGCATCTAATTTGAATAAATATTTGTTGACAGAATAAATAGATTTTTTAGAAATAGCTGTTTGTTTCTGTTCCCAGTTCCATTTGAATTTCTGAATTAAACTGAGAAAGATACTGTGAAGGTTAATTTTGTGTGTCAATTTGACTGGGCTACGGGATGCTTACATAGCTGGTAAAACATTACTTCTGGGTGTGTCTGTAAGGGAATTTCTGGAAGAGATTAGTAATTGAATCAGTAAATTGAGTAAAGAAGATCTGCCCTTACCAGTATGGGTGGGCAGCATCCAATCCACTGATGGCTGAAACAGAACTAAAAGGAAGAGGAATGGCAAATCCATGCTCTGTGCTTGAGCTGGAACATCCATCTTCTCCTGCCCTTGGACATCAGCTCTCCTGGTTCTCGGGTCTTCAGACTCAGACTGGGATTTACACTATCGGCTCTTGTGGTTCTCAGGCCTCCTGGCTTGGACTGGAACTACACCACCAGCTTTTTAGACCTCCAGATTGCAGATGGCAGATTGTGGAACTTCTCAGCCTTCCATAATCACAGAAGTCAATCCCTCATAATAAATCTCTTTTTATATATCTATATATAGCCTATTGGTTCTGTTCTGGAGAACTCTGATTAATATAGATACTTATAACTCATCCCAAGTCTCTCTAAGCCTTGGTATTCTTATCTGTAAAATGGGGCTATTAATAATTATCTACCACAAAGATTATTCTGAAAAGTAAATAAGACAATATGTATTTGGCACATAGAAAATGTTAGTTCACTGTTCTTCCATTCCCCGAGCTTCAGTTTCTACATCTGTGAAATGGGCATCTACTCACTCATTTCTTCATTCATTTACTGAGCAAACACAGTGCCCATGTGGAAGGCATTGTGGTTAAGACCCGGGGCAGTTAGAGAAGTTAGAGAGTTAGAGAAGTGAGGAAGCCGTGGTGAAGAACTGAGCATCTGCTTTGTGACAACACACCAATAGTCTTTAAAAGTCAGTGGGAGAAGAGCCACGGGATGTATGAGGTCTCTGGGGGCTAGAGGTGTGGGGCAAGGGGACACCCAGGGTTTCAGAGAGCTTTTTAGAGAGACTGGTATCTCCCTAGCAAGTGATGGTATCAACAACTTGGTGTGATCACCAACATCACATCACTTTGCAATGGAGTTACCTGCTGGGGCCTCTGGTTTTCATAGCCTGAGTGTGAAAGGCACGTCAGTCCTGCTGCAGCCCCACTTTCCACCCTGGCTCACAGAGCACACCAGAGTTTGGTCAGAGTGTCACATCACAGTGAGCATCTAGTTCAAACAGACATTTCCTTCTGAGATTCAGCTCTGCTCTTCTCCCTTTCTGGATCCTACCTTCACAGGGGACTGAACAGTGATTCCCCTACACTCTCAATGAGGAACAACACAGATGATGACTCTAATGAATGCTGGGTCCCTGCCTGGTTCTCCAAAGACAAGGTTGCCCTTTCCTGCAGTGGGACCCAGTGAGGCGATGCTTGGGTGTTGGAGACATGGGTGAGGCCAGGCCAGGTCTCTGGGCTCCTGCACCCAAATGGGTCACATGCTTATCTCTGATTTGCACAGCTGGCTCCACATCAACCTGCCAACGAAACTCACAAGAGATTGAAATATCTGAATTAGAATTTTATATTTAAGCTGCATATATTTGTGGGATTGGGAAGGATTAGTCATCTCCAGTGACCAAAATGTTTGCACCTGTTACCCACTTTCATTTTCAGTTGAGAGAAAGTTGCATGCCAGGGATATTTAAACATCGAGGGTGGGTCTGCTGTCAGTGGTCTGGCCAGAGGTAGAAGGATGACTGAGTCCCAGCCGCCCATCCCCAGCAGGCCTCAGGGAAGAAGCAAGATTTACGAGGCGAGAGCCTGCCTGGCCCGCTTCTTCTGTCGGGAAAGGCTTCCCTGCAGTATTTTCTGTCTCGTCAACACTGCATTTCATTTTAAATTGCAGCTGAAAGTAGATATTTTCCCTCTTGCCTATTACAAACCTCTTAATTTGTCTCTCCCTCTGCTGTTATTTGTCTCTATAAAGTGTTTTGCATGAAAGACCCACACAGCACAATGTTGCTTCACCCTGGGTTAGGTTTAACAGGAAGGGAAGATGCAGAGACTAAGTCCAAGGAGGAAGATGTGAGGGCCTTGGGGTTGAGGACACGCGTGTCTGGGAGTTGATGCCTGGCTGTTTTTGGAGGTTATCTGTTGCCTGAGTGTCTGTGGGTATGCGGGTGCACATGTCCATGTTTGTACTAATTTACATATATGTCTATGCATACTGTGGTATAATCACTTGGGTGTCCATACCCAAATTAAGTGTATGTTTGAGTGCATGTACACACCCACATGCCAGTCTCTGTGTGCATATAGATCTATGCCCAGACGCACACATGTGCATATAAACACACGTAGGCATCAAGGTAGACGTCCGTCACATTATGTGTGTGGTCTTCTGTAGACACGCCCGGGGCTCTCTTCCTTTCGCTGCTTCTCAAGGCTGCGGTCAGCCTCCCTCCGTGCTCCACCCAGGAGCCCTGGCCCCGTTTAGGGTTGTGGGAAAAGGAAGGCACGCCAGTGGTCTGCGAGGGGGCCAGTGGAAACATCACCTCCGCCGACCCGGCCGCGGTCACAGCTCTCTGGCTTGGCTCCAGCCACCAGCAGCACCCCTGCAGCCCGGCGTTAGCGCTGAGAAGCCCGGGGCAGCCGCCAGGGCGCGGGCTGCCAGCTCCCTGACAACCCCGGGCTGGCACTCGGGGGCGAGAGAGGTCACCCAGCGACGGGCACACCCCTCCAGAGCAACACCGTCTCCGGCCCGCTTCCGGGGGCCACCAACCCGAGCCTCGCGGGCGGGCTGGGGGGTGGTCTCTGTCGCTTGGGGTCCAGCGAAGGCTGGGCAGTAACCAATGGACGACTGTGGCCCAACGGGGATCCCTCGGATGCAGCCAATGCCCTCGTTGCGCTCTCCGCCCCCGCCCTCGCCTGCCCCGCGCCGCTGGACCATTGGCGCCCGCTGGATGGGGGGTGCGCGCGACGCCTGCCCTTCGGGGAGGGCGGGGCTTGGAGCGGGCTGCGCTCCCGCCCGCGCTCGGCCTCTGCCCCGCCCCCGGACGCGCGGCCCTCAGCCGGCTGCGGCGCGGCGGCGGCGGGAGGGGGCGCGGGGCGCGCGCGTGGGCGTGGCCGGCGGGCGTGGCCGGCGGGCGGCAGGAGGCGGGGCGGCGGGCGCTGTCGCAGTGAAAGCCCGAGCGGCGGCGGCGGCGGGGACGGCGGTGGAGGCGGCCGGGTGGCTGTGCGCGCGTGTGGGGCGCAGGCTCGGCGGCAGCGGCCGGTCTGGAGCGGCCGCTGCGAGGAAGACAGCTGCAGCGGGGGAGGCGCGGCCAGGGCTGCGCGCTCCGCGGAGCCGGCGGGGCCGGGAACAGGTGATCCCAGTGGGAGCCCCGCGCCCTGCCGAGTTCGAGGGGCGGGAGCCCGCGCTCCCGGGCGCATCTGCAGCCGCCCAGCCGCGGCTCCGGACCCAGGCATCCCTGCGCTGTCTGGGGCCCGGGGGAAGCCCCCTGCCCCCGCAGGCTCGGAAGTGCCTGCTCCTGCTCCCTGGCCACTCCGGCTCCCAGCTCCCGGCGCCCTCTCCGCGGCGGAGAAAGTTGTGGACGTGTCCCGATAGTCGAGCCCGGGCGCTGTCGCGACCGGGCCGGGTGTGCGCGCGCTCGGGGCGGCGCTGACACGCCAGCCCCCCATCGCCTCGGTCCCCTCCGGAAACTGCTTCTGAAGCTGAAACTTTGGGCGCCTACCAGCGCGGGCGGGAGCCTAGGGGGCGGAGGGCGGCTTGGTGCGGGCCTGCGGGCGCCCCTCGGCGCGGACAGCCGGGACGCCGCGGACGGCATGTGACGGTCCCGGCGGCCGCAGCGCGGGAAGGCGCGGGCCCCGGCGCGGCGGGGAGGGCTCGGCCGGAGGGGAGGCTGCGGCGCGCGGCCGGTCGCTGCGGGCCCGGGCCCCAAGCCGTGCCGCTCCGCTCGCCCGGGCCCCGCCGAGGCCGCTGCGCCCCCGCCTCCTCGCGGGAGGACTCGCTCCAAACTCCCTGAACTTCGGGGACAGTCCCCCGAAGCGGCGAAACTCTCAGGGTTGGCAACCCTGCCCAGGGACCCCCATCCCGGGCGGCGCTCCGGACGCCCTCCCCTCACCGCGCCCCCGCAGACACGTGCCTGGACTCCGAGGGCTTCTGGAGCCACCGGCCGGGCCACGATGCTCATGAGGAAAGTGCCCGGCTTCGTCCCGGCCTCCCCGTGGGGGCTGCGGCTGCCGCAGAAGTTCCTCTTCCTCCTCTTCCTCTCGGGCCTGGTCACCCTGTGCTTCGGGGCCCTCTTCCTGCTGCCCCACTCCTCTCGCCTCAAGCGCCTCTTCCTGGCCCCCCGGACCCAGCAGCCTGGTCTGGAAGTGGTGGCTGAAATCGCCGGCCATGCCCCGGCCCGCGAGCAGGAGCCGCCTCCCAACCCGGCCCCCGCCGCGCCGGCCCCGGGCGAGGATGACCCCAGCAGCTGGGCCAGTCCCCGCCGCAGGAAAGGGGGGCTGCGGCGCACCCGCCCCACTGGACCCCGCGAGGAGGCCACGGCGGCCCGGGGCAATAGCATCCCGGCCTCCAGGCCCGGGGACGAGGGCGTCCCTTTCCGCTTTGACTTCAACGCATTCCGGAGCCGTCTCCGCCACCCGGTCCTGGGAACGAGGGCCGATGAGAGTCAGGAGCCCCAGAGCCAAGTGCGAGCCCAGCGGGAGAAAATCAAGGAGGTATGGACTCAGCCCCCAAACTCCTCCCACCAACTGCCCCCTCTAAGGAGAGAAGACCCTCTGGCGCTCCCACCCCTTTCCCTTGCCTCAGTCACTCCTGGTCCCAGGTCTACTTCTGGCCCTGCAGACTGCACTTTGCACCTTCCCCTTTCCTCCCAAATGTCCCACCTTCTTTCCTCCCTACACAGTTTCCCACCACTCGGGTCAGTTAATCGTCCCCACCGTGACAGATGGCAGCTGAACCCCTAGACCAACTGCCCCCTCACTCCCAGACTCTGGTATGTCGTATCCAACCCCCAGGCCCAGTGAGCTCCACTCCTTCCCTTTGTGGAGTTGCTAATGAGAGTGGAGTTCAGGTTCCTTAGTGCACCCTCTTTTTGCATTTGTGGACACAGAGCCACTGGTCCCATTCTTTTTCACTGTGTGACCTTAAGTCCAAAACCCCTATAGGACCTGCTTACCTAAAAACCCAGGATTTAAGGGGGTATTTGGTGTCCTGCAAATATTTTGTAATCTAGTAAGCAACCTACAAACCAGAGGATGTTGTGCATTCTGTTTCTATTGAGCTTATTGAGCTTCAGAACAATTGTACACAATTGTACATAATTGCATATGATGCAGGAAGAGATGATAAAGCAGTGGTCATATTACAGAAGCTCCGAGGTTATTGGCATAATGAAGCAGATCTTGAGCTGGTTCCCTGTAGGGATTGTACCAGGAGGGATTTAGAAGGATCACTTTAAGTCTGAGTCTTAGTTTAAGAAATCAAAAGCAAACACAGCCTCACAAGGCTTGAAGACAGTTGCCAGCTTGCCACTGCCACTAAATATTCTGCTGGACCACTGTTAGAACTGCCTGCGTGCGGATGGTGCCCAGCAATGCAGAGGGGGCTGCAGTGACACCCCCAGGCCACGAGGGGGCCGTGGGCAAGCTGTGGGCCAGGGTCTCCTCCCTAGAAACGAGAGGATGCTCTCCCCTCCCCATGGACTCAAAGGAAAGAAAGGGCTGCTTCTGCCTGGACTTCTTGATTTGCTGCGAAGAAGTCAGCAGTTCGACCCTGATTTCCAGGAAGAGCAGGCAGCAAGGATCAGGACCTGCCCTGTCAAGACCTGCTCAGAGCCGATGGAGGGCTTAGCCAGATTATCCCCTTCTCCTTGTCTGAACCATCCTCCCTTCCAGCGCCCACCTCTCTTCCACTTCTTATCTTTTCTGTTACTCTGTTTGGAGACTTAACTAGCAATCACAGGACATTTTGTGAAGTTACAGTAGGAAGCCACAGGGAAACTGAGTGCTTGGTGTGTATGTGTGTGTGCATGTTTGTGTGCTCTCAGTTTCCAGATTCCTGTTGAAATCTCAGGTTGAGTGACAGCTGGAACTTGCAGTAGCTAAGTAAGGGGCATTCATTTCTCCCTTTCTTGTTAAGGAACTACGCTGTTGAATACTCACTTGGACCACCCATAGCTCTTTCTCAAAGCTGCTTCTGAGCACAGTGGCTCTTTTTGCCCCTCTCGACCTCCCAGTAGGGCAGTGACCCCCAGTGAAATTACATATAAATTGCATGCATGCAGTTTTTCATGGGGCATCCAGAGGTGCCATCAGATTTTCAAACTGATCCCCCAAAGGATTAAGAATTAACTATCATCTTCCTCAGAAGAGATACTCTCTGTGTTTGCATTTAGATGGTGGTCCATTTCCGAATGCCAGGGGCTGGAGAGTCATGGCAGGAAGGAAGGGCTGGCTAGTAGGGAACTTGATTCTCCCTCTCTGTGTAAGACAATTTATTTTGCCAGCAGAGTCTGGGATGATGCTTGCTGGAGTGGCTGGAGGGTGGGAAGAGGGGTGAGGATTCTGTGCTTTGCAGGTGGGTATAAAATAACATGATGGGAGAAGGTCTAAGTTGGTGACCAGATGTCTGGATCTTTCTAGCTGGTATCTCCTTGCACCCCTGGTACTAGCTGGAGGCATGCTGCATATACTTGGAGTTGGTGTTCAGCTAGCCCTCTCTTACTAATCTTGAAGAAGAGAGGGCTGGTTTCTGTTGTTTTGAAACCTATTGTCTCTTCAGGCTTCCTGCCACTGACCACGCTCTCACGACAACCTGAAAGATGTAGAGTGGGTTTTGGTTTAGTTGTTAACAGTTACCATTCCTGCTGTCCCACCCCAGGAAGAACGCATATGATGGTTGCTGGAGAATGTCTTTATTTCCTTCACATTTAAATTCTATCTGCGTCATGCCCAGGGGTAGATCATTTTAGAAAGGTGCCTGTTTTCACAAAAGGGACTGTTGCTTTCCTCCCTGGTTTGTTTATTTCCAGACATGGATTGATTAAATCCAAGGAACAGAGGGGGAGCTGGCATCAGATAAAAAAAGGCCCTGTTCTTATAAGATTTTAAAGTGAAAGTAAATATCAGGAGAGAGAGAAGGTGATAAATGAGCATGAATGAAAACTGGACACTTGGACTCTAGATCAATACTGTGCATTCATGAGCATCCCGAGAGATGGACATGGTCACCAGGTCTGTGTTGTTAAGATGGTTGAGGCTGCAGGTTCTGGGCATGCATATGTCAGGAAACACTCTGTCACTAGAACCAACTGTTTTTCCTCACTTTCCAATTTTGGAACCTTGGCAAAAGCAATGTGGTGGAGAGAGGAGACCCACAGAACATGGGTTGGAGTTTCAGCACACTCTCAACTGTCTGACTTTGGGCAACCCACCTCTCCTTCCTGGACCTTCCTGTAAAATGGGGTGAGGGAGAGGAGAATAAGCTGGTTATAGACCCTCTTGCTTCTGGCCCTGGCCCCTAAGTGAACTGGCAGTCTGGTCAGGGACTCCATAGCGGTTGGGCTTTCCGAACTCTGTTTTGAGATATCTTGTACTGGAAATCAGGGACAATGGTGTGGTGGTAGTGGTGGTGTTGATGGGGTCGTGATGTTCACTGCTGTATCTCTGTCTAGCACCTATCCAAGAATAGATATTCAGGCAGTTGGTTAAGTTAATTATTCCCATTACCCTCAGCTTGGAATCACGAAGAGTAAAGGTGTTGGCTGGAATGTAAAGGGGTGAAGGCTTGGTAGTAGCCTTGCCTTTCAGATCTGAGGATAATATAGGAAATGGGGGATGTCATTCATAGGCGGGTTTCTTATGGATTCAAGTTCAAACAGACTTGTCTCACACATGGGAATGTACAGCTTTTCAGGGTTATATCTCAGTGGAAGAATTCAGACTGCTCTGGGTCCTACCCATGATGCTTGGTTGTGTTTTTGTTGTTGTTGTTTTTTTTGTTTGTGTTTGTTTTTTTTTTAAGACGGAGTCTTGCTCTGTCGTCGAGGCTGCAGTGCAGTGGCGTGGTCTTGGCTCACTGCAGCCTCCGCCTCCCAGGTTCCAGGTTCAAGCGATTCTCATGACTCAGCCTCCCAAGTAACTGGGATTCCAGGCGCCCCACCACACCTGGCTAATTTTTGTATTTTTAGTAGAGACGGGGTTTTGCTGTGTTGGCCAGGCTGGTCTCGATCTCCTGACCTCAGGTGATCCACCTGCCTCAGCCTCCCAAAGTGCTGAGATTACAGGCACGAGCCACCGCGCCTGGCCAGTGCTTGGTTGTTGTTCTGGGGAACCTCAGTTCCTTCCAGTGAAGGGGGCTTTTTATAAAAGGGAATTAGGCTGGCTGGGGCACTGAGAACGCGGTACTGGAGTTGGGACTTGCCCTTGCCCATATGGTGTTTTCAAACAAACCACAGAAAGGGCTCCTTCCTCTGGTTAGGTGCAGCACCAGCATCACTCCAGAGTGCAGGGCTGGGTGAGGAGAATGTGGATTGAATTTCCCCACCTTCCCTGTGCTGTTGGCCCAGTGTTCTTACAAACCACTGTATGCTGCAGTTCTGTTAAGAATCCAAGCTGGGTCAAGTCCTAGCTGTTCCATCAACTCTGATTGGAAATTCCTGTTTATTACTGGGCCTCAGTCTTCATGGTAAACCAAGAGGCTGGCATTTAGGGGACCCTTCTCTCTTCTCTTCCACCTCTTTACTGTTTGTTTATGGATCTGCCCAAGCACCTAGAATAGGGTCTGACATTTAGTTGGAACTCACCTACTTTAATGAATGGCTACATTAAAGATCCATAAACTAACAGTTAAGATTGCTAGTGGCTAAGGCTGGGTCTTCTCCCTTAGGGTACCTGGAATTCAAAGGACCCTCACAGTAAGAGCTGTAGTCAGGTTTAGGGGCTTAGCGGCTCAGTGACCCAAGAGGCCTTTTAGAAGTTGCAGCAATTTTCTGAGGGTAAATCTGACTTGAGGGAGTGGAGGTGACACTCGTGAGTAAAATCTCTCATGCCTAGAGAGCAGGCATCGGAGGGTGCCTGTGACTTGGCAGGGAGGGAGCACCCCAGCTCTTGCCCTCTGTGCCTGCTGTGTTCAACCACCAGGGTATTGCTGGTTATGATATGTGACAGTGTCTGAATAAGTCATCTTGGCAAATGATCTTTGCTCCCCATTAACGGGCTGGTTCGTTAGTCATGTGTGATTTTTTTCTGTTTTCTCTGTATATCTGATTTATCGTCACTAGTGCCAGGGACAGGTAGGAAAATTAAAAGGCTTTGTAGCATGTGAATCTGAGCCTGTGAGATGTTCAGGATAATTAATATTAGGAACAGCTCAGATTTAAATAGCTTTCCTTCCAAGAGCTCTGTTTGAGTTGTAAATCCATTCAAGATCCTTTCCCTTCTCCCTGGCCCTTCAGTCTCTTCCGTTTCCCTCTTGTCCTGCTCTACCATGCATTTAACATAGGTGGAGACTGGCCTGTAATAACTGGACAGGCCCCTTGGAAAACCCTTACATCCTCAGCCCAGCCATACGCCTCCTCCTTCCGTAGGACCAAGTGTGCAGTTGAGTAAAGCTTAGCACTTGTCCCTACCAGGTATACAACTTAACTCCCACACGTTGGTTGTGTCTCTGCTTTCATTTCTAGTTGTACCATTTGAGGGAATTAGGCATTCCAGGAGCAATTGCTTCTTAGGCCCCATATTCTTAACTCTGTCTTTAGTGTCAGGGCTAGAAACAAATAGAAGGATGATTTTTAAAAGTCTGCTGCCTATTTCACAGTATAGTTAGTGGTGGTGGGGGGGGGTAAGAATATAGATTCCCCTGTGGTTTTCACAGTGACTGATTTACATCCGAGTTCAAGAAATGCTTTTTCTCTAGCTTTCCCAGAAGACAGATCCATTACTCCACCAAAAATAAATATTGTGATATATATCAGGCATACTTTGCTCAAAGGGACTTACATCTTTTCTCTTATTGAAAAAAATAAATCAGTCTTGCAGATTGTAAAGCCCCTGTGTAGGGAAGCTGCTTGGTAATCCAGGTGAGCACCCAGCCTTGTGGATACTGACGCTGGCTTGGAGAAGAAACCTCTTTTTGCATCCTAAGTTGAATCTGTGTTAGAGGAAGTGTTGGGAGCTTTAGGCTCTCCCTGCGTTGCTTTCAGTGGCAAAATTGGGAAGGATTTCCCAAGGGAATGATGGACGTAGGCTAGTTGCCTCAGGCGAGCTCATGGATTTATGATTACATTTCTTGAAAATAGGGGCCATGCATGGAGCAGGGACAAGTGTCATGAGTCAAGGATTGTTGTCTTTCCGGTTCTGTGCACCTGCAGTCCAAAAAGACCAGGATCATTCAAACAATAAGCCCTGGTTCTTGATTCTCTGCTATTCCTGGGCCAAGCAAGGCCTTTATGCATAAACATTTGCATAATTTGGGGAAAAGAAACAACAAATGTTCTTAGCTCTGTATTGCCATGCAGATGATGGTAAGAAGCCAAACGGGAGACTCCTCAAAGAATTCCAAGGACTCAAGGAACTTAGGCCCCTCCGTCTTCCTCCTCACTCCCCCTTCACTCTGGGGGCTGGTCAGTAGCTCAGACAGCAGGGTTTTGGATGTCCTAAATGTAGAGTTGATGCAACTGAGATTGCTGTTAAGTCAGACCTGCTTTGGTGTCTCCACCCTCAAAGAGAATAGAAGCCACAGAGACCACAGCCTCAGTGTGGGGACTCAGTTGCGGGTGTTTCCTCCCCTAGAAGGCTGTTGCCTAAGATTTGATTGAGAGCTCCCCACACTTGGCAGGCAGGTGGTCAAAACAGTTCTTACTCACAAGGGGGTCTGAATTTCTTAACTTGGAATCTTCTTTAATTAAAGGCTACAACCAGGGCAATTGTCCATCTGTTTTAGTGGTAACTTTTACAGAAGAAACTTTGCTATATTGATTAGTGCCCGCCTTGATAGATGATCAATAATTGTGCTTTTATCTGGCATCTTCTTGGGAGTCAGCTGCTGCCAAGGTGAACCTTCTGGGCAAACAATTGTCACTAAATAGCAACCATTTTCAATGGCCAAATAAAAGGAAGTTTTTCTCTCCTCCTTCCACCTCTGCCATCTTCTTAAGCATCATGCTAAACACAAATCATTCTTGCTGGCCTCGTGGTCGCCATAAAATCCACTGTGCAATGCAGCGATGTCCTGTTGGGGCTGATGGGTTGTATCACTAAGACTGTTTGCTTCCCAATGTTTGTTCTTTGTGATCTCATCTTATTTTTTATACAACAACCTTGTGTTGTAGCTACTATTTAAGTATAATTTATTAATACATATAGCGAAATGCACAGATTTTTTTTTTTTTTTTTTTTTTTTTGAGATGGAGTCTTGCTCTGTCTTCCAGGCTGGAGTGCCGTGGCACAATCTCTGCACACAGCAACCTCTGCCTCCTGGGTTCAAGCAATTCTCCTGCCTCAGCCTCCCGAGTAGCTGGGATTACAGGCACCTGCCACCATGCCCAGCTAATTTTGTATTTTTAGTAGAGATGGGGTTTTGCCATGTTGGCCAGACTGGTCATGAACTCCTAACCTCAGGTGATCCATCCGCCTCAGCCTCCCAAAGTGCTGGGATTACAGGTGTGAGCCGCACCCAGCCAAATGCACAGATCTTAAATATACAGTTTGCTGTATTTTCAGAAATGCAGAAAACCGTGTAGACCACAGTTGTATCATATACAGAACATTTCCATCATCTCAGAAAGTTCCTTTGCTCCTTGCCAGACGATTCCCCCATCATCAACCTCTCACCTAGCCCCTATCACAGTCTTGATTTCTATTAGCTGAGATTAGTTTTGCCTGTTCTAGAACTTCAGAAAAATGGAGTAGTAAGCCAGGTACAATGGCTCATGCTTGTAATTCTAGCACTTTGGGAGGCTGAGGTGGGAGGATCACATGAAGATAGAAGTTCAAGACCAGCTTGGGCAACATAGCAAGACCCTGTCGCTCTCTCTTTCTCTATATATAAAATAATCAGGCGTGGTAGTGTACACCTGTGTTCCCAGCTACTCAGGAGGCTGAGGTGGGTGGATTCATTGAGCCCAGGAGTCTGAAGCTGTAGTGAGTTTTGATCAGGCCACTGCACTCCAGACTGGGTGACAGAGGGAGACCCTGTCTCAAAGAAAAAAAAAGTACAAAATAAGTGGAATAGTACAGTCCATGCCCTGTGGACAAGGCTTCCTTCATTGAAGACAGTTTTTGAAATTGATCCATATTGTGCGTATCAGTACTTCATTCCTTTTTATTGTTGAGATGTATTCCATTGTATGATTATACCCCAATTTGTTTATTCGTTCACCTGTTGGCCTTTTGAGTTGTTCTGGCTATTGTGAATAAAGCTGCTATAAACATTTTATGTACAAGTCTGTGTGTGGGCATATGTTTTCATTTCTTCTGTATAACTAGGGGTGGAATTACTGGCCCATAGAGCAGATGTGTGATTGACTTTATAAGAAACTGGAAGCGCTTTCCCCAAGTAGTTAGACCATTTTATACTCCACCAGCAATATGTGAGAGTTCCGCATCCTTGCCAACACTTGTTATTGTCAGCCTTTTTAGGTTTATAGTGATATTTTGTTGTGGCTTTAATTTTTGTTTCCTTGTTAACTGTTGATATTGAATGTCCTTTTCATGTGTTTATTTGCTATTTCTTTCTTTCTTTCTTTTTTTTTTTTGAGATGGAGTCTTGCTCTGTTGCCCAGGCTGGAGTGCAGTGGCACGATCTCAGCTCACTGCAAGCTCTGCCTCCTGGGTTCACGCCATTCTCCTGCCTCAGCCTTCTGAGTAGCTGGGACTACAGGTGTCCGCCACCACGCCTGGCTCATTTTTTGTATTTTTAGTAGAGATGGGGTTTCACTGTGTTAGCCAGGCTGGTTTCAATCTCCTGACCTCATGATCCGCCTGCCTCGGCCTCCCAAAGTGCTGGGATTACAGGTGTGAGCCACTGCGCCCGGCCGTTTATTTGCTGTTTCTGTATCTCTCTTATAAATGTCTGTTTAAAACTTTTGTTCTTTTTTAATGTCAAAAACTGGTCTATTTACTGTCTTATTGAATTGCAAGAATGCTTCATATATTCTAGATACAAGTTCTTTAACAGATATATGTATTATAAATGTTTGTTCCCAGTCTATGGTTTGTCTTTTCATTTTCTTAATGGTGTCACTCAAAGAGCAGAAGTTTTAATTTTTATAAAGGCCAGTGTATCAGTATTTTCCTTTTGATGAGTGCTTTCTGTATCTAGTTTAAAAAAAACTTTGCCTACCCCAGGTTATGAATATTTTTTAATTCCAGAAGCTTGATCATTTCAGTATTTACATTTAGGTCTTTCATTGACTTCAAGTTAATTTTTGTATATAATGTAAGGTAGGAGTTAAAGTTCACTATTTGCTATTTAGATGTCCAGTTGTTTATCACTATTTGTTGAAAAAAACTTTCCTTTCCCTGCTGAATTGCTTTGATGCCTTCGCTGAACTAATTGACTATATACAATATGGTTTTGTTTCTGGATTTTTCCACTCTAGTGATTTATCTTTTATGTCATTCCATTCTTTTCTCTTCTCTTCTCTTCTCTTCTCTTGTCTTCTCTTCTTCTCTTCTCTTCTCTTTTTCTCGCTTTGTCGCCCAGGCTGGAGTGCGGTGGTGTGATCTCAGCTCACTCCACCTCCCAGATTCAAGCGATCTTCCTGCCTCAGCCTCCCAAGTAGCTGAGACTACAGGCATGAGCCACCACGCCCAACTAATTTTTGTATTTTTAGTAGAGACGGGGTTTTGCCATGTTAGCTAGGCTGGTCTCAAACTCCTGACCTCCAGTGATTTGCCCGCCTCAGCCTCCCAAAGTGCTGGGATTACAGGCGTGAGCCACTGTGCCCAGCCAATCCATGCTTTCTTGATGCTATAGCCTCATAGTAAGTCAGTCTTGAAAACAGGTAGTGTGATTCCTCCATCTTTGATCTTCTTTTTCAAAATTGCTTTGGCCATTGTAGTTCCTTTGCATGTCTGTATACATTTGAGAACAAATTTGTCACTTTCCATGAAAAATCTTGCTGGGAGGCCAGGCATGGTGGCCCACACCTACAATCCCAGCATTTTGGGAGGCCAAGATGGGTGAATCGATTGAGCCCAGGAGTTCCAGACCAGCCTGGGCAACATGGCAAAACCCAATCTCTAAAAAAAAAAAAAAAAAATACAAAAATTATCCAGGCATGATGATGGTGCACACCTATGGTTCCTGCTACTGGAAAAGCTGAGAGGTGGGAGGATCACTTGAGCCAGGAGGTTGAGTCTGCAGTGAGCCATGATTGCAACACTGTACTCCAGCCTGGGTGACAGAGTGAGGCACTGTCTAAAAAACTGAGATTTTGACTGAGTTTGACTTGAATCCATAGATCAAATTGTTATCTTAACAGTATTGGGTCTTTCATTCTATGAATGTGGTATCTGTCTCTATTTATTTAGATTTTCTTTAATTTCTCTCAACAGTGTTTTGAATAGTGTTTATGTTCAAGAGAGCTTTAATGTATTTTATTAACTATCTCTATTTTACTTTTTAAATATTGTAAATGATATTCTTTATTTTTATTTTTAAATATTTTTAAAATTTCATTTATTTTTATTTTTATTTTTGAGAAGGAGTTTCGCTCTTGTTGCCCAGGCTGGAGTTCAATGGCGTGATCTCAGCTCACTGCAAACTCCGCCTCCCGGGTTCAAGCAATTCTCCTGCCTCAGTCTCCCGAGTAGCTGAGATTACAGGTGCATGTCACCATGCCTGGCTAATTTTTGTATTTTTAATAGAGACGGGATTTCACCATGTTGGTCAGGCTGCTCTCGAACTCCTGACCTCAGGTGATCCATCTGCCCCTGCCTCCCAAAGTGCTGGGATTATAGGTGTGAGCCACCACACCCAGCCATTTTAAAAATTTTAATAGCTTTTGGAGTGCAAGTGGTCTTTGGTTACATGGATGAATTATATAGTGGTGAATTCTGAGATTTTAGTGCCCCCTTAATCCAAGTAGTATAGATTGTACTCAGTATATAGGATTTTTTTAATCCCTCCCCCTTCTGAGTCTCCAAAGTCCGTTATATCACTTTATATGCCTTTGTATAGTCATAACTTAGCTCCCATTTATAAGTGAGAACATATAATATTTGGTTTTCCATTCCTGAGTTACTTCACTTAGAATAATGGCCTCCTGCTACATCCAAGTTGCTGCAAAAGATGTTATTTCATTCCTTTTCACAGCTCCGTAGTATTCCATGGCATATATATACCACATTTTCTTTATCCACTCGTTGGCCAATGGACACTTAGGTTGGTCCCATATCTTTGCAATTGTGAATTGTGCTGCAGTAAACATGCGTGTACATGTGTCTTTTTCATGTAATGGCTTCTTTTTCTTTGAGTAGATACCCAGTAGTGGGACTGCAGGATCGAATGGTAGATCTACTTATAGTTCTTAAAGGAATCTCCATACTGTTTTCCATAGAGGCTGTACTAATTTACATTCCTACCAGCAGTGTATGAGTGTTCCCTTTTCACCACATCAATGCCAATGTCTATTGTTTTTTGACTTTTTAGTAATGTCATTCTTGCAGGAGTAAGGTTGTGGTTTTAATTTGCATTGTGGTTTTAATTTGCATTTCCCTGATGATTAGTGATGTAGAGCATTTTTCATATGTTTCTTGGCCATTTGTGTATCTTTTTTGAGAAATGTCTATTCATGTCATTTGCCTACTTAATTAATTAATTTATTTTGAGACAGGGTCTCCCTCCGTCACTCAGGCTGGAGTGCAGTGGTGCGATCTTGGCTCACTGCAGCCTCCGCCTCCCAGGTTCAAGTGATTCTCCTACCTCGGGATCACAGGCATGTGTCACCATGCCTGGCTGATTTCTTGTATTTTTAGTAGAGACAGGGTTTCACCATATTGGTCAGGCTGGTCTCGAACTCCCTACCTCAGGTGATCTGCCCACCTCGGCCTCCCAAAGTGCTGGGATTACAGGTGTGAGCCACTGCACCCAGCCATTTGCCCACTTTTTAATTGATTTTTTTTTTTTCTGATTTGAGTTTCTTGTGGTTTTTAGACACTAGTTCTTTGTTGGATATATAGTATGCAAATATTTTCTCCCATTATGTGCATTGTCTTTTTACTCTGATGATTATTACTTTTGCTGTGCAGAAACTTTTTAGTTTAACGAGATCCCATTTATTGATCTATTTTTGTTTTTATTGCATTCGCTTTTGGGGTCTTAGTCATGAAGTCTTTGCCTAGGCCAATGTCCAGAAGAGTTTTTCTGATGTTATCTTTAGAATTCTTATGGTTTCAGGTCTTAGATTTAAGTCGTTGACTCATCCTGAGTTTTTTTTGTATAAGATGAGAGATAGGGATCCAGTTTCATTCCTCTATGTGTGGCTAGCCAGTTTTCCCAGCACCATTTATTAAATAGGGTGCCCTTTACCCTATTTAAAAAATAAATATTTTTATATGCTTCATCAAAGATCCGTTGGTTGTAAATATTTGGCTTTATCTATGGGTTCTCTATTCTTTTCCATGGGTCTATGTGCCTACTTTTATATCAGTACCATTCTGTTTTGGTAACTATAGCCTTGTGGTACAATTTGAAGTCTGGTAATGTGATACCTCTAGATTTGTTGTTTTTGCTTAGGTTTGCTTTGGCCATTCAGGCTCTTTTTAAAAATTTCATATTAATTTTAGGATTATTTTTTCTAATTCTGTGAACAATGATGTTGTTATTTTGTTTGGGATTGCATTGAATCTGTAGATTGCTTTGGGCAGTATGGTCATTTTCACAATACTGATTCTTCTAATCCATGAGCATGGGATGTGTTTCCATTTGTTTGTGTTATCTGTGATTTCTTCCAGCAGTGTCTTGTTGTTCTCCTTGTAGAGAAATTTCACCTCCTTAGTTAAGTATATTCCTAAGTTTTTTATTTTATTTTATTTTTGCAGCTGTTGTAAAAGGGATTGAGTTATTGACTTGATTCTTAGCTTGGTTGTTGTTGGTGTATAGCAGTGCTACTGATTTGTATATACTGATTTTGTAACCTGAGACTTTAATGAATTTATTTATCAAATCTAAGAGTCTTTTGGAGGAATCTTTAGGATTTTCTAGGTATACAGTCATATCATCTGTGAACAGTGATAGTCTGACTTCCTCTTTCCCAATTTGGATGTCCTTTATTCCTTTCTCTTGCCAGATTGCTCTGGCTAGGACTTCCAGTACTATGTTTTTGTTTGTTTGTTTGTTTGTTTGTTTTTGTTTTTGAGACAGAGTCTCGCTCTGTCGCCCAGGCTGGAGTCCAGTGGCACGATCTTGGCTCACTGAAACCCCCGCCTCCCGCATTTAAGTGATTCTTGTGCCTCAGCCTCCTGAGCAGCTGGGATTACAGGCATGTACCACCACGCCTGGTTAATTTTTTTTGTATTTTTAGAAGAGACGGGGTTTTGCCATGTTGCCCAGGCTGGTCTCAAACTCCTGAGCTTAGGCAGTCCACCCGCCTCAGCCTCCCAAAGTGCTAGGATTACAGGCATGAGCCACCGCACCCAGCCCAGTGCTATGTTTAATAGAAGTAGTGAAAGTCGGCATCCTTGTCTTGTTCCAGTTCTTAGAAGGGAATGCCTTAAACTTTTCCCCATTCGGTATGATGTTGGTTATGGGTTTGTCATATATGGCTTTTATTATTTTGAGATAAGTCCTTTCTATGCCTGGTTTGTTGAGAGTTTTTTTTATCATAAAAGGATGCTGGATCTTATTGAATGCTTTTTCTGCAACTATTGAGATGATCGTATGGTTTTTGTTTTTAATTCTGTTTATGTGATATATGACATTTATTGACTTGTATATGTTAGACCATCCCTGCATCCCTGCTATGAAACCCACTTGATCATGGTGTATTACATTTTTGATGTGCTGTTGGATTTTGTTAGCTTGTATTTTGCTGAGGATTTTTGCATCTGTATTCATCAGGGACATTGGTCTGTAGTTTTCCTTATTTTTGTTATGTCCTTTCCTGGTTTTGTTATGAAAGTGATACTGGCTTCGTAGAATGATTTAGGGAGGATTTCCTCTTTCTTAATCTTTTGGAATAGTTTCAGTAGCTGGAGTGTAGTGGCGCGATCTCAGCTCACTGCAACCTCTGCCTGCTTAGGTTCAAGTGATTCTCCTGCCTCAGCTGCCTGAGTAGCTGGGACTACAGGTGCATGCCACTACGCACGGCTAATTTTTGTATTTTTTGTAGGATGGGGTTTCACCATGTTGGCTAGGCTGGTCTTGAATCCTGAACTCCTGACCTCAAGCGATCCGCCCACTTTGGCCTCCCAAAGTGTTGGGATTACAGATGCGGGCTGCCGTGTCCAGCCCCAATTCTTCTTTGAATGTCTGATAGAATTCAGCTGTGAATCCATCATGCCCTGGGCTTTTTTGTATGTGTGTGGCAATTTTAAATTTACTGATTGAATCTTGCTGCTTGTTATTGGTCTGTTAAGGGTTTCTGTTTCTTCCTGATTTAATCTAGGAGGGTTGTATGTTTCCAGGAATTTAGCAGTTTTCTTAGATTTTTCTAGTTTATGTGCGTAGAGATGTTTGTAGTAGTCACGAATAATCTTTTGTATTTCTGTGGTGTTGGTTGTAATACTTCCAGTTTCATTTCTAATTGAGCTTAGTTGAATCTTCTTTTTTTCTTGGTTAATCTAGCTAATGGTCTATCAATTTTGTTTATCTTTTCAAAGAACCAGCTTTTTATTTCATCTTTTGTATTTTTTTATGTTTCAATTTCATTTACTTCTTCTCTGATCTTTGTTATTTCTTTTCCTCTGCTAGCTTTGGGTTTGGTTTGTTATTGTTTCTGTAGTTCCTTGAGGTGTAACATTAGGTTGTCAATTTGTGATCCTTCAGACTTTTTGATGTAGGCTTTTAGTGCTATAAACTTTCCTGTTAGCACAGTATCCCAGAGTTTTGATAACTTGTGTCACTGTTATTCATTTCAAAAAATGTTTGAATTTCCATCTTGATTTTATTGTTAACCCAAAATCACTCAGGAGCAGATTGTTTAATTTTCATGTATTTGTACCATTTTGAGGGTTCCTTTTGGAGTTGATTTCTAGCTTTATTCCACTGCGGTCTGAGAAGATACTTGATACAATTTTGATTTTTTTTTTTTTTTTTTTTTGAGACGGAGTCTTGCTCTGTCACCAGTCTGGAGTGCAGTGGCACAATCTTGGCTCACTGCAACCTCTGCTTCCCAGGTTCAAGTGATTCTCCTGCCTCAGCCTCCCGAGTACCTGGGACTACAGGTGCGTGCCACCACACCCAACTAATTTTTGTATTTTTAGTAGAGACGGGGTTTCACCATGTTGGCCAGGATGGTCTTGATCTCTGACCTCATGATCCACCATCGTTGGTCTCCCAAAGTGCTGGAATTACAGGCATGAGCCACTGTGCCTGGCCACAATTTCGATATTTTAAAAATGTATTGAGACTTGTTTTGTGTCCTATCATATGGTCTATCTTGGAGAATGTTCTATGTGCTGATGAGAAGAATGTGTATTCTGCAGTTCTTGGGTAGAATGTTCTGTAAATATCTGTTAAGTCCATTTTTTCTAGAGTGTAGTTTAAGTCCATTATTTCTTTGTTGATGTTTTGTCTCAATGATCTGTCTAGCACTGTCAGTAGAGTATTAAAGTCCCTCACTCATTTCTTAGATCTAGTAGTAATTGTTTTATGAATCTGGGAGTAGTGTTAGGTACATATAAATTTAGGATTGTAATATGTTCTTGTTGGATTGATCCTTTTATCATTATGTAATGACCTTGTTTGTCTTTTTTTTTTTTTTCACTGTTGTTGCTGTACAGTCTGTCTTATCAGATATAAGAATAGTTATTCTTGTTTGCTTTTGTTTCCATTTGTGTGGAATATCTTTTTCCACCCCTTTACTTTGAGTTTATATGAATCCTTATACGTTAGGTGAGTCTCTTAAAGACAGCAGATATTTGGTTCGTATTCTGCCATTCTGCCAATCTGTATCTTTTAAGTGGAGCATTTAGGCCATTTATGTTCAACATTAATACTGAGATGTGAGGTGCTGTTCCATTTATCATGTTAATTGTTACCTAGATGCTTGGTTTTTTTCTATTGTGTTATTGTTTTATAGGCTCTGTTTTATGCTTTCAAGAGGTTCTGTTTTGGTGCATATCAAGCTTTGGTTTCAATATTTAGAACTCCTTTTAGCATTTCTTGTAGGGCTGGTCTGGTAGTGACAAGTTCCTTCACCATGTAAATGATATTCTTTAAATATTTGTTTTCCAATTGTTTGTTGCCAGTACATAGAAATATAATAGGGTTTTTTCTGTATATTGATTTTGTATCATATGACCTTATTGAACCAATTTATTATGTATATATATTTTTTGGTAGCTTTCTTAGGATCTGTTATGTATACAATCATGTTGTCTATGTCAAGACAGTCTTACTTCTTCCTTTACAGTTTATATGCTTCTTATTTCCTTTTCTTGCTTCATTGCGCTGACTGGGACTTCCAGTTCAATGTTAAAAAGAAGTAGTGAGAACTGACATCTTTGCCTTGTTCTTGATCTCGAGGGAAAAGCAGCCAGTCTTTCATCATTAAGTATGATGTTAGATGTAGGTTTTTGGTAGATGCCTTTTATCAAGTTGAAGTTCACTTTTATTCCTAGTTTGCTGAGGTTTTTATCTGTATTGGGATTAAATTTTGTCACATGCTTTTTCTGCATCTATGGAGATTATATTGTTTTCCTCTTTAATTCAGTCAATACAGTGAATTATATTTTTAAAAGAATGCTAGGCTGGACACATGGTGGCTCACACCTGTAATCCTAGCACTTTGAGAGGCTGAGGTGGGAGGATTGCCTGAGCTCAGCAGTTCGAGACCAGCCTGGGCAACATGGTAAAACCCCATCTCTGCTAAAATACAAAAAATCAGCCGGGCTTCTTGGCACACGCCTGTAGTCCCAGCTATTCAGGAGGCTGGGGCACGAGAATTGCTTGAACTAGGGAGGCGGAGGTTGCAGTAAGTCGAGATTGTGCCACTGCACTCCAGCCTGGGCAACAGAGCGAGACTCTGTCTCAAAAAAAAATAATAATAAAATAAAATAAAAGAATGCTAAATCAAACTTGCATTTGATCTTCTAATATTTTTGTTAAGGATTTTTGCATCTATGTTTATGAGGGATATTGGTCTATAGTTTTTTTTTTTGTAAATCCTTTGTCTGGTTTTTGGTGTCAACATTATGTTGACATCATAAAATAAACTGTATGTTGACTTGTATTCAATGTCCCTTTGTTTTCTTTCTTTCCTGATACAGTGTCTCACTGTGTTGCCTAGGCTGGCCTCGAACTCCTGGGGTCAAGTGATCTCCTGTCTCAGCCTCCAGAGTAACGAGGACTACAGATGTGTGCTACCATATACCATGCTCAGCTTCTCTGTTTTCTGAAAGAGTCTGTGGGACACTAATGTTTTCTCTTTATTAAATATTTCATAGACTTCATCAGTAGAGCATTATATAAAGCCAAGAAGTTTTTTTGGGGGGGGTTAATTATTAATTATATAACAGATATAGGGTAGTCAGAATTTTTTGCGGCATTTTTCTCAATATGTATTTCAAGAAATTTGTCTATTTCATCTAAGTTGTAAAATTTATTGGTCTAAAATTGTTCCTAAGATTCTCATTCTTTTTTCTTTCTTTCTTTTTTTTTTTTTTTTTATGTGTGTGTGTGAGACAGAGTCTCACTCTGTCTTCAAGGCTGGAGTGCAATGGTGCGATCTCAGCTCACTGCAATCTCTGCCTCCCGAGTTCAAGTGATTCTCCTGCCTCAGCCTCCCAAGTAGCTGGGATTACAGGCATGTGCCACCACGCCTGGCTAATTTTGTATTTTTTGTAGAGACAGGGTTTCACCATGTTGGTCAGGCTGGTCTCAAACTCCTGACCTCATGTGATCCACCCACCTCGGCCTCCCAAAGTGCCAGGATGATAGGTATGAGCCACTATACCCCACCTCATTTTCTTTTTAATGTTTGTGAGATCTCTGGTGGTATTCCTTCTTTAATTCCTGTTATGGCAATTGCTTTTTCTGTTTCCTCTTAAAAATAATTTAGCTCGGCTACTGGGGGAACCCACCCCCAATATTTCAATGTAGGTTCTTTCCATTTTCCGTAAGTGTCAGCTGGCTGAGAAATAAAAGAGTACCAAGAGAGGAATTTTACAGCCGGGCCTCCGGGGTGACATCACATATCGGTAGGACCGTGATGCCCACCTGAGCCACAAGACCAGCAAGTTGTTATTAAGGATTCTAAAAGGGTAGGGGGTGTACGAACAGGGAGTAGGTCACAAAGATCACATGCTTCAAAGGGCAAAAGGGAGAACAAAGATCACATGCTTCTGAGGAAACAGGACAAGGGCAAAATCAGAACTACTGATAAGGGTTTATGTTCAGCTGTGCACGTATTGTCTTGATAAACATCTTAAACAACAGAAAACAGGGTTCAAAAGCAGAGAACCGGTCTGACCACAAATTTACCAGGGCAGAGTTTTTTCCCCACCCTAATAAGCCTGAAGGTACTGCAGGAGACCAGGCCGTGTTTCAGTCCTTATCTCAGCCACATAAGATAGACACTCCCAGAGCGGCCGTTTATAGACCTCCCCCCAGGAATACATTCCTTCCCCAGGGTATTAATTATTAATATTCCTTGCTAGGAAAAGAATTTAGCGATATCTTCCCTACTTGCACGTCTGTTTATAGGCTCTCTGCAAGAAGAAAAATATGGCTCTATTTTGCCCAACCCTGCAGGCAGTCAGACCTTATGGTTGTCTTCCCTTGTTCCCTGAAAATTGCTGTTACTCTGTTCTTTTTCAAGGTACACTGATTTCATATTGTTCAAACACACATGTGTTACAATCAATTTGTACAGTTAAGACAATTATCACAGTGGTCCTGAGGTGACGTACATCCTCAGCCTATGAAGATAACGGGATTAAGAGATTAAAGTAAGACAGGCATAAGAAATTATAAAAGTATTATTTGGGAACTGATAAATGTCCATGAAATCTTCACAATTTATGTTCCTCTGCTGTGGCTCCAGCTGGTCCCTCCGTTCAGGATCCCTGACTTCCCACAACACTCGGCCAGGCATGGTGGCTCATGCCTGTAATCCCAGTACTTTGGGAGGCCGAGGCAGGTGGATCACTTGGGGTCAGGACTTTGAGACCAGCCTGGCCAGCATAGTGAAACCCCATCTCTACTAAAAATACAAAAATTTGCCGGGCATGGTGGCATGTGCCTGTAATCCCAGCTACTTGGCCGGCTGAGGCAGGAGAATCACCTGAACCAGGGAGATGAAGGTTGCAGTGAGCTGAGATCGCGCCACTGCACTCCAGCCTGGGCAACAGAGCAAACTCTGTCTCAAAAAAAAAAATTAAATTAAAAAATAATTTAGGTCATACTTTATCAGTTTTGTTAATCTTTTCTAAGAATCAACTTTTAGTCTTCTTAAAAATATCCATTTAAAAATTTTATTAATTTTCAGTCTTTATTTCCTTCCTTCTGCCTATGTTGAGCTTAATTCACTTTGTTTTTTCTAACTTAAGATAGGGACTCTTTGATTTGGGATTTAATTTTCCAGATATCTTTTAATTATTGATTTCTAATTTAAGTCCCTTATGTTCAAAGAACATACTCTAATTTGAAGCCTTTGAAACATGAGACCTGTTTTATGGCCAGCTATATGGTCTATATTGGCAAATGTTCCATGTACATTGAATTAAGAAATGTGTATTGTATGGTTGTTGGGTGGAATGTTCAATAACTGTCACTTAGGTCAGATAGGTTGATAGTGTTCAAAACTATGTATTTTTTTTTTTTGGTCTACTTTTAAAATCTTTTATGGAGAAAAAAATATTGCTTTCCAACTCTAATTATGGATTTGTTCCATGATTCCCTTTCATTCTGTCAGGTTTTGCTTCGTATTTTTTATATTTATGTTATTAGATATGTACACATTTAGGATTATTCTTAAAGAATTGGCCCTTTTTAACATTATACATGTATTTCTTCATTTCTGATAATTCTCTTTGTTTGCAGTATATTTTACCTGATTGATATAGCCTCTTCAGCTTTCATATGATTAGTGTTTGTATGGTAGAACTTTTTCCATCCTTTTTTTTTTTAACCCATTTGTATCTTTGTATTTAAAATGTACCTCTTATAAAGAACACATAATTGGGTCTGGCTTTTTGAATCTAGTCTGACAGTCTGCTTTTGAATTAGTGTTTATTCCATTTATATTTAATGTATTATTTATATAACTGGATCTAAATCTGTTGTATAGCATTTTTTATTAGTCTCATATCCTTTGTTTCGTTTTTCCTTTTCATGCCTTCTTTTGAATTAATCAAGTATTTCAGATTCTATTTTTATGTCATCCGTTATACGCATACACACACAGAGAAACATACTTTAAGTTATTGTTTTGATGATTAGAATTTTCATCCTTATCACAATCTACACTGAAATAATACATCATTTCATGTATAATGTAAGCCCTTTCAACAATATACTTCCATTTATCTTCTCCCAGTCTTCATTCTGTTGCTGTCATGTGTTTTACTGCTATGTATGTTATAAACCTCACAATACATTGGTATTATTTTTGCTTTAAACAGTCAGTTGTCTTAAATAAATTAATAACTTAGATTCCTTTTATTTACCCATATACTGACCATTTCCAATATTCTTCATTTCTTCTTATATGTCTGATATCCATCTGGTATTGTTTCCCTTCAGCATGAAAAATCCTTCTTAACATTTTTTTTGTAGTGTAGATCTGCTGGTGACAAATCCTTGCAGCTTTTGTTTTATCAGAAAGCATCTCTATTTTGCCTTTATTTCAAAAGGGTATTTTTGCTGGATATACAATATTAGGTTGACTCTTTCTTTACGCCAAAGATGTCATTCCATTGTCTTGTAGCCTGAATTCTTTCTGATGAGAAGTTACAGGATATTCCCCTGCATGTGCTGGTTTCTCCTTCCCTTTGGATGCTATAAGATTTTCAGTTTATCTTTGTTTTCAGCAATTTGACTATTGTAGTTAGGTGTGATTGTCGTTGTTGATCTTTCTTGGGGTTTCTTGAGCTTATTTTGTCTGTGGATTGATATTTTTTCATCAGTTTGGAAAAAGTTTGGCCCATATTTCTTCTCAGCCCATCTCCTTTTCTTTTATAACTCCAGTTACATATAAGTTAGATTGCTTGATATCATCCTAGAGGTCACTGAGGCTCTGCTCATTTTTTTTCTTTGGTCTTCCTTTCTCTCTGTACTTCTGTGAGGATAATTTATAGTAACCTATCTTTAAGTTCACTGAACGCTTCTGTAATGTACAATATGTTGTAAGCTCACCCAATGACTTTTTTATTTCAGGCAGTTTTTACTTTTAGAATTTCCATTTGGACTTTCTAATGGTTTTTGTTTCTCTGAGATTTCCCATCTGTTCACTGATTGTTTCCATATTTTCCTTAAATCCTAAAGCATATTTATAATAGCTTTTTAAAAAAGTTTTTGTTTGCTATTTCCAACATCTTTGTCATCATTTGGCCTGTTTATATTGACTGACTTATCTGCTGAGTATGGGTCACAGCTTCCTACATCTTAACGTGTTTAGACACTTTTTATTCTATGCTACACATTGTGGATGCTACTTTTTTGAGATTCTAGGTTCATCTGCTTTGAAACAGTTTTTCTCCCCTCTTTTTGTTGGGCTGTCAGCTGTTACTTCTTGTAGCTGTCAGAATACTTGCCTCTGGCTACTATATTCTCCACCCTTCCTTTGTTATTTTCTAACCTGCGGTTGGCTAGGAAACTATTTAATCTAGCTTGTTGGCCTTATATGTAAAGTACAAATAAACAGACATTGAGTAGATCTCTAAAGACTCCTGAATCAAATGCATGAACTTCAGTGTACAGGTTTTTGCATAATTTAGATATTTAAAGATTCTTACTTATTTTTTTGTAATTGGCATTGGATGAGTGAAATATAATTTTGTGTTGAAACTATGACCTGAAGAGAGACAACAGTTCTCCAAAGGGCTCCTAATTTCTGGCTGATGTCATCTCAAGTTATTTGTGTATTTTTTGCTCATCTGCTTTTAGCTGTTAGAAGAAAATGTTTGTTGATATTTGTCGTGTTCTAGTAGCCTCTATCAGTTTGAATTTCAGTATATTATAACCTGTCAAATATTTTCTCTGGGCTTTTTACCTTAAGCCTAATGACTGCTTTTTAAAACTTAGTTTGTAAATTCTCACATTAAAACAGTTTTTAAAAAGAGAATCGTTCACATAAGCCAAATTGCTGAATTACTAATCAGAGGGATGCTAAGTAGCTGAAGGAGTTTCCAAGGCACCATCTGTGAGGTCTGATCTCTTGTCTCTCCTCATTCAGAAAATTTCAATGTGAAGTAAATATCATATTTTATTGCAAAGGCTGCCTTTAATTTCATTTGTCTGATTTGGGATGGGTGAAGGTGTTGAATAAAAGTTTTAAGTCTCTTACTTAAGATCCCTCTCCCCCATCCTCATTCTTGGAATGAACTTTTGAGAGGTTAAACCTATACTTTGCCAAGTAAATGCTGATTTCCTGGGAAGACATTTCAGCACCTTTTCTGTTTTTCTGCACTTCCTTGACCTAAATTAGCAAATCTTCCTCCTTTCCAAGTCTCCCAGAAGCCATTCTCCATGTCTGTCACATACCTTACAGAGCTCTGGAGTAGTCTTGTTTTTTAATTATAAGAATCAATAAGAAAAAGAAGACTTTAGTTTCTTCCTTTCAGAACTGGACCTTAGAGAACAGCCTATAAAATAGAATCAATTTTGCTACTTCAGATTATAAGGAAACCCTTTGTAGAGAAAGGTTCATGTTTTGGCAGAATAATAGCTCAGTCTAGAGACTTCTCTAGCAGTTTCAGATACTGGCATTTTTGTGTGTATAATTAAGTGAGGGGTAGAGACCCCACACTAATGTACACTCAGAGGCGGTATTGTGTAATAACTTCCCTATAATCATGCTAGGATATCTATGCCTGATTGTTGATCCTTGAGTAACTAAAAATGGTGCCAGAAAGGTATCAATCCAGATCGAGCCAAGGGAGACCAACATTAGACATTTCTGTGATTAGGCACTGGAGTAGATTATAGCATGATAAGGTTCTCTGTGCTCTGAGTGAAGTGCTGTTCAACTTGGCGCTAATAGGAGCGGGATTCAGGTTTGTGAGCTCTGGAACTCGAAGTCGACTTGCCTGTTAGAGAAGGGGGTTTTGGATTCTGTATAGCCTGTAGTCTTTTAAATGTAAGAATCCTCAGGGAGTCTGCTTTGAAGGGTAGTCGGGGCTAGGCTGGAACAATGCTTCCTGGACAGATCAGGTCAAAAATTCCCAGTGCGCGGGGTATTCTTAGAGCCCACACATCCTCTTAAGAGTTTAGCTGATCCAGCCAACAGCCTTGCGGCATACAGAGCATGGGCTGTCATCCTGTTTTATGGCTGAGAGGCTGAAGACCCTGAAAAGGGATGTGACCAACCCCAGGTCCCACCAGTTTAAATTGTGATGCCTAGACTTAAACCTCCCCTCCCCACTCCAAGGGTGATGTTCTTTCTGTGACATCATTTGAAGGCTAGTGGGTGATAACTTAGAGGAAGAGTTTTCACTTTGGAATGGAAGAGCGTAGAAACTGTCATAGCCTGGATAGGCATGTAAAAGAACCGGTCTTGTGAATCTTTAGACCAGGGTATCTACCCTTTATTGCAGTCCGGAATTATCTGGGGCATTTTAGTAAATACTGATGCCTGAGTTCCTCCAATTAAATCACAGATGCAAATTTAATTGGTCTTGGGTGTAGCCTGAGCACAGGGATTGAAAAATCTTTAGAATGAACCTATGGCAATTTTGTCTTAGCCTCGACTTATCTCTTTTCTGGCTGTAGTTCCCTTTGACCCACTTATGGAAGAGGTTGGAAATTTTCTGTATTTATTAAGACCTGCACCGAAATTGAGTGAGAAAAAAGCTGGAGACAAGAGTCAAAACTGAGTTTTCCAGAGTTAAGAGCAGACACTGTTTACATGATACGGATAAGCCATGAATTTATTAAAACTTTAAGAGAAATATTGAAAACACCTACCATCTATTGAGTCTCAGTTGCAAGAGCTGAAGGAAAGACAAAGACGAGTCTCTGGCTTTAAGGAATTTTATTGTGTAATCTTGGCATGTACTGGAATCACTTCTAACCACATACAGATGCATGGATGTAGGGAAATATTACTTGGCTGCATCAATATTTGCCTGTCCCACCTAAATCTTTTTTGAGGAAGTAGCCAGGACATAAACAGCTGAAATGAAAATATTTGCTTGTCCCGAAGTCGATTTCCCCACAGGCCATCGCCCTCCCTCCTGTGGCTGCCTCTGCTATTCTCATTAGCTAAGCAGCCTTGCCCTTACAGAGATCCTGAGGGCCTTACAGAGATCCTGAGGGCAACAAAGCCGGTGGTCATCTGTAAAATCCAGTAACTGATTGATGCTCAGGAAATAGGAGATACTGAAGAAGTGAAAGAGCCTAACCCAGTCCCAGGTGGTTCCGACTCTGCAGCCGTGCTCTGCTGTTTCATCTCAGCCATGCCAGGTGCTAGACGTGACTTCACCTGAGAATTGCTGACCTGGGTTGATCAGATCAAATCTATCCAGGCCACCTCTGGCAGAGCAGCAGAAAGTGAGAATATGCTGTAGATTAGTGTGAGAATCCTCCCCAGGGCTTAATGATGGTCCCTTGGAGAGCTCTGTTTCTATGCAAGAAACCTGTGAATTCTCAACCTTTGCCAACTTGCAATCGTTCTTCAATCTGCCCCAACTATTTCTAGCAAATTCTTTGGCTAATACAGCATAGAAAACACATCCTATTTGTCCCAGACTTATTTCATTCCAGCTTCAAGGGGTGGACATTTAGCCTAAGAGCATTCATAGAGAGTCAGACTTCAGAGAATATATTTCCCTCTGTTAAATCGTATATGAAACCAAGCTTGCTCCGAGGCCGCTGGCTGCAGGAAGCAGTGACGAGGATGGAGCTTGGCAGATGGTTGTAGCTGTGGTTTCCTGGAGGCCTGTGTGGGGAGATGATTGTTTGTATATTGGTTTTCATTTATGTATTGGTCTTATTTTCATCTTCCTGAGGTACCCAGATGCTATGGTGATAGATTGATTGGAAATGACTCATTTGTCAGGGTTCTGTGGGGGACGTAGGTTCCCTTCTCATGCGCAGCAGAGTCTAAGATGTTTAATTAGACGCTGAGACATTTCTGCATGGGTCCATTTCTGCCCATTCTCCCAGGTGGACGCCATTTCTTAGATTGCAGAGGGACGGGGTTGGGGAGGGACCTTCTAGTTCTCCATCCTCTCCCTCTATCCTCTTATTTTGTCTGGCTGCAGTCCTTAGTCCTACCTCCCTTTTAATTAATTAATTAATTAATTAATTTATTTACTTACCTTTGAAACAGAGTTTCATTCTTGTCACCCAGGCTGGAGTTCAATAGCACGATCTCTGCTCACTGCAACCTCTGCCTCCTGGTTTTAAGCGATTCTCCAGCCTCAGCCTCCTGAGTAGCTGGGACTACAGGCACCCGCCACCACGCCTGGCTAATTTTTTTTTTTTTTTTTTTTTGTATTTTTAGTAGAGATGGGATTTCACTGTGTTGGCCAGGCTGGTCACGAACTCCTGATCTCAGATAATCCACCTGTCTCGGCCTCCCCAAGTGTTGGGATTACAGGCCTGACCCACCACGCCTGGCCTTTTATATATATATATTTATTATTATTATTATTATTATTATTATTTGCCTCAGCTTCCCGAGTAGCTGGGATTACAGACACCCGCCACCCCACCCAGCTAATTTTTTTGTATTTTTAGTAGATACGGGGTTTCTCCATGTTGGCCAGGCTGGTCTCGAACTCCTGAGCTCAAGTGATCCACCCGCCTCTGCCTCTCAGAGTGCTGGGATTACAGGCATAAGCCACCGTGCCCAGCCCTACCTCCTTTTATCTGCTGTTTTCTACCCCCTAACATTATTGTCCTAAAAATTGCCTTCATGTGGCTGCTAGAATTTGCAGAACTGATTCATGTTGGAAATCTAGTTGTCAAACAGGTCCAAACCAGACTTCATGAAATAATGTAGTTGAACTGATACGCAGTGAGAGGAATATTAAGTGCTGCTTAACTGTTTTGTTCCACTTCAGCTTTTTCAGGGCCTTACTTTGTTCTTACTGTGTGCCAGGCAATGCCTGACATGCTGAGGATGGAAAGGTCTTACGGGTGCACCATGGTAACACCATGGAGATGCTAGATAAAGGTGTGAGCAAAGGGCTGCGGAGTCACCTGAAGATGACGTGAGCCATGGGCGTGGGGGAAAGAATGGCATTTCAGGAGAATGTGGGCAATCCTGGGGGTAGTGGGTTTGCAAACTAGCAGAAAGCTCCGTGTACTGAGTCGTGGGAGGTGTTGTGCATGTGGATATAGGTGCAGCTTGGAAAGGTCAAGGCTTCTACCTGGGACACAAGGTGACATAAAGAAGTGGGAGACTGTGAGACATCTTGGAAGGGGGAGAGGAGTTTAATGCTAGGCGTGATAAAAATGAGATGCTTGTGAAATCTAGGTGGACACATCTAATGGGTTGTTGGAAATATGGGCTTAGGACTGATTGGGGTAATGGTACCAGAGACATATATATATATATATATATATTTTTTTTTTTTTTTTTTTTTTTTTGAGACAAGGTCTCACCCTGTCACCCAGGCTGGAGTACAGTGGTGCGATCTGGGCTCACTGTAGCGTCCGTCTCCCGGGTTCAAGCAATTCTCCAGCCTCAGCCTCTCTGGTACTACAGGAGCGTGCCACCAACACCCAGCTAATTGTTTTGCGTTTTTGTGGAGATGGGGTTTTGCCATGTGACCCAGCCTGGTTTTGAACTCTTGGGCTCAAAGCGATCCTCCTGCCTCAGCCTCCCAAAGTGCTGGGATTACAGGCATGCGCCACCACGCCCGGCCGAGAGATGTAGATTTAGAGGTCCTAGTTTAGCGAGTCAGGGCTTGAAGGCTTGAGCACAGAGCCATTTGAGGAAAACCTGGATGGAAAGGGAGAGGGCTCAGAGCCTTTGGGAACACCAGTGTTTTAAAGAACAACCAGAGGTTGGGGGAGAAGGTTGAGTCAGGTAGCAGAAAGACCAAGTGCCACATCCAGCCTGCTTTTCCCTTTACTAGCTGATTCTGCCAAACCTGACTGCCTGCTGACCCTGGTGAGCATGCCTCAGCCACTGGGGGGCTTTCCTGCAGTTTCCCCTTGTCCTCTCCCCTCGCCTGGTGTGCTGAGGGCGTCTTCACTGGCTGCAGGCTCCTGGGCTTTGTTCCCTTGCTGGCATCAAGGATTGGAAAGCCTCTTTCTCCCCCATCTTCTGACGTTGGTCAAGGCTCACCATTCCACCTCTGCCAAGGAGCTCCAGGCGCTCTGAGCTGTCTGCTTTCTGGCTTCCCACTGAGAGTGCAAGAGCTCACCTGAGGACTGTCCTGTGCCTCTTCTCTTGGGCTGTGCTGCAGGAACCCAGGCTTGTAGCTCATTCCTTATCCCAGCAGAATGCCCAGAGTGGTTCCTCCATCGCCTTTCTGGAAACAGGATGCATCTCTGGCCTGGCCACACACTGAAGATTCACAGGCTAGCTCCTTCATCAGGAAAGAAGTTCATCTTCATTGCTCTCGAGGAAAGGAAGAAATTGCAGAGTGGTGAAGATGTATTTTGTCTTTACTCAGTGACCACAAGCACACAGGGGCCAAATAGATAACACCATGTTCCTCTCAGTTTCTGCCTGGAATCCTCGACTTGAACGGTAGCATTCACTTGAAACCAAGCCCCGACCATTGAAGGGAGAGTCATTTGGCAAAGTTCCTGCTGAAACTGCCATCCACTTATGTCTAAGTGGCATTCTGGCTCCAGCCATCCTTCCAGATTTCCCCGATATCTGAGCCCTCACTGCTGCCACCAGAGCCGCCCTGCTTCTTGGCCCTGCCTGGGTTTGAAGACAGCTCCTCAGCTGGGCTGCATGTCTAAGGAGGTCTTGAAGGCTCGATGCCACAGCAGTCCCTGTCTCTGGCAACAAGTAGCCTTGGCTTTTGCTGTCTTGCCCAAATCACTCTGAGCTTTCTTCAGTGGTGTGAGCATCTTGAAGAATGAATGTTGAGGTCTGCCTATCCCCCAGGGTAGCAGGTGAGATGGGGCCGGTGCATGTCTATTCCAGTTCACTGTTGCAGAACTGAGAAATGTGCGGGGACTTTCTCCTCTGTGTTCGCTGCGTTTTCAGCAGCCAGTGCTGGGCACTTAGCCTTCTTGCATAGGTGCGGAAAGCTAACCGGAGTTCCTGTTCCTTCCTCCGTGCTGGTCCCCGCAGGGCTTGTGGTGGAGGACCCTGTGGCCATCTCACCAACTACACCGAAACGCATCTGACTTCTGACGCCACGCCCGTGTGCGGTGCAGCCTCCCTGCTGGGCCCAGGCCTGGCCGCTTGGAGATGGTGCCCTCATCGTCCTGGGCCTTCCAGGCTGCAGAGGGTGCGGGGAGCACTGAGGAACTGCATAGATGGCTGTGGGAGGTGGTGGCTTTTAAAAAATTGTGGTAAAATACATATAACATAAAAATATATGTTAGCCATTT
The DNA here is from genome assembly GCF_000001405.40 of Homo sapiens. Lineage (NCBI taxonomy): Eukaryota > Metazoa > Chordata > Mammalia > Primates > Hominidae > Homo > Homo sapiens. The sequence goes on from NC_000001.11 coordinate 25,646,476, forward strand.
TAAAATGTACAACTCAATGGCACTAGGTATAATACATTCACAGTGTTACGTGACCATCACCACTGCCTAGTTTCACAACTCTGTCTCCCCAAATGGAAAACCATACCCATTAGGCAGTCACTCCAGACCCACTACCCCCAGCCCAGTCCCTGGCAGCCACGAATCTGCTTTCTGCCTCTGAATTTTTCTATTCTGGATTCTTTATATAAATGGAACCATAGAATATGAGGTCTTATGACAGTTTTGAAGTTCACTGTGTTGTAGTGTGTGCGAGAGTTTCTTTTGATGGCCGGATAAAATCCCATTGTATGGGTAGACCGCATTTTCTTTCTCCATTCTTCTGTTGATGGACATTTGGATTGTTTCCACCTTTGGGCTGTGATAAATAATGCTGCTGTGGACATTTGTGTACATGGTTTTGGGTGGACATGTTTTCAGTTCTTTAGGGCATATACCTGGGAGTGGGATTGCTGGGTCATATGGTGACTCTGTTCAACTTGGTGGGGAACGGTCAGACTGTTTCTCCCAGTGGCTGCACCGCTTTACACTCTCAATAGCAGTGTATGAGGGGAGGTGGTGACTTTGGAAGCTGAGAGTGCCAGCCCCTCTCTAGCATAAACCAGAATTACCTGGAGTGACCCTCAGTGGAGGGTTGCTGGGACCAGTGGCATAAGGAGTGAGCAGGGAGGGCACGTGGGGCCTGGGGAAGTCAGGTGGCATTCACAAGTGCAGCTGGGTAGGCCAGGGTCTGGTCCTCAGGGGTGGCTGAGCCCTCTCCAGTTTTTTGGGAGCATGTGGTGGGAAGCCAGGGGACTAGGGTGGTGAAAGGCTGCATGGGAGCTTGGGAGGGCTGTTCCAGGTGGTGCCTGTGGTGCAAGGTGTTTGACCCTAGGGCTGGGATAATGGCAGAGTGTGGGCTCGCCCAGGGAAGACAGGTTACGAGTCCAAAGGAAGAGGTGGGTCCAAGCCCAGCCCACAGATTAGGCTGATATGTGATGGCGCTGGGGGTGCTTCACTGGGCTCCAGTATGGAGGTACCTCGTCTTAACTCCAAGCAATGCCCCTCTCCTGAGGCCAAGGCAACTGTGATTGATTCTTACCTGGGGGTTAGGTTCTGAATCAAGCACACATGGTCAAAACTACCCTCGAAAATCTCTGGCCAGGACCCAGTCCCTTGGAAGCTCAAGAGCCAAGATTTGGCTGCTTTTATTTGCTCCCAGTGGTAGCTTCTCTCTCTTCAGGGCAGAAAAGGCCAAGGTCTGGTTTGGGTGGGGAAGAGCGATGGGGGAATAGAAATTGGGATGAGGGGTACAGACAGATGGAATGGGATATGTGTGAGTTGAATGCATGTGGGTTGTGAGTCCCCAGGCTCTCTTGGCTGCTGGCTAATGGCTTAGGACCTAGGGTAGGATAGGGGTCTGAGAGGACCAGAAAGGCTGACGTTAAAGCCTCTGGGGTGCTGGGCAGGTGCTGCAGGGCTATCCTCCCACCCCTTGCTGGAAAGACCTGGAGCCAGGCCACCATGAGCCCACAGCAGCCCCAATCAGCACAAGTAGTGTCGGCTGGGCACTTGTCGCTGTGCCCAAGCTCTGGGAGCCCCGCCTGCATCTGGCAGAGGCTTCCTTTGGGGCATGTGGGCCAAGTCAGTGCCATCTTATAAGCAGCATTAGGGTTTAGCAGTGCTACCATCTCCTGGTGACGCTTCTACAGTCACTGCCTCCTGGAAGCATCTGCTCATCAGGGAGCATATTCCCAGTTGACAGATTGAGCTTTAGAAAAGGAGTGGCTTTAAGTTCCATGATTAGGAAGAGCCAGAACTAGAACACACATCTGAGGCTTCTGGCTCTAGATTCAGCATTCTTTTTGTTGTGTTGCACTTCTTGCAGAAGCCGTCTGATATTGGTGCTAATCTTTTCCCACCCTCTCTTTGTTAGAGCAGATGATGGTCTTGGGGTCATAAGTTGCCAAGAACCTGGAGGAGGAGGAGGAGGGTGACACCTGATTCTTATGTAGGGTGCTTTCTCCTCCCCAGGCTCTGGTCACATATGAAATGGATCTATTTTACCCAGCTCTGTCAAGGCCATCTTGACCTCTGGCTCTGCCCCATCTGTCCCTGCCCTTTACTGGGCAGCAGCCTCCCCAAGAGACAAGCCCTCACCTGGAGTTGGCAGAAATCTTTGAGTGGAGCCTCAATTCTGATGAGACACAATTAGCATCCTCTGCTCTGGCCCTGGCTTTCAGCAAATGGTAAACTCTACTTGAGGGCATAATTCAATTATGAAAATCTATTTCTCTTACACATTCAAAAAATCTCCTCATGTGCCTTTGTGCACACACAAATTTAGTGAGACATCACCAAATGTGTATGTGGTTGCCATGGAAATGTCTTCTAACGTGGCATTCCAAGAGCAAAGAGAAGGGAAGTTTTCTTTGAAAAGAAAAGCAGAGCAGAACTTGGCTAATAGTCATCACACTAATCCCCAAACTGTCATTCTTCCCTGACTACCTGTCTTCTACTTCCTGTCAGCAACTGAACAGGGGAAGGCAAATCAGTGTGCAGGACTGGGTCTCTCACATTTCCTTAGGAATTTCACAAGCATTGTTCTTAACACTTATGTCAAGCACGTACCAGGAAGGACACCAGGTCTTCTTGATTTGAGTTTGCACCTAGAAGCTTAGAAGGTACCTTCCTGGACTGTCTAGCACTTGCCACGCATGAGTACTCAGAAGAACTCCTGGCACCATTTCTCTGTGGCAAGTGCAGGCTGAATAGGGCTTCTGAAGAGGCTTTGTGTTTCCCACCAGAGCTTTTGTCTTTGTGACAAGGGCATGATGTGACAGCATATAGAGCATGCCAATACGAAGTCACTTTTTGAGTGTCGGAAATCCCAAATGTTTCTTAGTGGTGGTGTGAGTCCACAGTGTGGGACCTAAGGCTGGTTGGATGCCTCTGGTCTTCCCGGCTCAGGCTCAGGTTGATCCTCACCCTCACTCTTGTTTTCACTTGTCCTCTTGACTTTCTTAACTGAGCCTTTCTGTGGGCAATGAGGTCCTCATATTTCTGGACTTTACCAGCAGTCTCTGAGGGGATCCTTTGTCCATATTAGCGGACCCTTTGACTGGGTCACTGGGCTGCCTTTCCCCAGTTTTGGGGCTGGGTAGCAGTCCTTTTTCTTTTTTGGAGATAGGGTCTCACTCTGTCGCCCAGGCTGGAGTACAGTGGCGCAATCTCAGTTCCCTGCAACCTGCCCCTCCCGGGTTCAAGCAATTCCCCTGCCTCAGCTTCTCGAGTAGCTGGGATTACAGGTGTGTGCCACCATGCCTGGCTAATTTTTGTATTTTTAATAGAGACAGGGTTTCACCATGTTGGCTAGGCTGGTCTGGAACTCCTGGCCTCAAGTGATCCGTCTGTCTCAGCCTCCCAAAAGTGCTGGGATACAGGAGTGAGCCACCGTGCCCGGCCTGGCCTTGTTGCTTTTAGTATTGAAAACTCTAGGATGCTCCATCTTGTCTGTGGTTGTACTGGCTCCCGAGAAGACCTTTAGCCACTGGCCTGGCTGAGTTGCCAAAGTTGGGGGAGGGGGCAGTGCACAGACCCAGTTTCTGACACTCAAAGCAGGGGCTATAAATTCTGTACACTCCCATGTCCACAGCTCTGCACCACTGACTGGGGCGTGTGGGTCTCCACTTACTGTGGGTCAAGCAGCAGGTCATTTCTGCCAAAAGACAATGTCCTTCTTGCTTTTATAAATCAGGTCCTTAACATTGTTTCTTACCCAGTGTTTATTTCTCTGGCTCTAAAGGGATTAATCGAGGCATCTGGCTCATGGCTGGGCTGTGACCTTAATGAATGTGTGTAAATTTGACCAAGAGCTGAGGAAATCGTACCAGCAACTCCGTAGGGGTTCAGAGCCTTTTATTACCAAATACAGTGTCCAGTGTTTGCTCTTCTGAGGCTGCTGCAGGTGGCCACTGCTCCAGTCTACTTCCACGTAACTCTTGCTTCTGAGGTTGTTCTGAGGTTATTTGGGGTCCTGTTTGGGGAGCTCACGACCCCCCGCAGAGAGAGCAGGTCCAGGTATGGCCTGCTTGACTCTGTGGCCTCTCCATGGCCTAACCAAATCTCTCCAGCAAGGGACAGGGCTTTTAACAATAGTAAATTCTCTTTGGGATAATAGAGAACTTGCTTTGACATAGTGTGTTCTCATTCTTTCTTTCTGCTGTTTTAGACACCGATAAATCTACCAAACTTGGATGTATAAATGGCTATTAGGAGAGCTGGCTGCCCACTTTCACTCTTGGCTTGTGCAAGTAAATATCAATTTAGTCCTTACAGAAGGAGAATAAAGGAGACTTGGTTGTCTCCCTAATCCACAAACCCTGTAATTCTCACCTGGAAAATCTAGCTCTCCTATTTCAAATCAGTTTTAATAGCAAAGGCTAAAGGGAGGCTTTATTGCTCTTATCCAGGCTTATTTTTAAACTTTTTTTTTTACTTATTCATTCAGTAAGTAAGAACTCCTCCAAGGAGACCTGGAGGGGGTTGGCTTAGGAGAAGGGGAGAAGGTGAGTAAGTGGAAGCTTGGTAGGAGAGATTGCCACTGGGTGAACACTCACAATAGGGGCCGCTCACCAACTGAACAGGTGTTCTGGAAATCAGCAGATCCTGAGGACCCGGGACGGCTACTGCAATTCTAGAGCACCAGTGGGGAATCCTCTGCCACACTTTCTTCTGTCCCAGAGGAGAAGCGGGCAGACTGGCCCTGGTTGGAGACTCCTGACAGTGACCAGCCTCAGCTGGCCAGAAAGACAGACTTCCCTGAGTGACAGGCAGGAAGGCCCTGGTTGGTCCCGGCCTGCACTGGCCTTGCACGGCTCTTCAGCTGGCCTGTAAGCCTCTCCTGAGCTCACTGCCTTGTTGCTGGCGCCTGGGCTGCTCATTGCCCTGCAAGTGGTATGAGTGGGATGGACTCCTGTTTCCATTCTGCCCTGGTCATGTGTGACAGGCAGGAAGGAAGGGGCAGCCCAGCACTGTGGACCAAGTCTCCTCAAAGAAGTATCCAGCCTTTCCCTTGTTGGAGGGGCCGTGACCCAAGATGAAAATCCTTTTCTTAGAGGAAAATGCTGTCTGCAGGGAGAGACCAGTGCTGCCTTCCTCTGCCCTTGCACGGAGCAGGAGCTCAGAATTAACATGCTTATTCTGTAACCACACGCGGGTCTTTCTGGCCTGTTCAAAGGTGTTATAATCCCCACCCTGGCTATGACCTGAGGTTAAATGTCAGAAAGAAAATAAGATGTTCCCCATGGGAAAAATCTATGCATTGGGGGTTATATCAGGCTGATTTCAGGTGTTTCCTCAGACTGATAGGTTGTAAGGTTTAGAAAAGCAACTAAGTCCTGTTCCATGTAGGGTGTTAGCAACATGTTCCCACGTGACTATAATGGGTGCTTGTGAATGAGGAGAGAAGACCCTGCTGCCTGCCTGCCTGCCGGGGCCAGAGACTGGCCTGAGCAGGGATGGTGGAGTAGTTTGGGAACCCAAACTCTCCTGCTGCCCAGCAATGGCCACTCAAAGCCAAGTGCTTGATCTTTCTGATTGGCCTCTTCATAGCAGCTCTTGACTCCTAAAAGTCTGACCCCAAGGCCTCCAGGCACTTCCTGAGGACATGTGTGGACACTCTTGTCCTGGGGTCTAAGCTGAGGAGCCTTCCTGCTGCCGCATGTCAGGCCCTGAAGGCCTGTGTAGCTCCTGGAAGAGGCCTCCCTGACCAGAGGTCCAGGAAGCAGGAGGGACTCCTGTGCAGGACAGCTGCTGCCTTCTTGGTTGCTGTTGGGAAACAAATGGCTTCTCCAAGTAACGCTGGAACTCTTGTAAGGATCACTCACTGCCAAGGAGTCTGCTCAGTGTGGCAGTGGCGCTCTCCCGGGAAGTGAGACTCTGCAAATGTGTTCTCAAGTTCTGTTCCAGCTGGCACCAGCCCTTCCCACCCCACAGGCTGGAGGCCCCCAGCACCCGCTCAGGCATGGGGCCGAGTTGCTGGCAGCCCTTGGTGCATGGCTGGTTAGCAAAGACCAGAGCCTGCTGCCTACCTGAAGCCGTGTCATCTTTTCCCCTGCCTTGGTGGGTCTTGGCACTGGCATGAAGTTGCTTCCTCCTGAAGCAGAGCGTGGGTGCCCTCCCACCGACATGCAGGATCAGTGGTGGGCCCGGAGCAAAATTACTCAACCTCTGCCTCAATGTCCTTTTCTGCACAATGGGTGACAGTGGGATCACCCTCGGGGTTGCAGTGCTCAGCAGGGTGCCTGGCCCGTAGGAGGTGTTTAATCAATGTCGGCTTTATTGTGATCACAGCTCACTGTAGCCTCAACCTCCCAGGCTCAAGCGATCCTCCCACCTCAGCCTTCAAAGTAGCTGGGACTGCAGGCATGCACCGCCATGCCTGGCTAATTTTTTGGTATTTTTTGTAGAAATGAGGTCTCGCCATGTTGCCCAGGCTGGTCTTGAACTCCTGGCCTCTGGAGTTCAAGAGATCTGCCCATCTTGACCTCCCAAAGTGCTGGGATTATCAGTATGAGCCACCACATCCAGCCTGTTTTTTTGTTTTGTTTTGTTTTTGTTTTTTGAAACAAGGTCTCACTGTTTCCCAGGCTGCAGTGCAGTGGCACAATCTAAGCTCGCTGCGGTCTTGACCTCCTGGGCTCAAATCCATCCTCCCACCTCAGCTTCTCAAGTATTTAGGACTACAGGCACATGCCACCATGCCAGGCTAATTTATTAATTTTTTGTAGAGGTGGGGTTTCACTAAGTTGCCCAGGCTGGTTTCAAACTTCTGGGCTCAAGTGATCCTTCTGCCTCAGCCACCCAGAGTGCTGGGATTACAGGTGTGAGCCACCATGCACAGCTGTACCTCCTCTGTTGAAACCCCCAACCATTTCCCAATACTGCTGGTCCCTTATTAGGGGCCTTTATGGTAAACCATCTTTTTGTGTTGTGTTGTGACTACTCGTGTGGCCCTAAGCCAAATTAGGTGTCTTGTCATCCCACCCTGGAGGAGGACCTCTGGCTTCTCAAGTGGGGTGCTCCACGGATTCCCTGATTTTTCTGAATGTTCTCGGACCTAGTAGGTATCAGTGTCCAGGGCCAAGGGGTCACATCACAGAGGCCGTTGGTCTTAAGAGCTGCTTTCCCCAGAACGAGGCTGCTGTGGTTTGGCCTTGGCTCCCCACAAGTCTGGCTTCTGCAGGAAGTTTGCTGAGTAGCCCAGCTCTTCCCTAGAGGGCAGGGGATCAGGCATGTTTGGGAGGGCAGAGCAGGGCCAGGTCGGGGCGGGGAGCAGCACGCTTCAAAACTTGCCATCCATCTTCTCCAGTTCTCAACTGGGCTAGTTTTGCTCCCCCAGGGGAGTCAAAGGTCAGTTTTTCGAGACGTTTTTGGCTGCCACACTGGGGATGCTATGGGCATCTCGTGGATAGGGGCCAGGGAAGCTGATAACCAAAGGATAGCATCCAGGACAGACCCCACAGCAAATAATTATCTGGCCCAACATGTCAGCAGTGCCGGGACTGGGAAACCCTGATCTATTCCTGGTTGCACATTGAGACAAGTTTTGGAACTCCCAGGGTTATAGAAGGAGTATCACCTATATGGGTCAGCCTGGGCCCTTCATCCCTTCATCCCCCAACCCGAGTCACTTATCCTTGCTGATGTGCTGTGTAATTATGGACAAATTCCTTCCCCTCACCAGAGCCTTGGCTTTCATTTCTTAGACACAGCGGTCCTGGGGTTGCCTTCCAGATGAAGATCTATCAAAGATTTGAAGTCTTGTGTATGTGGTCCTAGAGGACCCCAGGCTGTTATACCGATCCATGAGGCATCTGACCCCTTCCAAAGGGTAAGGCTTTACAAAAGGAAAGCAGTTTTGACTTTGAGCTGCTGAGTGAGATCCAGGCCCCTAGTTGAGGAAACTGTCTCACGCCAAGTGGGTGCTCACCCCCAAGCCTGCCAGGTCCCAGGACTTAGCTGTTGCCGAAGCAGCTTTTCTCTTCTCCAAATAACTGTGCTTTCTTTATGCTTTGCTTTTACTTTAATCTGTGTGTGGCTGCACTGGAAAGGGTAACTTTATGGCAGATGCTGTGGAACGTAATCTGCTCATGTTTAGGCTGTAAATTTTCCTTTTTTCCTTTTTTTTTTGAGATGGAGTCTTGCACTGTCACCAGGCTGGAGTGCAGTGGTGCGATCTTGGCTCACTGCAACCTCCGCCTCCTGGGTTCAAGCCATTCTCCTGCCTCAGCCTCCCGAGTAGCTGGGACTACAGGCACACACCACCACGCCTAGCTAATTTTTGTATTTTTAGTAGAGACGGGGTTTCACCATGTTGGCCGGGATGGTCTCGATCTCCTGACCTCACGATCTGCCCACCTCGGCCTCCCAAAGTGTGGGGATTACAGGCGTGAGCCACCGTGTCGGGCCTAGGCTGTAAATTTTCCATGGTTCCAAAGTGCTGTAGAGTTCACTGGAACACATGCTGTCCTCTGATAATTGAAGTGGCTTAAAACAAAACAAGTCTTTATTGGTTTGAAACAAACCATCATGTGTGCTTGTGCTTTTTTAAAACAAAAGCAAAGCTGACACCATATCTCCAATTGAGAGCTTCAGCCTCCTTCACCCCCAGAGATCCGGACTAAGTAAGGAATTTATTTACCGTGTGATCTTGGGAAAGTCCTTTCAACTTCTCCAGGTCTGAGTTTCAACTACAAAATGTGGGGATAAAACTCGATCTCCAAGCTCCCTTGCTGCAGCCTCTCACTCAGCTCCTGGAGTCCGTGGATCTCAGGGAGGGAACCTGCTGTCCAACACTGCTCTTCCAGGGTTAAAGTTCCCCTTCTGCAAGGTGAGGGCGAGCTGAAGAAATGAGCCCCTCTTGCCTCTGTGATTGTGATTCTCAGATGCTCTCAAAATACCAAATAACTAGTTTAGTTACAGGGAACTGGTGGACACTTGTAGTTTAAATCTCTTTCCTTGGCTTCAAGGGAGTGAGCTGAGTTTGACAAGCACAAATGGAAAACTGTTCTCAGGTTCTTTCCTCTGGCCCTTGGGGATAGTGGATGACTGATGTCTGGGGCAGAGTCTAGCTTTTTAGAAGGCAGACTCTTCCTCCGACATCCTCTCCAACTCCTGCTTTCTCTCCTTGTGTCTCTTATCGGCCTCTAATTAGGGGTACTGACTTGCAAGTCTATTGGATGAAATTCTTCATTTTTTCCTCCGGAAAAAGATGCCAGTTTTTCCTCAGGGACTTGTTCTGGGGGTTAATAGGAGAGTTAATAGGAGAGTGAATAGGAGAAATTCACTTTTGCCCCCAAACCTCCATTTCTCTTGTTGCAGTTTGATTTAAAGAAGAAAAGTCTTGTCCTTGAGGCTGACAGTGTGGAATAACTCCCCCAGGGCTGTGGGTCGGGGAGAGAGTGCAGGCCCTGGACTGGGGGTGCTCAGGAGCTGTGAGTGAGGGAGTGAGTATAGGCCCTGGATTCAGGGTGCTCAGGAGCTGCCTCCTCTTTTTGGGAGGGCCCCAAATGGACTAGCAGTCCAAAGCTGATGTATGTCTTAGGTTGGGATTATCAGTCTTTTTTTTTTTTTTTTTTTTTTGAGACAGTCTCACTCTGTCGCCTAGGCTGGAGTGCAGTGGCATGATCTCGGCTCACTGCAACCTCTGCCTCCCAGGTTCAAGCCATTCTCCTGCCTCAGCCTCCCAAGTAGCTGGGACTACAGGCATGCACCACCATGCCCCGCTAATTTTTTTATTTTTAATAGAGACGGGGTTTTACCATGTTGGGCAGCCCGGTCTCGAACTCCTGACCTCAAGTGATCTGCCCACCTTGGCCTCCCAAACTGCTGAAATTACAGGCATCAGTCACTGCGCCGGGCCTATAATGTACTTTTAAAGACGTCGTTTCATAATAAGGCTACGGAGACATTTGGCGCCTGCACTGGGCGGCTGAGTTGCCTGCTTTGATAGTGCTTTGCCCAAGTGTTCACTGAAATACTTTCTTCAATGTTACAGGGTCAGCTTCATGTTTGGATAAATAAGCCTGAGTGTTGAATTCCTTCCGGGGTCTCTACCTTCTGTGGTTAATCTTCTGTGTGTGTCTTTCTGCTGTATGTCAGGCTGTGCTTAAGCCTGCTTAATTGCAGTGGTTCACTTGAAAGTGCTGTTAGAAGTAAAATTAAAGGAGAAGACACATGTTGGGTCCTGCCCAAGCTGGCATCTTGCTAGCTGTTCAGGTTTGCTATTCAGGGAGTAGCCAAGGAGGGGAGAGAGATGGAGAGAGAGATGGAAAGATAGACCAACCTTGCGTCTTTTTTTTTTTTTTTGAGATGGAATCTTGCTCTGTCACCCAGGCTGGAGTGCAGTGGCGCGATCTTGACTCACTTCAAGCTCCGCCTCCTGGGTTCACACCGTTCTCCCGCCTCAGCCTCCCGAGTAGCTGGGACTACAGGCACCCGCCACCATGTCCGGCTAATTTTTTGTATTTTTCGTAGAGACGGGGTTTCACCGTGTTAGCCAGGATGGTCTCGATCTCCTGACCTCATGATCCACCCTCCTTGGCCTCCCAAAGTGCTGGGATTACAGGCGTGAGCCACCGCGCCCAGCCCCAACCTTGGGTCTTAACCAAGCAGGGGAAAGGTCTCCTGCCTGGGGCCCTCAGCCTTCTAAGGAGAGCCTGCCACAGCCATGCTTACCATTACCCAGGGCACAGTTCTGGGTCCTGAAAACCCTTTTCTAGGAGTAAAGGAGCTTTCAGACTGAGCAGACTGCCCTTCCCCACGCCTTTCTCAGTGCCTCTTCCCCAGAGGCTGGGGAGAAGGAAGGGCAAGGGTTATCAGGCCAGCCTGGCCAGGATGCAGCTGGGTGGTGGTGCTTGATGTAGGGGGAAAGCCATGAAGCGTGGCCCTGAGGCTTGAAGTGGTGGTGCCTTCCTCTTGCAGCCGGAGGTGCCTACCTTCTAGTGAATCATCCGCACACAGAAGCAATTTATGCTCCTCATTATTCTTTAGCAAGAAATAATTTCCTACCCATTTGTCACTTTAAGACTAAGGGCTTCACACTCCCTGTGCTGAGAATATAGTAGCTTGTTGTACTTCAGTTCTATTTATGTCCCATTTGGGGGTTTGGGGGCTGCCCTTTGACAAACACACAAAAAGGAGATTGATACAGCCGGAGCCATAGACAAACAAGATGACAGGCCCTGGGAACATGGGAACCTTTTGTCATGCCCTGTTACCCATGGGGGCTTTGGCCTCAGTAAGTTATTACTGGCTACCAGCGCCTTGTATATATCATCCTCACTAGAATGAAAACACCCATGTAACTCTTAGTGAGTTGCTTGCTCTGCATTGAGGCCCCAGGGATATGAACCCCAGGCTGAGCCTGTGTGTGGATGGAAGGAAGTGGATGGACACACACACAGCGTGACCCACCAGCCGGACCACTGCTCACTTTCAGGGCTCACCAACCTCAGCATTTCCAGCCAAGGCCCTGTGGTGCTCTACACCATCTCCTTGCCTGCTGCCCTGCCCCCTGGCCTTGACCTGTCTGAAGATGAGACCACCTTTCCTGCTCTCTGGGAGCCCCTGGTCCTGTGCAGGGTGGCCTAGTAGATATTAGAAATTCAAAATCAAAACTCAGTGACTGCTGCAGAGGGTGGGCCTTTCCCATAAACTGTTCACCTTCACAGTGGTGAGCAAGCTGAGGCTCAGAGGTGTTAAACAGCGTGCCCAGAGTTACACAGCTTGAAAGTGGCAGTGTCAGGTTGTGAACCTGGAGCCAGGCTATGAATCTAGAGTGAAGCCCTTGGTTATCCCAAACCATAGACCCTAAGGGCTAGCATGAGTGGGAGGGGACTCGAGGCTTCATGGGGAGTGAAGGCAGGTGGCCCCAGGCTTGGAATGAGCCTAGTAAGGAGACACATCCAAACTTGCTGCTGCTTCTTTTTTTTTAAACGCGGTCTGGCTCTCTCGCCTAGGCTAGAATACAGTGGCACCATCTCAGCTCACTGCAACCTCTGCCTCCCAGGCTCAAACCATCCTGCCACCTCAGCCTCCCCTGTAGCTGGGACTACAGGCGCATGCCACCATACCTGACTAATTTTTTTTGTGTTTTATGTAGAGACAAGGGTTTCACCATGTTGCCCAGGCTCGTCTTGAATTCATGAGGTCAAGTGATCTGCCCTCCTCAGCCTCCCAAAGTGTTGGGATTATAGGCGTGAACCACTGCGCCCAGCCCCAAACTCACCTCTTAATATTCTGTCTCTTCTCTGAAGTTCCTCCCAGCTGCTCAGCCGATTGCCACTTATAGATACTTCCCCAGACGCCCCCAGCCCGTGCAGTTCCATCAAACTTTACACACACACACAATCTGAGCGGGGTTGTCCTGCTTGCTTATGTTGCCTGCAGTCTGCATTTTTCAGTCCTGGCCAGCAGCAGCATCAGTGGCCCTGGCCCTGCCAGACACCCCTGCGTCGTGCCTGAGCCTGCTGCCCAGAGGGGATGCACTGGGAAGAGCAGGAGGCTGTTGCAAGGCTGAGGAAGGACTGGAGCTGCGAAGGCACCCGCCTGCCTCGGATGTTCCCTGATCTAAGCCCAGCTGTACCCAGCTGGGACTTGGATGTGACTCGGGTTGGGGATTGGTTTGTCCTGTTGCTGAGCCAGCATCCTGGGAAGCCTTCAGAGTCAAGGCTGTTTGGTTCTAGGTGGCTTGTCTCCAGGGTTATCTCCCCACACTCCCTGGGGCTTACAGTTCTATTTCTGTAGCAGCCTTGGCTCTGCCCCCGACCCTTACGTCAGACCTAGAAATACGTCTCACCTGGATGACCTCCAGGGAGCTGCTGCTTTGGTCCTCAGACTGCAGTTTCCTACATTACATACTTCCTTATGTAAAAAGCACAGTGCTGGCTACCTCTTTCTCAAGCTCTTCCCTCCAGGAACTGAGCAGGCCTGGGATGTGGCCAGAACATGACTTTTAGAATCCCTAAACCTGGGGGAGATTATGGAGCCTAAAATATAATTCAAAAGAAATCTTTCTTTTTTAGTGATAAAAGTTACATGTTGTACAAACATTGATGTAGCTTCTTTCTAGCATTTCTAATTGTGCAGTCCCAGGTGAGTCCATTGAAGCAGAATCTCCTGGACTCCAGCTTTGCCAGTGCCCAAAGCAAGGCTTGGTCTGCCTGTAGGATGCACTCAGGGATGACTCCTGAGAGCCAGTTGTTAAATTTTCAGAAATGTTGTGTGCCAATGGTTAATAATAGCCATTCTTTAAAAACAAATTATATAAAATTATAGTTAAATAAATTAAAAACAAGGGTAGCCAATACTCAAAACTCATCCCTTCCTGATTGTTTTACTGTATTATTTATCTATTTCACCTGTTGTATCTATGTATAATGATATGTCGCAGCCCACACCAAATCCATGTTCAGTGACATCATGTTGGTAGCTCTAAATCAGCCCTGGTGGGAATATTTCTGTTTGCCACAGAAATTGGCAAACACTATAAACTTGGGTTTGATTTATTGTTTTGATAATTGCCTAGACTTAGGAAAGTGATAGAGAGAATGCTAATCAGATTAAACTTAAGTGTTTATATATGGCCCAGTGTGGTGGTTCACGCCTGTAGTCCCAGCACTTTGGGAGGCCAAGGTGGGCGGATCACCTGAGGTCAGGAGTTTGAGACCAGCCTGACCAACATGGAGAAACCCCGTCTCTACTAAAAATACAAAATTAGCTGGGCGTGGTGGCACATGCCTGTAATCTCAGCTACTCGTGAGGCTGAAGCAGGAGAATCACTTGAACTTGGGAGACAGAGGTTGCGGTGAGCTGAGATCGCGCCATTGCACTCTAGCTTGGGCAACAAGAGTGAAATTCCTTTTTTTTTTTTTTTTTTTTTTTTTTTTGAGTGTCGCCTAGGCTGGAGTGCAGTGGTGCCATCTCGGCTCACTGCAAGCTCCGCCTCCCAGGTTCACACCATTCTCCTGCCTCAGCCTCCCGAATAGCTGGGACTACAGGTGTCTGCCACCATGCCTGGCTAATTTTTTGTATTTTTAGTAGAGACGGGGTTTCACCGCATTAGCCCAGGATGGTCTTGATCTCCTGACCTCGTGATCCGCCCGCCTCGGCCTCCCAAAAGTGCTGGGATTACAGGTGTGAGTCACCATGCCCGGCCTGAAACTCCATTTTTGAGACAGACTCTTACTCTATCACCCAGGCTGGAGTGCTGTGGTGCAGTCATGGCTCACTGCAGATTCGAACTCCTGGGCTCAAGGGGTCCTCCCACCTCAGCCTCCCAAGTAGCTGGGACCACAGGTGCATGCAACCATGCCCAGCTAATTTTTTTATTTTTTGTAGAGATGGGGTTTCACCATGTTGCCCAGGCTGGTCTCAAACTTCTGGGCTCAAGTGATCCTCCTGCCTCAGCCTCCCAAAGTGCTGGCATTACAGGTGTGAGCCACCATGCCTGGCCAAAAGTGTGTCATTGTAAATGACAGTATTCAAAACTTACCATCCAATTCAGCAAAGAAGTGGCTCACATCATTGATAAACACATGAAATTCTGTTTTTTTTTTTAATTTCAGTTTTATTTGTTAAGGTACATGAAAATATCAACCATCGCCCATGTTGGAGCTACATGCAGAGGGTTAGTTGTTAAACCGCACACTGCTGGATGCAGCTGTGCTGCGTGGCCCATGTATTTCATCACCTCTATGCCTTTGCTCCTGGCTATTTCCTTTTACTGTCTTGCCCGAGTCCCATTTCATTCACTGACTCATTTATTTAACAAATAAGTATCCAGTGTGGACTATGTGCCAGGCACCAGGGACACAGCAATGAACAAGACAGACCCAAAATACAAATTCTGTTCTAGTGGAGTTAGAGGAACAATAAGCAAAATAAATATGTTAACGGCATGGTATGCAGTTTCAAACTCTTCCCTCTTTTCCCCAGAGCACAAATGTCCCCCTCTGTGTCTTGCTCTCCCCCACCGAGGGTGAGTTCTGCCTCCATTGTGGCAGGATCTTTCAACCTCACACCAAAGGAGACAAGGCTTAGCTTGAGCACAGGGTCTGAGCAGAGATGTGTGCATAGCTGGGAACTCGAGACTGAGGCCTGGCTTTGTGGAAGACAGGCAGGAAGCAGGAAGCAGAGCCACAGTTTTATTAGAGTTCGTGAAAATGGGATGTCTCCTCCCAATGTAATGATTTGCTAATTGTTCTCAGTGCTGTGTGTGGGGTTGAAGGGAGATCTAAGATGAAACCTTTGCACCTGCAAGGAGTTAAAAATATGTAATGAAAGAAATATCACAGGATAGCCTGCTCATTCCCTCATCTATTTGTTTTGCAAATACAAGTCCTACCCCACATCAGGTGCTATAAGCTCTATAAACTGTAAAGCCAAATGATCTACGGTCTCTCCCCTTGAGGAATTTTTTTAACTTGGGGGCAATTTATAATCCAGATTGCTGGCCAGCGAACAGTGGTCAGAATGCTCTGGAAACCTTCCCCATCTCTCTGGAGTCATCAGGCCCTTGCAGGTAGTCAGCCTCCTCTCTCTCTGTTGTCCCCTCACTTATAATTGACCTCAGTTTATAATTCTGCATCTGTTTTTGTGTTTGATTGATGTCTATCTCTCTCACAAGAATGTCAGCTCCAGGAGGCAGGGACCCATGTCTGTCCTGTTCACTGAGCCTGGCATGAGGAAATGCTCAGGAAAACCTTGTTGAATAAGCAAATGCAGGGAGGACTGAGAGTGGAGGAGGGAGATGGTGTGAGAAGCCTCAGGGGTGTTCTGGAGAACGAGCCTTCATTCTTTGACATCAGGCAAGTGAATCCAGACTCCTCAGCATTTGTCAAGGTGCGGCTAGACAACACCTCCATTGTGTAGTCATATTCCTCTGTGGAGAGACCTCTAGAACAGAGCACAGCAGTTTGTATTACAGCTTATACATGATTCTTAACATTTTCTCGTGTCACAGACTCCTTGCTAACCTGATAAAAACTATAAACGTTCCTCCCCAGAATAATGCTCATGGCGTGCACACATGCGCACACACACACAAACACGGTTCCCTAAAGCCCATCCGTAAACTCCAAATCAAGAACTCTGCTTTAAAAAATGTGATCCCATCTGGGCATGGTGGCTCACACCTGTAATCCTAGCACTTTGGGAGGCTGAGGCAGGAGGATTGCTTGAGCCCAAGTTCAAGACCAGCCTGGCCAACACAGTAAGATCCTCTCTATTAAAAAATATATTTAGGCCGGGCACGGTGGCTCACGCCTGTAATCCCAGCACTTTGGGAGGCCAAGGCGGGAGGATCACGAGGTTAGGAGTTCGAGATAAGCCTGACCAATATGGTGAAACCCCGTCTTACTAAAAATACAAAAATTAGCTGGGTGTGATGGCAGGCACCTGTAGTCCCAGCTCCTCAGGAGGCTGAGGCAGAAGAATTGCTTGAACCTGGGAGGCTGAGGCAGAAGAATTGCTTGAACCTGGGAGGCAGAGGTTGCAGTGAGCCGAGATCATGCCACTGCACTCCAGCCTGGTCAATAGAGTGAGACTCCATCTCAAAAAAAAAATTATACATATATATATTTTATTTATTTATTTATATTATTTATTTTAAATACATGTATATATATTTTATTTATATATTATTTTAAATATATATAAAATACGTATATTTAAAATAAATAAATAAATAATATGATCTCCATAGCAGACACACCTCCTATTCCTCTATAGCCCCAATATCTAGCACAGTTCTTAGCATATGGGAGCACTTATTGTGTAATACAGTAATTCCCCCTTACCTGCAGGAGATATGTTCCAAGACCCCCAGTGGATGCCTGAAACTTCGGATAGTACTGAACCTTATATATACTATGTTCTTCCTATACATATGTTGCCATAAGGTTTAATCTACAAATTAGGCACAGTAACAGATTAACAACATATTTAGAACAATTAATCTACTGTAATAAAAATTATGTGAATGTGGTCTCTCTTGCTCCCAAAATACTTCGTTGTACTGTACGTACCTATTTTTGGGCCTCAGTTGGCTGTGGGTAACTGAAACTGCGGAAAGTGAAACTGCAGATATGGGGGGATTACTGCATCGGGGATTACTGTGTCGAGGGCACAGTGGGACGAATGGGGAGATGGGTATGTAAAAAAGTGTCTGGGTTTGCCATGGCCTACATAGAGCTGAGCTGACAATTCCATTGAAGTCGCGAGGGAGAGGGCCACTTGAGCAGAGTGGTAGCACTCTATATCACTGCTCTGTCCTGGCCCTGCGGGTTCTCCCCATACCCAGGAGGCCCACCAAGTCCATAAGATCACTTTCCAAATAAAAAGTTAGAACATGGTGTCTGACACATTGTCTGATAATGGGACAGAATATTTGAAATTGGGCCTGTCTCACAAAACCAGGGGTTATATGAATTTAAAGAAACATGACTTAGTTCTTCCTGAGGCTGGTAGGGTTCTTCTTGTGGTAGGGTTCTTCTTGGTGCTTCTTTAAGCCTCCCCAGAAGGGGGATGATCAGGGACTAGGCTGCATTCCCCATAGAGACTAGGTTATTCTGGGTAGAGGGGCCCAGTATGGCAGCCCATCTGCCCTCCACACGCTCTGTGGTCGCCTGTGTTGGGGGACCTGAGCGTTAGTGGCACCCCATGCTGCTCATTACCACCCCAAAAAGTAGTCAATCCTGGCTTTTAAAATGTTCAACCCTACTAGTTTTTTTTTTTTTAATTTTAATCCCTATTTTTCATATGAGGCATTTGGCAATGCTGATTTTTAGACACCACAATAGTTCAAAACCATGGGGGAGAAAACCTTACAGTACTAGAATTTGCTTGGAAAACAGTTGTCAAGGAAATAGATTTTGCAAAACATTTCCTCCCAGGAGAGTGCTCACTTTCCATGTATCCCCACGTTGAACATTATTCTGCCATATAATAGTGGTAGGCAAAGGTACTGTAGACAGATAATTTGTCTAGCCAACATCTAATTATGAATTAAAGCCCTGGCTGGCACTTTTACAGCTCGGCAGCCAATGGTGGACAGAGTTCAAGTTGAGTTTACAGTGCATCTGAAATGTTCTCGGACATACAGGAATGACGGAAGATTTCTTGGCCTTGGCTACAGAGTGGGAAATAGGATTCTGTAAACTCTATTAGCAGACAATGGAAGCATCTGATAGATGGAGCTGAAATTGCAAAGCATTGTTCGATTAAAAGAAAAGGGGAAGACTCGCTGGGCGGGGGCTGTGACTCAAGGCACTCATATAAGGAGGCAATTATCTCACGATTGGACATGCTGGTGGCCCAGTCTCCAGCCATTGCTACTTGGAGGATCCGTCACTGTTAGACATGCCAACAAATATATATACTGCTCAGTTGAGAGCAGACCTCACAAGCAAGGCTGGCGGCTTTAATTATCACTTGTGAGAACTTAGTCAAGAAAGTGCTAGCCTGGTTAAGAGTTATGGCCACTGACGCTAGCAGGTGGTTAATTATAGGCCCCTCCATTCCCACAAAGGTGCACGGCCTGTGTAGAAACGGTTTCTGACAAAGAGGCAGAGAGATGGTTGTGTCTCTTCATTATTTCCATTTGTGTTACGATCTATTGTATTTGCAGTAATCTTTAATTATAGAGGCTATTACTATGGAATGGACTATCAATGTTACTCGTTTCTGCAATGTTGCCTGGTAACGTCCCTTTGTGCCTGAGACACACGTACACATGTCTCTGTAGTTACGGGCTGTTGAATTGATACCTTCCTCTCAGCCATTTGCCATCACAATATTATAAAAAGCTATTTTAAGAATTGAGAGTGCCCAATCTATGGGGTGAAAAATGGACTCGGTGTGATAACAGCCTACATCTTCAAAAAGACTTAATTTTAACCAGAATAGTTCTTACACGATGCAATATTCCCCAGTAGCAAGACGGAAAAACGCTTCCAAATAGTTAGCTGCATTCTGCCATCATCTTTGGATAACGCTGTGTCCCATTACAGACCAATCTCTGCCTCGAGACCCATTTTGCACACCGCTGTGGACCACACGAGACATGAGAAGTTGGGAGTCTTTAGGTTTTTGATGATTTCCCACCTAAGAAGATCACTGATGGAGAAAACAGGGCATTAGATATTGCAGGTGGAGTCTGTTTGGCCCCTCTGTGAAGTCAGGTTATTTCCATCATCCTGCTGATTTTGAAAATGGCCCATTAGTAGAAGAAATGGTGTCAGAGTTATCACCAGAAGTACTCAAAATCATTCTCTTGAAAGGTCACACTAGTGGAATTTTCAGGTAATACTTGGCATTGGCTTTTTTTTTTTTTTTTTTTTTTGCAGGAAAGCAGCTGCTCCAGCCATGGGGAGAGGTCATCTACTGGGTTTCAGATCTCAAGTTATGGCTGTAACTCCACAAAAGTGGCTATCGCTTAAAGATAATTACATTCCACATTGTTCATGCTAAACTCTTGAGATGGACTGATTGGCATATTTAAATCTCATCTCTCAGGCATTTGCTAATTATCATAGCCTAGTTGGAAGAAAAAAAAACCCTCTAATCAAATAGCTGTTTAGAGATGCTTTGCATTTTAAAATTTTACTGGGTTCATAGGAAGGAGGAATTATGCCTCTGATTTCTTCTGGCTCTTCCCCTGACCTCAGGAGGGTTTAGACTTTTAACGGTTTAAATAGCCATAGCTATCCACCCAGGAAACATTTTTGCATTTCGGTTCTCTGTCTTTTTGCGTCGTTTTCATCCCCAACCCCATTTTTCACTTAGTGACTTCACATCCAGGAGGGGGGCTGTTGAATTCCAGCTAATGAGCCTCATCTTTTTACTCCTCTTAAGTGGTCCCAGCTAGACCTGGAGTCAAATCTGAGAGCAAACGGTAGCACACATCTTTCTCAGGTTCACAAACGGAACACCAAGTCCATAGTGAAAGGGAGAGGAATTTCTTCCTCTTGCTTAGAAAGACAAAAAGAGCAGCTTCTCAGGGCAGCAGGTTGAGTAGAAGCCATCCTCCTTAGAAAAGGCAGACTTGGTGTTTAATTAACAGCAGCTGGAAAGGACCCCACTCCCCCCACCACTGGCAGCTGAGCCGACATCGTTTTATGTAATAGATTCTTTTCAGCTGCTGTGCTCAGAATTGAGAAAACCTGATGGTTTCCTCCTTTATACAAAACATACGGCTGTCAGCGACAGAAATCTCAGCCAGGCCTTTCTTTTATGGGGATATTCTAAAAGGGCCTGTCTCTGAGATTTTGAAAGAGTCCCGGTGAGCCACCATCACCCATAGTTGTGCCTCAAAAGCAAGTGCAGGGAAGAGGAATTCTGTGAAGGTTTTGAAACACCTGTCATGGGCCGTGGGTTCATTTGTGCCCTGCCTATGGCAGGGTCTGTTTTGCCCACTGGCAGGAGGCTGCTGTTTCCTATAGCTGGTTTACAGGCCCCAGCAGGAAGTCCCAGTTCTGGAGGCAGCATAGGAAAGAGAAAATCCTGGTCTCCTGTTAGAAGTCAGAGCAGCAGACCTAGAGAAGGTGTATTCAGTTCTTGGGGAGGAGGATGTGAGGATGGGAGGGAGGTAGGAGGAGAGAGCTCAAAATCCCACCAGTTGAAGGCCTGTGTGAGCTTTAATTTTGGCCATTTAAACAATTCAAAGAGGCTGGGAGTGGTGGCTCACACCTGTAATCCCAGCCCTTTGGGAGGCTGAGGCGGGCGGATCACTTGAGGTCAGGAGTTTGAGACCAGCCTGGCCAACATGGTGAAGCCCGGTCTCTACTAAAAATACAAAAATTAGCCAGGCGTGGTGGCAGGTGCCTGTAATCCCAGCTACTTGGGAGGCTGAGGCAGGATAATCGCTTGATCCCAGAAGGCTGGAAGTTACAGTGAACCAAGATGGGGCCACTGCACTCCACCCTGGGCGATGGAGTGAGACTCCATCTCAAAAAAAAAAAAAAAAAAAAGCAATTCAAAGAAAAAGAAACAATGAAACTTGAAGATCTGAGTTTTCTCTCTGTCCCCATTAGTTCATCACGATTACAGCCTTTTGATTTTCATAGTTAATTGTTCTTCGGCATTCTATTTCAGGGTTTTGAAATCAAATTGCTCGATCTTTTCTCTCTCCTGTGTGATTAGGTTATCTTTTATAATACAGCTGCAATAATCCTTTCAAGAACACAGCGCTTTAGCTCAGCAGTGTCAAAGACAATATCCTAAGTGGCCTCTGAAATTCAGTCTTGTAGGAGTGAGAAAACACCACCAGCCCCTATTATGAACCCAGAAGTGCCACCACACATCACCCATCATCACAGACCTGGAAAAATGAAAAGAAAACCCACACTGAGCTGCCTGATTAATGCAAACTCAAGGAGTGCTTATGGGGTGGCAGCTACTTGGCTTCATGGGAAGAATGACTCCAGGACCTCAGTTATTTTATGTGGCATTTGTAAGGCTAGGCCGGTCTGTTTACTGCTTTGGAATTCTCTCTCCTGGGGTGAACTGGTAACCTTATCAGTGGGTTTTACAAGCTTTTCTAGCCAAGAAAAGAAAATATGTACTTTGGAATCTCTTCTCATGGGGGCTTGGAGGAACAAAGAAAAGCCGAATGCATTTCTCAGGCTATAAATGGGAAACGAGGTGCATTTTTTTCAGATATTTATTAAGTTCTCAGCTCAGCTGTCATCTGGGAGGCCTTCCTTGGCCACCCCACCCACTCAGTTATCCCCCACCCCCTTACCTTGCTTGACTTTCCTTCACGGTGCTTGTCACCATTCAGAATTCTCCTGCTGGCTGCTGGCTGCCTCCCCACACTAGGATGTAGAGGCCATGAAGGCAGCCGCCATTCCTATCTTGTTTACTCCCATATGTACTAGAACATGGGGTACATAGTAGATGCTCAGTAAATATTTTCTGAATGGATGTCAGGTGGGGAGAGGTAGAGAAAAGAACGGTTAACATGCAGAGATTGGAATCGGACAGACCTGGGTTTGAATCCAAGCCTTCTACTTTTCTTTCTTTCTTTTTTTTTTTTTTGAGACGGAGTCTTGCTCAGTCACCCAGGCTGGAGTGCAGTGGCACGATCTCGGCTCACTGCAACCTCCGCCTCCTGGGTTCACGTCATTCTCCTGCCTCAGCCTCCCGAGTAGCTGGGACTACAGACGCCCGCCATGATGCCCAGCTAATTTTTTTTTGTATTTTTAGTAGAGACGGGGTTTCACCATGTTAGCCAGGATGGTCTCCATCTCCTGACCTCGTGATCCACCCGCCTCGGCCTCCCAAAGTGCTGGGATTACAGGCGTGAGCCACCGCACCCTGCCCAAGCCTTCTACTTTTCAGCTGCTGTGCTCAGAATTGAGAAAACCTGATGGTTTCCTCCTTTATACAAAGCATACAGCCATCAGCGACAGAAATCTCAGCTAGGCCTTTCTTTTATGGGGAGAAACTGAAAGGGCCTGTCTCTGAAATTTTGAAAGAGTCCGGGTGAGCCACCATCACCCATAGTTGTACCTCAAAAGCAAGTGCAGGGAAGAGAGGAATTTTGTGAAGATTTTGAAACACCTGTCATGGGCCGTGGGTTCATTTGTGCCCTGCGTATGGCAAGGTCTGTTTTGCCCACTGACGGGAGCTGCCGTTTCCTGTAGCTGGTTTACAGGCCCCAGCAGGAAGTCCCAGATCTGGAGGCAGCATAGGAATGAGAAAATTCTGGTCTCTTGTTAGAAATCAGAGCAGCAGACCTAGAGAAGGTGTATTCAGTTCTTGGGCACACAGTTAGCTGTGTGTCCTTGGAATTGTTACTGAACCGCTCTGAACCTCAGTTTTCTTATCTATAAAATGGGCTCAATACTTGCTTCTGGGAGTAGCAATGGAAGATTAAATGAGATAAAATATGTGATCACATCTGGCAAAAGGGCTGGTACATGGAGGTGCTCAATAAATACTGGCACCATCGGGCACACTGGCTTGTGCTTTTAACCATAGCACTTTGGGAGGTCGAGGCAGGAGGATCACTTGAAGCCAAGAGTTCAAGACCAGCTTGGGCAACGTATCGAGACCCTATCTTTTTTAAAAAAAAATTGTAAAAATCAGCCAAGTGTGGTGGCACACACCTGCTACTTGGAAGTCCCAGCTACTAGGGAGGCTGAGGTGAGAGGATCACTTAAGCCTAGGAGTTTGAGGCTGCAGTGAGCTACTATCATACCACTGTACTGCACTCCTGTCTGGATGACAGAGCAAGACTCTGTCTCTAAAAATACACAGATACAAATAAATACTGGCTTATTCTCCAGTTCTTAACTGAAATCCTTTCACAGGACAAGAAACAAGGCCCTTTACTACCCATGAATGTTGGTAGTTCTCAGGCCCCCTTCTTGAGTCCAGGAAAGGAATCTGTCAGGAGAATGTTGCTGATCCTCTTTCGGTTCCAAGAACTACCAGAAAATGTAGAACTACCAGAAAATGTAGATGGTTTCACATGATTCTAAATGGATTTCCAAAGCAGTCTATGCCCACAGCTGGTTTCTCCAGAAATGACAACACTGCCTGGAAAACAAGACTCCTGCCCTCCTGGAGCCTTTGTTCTTGTGCTTGGCCCAGGGCCTCCCTGTAAGCCCCAAAGGCTCTGAAACCCATCACCCAAATCCCCTTGTGGATGCAGAGACGCCACTAAGCAGTCTTTAGATGGAGATTATCAAGGCTGAACTTCCAGATTTCAAATAGTATCACCTCCCTGGGAAACCAGCACTTGGAGATTCCTGCGTTCCATGTGCCTTGCAGGATCTCTCTGCCACTTGCATTGGTATTTTCTTTGTTTTCACTTAAACCTGTTTCTTTAAAAAAAAATTGTTAAAGTTTGGGTAAAAGAACTGGTTCCGCCTCTTTCATGTTTCCAAAGGCTCCAGGCTCTGCTGGGGCAGCTTTAAAGCAGGTCATCCATTCCTTCTAGCAGACTGAGCCTTCAGGGGGTGGGAATTTGGACATTTCTCATTTTCAAAGAGAAGCAGACATAAGGATGGGCCACTTGAGCCAGGCACAGGGCAGCAGCCGGCCTTCGTTTGATGCTGTGTGTGCCACATGCTGTCCAGAGGTGCTGGGTCTATGTCGTGTTGGTTCATTCATTAGACAGTAGAGCAGCCTGGTGAGATGGAAGAGACAAAGCTTTCTGAATCAGCCAGACCCCAGCTTCAAACACTGGCTCTGCCACCTGCCAGCTACAGAGCCCAAATGTTGGCAAAAGGAGAGAGACTGGTCTTACCTCTGAGGGTGGTTGGGTAAGAAGTAATTTGTTGTCATGGTTAAGACTGCAGCTCTGATTTAGCCTCTTGCATCCATTGCCTGCCTCTGCCACTACTTTTTTTGAGATGGGGTCTTACTCTGTCACCCAGGCTGGAGTGCAGTGGCGTGATCTTGGCTCGCTGCAACCACCACTTCCTGGGCTCAAGCATTCCCCTCACCTAAACCTCCCAAGTAGCTGGGACCACAGGTGCGTGCCACCATGCCCAGTTAATTTTTTTGTATTTTCAGTAGAGATGGAGTTTCACCATGTTGCCCATGCTGGTCTCAAACTCCTGGGGTCAAGCGATCCACCTGCCTCGGCCTCCAGAAGTGCTGGGATTACAGGCTTGAGCCACAACACCTGGTCGCTGCTGCTGTTTGTTCCATGTCCTTGGGCAAGTTATTTCACCCTCCAGGACTCATTGCTTCATGTTGTAAAATAAGGATACGGGCTGGCATAGGATTAAATGCTCGTGAAGGGCCTAACCCAGTGGGTGGCACACAGTAAGTGCTCAGTGGATGTCCACTACTGGATAATAGAGGTAATGCATGAGCCATTGTTGTATTGATGTGCTATGTTGACTCCCTCTTTATGGCCAAGCTCTGTGCTAGGGGTTGGGGATACAGAGGGGAATAGGTTCCAGCATTCAAGGGCAAAGGAGACAGACATGAAATAAATGATTATCCCGTAGAGGTGTTAGGTATTGTCACTGATGGACAATAGGGGGCCGTAGGAGGATAGTGAATTCAGAATGCTGTTGCCTGTGCCCCAGAACATCAGAACGCCTCATGTAGGAATGTGCTGTGGTGGAATGGAAAATGCACTGGAGATTTGGTGGGTTGGTTTGTTCATTTGGTTATTCATTGGCATGTACGAAGGCCGTGAGGTAGTGTATTAGTTTTATCTTGCTCTAGTAACAAATCACAAAAACTCAGTGACTTAGAACACAAATTCGTTCTCTTACAGTTTAGTAGGTCAGGGGTCTGAAACAGGTCTCACTGGGCTAAAATGCAGGTGTTGGCCAGGCCATGCTGCATTCCTTTCTGGAGGTTCTAGGGGAGTGCATTAATTAGGATTCTCCAGAGAAAAAGAACCAGTAGGAGATGGTAGAGGTGGGACTTATTAGGGGAATTGGCTCACATGATTATGGAGGCTGGGAAGTTCCACAACAGGCCATCTGTAAACTGGAGAAGCAGAGAAGCCAGTAGCATGGCTCAGTCCAAGCCCAACGGCCTGGGAACCAGGGAAGCCAGCAGCCTAACTCTCAGCTCAAGGCTGAAAGCCTCAGAACCTGGGGGTGGAGGGGCAGTTGGTACAAGTCCCAGAGTCCAAAGGCCAGAGAACTTGTTGTTCTGATTCCAAGGGCAGGAGAGGAAGGTGCCCTAGCTCCAGAAGAGAGAGAGAGAGAGATAATTTGCCCTTTCCTCTACCTTTTCTATGCAGGCCTTCAGCTGATGGGATGGTGCTTACCTACATTGGGCGAGGGCGGGCCTTCCTAACTCAACCCACCAACTCAAATGTTAGTCTCTTCCAGAAACACCCTTGCAGACATACCCTTTCCAGTATCCTGAAAAGAATACTTTCCCAGCTATCTGGGCATCCCTTAGTGCAGTCAAGTTGACATCTACCATGAACCATCACAGGGAGAATCCCTTCGAGAGGCCACCTGCATCTCTGCATTCCTTGGCTCATGGCCACCTTCCTCCATCTTCAAAGCCAGCAGTGGTGGAGTCTTTTTCACATCTCATCACTTGGACACTGATTCTCCTGCCTCTCTGTCCTACTTATAAGGACCCTTCTGATTGTACTGGGCCCACCCCGATAATCAGGCTAATCTCCCTCTCCCCAAGTCAGCTGATTAGCAACTGTAATTCCATCTGAAACCTTAATTCCATCTTACCTTGTAACCCAACATTCACAGGCTCTGAGGATTAGAACATTTGGGGGCCATTGATCTTCCTGCCCTAGGCAAGGGGGGCTGTGTGTGTTTGAGGTGATGGGCAAAGGCCCTGTGGCTGAAGCGTGGTGGGGAAAGTCCAAGAGGCAGGTAGGTGTTTTGAGGCTCAGTGCCATGGGGCTGGCGGTTGGAGGCTCTTACACAG
Source organism: Homo sapiens (assembly GCF_000001405.40). Lineage (NCBI taxonomy): Eukaryota > Metazoa > Chordata > Mammalia > Primates > Hominidae > Homo > Homo sapiens. The sequence goes on from NC_000001.11 coordinate 25,672,915, forward strand.
AGGAATGGCATTTAATGGTTTGCCTTTTCAAAGGGTGGCCCTGGTAGCTGTTTGGAGAAAGGATGGGGGTGACATGCGGGGAGAGAGGGCAGCTGGAGACCATTACAGACAGTCAGATGACAGCCAGAGGTGAACGGGGAGGGGGAAAGGAGGTGAGTCAGAGATGTCATCGCCAGAAATCCTGTTGAATAGATTTGGGTGGGGAGGAAAGGAGACTTGAGAGGACTTGGTTTCTGATATGAGCCAGCAGCAGGATGACAGCGCTGTCTCCCGATGCAGGGAAGACGATGAATGGGAAGCCCGGGGCAGGCGGAGCACCTGCGAACACTTAGTGGAGTATGCTGTGCCCAGGTGCTGTGCCGAGGGCCTTGGCATTGTAACTGATCCTTGCAGCACCCAGAGAAGGCAGGCACGGTTTCTGCTCCATTCTGTGAGGCAGTGGAGTATTGTGGCTGTGAGCACAGACCACCTGCATTCATATCCTGGCTCTGTTGCTTACTTGCTATGATACTTGGGCAAGTACCTCAGTTTCCTTACCTGAAAATGAGAGTAATGTTATACCAGTCCTATAAAATTAGTGTGAAGATTAAATGAGTTTATATGTAAAGCACTGATGACTCATGGAAAACACTAGGTAAATATAACAGTATCATTATTTTTACACAGATGAACAGATTGAGGCACAGAGAGGTTAAGTATCTTGTCCAAAGACACACAGCTGGGTAAAGCCAGGATCCAAAGCCAGGCTCTGAACTGCTATGCCTTACCTCCTCCCCAGGAGCACGTCACAGAGATGTGGTGAAAACGGCATGTGCACATGCATACAAAAGCACTTAGCAGTGTGCATGACACAATATGTCCCATAAATGTCTGTATGTGGAAGTGCGGTTTCTTTTGCTGTAAAATGGGGGTGATTACCCCTACCCTGCCTAACTCACAGGTGACGGTAAGGCTCAAATGAAAAAGGCAAAGCATTTTGGAAATGGTAGAGACACTTGCACATGGGCAGGTTTTGTTGAACCATTTCGCATTGGAATTTCACTTGTGGGTGACCTAAGATCTTTCCCACTGTCACTCATCTTTGTCCCCCACACGCTGTCTTCCTGCCCCCACCTAACACCCAATCTGTGATAGAACAGAGCGGTTGGGGACCTGTCCCAATGCAGTGGCTCCCAGGTTTGGTGGCCTTCTCTGTGCAGCTGCTCTTGTCTGTCTGCACGCTGCACCAAGACCAAAGCCTCGCTGGGAAGGGTCTCACCTGCTCTTGCTGTTGTGGCCTCACAATTGGAGCTGTCCCTTTATTGGGCCTTTGATAAATCCTTGTTGAGTCAAGGCCACTGGGCAGTGAGTGCTTCTGTCCCAGGCATCCTCCTTAATCCTTTGACATGAGCAGCCCTAGAGGTTGCCTCGTGTTGTCACCATCCTTAGTCATTTAATCAACATATTTTTATGGAAAGTCTCTATGTGCTGGGTACTCTCCTAGGTGCTAGGGAGCAGTAATGAGCAATGGAGCCAACAGAGCCTCGTGGAGCCTGCATAATCATGCAGGGAAATAGATACTAATTAATCACACAACTAATGTAAAATTTTGACTTTAATAATCCTCCATAATAGGGTGATTCAACCTGAAGGGAAGACCTCTCTTGGAAGTGGCAACCAAGCCTGGGCACTGAAAGATGAGTGGAATTCACCAGGCAAAAAGAGGAGGGAGGAGTTGTCCAAGGAGCGGGACTATTGTGTGCAAAGGCCCTGTGGCAGGGGGAGGCATGGTTCCTTGAGGAAAAGAGAGAGAAAGCTAGTGTGGCTGTGGCAGAGATGGGGAGGATAAGCTGACTGAAGGCGTGAGTGGGTGACTTCCTGGGCCTGATGGGCCTCAAGAAGGAGTTTATTTAAGTGTGTGTTTGGGATGAAGCAGAGCGATATGAATAAATTTGCACTTCAAATAACCACCCTGGCTGCAATGTGGAGAGCAGTGTAGGAAGCCAGGGAGGACCCATCTAGGCCAGTCAGGAGGCAGTCGCAGGAGTTCCATGGAGAGATGGGAGTGGTTTGGATTAGGGTGGTGCTCATGGTGGTGGTACAAAGAGAAGTGGATGGAGAGATACTTCTCTTTTAGTGGATACGTTAATAGGATAGCAGTATCCTGTGGCTGCTTTTTATTGATTGATTGATTCATTTTATTTCAGTAGTTTTTGGGGTACAGGTAGTTTTTGGTTACATAGATAAGTTCTTTAGTGGTGATTTCTGAGATTTTCGTGCACCTGTCACCTGAGCAGTTTATACTGTACCCAATATGTAGACTTTTATCCCTCAACCCCTGCAGTCTTTCCCCCAACTCTGAGTCCCCAAAGTCCATTATATCATTCTTATGCCTTTGTGTCCTCATAGCTTAGCTTCCACTTATAAGTGAGAATATACAATATTTAGTTTTCCAATCCTGAGTTACTTCACTTAGAATAAGAGCCTTCAGCTCCTTCTAAGTTGCTGCAAAGGACATTATTTCATTCCTTTCTATGGCTGAGTAGTATTCCATGGTGTATATATGCCACATTTTCTTTATCCACTCATTGGTCGATGGGCACTTGGGTTGGTTTCGTATCTTTGCAATTGCAAATTGTGCTGCTATAAATGTGTATGCAAGTGTCTTTTTCATATAATGACTTATTTTGCGGGGGGGGGGGGAGGTGGTTACCCAGTGTGGGATTGCTGGATCAAATGATAGTTCTACTTTTAGTTCTTTAAGGAATCTCCATACTGTTTTCCATAGTGGTTGTACTAACTTATATTCCCACCAGCAGTGTAAAAGTGTTCACTTTTCACCACATCCATGCCATGGCTGCTTTTTATTGAGCACATATTATATACGAGCCATTGTGCTCAACACTTTACATCTGTTATTTACTCTTAGGGTTATTCTAAGGATTAAGTATTTCTGTCCTTTTACAGATGAGGAAACTGAGACTTACAGGGGTTAAGTCACTCACTCAAGGCCACACAGCCAGTAAGGTGGCAGAGCCCTAGAGCAGCCTCTCAAGCTTCAATGTGCGTTTGAATCACCTGGGGCTCTTGTTAAACTGCTGCTACAGATTCAGCAGGTGGGAGAGTGGAACTGAGGTACTCTGTTTCTGACGTGCCCCCTGGGTGGCCCTACTCCTGGTCCCTGGAGCACTTTGAGCAGCGAGAGTTTCTCTGCCTGTATGGCCCACACTCTCGACCCTGATGCCTTAGAAACAGCTGCAGACAGGATGCGATTCCTGAGACTGCTCAAACCTGAAACCCCATGGGCAGGATGTGGGTGAGCTGTCTGGACCTCAGGTGGGTGGGAGTTGTATCATATGCTCATTTCCCACATTGGCCTTTCAATAGCTTGAGTAAACCCGAAACTGAGAGGGTTGGAGGCAGCATCTCCCCTTCTACTCCCCCGCTTCACCTCCCCGGGCAACCAAACCCCACCCGTGCCCAGCTTCTGAGCGATAGACCTGGGCTGTGTATTTGCAGGAGCCTCACTGGGGTCACCAACCAGGTCATGTTGTGTTGCCCCAATAAATGGAACTGGATCAGAAAATCCAACGTGGATAGTTTTTAGGTGCCAAGCTGTCAGCTCTTCCCTTGGACTGTGCTGAAAGTGGAAGAGGAGAAAAAAATCAACCCAATGTTCTAAGCTCTCTGTCTACATAGTCATTAGATCCCAGGATCGTTAGAGACCAAATCCCTTCCCACTTGGCCCCTGCAAATGGGGCCAGGTGTCACTGCTGGGAGACGCCAGTAAGGCTGCACGTCATGGTGTGAGCACTTGTCTTTAATGACTGGGAAAATCCATTTCCTTCCTTGGCAGCTTTGAATGTAGCAACTGTGGTTCTGGGTCACTGCCAGAGCCAGCCTTGTGTGTATGTGTGTGATTTTTTAAAGTGGGGGAGAATGTCTCAATATTCAATGCTCACCCCCTTCCTTCCAAGTTGTACCCCCAGAGAACTGTCCAACACAAACTTTGGAGTTTTCCACTCTGGGAGTGGTCTGCTGGCACCCACGTGTCCTCCCCTCCTCTAATGCATCCTTTCTCTCTTGATCTCATTGTTCTGGGGTCCTCAGCTGAGTGGGCATCTGTGCCTGGGTGATCGATTCTAGTCTCTTTTCTGCAGGAGAGAACTCTTGAGCTCTGAGACAGGTAGAAAGAAAATCTTAAACCAAATAATAATGTTCTGCCTCACACTAGTAAATATTTTGCACTAAAAAATTCCGTGTCATTTTGATTTGTTCAGGTAGACAAGAACATCTTTTGTTTGAGGAAGAACTGAAGAGATTTCTTGGGATTCAGCTCCGATGGCTCTGCCTGTATCTCTCTATCATTGGAGCTTTGTTTTCCACCTTTGCAAGACTTGAGTGAAGGGAAGGCTTTGTGGTCTATTGTTAGGTGCTCTTTGAATCTATAAATCACAGGCTACAGGAAGGGAGGGGCTTCCAGAGACCATCTAGAGCCACCCTCTATCTCTAGCAGGGACACACACACACACACACACGTACACACACACAATGACTGCCTGTTGCGCGTTTCTAGAACCTAGTGGGGACAGGGGTACAGTTTCTTTTGGTGCATAGTTCTCATGTTGATTGGTTCCGACTGTCATGTTCTTGCACCTGTCCTGAGTATCTCTTGCTGTAGCTCTGGCCCTTTCCCCAGTCAGCTACTGCACTGCCCTGGCCCATGTTTCTTAGAGACATGGTTATCTCTGTGCTATTAGTGTCTGTGTCCTGGCCGAGGCAAGTCCCTTCCCTTTCTGAGTCTATATTCTTATAAAATGTGGCTTTGAGAATAGATGATGTTTCTGGTCTTAAAATTCTCTTTGACTCTGGAGTTCTGGATCTGTGCTTCTGTTTGATGTTGTTTCTCTTGCTGGGTGACCTTCTCTCTGACTCCCTGCTGTAAAGACCTCCTTTTTTTTTTTTTTTTTTTTTTTTTTTAATCAAAACCTAACTTGGTCCGACCTACCCCATGGCTGACCACCCAGGCACTTGCTTTTGACTTAAGGGTAGCACCATACGATGTCTTCTTTTTGTTTTTCATTTTAACAACCTGTATTTTTCACATCACAAAACCTTTCTAGATATTCACTGTAGAAAATTCAGAAAATATAGGTCAATAAGAAGAAAAAGATAGAAATCACTAAACTTCTATCAGACATAACCGCTGTTAAGAATTTGGTATATTTTCTTTCAGTCTTTTTTGTAAACACTCATACATAGGCCAGTGAATTTCATACTATGTAATTTTGTGTTCTGCCTTTCCACCTAATAATATATACTGAGCATTTTTGCCTATCATGAAACATTTGTAAACACAATTTTTAATACCTATTTACTACTTTACATCTCCTACTTTAGCCCTTGCATAATTATTTCCAAATGGAACAAATATCTGTCTTGTCCAGCCCACTGAACTGGCCAAATCAAATGAGATAAAATATGCAAAGAGCTGCACAAATATAAGTGATGATTGTTCATTTTGTTAGTTTTATCTCCCCAAGTGAACTACTTTACCGTATTGTCTCAAAATCGTTAAACAGTTTCCTGTTCACCAAGTTTTGCACAGTGGTGGGCAAAACATGCTGTCTGGCTGTAATCTCTTAAAAGGGCGTTACATATTAATAACTTTAAAAGTTTTTTCTTAGCAACTTCTTAGAAACTCTGGTCTAAGGAAATTATTCAAAATGTTATGTGCACAGAGATGTTCACTATGGCATTATTTACAATAGCCCCAAACTAGAAATCACCAAAATGTCTAATTATATGGGAAGGAGGTGAAGTAAATGATGATGAACCCACTTTCTAAGCTATTATATAGCTATTAAAAGTGATGTTTACAAAGCCTTTGTAATAAAATTGGAATATGTCATAATTATGGGAAGAAACAAAGGTACAATATGAGAGGGAAAAACAAAGGTACCTGCAGAGAAAGACGCCAAAATGGGAATGGTGGTTGTTAAATAATGGGCAGTTGTTTTCCTTCTCTTTTTCTGCTTTTCTTCAGCGAGCTTGTGTGCCTTTGATACATTAAAAGGTAGAGAGACAGAGACAAGAAGAGAGAGAGAGGAGACGAGAGAGAGAGAGAGAAACAAGACGAGAGAGAGAGATGAGACAAGAGAGAGAGAGGTGAACCTTGTTTTTAAAATTACCTGAAAGGATTTATGCAGAAGAGAGAAGGAAGGGGCACAGAGCTGAGTTCAAGAGAAGGGAGTGACCCAGAAGTGGGAGAAGCGGGCATGAGGGCTGAAGCCTGAATTGAGCTGAGACTTGTAGAAAATTCTCAGAACCACCAAAGGAGCCTTTTAATTTTTTTGGAGTAGGAAGAAAACAGGCACCTCCTTTGAGCATGCTAATATAATTATAAAAGGAGAAACCAAAATAGCTAGTTCCTAATTTGTTCACCAGACTTCTTCCTTCTCTGACCAGCGTGGGGAACAGGCTTGGTGAGACGGACATGAAGACCCATCCAGGCCATTGAGGAACTGGGGGCTAAGAAGAACTTCAGGGAGACTGACAATGGCCACATTCTGTTGTAATTTATAAAAAGTGAAGGAAAATAGAATTGTGTAATGTATAAATTTGGGTGAAAATAACAGCCTCCAGTAAAATTTCCTAAATGAGTTAAAAAAAAAAAAAAAGGCATTTCAGACTTACGGAAAAGTTACAAAAATCTAGCAAGGATCTTACGTTTACCTTCACCCAGATTCCGCAAACGTTAACATTAATTTTACCCTGTTTGCTTTCTCTCTCTGTTTTTCACTCATTTGCTTTACATATATATCATATATATGCACACTGTATGTATAATATATGTATACACATGTACATACATATTGTCTTGTGAACCAATTTGAAAGTTGCAAATATAATGTCCTCTACCCTTAAATACTTCATTGTATATTTCCAAAAAGAATGACATTTTTCTTTTTCTTTTTTTTCTTTTTTTGAGATAGAGCCTACCTCTGGGTAGAGGCCTAGGTGACACAGCAAGACCTCTGTCTCAAAAAAAAAAAAAATATATATATATATATATATATATATATACACACACACACACACATATATATATTTCACATACCATAAAATTCATATACCATAATATCTGACTTTTAAAGTATAAATTTTAGTCATTTTATTTCATTTTTGAGACGGAGTCTTGCTCTGTGGCTCAGGCTGGAGTGCAGTGGCGCAATCTCGGCTCACTACAACCTCTGCCTCCCGGGTTCAAGAAATTCTCCTGCCTCAGCCTCCTAAGTACCTGGGATTACAGGCACCTGCCACCACACCTGGCTAATTTTTGTATGTTTAGTAGAGACAAGATTTCACCATGTTGGCCAGGCTGGTTTTGAACTCCTGGCCTCAGATGATCCGCCCACCTGGGCCTCCCAAAGTGCTGGGATTACACGTGTGAGCCACCATGCCCAGCCTCAGTCATTTTAATATATTCACAAATTGTGAATAATCACCACAATCAATTGTAGAAAAATTTCATTACTCTGAAAAGACCCCATGCCCATGAACAGTCACTCCCCATTTCTCCCTTCCCCTAGTCCCTGGCGACCACTAATCTGCTTTCTGCTCGGATGGATTTGCTTATGCTGGACATTTCCTATAAATGGAATCATACTCCAGGTAGCATTTGTGCATCTGGCATCTTTCACTAATCGTAGTATCTCAAGTTTCATCCATGCTGTAGCCTGCAACAGTGCTTCATTCCTTTTTCCATCTGAATAATATTCCATTGCATGGTATACCACATTCTGTTGATCCATTCAATCAATGGACATTTGGGCTGTTTCCACTTTTTGGTTATTACAGATAGTGCCACTGTGAACATCTGTATCCAAGTTTTTGTGTGGCTGTATGTTGTTATCTTTCTGGGGTATGTGTCAGGGGTTCCCAAGACACCACCCCTAGGTTCAGTGATGCACTAGGAAGACTCATAGGACTCAGCCCATAGTTCTTGTCATGGCGATGATTTATTACAGTGAAAGGTTTCAGAGCAGATGAGCACGGTGGCTCATGCCTGTAATCCCAGCACTTTGGGAAGCGAGGCGTGCAGATCACCTGAGGTCAGGAGTTTGAGACCAGCCTGACCAACATGGAGAAACCCCTTCTCTACTAAAAATAAAAAAAAAATCTACTAAAAAAGAAAAAAAGCATACCTGTAATCCCAGCTACTCAAGAGGCTGAGGCAGGAGAATCGCTTGAACCCGGCAGGTGGAGGTTGCGGTGAACTGAGATCGCACCATTGCACTCCAGCCTGGGCAACAAGAGCAATACTCCGTCTCAAAAAAAAAAAAAAGAAAAGAAAAGAAAAAGTAAAAAAGAAAGGTTACAGAGCAAAATTAGCAAAGGAAACAGTGGATGGGGACAACCCGGAGGAAACCAGGTGCAGGCTTCCAAGAGTTCTCTCCCAGTGAAGATGTGTAAGGTGTTATCGACCAGGGAAGCTCTTTAGAGACTCGGTGCCCAAGGTAGGCACCCCCTTCCTAACAAGTACCAGCATTCCACACTCCAGAAGGAAAGTAGCTGTTTAGCATAAGCCACATTGTACAAATGGTCCAGACACAGGACACCACCTTTATCAGTTAGAGACTGATAGGAGCACTCGCAAAACCCAGGTTCCTAGACACCAGCTGAGGACCCACCTCGCAAGCAGGCCTTTCTGAGGACAGACGTCTAAGACCTGCTGCATTAACTTTTCTGCACAGGTCCGTACCTAGAATTAGAATTGTTAGGTCATATGGTAACTCCATATTTAACTTTTTTTGCCAAACTGTTCTCCAAAGTGGCCGCACCGTTTTCATTCCAACCAGCCATGTATGAGGGTTCTGATTTCAGCATATCCTGGCCAACACTTTTCATTGTCCATCTTTTTTGGTATGGCCATCCTAGTGGGACTAATAGGTTTTTAAGTTAGTGATTTGCAAGCATTTAGGATTAAAAATGATGATCCGTAGGAGCCAAAATGGGTTCTCTAAGAACAATCATGCTAGTCTAACCCCCTATTTGCCTTAAAAAAAAAAAGCAATTTATTTTTCTGTACTAGCTGTACTAGGGCAGAGTGTCTTTATATTTCAGCCTGTCTTTCACAATATCTTGGTGTACAAAAATGGAGAATCGGGGGTTGTACGGATTGCTTGGCAGATTTCTTATTTGCTGATGAATGACATCAAAACAAACAAACAAAGAACAGAGCTGGGTCCAGGAGAGAGACTCCTGAGGCTGTTTTCCCAACTTAGTCCTTAGCTGGCTGTTTATGTTTCCGTTCAAAACCTGAGGGTAGATGCAGATAGCAGTCCCATCAAGTCTGCAGATTATGCAAAGCAGGCAGACACACGTGTTGAATAAGATCTTGTTCCAGAAAGGTTGGATCTGGAACCAGAGAGATCCTTACAGCATGGAATGATAGGCAGAGTCCAAAGAGATGGAAGTTATTAGGGACAAATGACAAGTCCACACCTACACAATCTGGCACAGAGGTGACCAGAGCGACTGTGCACTTTGGTTTCTGCCCATTTCCAAAAGAACAGCCAGCCACAACAAATGAGTGACAGAGGTGTGGGGCTCCTGGAAGAACACTATGTCATGTGGGTCTGCAGTTTCAGAGGGCTTAATAGGTGAGTGCACTTCAAGAGCTGGCTCCCCGTGGCTGAAGGTCTGTGGTATGGAAGCAGGAAGAATTGTCTCCCCTGTGGCCCATAAGGGAAAACAGATTTCAATTGATTAAAGAAGAACTTTGTGAAACTCCACAATCAAATGGGCCTGGGAAGGTGGAGAGCAGCCCATCACTGAGCGTGTTCAAAAAGATACCACTGGCTGGGCACGGTGGCTCACACCTGTAATCCCAGCACTTTGGGAGGCCGAGGCGGGCAAATCACTTGAGGTCAGGAGTTTGAGACCAACCTGGCCAACATGGTGAAACCTCATCTCTACTAAAAATATAAAAATTAGCTGAGCGTGGTGGCACGTGTCTGTAATCCCGGCTACTCGGGAGGCTGACGCAGGAGAATTGCTTGAGTCTGGGAGGCAGAGGTTGTGGTAAGCTGAGATTTCGCCACCGCACTCCAGCCTGGACAGCAGAGTGAGACTCCATCTCAAAAAAAAAAAAAAAAGAGACTACTATTAAGGAACTTCCCAGGAGACCTTTGAGGTCTTAGAACTGCCTAAGCATGACAGCAGGAACTGTCCATCTCTAAAGTCCAGGTATTACCCACGGCACACATCACCAGTTCCAGAGTGAAAACATTAGCCTTTCTGTAGGTCACCCTTTCTTGTGCCCCTCATAGTCCTACCTGTCCATCAGAACTCTTGTTCATCTGTCCACGAAGCTTCCCTTGAGACACACACTTGCCCCCTTCTGAACACCTGTTGCCCAGCAGCCCCTCCTCTGGCTTGTTTGCCTGTTATATGTCTTGCCTGTGAAGCGTGTGGTCCACGTTGAGTCTTCCAGCCACGTGTTAAGCTCCAGAGCCAATTCAGCAAATACTTAACAAGCACCTTCTTTGTGCCAGTCCTTGGATGCATTGTGGGGCATGTAGCAGTGAATGGGGGTGGAGGGTCTGACCAAATAGTTGCAGATATAAAAGCTTGACTGCAGGCCACCATGGGTCTGCATCAGGAATGTGGGAAGGATGACTTCAGACTGGGAGGAAGGTCTCCCTGCAAAAGTGCCCTTTCAGCTGGGACCTGAAGGAAGATGGGCAGTTGGCAGGGGGGTGGGGGGTAGGGGCTGGAAGTGCATTACCACCATGGCTATAGCCCAGACACAGGACAGGATACCTGGTAGGGGCTTGCTTAGGGTGTGTTAGGGAGAGAGAGAAGGACCACCTGGATAGGAGGCTGTCCCCTTCATCCCCTGTCCCCTGCTCACCCAGCACCTAGGCTGAGCCACCCATGGCCGGAGTCGGGAGGCACGTGTGCATTGAGGGAATGAAAGCAAGAAGAGGCAGCTCTGATTGCCTTGTGAATTCAGTCCCCAGCGATGCTGGGATGTTTTGTGCCTTCATTTCCTCCCTTGGTTTGGATAACTATGAAAACGGGCCACGTTCCAAACCTCACATTCCTGCAGTGACAGCTTCTTTGAGACCACGTAGATACCTATGATTCTCGTAGTTACTCTGGAACACCCACTTCTCTCTCTCTAGGTAGGGGGAATTTTCAGGGTAGGGTGTGGCCCCCCGCTTAGACCTCTCCTCCTTTTCTGCTGTCATTTATGCTTTAACAGCTTGCTGCTTGCCCCCGCCAGCCCCCCAGCCACCTGCCTCTCTCCCCCGATACTGACTTAATAGAGCCCTCAGATAAGAGAGACTGAAGGAGGAGGCCATTCTCTCTCAAGCACTCATGCCTGGCAATTATTTGTTGTTATTGCCAATTCAAGATAAGTAGAAAATAACAGAGGAATGGAACCAGGACTCAAAGCCCATGCCAAGCCCTTGGCTGTGTTACCATGACGTTTGCTTGTGTGTCACATGGGAAGCCACATGTCTGGCCAAGCCTGGGGGGGTGTCAGCTGCCCTGGGAGATGAGTGAACGGGGTTCTGGCCTGGCTGCTGTGCTGCCATGACCACTTCTCATCTCTGGGCCTCAGTTACATCATCTGTGAAATGGGGCAGTGGTGCTAGATTATTCTGCCATTTCACGGAGAGTCCAGGCCATGCACCTGTCAGGTCTTCCTGCCCACCTGGTCTGTGCGTTTGGGCTGCAGCAGTGAGAGTAGCTGTTTACTATCCCTGTGTGCCTGGAAGAGACGTCTCCTAAGCGCGGGCACCAGGAGTGGCCGAGCATGGAGAATACAGGTGGTGATATCCTAGAAAGTGGGCCGCTAAGGCGGGAAACACAGGCTGGGAGAGAGGAGGGGAAAGCCAGCGGACGCAGGACTGTCTGGGCGTGAGGTGAGTGATACAAACAATATAACAGATTGGTGCTTCTCACATGTGGCCCCTGGGCCAGCAGCAGCACAGGGGAACTGGTAGAAAAGCAGATTCTTGGGCCCCACCCCAGACCTGCTGAATCAAAAACTCAGGGTGGGGCCCAACAGTCTGTTTTAACAAGCCCCCCAGTGATTCTGATGCAAGCTAACATTTGAGAACTAAGAGACTGGATGAAAGGAGGGGTGGATAGATGAGGCTTGGAGAGCCAGTATTTTAAAGGTCAAGGAGGAAATCGAGCTAGTGCTTGTCAATCACTTGCTGTGTCTGGTCGGAAACTGGGCATTCCCACTACACTCTTTCATTTAAACCTATCAGGATGGTGGCAAGGCCTGCCTTGTCCCTTGCTAAAGCAGATCTCAGCTGATGCAACTGATTTCACGCCAAAGTCACAGAGATAGCGGCAGAGGTGGGATTAGAACCTCGGCATCTCTGATCTGGGAGCCTGAGTATTTCCCAGCACACTAGGCTGCCTCCCCATCCACCTGCGCCTCAGCTCTGCTGCCACCGCGGGCCCCGGCTCCTCCTCTGCTCCACGGGTCACCCCAGAACTCTGCTGTGTTGTGCTCCCTCTGCAGCCAGCCATGCCAAGGGAAAAGGGGCACACCATAAAGGCAAGTGAGGGAGACCTTGGGGGCTGCAGCGCAGGGTTGGGGGTGGACTGTGACCTTGCATCTGCTTCAGCCTGAAGGTCCTGGGGCAGCTGGGGAGCAAGGTGCTGGCGTGACGCTCCTGAGAGCTGATGCAGCTGCCTTGCATAGTAAGAACTCATGCATACTCTGGGTGACAGTCCACATAGGAAGAACTTGTGCATACTCTGGGTGACAGTCCATAGGCATCCATTGTGCCAAGCCCTGTGCTGGTTGCTGTGGGAGAAACTGAGGCAAGGCAAGTGTTGTTTCTAGCCTCAAGGAGTTTATGATCCAGAGCCAGAGGAACAACAAGTAACTGGGGTGAGCTGGAGTGCATGGGAGGCCAGGGCAGGTCAAAGGAGTTCAAAGAGACTCGTATGGTGATTTTAGGGGACAAAACCAAGGCTTTGGGGACAGACCTAAGGCTTTGGAGCCAGAGGGGATGGCTCAATTCCCAACATTCTCACTGACTCACTGAGCGATGTTGGATGAGTTACCTCATGTCTACAACCCGTCTCCTTAGCTATAAAATGGGTTAACAATACCTAGCTCGGAGTGTTCCATTATAGCAAGCACTCATTTTCCTTCCCTTCGGAGGATGACTTTAAGCCAGAGCAAAACAGGGAAGGCTTCCTGGAAGAGGTGACTTTTCACTTTGGCACTGAAGGATATCTAGAATTTAGTGCTTTTTCTGTCTTCTCTAAGAAATCTGTGGGTAGGCCCTAGACACATGGCGTTGTCTAAGAAGAATGACCTTCCCAGCAGCTATAACTGTACAAATAAAATCATGTTGCGAGGAAGTCACTTTCTCCAATTTGGAAAATTTGGAAGGTTATCTTTTAGTTTAAAAACACGTTGCAAGGGGCAAAGCCAGGCGGCCAGTGCGCACTGCCAGGAATCGTCACACTGAGGTTCTCTCTATGCTGCTTTTTCTTGCAGATGATGCAGTTTGCTTGGCAGAGCTATAAGCGTTATGCAATGGGGAAAAACGAACTCCGTCCACTAACAAAAGATGGCTACGAGGGTAACATGTTCGGTGAGTCGATTCAAACCACTTTGATATTGGGAGGGACCCACCGCCCCGCCAGTGGCCGAGTGGAATTTTACTTTTGGCTTTTCACCTCCTGAGCTGTGGGGGCTCCACAGTTCTCCAGATCTGGGGCCTTCCAAGTCTGTGTTTCCTCTGGGCTTTTCAGGCTTCTGAGTCCTCCTAGATTTAGGGGGAATCCTATATGCTTCTCTCTAGCCTTAGAGACTGCTTTGTATGAAATTATCGTTTATTTTTTAGAGTGAAGAAACTTGGAAATGGGAGTAGGGATAGTGAAGGATGGAGATTTGTTTCCGTGGAGGTTTGGAGACCTAAAGGACACAGAGGACCAGGTTTAAATCCACTCCTCTGGAGTGTGGCTGTGAAATGGTCTTGGATGTTTTCGTAGATTGCTGAACACATATCTGATGGGGCTGGGTACATGCTATTTAGAGTCGGGGCTGGGGGCCGGGCGTGGTGGCCTTCACCTGTAGTACCAGTCACTTGGGAGGATGAGGTGGGAGGATCCCTTGAGCCTGGGAGTTCAGGTCCGGCCTGGGCAGCATATTGAGACCCCATTTCAAAACGACAACAGCAGCAAAAACAAAAGGGTATAGAGTCATGGCTCACAAGCTACTCGGAAGCCAAGTGGAGCAGCCGCACATCAGGAGCGGGGGCATGGGGCATGGGGCCTGCTACTGCCTGGCAACTCGTATTTTATCTGCAGCCGCACTTGCTGGTGTCTTTGTCCTCCTCCAGCCACAGGATTCTCCTAACCTAGAGCCTTGGGAGTCTCTCTCTGTGGCTCAGAGGGACTGCAGGGTGCCTTCTTGTGGGCATGGGCTCAGATTCCAACAGTAACACCCATGCAAGTTGCCAGCCCCCTTGTCTGCAGCCTGGCCTCCATCTCCCCTGAGGGACAGGAGTGGTGTGGGGCTGGAGAGGGGCAGTCCCATACCTGGATTCCTCACCCCTTACAGATACAGGCTCCTGAAGTCAGGAACCAAATAACTGAGTCTGAGATGGAAATTCCCAGGAAAATCTTCAAGGCAAATTTACAAGGGATATCCCCCCATCACCCCCATCGTGTGCAGCCCTATCAGAGATGTCCATGTTATGGAAAGAGTGACAGGAATCTGCCCTCCTCCCCTTCACCAGTCAGATCGTCACCTGTCTGACTGTTCAGACATTTCACTCCCCTTGTGGGAAGTGGGGTGTGGACTGGGGCAGCTTTATGTATTTATTTTTCTCATTATCCTAGGAGTGTATGGGGGAAAAGGAAAGTATCAAAAAAGTGCAAATCAGGCAAAAAAAAAATCTGTTCTGCTCTGTAGATGCAGCCTCCATTGACATCTTTGCTTATTCTCAATCTTTTCTTCTTTCTGCTTTTTCTTCCTTTTATATACCATTTTATGTCCTTTCTGCTTTTTTTTTGACTTCATGTTATATCGTGTTTCCCGAAGTCATCTAAATGTTTTCATAAAGAATGTTTTAACGGTGTCTGTGATTGTATGGATATGCCATAATTCATTTAACTATCTTGCTAATGTTGGGTAAAGATTGTTTCCATTTTTTTGCTATTAAAAATAATGCAAGACTTATCTTTGTGCATAAAATTTTGTCTTGGGATGGATTTTTAGAGATGAATTCCTGAGTCAAATGGGAGGAAGAGAGATGTTTCTTTTACTTCAAATATGAATTAAAGAGATGTATTGATTCCCATTAGGAACCTGGCTGTCTTACCTGCCTAGAACACAGAACTTCCCCACATAACCTACATCAGCCCTGGGGAAAGATTGCTGGTGCAGATCCCATCAAAGTTGTGGAGCTTTTGCTGTTAGTATAAACAGGGACATTATCAAGAAAGCTTCCTCCTTCTCTCTAAACACAGTTTGCAAATATTCAGGGAATTGGTGGTGGGGTGGGAGGGGCTGATGATTCCTGAAACTGCACACAGCATGGGCGCAGCTATTGCTTATACCATCACAGGAAACACTTCTGGGAGGGATTCCATTTTGTAAAATTCCTCAGGGCCTGGGATTTAAATCTCAACCCTCTGGCCCCTTTCCAGTCATCAAGCCTGGTGGCGCATGCTTGAGCCGTCTGGAATGGTGGAAAGAACCCGGAATTAGAATCAGATGACCTGGGCGCAAGTCCTCACTCTGTCCTGAGCTATGTGGCCAAATCCAAGGCACTTAACCTCTCTTGGTCCCTGTTAGTTCATCATTCATATGGGACTGCTATAAGGATATAAATGAGTATGTACGAACAAGCAAAGGGCCATGTCTACATGAGTGATTTATGATTTCTGTTGTAATAAATGAGGTTGGCAGTTGTCCCAGTGAGCCTGTGGCAGGCTCTGAGGTCCCTTGGGTTGTCTGTCTCAGGAGTAGCCTTGGCAGGGCCCAGGGAGCCCTGTCATCCAGTACATGTAGCGTTCCTAGCAGTGAGGCAGAGCCTTCCCTCTGCAGCCAGCAGATCAGCCGCAGTGGGTGGCTGGCACCTGGGAAAGGGAGATGCATGAGGACCAGGCACTGGGTGGGGAAAGCCGGTCTTGATTGACTCCTTCACTCCATATGTAACTTGTTAGGTGCCAGTGCCTGGTGCTGACTGCTGGGGATACAGGGATAAATGGGACAGCGAAAGTTCTACCAACTCTGCCAAGACATGCACTGGCAACCCTTCCTGGAGCCTCTTGGGGGTCTGTCTAGGTGCTCTCAGAGAGAGGGACAAGTGGGGGTGACCACAAGTGCTGACATGGGCAGTCCTTACGGGCTGGAACTTCCGGCAGACCTGATTTAAATTCAGACTTTACTACGTCCTGGTTGTGTGACCTTGGACAAGTCATTTCTCTCCAAGGCTGAGTTTTTCTGTAAATTGGAACTAATGATATACTCAAATCCTGGCCTAGGGACTGCCTGACAAATAGAACCTGTTCGTAGGTAGTAGCTCAGATTACTGTCACCACAAATGGGTCATAGGACACGAAGGCTTATGGGTACACACCCAAAGGAGGAGGGCTGAGGGGCATTCTTGGAGCCTGAGAGGGGTTCTAGTTGGGGTGAACCCATGAGGGGCATTGAAGCTAGACTATTCCTGAAGGTAGGAGATAAACTGGCCTGAATGAAGCAGCTTGTCACCCACCTTCTTTTCTGGACTCATGGGGGCTGCTGGGTTGCATCATTCCTGGACATTTAATGTCCTCCCTATAGGCTGAGCCCTGCAGACATGGGACACTGGGTGCAGTCAGGTGGCAGGTTGTGCCCATTCTGCTGTGCTGGCTGAGTAGGGTATACGAGGAGACCCTGAGCAGCGCCCCGCCTCCTGGTGCTCGGCTTGGACACTGGCTCTTACGGCCTCGTCCCTGGCCTGCAGGGCTGGCAGGGCTGTGTGCGGGGAAGGGTAATGAGTTCACACAGGTGCCTAGTTTTGCTGAGATTTACAGGAGCTGCAGCGAGGGCAGTCGGATGCCCAAGCCTGGTCTCCTGGTGTGGCACTTCACCAAGTGAATCCCCCTCCCAGTCGCCCACTTGCCCTTCCTTGAATCTATTCTTACTTTAAGGACAAGATCTCTGGGTGAGGCGTCTCTGAAGCCAGTTTCTGTGTCCTAAGCAAGTCAGTGTCAAAGTGGCTTTCTTTTTACCCACATCCGGCTCAGCAGGCCCTGTCAGAAGATGTTCCCCAAACCCCAGTGGCCACCAACAACGAGGATGCAGCCCGTTCCTCGCCTTGTGGCTCAGGCTAAGGCTGATCTCTGCCTCTTTTTTTTTTTTTTTTTTTTTTGAGATGGAGTCTTGTTCTGTCGCCCAGGCTGGAGTGCAGTAGTGCGATCTCAGCTCACTTCAGCCGCTGCCTCCCAGGTTCAAGTGATTCTCCTGCCTCAGCCTCCTGAGTAGCTGGGATTAGAGGCGTGTGCCACCACGTCCGGCTAATTTTTGTATTTTCAGTAGAGACGGGGTTTCACCATGTTGGTCAGGCTTGTCTCAAACTCCTGACCTTGTGATCTTCCCTCCTCGGCTTCCCAAAGTGCTGGGATTACAGGCATGAGCCACTGCGCCCGGCGCATATCTGCCATTTTCTCCTCTGCTGAGAGGTGGCCAGACAGGGCAGTTATTGTCTGGCTGGGTGGCAGAAAGAGCATGGGCTTTGAATCCAGACAGGCCTGGGTGGAAACTCTGGGTTACTGCTTAGGGGCTGTGGAGTGGGGCAGGGGTCCCGCCTCCAGTCTGTGGTGAGGATTAGAGAGGAGACCTGCAAAGGCTTAGCCCCGTGCCAGGCACAGAGCAGGCACTTGATCGGGGGGTGCTATTATTGCCATTATGTCACAGAGGTGAATTTGCAGCTTGAAGAATGCATGGCAGAGTCAGGGGAGGCAGGGGAGGAACCAGCCGTAAAGTGGCTCAGTACCCTGAGGCCTGGCTTCCTCGCCTGTAAAAGGGTACAGATGTTACACCTGCCGCTAGGCTTTGGGGGAATATTAAATAAGCTAGCTAAAGAACATGGACTCAGCCGGGTGCAGTGGCTTACACCCGTAGTCCCAGCACTGTGGGAGGCCGAGGCGGGTGGATCACTTGAGGTCAGGAGTTCGAGACAAGCCTGGCCAACATGGTGAAAGCCCATTTCTACTAAAAATACAAAAATTAGCTGGACGTGGTGACATGTGTCTATAATCCCAGCTGCTCGGGAGGCTGAGGCAGGAGAATCGCATGAACCCATGAGGTGGAGGTTGCAATGAGCCAAGATCGCGCCACTGCCCTCCAGCCTGGGCAACAGAGACTCTGTCTCAAAAACAACAACAACAACAATTAAAAAGAACTTGGACTCTGGGGCCAGATGGTTTGCATGTGCATGCTGCTTTGCCACTGCATGACCTTGGGCGAGTTTCTTAACTTCTCTGGGCCTCAGTTTTCCCATCTATAAAGTGGGAACAATAATGGTACCGCCTTCACAAGATTGTTTTGAGAACAAAATGAGTTCACACACATGAAGTGCTTATATTCATGCACAGCACATAGGAAGCATTCATCAAGCGTCAGCTGCGATGAGGATGCTGCAAAACCCTTAGAACAGTGTGTGCTGCTCCCATTTTGATTGGGGTGGGCGTCCAAGTCCCCTGGACCCAGGAAGCCACATGAGGACTTCAGGGCTTTCCCAGCCCTGATTCCCCCTGTTTTTTCCCCCAGCCCTCAAATGCCCATGGCAGAAATCTTGGGTGAGCCAATCATTGGTAGGCTGTGTACCTCTCACAACTTCATTTAAGCAGCTTACACTGGAACTTTTAACAGGAGGAGGTGGGGAAGGTTAGGGTTCACAATCTTGGAATAAATCAGCCTCCTGCCAATGGCCAATGGGGGTCAGCTGGCCAGCCTTGAAAGTACTTAACAGATATCCATCTTTCCAATAAATCTGTGTAGTCCGTGAGAAATTCATCCTCCCTTGGCAGCAGGGGAAATTGTCAAGGGGCACAGAGTCCTGGAATGTCACCCCAGAAGGGTTCTTTGATGGCGAGTCCAACCCCCTCATTTAGAGTTGAGGAAACCAAGGCTCAGAGAGGGGAAAGGGCTTGCCTGGTGTGATCCAGAATGTTAACTGGGGGACCGGGACTGGAACTCTGGTGTCCTGAGTCTCAGTGCAGCGCTCTTTGCGCCGCACACTCTGAGATCAGCTAGATCGTTCAAGGCCATGCTGTCAAAACAGAGCTCTGCCCATCATGGCCAAGTCACCACTAGCAACTAGAAATCCTCAGAGCATTAGCAGGGGGAAACTGTCTCTTAGGAGGTGTATGATTTCGGGCCCAAGAACCCATTCCTTGCACATACATTATGCCAGGCACCATAGCTGTATTCACTCTCTTTCTAAAATATATATATTTCTTAATTAATTCAGACGGGGTCTTGCTGTGTTGCCTGGGCTGATCTTGAACTCCCATGCTCAAGTGATCCTCTCAAAGTGCTAGGATTACAGGCGGGAGCCACTGCGTCCAGCCCATAGCTGTATTCCCTTTGTCTGCCTCACAGCCCTTATAAAATCTAAATTACCCATCTTATCCCCATTGCACAGATGAGGAGATTGGGATTTGGCAAGTTTGAGGACTTGCAAAGTCTTAATCCCAGTTCCGCTGGACTTCAAAACCCAAGCCATAAACTACCATGCTGCCATGTCTCCCAGTGACCACATACAGTGGCCGCCAAGAACACAGTGGGGTAGGGGAATGGTCTCTGGGTTGGTGTGTGCCACGTCCTGTACACCACTGCCCCCAGTGGAAGGCCAGGGAAGGCATGTGATTCGTGGTCAGGGTCTGCAGCCTCCCATCTCTAGGCATCATCATTTATTAGACATCAGCTGAGTACTCAGGGGTCGAACAGAAGACTCAGATTTCCCTCTTTTCTTCCACCATAGGAACATCTTTTATGCGTGCCTAATAACCTAAAAACATCTACAGTTCACCCTTGAACAACACAGGGGTAAGAGGCACCAACCCCCTGCACAGTTGAAAATCTGAGTATAACTTTTGACTTCCCAGAAACTTAACTGCTTATTAGCCTACTGTTGACTGGAAGCTTTACCAATAATAAAAAGTTAATACATATTTTGTATGTTCTGTGTATTATATACTGTATTATAATAACATAAGCTAGAGAAAATTAAATCTTATTAAGAAAATAAAGGAAGAGAAAATATATTCACTGTCCATTAAGTGAAAGTGGATCATTATAAAGGTCTTCATCCTCATCATTTTCCTGCTGAGCAGGCTGAGGAGGAGGAAGTGGGGGTTGGTCTTCTGTCTCAGGAATGGCAGAGGCAGAAGAAAATCTGCGTTGGCTGGGTCCAGTGGTCCATGTCTGTAATCCCAGCACTTTAGGAGGCCAAGGTGGGCAGAGCCCCTGAGGTCAGGAGTTCGAAACCAGCCTGGCCAACATGGTGAAACCCGTCTCTACTAAAAATACAAAATAATTAGCTAGACGTGGTGCCGCCCACCTGTAGACCCAGCTACTTGGGAGGCTGAGGCAGGAGAATTGCTTGAACCTGGGAGGTGGAGATTACAGTAAGCCGAGATTGCCCCACTGCACTCCAGCTTGGGCGACAGAATGAGACTCCATCTCGGAAAAAAAGAGAAAATTTGCGATTAGGTGGACCCACGCATTACAAGTTCATGTTGATCAAGGCCAAATGTACTTGCAAAACATACCATTGGCTGTCAGTGTGATGGACAGAGAGGAGAATGGATTTGAGAACTAGACCAGCCTAAGTTTGAATCCTGTCTCTGCCACTTTGTAGTCTTGTCACTTTGGGCGAGTTTCTTAACTTCTCTGCACCTAATTTCCCCATCTGTACAATGGGGATAACAACTACTTCACTCAACAGCTGTAAGGATTAAAGAAAGTTGATGGGTGTAAAACACCTGGTGTATAGTACCTGCCCATATACATTCATAAAATGTAGGCTGCTGTGATTATTATGTTTGTAAAAAGTAATAATGAGAATAAGTATAGTCCAAGGAAAGAAACAGTGCCTGGTGCAGAGTAGGCTTTCAGTACATTTTGTAGAATAAATAAATTGCCTAGTGCAGTCTCTGAGTGCCCTATTTTCCCTCATGTCCTTCGGCCTGGGTTTGGCTGGGTAAGGGCTGGGTCTTGCTGTGTTCTCTATTCCTCTCATCCCCTGCAGCTGCCTTGACCTCTCGTCACAGAGTACACTCCGAATCAGCAGACAGACCCTGTAAAAAGTAGCAGTTCTGCTTAGTCAGCAGATCTGATGTTCAGGCCTCTTCTCTGTGCTTGTGTGGCCAAAAGTAACATCTCCCTGCTCTGAGCCAGCCCCAGGATGACCATGAGGAGCCCCAAATTGGATTCCGCCTCTGCCTCGCAAATCCCCAATAGAACTGCCAGCCAAATCCCCATTTTGAGGGATGATTTATGGCCTTGGGTGAGTTAAGAGGCAAAATGAACACAGCATGATTTTCAGATCACAGGCTGGGAATGTTCAGCCTTGGCAGAGAGAAAAATCATCTTTGCCTTGTAAACGGAGCAAATATGATGTTGAAGAGGGAATAAATCCAGGCCCCAAGATGTCATTTTTACAATTGCTTTTTGGCGTGTGACTTAGTAGTGCCTTCTGCAAACTGTTCATACTCTCCCCCTCCACACACACACACCAGCCTTGGTGGGTCTTTTTGTCGGGGTGAGAGTTACTCCACCAGTGTGGCTGCCTTGGGAACTGCAGATGTTGCCAGATAGATAGTTTGTGAAAACCAGCTGCTTCCCTAGTACGTGGATCTCCACGTATGTTTCTGGGAGGTAGCAGCTTTGACTTCAGAGATATGCCTGGGTTTAAATCCCATCCCTAGCACTTACCAGCTGAGTGAAATTGGGCAAGTCACAAACTTCTCTGAACCTCAGTCTACTCACCTGTGAAATGGGGGGTTAGCACATAGTAAGCCTTCACCAAACATTACATTTTTTTTCTTCCCTGCAGGTATACACACCCTTCCCGGTGTATACATTTGACTTATCTGGCTGAAAATACCATAACTACTTGATGAGTTTTGGTTTTTGGAGGTTTTTTTCTGGAGAAAAAAAATCCATAGCTCCTGGAAACTCAGTGTTGGGCTATGTTGCTCACTGATTCTGGCAGGCCGCGGTGCACATTCCTGACCCAGGCTTTGAGTTTGTTTTGAGAAAAAGCTGTCATCAGCTTTGTAAGTGGTGATGTTGCAATTCCTTGGATAGAATGGGTCAGGCTTAAGGGCAGCAAGCAAACCTTCCTGGTAGTCACATGCTTTGAGAGCCCTGAAAGCGCCATCCGGAGGCCAGAGGATATAAAAGTCGGAGGAAATGGCTTAGGAGCACTGGTCACTGATAGCCAGGCCCTTAGCCCAAGGAAGATAAGAGAACCTGCTGTTAGACAGATGCTACGGCCCCATGGTGGTCTCCTTGTGGCCTTGAGTGACATGTGCACAATTCCTCGGCCACCTTCTGATGATCAGAACATTCCTGGGGCCCAAGGGGTGATCATCAGAGCAAAGCACGCCTCGAAATTAGCTTGCTGCAGTGTCGTGCACTCACACCGCCGACCGACCACTCACCGCTCCACACTCTGCGCTTTCCTTCTTCAAAGAGTTTTTGCCAAGCAGTTTCTAATTAAGATGCATCTTGGCCATTTTCTTGTTCTTTAAAAGGCTTTCCACTAGCACAGAGCATAATTTATTTCTCTAGAAAATATAGTAGCAAGTTGTTGTCAAAAGAAAATTGGAGGTTAGGAGCCTTGGGTTCGTGTCCCCGCTCTGGCGCCAGCAGCCGAGTGAGCCGGCCTCCTCTGGGCCTCGTCTCTTCATCAGTACAAAGGGGTTTGCTTTGTCTCTGCCCAGGGTTCTGTGACTGCTGGTTGGTTACTAGGTTGATTTCTTTCTGTCTTTCTTTCTTTTTCATTTCGAAGGGGGTATTGGGCTGGTCTTCTTGGAATCTGAGATTTCAGCAACAAGTCTTGTTCCTGTCAGGAGAGGAGTGAGTCAGGGTGTCTATTCCCAGAGCAAGTTGCTGGGGATGTAGGAGATGATTCATATTGAAATTGACATTCTCTCCTGGTGGCAGCGTGTTCCGCCCACTTTGCGAAGACCTTTCCTTCCTTAGAAACAAGGCTGAGCCTACAGCAAGAGCCTCCTTTTCTTCTCACCGCATTGATGGCAGCACTTGCCAAGTTTCCCAGCAAACCCTGTGACAAATAGGTATGTGCATTCCCAGAATCTCAGACTACCAGGCCACTTGGATCCTTTGTAGCCTGTGGTCCAGTGTCTGAGGACCGGGAGGCAGGTCCTGAGAGGGCCGGGACTACCTGAGGTCAGACAGCCAGGATCGAACCCTGGTCTTCTAACTTGAGCCTCTATTTTTTTTTTGTTTTAAAATTACTTTTTAAAAATTGGGGTATAACTTATAACATGTCTACATTAAATTGCACAAATCTTAAGTGCACAGTCTAATGGATTTTACATATAGTTACCTCTGTGTAACTGCCATGCAGGTCAAGATTAAAAGCATTTCCATCACCCTAAAAGGTTCTCTCAGGTCCCTCCTAGTCTGTAGCTCCCCAAGGGTAGCTGCTGTTCTTTTTTTACTTTTCTTTTCCTTCTTTTTTTAAATATAGACAGGGTCTAGCTCTGTTGTCCAGACTGGAGTGCAGTGGTGTGACCATAGCTCACTGCAGCCTCTAACTCCTGGGCTCAAACAATCCTCCCACCTCAGCCTCTGGGTAGCTAGGACTACAAGCACGGGACACCACGCCTGGCTAATTTTTTAAATTTTTTGTAGAGATGAGGTCTTGCTATGTTACCCAGGCTGGTCTCAAACTCCTGGCCTCAAGGGGTCCTCCTGCCTCAGCCTCCCACAGTGTTGGGATTACAGGCGTGAGCCACCATGCCTGACTGAGTGGCCACTATTCTGACTTCTATCACCATAGATTAGTTTTGTCTGCTTTAAAATTCTGTATTATACTGCATGTACTCTTTTATGGCGTGCTTTTTTCCTTGTTATTGTATCATGAACACTAGTTTGTTTTTCCTGTTTTTCTTTCCGTTCTGTTCCTGGACATTTTTATTTTCAGGATTTGGTTGTATCATATCAGAAAGAAACCTGTACTCAATGGCAGTTACTCCTCATTTCTCATCCTCTTTCCCCCCTTCCCCAGCCCTAGGCAACCACTAATCTACTTTCTGTCTCTGTATAGATTTGCCTGTTCTGAACACTTCATATAAATGCTATCATACTGTATCTGGTCTTTTGTTACTGACTTCTTTCACTAAGCATAAGGTTTCAAGGTTCATCCACATTGTAGCATGTATTATCAGTACTTCATTCCTAGTGTTATTTGGAATTGCCTAGGAATATTCCTTTGTATGGATATCCCACATTTTATTTGTCCATTCAGCAGCTGATAGACGTTTGGATTGTTTCTACGTTTGTTTGCTGTTATGAATAATGCTGATACGAACATTCATGTATAAGCTTTTGTGTAGACATAGGTTTCCATTTCTCTTGGGTACATGCCTAGGCATGGAATTGCTGGCTCTTTTGGTAGCTCTACATGTAACTTTTTGAGGAACTGCCAGACTGTTCTATAGCGGCTGCACCATTTTAAATTCCCACCAGGGGTGTTTAAGAGTTACGAACACTTCAGTGCATGTTTTTTGGTGGAAATGAGGAGTCGTTTATGTTGGAATACACCTAGGATTTGAATTGCTGGGTCATACTGTATTGGTATGTTAAGTTTTAGTTGGAGGCTGCCAGATTTCCAAAGTAGTTAACCAATTCGTAGTTCTGCCAGCTGTGTGTGAGAATTCTAGTTGCCCCATTATCCTTGCCAGTGCTTGCTATTGTCAGTATGTTTAACTTTCGCCTCCTGCTGAATGCTGCCTCTCTCATCATCAAACCCCACAATGTTCAAAGCCCCAGCTTCCTGGCCCAGAGCTCCCCTGCACTGCCTGCTAAGCGCTGGTCTAGAGATGGTCCCTGCTCTTCCTGCCTTCACTTACGGGTGATTTGGGGCTCCCACACCAGCTGCCTCAAGTGCTTCTTGCAGCAGCAGGAGCAATCAGTGAAGTCTTCCTTCATCCTCTTCTCTTCACACTCCCTGGTGCCATGGGGTGGCCTCTGTTTCCCATTCCACTGCAGCTCTGGTGTGACAGGCTTAAGGTTCTATTGAAGTAGAGCTTCTCCAGTTTGGTACCAGGATAGGGGTATTAATGGAGAAAGTGTTGACCTAGGAGTCAGGAGGCTTGGGTTCTTCAAACCCTGGCCCCACCACTAACTCACTGGGCAGGGATCACGTTTCCTTTCTTAGCCTCAGTTTTCTGTCCTGTAGAATGGGGATGATAATGCCCTCTTACAGGATTGGTGTTGGGATCTCATGAGACCGTTCCTTCATGCGGGTGGTTGTTCAGTGCCTGCCATGCGCTACAGACTGTTTAGGCATAAGACAAGTAGCAGGGAGCAAGACAGACGCTCTGTGACCCTCCCCGGCCAGTGAGGAGACAGACGCATGAATCATACTTCCAGTGAAGACCGTCCGTGCGAGTGCTGTGAGGTACAGGCTTACACCAAGGGCTCCTCAACTCATTCTTGGAGGGGTGAGCTTCAAAAAAGCTTACTGGGGCCGGGTGCAGTGGTTCATGCCTGTAATCCCAGCACTTTGGGAGGTGGAGACAGGCAGATCACAAGGTCAGGAGTTTGAGACCAGCCTGGCCAGCATGGTAAAACCCCGTCTCTACTAAAAATACAAAATTAGCTGGGCATGGTGGCATGCATCTGTAACCCCAGCTACTTGGGAGGCTAGGCAGGAGAATTGCTTGAACCCTGGAGGCGGAAGTTGCAGTGAGTGGAGATCGCGCCACTGCACTCCAGCCTGGGAGACAGAGCAAGACTCTGTCTTGGAAAAAAAAAAAAAAAGCTTCTTGGGAAGGCTGACCTCCATACTGAGACTGGAAGCATGAATGAAGAAGCATGAAAGGCTGGGCGCAGTGCCTCACGCCTATAATCCCAGCACTTTGGGAGGCCAAGGCAGGCAGATCACCTGAGGTTAGGAGTTCGAGACCAGCCTGACCAACATGGAGAAACCCCATCTCTAATACAAAGTTAGTTGAGCTTGGTGGTACATGCCTGTAATCTCAGCTACTCAGGAGGCTGAGGCAGGAGAATCGCTTGAACCGGAGAGGTCGAGATTGCGGTGAGCTGAGATTGCGCCATTGCACTCCAGCCTGGGCAACAAGAGCGAAACTCCATCTTAAATTAAAAAAAAAAAAAAAAGAAGAAGAAGAAGAAGCATGAGAGAGGGATTATGGCACAGAAACACATGGGCAAAGTCCTAGATGGGAGATGTGGCAAGACCTCGGCCCCTTGGGGTCTAAAAGATGTTCAGTGTGGCTGTACTGGGTGGGGGCCATGGTAAGAGACCATCTGTGAGTGGTGCTGGCATATAAATGGGGTCATAAATGCAGCTCCTGGTATTTCCTCCCCACTCTAGGTCCCAAGAGCCAGGATACCTGCCTTCTAATTGCTTTTCAGCCGTCAGTCGACTCTGCCACCCAGATGAGGCCTGATCCCCATCACAGAGCGTGGGCGTCTGGCATATGGTCTCTTGAGTTACTTCTAGGTCCTAAAATAGCAGGTGATTGGGCCACTACTGGGTGTGTTTCATCCTGGCTGATGACAGCCTGGTGCAGCCAGGCAGACAGCAGGGTCAGCCCTGGAGACAGAGGTGCTTCATGGGTCACAGTGGCCCCATGCCGGCCCCACAGCCAGTGGAGACTGAGCCATGGCCACCTCTCTGGAAGGTGGGAGCCAGGGCTTCACTTCCCGCTGCCACTCGGGGCCTCTGAGGCAGGCAGATCTGTTTCCAAGCTCCACAGACAGCTGTTCTCCCAAGCATAAACGGTCAGCATGAGAACTATGCAGGGATCAATAGGAATTGTTGAAAAATTCTGAAAAGAGAGCCCGGAGGAAGACAAAGAGCCCCGGAAGTATGTTGTCAGCACAATTTGGTGCTAATACTCAAGTTTGTTTTTCTTTTCATCAAAGTCTGAAAGGCAGTTGGAAATCCACTGCCCTTGTTTTTTTGTTGTTGTTTTTGTTTTTAATGACTGGATAAAGCACAATTGCATTTTCTCCCCCAATAACTTTGAATTCTGGGAATAGACCATGTAGGGATAACTGCTGCTGTCTAATCCCTCCAATGGCTGCGCAAATATTTAGGACCCGGAGGAGAGGAGTCACCCTGGCTCCCTGCCTTCCTTCTAGCACGCAGGGCATGGCTCCCAGATAATGCTCCTCTTGAAATAGCACTTGCCCAGAAATGCATCTGGAGATTGTTTTGCAACAAGAAACTGACAGTGCTTGGGGACATGGAGAATTTATTTGAATAATTTCTTCAGTTTCTGCAAGTTTGTCCTGAGGACCTTCTCTCTACCAGGCTGGGAGCTGGGAGCAGAGTTGGGCAGAGGATGTGAAAATGAGCAGAACACAGTGGGCTCCTCGGAGAGAAGACACAGGCCATCCCCCTGTGCTACCAGACATGATGCCGGCCTAAGGAACACATCTATGAGAAAGCGGGCATTTAAGAAGAGAGGCTTGTCATACTCCTCGAACTCTTTAAGTGTCTTCATAAAGTTCCCCACAGTTCAGTGCCAGGGAATCACACAGATACTAGAATTTGAATGGAGGCTGGGAGGAGGTAGGCTGGGGTGGTAGATTTTGACAGACATCAGTAAATTTCTCTGTGACAGGTCGGGGGACAGGCCAGGCCAAGCGTAGGAGGCCCTGCTGGGCAGTGTTGGTGCTGCAGATGGGGTTGGGGTGGGAGGCGGGGAATGCAGGCTTGGAAGGAAGAGGCCTCTTGGGGCATTCGGCACCAGCCAGGCACCCCCCAGATGGCTGTCTGCACAGGGCTGACTTCGCCATTAGGCTTGGCGCCTAGGGCCCACAAAAATGTTTTCATTTTAATTTCTTTTAAAATCCGAGGAGAAAAAGCGAACATGATAATGAAGCCAGCCTGGATTATATCCATCTTTATGCCAATGCAGTTGTCAAGGATCATTTTAATATTCGTTTATGGAGGAAGGGGCGGCAAAGGCACCATTGCCGGGACCAGAGGAGTCATTGTGCAGCCCTGCCCTTGGTCCTTGGCTTCCTCCCCAGCCCAGGGGCCTGAAAGCCTGCACCTGCTCAGGCACCATGGGAAGGGTCCCTTTGCATTGTTGTCACAAAAGCTGGCAAATAAACCCACTGAGAACTCGAGTTCTAGTGCTGGGCAGGAAGGGCATAGCCATGGGTGCCCACCGGCTAGTGCAGACCCCTTCCTGTGAGTTTCATGTGTTGCTTACAGTAACTCTGAAGTGGGTGTCATTCTGATGAGGAAACTGAGGCTGAAAGGGAGGTGACTTGCTCAGGCCTGCACACCTGGCAAAGAGGTGTGCAGCAGGTCACAGCCAGGCTTGTCTGCCTCCAACGCCCACATTCCCTGTTTCCTCTGCCTCAGGGACTGGGAACTGCCCAACAGGCAGGACCTCCTATTCAACTTACCTTGTGCAGCAACACATGGTATTGGCCCAGGTGGCACTTTTTGGGGTATTTGGAGATGATAAACAGCAAAACAGGGTCTGTGTGTGTGCCATTGATTCAAAGGGCGTGCGATGTGCCTCTGTTGACCCTATTCATCTTCACCCTTGTGTCCCTCCTCCCTTGTTAGGCTTTAAAAATAAAGCCATGATTTGGAGCAGTGGCTCACGCCTGCAATCCCGGCACTTTGGGAGGCCCAGGCGGGTGGATCACTTGAGGTCAGGAGTTCAAGACCAGCCTGGCCAACATGGAGAAACCTTAACTCTGCTAAAAATACAAAAATCAGCCGGGCGTGGTGGTGCACACCTGTAATCCCAGCTACTTTGGAGGCTGAGGCAGGAGAATCGCTTGAACCTGAGAGGCAGAGGTTGCAGTGAGCCTAGATCTCACCGCGGCACTCCAGCCTGGGTGACAGAGCTAGATGCTGTCTCAAAAAATAAATAAGTAAATAAAAGTAAAGCCAAATTAGTTAGTTACATCCCCCAAACCAAGAAGGATAAAATCCCAAACACCCGAGAGGAGGCTAATGCATGACGATCGCCGGCCTAAGAGGATGTCCCCGTGGGGCTGCTTAGAAAGAACTTGAGCACCCAGATGGACCAGGGCAAGCCGCTTCTCATT
This sequence comes from Homo sapiens, assembly GCF_000001405.40. NCBI lineage: Eukaryota > Metazoa > Chordata > Mammalia > Primates > Hominidae > Homo > Homo sapiens. The sequence continues at coordinate 25,702,250 of NC_000001.11, forward strand.
CTTAGCCAGAGCTGACAGCAGGGCCCACATCGCCCCTGGCAGTGTGGCTTCATCCGAAGGGCCTTGAATTCCCAGGACATGAAACTCGCCCAGATCCAGATGTAAGTACAAAAGTGGGTCCCACAGTCAGTGGAGAGGCACGCTCCCTGGGCTCTCCCAGGCTCTGAGGGTCGGGGCTGCAGCTCTTCCTTCTCCTCCAAGGAGCAAAGCCAGGCAGCTCCTCAGGGCCCATCCCCCCAAAACATACCAGAGTCTACAGCTCAACTCACTGAAATGGGGAGGAAGCAAAACCCTGGAGGGAGGATCCCAGGGATTTGAAGCAGTTAAACAGAAGCACAGGCTTTGGCACCAGGGGGCCTGGTTCACCATTTTCTGGCTGTGTGACCTGGGGCAAGTGAATTCACCTTTCTGTGCCTCAATTTCTTCTGGAAAAATAGGAATTATAGTACCTACCTCATAGGGTAGTTGTGAAAATCCAATTAGTTAATACACTGTGAAGGGCTTAAAGTAGTACCAATAAATAGCAGTGGCTGTCATCATGATTACCATTATCTTTACCATTAGTATTGTCAAAGCTGCCCAGGGAAGCAGGAGAGTTGGGTGGCATCTTTGCGTGCCAGTGACTGCCTATGTAGCGTTGGACAAATCACTTTCCTCACCCTTCCCTGGGACTCAGACTCTGTGAATTGAACAGTTTGGATGAATTTGTGCTGCTCTTCGCCAGGAGGAAGCATCAGAATTGCCTGCAGGGCTTTTGCAAATGTAGACTTCCATGTTCCGTCTCCAGAAATTCTGGTTCATTGGGTCTGGAGCTGGCCCAGGGATCTGCATTAAAAATAGCATCTCTGTTGATGGTTCTGATGCACAACCCAGGTTGGGAGCCACAGTTAACCGGGTTAGGATCCTGAAGTGATTGGTCCCCTTCCCTCACTCCCATTAGCTCAGGTGGTGTTTTAGCAAAGGGGAAGCTCCTGCCCTCTCTGTGGGTGCTGAGGCTGTTGCCTGGGTGGGGGTCCCACTTTACTAGGTGTGGCAGGTCACCAGTTCCACAGGAAGCAGTGGTGGCTGGAGAACAGCCCTGAGGCGTGAGTGGAGCCGGCACATCTAGGAGTTTTCATTCAGCTGATGTTTGGTGAAAGTGGGATCTGTAGGCTGGGCGCGGTGGCTCACACCTGTAATCCCAGCATTTTGGGAGGCCAAGGCAGGCAGATCACCTGAGGTCGGGAGTTCGAGACCAGCCTGACCAACATGGAGAAACCCCATCTCTACTAAAAATACAAAATTAGCCAGGTGTGGTGGTGCATGTCCGTAATCCCAGCTACTCAGGAGGCTGAGGCAAGAGAATTGCTTGAACTTAGGAAGTGGAGGTTGCAGTGAGCCGAGATCGTGCCATTGCACTCCAGCCTGGGCAACAAGAGCGAAACTCTGTCTAAAAAAAAAGAAATGAAAGTGGGATCTGCAGATGGGAGGAGAACAACTGTGAAAATGAGGTGTCCTCTGGCCATGTGATGCCTGGGGGCTAATCCTACCTTCAAGGTATCACAGGAGATTCTCCTCACTGCTTCTGAAGTGTGATTGAAAGGGGCTGAGGTGTGGATGGATGTCAGCCCTGCTTTCCTTCATGGCCACCCAGAAGCTTTTGGATGCTTTGGGTAGGACAAACCTCCAAGGAGCTTTTGGGTCACAAAGGGCCCACCTTCTTGGGCACTGGCGGGATCTGTCTGCCCAGTTCCTGGTTGCCCAAGCCCATCCCATCATCCAGCCTGCCCACAGACGCCCCTGCCACATGCTTCTGGCTGCCTGTCCCTTCATCCCGGCTCCTGTCTCTCCTCGTCTCCCTGATCAATAGCAACCAGCCAGGAAAGCAGTCCCGCAGTGTTTCAGGCCCACTCCTTTAATCTCTCCCGAGGCTGAGAACAGCCTCTTTCTAGCCACCCAGCCCCTTTATTAAACTTCCTTCCTGCCCCCAGTCCTGCTGCTGCCTTTGTGAGGTAAGTTGGACTTGTGTTTCTGTCTTTGGAGAACAGCTCTGCAATAGAAATGGCTTCCTGAAGGCAGGAGCTGCCTCTGAGCTGCCTCCAAGCCAGCCTGGGGCCTGCAGTACAGATGCTGGGAATGGGCGGCCGACAGAACCAAGCCATATCCTATCCTTAGACCCAATCCCAGACAGCAGGACCATGTGGCTCCCAATGTGGAGATAAGAGGGAAGCAGTAGCGACATCTGGGCATCACTTGGCAGCGTGGCTTTGGCTGCTCAGCACGTGCTTGCTAGAGAATCCCTGATGGCTGTTATGGCTTACACATTTAACCACTTCCCTTTGGTACATGTGTAGAGGTGCTGGGTAAGCATCTTGTCAACTTTAACACAGCTGACAAAGTTATGACACCAAGAATGCTTAGACTTTGCAGTTTTCCCCGAACTCCGGCTGATCCTGTTAAAATGTCTCTCCTTACAGAGAGCTGATTTGTGCCCCCAAATTTTCTCATCTCAGCAGGCAGGGTCTCTTTGCCAGAAAAAAGAAAAATCTGTTGTCATCCAGATACTCTGATTTAGCATTATCTGAGAGGAAGGCATGTTTCCTATCTGGTTTGTTGCTGATTTTCCAGTTGGTTTCCGTGGGACGGAGCCATGGAGAAGGATGCAGGAGGATAGCTGGAGACACTTGCATTTTTAAGCTCCTCTCCTCCAATGCAAAGCCTTAAAATGCGTGGGATTTTCCCTCTTGTTAAGGCTGCAGTCTTCATGCCTCTTCTCAGTTGGAGAGTGATAAAGTTTGAACAAATCCCTTTATTTATGTTGGAAGTATCTGAGTGTGAAAATCCTTTTCTGCCCTTAAAATTACTCGATCCGTTTTTTTCTCTTTTTTAAATGATCAGTTTAATACATGCCCATTATAGTGAAATTAGAAATTACAAACAAGAACCAGAAGGAAAAGTTGCTGAAGTTCCACTACCGTGTATCCCTGCAGATGCGTTCCCATACAGATGAACAGATATAAATCTGTATTTTGAAAAAAAGGAAGAAAGGAAAGAGAAGATATGTATTTCTGCATACACAGAATCATTTGATAAATGCCGTCTTGTGACCTGCAGTTTCACTTTTCAGTATTTTGGGATCTTCTGAAGCTGTCAGATGGTAAACACCTGAAGTGTCATAGTCGATGGCTGTCCAGTATTCTATCACATGGATGGACTGTTGTTATATAGTCTATTATATTGCATTTACTGGACATTTAGGTTATTTCTGATTTTGGGCCAATCTAAGCACTGGTGAGATGAGTGTCTTAATTTGGGTCACTAATCTTTACACATTTGCCTTAGTGTTGTCTTAGGATAAGTTTTTAGAACAGGACTAGCTAACATTTTCAAGCATTTACCACGTGCCACTCTGCTAAGGGCTTTAAGTATATTATCAGTCAGGCATGGTGGCTCACGCCTGTAATACCAACACTTTAGGAGGCCAAGGCAGGAGGATCATTTGAGGCCAGGAGACCTGGAAAGTCTACGACTTAGGGAGACCCTGTCTCTACAAGAAATTTAAAAATTGGCTGGGTATGGTGGCACATGCCAGTAGTCCTAGGTATTCAAGAGGCTAAGGTGGAAGGATCACTTGAGCCCAGGAGTTTGAGGCTGCAGTGAACTATGATTGCATCACTGCACTCCAGCCTCGGTGACAGAGCAAGACCCTATGTCAGATAAATAAATAAATAAATAATCTATTGAATCTTACACATGATTCTATACAGAAATATCCACATTTTACAGATAAGGAAACTGAGTCATGGAGAGGTTGGGTACCTTGTTTGGGGTCACACAGCTGGCAAACTGCAGAGCCAGTATTGGAACCCAAGCTCTCTGACCCCAGAAGCTTCTGATGCAAAAGGTTAGGTCTGTTTAGCCTTGCTGCATGGTATAAGGATGCCTGTCCCTTGCTTCCTCTCTTCCAGCTCTTTACCCTGTGGTCTCCTGGAGTCCTCTCACACCCACACTTGCATAACAGGAACAGGGAAGGAAGAATCGGCAGTGTTTGTGCCATGCCTGAAGGATCACAAAGCATTGTCCCACATGACCCAGATGTGCATCTAGCACCCCTTCCTGGATTCTCAGTCCCTGGGAGGTACCTTCTAGGGAACCATCCAGAGACGGGAACATGTGGCCACTGGAGACCTGCCTTAGGGGAGTTGTGGGCGTGTTGGTCGGGGCTCAGCCAAGTTGTGCTGGGAGAGTCTGTGCTCTCCCTAGACCAGGTTCTTTACAGAGACTGGACTCTGGCGGGGGGGAATCCTTGCAGGCCATTCTAGGGAGAGTTGGACATGCGCAGGGCAGCCTGGGAGTCTGAGTCCTCAGCAGAGAGTGTTCTGGGAAAAGAAGAATGCTGAGTGAGATACAATGCTAGACAGGGGATGTGGGTGATTTACTTGGTGAGAATGCCCCTAGACTGGGCAAATCTAAGGCCAGGGCCCTGAAGCGGGCCACCTGTTTTGCACAGACTACTCACCTGCAAGCACTTAAGACAGGCTTGTGGCCCAGAGGTAAGAGCAGAGCCCTCCTCTCATGACCCTACTAGGCCTGGCTGTTTGTCAGTGGCTCTGTCCTTTGGGGATAATCAGAGTTCCAGCTGCCTGTGCCATGGGGAACAGGGTGTGGCTGGTTCCAGTACACAGGCAGAATAGGGCATACCATCTCCAAGCAGCAGGGGCTGTAGGATTCCCACCTTAGTTGCCTTGCAGGGAATGTCTTGGTCCAGCAGAAGAGACAGAATGGGGAGGGCTTGCCCTCCACTTGGCCCAGTTATCTCTTCCCGATTTATCCATAGATTGAGCTTGATGATCCAGACTCATATTCATTCAACTAATCACATGAGTTATTTCTGCAATTTGGGTCTTCAAATAAGTACACTTGGTTGCTGAATATGTGATCAGCCACAGATTTCTTATTCTTTAAAACTCAGGGAGCGGAAATGCCAACGTATAAAGCCATCAGCACGAGGCAGAGATTTCCAAAGCACTAAAATCACACCATTCAAAGTGCTGGCCCCTGGACTTACCGTCAAGCTGCCACTTGGCCCATCAGTGCTCTGTGCAGAGCCCAGGTAGGGGGGCTTTATCTGTAAAACCCAGGGAGGAAGGCAATCAATACGTAATCTTTTCACATTCTTTTTACTTAACAAGAGAATTGGTTTGCCTCTGAAGTAACTTGATCTGGAGGAGAAAATGCATTTGAGGGCTTTTAAAGGGTGCAGACCAACTGGGAAAGGCTACTTCAGGCCTTGAGGTTGGGAAGGTCAGCTTCTGTTCTGCTCTGAGCTTTGCTGTAACCTTGAACAACTTCGCCTCTTCCTCCTTATCATCAGGGTCCCTGGTACAATGAACCAGCCACTGGACAGGACTTACCATTCATTCATTTGTTCATTCAGTGAGCCACTGTTGAACCGCTACAGAAATCCAAGTAGTGGATTAGGCCCTGGAGATTTCAGAGATAAACCCGACCTGGATCTGCATTTACATTGCTTGTAATTGTCAAATGGAAGACAGCTGCAAACAGTTAAGATGCAGGCGTGGGAAACAAATATTGGGAGTAGAAAGGAAGGGCCTGTAGCCTCTGTTTAGTCACTCTATGAGGAACTGCCTGGGGCAAGGATTGTGGCTTCTGTTCCTATCTGGGGGAGGCTGGGATGGACCCCCAGGATGGACCCTGTCAGAAGTCATGAACTGGCTGTAGGAGAGCAGCTGTTTGCTCCTTTTGTTCCCAGAAAGGGGTCCCAATCCAGATCCCATGAGAAAGTTCATTGGACCTTACACAAGAAAGAATTTGGGGCGAGTCCATAAAGTGAAAGTAAGTTTATTGAGAAAGTAAAGGAATAAAGAATGGCTACTCCATAGGCAGAACAGCAGCCTGGGCTGCTTGACTGAATATACTTACAGTTATTTCTTGACCATATGCTAAACAAGGGATGGATTATTCATGAGTTTTCCAGGGAAGGGGTGGGCAATTCCCTGAACTGAGGGTTCCTCCCTTTTTTAGACCATATATGGTAACTTCCTGATGTTGCCATGGCATTTATAAATAGTCATGGCGCTGGTGGGAGTGCCTTTTAGCATGCTAATATATTATAATTAGTGCCTAATGAGCAATGAGGACAATGGGAGGTCACTTTCATCACCATCTTGGTTTTTGTGGGCTTTGGCCAGCTTCTTTACCATAGCCTGTTTTATCAGCAAGGTCTTTGTGACCTGTATCTTCAGCTACCCCCGCCCATCTCATCCTGTGACTAAGAATGCCTAACCTCCTGGGAATGCAGCCCAGTAGGTCTCAGCTTCATTTTACCCAGTCCCTATTCAAGATGGAGTTGCAGCCAGGCACAGTGGCTCATGCCTGTAATCCCAGCACTTTGGGAGGCCGAGGCAGGCGGATCACCTGAGGTCAGGAGTTTGAGACCAGCCTGGGCAACGTGGAGAAATCCTGTCTCTACTGAAAATACAAAAATTAGTTGGGCAGTTGCTGCGCTCCTGTAATCCCAGCTACTTGGGAGACTGAGGCAGGAGAATCACTTGAACCTGGGAGGTGGAGGTTGCAGTGAGCTGAGATTGCACCACTGCACTCCAGCCTGGGCAACAAGAGCGAAACGCTGTCAAAAGAAGAAAAAAAAAAGCCACTGGCTTGGAAAGTATCTGAGAAAGTCCCTGGTAAATTTCATTCCACTCCAACTGGGGTCTTGGCACTTGCATTTTCCTGAGCCCAGCCCCAGGGACCGCAGGAATCCATACATCTGCAGGGATGAGACACAGCCGATGCCCACCGCCATGCAGAAGCCTAACACCTACTAGGCTGAAAGTCACCCCAGGGCACTAAGCCAGGGAGGGTTGAAGGGGGTGGAAGATCATCAGGGAGAGAGTAGGTTTTCCTATTTGAGAAGTGAAAGGCGGTATAGACGGCTGTCCTCCATGCCTTGGATTGTAGGTGGCATTTACTGCTCAAGGAGAAGGGACACTCAGAGACCTGATGCAGAACACGGAGGAGGCAGTAAGACCGGCTAAGCTAGGTGAGTTTAGGAAAGTCCAGCAGGGCCACCTACTTATTTTGCAGTCATAAAAACAGCAGCTCCAGGCCCTCAATGCTGGCATGTAGTAGGTACTCAATAAATGTCTGCAGAAGCAATGAATGAGTCCTGTCAAAAGTAACAGTACTGAATCAAACCAGTGTTCTGGGAGGCAGGCACGCAGATGTTTCTTGTCCACCCTAACTCTCCAGCTCCAAAGCCCATGCTCTTACCCAGGGCTCTGTGAGCCCTATTCAGTTGTGTTAATCAGATGTGGCTGCATTGCCTCCCCGCCGTCTTGGTTACAGTAAATGTCCTTTAAGTTGCAAGGGCCTGGGGTGGCAGGGGTAGAGGAATGCATGAAGATTCCTCACCAATGCCTGATACTGTCAGTCTTCGTAACGTTAGCCTTTCTAGCAGAAGGAAACTCTATCTATCTATCTATCTATCTATATTTATTTATTTTATTTTTTTGAGATGGAGTCTCACTCTTGTCGCCCAGACTGGAGTGCAGTGGCATAGTCTCGGCTCACTGCAACTTCTGCCTCCCGGGTTCAAGCGATTCTCCTGCCTCAGCCTCCCGAGTAGCTAGGATTACAGGCGCCCGCAACCACGCCCAGCTAATTTTTGTATTTTTAGTAGAGACAGGGTTTCACTGTGTTGGCCAGGCTGGTCTCGAACTCCTGACCTCAGGCGATCTGCCTGCCTTGGCCTCCCAAAGTGCTGGGATTACAGGCATGAGCCACTGAGCCCAGCTGGAAACACTATATTCTTGTTGAGCCCCTGGAAGTTTATTTATATACTCATTCTGCATTTTTGTTCAATCCATACTCTGCTAAGCACTGGAGAAAACAGAGGTGAGTAATCATTGCTGTTCTCCCACTGGCATGGGTCAGACAGCTGGGGTGGGAATCCTGCTCTGCCACTTCCTAGATTTATTGACCTTGGGTAAATTAATCTCACTGAGCCTCTGTTTCCACATCTGTAAGATGGGGTTGGTACCTCAAACAAGTGTTGAGAAGATGAACTGCAATGTCATATGTAAAAGCCTGGCCTGCCCAGGCATTCAGTAAATGTTCACTGTGCTTGTTGTTGTTCATTCATCTTGCCTGCTGGCTGACAAATGGTAACAGGCACCAAAGGTTTAAGAAAGCTGTGTCAGAACAGACCTTAATAATAATAGTTGCTAACATTTATTGAACATGTACTGTGTGCCAAGTGCTATTCTAAGTACCTTTTATAGATTACTATTAATATTAAAAATCCTATTGATTTCTGTAATTTTTTACAGAGTGGGGAAAGGCTACTATGGTTTGATTTTCATGGAAACACTTGGTTGTAAATTGCGGGGACCCAGTGGCTTTCTGGAAGCATGATTCTAGAACCTCAGAGGTAGCAGGATAGGAAATAGCGAGATAGACTTTCCCTTGTCGTGGCTGCTCAGTGACCTTCAAGTACCTGCTGCTGCCCTTTGTTCAGAACCTGAAGGCTGATGACTTAGTAAAGATGAAAACAATGAATTCTTAAAGAAAGGTCAAGGTTGAGTATAGTTGATGGGACCCTGGGTGAGTGGTTTCTTACTTGGACTCTTGCGTTGGCAGCTGTGGTCTTAGGGAAGGTCTCTCCCCTCTCTAGGCCTCGGGGTCCTCACTTGTTTGGAAGGCTGAACTCATTGTATCAACTAACGGTTGCTGTGTAACAAACCACCCTGAAACTTAATGGCTTAAACAAAGACCATTTATTATTTCTTGAGTCTGTGGGTCTTAGCTAGGCCAGGATTGGTCTAGGATGGCTTTGGTTAGATGACTCAGCTCTGTTCCATGTGGACCTGGACTTCTCTCATGGCAGAGATAGGGTCCAAAAGAACAGACAGAAGCACACAGTCTCTTAAGACCTAGGCTCAGAACTGGCACACAGTCACTTCCTCTGCATCCTGTTGGTCAGAGTAAGTTAATTGGCCAGCCTGGACACAAGGAGTGAAGAGAGAGACTCCATCTCTTGATGGGAACAACCGCTAAGTCTCATGGCCAAAGTCAGGGCTACAGGGAGAAGTAGGACACCAGGAACATTTTTGCCTTCTATCACACCAGACTCCTTCCCACTCAGACATCTCTAAAGTCAAATCGCTCATGGATGGGTCAGTGTGGGAGAAAGAAGTTGAATTCTCATCTCCTCAGGCCAAAGCTGGACATGCCTTTCCTGGGTTTGAGATAAATGGACCAGATACCTGGTCCCTGTTGGTGCTGAGCTCAGCTCCGTTTGATCAAAAGGACAGAACTAAAGGACATATTTTTATTGAAGCACTCATTCTGCATGTATTGAGCACCACTGTGTGCCAGGCCCTGCTCCCTGCGGCCCCGCCCCTCCTCCCTGCGGCCCCGCCCCTCCCCTGCGTGCTGCAAGCCTGCCCCGGGCCCCACTTCCTCCCCTCCTCCGTGGGTGCGCAGCCCAGGCCACTGCTTGTCTTGGTGGGAGGAAGTGATCAGTCTTTGCAAGCCGTGCTGTCCTGTGTGTGAAAGAGGATACTTTCTTTATTTTACTAAAAGATTCCTTTCATTCAGATCATGAGACAGAATTGGGAAATTTAAAAATTTGGTCTTTAAGAAGAGATGTGTAAACAGCTTTCAGGAATGTTTGTTTAAATGGACTCACAGTGAGTGTGTCAGGGAGCGCCATCCCTCTGCCCAGGCCCTGCTCATCCTGATGCAGACCACAGAGGAGGCGACAAGACCAGCTAAGCTGGGTGAGTTTAGGAAAGTCCAGCAGGGCCACCTACTTATTTTGCAGTCATAACAACAGCAGCTCCAGGCCCTCAATGTTGGCATATAGTAGGTGCTAAATAAATGTCTGCAGAAGTAATGAATGAATCTTGTGGAAAGTAACAGTACTGGATCAAACCAGCGTTCTGCTATGCTCGGCCGGCGTCTTGGCAGGGGAGCTCTTTTGTCTGGCTCCCCACGTCTAACCTCCAGTTATAGAAGACATTTTTGGGTGGTTTGCACATACTAACGTGCCCGTTAGGCACCTTGTTGATTTCACTTGCTGTAAAGCCCCTGGGGAAGCCCCTGGGTGGGCTGCTCTCAGGGAGGGTCTGGAGAGGAGATGGGCCACTTATGGAGCTTTCCACAGCAGCCCCAGCCTAGCAGAAGAAGTGAGTGAGCACATAGGCTCATGCTGGTAATCTGGGGCGGCTTCCTGGGAGAAGGGGCCTTGGCCTGTTGGGAGGGTTTGTAAAGGTGGCAGAAAGGTGAGCTATCCTGATGGTTCTAGCATGTTTAGAGGTCTTTGTGAAACTGCTTACCTGTCTTGAGTCCCTTCTCCTTGAGCAGTAAATGCCACCTACAATCCAAGGCATGGAGGACAGCCATTCAAACCGCCTTTCACTTCTCGAATAGGAAAACCTACTCTCTCCCTGATGATCTTCCACCCGCTTCAACCCTCCCTGGCTTAGTGCCCTGGGGTGACTTTCAGCCTAGTAGGTCTTAGGCTCCTGCATGGCGGTGGGCATCGGCTGTGTCTCATCCCTGCAGATCTGTGGATTCCCACGGTCCCTGGGGCTGGGCTCAGGAAAATGCAAGTGCCAAGACCCCAGCTGGAATGGAATGAAATTTACCAGGGACTTTCTCAGATACTTTCCAAGCCAGTGGCCTTTTGATATTGACTTGGGATTAAACTCCCCACTGCCTCAGATACTAGGATCATCTATGCAGTTGTCCAATATTTTATATTTTAGAAATACTTTGATATGAATCTTCTTGCATAATCCTTCTAACCTTACCCCTTTGAGGCTGGCCAGAGTTAGGAACTAGTCTTCCCATTTTCCCATTACAGATGGGGAAACTGAGGTCATTACAGATGAGGTAAATAACTTGCCTGGGGTCACACAGGCCTCCTGCCTGCCTCTCAGTCCAGTGCTCTTTCTACTATATGTCATGTCCTCTCATAATGAGGTGGGGGTGGGGAACAAGGAGATGGAGGGATGTGTTGGGTGCTTTTGTGTTACCACATTGCACCCTCATCACAGTCAGGTGAGATGGTGCCATACCCACTTTATAGATGAGGAAACAGACCCAGGTAAGCTGAGTGATTTGCCCAGCATAAGCATACCAAATGGCAAAGCAAAATTCATACGCAGGTTTTGAGTCTCCACAGCAGCAGGCAGAGACCTACTTTCTAGAAAGAGTTTATTAGGGTCCAGTCTAGTGGGTGAAACAGATAAGCAGGACACGACAGTGCACAATCTAGGCACAGGCTCTTGAAAGCAGCTCTCTGGAGGCTGGAACTATTTTGCTAGAGGTGTTTGGATGCTGCTGTCTAACCCGAGACATGGAGTTTATATAGGACTGTTGGGCCCTAAGCCTTCCTGATTCATATGAGGTCTGAAAAGAGGCCCATGGATGTGCCTCATCTCCGGCCTCTGTTCAGACTAGGGTACACAGACACATAAATCGTTATAATGCAGCCTGCACAGGTGATCAGAGGGCCATGGAGAAGGCATTCCTTGGGCTCAGTTTAACACAGCACCAGAGTTTGGACTTCGCTGGGCCCAGTGTCTGCTCTTTGCTGCCGGGAACCAAGGCTCCAGGTTCCTCATGCACTTGCAAGTGACTGGAGCTTCCGAGGGAGTTAAATCAACCTTCGTGTTTCCTGTAGCCCCTCCTCAAATAGACACACCAGCTGGCATTTTTCCTTAAATACCACTCATTTTTAAAAGGGGAAAAAAATGTTGGTGGCTTTGAAATAGATCACACTTTAAAATGCAGCGTAGCAGAGAGTCAGTTCAAATTATTCTCTTAATAGAGTTCTTCAGAGTGAGGAAGTGATGAGGGAACATAATCACTTCTTTTGTCATATGGGCGAAATCTGAGGACTGCGATTCATTTGTCTGCAAATGTGTCTCTTCGGTACAAATTGCAGCAAGCAATCCATTCCCAGGGTAAATGGTCTTTAATTAAAGTCAGTCAGTTGTCTTGGATGGTTAGGGGAGGAGAGGGGTTTGAAGCACAAACTAATACACACTTTTATCCCTTCAAAAATAAAAAAGAATATATTTCTAAGTGACATTGACTCCTTGATTTGATAATTAGGGAAAAGCTTTGTTTATAAGTAAAACTATTCTGGCTCTTATTCATGAATAAAAATGTTTGCAGTAAGGCCTCTGAGAAGCAGTAGAAGAATTTCTTTACCAACCCTGGTAAAAATGCATCCTCAAGCATTGATTTTTGTAGCTGAAGTGCATTATGTGTTCTGCATGAGCTTTTGAAAGCTTAGATAAATGAGGTGGCTCAGAAAGCAGATAAAAAAAAATGGGAGGAAATTATACCGATCCAAAAGAAGATAAATGTCCACTAATTCTCAGATTAACATTTTAGACTCCTGTGTTTTTATAGGGGAATTTTTGCAATGCTGATAATGTGAGATTGGTTTACAATGTCACATACCAGGTAGAATCAATGAAGCTTTGTTCGAGCTCTCAGAGTCAGCTACACTCTAAAGGAAGTGGAGTTAATGCCACAAGCTGGTGGTACCCTGGCTCCCACCTGTATTAAGTGCTAGCACTACACCTAAGATGACATATTTTAAGGGTGACATTGACCCTCAAGGTCAACTATGTTAGTCTGCACTCTCCAGTTTGCAAGATGCAAAAAAACTCAAGCCCATTTAAGTTCAATTTACTAGATCACTTGATTGAAAGTCACTAGGATTAGACTTCAGGCACAGCTTGATCCACGTCTCAAATGAAGACGGACACTCTGTTTATTTCTCTTCCCTGTGGCCTGTTTTCACTGTCTTCATTCTCAGGTTGTTCTTCCTTGATGTGAACAAGCTGGTACAACAACTTTAGCCTGCCCAACCTGTGTCTGGTGCAGAAGAGCTAGTGCCACTCTGTTTCAGTTTAAGCCCAAAATTAGTGCTGGTGAGCTTTAATTGGGCCCATGGCTCTGCCTATCCCTAACTCATCCTCATGTCCAGAGGGATGAAAGGGCTGGACTGACCAAGGCCTAGGTCACATGATCATTCCCATTGCTGGGGTCAAGGCAGTTCTACCTCAAGCAGAACATGGACTAGGAGTTGGGAAGGAGGGGAGGTGTAGAAGGTGATTCAGGGACCCGTCAACTAGAGAAAGTATAGGTGGATGCTGGGCTGTGAAACCCTAGATTTCTGCCACATCAGCCTTTCACTCCTTCTCTCAACGAATACCTAAGCACTCACAACAGACTTTGTGGACCTAGGTGTGAAAGTTACTGTGGTGAACAGAAAGGTCCAGGCTCTGCCCTCAGAGAGCATCTAGCTGGTCTTGTGCCAGGGCTTGAACCATGCCATGGTCTTTCAGCTGACTAGATGTCTTTACTGAGCACCTACTATGTGCCAAGCCCTGGAAACAGAAAGATGAGGAAAGCCAGGGCCTCTCCCTTGAGCAGTATAGAGCAGAAGAACGATGGTGGTTTCAGGAGAGCCTGAGGCACTAAGGATGCTAGCACTTCACATCTTTCTCTGCTACTGTTCATTTTATCTGGTAGGATTGGATTCTGTTGGAACTCAGGAAACCCAAAATAGCAAGCCTTAACCAAATAGTTTATTTCTTTTTCATTTACAGGTCCAGGTAGTTAGTCTAGGACTGGAGTAGCGACCCCACCATCGTCAGGGACTTAGGTTCCACTGTTTACCCTCAGTACTGGCTTCCACCTTACGGTCCAAAATTGCTGCTGTGGCTCCAGTCATCGTGTCCACATTCCAGCCAGCAGGAAGGGAAAAAGAGGAAGAGTAGAGAATGTCACTTCCCTTTAAACATATTTTTCCAGAAGTCACATGCAGCACTTCAACTGAATCCCATTGGCCAGAACTCAGTCATATGCCTACACGTAGCTGGAAGGGAGGCTGGGAAATGTAGTTTTTATTCCCATGGCCATGTGCTCAGCTAAAATTGTTGCTTCTGTTTCTATGGAAATTGAAGGAGAATGGATATTAGGGGCAACTAGCAGACTTGGCCATACTCAGATCTGCCTGACAGGTCCCTGCTCTTTCTTCTGTGTGTCTCTCAAATTTAGTTTTGTTCTTTTTGAGACAGGGTCTCACTCTGTCACCCAGGTTGGAGTACAGTGGCATGATCTCGGCTCACTGCAACCTCCACCTCCCAGGCTTAAGCCATCCTCCCACCTCAGCCTTCTGAGCAGCTGGGACCACAGGCACAACCTGGCTAATTGTTTTTGTGTTTTTAGTAGACACAGGATTCTGCCGTGTTGCCCAAGCTGTTCTCGAATTCCTAAGCTTGAGCAATCCGCCCACCTTGGCCTCCCAAACAGGCATAAGCCACTGTGCCCGGCCCTCAAATTCAGTTTTAAAGACCAGGCTTACAGACTGCCTTCCTTTATGGAGCCTCCTGGGTTTTAATCCCAATTGGAATCAATAGCTTTACCCTTTCTAAATTTTTAAATCCACTGTATTAAAGTTTAATTTAATGCAATAAAATGTATTTCAACACCACTAAAATCAAGGTACTGAACATTTTTATATCTAAAAGTTTCCTCAGGCCCCTTTGCCATTCATCCTTCCTCAGCTTCTGGCCTAGGCAATCACCAATCTGCTGTCACTCTAAATTAGCCTGAGCCTTCTAGAGTTCCTTAGAATCACACAGTGTGTATTCTTGTGTCTGGTTCCTTCACTCATCAGGTTTTTGGGGTTCCTCCATGGTGTTTTGTCTGTCCATAGTTGCTCCTGTGTATTGTCGAGTAGTATTCCGTCATATGGATATGCTATGGTTTATTTTTTCCATTTGGCAATTGATTTGTTTCCAGTTTGAGGCTATTAAAAATAATGCCGCTTTGAACATTCACAAGCAGTTTTCATGTGGATGTATGTGTTCATTTTTCTTAGGTATATACCCAAAAGTGGAATTGTTGGGTCATATGTTAAATTTATTAACTTTGTAAGAATTTGCTGGTTGGGCACAGTGGCTCACACCTGTAATCCCAGCACTTTGGGAGGCTGAGGTGGGTGGATCACTTGAGCCCAGCAGTTCAAGAGCAGCTTGGTCAACATGGCGAAACCCTGTCTTTACAAAAAAAAGAAAAAATTATATATATATAGCTGGGCATGGTGGTGCATGCCTGTAGCCCCAGCTACTCAGTAAGCTGAGGCAGGAGGATTACCTGAGCCCAGGGAGGTCAAGGCTGCTGTGATCTGTGATCATACTACTGCGGTCCAACCTAGGCAACAGAGTGAGACCCTGTTTCAAAAACAGAGAATTTGCCAAATTGTCTTTTTCAAAGCAGATGTACCATTTTCCTTTTTTTTTTTTTTTTTGAGATGGAGTTTCTCTCTTGTTGCCCAGGCTGGAGTGCAGTGGCGCAATCTCGGCTCACTGCAGCCTCCGCCTCCCGGGTTCAAGCGATTCTCCTCCTGAGTAGCTGGGATTACAGGCATGTGCCACCACCCTGGCTAGTTTTGTATTTTTAGTAGAGATGGGGTTTCTCCATGTTGGTCAGGCTAGTCTTGAACTCCCAACCTCAGGTGATCTGCCCACCTTGGCCTCCCAAAGTGCTGGGATTACAGGCATGAGCCACCATGCTCGGCCCCATTTTCCGTTCTTACCAGCAGTGTGTGAGAGTTCTAGTTGTTCCATTTCCTCACCAACACTTGGTAAAATCAGTCTTTTTCTTTTTAAGGCTGTTCTAGTAGATGTGTGTTGATATCACACTATAGCTTTATTTACACACACACACACACACACACACACATAGCCATTCCCCCATTCTTTCCATTATAGTTACATCAAAATATTGGTTGTTCGGGGTGTAACTTCCTATGGCTGTGTACACACTCTTCATGGCTGATTCTCATATAGTATGATTTCCTTCCCTTTCCTAAGTAACTGTTTGTTTTCTGTAGAGTTAATAATCGTCGTGTTTGTTTGATGCTTAGTTTGTCACATGTTTATCACTTCTTAACTCCATGGTCCCCACTACCTGTGTAAACCTCCTCACAGTGTGTCCCAGCGCATTAGGTGGTACGTCAGCTTCATCCTCTTGAAGACGTCTCTCCTGGAGGCTTCTGACCTGTCTTGTTCTGGACAGTTGACTCTCTGCCTGCTGCACAGCTGCTGTCCCTGGGATATTTTTACCTCTCTCTTATTCATTTTGTTTTTAAATAATTTTGTTGACACATAATTTACATTGCCATAAAAGGTTGCCAATTGTAATGTACTATTCAGTAGGTTTCAGTATATTTACAGCATTGTATAAACATCATCAGAATGTTTCCATCACCTAAAAAGAAACTTTGTGCCCATCACAGTCGCTTCCCATTTCCACTGCCATCCCCAGGCAGCCAGTAATCCTCCCTCAGTCTCTATATATTTGCCTTTTTTGGATGTTTCATAAAAATGGAAGCAAAAACCTGTGGTCTTTTGTATCTGACTTCTTTCACTGAGCATAAGTTTTTTAAGGTTCATCCACATTGTAGCATGCATCAGTATTTCATTTCTTTACATTGATGAATAATTCATTATAAATCTACCACATCTTATTTATTCATTTATCAGTTGATGGACATTTGGGTTGTTTCCACTTTTTGGCTACTATGAATAATGCTGCTATGAACATTGTGTACAGACTTTTCTATGAACATATGTTTTTATTTCTCTTGGGACCTCTACATTGAATTTTCTGAAGAACTGCCAAATTGTTTTCTAAAGAGGCTGCACCATTTTACATTCCTATCAGTAATATATGAGGTTTCCATTTTCTCTATATCTTTCCAATGCTTATTATTATTATTATTATTATTATTATTATTATTATTGAGACGGAGTTTTGCTCTTGTCGCCCAGGCTGGACTGCAGTGGCGCGATCTTGGCTGTCTGCAACCTCCACCTCCTGGGTTCAAGTTATTCTCTTGCCTCAGCCTCCCGAGTAGCTGGGACTACAGGTGCACGCCCCCATGCCCGGCTTATTTTTGTGTTTTTAGTAGAGAGGGGGCTTCGCCATGTTGGCCAGGCTGGTCTCAAACTCCTGAACTCAGGTGATCCGCCCGCCTCAGCCTCCCAAAGTGCTGGGATTACAGGCATGAGCCACTGTGCCCAGCCCCAATACTTATTATTTTTTATCTTTTATTTATTTATTTATTTATTTATTTATTTATTTATTTATTTATTTATTGAGATAGGGTCTCTCTGTGCTCAGGCTGGAGTGCAGTAGCATCATTTTAGCTCACTGCAGCCTCGAACTCCTGGTTTCAAGCAATCCTCCCACCTCAGCCTCCTGAGTAGCTGGAACTACAGGCACATGCCACCTTTCCCGGTTAGTTATTTTTAAGTTTTTTATAGAGACAGGGTTTCACAATGTTACCCAGGCTGGTCTTGAACTCCTTGCCTCAAGTGATCCTCCTGCCTTGGCCTCCCAAAGTGCTGGGATTATAGGTGTCAGTCACTACACCTGACCTACATTTTTATTATTGCCATTCTAGTGGGTGGAAAGTGATATCTCATTGTTATTTTGTTTGTTTGTTTGTTTGTTTGAGACAGTTTCACTCTGTCACCTAGGCTGGAATAGAGTGGCGCAATCCTGGCTTAGTGCAACCTCCGCCTCCCAGGTTCAAGCGATTCTCCTGCCCCAGCCTCCTGAGTAGCTGGTATTACAGGCACCCACCACCATACCTGGCTAATTTTTGTGTTTTTAGTAGAGACAGAGTTTTGCCATGTTGGCCAGGCTGATCTCAAACTCCAGACCTCAAGTGATCCACCTGCCTCAGCCTCCCAGAGTGCTGGGATTACTGGCACGAGCCACAGTGCCTGGCCTCGTAGTGGTTTTGATTTGCATTTCCCTAATGTCTAATGATGTTAAACATCTTTTCATGTGCTTTTTCATCCTTTGTGTGTTGTCTTTAGAGAAATGTATATTCAAATATATATTCAAATCCTTTTTTTTTTTCTTAATTTTTTTCAAGACAAAGTCTCACTCTGTTGCCCAGGCTGGAGTGCAGTGGTGCAATCTCGGCTCACTGCAACCTCCACCTCCCGAGTTCAAGTGATTCTCCTGCCTCAGCCTCCAAGTAGCCAGGATTACAGGCACGCACCGCCATGCCCGGCTAATTTTTGTATTTTTAGTAGAGATGGGGTTTTGCCACGTTGGCCAGGCTGGTCTTGAACTTCGGACCTCTGGTGATCCACCCACCTCGGCCTCCCAAAGTGCTGAGATTACAGGTGTGAACCACCACACCCAGCTGCCCATATTTTAATTGGGTAGTTTATTGTTGAGCTGTAGAAGTTCTCCGTTTGTTCTGGATACCAGTTCTCTATGGGACATATGATTTGCAAGTATTCTCTTCCATTCTGTGGGTTATCTTTTCTCTTTCTTGATGGAATAGTTTTCAGCACCAAAGTTTTTAGTTTGATGTAGTCCAGTGTATCGATTTTTTTCTTTTGTTACTTGTACTTTTGACGTCTAAGAATCCATTGCCTTACCCAAGGTCATGAACATAATTCCTGTGTTTTCTTCTAGAAGTGTTATAGTTTTAGCTATTACTTTTAGGCCATGACTCATTTCGAGTTTATTTGGGGTTGTGGTGTGAGGTAGGACTCCAGCTTCATTCTTTTGCATGTGGATATCCAATTGTTCCAGCACAATTTTTTGAAAAGACTGTTCTTTTCCGATTGAGTTGTCTTAGCATCCTTGTCAAAACTTAGTTGAGCATAGTATCAGGTATTATTTCTGGACTCTCGATTTCATTGATCTATGTCTATTTTTATGCCAGTATCACACTGTCTTGATTATTGTAGCTTTGTAGTTTTTAAAACACGAAATGTGAGTACTCCATCTTTGTTCTTTTTCAAGGTTGTTTGGCCTATTCTGGGTCCCTTATATTTATTTCCATATGAATTTTTTTTACAAGGTTCTTGCTGTGCTGCCCAGGCTTGTCTCAAACTCCTAGCTTCAAGCAATCCTTCATTCTTAGCCCCCCAGAGTGCTGCGATTACAGGTGTAATCTCAGTTTCCATATTAATTTTGGGATCAGCTTGTCAACTTCTGCGAAAAAGCCAGTTGGGATTTTGATAGGGATTACACTGAATTTATAGATCAATTTGAGGAATATTGCCATTTTAATAATACTAAGTTTTCCGGTTCATGAATATGAAATGTCTTTCCATTTATTTAGATCTTCTTTAATTTCCCTCAACAATATTTTATAGTTTAGAGTATACAAATTTTGCAATTATTTTGTTAAATTTATACCTAAGTATTTTATTCCTTTTTGATGCTTTGTAAATGGAATTGTCTTCTTAATTTCCATTTTGGAATGTTCATTGCTAGTATATAAAATTACAATTGATGTATCCTACAACCTTGCTGAACTCATTCATCAGTTGTAATGGTGTTTTAGTAGATTCCGTAGGATTTTTCATTTACAAGATGTGTCATCTGCAAACAGATCGTTTTACTTCCTTCTTTCTAATATGGATGCCTTTTATTTCTCTCTCTTGCCCAGTTGCTCTGTTTAGAACCTCCATTACAAGGTTAAATAGAAGTGGATATCCTTGTTTATTCCTGATCCTGGGGGAAAGCTTTTGGCCTTTCCCCATAAGTGTGATGTGAGCTGTGAATCTCTCTCATTTTCCATCCCCTATTTGCTGGTTCCTTTGTCTCTTTCTTGGTCAGCACCATCCAGTAGCTTCCTGGAAAAGTGTGCATAGGGGAGGGGTAAAATATTTGAGATTTTTGAAAACTGAAACTCTATTCTACTCTCACGCTTAATCGATAATTAGGCTGAATAAAGAATTATAAGATGGAAGTCATTTTCCCTCTGAATTTTGAAACTGATCCATTGCTTCTAGCTTCCGACATTCCGGATGAGAAACCTGATGCCATTTTGATATCTCGTCATTTGTATGTGAACTGTCTTTTCCCTGGAAGCTTATAGGGCGTACTCTTTGTCCTCAATGTTCTGAAATTTCATGACGATATACCTCAGTGTAGGTCTCTTTTCATTCATTGTGCTGGGAAATTAATGGACCTTCTCAGTCTAGAAATCCATGCCTTCAGTTCTGGGACACCTTGAATGATTTCTTTGATTATTTCCTTCCACCGATTTTTCTGTTTCTGGAATTCCTACATTTTTTAGTTAGATCCCTGAGCTGGTCCTCCAATTTATCTTCTGTTTTCTATCTGTCTCTTCATTTTTGGTTCTACTCTACAAAATTTCCTCAAGTTTGTCTTCCAACTCTTTTATTGAGTTTGCATTTCTGCTGTCAGACTGTGTATTTATTTCCAAGAGCTCCATTTTATTTTGTGAATGTTCTTTTGTTGAGCATTCTGTTCTTGTCTCACAGACGCACCATTTTCTTTAGTCTCTGATGATATTTTGTTTTTGAAGTTTTCTTCTTCCTGCAGAGTCTCTGTGTCCTTCCAGTTACCTTTCCTGTTTGTGTATTTGTCCATCTCTCGTGTTAGGTTTCCCTTAAATGTTTGTGGCTCCTTGGCTGTGTCTTCAAGTTAAATGTGGGGCAGAAGAGAAGATGGTTGTGGATCTGTGTGGTGAGTGGGCTCTGCTGACTGATAATCCCAGTAGGATAATCCAATGGGAACTCAATATAGGTGTTTGTTCTCTAGAGCTAGTCTGGTTCTGCATAGAAAATGTTTTCATTCTCCTACCTAGCAAATGGACTCCTGATCACAGCCTTCTGATTGTGACCTGTCTTTTCTGTGGAAGCTTGTAGGGCGTACTCTTTGTCCTCAATGTTTCATGACATATATACCTCAGTGTAGTATTTCATGACAATATACCTCAGTGTAGGTCTCTTTTCATTCACTGTGCCGGGAAATTAATGGACCTTCTGAGATCCATGTGGGCAAGAGGGCAAAGGTGGGCAATCCAAAAATCTTCACTTACCGCCTCTGCTCCCAGGATGGCACCCTGTGCCTCAGCCAGGCATCAAGAGGCCCTCTGTCGTACTCCTTTCTGAGACTCTGCCTCTGGTTTTCTGCTGGGATGAGAGGAAACATTTTCTTGGCAGAAGTAGGAAGAGAATCTAGGGATCTTACTGCCTTTAGGCTGACTTGCAACAAGCCCTCCTCTTATTTCACTTCCAGAGATACCTGGTGTTGCCACCAATCCCAGAGCCTTTGGGGTTTTCTAGCACAAACCTGAGTGCCTGTTTGCTTGCATCATCATGGCTTAGGGTTCGGCTTTCTTGGCTTTGCTGAGTCAGCACTCCACATCTCTTTCCCAGCTGCCAAACTTTGTTACTATCATCTTCTTCCCTGGTTGTTCTATCTTTGTGGATTGATGCATTATTTAAAAAATTATACCGTTGTCTTAGTGGAGTTTCTGGGTGGAAATAGGGCTAGTGCATTCATTGAACTCACAATCTTTAACCACGATCTCTGGCTCTTCTGTTGGGTTCCCTGAGCCTCAACATCATCATCTGTAGAGTGGGACAAAAGATCCCTTTCCTGATGTCTGCCCAGGAGACTTTGTGAAGATTAGATGGGTTTTTGCATAAAGATTTACCATTCAAACAGCGGGATGTATGACTGTCTGTTCTAAGTGGTGCTTGGACTAAAGGATTGAGGGGTACCCTCTAGAGGCTGGGACTGGAGAAAAGGCCAGCCTGGGCTGCGGGATACTGTATCAGTTACAAACAACCACAGACCTCACTGGCATGCAGCAATAAGTGTTTAGGTAACTCAGGAGTCTTCAGAGTTCACCTGATCCAGGCTGGGCAGGCCAAACGACTGCCTACCTTTTTTTTTTTTTTTTTTTGAAACAGAGTTTTGCTCTTGTTGCCCAGGCTGGAGTGCAGTGGCACAATCTCGGCTCGCTGCAACCTCCGCCTCCCGGGTTCAAGCGATTCTCCTGCCTCAGCCTCCAGAGTAGCTGAGACTACAGGTGCACGCCACCACGCCCGGCTAATTTTTGTATTTTTAATAGAGATGGGGTTTCACCTTGTTGGCCAAGATGTTCTCGATCTCCTGATCTTGTGATCCGCCCACCTGGCCTCCCAAAGTCCTGGGATTACAGGCATGAGCCATCACGCCTAGCCTATGACTGCAGATCTTGACTGGGCTCACCCTTGTGCCTGGGGGCAGCTGACTGTCGGATGATCTAAGAGATCCTTGGCTTGGACAACTGGGCCAACTGAGCTCTGTTCCACGCATCTCTGCATCTCAGCTCTAGTTCATATGTATTCCCATGGAGGTGGCAAAAGGACAAGAAAGCAAGCAGAAACATGCAAGTGCTTTTTCAAGCCTCTGCGTGTGTCACATTTGCTCTCATTGGCTGAAGTTAGCCACACGTGTCTGAGCCCAGAGGAAGAGAGTGGGGAGAGGCATCCTACTCAGTGCAAAGGACATGAATGCAGGAAGGGGTAAGGAATTGGGACCATTGGTGCAAACTCTACCATGAGTGTCTAGGCATGGCTCCGGAACAGAGCACACCCCAGCCTCGATTATTTTCCTGCAAACACAGAATATTTTGCCTAAACAAGGAACCTGGGGTTCTGCCACCCTGATTTGCATTCAGTTAAAAGAGCTAATCCTTTACTTGCTACTGGAAGAAATGCTGCCCATCTCTAAAACAATCAGACATGATCTCTCTGATAGAGTAGTACACTCTCCAGGCCCAGGCTGGAGCTGTAGATCACAGGCAACCGATGAAATTTGCTTAATTATTTGATTCAATCAGAAGTTGGCTTAATTATTTTCTTGCTCTCACCTCTTTTGAATCCATTCTGGAAACTGATTATGTCTATAACACCAACCCAGAGATAAGCATTTCAATTGGGAAATGTAATTAGCCAAGGAAAATGAATGTGGGAGCTGCCTTTTGTCAAAGCACCATTAAAACCCAGCTCTGGTCAATACCAATGTGGTGTGAAGACAAAAGGCTCAGTTTGCTCCTCTTGTGACTGGAGAGGGAAGGCCCAGCAGGAGGTGGGAAAATAGGTATCTTGGGATCTTAGCAAAAGGAAGCTCATTAATTCATTCATTCAGAGGCTTTTCTAGGCCAGCTCTGGGATGGATGCTAGAGATGCAAAGGTGCACTGGCCACGTCCCTTGCCTCGAAAGAGTTCTCTTCTTAGAGGAGGGATTCACACGTAATTATGTGGTCAAAGTGCTACGGGAATACAGAGGAAGGAGCCACTGATTCTGCCTCTGGGAACTTCACAGAGCAGGTTACGTTGAGCTGGGCTTTGAAGAATAAGCTGGAGTCTCCCAGGTGAGGAGGGCATTCTAGGTAAAGGGCACAGCACGTGCAAGGGCATGGTGGCGTGAGAGTACAGGAGTACTTGTTAGGGGTCCACTAGAGCAAGCCTGCTGAGGGCTTCTTGGGTTATCCTAGCTCCTCCTAGAATAAAGTGTCCTTGGGCCATCCCACCTCAACTTTTCAGTGCCTGGGGATCCTGCCTCGCCTCCCACTTTGCCCTCTAGATGGCATTATTAAGGATTCTCTCCCAGTGTTTGTTTTAATGGAAGTCGAAGGCGTGTGGCATTTGAGGGAGACTGCGCCATCTGAAAGCCGGGGGCTGGGTTCAAGGCACCTGAGAACAACAGATGCACATGGTAGAGCTGAAGAATGAGAGGGTGCTCGGGGCAGAAGGTCCATCCTGGGCTGAGGCTCAGCGGTACGGCATGCTGAGCTGAGTGTGGCTGTGGCATGAAATGAAAGGTGAGGCTTTCATCTGAGTGAGCTGCCCAGCTGGGCATGGGCTGGATCACAAAGGGCCATTTACAGGCCATTGCAGACCAGCTCCTTGGCCTTGGCCTCTATGATGGGGGACTCTCTTAACACTGCTCCGACTGTAGCCCCTCTCCTGCAAGTCTTCACTTCTTCAAAAGAGGTCAGTGCTCAGAGCAGTGGTCTCTGGTTTGCTTGGATCTCTGCCTAAGGCAGAGCTTGTCTGGAATGCAGTGAGGTGGAGAGGTTATCTGACCAGGTGGCTCCTGCACCTGGGGAAAGGGAAAGGGAGGGAGGACCACCACGACCACGGTCTCCAGGGCCACGGCAAGGTAGACCCACCAAACCTCTGCCCAACTCGTTCCTATTTACCTTAACCCTTAGCCATCCTTACAAGGAAGAATTCAGCCAAGAGTGACCAGGCACTAATAGAAGCTGCCAGGCCCTGCCTCCCTCTGAGACACACAGCCACTGACTACCAGATCCCATCCAATGTCATCCATGTACACACACTTCGTAATGGGGTGTGGTGACCAGCATGTGTGCATTTTATACCCTGCTTTTTTGCTTGGTAGGATCTTGAAGCCTCATCATCTGCCTTCCCCAGGTGGGCCCCATCTCACCTGTGAGGCCGCTGGTGTGGGGAGAGAGCACAAGTACAGTAGGCATTCGGGCCATGGTTCCTGCTTATTTGCTGTGCAGCTTTGGACAAGCTTCTTAGCTTTCTGAGCCTCAGTTTTGTCATCTGGAAATGGAGATAATATAACCACCTACACTGCAGTATAATTATGAAGATTAAGAGTATAAAATTCTCAGCCAGGCATGATGGCTCACGTCTGTAATCCCATCACTGCGGGAGGCCAAGGTGGGAGGATCACTTAAGTTCAGGAGTGTGAGACCAACCTGGGCAATACAGTGAGACCTCATCTCTATTAAAAAAAAAAAAAAAAAGCCAACTGCGGTGGCATGTGTCTGTACTCCTAGCTATTCAGGAGGTTGAGGTGTGAGGATGGCTTGAACCTGGGAAGTGGAGGTTGCAGTGAGCTGAAAGTGCGCCACTGCATTCCAGCTTGGTTGACAGAGCAAGACCCTGTTTCCAAAAAAAAAAGTAAAATTCTTGGTTTAGGTTTTGGCATGAAGGCTGTATTAGACACATAACCATGATGATCATGGAGGCTGCTAGACCCAGCTCAGATTACTACCCAGTGGACTAGCTGGATGACCTTAGGCACTAGTCATTTAAATTCCTCCTCTGTGAACCGGGTTTAACAACACTGCTCAGGGTGGGGATAAGGAACAAACAGACTAAGTCCTGCCTGTGGATAGACTTTGGAAATGGATACTTCATGTCCTTGTCGTAGTCCAGGGCACTGGTGGTATTTCCTCTGCCAGGTGATTTGAGAACTCCTCACGGGTCCCCAGTGAGAGGCGGTGAGCGACTGTGTGAAGGAATGAGACAGCATGGGAGGTGGAGGAGGTTGGTGTCTGCACCCACCCTGCCCGAGAACGGGACAGTGGGGGATACGTGCAGGACAAAATGGCCTTGCCCCCGACTCCAGGCTCCAGAGGCTGGGGGTGAGCATTCTCTACCCCCATCCCAAAGCTATGGCAGAGGAACCCTGCAGCAAAAGGACACGGAGTGCCCATGGTATTCTGTGTGAAAGTCACTGAGGCCAGAGACAGCTCTTCACATCCTGTGTTGCTCAGGCCTTCCCCACCCTGTCCCCCTGTGGGGTCTCAGCCCCAGTTCTGGGCAGGGAGTGTGGGATGCTTAGGAGCGGGGTACAGGCTGAGCCTCAGCCACCCTCACGGGAATCCATCCTGGGCCCCTGGCCCTGGCCAGACAAGCTGGCAGATTGCCCAGCCACATCCAAAGGCAATGCATGCTCTGAGCACAGAGCCTGGCCGAGGACACCAGAGAGCAGGAGAGCGTGGGGGCCGTGCAGACACATGACAAGGCTTTGATAACACAGTCTACCTGCCATGTCTGAAAAATCAGGCGTGCGTCTTCCTGGCAGGGAATGCAGTTTCCTGTTAATGAGTTGTGAGAGGTTGGAACAAGTTATCAGAGAGAGGCTGGGAGGACTGCTTCCCGGGGCAGCTTCCAGGAGATGGAAGCCAGGCCCCAGCCTCCTCCCTTTGGGCGGCTCAGCTATTTGAGGAGCATCTCTCAAAGGGCTGAACTAAAGCCTGGAGTGAGAGTCCCCAGCCTAGGCCAGGACCTGCTGGTGGATCTTGAGCCCCTGCTGCGAGCTTCTCCGGGCCTTAGCTGCTGCACTCCCCTGCCTCAGCAGGGACTGGCCGGAGTCCCCTCCCCTCTGCAACCTCGGGTTCTCAGAGGGACCAAAGCCAGTAACCCCATGACAGACGGATCTCTGTGGTTCCTCGCTGCTTGCAAAGCACTCACACTTGTCATCGTATTAGGCACTCACAACAATCTGTTTGAGAGAAACAGGCTCAGGGAGGTGAAGTGCTCAAGGTCATTCTGCCTGGTGGGTCTGTTTAGGGTAATGCTGGCTGCTGTGACAGATAAACCCAGAGACTTCAGTGCTTGGAGACAACAGACATTTCTTTCTTGCTCATGTAAAGTCATATTGATGGTGGGGAGAGCTCTGTTCCCTCTGATGACTCAGGCACTCAGGGTGATGGAGGCGCCATCATCTTCAGGTTGTAACACCCAAGATTGCCTCGGCCTTGGAATATCCATGAATGGTTTTTATGGGCCAGGCCTCAAAGTGGTGTATGGAGCCTATGCCCACACCCCATTGGGTCCTGCGGCTCCACCTAGATGCAGAAAGGCTGGGAAACGCAGTGCCTGCCTGGGCGGCTATTTCCCTTCAACGGCTCTGTCTAAGGAAGGGGAACTGGTGCAGAATCGTTGCTGGCACAGTAGAGGATATTACCCTCAAATAAAGGCTGGGGACCCCTAGTGAGAGTTTGGTCACCTAGGCGTCAACAAGTGCCCAGTGTGGTCTGAGACCTGGAAGAAGACTCGCTGTGTGGCTCTGACCCCAGAAGGATTCTGGATCTCCAAATGCTGTTCCAGCCTTCTCGGCAGCCTCTTGCCCCTTCGTTAGCTTCTAATGTACATGGTTTGCTCATGGCCCAGCCCTGAGACACCCCTCTGTGGCTCCTCATGGCCCTCAACATAGAGACCAAACCCCTTGGCCTGCATTTGAAGTCTTTCCCAGGATGGCTCCAGCTGACTGGCCACATTGCTCCCCTTATTCCCTCCCCCGAAACCTATGCTCCTCCCTGACCAGCTTCCTACCTCAGGGCCTTTGCACATGCTGTGCTCTCTGCCTGGAATGTCCCCCCTGTTGCTCTCCACCCTGCGGGTTCCTGCTCATCCTTCCCGATCCATCACAGGTCCATGAGGCTTCCTGAGCAGAGTTAGCCACTCGGCCAGCATTTATTGAGAGCTTACTGTGTACCAGGCACTGCAATAAAAGCTTCCCAGGAATTAACTCATTGAGCTCCCAAGCCTACAAGGCAGGCGTCCCATTTTCTTTTTCTTCTTTTTTTTTTTTTTGAGATGGTGTCTCGCTCTGTTGCCCAGGCTGGAGTGCAATGATGTGATCTAGTTCTGTCACCCAGGCTGGAGTGCAATGGCATGATCTCGGCTCACTGCAACCTCTGCCTCCAGGGTTCAAGCAATTCTCCTGCCTCAGCCTCCCGAGTAGCTGGGACTACAGGCGCCCACCACCACGCCCAGCTAATTTTTATATTTTTAATAGAGACAGGGTGTCACCATGTTGGCCAGGATAGTCTCCATCTCTTGACCTCATGATCTGCCCACCTCGGTCTCCCAAAGTGTTGGGATTACAGGCATGAGCCCCCGTGCCTGGCCAGGCATCCCATTTTCTAGATGAGGAACCCAGGTCTGTGAGGAGTGTGTGTGAGGTCACACAGCTGCAGAGTGGCAAAGTCAAATTCCAAACCCAGGTCCCCGTGGCTCACAGCCAGGCCTTAACAGCTGCATAAACTTCCACCTATTCTTAGCACCTGTCACAAGGCTTCATAATCATTCATTTACTTGCTGTTTTGCTGGGAAATTGCTTACTGTCTTTCTGAGAAAGCAGCTGCAGCCTCCGTAAGGACAGAGGTCAGGCCTGATGCATCCTAGAATCTTCCTCACCACTGTCCCCACCAGCACCAAGGCCAAGGTCTGGGTGGTGATTTCCTCTCAGATAAATCCCTTACCCTTTGAGAACCAGAAAGAGAAATTCCTCAGATTATGGTCTGTCATAATCCCCTCCCTGCTTCCCTGTCAGTTTTTGACAGTTACCCTGAAACCGTTTTAAAATGATCTCAGAGGCAGAGACTGGCCTTCTCCACGCATGATTAAGCACGATGGCTTTTTAATGATTTGAGCTGTGCCTTCTGTGAATTGACAAAAATGGATTACCATATATTTCTGAAAGCCACACTGCCAAAATCAGATTTTTTTTTTTTTTTAGTTTTCTCAGCCATCCTCGAAAACCTTAGCTGAGAATGACAAATACTAGGGGCTTTAATTGTTCAGTCACATGAGGGTGGTGCCTCCTGAGTTCTGAGAACTGCTCTCGCCAGGAAAGCCTTGAAATGCTCCTGGGCTTCGATCTTTAGGAAATTGAACTGTGTGTTTTCTCTGAAGCGGAGAGCTGTCTCCTGGGCCGTGGCACGTTTGCTGCATTTGTGAATTGTTTGGGCACTGAGGTCTGAAACAGAGGCAGTTCTTGCCCCAGAAGCATGCTCAGGGCTGTCACGACTGGATGAGGCCTGGCTTGGCTGTGGGTGGGTGGACAGGGCAAGCGGGGAGGGGGTTCTCCCTGTGTGGGCACTTCCTCCTCCTTTTCACTCTCCTGCCAGACTCTGTTCATGGAGTCCTGCACCCTTCACCTGATTCAGGCCACCCACATCTGCGACAGGGTTATTGCTAGTACCTTGGACAGATGCAGACTCGCTGCTGGCTCAGAGAGGTTAAGTCATTTGGCTGTGGTCACAGGCTGGTAAGCCACAGAGCCAAGGCACATGGTTTGACCACAAGCCTGTGCTTCCCCCACAATCGCTGCTGCTTTAAAAAAATCAAATGAGGCCAGGCCTGGTGGCTCATGCCTGTAATCCCAGCACTTTGGGAGGTCGAGGTGGACAGACCGCCTGAGCCCAGGAGTTTGAGACCAGCCTGGGCAACATGGCGAAACCCCGTCTGTACAAAAAAATTAGCCAGGCGTGGTGGCATGCTCATGTAGTCCAGCTACTCAGGAGGCTGAGGTGGGAGGATCACGTGAGCCCAGGGAAGTCAAGGCTGCAGTGAGCTGTGATCGTGCCACTGCACTGCAGCTTGGACAACAGAGTGAGACCCTGACTCAAAAAATAACAATAATCATCATCATCGTCATCATCATCATCATCATCATCATCATCATCATCAAATGAGAGGCAACTCATAGGTATCCTCTGTAGTCCATTTACATTTAAGGAAAACAAACCTCATTGTGTATCCACTAGCATCAGTGGCTTCAGTCGTCTACATTATCTGCATTTCACAGAGGAGGATGTTGAGGCTCATGAGATAAGGTAGCTGACCAGAAGTCACACAGCTAGTAATAGGACAATTATGATTTTATTCTAAGTCTACCTGATTCCAAAGTTTCTGCCCTACTCTGTCCTTTGTAGGAATCTGTCTCAGGCTCCTTCCTCCCTCTCTAACACAGGTAAGTCTGGCAAGGGGAAGCCTGAGTGGCTTCTGTGAGGTTCTGGAAGGGGCCTGTGGACCAAAGAAAAGGGAGGCCCTTGGTCTATAGGAGTGTGGGCTGGTCTCCTCTTTACTGATGCTGGGAGTAAACCAGATGGATTCGTCATGGCCTGATGGAGAGAAGGCCACCTGTCTGGCCTGTGGTCATGTGTGCTCTCGGCTCCTGCTCTGTTCTATGTCAGGGTTAATTTACTATATATTTACTCCAAACCTACCATGCACCTGGCATCACACTAGGCTCTTTGGTGGCTCCAAAGATGCATCTGGCAGGATCTCTTCCTTCCAGGGCTACCATCTGTCAGAGAAAAAGACCAACTCAGACCCTCCTATGAGTGAGCCTGGGCCAGGGGATCAGTGGTGGGGCCCAGAATGGTGTAGGTAAGAAGAGCCATCCCTCGAGGGCATCTGGGGGGGCTCCTGCAGAGGGTGCCCAGGCTCCTAGGGAGAGGCGGCAGCTCTCTGCAAGGTAGTGCCTGCTGCAGGGGGGCCTTGCTCCAGCCCAGAGGTGGGAGATAGGGTCAGGCTAAGCCACAGGCCTTCAGGAGGTAGCCTGTGGTCTCAAAGCCAAGAGTACTTCCCTGGGACCTTCTTGGACCCTCCAAACCAGGCCCAGTCTCCCAAGTTGTGCAGGAATGGAATGGCACAGCAGTGAAGGGCAGAGCAACCAGGGAAGATGGCCAGAGTTGAGTCCTGGCTCCCTGTTCATCAGCCCTGGGAGGTTTAGATGATTCTCTAAGCCTCAGTTTCCCCATCTGTAAAACAGGGGCAGGAATTGCACCCTCCTCCTCAGGTGTTGTGAGACTTAAAAGAGGTGCTGTCTGTGGTGCGCTCAGCAACATGGTGTCGGCCTTCACGCAGGTTTGCGTCTGCGGCGTCCGGCATTTTGCATGATCTCTAGCCCTCAGGATGGTTTGCAAGGTGGAGGTCTTGCTCCCACTGTGGAGGATGAGGAAACTGAGGCAGCTAGTAAGTGGTGGATCCAAGCGTGGGTTTCCAGGACTCAACCCATTCTGCTGGCCCACTGCCTGCAGCTAAGCTATCCCAGCAACTACAAAGACCCTCCCTGGGGCTCAGCTCCCTACCAGGCTCTCCTGGCACTGCCTCTGCTATCTCTTAATGTTTTACAGGGGTGAATGGGACCTCTTTGATTTCCTTTCTTTTCTCCTTTCCAATAATCATCATTAATCTTGTTATCAGAGCCATGCATCTGCACCTCTTGGCTGTGGTCCACAGGCCGTGTTTGCCATGATCAATGCATAGCTCTGTGTGGCCACAATGTATACCCAAGACAGCACTGCAACCCTGTGTCCGTGGGCCTGGGAGGCTCTGGCACTGTCAAAGACAGCTGGAGGCTCCCCCAGGAGCTGAGGTGAGGCACCTGGCTCACATGCCCTGTGGTCTTGTTGAATTCTTGTTCCTGGACTGGTAAACAGCTACCCCCACAGCTGGGGAGCATCTCCAGCTGCCTTCACAGGGTCTCAAAGCACAGACCCAGGTGCTCCTGCCCCCGTCCTCCTCATCCGTAAGTGCCTAGAGGACAATTCACCAAACCAAGATGGGTAGCTCTGGAGTCCCGTTGGGCCCAGCCACTCATCATACAGCAGCCAGTCAGATCCAGTTCCTAAGCCATCCAGACCCCCTTTCTTGAAGCCCCAGGGCCATGTGTGATCTGGCCTCCACCCCCTCACTGCCCACTACTTTCCCCCTTTCCCGCTGCACACAACCTTTATCTTGGGATTTTCAATGTGCTGTGCATTCTGCCCGCCGTGCCCTTGGCCCCTTTCTCCTGGGCCTCCTTCAAGCCTCTGCCCGAACGCTGCCCATCTCCTGGCTGTGCTCCCCCGCCACACCTAAATGGAGCTCCTCCTTAGCCACTCTGTTTTTCTGCATCACACACGTTACATTTAGATGTGTCTCTGTGTGTCTTTCCCCTCATTCCACTAGGCTCCAGTGCCAGGCACACCCCGAGTACCCAAAAAATACATTTGGGATGAATGAATGAATGAATCTTGAACAAGTGACTTAATTCCTCTAAGCCTCAATCTTCGTCTGTAAGAGGGGGACAATGAGTTTTTATTTTGTTTATTTATTTATTTATTATTTTTATTTTTATTTTTTTTTGAGACGGAGTCTTTCTCTGTCGCCCAGGCTGGAGTGCAGTGGTGTGATCTTGGCTTGCTGCAAGCTCCGCCTCCCGTGCTCACGCCATTCTCCTGCCTCTGCCTCCTGAGTAGCTGGGACTACAGGCGCCCGCCACCACGCCCGGCTAATTTTTTATATTTTTAGTAGAGATGGGGTTTCACCGTGTTAGCCAGGATGGTCTTGATCTCCTGACCTCGTGATCCGCCCACCTCGGCCTCCCAAGGTGCTGGGATTACAGGCGTGAGCCACTGCGCCCAGCCGAGCTTTTATTTTTTTGATTTTTAATTTATTTTAATTTATTTATTTTTGAGACAGAGTCTCTCTCTGTCACCCAGGCTGGAGTGCAGTAGCGCAATCACGGCTCACTGCAACCTCCACCTCATGGGTTCAAGCGATTCTCATGCCACACCCTCCTAAGTAGCTAGGACTACAGGTGTGCACCACCATGCCCAGCTGACTTTTGTATTTTTAGTAGAGATGGGGTTTCACCATGTTGGCCAGGCTGGTCTCGAACTCCTGGCCTCAAATGATCCACCCACCTCAGCCTTTCAAAGTACTGGGATTACTGGCATGAGCCACTGCACCTGGCCCAATGATAGAGTTTTTAAAAGATGGATGTGAAACAAACAGCACAGTGCCAGGCAAAAAAGGATTGTTCTTAACTTCTGATAAGGAAGGGTTGGCTGGCATTTAGAATTCCACATTCCACAAGAAGCTTTTGTGGGGGTGTCCACCCTGGGCTAGGATCTCAGAGCCTCATGGAGTCAGTGTCTGGCTCCCAGCACCTCACACCACAGAGGAATTGCCTCTGGCCAGGGCACTGGCTGTCTAGGTGGCCTCCTCACATAGAGGCAGTGCAGGGAGGGTGTCCAATCCTTCACTCCGCAGATCCCAAAGGCACCTTGACCCTGCAGGGTCTGTGTAGGCTTAAATCAACCAGGCTTAGATCTAGCCATGAAGACACTCCCTGCCTGGAATGGACTTGAGAAAAGGACACAAATTACTGTAATAGAAGTTGAGAAACAATGCCTTTGATATAAACGTTCAGAGGAGAAAAACCTCAGATCCACGTGGGAGAGTCAGGGATGTCTTCACGGAGGAAGAAACATTTTATCTAGAAGTTAAAGTAGACATTGGATTGAGACGTGTGGGGACATTGTGTGTTAGAAGAGGGCATGCCAGGTAGAGAAAACAGCTTGAAGAAAGGGCTGGAGGCTGGAGAGAGTGGGCCACATGGAAGCAGTAGTTTGCCTAGAATGTGGAACACATGAAAAGACGATTAAGACATAGGCGGCCAGTCGCGGTGGCTCACGCCTGTTATCCCAGGCCTGTCTCGTGGGAGACCGAGACAGGTGGATCACTTGAGGCCAGGAGTTTGAGACAAGCCTGGCCAACATGGCGAATCCCCACCTCTGCCAAAAACACAAAAATTAGCCGGGCATGCTGACGCATGCCTGTAATCCCAGCTACTTGGGAGGCTGAGGCAATGAGAATCACTTGAACCCAGGAGGTGGAGATTGCAGTGAGCAGAGATCACACCACTGCACTCCATCCTGTGTGACAGAGCGAGACTGTGTCTCAAAATGTGTATGTATGTATGTGTATGTATATATATATGTGTGTATCTATATATGTGTATGTATATATGTGTGTATATGTGTGTATGTATGTGTGTGTATATATATGTGTATGTATATGTGTATGTATATATGTATATATATGACATAGGACTGTAAGAACATTGTATCAGTCATCTATTTCCATAATAGGGTTGTATTATAACAAAGTATTCCACAGTGAGAGGCAGACCACAGTGTTGTTTGTGACTGCAGATAGGCTGGAATTTGGTTTATCTAGGCTGCATCTAGCTAGATCCAAGTCTGCTCTGCACATATCTCATCCTTCCTGGACCAGTGGCCATTTGAGGTTCATTCTTCTCATGGTGAAGGGTGGGAGCCTAACGGAGCAAGCCCAGCCATGCAAGCATGTTTCAGATCATGTCCTCTAATCCCTGTGGCAAGTCTCATGGCCAAACGTAAGATCAAGGGCAGAGTTTAATTCCCCACCCACTATGAAGCCAAAGCAAGTTACATGGAAAAGCACAAGGTTAATGGGATAGGGATATTTACTCCTCCCAAGGAGGGAGAGGGAAGGAGTGAAGATTTGTTGAACAACCATCTAATTTCCCCAGGCAAGTAGAGGCCAGAGTGTGAAGGGTCTCTGTGTCTGCTGTTAGGAGCTGACCAGAGCAGTAGCTGGACTTTGATGTCTGGTGGGATGAGCGGCAAAGGGCTCTGATTTTTGCCCTTCTCCCCATTGAGGCAAAGAGAGTACTGCAGTCCTATTGGGTAGTTAAAATGCCCCAGTCCCTGCCCAGCTCTGTCCTGACTTCCCCATGGCTCACACTTTCTGCTTGCCTGGCACAAAGGTAGTACCTTCTCTGCTGGGCCAATCATCTGCCAGGGCTCTTAGCTTTGCCAAGCCTGAGGGTGACTTTCTCTGCTGGAACTGAACCTTGTGATAACAGCCCCATGCATTGAGTACCTACTGGTATGCTGGGTGTGTCATATTCTCCTGTAGTGAGTGCCTGCTGAGTGCTGGACAGTGTATGGGGGTTCTTTATATGTATTCTTCCAAACTCATCACCATACCACCCTAAAAGGGAGACCTCATTGTCCCATTTTACTTTGTTTAATTTTTGTTTTTGCAGCAGGGTCTTGCTCTGTCGCCCAGGCTGGAGTGCAGTGGCGCCATCACAGCTCACTGCAGCCTCTACCTCCTGGGCTCAAGCAATCTTCCCACCTCAGCCTCCCAAGTAGCTGGGGCCACAGGCACATGCCCCTATGTCTGGCAAATTTTTGCATTTTTTGTAGAGACAGGGTTTTGCCATGTCGCCTAAGCTGGTCTTGAACTCCCGGGCTCAAGCGATCCACCTACCTAAGCCTCCCAAAGTGTTGTAATTACATGCCTGAGCCACTGCACCCCGGCTCATTATCCCATTTCACTGAGGGTGCAAGAGGTCAAGTCAGTTGCCCAAGCTCACACAGCAAGGATGGATGAGGCTGAGATCAGAACCGGGTCTGTTTGGCTTCAAAGCCCACGCTGTCTTCCCTATCCAGGCCTCGCAGGAAACATAAAGTTCACGTGCTCTGGAAGGTGGCTTCTGGTCACAGCTCTGCCCTGAGTTTTGTGACTTTGGAGATATCACTCCAGAATTCTGGGCTTCAGTTTTGAGATGAAAGCAGTTCAGAGCTTGCTCTACAGCACGGTCAGAGGGAGTTTTTAAACACAGGTTTCCAGATCAGACAGCACCCTCAGCTCTTATTTAAAAACAAACATTAACATTTTACAAACACACCCTGTTTTCCAATGAGGAGCTGTGTCCAGCAGACTGCTTCAGTGAACTGTGTCCAGCCACTTGTCACAGGGAACCTTCTCCAGCCATTGGCTGCAGTAATCATTCTCCAGCCAGCTGTGGCAGCAAAGCGTGGCATCTGCTCAGGAAGGGTGGAGGAAGCCATTAGTTCCACCAGGGCCCTGACGTCTGTGGCTGCCCATTTCGCCCCCCCGACAGGGATTTCCTTGGTAGCTGGCCACTACTGTGTGTGCTGTGTCTTCTCCGAGTCCCAGGGGCCTGGTAAAGTGTTGGAGAGCCCCAAGAAAGAGCTGTTGGCATTTCCAATCGCCATTCATTCATTCATTCAACAACCACTCGTTTCTGCCTTCTCTGTGCCCAGCCTGAGGATGGATGCTGGGGCCACTGGGAAATGTTAGACCCAGCCACTGCACCCTGGGATTCACAGGCACCTATGCAGAGACATACAATATCGTGTACACAGTGCTGGGACAAAGTCACATGCAGCAGAGTTGGTGGGCATCAATGGGCATGGTCAGTTCTGCTTGGTGGCTCAGGAACGTCTTGGGAAAAGGCTGAATGTATGAGCCAAGGCCAGAAAGATGAGTAGGTGTTTACCGAGCCATCTCTGCAAAGGAAGGCATCCCAGGCAGAGGGACCCATATCAGCAGGCACGCCAGGGAGTCTGAGGAGCTGCTGGTGGTCTGATGTGGGTCAAGCATCACTTTGCAAAGAGAGCAGGACAAGAGGTGAGGCTGGAGAACTTGCCACGGCTGGGACCATGGGTTCTGCACGCTGTGTCCAGGAGTTTGAACTTGGAGAACTGAGGCAGGGGTGAGGTTGAGGGCTGTTAAACAGGGCGGTGATGTGATCATTATGCTCATCTTTCATGTATCAGCCTCCAGTAAGAGCATTCTATTGGGTTCCAGGAAGAATCCCTAAAAAATATCTTTCCTTCCAGAGGCTTCAAGAAACCTTTGCCTGGAAATATTCAGCCTCAGAGCACAGTGCTATGTCACCCAGGAAATAGCTATCATGGGAAAATTCAAGGAAAATATTCCTGCTCAAGGAAAAAAAATTAAAACACGACACACGAGAAACAGACCAGATAGAAATGGAGAGGTCCCAGTCCGTAAATGGGTTTTATGCCGCCAGAAGACCTCATCATATTAGACGATCTGGTTTTAAACAATAAACTTTGGGTAATGGGGATGTCACTTTAATTCATCTTCCTAAAAAACCCATGTGGCAAAAACATTCCAGTTGCTATTGCTACATTGCAAATTACTCCAAAACTTGGGGGCTTAAAACAATTATTTTATTATGCTCACAGATTGAGTGGGTCAGTAATTCAGAAAGGGCACAACAGGGGACAGCTTGTCTCTGTGCAGTCATGTATAGACCCTCAGCTGGGAAGGCTTGAAGGCTGAGGCTGACTCGACAGCTGGGTGGTAGTATTATCTGGAAGCTTTTTGAGTCATGCGTTGCAATTGATGCTGGCTGTTGGCTAGAACCTCAGATGGGACTGTCAGTCAGAAAACTGATACATGGCTCTCTACATGTTTTCTCCTTGAGAGCTAGCTATCTTGGGCTTCCTTACAGTATGGTGGCTGGTTCCAAGATCCAACATTCTGAGAGGCAGGAAGTGGAAGCTGCCAGTTTCTTAAGGTCTGGGCCTTAAGGTCAAGCCAGGCACAGTGGCTCACACCTGTAATCCCAGTGCTTTGGGAGACTGAGATGGGAGGATCGCTTGAGGCCAGGAGTTCAAGACCAGCCTGGACAACATAGTGAGACCCCCATCTCTACAAAAAAATTTTAAAAGTTATCCAGGCATGGTGGTGCACTCCTGTAGCCCCTGCTTCTCGGGAGTTCAAGGATGCAGTAAGCTATGATCACACCACTGCACTCCAGCCTGGATGACAGAGCAAGAGACCCTGTCTCAAAAAAATAAAGAAAATAGCACCTCATCCTTTCTGCTTCATTCCGTTGGTCCAGATGATCACAATGGTCTGCCCAGGTTCAAGGGGAGGAGCCATGGGAGGTGTGTCAGTGTCACAAGAAAAGCTTCGTTCTTCTTGTGGGATAAGATACACCACAGCAGCTGCCTTTGAAAAGATGGTCTGCCACACAGCCACATGGGTTTCTGTGGATGCTGAGAAAAACGTGTGTGTTGTTTCTTTACAGATTAAGAAAAGTCTGTGCATTGTCTCATTAAATTAAATGCAGCCATTAGTATGTGGCTCTGGGGATATTGTGGGAATAGGCTATGCCTTGGGTGATTTTTTTTCTTCTAAATGTTCTTCCTGGAGTTTGTGTTGCCAGCCTGACCATTTCTCTTTGCTAATATGATATCACATAAAAACATCATCATCATTAATATGGCAGAGTCAGCAGGGTGGGATACAGACCGTGATCCAGGGAGGCAGGCTGGTTCCTGGCTCAGCAGCTCCTGGGGAGGAGGTTCTGGGAGCTGGAGGTTCATTTCCTTGTAGAGATTGACACGCTCTTCACAGAAAGCTTTGTGCAGGGCGAGGCTTTGGGCACATGTTGTCACTCTGGGCAGCCTGGTGGGAGGGTCTTTGTCTAGTGGTGGCAGCCCCTGGAGTAGACACTTAACCCTGCTCTGGACGTAGTCACCACAGACGCCCATGCTGTGGGCTCGTTTTGTTCAGCCGAACCCCTTACCTTTAATGCCTCCTAGGGTCAGACTGTAGCCAGGCACTGGGAGTTGTGAATGCGCCACAGCCCCCCTTGAAGCCCTCCCCATCCAGTTGGAGGGGGCCTTTCTTTCATTCCTAAATACTTACGGGCCCCCGTGGGGGCTGGAAAGTGTTCTGGGCAGTGGAAGGTGGCGGTGAACCGAGTTCTCTCCCTAGGAGCCAACCCCTCAGGAGAAGACAGAGTGGCTGGGAAAGCAGATCCGTGCGTGATGCCCCTGGTGATGAAGGCTGGGGAAAACCAGAGAAGACAAGGAGACAGTGAGTGGCATGAACAGTTTCAGCAGAGTAGCCCGCAGCTACCAGGGCCTAGGCAAGGAGCAGGTTTGGAGGCCGAAGTGGAGGCTGAAGGGACAGCGTGCAGCCAAAGTGGAGGAGGAGAGGCAGTGAGGGAACCAGGACAGATCACAGGGCCCCAGGGACGGGAAGGACTAAGGCTTTCAACTCTCAGTCAGATGGGAGCCATGGGGGGTTTCGAGCAGAGGAGTGGCATGATATGACTTGAATTTTTGTTGTTGTTGTTGTTGTTGTTGTCGTTGTTGTTGTGACGGAGTCTCGCTCTGTCACCCAGGTTGAAGTGCAGTGGCGCTATCTCGGCTCACTGCAAGCTCCGCCTCCCGAGTTCATGCCATTCTCCTGTCTCAGCCTCCCAAGCAGCTGGGACTATAGGCGCCCGCCACCATGCCCGGCTAATTTTTTGTATTTTTAGTAGAGACGGGGTTTCACTGTGTTAGCCAGGATGGTCTCGATCTCCTGACCTCGTGATCCACCCGCCTTGGCCTCCCAAAGTGCTGGGATTACAGGCGTGAGCCACCGCGCCCGGCTGACTTGAATTTTTTAAAAAATCTCTCTGGCTGCAACGCTGAGGACAGATGGGTGGATCGGGGAAGAGGGAAGGGCAAGGGTAGATGCCAAGGGGGCGGGGAGGAAGCCAGTGGAATAAATGCAAGAGAGAGGAGGTAGCTGGGTCAGGGCAGTAGCACGGAGAAGGTGAGATGTGGGCAGTGTCTGGAAATCTCGCAGAGACGGCCAGCAGGATTTGCTGCAGGACTGGATGAGGGGGTGTGAGACAGGGTCAAGGGTTGGGGGCCACAGCTCTTGGGAGGAGGACATTGGTGTTAATCAAGATGGGGAAGACTGGAAGGAACAGGTCTGGAGGAAGGCATGGGATTGGCTTTCAGACAGTGAAACATGCGAT
This sequence comes from Homo sapiens, assembly GCF_000001405.40. Classification (NCBI taxonomy): domain Eukaryota; kingdom Metazoa; phylum Chordata; class Mammalia; order Primates; family Hominidae; genus Homo; species Homo sapiens. The sequence goes on from NC_000001.11 coordinate 25,741,109, forward strand.
GCCCAAAGACCTTCAAGTGGAGACATGCATGCAGAGTTGGATATGTGACTTTTAGTAGAGACAGGGTTTCACTATGTTGGCCAGGCTGGTCTCAAACTCCTGACCTCATGATCCGCCTGCCTCAGCCTCCCAGAGTGCTGGGATTACAGGCGTGAGCCACTGTGCCTGGCCGATGGATTTTAAGATTTGAAATCACTAAGAGAATGAGGGAGGACAGAAAGGAAGCCCAAAGGCAGAGCCCCAGGGCACCCCAGTCTTTAGAGGTCTGGAGATGGGGAGGAACCAGCACAGGAGACTGGGAAGAAGCCATCCCAGGGTAGAAGGAGAAGCAAGAGGAAGAATGGCAGCCTGAAGGCCAAGATCCAGTAAGGAGCCAGGATCCGTGACACCCGGAGACCAGCCTGGCTCCTGCCCTCCTGCCGTCCCACTGTGGGGAGGACACAGATGCAGACTACAGTCCCCACTATTATAAAGTGACAGGGACAGGGAAACGCATGAGTCCATTAGCATGAGATGAGAATGGGGGGAGGTGGAGGTGCACAGTGTAGGGGCCTAGAATGTGGACATTGGGGCTGGGGAAGACCCTCTCACAGAAGAAGGGCTCTAAGCCGGACATCAGAGGGTGAGATTGCATGCATGGCTTTGTGGGCAATGAGCCATTAGAGGTGGGCCCTAGATTTCCACAGGAGAAGGTGGGATGGGAAAAGGCAGTTCTGGCAGAGTCTGTAGAAGAGTCATAAAAGTATCGGTATGTAAGGAGGGAATGGCAAGTGGCCCATTTGGGTTGGGGGGTTCTGACCTTTGGGATGCTTGGAGACAAGGCTGGAAGGTTGGTGGGGAGGGGTATGAGAGAGGCAGTGGGGACCCTTGACCTCAAGGGGCTCACAGTCTAGTTAGGGAGGCAAAGCCCCACAGTGCAGGGAGGTAGTGGTGGGTGCCCAAGAAAGTGCTGTGGGCACTCTCAGGGCAAGAAGAGGTTAGCTAGTGGAACCAGTTCAGGCTGCCCCTGGGAGGTAGACCTTGAAGAACATGTTAGTGTTGAACATGCCAAGATGCACAGAGAAGATTTCTTGGCAGAGAAGACCACACTTGCCAAGGTATGGAAGCAGGAGCTTGCACCCCTTCCTACATGGGTACTGAGGAACCATTGGCAGTTCCTGAGCTTGGGGAGAGACCCAAGTTGGATCTGGCTTTAGAGTGAATAAGAGGTAAAGGGAAGGGGTCTTGGAGATAGGAGGACCCTTTTGGAGGCAACTACACAACCAGATCAGGTAGTGATGGCCTCGGCAGCAGATACAGATGGGACCTGTGGGGCGGTTTTCCTTTAAGTTGGGCCAAGGGTTTTTGCAAGCTGCAATCTCACGCTCACGTTGCCCTGCAGGGTGAGAGAGAGGGCCGGGAATGTAGTTGCACCCCAAGGCCTCACTGACCCAAGAAGATTTTTGTGGAGGGGCTGCCCAGTGCCAGTAGGGGCAAGGAGGGCCACATGTACTCACTATCATGCCAGCCCTTGTCCATCAACCTACCCCATTTAACCCTCCCAGGAGCCTTATGAGGCAGGTCCTAGTGTCACCGCCATTTTGCAGATGAGGGAAACGAGGCACAAAGAGGTAGAATGGCTTGCCCTATTGCACAGCTAGGGTATAAGAGGCCAGGATTTGAACATCTCCCTGACACCAAAGCCAGCCTCTTAGCTATGTGTGAGGTTGCCTTGCAAAGGCTTTATTCAGTAGCCAAAGGTCCGAACCCTCCCAAAGGAAAGGATCAAGAGGGTCTCCCTGACCTCGTTGCCCTTCCTCACTCCCTGGCCAGGCTGCTATTTCAAGGTGAACTAAGGGACCCCAGAACTGATGAACAATCGGTTCAATGAACTGATTTATCAAGCACTTAGTCTGTGCCAAGCATATAGGTTGTATTTATCAGATGTATCTAGGCCAGGTGTGTATGTGATGTATTTATCCTGGCTCAGGAACCTGCAGTGGCTCCCCAGTGCCCTGGTCCAGTGGTCTTAACCTCATTTTATAGATGAGAACTTTGATGCTTAGAGCAGATGTGTTGCTGGCTCATAGCGGCATTTGAACGCGGGGCTGCTGATTTCTGGGCCTGTATTATTTCTAAGACACCTCACTGCCTTCTGCACTAGCAGGAAGGGGTGAACCCCATGGCTTCAGAACTGGAACAGGAAAGTGGACCAACATGGAGCCCGCCCCAGCCACAGCCCTAGGGAAGCGTCCAAGCTGGCTCTTTGTGTATAAATCATGGTCTGTTTACTGAACAGGGAGTGTGTCTTTCCTCCTGGGGAGCTGCCCCAGGGTGGCTGCAGGTGCAAATAGGGTTGAATTCAGGATAGGGCCTTCTCTCCTGCCCAGCCTGACCGCTGAGTAGCCTCTGGACTGGAATGAAAGGCTTTCCAGTAAGTGCCTTGCTGGACTGCAGCTCAGCCATGTGCCAGGTGGGAATGGGGGTGGGAGACCAACCAAGAGAAGGATTCAGGAGCCTGAGAGCAGGGGCAGGAACTTGCCAACAAATCTCTTAGCAAGCTGCTTTCTCAGCTGGCCTCATAGAGCGTCCCCAGGGACGTCACGGGGCAGAGCTGGTCACGAGGAGTCCTGGCTGCCCTCCCAGCCTGATCTAGAGGAAGAAGGGCGCATGGGGTGAAAACACCAGGGAGCTCAAGGCAGGATTCAGAAATCAGACACTGCGGCTGCCTCTCCCCTGGCCTTGAAGGACATACGGCCTGGGCCTCTCTTGATCCGTAACTGATCAGAGTGGGTGGGGTGGGGTGAGCAATCAGATCTGCAACTGTTTTCACAGAGAATTGAGCGGCCCTGCAATGCCTGATGCGTGGAAAACACATTCCACTTGGCCTGGGGCTGGGCCAGTCCCCCCTTGGTCTAATCTTGAGTGTGTCCCATCCCCTCTCTGAGGTCTTCATCTATGACAATGAAGGGGTAGGGGCAGCAGGATCCCCCAGATTCTTCCAGGCCCTTCAAACGTCTGGTTTGAGGTCCTGTGATAGAACAGGAAGGGGCCTGAGCTACAGCCAGGAGCATGGACACCAGGCCTGTACCCTGTGTGCTGGGCACGATCTGCTTTGCTCAGTCTGCCTGGGCTCCTCAGTGCCTCCCTGCTTGAGCACCTCGAGAGGGTGAATACGGGCCAGGAACTCTGTTCAGCCCTGCCACCTACAGGGGAAGCAGCTGGGATGAACCGGCAAAGGATCAAGTCTGTTTGGCTTTGGGATGTGTTTTCCTACCACTTCTTAAGCATGGGAGGGGCTGACATTCTGGAAATTCACTTCAGCCCAAACAGGGAAGCCATCCCAGGACGCAGTGCTGGGTCCTTCCAGCCTTCTCCTCCCTCCTTGGCGAACTCCCTTCTGGTAATAGATTCTCCGACCTCCAGCCCATCCCAGGACACAGGGCTGGGTGCCTCCAGCCCTCTGCTCCCTCCTTGGCGGGCCCTCCCTTCTGGTAATAGATTCTTTGACCTCCAGCCTCATCTTCCTCCTAACTTCTCCCTCCCTCTCACCCTCACTTCCATTCTTTTTCCAGGCTGTATCCTTTTTCAGACCTTGCCCAGCCTAGAGAGGTGGTTAAGTGTGTGAATTTCAGAAGGATTCTCTGCCTTCAGTCAACACAAGTGAGCAGTTAGGAAGCACTCATTAAGGAGATTAGAGGCTAACTCTGAATTCAGGAGGTGCCGCAAAGCCCACGCTGCAGACTCAAGTGGGCTCAACAGGCTCCAGAGTTTCCACTGCGGAAGGTGGAGCCTGTGACTCTCAATGTTTTCAGCCTCTGCAGGGAGGACACTGAAGGAACAATTACTCCTCTTAGGGTTACACTCTGGTCCCTAAAGGAAACTACTGCTGCCTGCAATGACTCCATAGTTGTAAGGAGTTGATGGGAGGCGCCACCTCTTTCAGGAAGCCTTTCAGATAGTAGCAGGCATGTCCCTTTCTCCCTCCCCTCCACCTTCACAGTTTTCTGCACTGAGTGCAAAAGGCTCTGGTTGTGCCAGAGGGTGTCTTCCTCATTACTCTTCTGTCTGGTTCATGGGATGGAAAACTATCATTTTGCACTTATCTCAGCCTTTACTCCCAGGACAGGTGCCTGATGCCCAGTGGTAGGGGCCAGGCCTCGTAGCTGGTTCGTGCACTAGAATGAGAATGGCCGCAAATTTTTACTTTGTGTATTTGTTTGGTTTCTTTGCCCAAATTTTCTTTCCTTTTTTTTTTTTAATGGAAATAAGTTTCTGGTTATAAGAAAGTAACCCATGAGCTGAAGAAATCAAAAGGCACCTGTAATCCCGGCACTCAGAGGTAGTCAGTGGGTCATACCAGACTTAGTTCTGTACACTTACACTTTGATGTACAATAAGAATTATACTGTGTTTTTTTCTTATTTGCAATTTACTTAAAAAGAAAGAAAGAAAGAAAGAAAAAGATCCCGTGGATGTCTCCCCAGGTAAATAGGCACAGGTCGACCTCACCTGCGTGGATGACTGCATGGTATCCTATTTTATATTTGAGCCATAGTTCACCCTCTATTAGCTACAACTAATCTTGAAGAGACAGAGGATTGGCACGGTTGATTTTTGGGCCAGGTGCAGTGGCTCACGCCTGTAATTCCAGCACTTTGGGAGACCAAAGCAGGCAGATCACTTGAGGCCAGGCATTCGAGACCAGCCTTGGCCAACATGGTGAAACCCACTCTCTACTAAAAATACAAAAATTAGCTGAGTGTGGTAGCATGCATCTGTAATCCCAGCTACTTGGGAGGCTGAGGCACGAGAATCGCTTGAACCCAGGAGATGAAGGTCTCAGTGAGCTGAGATAGCACCATTATACTCCAGTCTGAGCGACAGAACAAGATTCTGTCTCCAAAAAAAAAAGATTTTTGTATGCCAGGCTGGATGAGGTGGCTCACGGCTCACGCCTGTAATCCAGCACTTTGGGAGGCCGAAGTGGGTGGATCACTTGAGGCCAGGAGTTCAAGACCAGCCTGGCCAACATGGTGAAACCCCATCTCTACTAAAAATACAAAAATTATCTGGGCGTGGTGGTGGACACCTGTGGTCCCAGCTACTTGGGAGGCTGAGGTGGGAGAATCGCTTGAACCTGGGAGGCAGAGGTTGGAGTGAGCCGAGATCGCACCATTGCACTCCAGACTGGGTGACAGAGTAAGACCCTGTCTCAAAAACAAACAAACAAAGATTTTTATATGCCAAAGCAGAGAAAAGTGGGTGGCTGATTGGCACTGATAGTTGACCCGCTGACCAACAGAAGAGTGGACCGAGTCTGGGAAGTGGCTCAGCCTGGGCCCTCGGTCTCTCTGGCCGCTGTTTGCTGCCTTGAGGAGGAAGCAGCCCATGGCGGGGACTCTGGGTCTCGGCGTCACCTTCGATGGTGGCACTGGAGTCCCCCGGATGGTGCCTGAGGCCAGCCTTTGCCACCAAGCCTGCGCTGGCATTGGAGGGGCCCTGAGAACGGTGGCTTGTCCAGTTGGGGAAAAGAGAAAGATGGCCCTGGGTCACACCCTCAATGCTCTGTGCCTGCAGGAGGCCTCAGCGGGGCAACAGTCATTGACTCCCTCGATACCCTCTACCTCATGGAGCTGAAGGAGGAGTTCCAGGAGGCCAAGGCCTGGGTGGGAGAGAGCTTCCACCTGAACGTGGTGAGTCAGAGGCCCTCGGCGGGGGAGGGGGGCGGGGGCCAGAAGAGGCCCAACAGCCAGCTTCACCCTGTCATCTCTGAGACCCAGAGATGTTGAGGGTCTCTCCCACGGCTGCACAGCCCAGCAGTCTCGGAACCGGAGCTGCCGTGCAGTCTGTGCTGAGTCCCTTCCTTAAGACAGCCTTGAGGTGGGGACATCCTCCCCAGTCTAGCATCTTCCCTGGGGAGGGGACACAGCCACGACCATCCATCCCCTCCCTGCAAGGTCAGTCATTGCTCATCTGGGGCACATTGCTTCCACCCTGGACGGCCCCTGGGGCTGGATCTATCACACACAGCAGCTGCAGCAAGTGGGGAATGGCTTTGTGGAGGGGGGACGTGGCTCATCTGCTGAGAGCTGCTCCAGCCTTGAGCCCGCCCTGCACTGGCCTGTTGAGATGGCCGGGTGGGGTGGGCGTGGAGTGGGTGGTGCATATCCCTTTGCAGACCCATGGCCAGGCCTGGGACCTCTTGGTCTCCAGCCTTGCAGGCACACTTGGTCAGGGACCAGAGCCTTTCAGAGGGAATGGTCGTGTGTCTGGATGGCACAACAGCCTTGAACACCACAGCCCACCATGTTGATCTCTCAGCCCAGACTAAAGCAAGGCATGCATCCCAGAGGGGAGCTCCCCACGGAGAGAGGCTATTTACATAGACTTGGGGAGTAAGCAGTGGAGACCGGGAGGGGCCGCATCCAAGCACACACCAGGCTCCATGTGGGCTCCGGGAGTGCCAGGTCCTGCTGCAGACAGGTCTGGGGCTGGTTCCTGCAGCTCCTGGCAGCAGCGAGGACCCTGCCTCCTTGAGAGACAGCTTGCCAGCACAGAGCAGGGTGGAGAGAGAGTCTGGGAGAGCCTGGGAACGCAACACTTTAGGGGAGCTTCCCTGGAGACAGAGACCTCTGGAGTCCTGGCTGCCCTGCGTCTCTTGGAAAAGTCATTGACCCTCCCTGAGCCTTAGATTCCTCAACTATACAATGAGAATGATGACAACAGCAACAATATTAATAATGCCTAACTCATAGGCTTATCATGAGGATTAAATACAGTGGAGAGTTGTAACCGCATTTTATAACACTATGAAGTCTGATACTGATGTAAAGTGAGGTCACCCTTGTCATTGTTAGGATGATTTTGAGGCTTGTTGACATTTCTGGTTGTTTGTGTGAGGCCAAGGAAGCTGAGAATCCCCCCATTACCCCTCTTTGGGTTGGAGAAAGGTGGAGGAAGGAGAAGGAAGGAGTGTCCCCATAGGCCTGCCTCGTTCCCTGTGTAGACAGTGGCTCTTTGGGATACAGAACGGGCTCAGGCAGCTGCCCACAGTGCCTTAGGAGCTGGGGGACACTCAGGCAGGTGGGGCAGGTGAGGAAATGTCCCTGGAAGAAAGCAAGGTGGGGTCACTCGACCTCGAACCTTGACTTTCTCATCTGAGAAATGGGAATGATGACCCTCGCCACACTGACCTCACCGAGCCCTGGGAAGCTGAAGGGGAGCGGTTTTGCAGGTGCTCTGTGGATGAAGAGCTCCCCCAGGTTAACAGATGAGCACTGCTGTTCTCAGTAATAAAGACGATGGTGTGCAAAGCATGCTGAGGGAACCCTCTGGGGCAAGGAGGGTGACAACAGGCATGTCTGGCTGTGGGCAGGCCTCTCTCTGCAGCTCCCCTGTGTCCTGTGTTCACCCTGCACGGGAGGGGTTGGCAGCCCCCTTCTGCAGCTGAGGAAATGGGGCAGGGAAAGGCTGCACATCTTTTCTGAGGTGCCAAAGCCAGGTCAGTGGCTCAGGTGGGGTTTACCCCAGATCTGGTCCTGGCATGATGCTCCAGCACCCCTGATTTGCAATCCCAACTTAAGAAAGAAAATAGAAATGATTAAGGCAAGTGTGGGCATGCCCTGTGCGCTCCGAGCTGAGGGCCCAAGAAACTGCTGTTCACTGAATACGTAGCTGCCTGGCTGCCTGGCTCCCTCCTTCTTAGCCCCAGCCTTTCCCTGTCTGCCCCACAGCCTCCTCAGAGAACCAGGAAAGGGCCTTGCTGTCTTCCTGCTGAGCCTTGGGGTCTCCTCCAAGAAGGTGAAGTAGCCTGGCCAGAGTGGGATTTACCTCCCCTCAGTCTAAGCTCCAGCCAGCAGCTCTCCCGGCAGGTTCTGGCGCTCCTTGGAGCACAACCAGGCATCGCTTTGCTGCCATCATCTCAGCAAGGGCTGGGGAAGGAAGCCAAGCCCAGCATTTATTTGGAATGCTAGAAATTGCAGGAGTTCTGCCAGGCAGGTGCAGATTCCTCTTGACTTTTGTTATGAAAACCATCGTCACCTTGCCTGGCTTACCAGAGCCGGGGACAGGTATGGGAGGAATATCAGTGGCCAGGGTGACCTGTCTCAAGGGCCTGCATCTTACAAGTGTCCCCACTGTCCCCCTCCTTCTTTCTGTCCTGCAGAGCGGAGAAGCATCCTTGTTTGAGGTGAACATCCGCTACATCGGGGGACTCCTCTCAGCCTTCTACCTGACAGGAGAAGAGGTGGGTTGGCCTTTCATGACCCCTGAACTGTCCAGGCTGGAAAGGGCTTTGGAGAATATCCAGTCCTTCCCCCTCATGCCATCCATGGGAAAAGGGACTTAAGGGGGCAGGGATGGGCCTGGGGCCACCCAAGTCCACCCCTGAGGGCCTGTTTTCCCTCCGACCATCCCTCCGCTCCCTGTTTAATCAGTCATTGCTCATCATGGGCATGTTGCTCCCACCCCAGACGGCCCCCCAGGGCTGAATCTATCACACAAAGCAGCGGCAGCAAGAGGAGAATGGCTCTTCCTCCTTTACTCTCTGATCCCTCCATTCTGCTGCCCAGGTGAGCCCAACTGGCTCCCACAGGTGCTTGTATGTTCTCTGAGAGCAGCAGCTGGGTCCATACATCATCCACTCAGATCCCACTCAGCATCCAGCAGGCACCTGGGCTGCTTTTCACAAGTGTTGGTTCTTAGGACTGATAAAGCCAAGACCAAGACCCCCAGGCCTTGTCCTCCACAGCCACCCCTTGCCCTCCCCTCCTGGGCCAACCACCAGCCAGACACCTGCTCCAGGTCTCACGGGGGCAGCAGGTGAGGTGGGGCAGCCACTGCTGTATCTGCCAGTGCCAGGCCTTGCCCCCAGGTGAGCTGTGTTGGTTTCCACAAGGAGGGCTGGGAAGTGCACGCTACAGGAAGGCAGAGCTGGTGCGGTCAGGAAACCTGGCCCTCACTCCACACCACCCTCACCTACTCATGGCCTTAGCGAGCTCCTTGTCCCACCCTGGGCCTCGCTTCCTTCCCCAGCATGGATGGTTCTGATACCCCTTCGCTCAAAGACCTCTTAGGACATGGGATAGGAAGGAAAGGGTGGGGCCCCAAGGCTGATGGCTCCAAAGCCCATCTTCTCCTCCCTGCGAGAGAATTTTGAAAACCACAGAGCTCTTAGAAATGGGAGGCTTCTTCATCCCCGCTCCCGAGCTCCGGTAAAAGCACAGCCCAGATATCTGGTGGCGAGGTTGGCTGAGTCCCCAAAACATCAGTCATTGGTCAGTTCTGTTCCCCATTACTCAGAGAGGCTGCTGTGAGGCTGGACGCCCCCCTGCTCTGACCACCCAGAGACAAATAATGATGCCTGCCCCCCGCCACCCAAGGAGCCATGGAGGTGAGGCGGGCAAGCCACAGAATAATCCCTCTTCACCTCCACTGCTGCTGTCTGGAAAGTCATTTCCGCTTCCCTTCATCTGTGAAGGTGCCAGGGGCTGAAGTCAAGGGTTTCGAAGCAACAGGCGGGCACCTTATCTCTCCAATTGCTCCAGGCCTCTCTCCATCGAGCATAATCTCCTCAGCAGAGATTAGCGCTTGTACCAATTTGTCCCCAAATAATTGTAGATGGAAGCCCTCGGCTTTGAGCCACCCGGAGCCTGAATTTCATTTGAAAACTCCAGAACAGGAAAATGACAGAAGGAGCAGAAAAAGCATCTGTGTTCTTCAGGGCATATGCCCAGCCTTCCTACTTGGCCGTGGTCAGTGGAGATGGCCTGCAGGAAGGAAGAGGGGAGGACACAGCTCAGGGCTCTCGGGGCGGTTTGGGGGTGAGCAATTCAGGAAAGAGTTGGTGGCTGTTGAGACACATTGCTTCTTCCTTCCCTCTCTTCCATCCATCTTTCCTCCCTTCCGTCCATCTTTCCTTCTGTCCTTCCATCCATCTTTCCTTCCGTTCTTCCTTCCTTCTATCCATCTTTCCACCCTTCCCTCCCCCGTTTCCATCCATCTTTCCTTCCTTCCTTCCATCCATCTTTCCTTCCATCCTTCCTTCCCTTCGTTCATCTTTCCTTCCATCCTTCCTTCCATTTATCTTTCCTTCTGTCTTATCTTCCTTCCATTCGTCTTTCCTTCCTTCCTTCCTTCCTTCTCCTTCCATCCATCTTTTCTTCTGTCCTTTTCTCCTTCCATCCATCCTTCCATCATTCTCCTTCCATCCACCTTTTCTTCTGTCTTTTTCTCCTTCCATCCATCCTTCCATCATTCTCCTTCCATGCATCTTCCCTGCATTTTTCTTCCCTTCCTCCCTTCTCTCTTCAAGGGCATCTGTGGTTCTGAGAACTTGCTTTGAGGCCTCAACTTCCTAGAAGGCACCAGCAACCCAGCTTTCCAGAACATAGACCAGATAGTGGGGTGTGGACAGGAGCACCTGTGACTTGAAAAACAGCTCAAAAGACTCAAGGAGGGGCCAACGTGGCCAGAACCCCTGGGCAGGCAGGCAGGCTCCTGTGTCAGTCAGTGCAGCCCCTGCCCTCTGGCCACACCTTCCTGATCTATCCCCCGAGCACCTCCCTGAGCCAGATGCCATGCTGCATACCTCGTGTACTTTCTCACTGGAGCCTCGGATGGCCCCATCAGGTGCATGTTATCACCGATTTGCAGATGAGGAAACTGAGACTTAGAAGCAGTAACTGGCTCCGGGTCGCACAGTGTCTGAGGGTTGTGTTGGGCCTGACTCCTGACCCTGTGGCCTTTGTGCTATGGGCCTGGGTCACAGCTTGGCATGGCGTCACTGCTTGTCACCAGGGCTCAGCCACACCAGACTGAGGCCTCTCTCTTCCCTTAGTCCTTGAGCTCACATGCAGTGGGTGCCTGTTGGGTGGGTCTTTCCATTCTTAAAATTTCCCACAAAGGTTTGTGGAATGAAGGGTGAAGGAGACCCCACACTTTTCCTGGGCTGAGGCCTTTCTTTGCTTAAGATGAAGCTTCAGAGGGAGACCCCCTGCTGGGTAGGCCAGTCCTACCGAGAGCCAGTGCCCATGGGAGTAACTCGTATAACCACAGCTGCACACGTGAGGTTGGCACGGCACTTCACAGTTTATAAAGTACATTCATTTCTCTACATCCTCTCATTTGATTTCCACAAAGACCCCTGCAGCAGCCAGGCTCGTGCCACCATTGTGTTGTGCAGATGAGGAAACCAAGGTGCAGCGAGGTTTCCTCCCACTGTCCCCGCTCCTCCACCTGGCTATTTTTTGTATTTTTGGTAGAGACGGGGTTTCACCATGTTGGCCAGGATGGTCTCGAACTCCTGACCTCAGGTGATCCACCTGCTTCGGCCTCCCAAAATGCTGGGATTACAGGCATGAGCCACCGTGCCTGGCCCACAGCATCATTTCAATAGCTGCATGGTATTTTGTTGCATGGAGCCATTATCTAACCACTTTCCTATTGTTTGATATTTAGAACACTTCCAGTTTTTCCCACTATTCTAAACAATGCTGGAATAAATAAGTCTTTACAACATTCTCGATTATTTATTTCCTCAGAATAAATTCCCAGGCAGGAAACGGCTGGGTCAGAAGGTCACAGGTCCTTTTGAATTAATCAGACATCTCAGAACAGTTTGAAGGGGTCTGAGCCTCAGGCAGGGGCCGTGAGGCCTGGGACCTCGCTGTGGCTCCCTTGCTGTCCTGTGGGTGGTTGAGGATAAGCCACTCACCCTCTCCCTTCATTCCCCATTTGTGAAATGGGAACAGTGGGCAGGATCAGGATGTCAAAGCGGGACAGGCCTGTCCACTGCTCTTACGCAGGAAGAGGGAAACTGTCGCCCAGGAGGAAGGGTCTCTGGAACCTGAGGGTGGTCTTGGCTCCCAGTTCAGTGCTCTTGACAGTCTGTCCGAACGGCACCACCTGTTCCCATGCCCTCTGCCTGTGGTATCGTAGTCCTGCAGTGTGGGCAGGCATTGACCTTTGGAGACCGGCCCGTCTCTGCCAGGTCTTCATCTGGACTTGGAGGTGCCCCCCACCCCCCGCACCTCACTGCTTTCTCCCTCATCTTCCCAGTGGCTGCCCCATCCCAATAAGCAGCATCCAGCCTTTGCCACCAGAGTCCTGACACTGTGGTAGATGCTTTGCCACAATTATCTAATTTTCATTTCTCCCAACAACTCTCTAAGAAGGCCAGTATTATCCTATTTTATGGACAAAAGCTGAGGCTCAGAAGTACCTTGCCAAAGTCCACGTGGCCAGCAGTTGGAAGAACCGGGCTGGTGGACTGCAGCACTGCCCCCTACTCTAGACCTGCAGCCCTGGGGGGTTCATCCTGCCTGCAGCAGTTCTGGGGTTGACCTTCCCTCACCCAGCCTGGAGTCAAAAGCCCTTTGATCCCCTCCTTTACAGGTGTTCCGAATAAAGGCCATCAGGCTGGGAGAGAAGCTCCTGCCGGCGTTCAACACCCCCACGGGAATCCCAAAGGGCGTGGTGAGCTTCAAAAGGTAGGGCGCCATCGCGTTCCCCACTGGGGCTTTACTGCGACCATGCCCACCATTTGTGTTTTGTCTGGGTGGTGCTGGTGAGGAGGCTCCAGGGGCAGTAGGCAGGCAAGCAGGAGGGGGGACCCTTGGGACCACCTCTGTTGAACCCGTTCTTTTATGATGTAGAAACTGAGGCACAGGGAGAGGACCATACCTACCTTGGGAGCCACAGTGAGTCGGTGGCACGGTGAAAGTGCCAGCGACTTCCCTGGACAGGTGTTTGTCACCAAACCTGGGTGTCAGGGTTTAGTCCACATAAGCCTGAGCCTCCTGGGGTGGGCGGGGGCAGTTCCTCTGGACATCCCACAGTGCTGTCTTGACTTGAGAGTCTTCCACAATGGCCCCAAACACTCTCTTCCCCCGCTGGGGTTCCGGAGCCAGCAGGCACATCACACCATCCTCCTCCCACGAGGAGGTCCCTGAAGCTGCTAGGAGATCTCAGGATCCCAGCCCTCCCAAACAGGAGCCTAGCTCTCAAGGAGCCCTAGCCACTGTCCCTGTGCTTCATGGAGCTACTTAGTAGAAGCCACATCCCCGGGCACCCTGCAGCTCTCTGGGGCCATCCTCGAGGCCCTCCAACAATCCCGACGCTAGGAAGGCTGTGACGTTCCACTGCACCAGACTTCCCATCCCATCTCCTGAAGTGATTTCTCATCTCAGGGCTCTCAAACCAACAGAAGCTTCAGCCAGCTGTCTGGGAGGGGAGGCAGGGGCCCTGGGCTCTGGTTGGAGGACCCATGGCTCCGATCACTGTCCTGGGGAGGTTGCACCTTCGTGTTGGCCTCAAGGGCTTCACCACCTTTCTCTGGTCTTGCAAAAAGAGGGCTTGGCATGTTCAGCATCTTCGTCAACTGTCCTCCCCTGTAGTTGGGAAGAATTCTCAGGGTGTGAACTCATTGGAATCTCACCATAGGCCAGGGAGGGGGGTGCTCTCGGGGGCCGGAGAAATCCCAGTCTCGATGCCAGGGTTGACTCCTCAGAGCTGGACTCCTGGATCTCTGCTCAGATCCCTCTTCCATAAACACTGATCCTGGAGAGACACAGCCAGCTGTCATGAAGCCCAGACACACACACACTGTCCTCTGGCTCCCCCTCCCCGGGTCTGGGGTAGGACATCATTGGGGGCATCCCTTCCTCTTCTGTCCCCAGCCCTTCCCTAGGTCTCTCAGAGCAGGGACCTGATCTGACACGAATCCTGACATTTGTGATTAAGGAAGCGCGTTTGCTTTTAGGCTGTTTGCCTGCTGTCCGTGCCGTGTGCGCATGTACATTCATGTATATTTCCTGGCAACATCCGCCTTTTTGTTCTTGGTAAGAAAGTCTGTTGCTAAAAATGCCTGGCTCAGAGAGTGGCAGGGCTGTATGGGCCCATGTGGCACTGAGTTTGCTCTTCGGAGGGGGCCTCCTGGCAGGAGCTGGGCTACTGTTGTTGCACCTGCCCCCGGCAGGGCTCGCTGTGGGCAGCCCCAACAGGAGGGGGAAGAACGTGGGCCCTTCAGGAGAGTAGGTAACCAGCCCTGCCCTACTCGTCAGGGTGGGAAGGACCCTGAGGAGAGGCCGTTCCCTGGCAGGTGTGAGCTGCACCTCCTCACTGGTGTCTGCACAGACCGGCCTGGGAGACTGAGGCAGGGCCAGCCTGACCTGGGACCTTCAGGGACACTGGACTGCCTGGGAGAGTGACGGTGGCCTGTGCAAGGACCTCTGCAGCCAAGCTGGTCTTTTTCACTCATGCTCTCTCACACACATGCAGACACTCTCCTGCCACCCTTATAGATCATAAAGGCCTGGATACACAAGCTGGCCTTTGTCACAGACATGCTGGCATCCATACATGGGCACACACATTCACAAACGAATATCCATTTACACATGCATGCTCCCGCCACACACAAATAGACATGTCTTCACAATTGCAAACGTCTGGTGAGAAGTCACTGTGTGTCAGGCATCACGTGAGCACGTGACATGGATTGTCTTTTCAACCTCACAGCAACCACAGGGACTCCATTTTACCGGTAAAGAAACTGAGGCTCAGAGAGGTGAGGTAACTTGCCTGAGGTCACACAGCAGCAAAGCAAACTTAATTAGAATCCAGGTCTGTCTACCTCCAAAGTTGATGATTACACCATACTCATGAGTGTACCTGCCTAGAAGCTACAGCCAGGGTGGGAAGGGGCATTGTGGAGCAGCCCCTCCTGCCAGGAGAGAGAACACAGGCTATGGGCCCACTTGCACTTGAAAGGCTGGGAGAGGAGATCAGAGCTTCCTGCTGGCCCATTGGCTCACAGGGCTGAGCAGAGGCCCTCCTGGTCTCTGGGATGCTGCCCAGAGCAGATGCATTTGGGGCACAGAACACCTAGGATTTGGAATTGGATTCAGTTCTACCACTTACTCTGTGGCCTCGCCCTCATTCTATGAAATAAAGACAATGGTATCTACCTCCGAAGTTGGTTGTGAAGGTAAAATAAGAACCACCAGAACCACCTGGCACAGATCAGAAACTTAGTAACAACAACATTTACATGTGCATAATTACATAATGATAAAAATGACAATACTTACATGCATAATTTATACCTCACAATAACTATGAAGTGTGGGTGCTGTCACTTAAGGGATGAGGAAACTGAGTTCTAGGGAAGTTAACCAACCTGCCCGAGGTCACTTTGTTGGGACCCGGAGAAGCCACCATTGGAAGCTGGGCAGGAGAGGAAAGGCGCCCAGCCACCTGCCTGCCTCTGCCCAGGCCAGCTCACTTGTCTGCCAGGGCATCTCCACCACAGGAAGCCCACTTGGGAGGGTGAGCATGTGGGGGTGGGAGAGAGGAAGGAGAGGCCCATGTGGGGGAAAAGGAGAACAAAAGACTGTTGGAGGGCTGGTGGCTTTTTCCTACCTTAAACTTCCCTGAGAATGCAGGAAGAATCAATTATTCAGGAAGCTCTCTGAGACTCACTGAGATCACAAGCTGGAGAGAGAAGTCTCAGTTAGCCTTGGGGGAAGAGGGACAGAGATGGGGCAGGGTGGCACCTCTCTCTTTCCCTCTGGGTGAGTGCGGGGCTGTCTTAGGGTGGGAGGCCCAGCAGACCTGTTTGAATCCTGTCTCCGTCGTCTTCCGCCTCTGACCTCGAACACTTCACTTCCCTGTATGAGCCTCAGTTTCCTCCTTTGCATAGGGGTATGAATGATGCTTTACGTTATGGGCTTTCAATGAAAGTAGTGATGCAAACTGCTTGTCCCCGTGCCTGGCACACTATACCGGCTCAATAAATGGAAGTTGTTTTGTTTATTCAGATCAGGAGCCAAGTTTCCCCTCCTGTGCAACCCATCCCTCCCCCACTGTCCCCTGCCCCAAGCCAGGATGAAGGTGGCTGTCTCTATATGTGTTGAGGTCACTTGACCCCAAAGATCTCAAAACCCGAGCCCTTCGTCTGTTCCCACAAGCTGGGAGGCTGGTAAGTGTCCCTACTTTCCCAGAAACCACATCCAGCCCCAAGAATGGAGTTTAGAGAGAACAGCAGTATCAGGGGATCCCCAGCCCTATCCCAGGAAAAGCAGCACCCCTCAAGTGGCAAACAGTGACCTCCACACCCCCACGCCTGCCTTCCTAAGTCCTGTCCGTGGAGATGGAGGGGCAGACAGGGGCCAGTTCCTGGGAGGGCAGTGTGACCAGGAGCAAGGAAGCAGAGTGCCCCTGGCAGAGCCAGTCGCTCAACCTGCTCCACACTAACTACACCTCAGAGCGTCTACAAATGGGAGGAGGTCACACCACCCTGCTCTGCCCCACCTCTGTCCACCACAGCCTTCCTGCAGACCCTGTGCCCTTGGTTGTCCTAAATATCCCACAGGAAAGATAATCATGATACATATGAGGAAACTGAGGCACGGGGGGGGGGGGCAGCTTGCCCAGAACCACCCCCATTCTGCACCTTCTTTTCCTCTTTATTCCCACAAAAGCCCAGGAAGGAGGAGGCATGAACCTAGGAGATGGAGGCTTCGCCTTCACTGTGTCTTACGGATGCAGGCACGGAGGCATGCGAGGATTAAGTGGTTTGCCCGAGGGCTCCAGCTGAGCGACACTTGAACCTGCACCTTCTGGCTCCAGATCTCAGGGAGACTTTCAGTGAATGCTCCCGGAAAGGCAGTGTCCTTGTTCCCTATCCTATGATCAAAAGAGAAGCAAACTGCACAGCAGTTAGCACAGGCTCTGGCATCAGAGCCAGCTCTGGGTCCCAGCTCTTCAAATTACTGTGTGATCTCAGGCAGGGGACATCACTGTCCTGTGCCTTGTTTACCGCGTTTGCAAAAGGGGCAGCTGTGAGGATTAACCAGGATCCTGCCTCTGCATTCTTTGTCTTTGAAAGCACACAGCTCCAGATGTGTGGTCACACCAGAGCTCCCTGCCTGTCCTATGTAGGTTCCATGAAATTCCAGGCCGGGGCCATTTCATGTCCTTGGGCAGCACTGACAGTGTGCTGGGAGAGGGAAAGAGCTAGGCGGGGACTCTGCTTTTCATTGGTCCCATTTGCACCCGAATCACAGCACTGTTTATCCTCCACATGCAGAACCACCAATGGTTGTGAGCCATCCGGTGCCTTCAGCCAGAGGACAGCAACCGGGTGTTCTGTGGGGTCTTTGTGGCCCCTGATAGCATTATCCACATCATCTGTAAATTCAGCATAACTCTTGTACCAGGTCTCGAGCTCCCAAGTCTTACAGGGGTTGCTTGATGATGGAGACAAAGAATATTCCAAGTCAGACAGGCCTGGGTTCAAATGAACTTCAGTGAGTCACTTTATCTCAGTGTCCTCATCAGGACATGGGGCCAGGGAGGATTCACTGAAATTGTACGGCGAAAGCTCCTGGTTCCATGCCTGTCACATAGTAGGTGCCCCCACCGAGCAGCTGCTGTTACTGTCAGCAGAGGAGCCAGCCTGGCCAAAGGGGGGATGACGGGGGCTGCTTCTGTCTTTTCAGTGGGAACTGGGGCTGGGCCACAGCCGGCAGCAGCAGCATCTTGGCGGAGTTTGGATCCCTGCACTTGGAATTCTTACACCTCACTGAACTCTCTGGCAACCAGGTCTTCGCTGAAAAGGCAAGTCTCCTCCCCACCCTTCTTCCTGCGGAGCAGAGGGATGAGCGTGCGGCTGCCACAGGGTTTTCAGAGGCGAGTGGGTCCTCCCTCATGGATCAGCAGGAGGGCAGTGGGGAGCCCGGGAGCCCAAGCTACCACTAAGGTAGCAAATAGTAGCTACCTATACCCCAACGCCAGGTGGCAGGGAAGGTGAGCACGCAGAGTCAATAAGATTCTACAGAGGGAAAAGGAGAGACAAGATTCTGCCGGGGAAAAGGTTCTCACTGGTCTGCGTGAGCTCAGTGGCAACCACCCATATGTGAAATCTGGAGAAAGTGCAACTGAAATCTAGGCACCACCTTGCATTGGCAGGAATTGGCCACCCACTGCAGAAGTCCCCTTTCCAGAGACATTTAGCTTTTCCATGTGAGATCTGCCTGCCTTCTTCCCTGTGCCTGTTTAGCTCATGCCATCAGCAGGCTGGCATGGCAATACCCTGCCATGGCAGATGCCCTGACTGTTCATTCCTGCTGTTTAAGGCCACATGGGGAGCTTAGAACACCAATCAGCCCTGACAGCTGCTCATACCTGGCCTTGGGCAGTCCCCACTAGCTAGAAGTGTCGCTGTAGGTCTGACCTCAAATCCAAAGAAGGGAAGTGCTCACACCTCCCTCATATGGCACTCAGGCTCCAGCAGCTACAGTCCCTCCCTGAGGGCTGCCTGGGGAGATGGAAGCCCTGCCCATCCTCTGGAGCCCTCCAAGGAGAACTCTGTGGCAGTGCCACTCCCAAAGCCTTGTCTTCCCCCTGGAATGCCCGCCTCTTAGACCAGTATGGGAGCTGGGAGATGACTGATAGATTCCCACCTCTATGCCACGGCTCCCAGCAGGCAACTGGGAGATGATAGATTCCCACAGCTACCCCATGGCTCCCAGTATCATGTCGCCATCCAGCCTCAAAGCATTACCTGGCACAGCTGTGAGGAAACAGATTTCTGGGCTTCACTCCAGGGCCAGGCATCTACATTTTTAATATGCATTCATGTGCTTTTTGACGCATGGTTTGGGACCACTACTTACTCAATGTAGGAGTCCACCTGAGTGTCCTTAAGAAGCTCAAGAAGAGCTGTTCAGCCTCTTCTTGATTACTTTCTCTGACAAGGAGCTCACTGCCGCCACCCTTAAACAGTCCGTCCTCCTGGCAGCCCTTCCTTCAAAAGTGTTTTCCTTACATTGAGAGGGACTCTGCCTCCCTGAAACTCCCCCATTTGAAAGTTCGTGGAATGAGTTCAACCTCACTTCCTGGTAGCTCTTATTTTCTGATCCTTTCCCACCTCCAAGTCCCATCCCCCAACCTCCCTGTTGCCATTGCTCTTAAATCAGACTCCTCTAGGAAGGTTCTGACCAGCTCCGAATGGAGTGGGACAGGGAGCTCACTCCAGTCCCTGGTTATTCTGGAGTAATAGCTACCCCTGCCTGAGCACCCGCTATGTGCTGGGCACTTTATAATGGCTCTACTCTTCCCAACAACCCTATGAGGTGGGTCTTCCTGGAGTTCCCATATTTACAGAGGAGGAAACTAAGACTCAGAGAGGTCAAGTCACTTGCCCTGGGCCTTCCAGCTGGTCAGTGATAAAGCCGTGATTCAAGCCCAGGATGTGCTGGCTCCTTCCAGACCAGATTGATAGAGCAGGCTGCAGGCTTTTGCTCTGGAGTCCATCCGTCTATCTCTGTCTCCTCTACATTTACATACTCTGGCTATTTTCATCCCCCAATCATGCCTCCCACAGAGGCAATTATTGGCAGTCAACAAATTGGCCCAAATTCTAGAAGCGCCCGCACCCTCCAGGGGAGCTAATTTGGCCTGCTTCACTGCTCACCACCAGGACAGTCGAGAGTAACGCAGGTACAAGCACATTCCTGTCCCCGTAATGGACTTCGTTAACATAAATGGATATGAAATCTGACGTGGCAAAGCCAAGTGCTGTCACCTGGAAAGGAAGGTCTGCCTGCAGAAAGGTGGCTCTCCCGCACTCCCGGCCCCGTACACACATAACTCTATCAACATGAGACAGTGTGGTCCCAAGGGCCTTTCTCTCCCAAGGGGTCTTGTGCTGGCTAGGACGTGCTGAGTAGGATTTAACCACTGTCGGAGAGCAGGCACTATAGATAAAGCCCTCTTGAATTCCACTTCTCACCTTCATAGCCCCAAAGGTTGCAAACCCAGCCTCTTTCTGCTCCAGCTGGGGCAGGCTGTGCTCCATGGTCACGGCCCTGATCTGTGTTGGCCCAGTGCTGCCCTGTGTTGGGCAGGAATATGTATGGTTTATGTTGTCAGAATTCATTCACGTCCTGGCTCTGCCACTTAAGGACCAGGTGGCCATCAGCAAGTCACCAGACCTCTCTGAGATTCAGGTTTCTTGTCTGTTACACTGAGATAATCCCTTGTCGGTTATGAGGGTTGGAGATAATGTATATAACGGATCTGGCTCAAAGGAACTGAAAAAGGATAACAACTGTTATTGCTTTTTATAATTATTATTATTTTTATTAAAACACTGAAACGCCTGTTAGGACATGGGGTTATTCAGGAGCCCAAGCCTCTCCCCCGAAATAATTCCAGGGCATCAGATAAAATAGCATATTACTAGATTGGGCCATATGAAACTGCCAATATTGGACCTTTTTTTGATTGCCTTATATACTTAACTGTTTTTTAAATGGCCAGAATACTTAAGCATTCTGAATACTTAAGTTAGCAACACTTAGCACTAAGCAGTTTTTAAGAATACAATACATTGTTATGAACTACAGTCATCATGTCTTATACCATAGATCTCTTGAACTTATTCCTCCTAACTGAAATTTTATATCCTTTGATCAGCATCTCCCCAACCCTTGGTAACCACCATTCTACTCTCTACCTCTACTTCTTTTTTTTTTTTTTTTTTTTTGAGACGGAGTCTCTCTCTGTCGCCCAGCCTGGAGTGCAGTGGCACTATCTCGGCTCACTGCAACCTCCACCTCCCGGTTCAAGCGATTCTCCTGTCTCAGCCTCCCGAGTAGCTGGGATTACAGGTGCCCACCACCATGCCTGGGTAATTTTTGTATTTTTAGTAGAGACGGGATTTCACCATGTTGGCCAGGCTGGTCTCGAACTCCTGACCTCAGGTGATCTGCCCGCCTCGGCCTCCCAAAGTGCTGGGACTACAGGGGTGAGCCACTGCACCCAGCCTCTACTCTCCACTTCCATGAGTTCAACTTTATTACATTGCACTTATAAGTGAGATCAAGTATTTGTCTTTCTGGACTGGCCTATTTCACTTAACACAATATCCTCTGGGTTCATACATGTTGCAAATGACAGAATTTCTTTCTTTTTTAAGGTTGAATTATATTCCATTGTGTATACCACATTTTCTTTCTTTTCTTTTCTTTTCTTTTTTTTTTTTTTTTTGAGGCAGAGTCTCACTCTGTTGCCCAGGCTAAAGTGGAGTGGCACGATTATAGCTCACTCCAGCCTCAATCTCCTGGACTTAAACAATCCTCCCACCTCAGCCTCCTGAGTAGCTGGGACTATGAGAATGTGCCATCACACCCAGCTAATTTGTTTGTTTTGTAGAGACAGTTTCGCCATGTTACCCAGGCTTGTCTCAAACTCCTGGGCTCAAACAATCTGCCCAACTCAGCCTCCCAAAGTGCTGGGATTACAGGAGTGAGCCACCACCCCTAACCTATACTATACCACATTTTCTTTTCTTTTTTTTTTTTGAGACAGAGTCCAGGCTGGAGTGCAAAGGCGCCATGTCTGCTAACTGCAACCTCTACCTTCAGGTTCAAGCAGTGCTTGTGTCTCCACCTCCAGAGTAGCTAAGATTACAGGCCTGTGCCACCACGCCTGGCCAATTTTTGTATTTTTAGTAGAGATGGGGGTTTCACCATGTTGCCACGGCTGGTCTCAAACTCCTGGCCTCAAGTGATCCACCTCCCTTGGCCTCCCAAAGTGCTGGGATTATAGGCGTGAGCCACCATGCCTGGCTATACCACATTTTTTTTATTCATTCATCTGTTGATGGACATTTAGGTTGATTCCACATCTTGCCTATTTGAATAATGCTGCAGTGAACACAGGAATATAGATAATCTCTTCAACATACTGATGTCATTTCCTTTGTATATATACCCAATAGTGGGATTGCTGGATTTGACCATTTTTGACCTATTAACAAGGCAATTTTACCTAAAGCTAACAAACGAGCTACTGTCAATTAACCCCACCTTTAAAAGAACCCTCCCTAGGCCAGGCACAGTGACTCACGCCTATAATCCCAGCACTTTGGGAGGCCGAGGCTGGTGGATCACTTGAGGTCAAGAGTTCGAGACCAGCCTGGCCAACATGGCGAAACCCCATCTCTACTAAAAATACAAAAATTAGCCAGGTGTGGTGGTGCATGCCTGTAGTCTTAACTACTGAGGAGGCTGAGACGGGAGAACCACTTGAACCCGGGAGGTGGAGGTTGCCGTGAGCTGAGATTGCGCTACCGCACTCCAGCCTGGGTGATGGATTGAGACTGTCTCAAAAAAAAAGGTCAGGAGTTTGAGACCAGCTTGGCTGACATGGTGAAACCCTGTCTCTACTAAAAATACAAAAATTAGCCAGGAGTGGTGGCACAGGCCTGTAATCTCAGCTACTCAGGAGGCTGAGGCACGAACATTGCTTGAACCTGGGAGGCAGAGGTTGCAGTGAGCCAAGATCGTGCCACTGCACTCCAGCCTGAGTGACAGAGTGAGACTGTCTCAAAAAAAAAAAAAAAAAAAAAACCCTCCCCAAAAGAATCCCTCAAAGTACCCCTAAAGCAGCAAGCAATGAGGAAGTGTTGAGAGTTGGGTGGGATAGGAGTCGGCCAGGCAGTGGTTCTGGGGTTGAGACTGTCCAGGTGCCAGGCAGAGCAGTCAGTGGAGAGGCTATGGATCAGGCCCTGTCACACCCTTCACGTGGCACCAGGGCAAGGCCACGTCACCATCCCCGGGTTGGAGCCTGCAGTCCGTTGGGCAGCTCTCCCTTCCTGCCTCCTCATAAGGTTTCCTCCATGCATCTGAACCAGCTGCCTCCCATCCTCAGCAGGCTGGGTGCAGTCGGCTTCTTCGGAAGCATGAAGGCTCACCTGGTGTCCGTCTCTCGGCAGGTCAGGAACATCCGCAAGGTCCTCAGGAAGATCGAAAAGCCCTTTGGCCTCTACCCCAACTTCCTCAGCCCAGTGAGTGGGAACTGGGTGCAACGTGAGTACAGAGACGCCACTGCCCCTTATTCAGCGGGTTCCTGCCCAGGCTTCCTAGGAAGACCCTGCCAGGCCCCTGGGCTGAGTGAGGATGTGTCTGTCAGAGCCATGCAGCCAGCAAGGCATTCGCTCGGTGCTCCTGGACACCACCTGCCTTCCCATGCATCCTGGGGGCTTGCCTGTGGTTGTCTGCTGCTGCAGTGCCGGATGTGATGGCTGCTGTTTACTGAAGGCCTGCCCTGTGCGTTCCAAACCCTACCTTCTCTGGCCCCATCAATGGCGCAGCCTTCCATCTCTTATGCTGCTGCGGGAGCCTCCTGCATTATACCCCAGGTTCTCGGGAGGGTCCCAGGTGGAGTCATCCATTCTAGAAGTGGCTCCAAGAGAGGCCAGGCATCCTTTCCAAGCCTCTTTGATCAGGCTCCCCACTTCCAACTTCAATTTTTTTTTGTTTTTTTGTTTTTGAGACAGAGTCTCACTCTGTCACCCAGGCCGGAGTGCAGTGGCACGATCTCGGCTCACTGCAACCTCTGCCTCCCAGGTTCAAGTGATTCTCCTGACTCAGCCACCCGAGTAGCTGGGACTACAAGCATGTGCCACCATGTCTGGCTACTTTTTTTGTATTTTTAGTAGAGATGGGGTTTAGTAGAGATGTTGGCCAAGCTGGTCTCGAACTCCTGACCTCAAATGATCCAACCGCCTCGGCCTCCCAAAGTGCTGGGATTACAGGCGTGAGCCACCACGCCTGGCTCCAACTTTAATTTAAAAAACAAACAAACAAACAAACAAACAAAAACCATACAACAGTGTAGAAATCATGAATTCAGGCCAAGCACCTGACGGGAGGCCGAGGCAGGCGGATCACGAGGTCAGGAGTTCTAGACCAGCCTGGCCAACATGGCGAAACCCTGTCTCTACTAAAAATACAAAAAGTAGCTGGGTGTGGTGGCACGTGTCTCTAGTCCCAGCTACTCAGGAGGCTGAGGCAGGAGAATCGCTTGAACCCGGGAGGCGGAGGTTGCAGTGAGCCAAGACCGCACCACTGCACTTCAACCTGGGCGACAGAGCAAGACTCCGTCCCAAAAAAAAACAAAAGACGTCATGAATTCATCTATACATCTTAGACCTACAAGAATCAGTCCCAGAGTTTTCAGAAGGTCTCTGTTCAGAGACTTGTTTCTCAGCCAGATAACAGCCAGTCACCCATGGAACATCATTCACAAGCCCCCAGCCCTACCCATTGCAACAGAATGGGGTTTGGGGTCGCTTAGGTGTGAGAGTGTGGACAAGTCCCCCAGGCCTCTGGAATGTGCATGCCTGTTGAGAAGCCCAGCTCTGGGAAGCAGAGGCAGGCCCTGGTCACATGGTCATGGTCAGCTGGAACTGGCAGTGACAGGTTCCGTGGGCACTGCCTCTAGGGCCTCCCAAGACCTGGCAGAGCCCCCACCCCCACTGTCTGTGTGCAAACAAGGACCCCCTTCCCTTTCCCCTGCCTCCAACCCAGTTTTTGTGACATCAGCAAGGGCTCAGGGGCAAAGTGGGTATGAGTCTAATGACTGTGTGGCTTAGGGGGGAATTCACTGTATCTCTTTGAACCTTGGTTTCCTGTCCTGCAAAATGAAAGAAGAGAATGAGATGCATTCTTTGTGTGCCATGGAGGGGCGTAGGAAGAATGGTCAAAGGCTGCAGGAAACAGATTTCACTTCCATCTGCCAAAGATGGTCCAAGTTGTCCCAAAAGGGAACAATGCAAGTGGGGCCTAGAGAGGCAGCATTGGGGACACTGTGGCGAAGCAGCTGAGGCCTTTCCTTCCAACCTGAACCTCCCCCAGAAAACTCAACCCAGGAATTTCCCCCAGGGACGACCTCACCCCAAGTGGCCTCCCGTAAAAACCACTTAGAGAAATGCAGAGTATTTTTAACCAAAACACACTGCCGAATCCAAAAGTACGGGGAGAAAATGAAGCTTGAATTGCAGATTATAGCCACGGGAAGAGGCAGTTCGATAACAGTTGCTGGTTTTAATTGCGAGACCTGACTGGATAAGGAGATAAACCCCTCTGAGCTGCTCCAGGGCAAGGCAGCAGAACCCATGAAAAGGGCTGAAAGGGGTGTGGGCTTCCTAGCTCAACAGTTACCTTGGCAAATTATAAGGGAGCCCCTGCCGGGAAGCATAATTTTCTTCTCAGGCAGAGTCAGGGCCTGCAGGTCTGGGCAAAGTCAGTCGCATATGGGAAATTGTTTCCTATTAATAAAATCTGAGCCCTCGGCCTGCTAAAGAGCAGAGGGGGTTATAATGCCCAGCTCGCCCAAACGTCTGCCTTCCTCCTCCCCTGGCCTTGGTGCCCGGGGTCATCTCAGGTTTCCTGTGGTTTTTTGTTGGTTTTTTTTTTGGTGCATACGTATTCTTTTAGCACTTGATAGCATTACCACCTTGCATAAGCTTAAGTGCACGCACATCATTTTCTCTTCTTGAATCTTCAGAACAAGCCTGAAGGCAGGACAGGCAGGTTCTGCGTAGCCCATTTGCAACCACAGAAATTGCAGCCTAGAGAAACGAAGGAGGAGTTAGGACTGCATCTCAGTTACCTAGGCCTCTGCTCTTGTTGGCTTCCCACTCCTCCTGGAAACCGAGCTTCAGGGGTAACAGGGGAGCCCCAAGACCCGTCCTATTGCTAAGAGTTCACATCCAGGATAAATCCACCAGGCTCCCGATGGTGCCCAACACAAATGAGACCACCCTGAGGCCAACCCCCTGAGAGCTGCCGAGGAGGGGTCACCAGCCCCTCGGTGCGGCACCTGAGTAACTTGTCCACTGCCTGAATCCCACACTTTCTTCTGTGGGAGGGAAGTGGCAAGTCCAGACCTCCTTGGTAGGTACAGGAGTGTGAGCTGCAGCCTGGCAGCTTCCCTGGCATCAGATCGGCTGATTTCCAGGCTTGTGGCCCAGCCTCCTGCTGCCAGGTGTGACGAGCGCATTGGCACGGTCAGGAAGCAGCAGAGCCTGCCTCTGCTCTGGGGCTCACGGACACCAGCTCGTGCCCCCTTCACACATCTGCAGATGGGGAGACCAAGGCCCAGAGTGGGCAGGGGTGCACCCTGAGCTAATGCAGAACAATGTCTTCTCATTCCTATGCCTGTGCTTCTCCCAGCCCGCCTCGCAGTGTTGGGGAAGACCACACTCGTACACACACACACACACCCCTACCACCCCACCCACCCTCCCAGACACACACACATTACACACTCCCCCATACACACACACCCACACTCCCCTCACATCCACACTCCCCTCACACACACACATTACACACTACATACACTCCTACTCTCCCCTCACACACCCACACTCCCCTCACACACTCCCCCCACACACAGACCCACACACCACTACCCTCACATACGTCCACACTCCACACACACACACACACACCCCTACCACCCCACCCACCCTCCCAGACACACACACATTACACACTCCACCATACACACAGACCCACACACCCACACTCCCCTCACATACATCCACACTTCCCTCACACACACATTACATACTACATACACTCCTACACACACTCCCCTCACACACACTCCCCTCACACACACCCACACACACAGACCCACATACCACACTACCCTCACATACATCCACACTCCCCTCACACACACACATTACACACTCCCCCCACACACAGACCCACACAGCCACACTCTCCTTACATACATCCACACTCCCCTCACACATACATTACACACTCCCCTCACACACACAGACCCACACACCCACACTCCCCTCACATAATCCACACTCCCCTAACACACACGCATTACACACTCCCCTCACGTACATCCACACTCCCCTCACACACACTACACACACATTACATACACTCCCCCCACACACTCCCCTCACATACATTCACACTCCCCTCATACACACACATTACACACTCCCCCACACAGACCCACACACCCACACTCCCCTCACATACATCCACACTCCCCTCACACACACCACACACACATTACATACACTCCCCCACACACACAGACCCACACACCCACACTCCCCTCACATACATCCACACTCCCCTCACACACACACACACTCCCCCCCACACACAGACCCACACACCCCTCACATACATCCACGCTCCCTTAACACACACACACTACATACACTCCCCCTACATACACTCCCCTCACACACCCACAGTCCCCTCACATACATCCACACTCCCCTCACACATACACACATTACACACACTCCCCTCACACACATCCACACTCCCCTCACACACATCACATACATCCACACTCCCCTCACACACACGCATTACACACTCCCTTCACGTACATCCACACTCCCCTCACACACACCACACACACACATTACATACACTCCCCCCACACACACTCCCCTCACATACATCCACACTCCCCTCAAACACACCACACACAATTACACACTCCCCTCACACACATCCACACTCCCCTCACACACACACATTACACACTCCCCCACACAGACCCACACACCCACACTCCCCTCACATACATCCACACTCCCCTCACACACACCACACACACATTACATACACTCCCCCCACACACAGACCCACACACCCACACTCCCCTCACATACATCCACACTCCCCTCACACACACAATTACACACTCCCCCACACACACAGACCCACACACCCCTCACATACATCCACGCTCCCTTAACACACACACACTACATACACTCCCCCTACATACACTCCCCTCACACACCCACAGTCCCCTCACATACATCCACACTCCCCTCACACATACACACATTACACACACTGCGCTCACACATATCCACACTCCCCTCACACACACCACACACATTACATACACTCTCCCTACACACACTCCCCTCACACACACCACACACATATTACACACACTTTCCTCACATACACACTCCCCTTACACACTACACACACACACTTCCCCTACACACACCCCCACACTACACACACTCCCCTCACATATACATACACTACACACTCCCCTCAGGCACACACACTACACACCACCCACACTCCCACACACACTACACACCACCCACACTCCCACACACACACCTATCACCCACACTCCCTCCCACACACACACCACACACTCCCTTCACACACTACACACTCCCCTCACACATTCCACACACACACCCCACACATTACACACACTCGCCTCATGCACACACCCCACACACTACACATAGTCCCCTCATACACTACACACCACACTCCTTGACACACACACACTCTCCCTACACACACATCCACACACCCATACCCCTCAGCACACACACACGCCCCCATACACCTACATACACCACACACATTCATTCACCACACATACACACTCACCCCACACCCCATACATACATACACACACACACACACACAAGCTGTAAAGCAGTGGGACTTTCACATGTGAGATGCCCACATAAGTGCCCCTGAGAGGCAGCTGCATCTCAACACCGCGGACCCTAATGACCTGGCTCCCTCCCCTGCGTGCCCCTCCAGAGGAAGCCTGGACCTTGTCACGCACACACTCCACCACCGCGTGATTGTGGCTAAACTCCTTGGCTTGGCATTCCAGGCCCTTCCTGGCACAGCCCAAGCCTCCCATCCCGGCAGAGCCCAGGCCTCCCTTCCATTCACCTGCTCAGCACTCCATGGGCATCTCTGTGCGCCGTGTAGTTACTGGGCACAGAGCGGGAGTCGCATGCAATCCCTCCCCACAAAGAGCCCACGAGCTAGTGAGGGAGGCAGACCCGTACGCAGGCACTCATCGCACACCCGGCGGGCACCCGATGGCAAGGGGGGCCCACCACCCAAGGGGAGTGCTGCCGCCGAGGGCTTCAGATGGTGCCTGGCCTTGTTTCACTTAATCCCCGTGGCCACCCTATGGGGAGGGACCGGGAGCAGGCTTGTGAGAATGCCTGAGCCCCCGCGTGGGGAATGAGGTGGGGAGGGTGCGCCACACCGAGAGGTGACAGTGCTCGTAGCTGCCGTGCCCATGACGGGGCTGGAGAAGGGCTCTGAGCAGAGGACAACCCATGACTTCCAGCCTCCCCGGCCCCTCCTCTGCAACAGACCTGCCCCTCCTCAACATGCCAGGCCTGGCCCAGCCCTTCTCTTCTGTGGGGCACCTAGGAAGGAGAGAGGTGCCACTTCTCTCTTCCCTCCACACCAGAGCATAGTCCAGCCCACCCCAGCCCTTTCCAGCTCCTCCCCAAAGCACATGCTTCATCTTGTCTGTTCCAATTTTTGCAGATGCTGGTCCGCTCTGGAACACTTGCTGGGCCAGGACTTATTTCTGGATCAGGGCTGGAGGGGGCCGGAAGGGCGAGTGTACCATGTGGCTGGCCTCCTCTCGACCCCCATTCCTGGGTCCCATCTGTCTTTGCCCTGTCTTTTGGTCCCTTGGTCCTCACATTTGTCTTTCTTTCTCTACGTATCTCTGTCTTCACTCTCTGGTTGACTTTGTGCAGCTGTGGAAGGTGAGGCTCTGCCTTTCACCAGCTTGATGGTCTTGGATGAGCCATTTAGGCCCAGTTGCCGTTCTCCCACCTGGGAAATGGGGCCGATAGCACCTGCCTTGCAGGGTGCCCAGGAAGATTAAGTTATAAATAATACATTGAGGCTCCTGGCCCACAATAAATGGTAGCTGTTGACGTGTTCTCTCTTTCTGTCCCTCTTCCCCCCGCCCACTTTCCTTCTCCCCTCTCTGTCTGCCCCCTTCTTCTGCTGAGGAGTTGAAAACACTCTGCCCATTCCCCCCGCCCCGCCTTCAGTCCACCCCCATTTTCTTTCTTCTCTCTGTCTCTCTGCTTAAGTGAATCAGAACACAGAACTGGTTTGTTCTTTGTTAAATCTATCAAATGCCTTTACGTTTCCCTGTTGTTAATTTTCAAAGCCTGGGAGCGAAGTGTTTTCTGTCTTGCGTCTGCGGTGAAGTGTTCCTCGGGCAACCCGTCTTCCTCCTGGGACGGCCCTGGGTGGAGAGACCTCTGGTTCAGCCACAGCCTGTGAGGCCCTGCTCCTTGGCTGGCCCACTGTCCAGCAGGCAGAGGCCACCAGGGCAGAGAGGGGGTGTTCCAACTCAATTCTTCTCTTTCCCGCTCCTTTGAACTCCATTTATCTCAATTTGCTAAATTTAAACTCTGTTTTTCCAGAGTGGCTCTACTTGAGGGCTTGGCCAGCTAAATTAAGGTTTTTCTTCCTCTTTCCCGTGGCCTTTTATGAAGCTACCCAGCATTAATTATCATGTTTGTCACTGGGTAATAAAAATCTCTGAACTCCCTGCCACCAGATTATCTTTGTAAAGAAATGCAACTCACTTACAGTTAATAACCAGAGGCCCTGCCGTCCCCAGCCTGCTAAGGCGAGGTGATTTATAGCACCCGCCGGATGAGCCCGTGCACTTTTGTGCAGGATGAGCGCTCTCTAGACAGCCCTGGTTTCCTCCAAGTCGCAGGCTGTGTCTGCCTCGCAGTACCCATTCCAGGTTCGGTGGCTGCTGGCGAGATGCCCGCTTCCTACCCGTACAGGCACCGGGCCCCTGAGGTCAGGCGGGTGTGCGAGGCCCTGCCCCGTGAGAGCCGGCGGCAGATGGAGATAATGTTCTTGTCCTCTTTCCCTTCACAGACCATGTCTCAGTTGGAGGACTCGGGGACAGTTTTTATGAATATTTGATCAAATCCTGGTTGATGTCGGGCAAGACAGATATGGAGGCTAAAAATATGTACTACGAAGCCTTGGAGGTAAGACAAGCCCTGGATTATTCACAGGCCGCTGGTCACCAGCCCCCGGCTCTCTCACGGCCGAGCGAGGGTGCTGCGGGCAGCGGGGCCAGATGGGCCGAGACTTGCTCCCACCCCCTGCAATGAACCGGTGAGAAGATTGACAGGACAGTCCCCTCCCAGCCAGGCATTTTACACCCTGCGACCCTCCCACATGCTCTAAGACTGGGGCTTTGTTAGATGTGAAACCTAAGCTCTGGGAGGTGAAGTCATTTATCCAAGGTCTCACGGGAAGTGACCGTCAGTCTGATTCAGAAACCACCACCTGCTTGGTGTCTATGCTTTGGCTGATGTATCAGAGCCCAGAGTGCAGCTAGACTGTGGGCTGGCACCCCCAAGGGTGGCTGCCAGAGTGAGACCCTCAGCTGTGTCTTCCTTGGACAGTAGAGGTGACATGAGAAGTATGTCCAAGCTGGAAGAGGCCTCCTTCAGTGGAGCATCCAGTTTTGCTCCTTCTCTTTGTGTGGATGGAAACCAAGGCCTAGAGAGGGGAAGGCACTTGCCCAAGGCCACACAGCACAGAGCTGGCCAAGCTGGCACCACTGCTGGTCTGTCCGCGGGGTGTGGAATGAACGAGGGCTGGAAGGCTGAGGTGAGTCCTTCCAAAGAGGAGAGACGAGGACGAAAGAGGGAATCAGTTAGCCTGAGCCATTGGGAAGAGGGCTAAGGAATCCCACCACTCAACAGATACTTTGGAGCCCAACTAAGGAAAAGGCACTGGGCCTGTTCTGGGCCTCAGTTTCCCCATAAAGCAAGTTGAGCAAGTCGGATCTACTCTGCCACCACCTTGGTCTACACTACCTCCTTATTTTCTCTAAACTGGCTTCCCCTCTGCCCTGCCCTCTGAATGCTGTGTGGGGAACAGAAGCCAGAAGAGCTGGACACGCACATCCCTCTCCTCTCTGGCTTCCCTTAGCACCTGGAATAAATCCAACTCCTCTCCTTTACCCATCGGGTCCGCCTTCCCTGGGCCCTGCTGATCACCCTGACTTCACGCCTGCCTCTCTGCTCTGTGCTCTCTGGGCCCTGGGCACCAGTCTTCCTGCTCTTCCTCAGACACCCCAGGCGACTCCCACCTCAGGGCCTTTGCACTTGCTGTCCCCTCTGCCTGGAATATCATTCCAATGGCTGGGTCCCTTTCACTAGTCAACTCTCAATTCAAATGCCACTGAAACTACCATTCCCAGCCTGTCACATACTCAGGCTTATTCTCTTCACCTTCATCAGCCTCTAAAATTATCACAGGCACATATTTGTTTACTTGCTCATTCTCTATCTTCCCCAAATAGAATATCAGTTATCTGGGATCAGAGATCTTGTCTGCTCCTAAAACAGTGCCTGGCACATAGCAGGCCCATGGTAACTGTTTTGTGAATGAATGAATGCATGGGTGCATGAATGCTGAAAGGATGAATGGAGGGAAGGATGGATGGAGGGAAGGATGGATGGGTGAGTAGATAGATGGGTGGGTGGGTGTGGGCAGTTGGATGGATGGATAGATGGTCTGTGACTACCCTCTGATCACAGGAATCTGGCCAGGAATGGTGGTGCTTAAAAGACACACATTGAAACGGACTGCTAGAGCCATGGACCCTTTAAACTGTAGGCTCAGTAATGATTTTTCCCTGCTCAGCTCCCTGGCACAAGACCTCAGTCATGAAGCAGCTTCTGGGACTGCAGTCCCATCTCAGTCTGGGTCCCAGTCTTGTTCACTCCTGTCTTTGGCTGAGCTCAGACCAGAGCCCCGGTCAGAGAATTAGTGTGCAGCTGGTGGTGGCCGGAGTGTGCTGCCCAGAGGCCCTTTCTGCCTTCCCTTGCAGAGTAAACATAAAGTTAATGAGCAGCCAGGCTCCCTGCCCTCAGGGCACACAGTAGTTGAGCCATCAAGGGAAGAAATGGCCATGAATTATTTAAGGAAACTCAGAGCACTTGATTTTGTAGGAGAGAACTTTGAATAGAAGAGGCTTTGCTCTCTGCATTTGATCTTCCCAGTGAAGAGCCTGGAGCATCTTTGACCCTGGGTGAAGGCTGGGCCTCTGGCAAGTTTGGGGTTTTGAAGAATTTTCTGGTGGTTCTCAACCTTGTTGCCATGTTAAAATCACCTAGGGAGCTGCAAAGTCCTGATGTTCAGACTGCACCCCTGACTCAGAACCTCTGGGCACTGGGCCCGGGCCACACATAAACCTCCTTGGGATTTCGTGTATAGTCAGGGTTGGGAACCACCCACCAAAGACCTTCACCCCTGCCTGCACCTTAGGATCACCTGGAGAGCTTTAAAAATCCCATGTCTAGCCTCACCCCAGGCCAATAAATCCCAATCTGAGATTTTTAAAAAGTTCCTTCCACAATTCTGTTGTGCACCTGGGGTCAGAAAACCACCAGGTTAGACCAGTGTCCAGCTGGGATGGACCGGGGAGGGTCAGACAGATCGGACTGGGCACACCCCTGAGTGTCACGGCAGGAGACAAAGAAGAAGAACAGGAAGAGCTTTGGTCACTTTGGCCTCCTCTGAGCTAGTGCTCTAAGTACCTCATCTTATTTAGCCCCCATCTTACAGATGACGAAACTGAGGGTCAGAAAGGCCCAAGGTCCATATAGCAACAAGTGTCAGAGCCAGGACACAAACACGGGTCTGACTCCA
Organism: Homo sapiens; assembly: GCF_000001405.40. Taxonomy (NCBI): domain Eukaryota; kingdom Metazoa; phylum Chordata; class Mammalia; order Primates; family Hominidae; genus Homo; species Homo sapiens. The sequence goes on from NC_000001.11 coordinate 25,774,453, forward strand.
GATCCATTGGGCTGGCCTCTACTTACCAGCAGCCAAATCACAGAGGGGCCTGGCTTGCCTGAAACCCCTCCCGCGAGTGCTCAGATGGGGCTCCTGCAGGCGGCAAAGGAAGGAACAGCCAGCGCCAGGCACTGAGCCAGGCTTCGAATATCCTCTCCTTTAATCCTCACAACCAACCCAGGAATCATTACTCCCATTTTATAGATGAGCAAAGTGAGTCTTCATTAAAGTGAAATAACTTGCCCAAGGTCATCTAGCTCCTAAATCGCAGAGCTGAGATTCAAACCCAGGCCTCTCGCCACGCTGGGCTCACTGCCTATGGGTTAGCCCTGCTCCACAAGGAACAGCACAAATATTTTTGTTAATACATTAAAAAAAAAAAACCCTGGTCTTGTGCCCCACTTAGCTCCTTGCACCGCTGCTTGCTGTGATTTAAACCTTTTACCAGTCGTCTGCCAGCCTGCACTGTCTTGTGTTTTGTTTTAGAAAGCCTTGTTTTTTATCTTTGCATCTGCGTGTCTCAGTTGTGTCTTCAAAGAGGCAGTGGTTTATAATTTCCTCTTGACTGCAATTACTTAGCTTGGGGCCAACCCCCAGTGGAAATAATGTGTGGGAGGCGGTCTGGAAGGTGCAGGTGCCAGGTCTGGTGCGCAGCATCCTGAGGTCTCCCTCAGATGTCTGTGTTCTCTCCAAAGTGTTGACAACTGGTGACTCGGACCCAGGTTTCTGAGCCCTGACACTCCTCCCCTGCACCGCAGGCTTAGTGACGCCGAGCAGCTGCCAGGGACATGGCTCTGCCCGGGAGCCAGGCCGGGCCCAGAGCAGACCCCTGCCTGCAGCCCGGCTGCTCTGCAGGTGTCCTCAGCACTCCCCCATGTGGAGCAGGTGCCCTGGCATGTCACATTGTCAGCGCTTTTCCATCTGCCACTCAGTGTGGGTCCTGCAGCCAGCCCACCAGCCCTGGGCCCTGACAGGAGAGAAAAAAGGAAAAAACAGACCCAGGAGTGAGCGAGTGTTCCTTGAGCATCTTCTGTGTGTCGGGCACTGGCTGGAGGCTGCTGCTGGTGGCTTCTGCTGTCACACGGCACTCAGAGTCTGAGAGAGAGACAGATATACAACAGAAACAGATGCCAAGTAGGAATGGCACCATGTAGAAGGGTGACAGGGGCCCATAGGTAATGGCAGTGGCAGTGCTGGTTTAAATTGGGGCATTCTCTCCAAGGAAGTGACATTCTGGAGGAGGTGGGGTTAGCAGAGTCAGGGCTGGAGCATGCAGGAAGGAGGCGCAGCACCAGCTAAGCCCCGAAGCAGGAAGAAAAATGCAGCTTTCAAGAATGTCACCTTTGCAGAGAGATTTTCCCTGACCTCCCTCTGCAAAGTACAGCACTGCCCCCACCCCAGTTTTTTTTGTTTTGTTTTGTTTTCTTGGGTTTTTTGTTTGTTTGTTTTTTTATGACAGAGTCTCACTCTATTGCCCAGAGTGGAGTGCAGTGGTGCAATCTTGGCTCACCGCAACTTCTGCCTCCTGGATTCAAGTGATTCTCCCACCTCAGCCTCCCAAGTAGCTGGGACTACAGGTATGCACTACCGTGCCTGGCTAATTCTTATATTTTTAGTAGAGATGGGTTTTTGCCATGTTGCCCAGGCTGGTTTCAAACTACTGGGCTCAAATGATCCATCTGCCTCAGCCTCCCAAAGTGCTGGGATTACAGGCGTGAGCCACTGCGTCCAGCCCCTCCCCGCATACCCCTGCATTTTTTAATCTCATCCTCTCACTTTGTTTTATTCAAAATGCTGATCACAAATTGTACCTCTCAGCCAGTTGTGGTGGCTCACGCCTGTAATCCCAACATTTTGGGAGGCCGAGGTGGGTGGATCCCCTGAGGTCAGGAGTTCAAGACCAGCCTGGCCAACATGGTGAAACCCCATCTCTACTAAAAATACAAAAATTAGCCGGGGGTGGTGGCACACGCCTATAATTACCCAGCTACTTGGGAGGCTGAGGCACGAGAATGGTTTAAACTTGGGAGGCGGAGGTTGCAGTGAGCCAAGATCATGCCACTGCACTTCAGCCTGGGTGACAGAGTAAGACTGTGTCTCAAAACAAAACGAATTGCACCTCTCATATATATTTGGTTTTGTTGGGAATTCTCTGCACTAATGGGTGAGCTCCCTGAGGCAGAGTCCAGGCTCCTCTCCAGCACACCTGTAGCCCCAGTACCTAGCACAGCGCTGACACCAAGGAAATATTACATGGCTGCCGAGATATTGTAAGCCAGGAGGGTACCTGAGTGAAAAAAGGCCAGTGTAGGTGAGGTAGGGTGTGAGGAGGGAGGGGCAGGAGACAGACTAGAGTGGAATCATAGGGGTCAGTAATTAGTGGGGACTCGCTCTGTGCTGGGAAATAGGCCAAGTCCTGCAGGCATATCTCATTTAATTCTCACAACCCTATGAGGCAGTTAATGCTCTTATCCCCAGTTTACACGTTAGGAAACTGAGGCACAGAGAGAACATACAACCTGCCCAGTGTCACACAGCGTGGAACTGGTGGAGATGAAATTTGAACCTGATGAGTCTGTGCCCCAGAGCCATGTCCATAGAATCAGGTCCACCCTCAAGGTCCAGATCGTGGAGTCTTGGAGGCCCCTCTGGTGTTTTCACATAAGGGCACTTGGAAACCACTGAAGGTTCTAAGCAGGCAGATGATATGATCCGGTTTGTTAATTGCAGAGTACAGAGACCCCCTGGAGAGTAGATTGGAGGGGTGAAAGTGGAGGCAGAGGCCTGGAAGGGCCCCAGAGGACCCCAGCCATGGGCCAGGCCCCACCAGCCCATGGAGTCTGGCCTCGAGACTGTGTGAGCAGCTTCCTCCCTCCCCTTGGTCCCCAGGGCTCCTGGGGTGAGAGCAGTCTGACCCCCTCACGCCCCCGACATCCCAGAGTCTTTACAACAGCATCACCTCCCTTCCCACCAAAAGGCATGGCCATCAGGTAGTGGAAGAAGCAGAGCTCTGGACATTGTGGGGTCTTGTTTCTAGGCTGGTGTGGCTGGGTGGCCTGGGACAAGCTGCCACACCTCCCATTTGTCTGTGTAGGGCGCGGCAGCCCAGGTGCCTGGCTTGCTGTAGGCATTAAATGAGGAAACGTGTGACAAGATACTCCTAGAGAACAGCTCTTAATTTTCTGCAGGTTCTTTTTGAGAAACTGGTAAGAATAGATGGACACTCTTCCCATAAAGATGCACATCCACCAGAAAGTGTTGGGTACAGTTTTAAGGGCCTGGACCCCTGAAGCCCATCCACAGGCCAGCTGGGCTTCTGGTTAAGATCAAACAGAGGACATAATGGAGGAGGAGGATCACCTTAAAATATTTTTTAACGTTTTTTAAAACATGGAAGATTTTAAAGGCTGTGTAAGAGACTTGCCCTGGGGAGCTGCCCTGTGTCTGAGCCTCCCAGCGAATAGCAGCCCCTCCTGTGCCCTGGCAGGCATCTTGACCAGCAGAGATCAATGGGCCTCCTTTGCCTGGGATGGAGGGCTTGGCAGAGCTGCCCTTGCTACTGTCTCCAAAATGTTCATTTTCCATCCTTTCCCCCCCTTCTCTGTGCCCTCCCACGCCCCTTCTCCCTGCCCAATCCCCACCTTGCTCCCAGGCGATAGAGACCTACTTGCTGAATGTCTCTCCCGGGGGGCTGACCTACATTGCCGAGTGGCGAGGGGGGATTCTGGACCACAAGATGGGGCACCTGGCCTGTTTCTCCGGGGGCATGATCGCCCTTGGCGCCGAGGATGCCAAGGAAGAAAAGAGGGCCCACTACCGAGAGCTCGCAGCCCAGATCACCAAGACGTGTCACGAGTCATACGCCCGCTCAGGTAACCCTGCAAGGGGAAGGGGCAGCAGGAGAGACTGAGGCTAGACACCAGGAAGAACTGGAAAGACCGGCAGCAGTGAGCGAAGGGAGCACATGGCCTTAGGGAAGCCTCCCCTTGGAAGTTAAGTAGAATTTGAGAGAGGTACTCTCCAGGCTCCGAGACCATACCCTGAATGAAAGGGAAACTAGTACAGACACAGGAAGCGCTTTGCATGTACCTGGTACTCTTCCGCACTTGACACAACATCACTGAACCTCACCACACAGATGAGGAAACTGAGGCTCAGAGATTACTTGGCCAAGGTCCCTTGAGAGGGGCACAGAGTAAAGGATCCTCCAGCCCCGGAGGCAGAAACGGCGGCTTCCTGAGCCCGGCACATGTCCCACCCTGAGTCTCCTACTTTCAAATGTGCCTCTGCCTTTCCCCCGGCACCCTCCTTAGAGGGGGTTTCACCGCCTCCTGCTCCCACCTGTTTAGTCGCCCTCTTTGACCCATGATCACCGGAAAGCCTGAGAGCTTGGTCCTCCCCACCCACCACTCACCACTGAATTGTCCGATGCTAGAATCAGAGGTCACATTTGAGAGCCTGAGCCTGGCTCCTCATTCTACACAGAGAAGTGGAGTCAGCCCAGAGAGGGGAAGTGACTTAGCCAAAGTCACACTGCACATGAGGAATTGATCCTGGGCTGGAACCCAGGCCTTCTGATGCCTGGTTCCACCCCGTGCGCAAACTGCACCCCTCAGAAAAATCCCCAGCCCCCGTGTGGTCCCAGGAGACGCCCACCGCTCTGAGTGGTAATCCCAGTGTTGGTTGGAGGGGACGACCCAAGATTTGCAGTAAAAATCCCAGGCTCAAGCAGCGCTTGACAAAATGACTGTTTTCTGATGGCCAGGAGCCGCTACACCATTTGAAAAGATTAGAGAGGCCAGATGGGCAGCCTCTGTTTTCTTATCTGTTCGATGGGAATCATGACACAGGTCTCAGAGTGAGGCACAGGGTCCCATGAGAAAGTACCTTGGCAGCCACCTTTGGCCAGCAGCACTGCAGGCACTTGCTGACCGCCCATCATGATGTGTCTGTGCCCGCCCCAGCTGAATGGGGTCTCCTGGAGCTGTTTCCAGGAAGTCAGAGATTCGCAATGGGTCTTTAAAACTGGTTGTCCATTCTCTTCAAAGAGCTTGCTCTGCCAGGGCCATAAACAAATAAGAAATCTCAGGACTAATAAAAGGCTCGCTATTTGTCTGAGACAATCAGCCCAGACCATAAAAGACAGCCGCTTAATAAAGCATATTGTTCTAGCCAGCCTCGGCTTGTCCTGTGGACGCCTGTAGCAGTGGCTCCTGCCTTCACCCCACTAGCGACTTGGCAAAATGACTGTTTTCTGATGGCCAGGAGCCGCTACACCATTTGAAAAGGTTAGAGAGGCTAGGGTCTAGCTAATTCCTCTTCCCTGAAGCCCTCCATGGAAGAGCAGGAAGTCCTGCAAACCTCTAACCCCTGCCTCTAAAGTAAAAGCAACCTAGGGCCTCTCAGGGTTTTGAACCCTGGTAGTAGGGAAGAGGGCTCACATTAGGAATGGAGCTGGGGACTTGGGTGACCTGGACAGGAGGGACAGGCATTAAAGGGAGAAGGATCTGGCCCTCATACCCTACATGTTGGGCCTATGAGGGTTAGACCCAGGAGGGAAAGAGCACCGCCCTAGGAGAGGCATCAGACACATCCAGGGTCAAGTCCCAACTCAGCCACAACTCGCTGTGTTACCTTGGGCAAATTACTTAGCCTCTCTGATCCTCAGTTTCCACATGCGTGAGAGGGATAGTAGCAATTACCTTACTAAAGAAACATTTTTTAAGGATAGAAATAGTGTATTAAAGCACCCAGCACGGCCTTTGAAATCATAAATAGTGGCTACAGAGGTGGTTATAATTATGGCCATATGACAAGAATGACAGCAAATTGCCTCAAAACCAAACAGTGACAATGACAGAACCCAGGCTCCCTCAGGCCCTCCTTCCTCAGCTCCCTCTGTGGGAGTAGGTGCATTCCTGGGCAATCTTCCCTCCATCTCTACCTCAGCTGTTCCCAAACTCTCGAAGTTTGTTCTGGGAGGTGTTAAAAGCAGTTTTCTAAGACAAAGGGTCCCAAGGAGAAGCCTCATTTCACATTAGCATATTAAAGGATCTGATAAATCCTGCAGATGGGAGACTTATTTTGTTTAACCCTCGGTTCCCCAGATGTGTTGAAACCCGAAACCCTCTTGGCTGAGGTCTGGCTAACCTCTTGCAGAGCTATTGCCTCAAAGTACACAGTTGTGGAACCCCGCCCAAACCTTCACCTACCCAGACTGCTGAGTAGCTCATTTGGACTCTCAGAGTCCAAAGCTGCTCACATTTCCAGTCCCCGAGGGTCTTGTTCTGTCCAGCCCAGGCCAAGAGGGAAGCTGTGCATCTGCCCGGTGCAGCCTTACACAGCAGTCCAGGCAGGGGCACCCCACACCCACACACACCTGACATCACCCTGGCCGCGGGTTCAAGGCAACTGACATCTCTCCTGGATCCCGAAAAGCAGGAGGTGGGAGGTCTGACCTGGGCCCTCTGCTTGGCTGTTTCCCCAGACACCAAACTTGGGCCTGAGGCCTTCTGGTTTAACTCCGGCAGAGAGGCCGTGGCCACCCAGCTGAGCGAGAGCTACTACATCCTCCGGCCAGAGGTGGTGGAGAGCTACATGTACCTGTGGCGACAGACCCACAACCCCATCTACAGGGAGTGGGGCTGGGAGGTGGTGCTGGTGAGTGGGCCCCAGGGATGGGCAGCAAGGTGCTAGATGCCCCTGAGAATTTACAGGCTGGGTGCTAGGTGCCCTGGCTTGGGCCTGGAGTGGAAGGCCAAGCCACGTTGACCTCTGACCACAGTTCAGAGTGCAAAGGGTCAAGGTGGTGGTTACAGAGCCAAGAGTCCCCAGCTGGGCAAAGTTGTCCTGAGACAGGACAGGCCAGACTTGTGAAGAGGGTTCTGAGTGCCCATATCCTTGGGGCCTGGGACCAGGCCTCAGCAAACTTAGAGGGTCAGAGGCTAGGCAGCTGCCTAGAGCACCACGCAGGCACCACGCGGCCACCGCTGTCCCAACAGACGCTTTCCTGATCTCGAAGCTGGGCAGCTCACCTCCACCTCCCTCCTCTTCCCACAGGCAGCCCAGCCTGAGGGACCCCCCCACCCTAGTCTCTACTGGCCCTTGAGGCCTACCCTGCCCTCAGCCTCCGGCCCCACACCTAGGTGGAAATTTAATGGCTGTCTTGGGGGAGGTGTCAAAGGCAGGTGTGGGGATTCCAGCAGGTTCCCTGGTGGATGCTGAGCCTTCTCTGCCCCTATCTCCCCCACCACCCCCGTGCCCATTCCGAGCATTGCACTCAGACGGGGTCCAGGGCATGCTCAGGTTTACTGGCCCTGTTAAGTCCACCTGCTTCCCCAGGACCATTGTTCTTGGCCTTCAAAGGCCAAGCGTCTTGTGCTCCTATGCCCAGTCCATAGACCCCCTCCGTGGGTAGAAATTGTATTTATCAGCCTATAGGCAACACGGCAAAACCCCATCTATACAGAAAAATACAAAAATTATCCAGGCATGGTGACGCACGCCTATAGTCCCAGCTGCTTGAGGGGCTGAGGCAAGAGGATTGCTCGAACTGCAGAGGTTGAAGCTGCAGAGTGAGCTCTGATCGCCCCACTGCCCTCCAGCCTGGGCGACAAAATGAGACCTTGTCTCAAGAAAAAAAAATGCATTTATATAGAAAGATGAATGGCTTGGCTCACTTGCCTCCAGCCCAGGGGCCATCTCTCCTGAGAATCCCTGGAGTACCAAGTCCGTCCCCAAATCCCAGCCCATGGCCATCACCCGTGGCTTCTCTTCACCTCTGCCTACCACTGTGGGTGAATCTGTAAGACCAGCCTAGTCCCCTGAAACACAAAGAGAAGCTTCCTCTAAGTTCAAACCAGGTGAAGAGCTCAGGACAGGCAGCCCATCGGGCCAGAGCTCTCAGAGGTGTGGGTGGAAGGAGTGTGGCCCCTCCAGCCTGGGGACAGGTGGCTAAACCCCGAAAGAATAATTTGACCTTCTGTTCCCACAAATGCCAGGAGTCCCCAGCCAAGGGGTGGGGGTGCTGTCTGCTTTCTTCTAGCTCCAGCCTGCCAGGCATGCACAAGTCTTGAGGGGCCTTTCCTGTCCCGTGTTAAGGCTGTTTTCCTCCTCCTCTTCCCCTTCCTCAGGCCTTGGAGAAATACTGTCGGACAGAAGCCGGTTTCTCTGGGATCCAAGACGTGTACAGTAGCACCCCCAACCACGACAACAAGCAGCAGAGCTTCTTTCTAGCGGAGACACTAAAGTGAGCAGTGTGGGCTCTTCCTAGGGATGGACAGGTGGGAGGTTGAGGGTAGGGGTCCGCAGTCCCTCCCCTCCACAGTCAGGTTCTGTGGTCACAGGACGGGAGCCCAAAAGGGGTGAAGGGCTTGGGATCCAGAGGGCTGCACCCCAGGTGTGAGCCTTGGGCCAGGCCGCTTTCTCGGAGAGTGAGACTGGGCTAGAATCCAAGTTCCCTAGGGACGCACCGTGTGATACCGCAGGTTCCTTCAGTTTCTCGCTTATCTCCCCAGGTTGCTTCCGTTCTGGGAACCGCGTCCTCGTGTGTAAAATGGGATAGGGTTAACGATGATGATGTCAGTGCTGGTTGCTGGCATTGACTTTCCCTCCTGTGGCCTCTGCAGTGTGGCTGCTGTGCCCTCCTCGATTTCATGCCATGGAAGTTGGCCATCCCACTTCCTCACTGTTCCCCAAAGCAAGCCCCTTGTGCTTTAACCCTTTAGGGTGGGTCAGAATGATCAGTTCCTTCCAGTGAGGAAAAAACCCACAACCTGGAAGCTGGAGTTCTAGAGTCACAACCCCATGTTCTTCTCAGTGCCCCAATGTGTACTCTGAATATAGAGTCTTAGTGGGCAGCAGCGGGGCACGTGAGAGTCAACTGGACTGCAGCAGCCCTCAGGCACCCCTGCAGAGAATCTGGACCATAAGGGCTCACATACAGGGCCGGGCAGGTGAAGCTGGCTGATGGCAGAGCCAGGGTAAACTAAGTCCTTCTGACCCCAAAGCTCAAGGCTTTTCTCTGCAGCCACAGCCTCCTTCCCCAGGACTAGCACCCCCACCCTGCTGCCCACAGTTTTGGGGTTGCAAGGCTCCAGACCTTGACCATAGGCCTATCACAAAGGCCCTGAGACTTGTTCCCAGGCCCACCCTTCTTCCCCAGGCCACTGACAGACTGTGTCTTGCTTCCCTGCCCTGCGTGGGGCACAGGTATCTCTATCTTCTGTTCTCTGAAGATGACTTGCTCTCCCTGGAAGACTGGGTGTTCAACACCGAGGCCCACCCACTCCCGGTGAACCACTCAGACAGCTCCGGCAGAGCCTGGGGCAGACACTGACCCCATCTCCTGCCGCCGCCCTGGGGCCGCCGCAGGGATGCCTTGCCTTTTCAGGATTTGAGACTGTTCTCAAAGGGATTGGGAACGAAGGCCCCATCTCGGGCAGACCCCCAGCAGATGTGTCGGACAAGCAACTTCTTTTCCTCTGTGAGGAGACAAGACTTGGAGACTCAGCGATGTCAGGCCAGGGCCATGGCCACACTGGCCCACACATTCCTTTCTACAGAGAATTTCTATGAAGCCCACTCACTTGCCATTCCAGGGCCAAAGGACCGGAGGTTTGCATATCCGCCCCTTGTATTTGATTTGCTTCCTTTTGGTTTCTTGGTTTTTGTTTTTGCTTGATTTTGTCTTTTCTCTACAGTTTAGTTTTGTCACAATTACACATATAGTTTTCAAAATCATGCACTTTCTAAAATGGTGTCATCCTGAAAAACAAAACCCAGTGTTTGCACACACACAAAATCTTGACCCCGTTATCTATATTTTAAATGCTTTTTGCCCAACACTGACCCTATGTTCAACTTTGTGTCATTTACCTTATAATTTGAGGAGGGGTTTCCCTTTGGGCCTCAGTGTTACAAATTACTAGTGCTATTTTCATTATTATTGTAATGGAAAAATCTGTGGACTAGAATAAAAGAGTTTATTGAATAAGAAATATGATTGGGCTCATTGCACATCAGTGACTCCTAGAAAAACCATTGCAATGTTACCATCAGAAATAATAATCAGCCAGCAGTTGATTTAAGGTATAATTTAGTAAACGATTCCAACTTCTATTACCTCCCCTGAAATCGGTCCTGATATATTCGAGAAGCATGAGGCCAGCCCTTCAGATGCAGTTGTTTATTTATACTCAGGTTTAGATTGGGAAGAGGCCCAGGGAGGAGCAGCAACTTGCCTGAGGTCACACAGCCCAAAAAAGGCAAAGGAGAGTCTCGCCCCTGCCGTCTCCTGGCCACCCCAGTTGAGTGTCCGTCTGTTCCATCATTCAGCAGATGCTTGGTGAGTGCCTGCAACGGACCAGACACTGGGCTAGAGGCCAGGGACACCGCTGAGAGTGAGACAGTCATAAGCCCTGCAGTCAAGGGGTCAAGAGGGGAGAAAGCGATGGTAAGGGAAACTGACAAGTAAGTGAAGTGACTGCAGGTCATAGGAAATGCTACAAAGGAGATAGATAGACAGCTGAGGACCTACCCTACGGGGTCAGGGAGGGCCTCTCTGGGCAGGTGACCTTCAAGCCAAGACCCAGAAGATAAAAAGGAGCAGCCGAAAGACTATCTGGCAGAAGAATGAACTTCCCATAACCCAGCCCCCTTTCCCACCCTCCCTGATGCCCTCCCTGGGAGGGGGCCTGAAACACTGGGGCTGTTGTGCAGAGCAAGGAGCTCAGGTCCTAACACTGAAGTGACAGCTCTTCCTCCCCTGACCCTTTTTTTTTTTTGAGACCCAGAGTCTCGTTCAGTCGCCCAGGCTGGAGTGCAGTGGTGCAATCTTGGCTCACTGCAACCTCCACCTCCTGGGTTCAAGCAGTTCTCCTGCCTCAGCTTCCCCAGTAGCAGGGTGCGTCACCACACCCGGCTAATTTTTTGTATTTTTAGTAAAGACGAGGTTTTGCCATGTTGCCTAGGCTGGTCTTGAACTCCTGAGCTCAGGTGATCCGCCCACCTCAGCCTCCCAAAGTGCGGGGATTACAGGCATGAGCCACCACACCCAGTCCTTTCCTGGCACATTTGCAGCTTGTCAACACAGCGGAAATCACGGGAGAATGTTGAGCCCTTCCCTGGGCTCAGCTGCTTGCTCTGTTCATAAGCTTTAATAGCCCCCGGGGCTCTGGGCCAGGTGACCCGGCTTTAAATCCCTGCTGTGTGAACTTAGGCAGGTACCTCCCCTCTCTGGGCTCTTCTTTTCCATCAAGCAGACAGAAAACCTCAACCCCACAAGGTTGCTGTGAGAAGAAGTGGGAAGCTGCTGGTTCCCTGGGCACAGGAAGTGCTTGTTCCTTGTTCTGGAGACTCAAGACATTCCCAGAATCTTCTTAAGCAGAGCTGCTGGGGAGTAGCCCCTGTAGCAAGTACCATGCTCTTGACAGGCAGCATGAGAGCGTGACTCCCATGACCCACCTGTGCTCAAAAAAAAAAAAAAAAAAAAGCAAACCAGGAAAACTGACTACACAAACATTGTAGAAAGATTAGAAAATAGAAGCAGAAAGAAGACTCATTGGCCATCCCACTCTCTGGGGTGAATACTGTTATATTTTCTTCTAGGCCTTTTTCTATGAATATATAGAATATAGATTTTGCCACCGTGGTATCCTACTATGCACACTGTTTTCTTATAATCTGCTTTTGCACTTAACTGTACATTGTGAACCTCTTTCCATGTCAACAAATACATGTTTATCTCATCGCTGTACGTGCTTGTGGAGTATTCCATTGTGTGCTGTAGCCTACTTTGCTGATCTAAGCCCCTGTTGCCAGGCATTTGGGTTTGTGTCCATCTGGGATTTTAGTTACAAATCACAGAAACCAACTCTGTCAACTTAAGCACAGAAAGGGATTTACTGAAATGCCATGGGGTGGCTTATGGAATCTCAGGAAGGAGTAAACAGCCAAACCTCAATAAGGGCTAGAAAGAGGACTTGGCCAGGGACCCCTTCAAGAACCAGGGAAGCCTCTCTAGGCACCACCATCAGGAGGGCTGAATCCAAATGTTTCCAGATCCTGCTGTGGCTCCTTTCCATGTGGCCTGGCCTGGGTCACATGCCCGCCCCAGCCAAGGGCAGAGCCAGGCATCTTGGCTTGGCAGACCCCCTAAGATTACCCTGTGCAATGGGTGTTGGGCTGTTCCCTAGAGAAAAACATGAGATTCATCACCAAAATAAGGGATCTGCAGGCTGCACAGGCAAAAACAGCAGGACTGTTTACAGTTAGCTTTGATTTCTTCAGTATTATACAGAGAGTTATGAAGAGCATACTTAACCATCCTCCTTTTCACTTTTGTCCAATTATGTCCTCAGAATAACTTCTAGAATGTCTCTCTGTCTCAAAGCCACTTTGCAGTTCCCCAAGCCCCAGGCTCCCCCGCCAGGCCCGTGCGGCTGTCTACCTCTCCTCTCCTGTCCTCTGCTGTATTGCTGGGAGGAAATTGTAAAAATGAATATTTTAAAATGTATCCTCCAGGAGGGCCCTTGCAGGTGGAGAAATATCATCCTTTTGGCAACTTAACTCCATTCCACGGATAAAAATAAGTACGACTCAAGACAGGCCGAGAGGAGAGAGGAATTAAGGGATGACTCATCCTCACTGAAGGTAGGAGAGAGCTTTGCAAGCCACAGAATCTGAACACCCAAACCTCTCACTGAAGGTAGGAGAGAGCTTTGCAAGCCACAGAATCTGAACACCCAAACCTCTCCCTGAAGCAGCCCTCTCCTTCCCCAGCTGGGGGTCAGCCTGTGGCTGCCAAGCTCATTTTAAGCCTCATCTGCGCCCTCGCTGAGGATGGAAGCACCATTTGCACCTGCTTCCCTCATAGAAGGGTGTGATGTCAGCTCCTTCCCAGAAAGCTTCATCAACACCCAGCTCCTGGCACTGAGGTCTGCAGAGCCTCAAGGCCCCGGGAAGGGGGACGAGCAGGGCACAGTCCTTTTCTAGGTGCCTCCCTTTAAATGACTGGCTATTTGGTCAGACCAGCCAAATGCATTGGGAAGAAAAGCAAAAATGGAAAATCTGATTTAAAGGCAGCATCCAAGATGGATGCTCAGTTCCGTTCCCTCTGCTTTGAGGAGGTGACCCCACTGTGGTTTGAGAAAGTGCTAGAGATGAATGGGCCAGCTTCCCCCAGCGTTTCCCCTGGGGGCCTGTCCTTGGAAGTATGGTCATTGGTCATGTGGCACAAAGATGCTCGGCCCTCTGTGACTAATGCTTAATTACACCCTACTGGAGGAAGGGGGCTGATTCTATTTTTTGTATCTGAAAATATCAGTTTGGTTTCCTATATTTGGAGCACTGTTTTGTTCCTGCTCAGCCTGTCTCTTAAGTCAGAGCTTCTCAAACGTGCACAGGAATCACCTGGGAGCTTGTTAAAATCCAGGTTCATGTTCAGCGGCTCTGGCATGGAGCCTGAGATTCTGCCTTTTTTTTTTTTTTTCCTGACACAGGGTCTTATTCTGTCACCCAGGCTGGAGTTCAGTGGGGCCATCATAGCTCACTGCAACCTCCATCTGCAGGGCTCAAGCAGTCCTTCCACCTAGCCTCCTGAATAGCTGAAACTACAGGTGTGCCGCCACATCCAGCTAATTTTTTTTTTGTCGCTACATTTCTCAGGTTGGTCTCAGAATCCTGGGCTCAGGCTATCCTTCCGCCTCAGCTTTCCAAAGTGCTAGGATGGCAGGCATGAGCCACTGTGCCCAGCCAGATTCTGCTTTTCTCTAACAAGCTCCCGGGAGATGCTGATGCTGCCAGTCCTTGGACCACACTTTGAGTAGCAAGACCCCAGTTGGTGGCCACTGCCTTGGTTTCTGCCTTTTATTTGCATCCCTGGAGCTGTAACTGCTCCAGAGTGGAGTAGAGGGGCTCAGGTATTAGGATAGCATCTATAGATACCTTGACTGCAAAGCGACCTACCTTAAAACAGGTGTGTGCCTGCCACCTATGTCAACAGCTCTCCATTCTTCAGGACAGCCAGGATAAGACAGGAGCAGGCTGCTGGTGGCTTAGAACAGTGGCGTCCAATAGGGTCACCCCATGTGGATCTGGAATACTTAAAATGTGGCAAGTGCAATGGAGGAACTAAACTTTTAATTTTATTTCCTTTTTTTTTTTTTTAATTGACCAGAGTCTCGTTCTGTCACCAGGCTGGAGTGCAGTGGCGCGATCTCGGCTCACTGCAACCTCTGCCTCCTGAGTTCAAGCAATTCTCCTGCCTCAGCCTCCCGAGTAGCTGGGACTATAGGCGTGCGCCACCACACCCAGCTAATTTTTTTTTTTTTTTTTGAGACGAAGTCTTGCTCTGTCGCCCAGGCTGGAGTGCAGTGGCTTGATCTCGGCTCACTGCAACCTCTGGCACCCGGGTTCAAGCAATTCTCCTGCCTCAGCCTTCCAAGTAGCTGGGATTACAGGTGCATGCCACCACTCCAGGCTAATTTTTGTATTTTTAGTAGAGACAGGGTTTCAGCATCTTGGCCAGGCTGGTCTTGAACTCCTGACCTTGTGATTTACCCGTCTCAGCCTCCCAAAGTGCTGGGATTACAGGCGTGAGCCACCGCGCCTGGCCAATTTCATTTCATTTTAATTAAATTTAAAGAGCTATGCATTGCTGCTGGCTGCTGTTTTGGACAGTGCAGAATTAGAACTCAGAAAGCAACTACCCTGTTGGTGCTGCAAAGACCTCCATCACCTGCACCACTACATAAATCATGTTAGCAGAAAATACATTGTTTAGGGACTCAAGGATTCCCTTGAACATACCTGGTTATTTTTATACTCATCCCAGCCTGTTTTCTGCACAAGCCTCTGAGTTTGGTTTTGTTTTGTTTTGTGTTTTCTTACTCACTGTCTGCAGCAGGGCATGCAGTGGGTAGGCTGAAGGCAAGAGAGGCAGAGGGGTGCGACAGGAGAGGACAACCCATGTCGGTTTCATACAAGCACAACATTTGAAACTGGTGGACCTGTGTTCAGCTCTGCCCTGCCCTTTTCCAGGACTGTGTGGCCTTGGGCAAGCCCCTTAGTTAAGCTCCTCTGAGCCTCTGCTTTTCCATCCATGGAAAAGGAAAGTGCTTTCAAGGGTTAATCGAGCCTCCCCACCCCACCCCTTGTAAGAACTCAGTGCATCCTAGCAGTGATTGTTATGATGTGAACCTCTTTGTAAACTATAAAACCTTGTGTAAATGTGAGGCAAAACACTGCTGTCAAAAATTCTTCTTTTTAAACAAAATGCTCTGAAACTTGGGGGAAACCGCATCAACCAGGCCCAGGAGACAGACCAAAATCTCAAAGCAATAAATCTGAACGTTTTCTGCTTTTCCCATTGAGGAAGCATTTTGCCATTAGCTAGCCCTGAATCTACAGAAATTGGGAAACTGGGATGAAGATTTGTTGACTGTCCAAGGTCTTCCAGGGACCCGTCTGGTGGTGGGGGATGCTCGGGCAGGGGCCCAGGGCTGAGGAAGATGCCGAGAGCTTGCCCAGGAATGTTTGAGGTCCAATTAGTGTTTCCTCTTCATGGAGTACCTGATAAATCCTGTCTACAAAACTTTGGAAGGGAGATGGGCAGGAAAAGATGGCACCCCCATTTATAGAGGAGGGAACTGAGGCCCTAACAGGCTTGCTCCAGGGTCAGGCTCTGCAGCCCTAGCCACCTCCTGGGTCAACTCCTACATTGCTGATGTCGTACTTTCACCTTCTCCACTGTTGAATTAACCCTAGCCCAAATTTCTGGAGCATCTGCTCTTCCAAAGTCTGACTCAATAGAGATGAGATTCCCAGCAGCTGCCCGAGGTTAGAAAATACCAGCACACTCCTTTTCCTCTGGCAGTTATCCTAGCAAAATCATGCTCCCAGAACCCAGATAACCCAGATCCACGATGTCCTCGCCATCCAGGGACCAGAGCAAGGACAGAGTGTAAACAGCAGAGAACGGAGAAGATGTGGGCCAGCGCCATACCCCTCTGGGCCACTTCTCAAAGAGAGAGACCTTCAGGGATAATTCCATCGTCTTGCACAAGTTACAAAATTTCAACTGTGGCTTTCCCAGGTCTTAGGACCTGCATGGACCACCTTCTCCAGGAATTGAGTTCGCACGGAGATCACTAGAGATGGAGAGGTCAGGGATGGCCCCTGGGGAGCTGACATTTGTGACAGGCTGTGCAAAGAGCATTCCAGGCAGAGGGAACAGTGAATGCAAAGGCTCAGAGGCAGGAAGTGTTGTTGCATCTGAGACACAGAAAGGCAGTAAGCGAGTGGGAGGGTCTGGGGGGTCAAAGGAAGTCGGCAGAAGGGGTTCCATCCCTCAGTGCCTGGTGGGCAGGTAAGTACTTGCTGTGGTTTGAATGTCCCCTCCAAAACTCATGTCGAAATGCAATTGCCTTTGGATGGTGTTAAGAAGTGGAACCTGGCTTGTTAAGAGGTAATTAGACCATGAGGGCTCTGCCCTTGTGAATGCATTAACGTGGGTTGTTCTGAAAGCCGATTCAGCCCTCGCTTGCTTGCTTGCTTGCTTGCTTGCTCTCTGGCACTCTTCTGCCCTTCTGCCTCTGGCCACAAGTGGACGCAGCACGAAGGCCCTTGCCAGATGCAGGCCCCCAACCTTGGATTTCCCAGCCTCTAGAAATACATTCCTTTCTTTATAAATTATCCAGTATGTGGTTTTCTGTTATAGCGACATAAAATGGACTAAGACAGAGTTTAATTTTAATCTGAGAGCAGCAAGAAGCTAGGAAGAGTTTAAAGCAGCACATGAGATGACCCACTTTACATTTCTGAAAGTTTCCTCCGACTTCTGAGTGGAGAGACCTAGGAATTCTTTTTCCTCTCACATCTGTCTCAGTGGAAAACCATTCTCAGATTCCTAAGCGGAAGCTTCTGAAGCCTGTGCCCCAGGAGTGCCGCGAGGCCCGAGTGCCCTCTGCCCTGTGTGCATGACCTCTCCTCTGCTTTTTTACTCCCTGGGTTTTGAGGAGCCTGGGAGACTTCAAGGGCACCAGAAACCTTTCCTCTGACCCTTCTTCCCTGTAGCCGTGGATCAAGCCTCCAGGCTGCTGCCCCCTCTGTTTCTACCACTCCTTTCAAGCGGGCCCAGCTGCGCTTTTAAAAAATGGAAGCTGCTTCCCAAGGTGGCCCGGCTCCTTCTCTCGCACATGCGCCAACGGAGGCTGTTTGTGGGGCCTGGGGCCTTCTTTTCATTCTTCTTTGAAACCTTCAGGATTTGTGGCAGGTATGAAGTCAGGGAGTTCTGGGTCTCTCAAAAGCACATATTGCTGAAACATAACATTGTCTACCTTCACCCCTCCTCCATGGGTAATTCCAAGCAGGACACTGAGTGCTCCGCACCTGCCCAGGTTCTAACTAAGTCTGCCTGGCTGGGTCACCTTCTGCTGTGTCATTCTCCGTGTGCTTCCTGAAGGGTCCTGACTCCACACGGTTCCCCACCTATGATCACCATGTGGTCTGGACACCTTCCCTGTCCACAGCTCACCTGATCACCAAGGGACCACCCCACAGCCTTGACTGGTGCCACCAACTATAGCTCTCAAGGTCCTCCCAGGGGTCATGGAGCCATTTGGATCCCTAATATCTCCCGATCCCCTTAGCCTATCTTTGGAGCAGTCAGGAACTATCTGCCTCCTCTTCCCTTTCATCTGTGTCCACGTGTCCCAGCTGTCTCCTGAGAAATCACTCCTTTCCTCCAGCCCAGTCAGCATGTCTGCCTTCATCATGCTGTAATTTTCCAAAGCTCCAGTGTTTCAAACCGGTGTTTCAAGGCAGTTCACTTGAGGCCAGGAGTCCAAGGCTGCAGTGAGCTATGACTGTGCCCTAGCAAGCCCAGCCTGGGCAACAGAGTGAGACCCTGTCTCAAATAAAATAAAATATAAAATAAAATAATAAAATAAAATACTACTGTTTTCCATGGCTCCGGTGTTAAGCCTTTGTTGTGCTTTAATTTTCCGTGGCTCTAGTGTTTTAAACCAGTCCTATTTCTCCTTGAGTTTTTAAGTGAAACTTTAAAAAAAAATTTTTTTTGAGATATAATGTAGATACAGTAATGTGTAAAATGCACTATTCTTTTTTTTTTTTTTTTTTTTTTGAGACACGATGTCACTCTGTCGCCCAGGCTGGCGTGCAATGGCGCAATCTCAGCTCACTGCAAATTCCGCCTCCCAGGTTTAAGCGATTCTCATGCTTCAGCCTCCCGAGTAGCTGGGACTACAGGACCACACCCGGCTAATTTTTGTATTTTTGGTAGAAACGGGGTTTCACCATGTTAGCCAGGTTGTTCTTGAACTCCTGACCTCAGGTGATCCACCCGCCTCAGCCTCCCAAAGTGTCGGGATTACAGGCGTGAGCCATTGCACCCAGCCTAAAACGCACTATTCTTAAATGACCAGCTCAAGGAATGTTGACCTATATGCACGCTCATATGACCACCTCCCCAGTCAAGATCAAGACTATTCCAGCACCCAGAAGGCTTGCATGTGCTGCTTCTAGTCAATACCTGCCATCCCCAGAGCAAACCCTATGTGGACCTCTTTCACCATCACCTAATTTCAGGCACAGACATTTCATTCTTTTCATGGTTTTTTGCATTATAAACATTCCACTGAGGCTGGGTATAGTGGCTCACACCTGTAATCCCAGCACTTTGGGAGGTCAAGGCGGGAGGCTGGCTTGAGGCCAGGAGTTCAAGGCTGCAGTGAGCTATGATCATGCCATAGCACTGCAGCCAGGGCAACAGAGTGAGACCCCATCTCAAAATAAAATAGGCTGGGTATAGTGGCTCACAACCATAATCCCAGCACTTTCGGAGGCCGAGGTGGGCGGATCACCTGAGGTCAGGAGTTAGAGACCAGCCTGGCCAACATGGTGAAACCCCATCTCTACTAAACATACAAAAATTAGCCGGGTGTGGTGGCAGGCGCCTGTAATCCCAGCTACTCGGGAGGCTGAGGTGGGAGGCTCTCTTGAGCCCAGGAGGCAGAGGTAAGAGGATCAGTTGAGCCTGGGAGGCAGAGATTGCAGTGAGCTGAAGTTGCACCACTGTACTCCAGCCAGGGTGACAGTGAGACCTTGTCTCAAAAAAAAAAAAAAATCCTCTGCATTTTCTGTCTTAATTTATATGATACAACTTATAACCACTTAGCTCCTGTCTAATAAGGATGCTCACACTTTCTTGTCTGGTCATTATGAAGCCCTCTTGTACCCATTTGTGGTAAAAAAAAAAAAAACCTCTGAAGTGCACAACCAAGATCAGAGATGATGAAATAAAGCCTCTCAGATGCAAGCTGAGCTATGCCTCTCCCTTGTTTGGGTGACTAGCTCATCCCAGTTAGGGCTTTCTTGCTTGTAGGACCGAATATCCCACATCCTCGGTGCTCCATCAGTGTCAGTCCTGAGCAGACCAGGGTGGCTGACCCCCCAGCACGGTTCCCTCCTTGGCCCTGGACCCAGTTCAAAACACACAAGACAAGTGGAACAGAATTCAGGCCAGATCATCCGGTACCATCTGCCTGTGCCTGACACTCACCGTTGGAAAGGCCCCGAATGTCAAACTCTTTTTTGTGGCTTGTGTGTGGAACTTGGCCGTCTTTACATTTTCTCCCTCAAAATCACTGGAGAGCTGGTAAAAATGTCCCTCTTTCCCCCAACCAACTGGGGGTTGGCCCCAAGCATTGGTCTCCTTCAAAGGCCCCAGGTGACTAGTGGGCAGCCAGGCTGGGTAACCAGGACCTCTGCACTCGTGATGCTGAGACTAAATCTGTCCATCTGGCAAAGTCCCGGGGGCATTTACTGACCCCGGGAAACAAATCTCTCTCCCAGCCTGGACAGTACGAGAGCCAAGCCAAGCCTGTCATGACCTCTAACGTTAATCTATTTTTTGGCTAATCACAGCCACAGCTCCATGCCTGTAAATCCAGCCAAAGCCACTCAACATTCCAAGACACGGCGGCATCTGTGGCCACATAGGCCAAAGGCGGCTTCTCTTCTCTCTCTTCAATGATCTCATTGAATCTTGTGGCTTTAAGTGCCATTTTTAGACTGGCAACTCCCAGATTTATAATCCACGCCCCCCTTCCCTACCGTTCATAGCCCCATAGTCATACACACACAACTGCCTCCTTGACACCTCCGTGAGGGTGACTCTCAGGCATCTTTTTTTTTTTTTTTGAGCTGGAGTCTCCCTCTATCACCAGGCTGGAGTGCAGTGGTGTGATCTTGGCTCACTGCAACCTCAGCCTTCCAGGTTCAAGCGATTCTCCTGCCTCAGCCTCCCGAGTAGCTGGGACTACAGGCGTGCGCCACCACGCCCAGCTAATTTTTTGTATTTTTAGTAAAGATGGGGTTTCACCATGTTGGCCAGGATGGTCTCGACCTCCTGACCTCATGATCCGCCCACCCCAGCATCCCAAAGTGCTGGGATTATAGGCGTGAGCCACCACGCCCAGCCAGCTCTCAGGCATCTTAACCTGGCAGACTGGACCAAGCCTTCTCCCCAGCCGGGGTCCCTCCAGGGTGCCTCATCTCAGGATGGTGCCACCAGCTACCCAAGCTCAACCCATGGCTGATGCTGGTCTTTCCTCTTGCCGTCCACTTCTGACCCATCCGCAAATCCTGTCTGTGGCTCTGCTACACTCATATATCTTGTCCACGCCTGCCCAATCCCTGCCATCTTATGTCTGGGCGACTGCATTAGCCTCCTGTCTCCCTCCTTCCTCTGTCCATCCCCTAACTCTATTCTCTACCCAGAAACCAGAAAGATCTTTAAACAAACATCAAAACCAAGAGGCTTTACTGGGATATCATTTACATGCCATAAAATCCACCCACTTCAAAGATGGACAATTCATGTTTTTTTAGTATATCACAGAATTGTGCAAGCATCATTATAATCTAATTTTAGAACATTTTATCACCCCAGAAGAAACTTTGTACCCATTAGCAGTTACTCCCCAGCCCCCTCCTCCCGGTCTCCCACTATAGCCCCAGGCAACTGCTAATTTAGTTTCTGTCTCTCTGGATCTGTGGATTCTGGACATTTCACTGAATGAATCACACAAGCCGTGGTCTTTGTGTTTGGCTTTTTCCACCCAGCTTAAAGTTGCTAAGGTTTATTATTGCCCACTAATACTTATCAAATGGATACACCGCATTGTTTATCCATTCATTGCTGGAAATTTGGGTTGTTTCTGCATCTGGGCTATGAGAAAGGTCTTTTAAAAAACAAGTCACCAGCCGAGTGCGGTGGCTCACTCCTGTAATCCCAGCACTTTGGGAGGCCGAGGTAGGCGGATCACTTGAGGTCAGGAGTTTGAGCCCAGCTTGGCCAATATGGTGAAACCCTGTCTCTACTAAAAATACAAAAAGTAGCCAGGCTCGGTGGCCGGCACCTGTAATCCCAGCTACTCTGGAGGCTGAGGCAGGAGAATTGCTTGAATCCGGGAGGCGGAGGTTTCAGTGAGCCTAGATCGCGCCACTACACTCCAGCCTGAGCGACAAGAGCAAGATTCCATCTCAAAAACAAACAAACTAACAAAAAACCAAGTCACACATTGTCACCACCCTGCTTAACACCTTATAATGGTTTCACATCATATCTAGAATGAAGTTTGACCAAGTGCCGTGACTCACACCTGTGGTCCCAGCTACTTGATAGTCTGGGGTGGAAGGATGCTTTGAGCCCAGGAGTTCAACGTTGCAGTGAACTGAGATCGTGCCACTGCACTGCAGCCTGGGGGACAGAGTGAGACCCTGTCTCAATAAATAAATTGAATGAAGTTTGTTGCCGAGGCCTGCAAGATTCCGACGTCCTGTCCCAGCCTCTGTCACCAAGCTTTTCTCTTCCCATAACTCACTCTGCCTTCTGTGTGTCTCCTGGACATACCAAGCTTGTTTCCACCCCAGGCCTTTGCACCGGCTCTCCCCTCTTCTCCGTGCCTGGGACGCTCCTTCCTCGATTCTTCTCATAGCTGGCTGCTTCTTCCCGTTCCAGGCGCAGTGTATGTGTCACCTCCCAGCTACGGTGCTGATGCCTGCCTGTGGCACTGTGCCACAGTGCCCTGTCTCACTCCTTCACACTTACCTTTCTCTGAAATTACCTTGTGTGTCTGTCATTTCCTTCCTCCGAGTAGAATATTCAGCCCCCACAGAGGAAGTGCCTTGCCCGTCTTCTATAATACTGTGTTCCCAGGGCTGAGAACAGTCCCTGGCACACAGCAGGTATTTAGTTTGCGGAGAGGCCCACGTGGTCCGGGCATGCTTAAGCAACTCCTGCAGTGGCACCTGTTTCCCCCAAGTGATCCTTTGTTCTCAAATGTTGGTCCTATTATTGGCTGCCAAGATGTTAGGGTTGGGTTTGGGGAAAATCACTTGCCTCTCTAGGGTCCCAGATGAAGAGAAGAAACACAAAAAACAAAGCCAAATGGCCCTCTTCCTGGCTCACTGTCGCCGGTGAAACTGGAATGGAAAATCCTAATTTGATTTGATTCCCTGGAGGGCAGCAGCGCCCCCTGCGGGAAGAAGGCCTTTCCTGGTGAGTTTACCCCAAAGAGACAGGAAGCAGAAGAGAGGATGCTACTAGGAGGCAGGCAGGGATGTGTGTGTGTGTGTGTGTGCGCGCGCGCGCGTGTGCGTGTGTGTGTGCGCGCGTGTGTGTGCGCGCGTGTGTGTGTGTGTGTAGGAGAGAGAAAGAGAGAGAGACACACACACATCAGGGGTGTGTGTGTGTGTAGGAGAGAGAGAGAGACACCAGGATTCGAGGCAGTGACCCTGCCCCTACTTAAATGTGGCTGCAGGCAGGTCAGGCTCCCTCCTCTTCTCATGGGTGGATGGAGTGGCCTGGAGTGCTTACACCAACACCCTCTGCGCAGGGAGGTGGGTGTGGGTGCCCCCAGGCAGAAGCTGGGACCCAGTAGGGAGTCTGAAGGGTGCTGCAGTGGCTGAATGTCCCTCTCTTCTGATGCCTCCACATTGTCTCAGTGGTAAAGTCCAGGCTTTTCACAAGCTGGCCAGCGTGCCAGCCCAACCTTCCTGCCTCCTCCTCCTCCCTCTTCACACTTCCCCCCCGGGTCCCTCTGCTCAAATCCACTGGACTATATTCTCGAGACGCTACGGATACTCCATCGAGTTTCACATCACTGGGCCTTCACCTCTGCTGTTCCCACCCTCTGGAATGATCTTCCTGGGTGCTATGCCTGGTGAGCTCCTGAAGTCAAGGTCTGGCCAGACCTCTGCTCTGGGAAGCCTCTTCTGAGCCCTCCTGATAGTCAGGGGGACCCTCCTCTGTGCACACCCCTCTCAGAGCACTTACCCCTCGAGAGGAGGGTTGCAGTATCCATTGACTCATCTGGAAGAGCAGAGACTGTTTTGTTTTCTGATGGACACCCAATCGCCAGGACACGGCATAGTAGCCCTTCAATACATGTGTTGGAAGGATGAATGAGCGAGTGCCCACTAACCTCCGAGACCCTCATGGACGTGGCCAGTGCGTCACTCACCTTGCTGTGGTTCCCATTGGCTGCCAGTTCCCAAGTGTCACCCTTGCCCACTGGGAGGCAATAGCAAGGTGCCAAAGAGATCCTGCAGGGCTGCCCCAGCCAGAACCACCCACTAGGCCCTATCTCTCACGGCCTTGCCCTGCCGGGGATCTTGGTTTGGGACAAGCCCTTCTGGGAAGGGCGCCCTCCAGTGGGAAACCAGCCCTGCTCCACTGCCAGTCCCAGAGCTGACACCTCCCAGAGCTGACATCTCCCAGAGCTGGGCCCAAGATTGATCCTTTTCACAGAGGCACACTGATCTGACCTGATTGTCATTAACCCACCCCCACTGTGCGCCTTCCCGAGCTTCTAGAATCATCCCCCAAGTCCCGCAAGCCCCAGAAACCCATTTCTTCAGCACTGGGCAGCAGAGACCAGTGGGGTATCTGTATCTTTAAGAAAAAGCAAGTGTAATAAATAAAAGTTATCTGGGAAAGAAAACTTCCTTTGTTTATTTTCCAGAAGCCTTAGCTCATCAATCTTCCCCTCCTAACCTGCTTTGTGCTCTACTAGTTTTGCTTCCAATAGAATAGAATTTGGTTTTCTAGTATCATGTATCGTACACAGGGTGTCCCCAAACAGTAGCAATAATGAGTTGAAAGTGGCACAGTTGGAAGCCTTCAGAAGCCAACGCCAGATGTCAGGCTCTCAGTGGGTCCCTCTAAGGACACTGGGGCCAGAGCACAGGGCAAGGGTTGGGTGGGCCCACAACTCTGGAAGGTCCCTGGGAGTCATTCATCTGACAGACACTGAGGAGTGCCCACGATGTGCCACGCCCTGTGTGGGCTCTGGGAAGGCCTCACCTGGTGCTGCCATGGCTGGCCACCAAAGAAGAACAGGATGGGCAGTGGAGGCAGGACCCCACCCCCAACTCAGTCGACCGGGTCATCCCGTGGGAAGCCTGGGAGGCAGGATGGCAGGAGATTTGGACCCATAGACCTGGGTGCCAGAGGTCAGGCTTCTTCATTTGAAAACCAGGGAAGCAGTCTCTACCTCACAAGGTGGCTTGAGAACAGAGTGAGAGAATGTGTAAATCACCCCACCTGAAGTCCAGCACATGGGCAGAGCTCAGCATCCTTTGGATCCCTCAGGCCTGACAGGTGCCCCTGCGCTGGGGGGGTTGGTGGGGCTCTGCAAAGGCAGGCACTGCTCACCTCTGGGCTCAGAATTCTTGTCTAGAGGCTTCTGCAGCTGCCACCCTCGCCTGAGAAAATGCAGGTAGAGACATCTAGAGCCACCCCATGGTAACTGGGGGCTTTGAAAGAATGGAAGAGAGCCCCAAGGAACCAAGGTCCTGGGGATTGACAGGCATGAAAATATGTCCTCAACACCACCCACCCCTATTTCCAAGGCCCTCCTCCAAGCATGCCGCATGCTGTTCTCCAGAAAAGCCAGGGCCTCTGGTAGCTCCAGCTGCTGAGGGGCTGGAGCCTCGCCTTCCCCTCACCAGACCAGAGCCCGGAGGGTGGGGGTTGGGGGGCTCTTTTAACTCCTTGGTGGAGATGAGGAAATTTGGGCCCAGGGAAGTGCAGGTTCAGAGCTGCACCTGCTGTGCCTGGAACAAGGCCAATCCCCATAACCCATGCATCTGCGGAGGTGGCCCCCCAACTGCACATGAGGGGAACAGGGGCTGGGCTTTCTTTTTAATTTGTCTTGCTCTAGATGACAGAGGAACTTTTAGAAAACTGGTGGGATAAGGATGGACGGATGCCCCTCAGCAGTCTCTGGCCTCGTGCCCGGCTGCCAGCAGAGGAGGACACGAGGCCTCAGAGGCCCCCGACGCCCCTTCTCCAGGAAAGCACAGGGTGTGTGGCTTCTCCCCAGCCCCTTCTTTGTCCCAGTCCCCAGTCTGGAATCGCTCTCTGGGCTGGGCCAGGCAAGTGGGCCGCAGAGGCCTGGCTTAGCTTTGGGAACGGAAGCACGGGAAGGGGCGCGGAGAGGCAGGAAGCGGCCTGGGGAGGCTGGGGTGGCCGGGACTACGGACCCGACCGCATAGACGCGATCAGCCCCTCTTGGCGTTCCGGTGTAGCTGACCCCGCCCCGGGCTCTGGCCGGGCTGCGAAGCCGGGAACCAGCGACCCCCCGCCCAGCCCCTGCGGCCGCCCCGCCCCTCCCCGCCCCGGCCGCCCCGCCCCCGGCCCCGCCCCGCTCTTTCGCTTCCCGGGCCGCCGGCAGCCGCCGCCAGCCGCAGCCATGGGCCGGGCCCGGCCGGGCCAACGCGGGCCGCCCAGCCCCGGCCCCGCCGCGCAGCCTCCCGCGCCACCGCGCCGCCGCGCCCGTTCCCTGGCGCTGCTCGGAGCCCTGCTGGCCGCCGCCGCTGCCGCCGCCGTCCGGGTCTGCGCCCGCCACGCCGAGGCCCAGGCGGCCGCGCGGCAGGTCCGGGCCCGAGCTGGCTGGGGCGGGAGCGCGGGAGCGGGGACTGAAGGACCCAGCCTCGGCAGCAGGGGGGACATGGGCATGGACGAGTCGGGGGAGGCGGAGGGCGGAGGGGGACTGGACGGGAGGGAGCACGGGAAGGAGGGGACACGGGAGGCGGGTGGGGGGTGCCTGGGGCCGGGCTGATGGGGGGAAGGCGAACGGAGGCCAGTGTGGGGCTGGGACAGACTGGAGGGGTCTCTATCCAGAGGGGTGACCTGGACACAGTGAAGCTGGTTCCCGCAGAGTCTTAAAGGGTTACTGGGGAGCCCTGGGACAGTGAGGAGGGGACACAGGAGAGGACAGAAGGTGCAGGAGGAACAGGGCCAAGCAGCCAGGGCCAGGCGGAAGGCGGAGTGGGGACAAACTGGGAGGGGGCAGTCGGACCAGACAGTGGATGAGCAGGGACCAGGAGGGACTGGAGGCTCTGGGGCAGTTCAGAGGCAACATTTGCACAGATGGACCGGGAGGCACTGGGAGAGCTCAGGAAGATGGTGGGAGAAGGGGCTCCATGCGGAAGCAACTGCCTGTTGGGGACCAGGAGACCAGGCCGCCAAATGGTGCCCAGCCCAGTCTCTCCTCCCAAGCAGGAACTGGCGCTGAAGACCCTGGGGACAGATGGCCTTTTTCTCTTTTCCTCCTTGGACACTGACGGGGATATGTACATCAGCCCTGAGGAGTTCAAACCCATTGCTGAGAAGCTAACAGGTACCAGGAGAGACTGGCGGCTGGGGAGGAGGGCGCCTTGGCCAACGGTGTCTTCACTGAGCAGGAGCGGCCGTCTGGAGTGGAGGGAAGCTCGTGGGATCTCAGAGGCCCTGGACTCCTCCCAGCTCTGACACTTTGTAGCTGGTGGCTTGGGCGAGCTGCTCCAGCAACCCCTGAGCCTGTTTTTCTCAGACTTGTGAGCAATAATACCAGCTAACATTCTTTGGTCTGCGAGGTAGCTCACGCCTGTAATCCCAACACTTTGGGAGATGGAAGGATCGCTTGAGCCCAGGAGTTCAAGACCAGCCTGGTCAACATGGCAAAACCCCATCCCTACAAAAATACAAAAATTAGCCGGGTGTGGTGGTGCACACCTGTAGTCCCAGCTACTTGGGAGGCTGAGGTGGGAGGATCACTAGAGGCCATGAGGCAGAGGTTGCAGTGAGTTGACATCACACCACTGCACTCCAGCCTGGGCGACAGAGTGAGACCCTGTCTCAAAACAAACAAACAAAGCAAAACCAAAAAAACAAAAAAACCATTCCTTGGCCACCTCCTCCGTGCCAGGTATTTAAGTATTTCATGTGGGTTCTCTCTTTAAACCTCACAGTAGCCCTGGGAGATGGACACTGTCATGATCCCCATGTTTAATAGTCTGAGAGACTAAGGCACAGGCAGGCTCCCCAGTTTCCCAAGCTAGAAAGGTGCGGAGCCAGGGCTAGAACTGGGGCCATCTGGCTTCAGGGTCCTGCACCAGCTCACAGGTTTCAGTAGAGAAAAGAAATGCACAGTGACGAATATGCAGTAGATTTCCAATAGACAGCAGCTATAACTTTTTTTTTTTTTTTGAGACAGGGTCTTGTTCTGTCACCCAGACTGGAGTGCAGTGGTGCAGTCACAGCTCACTGCAGCCTCAACTTCCCTGGCTCAATTGATCCTCCTGCCTCAGCCTCCTGAGTAAGTGGGACCACAGGCATGTGCTACCACGCCCAGCTGATTTTTCTATTTTTGTAGAGATGCAGTCTCACTACGTTGCCTAGGCTGGTCTCAAATTCCTGGGCTCAAACGATCCTCTTACCTTGGCCTCCCAAAGTGCTGGAATTACAGGTGTGAACCACCGCACCCAGCCAGGAGCTATAACTATCATTACTAAATCTGAAACTTTGCTTAGGTGCTTTCAGATTTCTATTCCATTCTTTGTTGTTGTTGTTGTTGAGATGGAGTCTTCCTCTGTCACCTAGACTGGAGTGCAGTGACATAATCTCAGCTCACTGCAGCTTCTGCCTCCCTGGTTCAAGCAATTCCCCTGCCTCAGCCTTCCCAGGAGCTGGGATTACAGGCACCTACCACCATGCCGGGCTGATTTTGTATTTTTAGTAGAGACGGGGTTTTGCCTTGTTAGCTAGGCTGGTCTCGAACTCCTGACCTCAAGAGATCTGCCCGCCTCAGCCTCCCAAAGTGCTGGGATTACAGGCGTGAGCCACTGTGCCCGGCCTCCTATTCCATTCTTGCTATCATTTTTGCCTAGTGCAGTCAGTGATTATTTATTTATTTATTTGGTTAAAGATGAGGGGCTGAAACATTCTAATGAATTATAAAACGCTTCTCTCGCTGCCCCACCACCACCCTAACCTCTGTGCCCATTTTCTTCCAACTTCTTGTGACGTTTCTTGAACTTAGGATCTTGGACACCTACTTATTACCCAGATTGCCTGGTGTAAGTCAGTCATTGATGGGAAAGGCAAGAGAGACATGCTGGCTGTTTCGGGTGCATAAGCTTCAAAGCGCTGTCACTAGCCTGCTGTTTTTCAGGGGTGTATTGTGTAGGTTGGTTCCGTGCTGGCCCGGTGACCTGTGATCACTGCTAGAGGAGGAAGGTTGGATGAAAAATGCTAATGAGCTGGAGTGGATGTGTATCAATGTCTCTCAGTGGCAGGCAGTTCTGTCATGAAAGCAGATGGGCAGATAAACAGGTCGTCCCCTTGTGGCCTTGCCTGTACTTCTTGTTTTGCATACACTTCTGCGCATTTGCACAGCTACCTCTTTGTCCTTTTTTGTGGCCAGAGTGAGAGTTCTCTCATAATGACATGTTAGCAAAGCTTGAGGTGCACTTTTAATTTTTTGCACAGAAATCTTTTTCTCCATCAGGGTAAAAGAATTCCCCCATTACCTCTAGGCTGTGAATGCAAAAATGGACCAAGTATTGAGAAATCAAAGGGCAGGGGGAATCAAATCCAAGCAGGAAATAGAGCCAACTAGTTCTATTTGGTAGAGTTATGAGAGTGTTTAATTTTCTGCCTTATCCCTTAAAATTTTTACAAATTACCTATAATGGGCAAATGTTACTCATAAGTCAGGAAATAAAACTTTTTATTAAAAAGCCAAAGGGCTGTAAAATGCTGAGTAGTAGTATTATAATTAATAACATTATTACCAACTCCATTTGACAAATGAGAAAGCAAAGGCTCAGAGAGGTGAAGTCCCTTCCCCAGATCATACAGCTAGGTGGTGGGGGCATCATCATTATTATTGGTTTTTGTTTTTTTTGTTTTTTTGTTTTTTTTTTTGAGATGGAGTCTTGCTCTGTCACCCAGGCTGGAGTGCTCGGCTCACTGCAACCTCTGCCTCCCAGGTTCAAGCAATTCTCCTGTCTCAGCCTCCAGAGTAGCTGGGCTGGGATTACAGGGGTGCACCACCATGCCCAGCTAATTTTGGCATTTTTAGTAGAGACGGGGTTTCATCATGTTGGCCAAGCTGGTCTCAAACTCCTAACCTCAGGTGATCCGCCTGCTTCGGCTTCCCAAAGTGCTGGGATTACAGGCATGAGCTGCCTTGGGAATCATTATTATTAATATTTATCTGTGATATCAGTAAAATAATTGAATAAGCAAGGCTTACTAATAACCCTGCATATTCCTGTTGCTCCCTTCTTCTTGGGTTTCTAGATTGCGTTTTGGAAAGTTTTACCTCATTGACTTACAAATACAGAAATAAGTGATTCTTCAGAATAGGGATTTGGATCAGGAGCAGCAGGGAGTGCTCATTAAAAGGGCAGATTCCAGACTCTCACCCCTGCAGATTCTCATTCAGTAGGTCTGAGGTGGGTTGTGAGCATCTGTAGTTTAAAGGCATCCTGGGTGATTTTGAGGACTTCTGGTTGAGAACTGCTTTAATGCATCATTCAGCCTGCTAGCCAGTCAGTCAGCAAATGCCAGGCATCATCTCTGTACCACTACCCTGCCCTGAGAGGGCAGACAGGGCAAGACCCACCCCCGCCCTCCGCTGGCTACACTTTGTTACTGGTGACTATTACTCACCCCTTTTGAAATAGGCGTCATTTGTCCCTTAGCCTTTCAAAATGAATCCTTCTATACTGGGAAGGTTATAGACTTGCCAGATCTCTGAGCAGGAAAAGATCCAAGAAATCAAATCCAGCCACACTGCCAGTCCAGCCCCTCCTACAGCTGGGGCAATGCCCCCCCCGCCCCCCCCCCCCCGCCGCAAAAAAAAAAAAAGCAGGGGAAAGTGGGTCTCCTCACTCTCAAACCAGTGCTCTCCCTATGACACCAAAGAGCCTGTTTCTGTTTCTTGCTTCATTCATTACTCCGGTTCCCTTGACTGAGTTCCTCTCAGTCCCAGAAGACCTAGAAAAGGGTCGTGGTTGGTCATGGGTTTCGAGTAAACAGGCCTGGGTTTCAATCCCGATTCCCCCACCATCTAGCTATGTGACCTGGGGAAGTGACTTTACCTCTCTGAACACTTTCTCATTTGTCAAATGGAGTTGGTAATGTTATTATCTGCCTCCCTGGGCTATCCTGAAACTAAAATGCGATACACTGGTTGTTACTTTGGTGACTGTTAACACCCCAGCTACCCCCACCCCCTGCCTGGCTCCGTTAATCACCAGCTAGTGTGGATGATGAGGGAGAGGTGAGCCCTGTAGCATAAGGGCAGTGCCTCTCCGATGTCTGTGTCTCATAGGGTCAACTCCCGCGGCCAGCTGCGAGGAGGAGGAGTTGCCCCCTGACCCTAGCGAGGAGACGCTCACCATAGAAGCCCGATTCCAGCCTCTGCTCCCGGAGACCATGACCAAGAGCAAAGATGGCTTCCTAGGGGTGAGTTGGGGACCACAGGCAGTGGGGTCATCTGTGTGTATCCCGAAGATGAGTTTCTGCTCCATTCATCCATCTTTCCTCTGCCCTCTGTGTGCCCACTAGAGCCAGGCCCTGGAGGTCCATGTGCGGTGATGTTGTCCCTGCTGTCCAGGCATACAGCCTGCTGGGGGAGCAGGAGAGAGAAGCATTAGCTTCTGCCCCAGACTGGGGAATCTGGGATAGCTTCCTAGAGGAAGTGACATCTGGTAGACTGCAGGATGAGGAGGGCTCAGCAGGGTGACTGAGCACAGGTTGGGGGGGTCTCGGAGGAAGCAGCAGTGCAGTAGAGACCCTGTTAGTGCAGCCGCCCCACATACTATGATGATTATTTCCCACACACTATGATGATTACTTCCCAC
The DNA here is from genome assembly GCF_000001405.40 of Homo sapiens. Classification (NCBI taxonomy): domain Eukaryota; kingdom Metazoa; phylum Chordata; class Mammalia; order Primates; family Hominidae; genus Homo; species Homo sapiens. The sequence continues at coordinate 25,805,674 of NC_000001.11, forward strand.
ACATCCATCTCTTCCCCACGGGGCATAGCATGATGCCTGGCTCCTGATAGGTACTCTGTTGAACTCTGATGATCTAGACCTGAGGTTTGGTCCCCAGCAGAGGGCTGTGGGGTGGGGAGGGCACCTGAGAAGGTGGAGGTAGGAGGTGGACAGATGCTCTCCTTGCCAGCCCCTCCCCAACCCAAGGCCCTTTGGACAGGGTCCTGAGCGCATTGCAGGATGAAGCTGCCTCAGCCCCTGCCTGCCCTTTTGCACTCTCTCCCACTCTCTCCTCCCCTCTGTGGGCTTCCTCTGTTCCAACCACACCAGACTTCCTTCCTTCCAAATCCCCAGGCTTTCTTCCAACTGGGAGCCTTCTCACATGTGGTTCCCTCTGCCAGGAACACTGCCTCTCTGTGCCCAGCCCACACAGCCCGACCCAGCCTTTTCATCTCAGCCAATGCCACTTCAGCACGAACAGAGGCCTGAAGGCAGGAGTGCCAGGCTGGTCACTGAGGCCAGGCAGTGGGTGTGTCTGGGCCCAGGGGGCATGCAGGACCCACACAGGGGCATCCCAATCAGTGGGGCCAGGAGAGAAGGTGCCAGACCCCACCAAGGGCTTTGTTGCCTGCCTTTGGCCTTCATTCTATGGTGGCTGAATATCGTGCAGATTTTAAATAAGACAGCTTTCTCATCAGACCTGGGCTCTCCAGGCCAGGGACGGGGCATGTGTAGAATGGGGAGAAGTGGGAGGCAAGAAGACCAGTTCTGGAGGGGAGACGGAGGAGATGGAGAGTAAGGGCAGCCTGGAGGATGCTGGGGAAGGAAGGGCAGGGAGCGGCTCCTCATGGACAGTGGGTGGGCAGGAGTTGGATGACTCAGGCTTCTGGCTGTGACCAGGGGCATGGTGGGCTGCTTGCCCAGATGGGGACTGTAGGCGGGGAGGGAGTAGGGGATAGAGAATGAGGTCAGTCTGCACATGTTGAAGTTGAGGTCCCCAGGGGATGTTGGATGTCTGCTGCCCAGCAGCAGCCCCTTGGCAGTGCCCAACTCTAGAGCCTGGCAGCCACATGGCAAAAGAAACTTGGGAATGACCTTGAGGCTGGCACCTGTGGCGGAATTGCCACCTGGCCCAGCCCAGGGAAGCAGTGCTGGGGAGCCCCTTTCTTTTTTTTTTTTTTTTTTTTGGGACGGAGTCTCGCTCTGTCGCCCAGGCTGGAGTGCAGTGGCGCGATCTCTGCTCACTGCAAGCTCCGCCTCCCGGGTTCAAGCTATTCTCCTGCTTCAGCCTCCCGAGTAGCTGGGACTACAGGTGCCCACCACCACACCCGGCTAATTTCTTTGTATTTTTAGTAGAGACGGGGTTTCACCATGTTGACCAGGATGGTTTCAATCTCCTGACCTCGTGATCCACCTGCCTCGGCCTCCCGAATTATAGGCGTACAGGGATTATAGGGATTACAGGTGTGAGCCACCATGCCCGGCCGGGAGCCCCTTTCTTAACCTCATCGCTGCAGGTTCAGGGAGGGACAGAAATTCCAAGGAGGAGCTCACAGGGAAGGGCATTGCCCGTTTTGGGTCCTGTTTACTTGCCGTCTCCCACTATAAGCTCCAAGAAGACAGGGTGCACAGTGTACCCTGATAGAAACTTCCTATACAGTAGGTGCATAAAACATTTTGTGGAATGAACAAATGAATAAACGTGTTCTTCTCAGCCAAGGAGACAGTGCAGCAGATAGGCAGGAGTCCAGGAAGTGGTCAAAACCGGTCTGACCTTCCACAAAAGGAGATGGGGAACCCATCTCCATGGATTTGGCAGTGATGGGCTGGTCTGAGCAGATAAGTCCGCACAGACAACAAGAACTGGGGTGAGGCAGGAGCAGCACCCCTAGCCCTGGCCCCCGAGCAGAGCCCCAGCAAGCCCAGCACCCATCGCTGGCAGGTCCCCTGCAGGGGGTGGCAAGCCTACAAGCAGGACCCAGGAAGGCGGGCTCGGCCTGGCCCGGCACAGCCAGCTCTGCCTTGAGAACCGCCTGTTAAATCTGTCTCTGTGGGAGCTCCCTGCCTGCTTTCCTCCTACCTCCCACCAAGCCTGAGCTCCTGCTGCCAGGGAGGTGGCGACAGAAGAGGGAATCTGCTGTTCCCCAAATGCTGGCCGACGTGTAGACAGCTCTGTGGTCTCTGAGCGTCCTCTCCGAGCCATCAGCTTGTCAGACAGAGGCGAGGCAGGTCACCGATGAGGACTCGGGCTTAGGGAAGGCCTTTTGCCCAGGGTGGGGCAGGCTGTACTTAAGGCAGGGCCCTTCTGGGGGTGGCCTTCCTTCCCCTTCCCTGTGGTCTCATCCTGCTCTTGACCCTAGAGATTTCACCTCAAACATGATTGGCCACCACCCTCATCGGACTTAGCTCCAAACCGAAACCCTGAGCTGGCCAGTGGGACATTAGTCCCTGGGAGGAGACTTGGAGAGGAGACTGGGGAGGGAGAGTAGGGCTGCTGGAGGGCCAGGGAAGCCAGGCAGGGTGGTGGCACCCAAGGCTGGCCCATGGGCTTATGCATAGGATGGAGGTGGGACTATGTGAGGCACAGAGCCCCACCATCCCCATTCCAACCTTGCCCTCGAGCGAGCTGCTCTGGCCTGGGCTGCGCCTGGGTGGGCTGTGCCTGGGTGGGCTGTGCCTGGGTGGGCTGTGCCTGGGTGGGCTGTGCCTGGGTGGGCTGCAGAGGCACTGCAGCAGGGAGAGGAGCCTCTCTCTGGCGGGATATTGCTAAGCTTGTGGCCATCATAAGGGCAGGAACCTCCCTGGGGTCCATCTGCTCCCTTGGTGTGGGCTGGCTCGGGGCTTGAGGGAGACCTCCACCCACATGGTACAGGAGACCCCGGAGTCAGGTTCTCAGATTCCTGGAGCTTTGCTTTCCCCCGCCCCAGGTCTCCCGCCTCGCCCTGTCCGGCCTCCGAAACTGGACAGCCGCCGCCTCACCAAGTGCAGTGTTTGCCACCCGCCACTTCCAGCCCTTCCTTCCCCCGCCAGGCCAGGAGCTGGGTGAGCCCTGGTGGATCATCCCCAGTGAGCTGAGCATGTTCACTGGCTACCTGTCCAACAACCGCTTCTATCCACCGCCGCCCAAGGGCAAGGAGGTGAGGACAGCTGGGGTGCGACGTGGGGCCCCTCCGCCCGAGCCCAGGAGTGGCCACCCCTCTGTCTGCGCCTGGACCCCAGTGCCAGGCCTGCTCCACCTGCTCTCCTGCCTTCCTCTGGACCTGCCCCCTCCCCATGGGGCCCCTGGGCCGTCGGGTCTGGGCTGACCCCCACCCCAGCGGATCCAGGCCCAGCGGGACCCAGCAAGCCAGTACGTGCCTCCCGCCGCCCCCAGGTCATCATCCACCGGCTCCTGAGCATGTTCCACCCTCGGCCCTTTGTGAAGACCCGCTTTGCCCCTCAGGGAGCTGTGGCCTGCCTGACTGCCATCAGCGACTTCTACTACACTGTGATGTTCCGGTGAGTGGGCCACACTGGCTGGCCTGGAGCACCGGGGAGGCATGACGGTACAGCGCCCAGAGGGGAGGGCCCAGCTTGAGCCCCCCAGCTCCACCTCTCCTCCCACTGCCGTCTTGGGCAAGCAGCTTTGGCTCTCTGAGCCTCAGTTTTCTCACCTGTGGATCCGGGTGCTGATGACTTCCTCGTAAGGCACGTGAGGGTTCAGAAAGAAAAGTTGTGGAACTTGCTTGGCACGGGGCTGGTAGCCATGGTTGTGCCATCCACACAGAAGTGGGAAGGACACCCAGTCACACATGCCCTCCAGAAGCTGTGAAGGCTGGGGGAGGGGGTCCAGGCAGGGCTTCCAGAGGAGGGGCATGTGACCCGGGCCTCGAAGGATGAGCAGCATTTGGAGAGCCTCGCTGCTGCCCACTGGCCCATCCACCTCCACCCCCACACTCAGCCTCCTCTCCCTGATGATTCTGGCCAAGGCTTCCCGGGCTCCTGGGGAGAAGGTGGGCAGCTCTGGTGCAGCAGATCCCCTTCCCCACAGGATCCATGCCGAGTTCCAGCTCAGTGAGCCGCCCGACTTCCCCTTTTGGTTCTCCCCTGCTCAGTTCACCGGCCACATCATCCTCTCCAAAGACGCCACCCACGTCCGCGACTTCCGGCTCTTCGTGCCCAACCACAGGTGGGAGCTTGACCCTGGCCCAGCCTTGGCTCCCTCCTACAGCTTGTCCTGCTCCCCAGCTCCAGGAGCCTAGGGGCCTCTTCTGTCTCTGCCCCTTCCTTTGCTCCCCAGAGCCCATCTCATGGGGCTGACGTGGCAGGAGGCGGCATGAGGCAGGCAAGAGAATGAGCTGATCACCCACCAGCTCTTCCCAGGCACCCGTGGCCTGGCCCTCCACCTCTGTGCCTGGGACCCAGTGCAGCAGTCCGCAGACCCTTCCTGAAGCTGGGCCTCCCCGCCCTCATACTGCTGACAGGCCCCAGGCAGAGCTGTAACCGCAGCCTGTGCACGCCACCAAGAGGAAGGCCAGCAGCTAGGCAGGGACCCAGCTGTGGGGTCCAGGAAGGCTTCCCAGAAGAAAAAGGTCATCTCAGCAGAGATCAGGGCTCTGAGGGTTTTGCTGGGCAGAGGAACAGCACATCCAAAGGCCAAGGGCAGGCCCTCCACTGCTGCAGAGCCCCAGAGGGGCTTCCGGGACGGTGCTACACCAGCCACCTGCTTGCCTCACCTCCTCAGGGCTGGCCACCTGTCAGCAGAGTAGAGGACCCCGGAGGCCCTGGCTTCAAGTTTGTCCAGATTCCTAACTGATAGCAAGTGGCCACCGAGTGGGCCTGAGTGACCGCTCTACAGGGATGAGACCTGGCTGGGAGCCAGGAGGTCTGCAGTTAAGTCTCTGCTGTGGAACCCATTGGCTGTGTGGCTGTGGGCAAGGCCCTGGCCCTCTGTAGGCCTGTTTCCTCATCTGCCGGATGGGAGACTGACTCCTGGCCTACTTCACCCACAGGGCAGGCGTGAGAGGATGGTCGGGATAACATGGGAAGAGAAAATTGCCCCTAGGAGTGGGGGTGGCTTCCCTCCCTCCCCAGAGTGGGAAGGGCAGGGGCTTCCCGGTCAAAGGGAAAAGGAAGAGGAGGGCACAAGCCCTCCATCTGCTCACCTAGGGCTGGGCACACCTGCCTCCATCGCAGGGTTGTTGAGGAGGGGGCCTGGACTGTATGGGACAGGAGGAGAGAGGCAGTGGCCAGCTCCAGGACCAGCTGTTCCTGGGCTCATGTCTGAGGACCAGGCACCAGGGACTGCTGACCCCCGGGGGTTACCTAGCTCTGCCCTCTGTGCCCCCTGCTGCGGAGGTGGTGGTTTGCCAGTGCTGGGGCTCCCTCGTGCGGCGGATCTGCAGATTGCACTGCTCGGCTCAGATTTCCTGCTGCCCGCCAGAGGCCTGTGCAGGGACCACGGTGCTCGTTTTCATTCCTGCCCCACCCTGTGACCCGCCTTGAGGCACTGGCCATCTCTCTGCTTCAAAGGGTCCTGGAGAGTACACGGGCCATGGCTGTGCAGGCCCTTTGTGAATTGCGAGGGGCAGGGCTGGCGGATGGTGAAGTGGCTCCAGTGCCTTAGGAAGGGGCAGCCTGGTGGGGAAGAGGGCCAGGGCTCTGCAGCCAGAATCCCAGTGGCTCTGAGAGCAGGTGTTCACCTTGAGAAACCTCAGTGTCCTCATCTGGAAAGTGGAGACAGTTGCAGGTATTATGTGAGATAAAGTGTGACACAGATAATGGGCTTTGATGATGGTGTCACTCTGCCCTGGCCATCCCAGGTCTCTGAATGTGGACATGGAGTGGCTTTACGGGGCCAGTGAAAGCAGCAACATGGAGGTGGACATCGGCTACATACCCCAGGTGAGCGCACAGGAGGCTCCCATCCAGGTGGGCTCGGCTGCAGGGCCCCGCCCTCCCTCTGCAATGAGTGGAGCATTTTGGAGGGTCTCTAGGGGAGCCCCTGAGGATTCTTGCCCATCTCTGAGCCTTCCCCCTACCACTGACCTCTGGCCCAGATGGAGCTGGAGGCCACGGGCCCCTCTGTGCCCTCCGTGATCCTGGATGAGGATGGCAGCATGATCGACAGCCACCTGCCTTCAGGGGAGCCCCTGCAGTTTGTGTTTGAGGAGATCAAGTGGCAGCAGGAGCTGAGCTGGGAGGAGGCTGCCCGGCGCCTGGAGGTGGCCATGTACCCCTTCAAGAAGGTGAGGCTGGGCAGGGGTGAAGGCCAGGGTCAGGCTGCATGGGCAGAGGCTGGGAGCTGTGGAGCAGCAGCTGGGCACAGACGCTGGTATGTGTGCAGGGCTTGCTACTGAGGCTGTCTCACTGTTGGGCCCAGCTGTGCCAGCGGGGCCTCCCCGCTGCCATTCAGAACTTGGAGGAAGAGGCCAGGTGCAATGGCTCATGCCTATAATCCAAAACTTTGGGAGGCTGAGGCAGAGAATCACTTGTGGCCAGGAGTTCAAGAGCAATCTGGGCAACATAGCGAGACCCCATATCTACAAAAGAATTTTTTTAATTACCTGGGGGTGGTGGTAGCACGCACCTGTAGTACCAAAGCTTTGGGGAGGCTGAGGCAGGAGGACTGTTTGAGCCCAGGAGTTCAAGGCTGCAATGAGCTATGATTGCGCCACTGCACTCCAGCCTGGGCAACAGAGTGAGACTCCATCTCAAAATAAAAAATAAATGAAAATAATAATAATAAATAGAACTTGGAGGAGACATCCATCCCCTGGCTTAGTAGCACCCACTTCACACACATACAAACACACACACTAACATATATATACACACACACATACACACATATACAAACATACACAAACATATATACACATACAAATGTACATATACACAGACATACACACAAATATATATGCCTACACACAAACACACACACACACACACACACACACACACACACACACACACTTGCACACACTACAGACTCAGCCCGAGTGGGACCCTGGCCGCTTTGATGATGGCTTCGCTCTGTCTCGGTGTGGCCCCAGGTCTCCTACTTGCCGTTCACTGAGGCCTTCGACCGAGCCAAGGCTGAGAACAAGCTGGTGCACTCAATCCTGCTGTGGGGGGCCCTGGATGACCAGTCCTGCTGAGGTGAGGGGCCCGGCTGGATCTAAGGGGAGCAGTGGGAAAGTCCACACCTTGTGGGGTACCAGAGGCTCTGAGACCAATGGGACTCTTCTGTTGAGTTGTGAGGGCCTCAGGGACTGCCCATGGTAGGGGCGTGGGGTGAGGGCTTGGGGGTTTCTGTGCTGAGCCCAGAGGGAGCTACCAGATGCTGAAGAAAGGGCCCTGGCAGACTGGGTTCAAACTCAGCCATTGTCAGCTTGGTAACCTTGACCAAGTGTCTTCCCCTCTGTGAGCCTCAGTTTTCTCAATAGTAAGAGGGGATAACACACTTACCTCTCATAGCTGTGGACATGGAGGTGAAAGTGCCGCATACACTGTAAAGTGTTATATACGTGTAAGAGAAAAAATCGGGCCAGAGGCTGGGCTTGTGTTAATTGATTCAGGAAATTCACCAGAGGCCCCCTAGATGCAACGTCCTTTGGGTGTCTGGCAGTGGGCACAAAGATGAACAAAACAGTGCCCCACCCTCACCCCGTCAACCGTCAGTGCAGCAGTGGGCTGGGTGCTTGCGTCCCACAGTGAGGAAGGCAGAAGGGGTCCCTGCCCTCAAAGGGGGAGACACAGTGCAAAGGCAGACACCAAATGAGTCAGTACAAGCACGGTGAGTGTTCTACAGGGGACAGTCCAGAGTGGCACCAGAGTGTATAACTGGGGGTCAGGGAAGGCTTTGTGAAGACAGTGATATTTACGCTGAGACTTTGAAGGATGAGTAGGAGTTTCTCAAGTGACCGGATGGAGTGTTCCAGGTAGAGGAACAGCCTGTGTGAAGGCCCTGGGACACAGAGCGTTCATTGGATTTAAGAAGCTGTCACTGTCTGCAAGTCCCCAGGGCCAGGTAGAACCCCTAACCCTAATCTCAGCCCAGGATGCTGGTATATTATTGATGTTAATTCCAACTATCATTTATTCAGCACCTACTCTACCTCAGGCTCTTTGAATCTGTTATTTCACTTGGGTGCAGAGACTGTCCTGCAGCCCGTGAGGTCTCCCCAAAGCAAGATTGCACCCCAGCAAGATGTGGGGGCGCCTCACCCTTCTGTCTTCCTGAACAGGTTCAGGGCGGACTCTCCGGGAGACTGTCCTGGAAAGTTCGCCCATCCTCACCCTGCTCAACGAGAGCTTCATCAGCACCTGGTCCCTGGTGAAGGAGCTGGAGGAACTGCAGGTGAGCGGGCAGGTGGCAGGAACAGGAGCGTCCGGAACAGTGGTGGGGGCCGCGGCATCAGGAGTGTGCAACTGTCCCCACAGAACAACCAGGAGAACTCGTCCCACCAGAAGCTGGCTGGCCTGCACCTGGAGAAGTACAGCTTCCCCGTGGAGATGATGATCTGCCTGCCCAATGGCACCGTGGTAGGCACCCCCACTCAGACCCCACAGGGCCCAGGCACCTCGGGGCCCCGGGAGCAACCAGCAGGAGGCGTGGATGTGCAGACTTCATCAGGCTTCGGGACTGTCCCTGCCACTTCCTGGCTGCAAAGCCTCAAGCTGGTCTCTTACCCAGTCTAAGCCTCCGTTGTCCCCGTGTAGAAACAGGAATCGTGATGCAGGTGTTGGTCATCGGGGGCTGCGCAGCAGTGAGCATAGTCCTGAGGCAGAGTCAGCGCCTCCCTAGAAACACAGCCTGGAAGGGAAGGCTCACCTTGGACCATGGCGGCCAGTCCTGGGATGGAAGGGGAGGGAGGAGCCAGGCCTTGTGACAGAGACCAGGAGAGGGCCCTGAGCCAAGATTCAAGACCCCACCTCTCCCTAAGGGCCCCTTACCTAGCACTCAGCAAGTCTTCTCACTGGGGCCTCACAGCAGCTTTGGGAGATGGATGGTCATGAATACCCATTTTATAAACAAGGAGGCCCAGAAAGTTGAGAGACTGGACAAATGTTGCAGTCAATTAAGTGCAGCTGGCTTTGAACCGAGGCCTGCCCTTGAGCCTCAGATCTCCAGCTCTTCTGATCAAAGCGACCCCTCATCCTTTAAGTCCCAAGGCATGGTTAGTGTGGGACCCAGGGCTGTAGGAGGGGGCCGGCTTCCTCAGGATCTTAGGATGGGAGCAGTTCAGGAGCAGGGGCTGTCACGGGAGAGGTGTCCAGTGAGGGTTTGGTGTAAAGGAAAGGGCACCAGGCGGAAGGCATCTGCTGTCCCAGGCGCAAGGGTGATGAGATGGTGTCGGGGAACTGGATGAGGCTGGGCCTGGTTGGGAGAACCAGGCCTCCCATTCATATGAATGTTGATTGAATGCTGATTCATTCATTTGTTCATCTACTGGGCACCTACTGTGTGCCAGGCACAAAGATAAAGACACAGCCCCGTGCTGAAGGAGCTCAGTCTCTGGAGCGAGAGGCCAAAGGAGAGGCCCATTGAATGTGAGGCTGCAGTGAGAGAAGGGAGCACGGAGTTCAGGATGGGAGTCCGGGGTCACAGGAACAGAGGAGAGGGGTCATTTCGGGGGGCGGGGGCAGAGGGCTAGTAGAAGAGGTGATGTTGGAAGGTGTTGGGTTTTCACTTGGTAGGCAAGGCAGGGAGGAGCCCCCTCGTCAGACACAGGGTGATGAGATGGTGTCGGGTGCTGGCGAGGGCTTACGGCAGCACTGCCTGCCCACCATCCACCTCAGACAAGGACAGTCAAGGCCTGATAGCATCCCTGCTTCTCCCCATAGAAGAGAGGGCACAGGGAGCCTGGGGGCCCCCCTCCGCCCCACTTGCCTCACCCGGCCCTTCTCCCAGGTCCATCACATCAATGCCAACTACTTCTTGGACATCACCTCCGTGAAGCCCGAGGAAATCGAGAGCAATCTCTTCAGCTTCTCATCCACCTTTGAAGACCCGTCCACGGCCACCTACATGCAGTTCCTGAAGGAGGGACTCCGGCGTGGCCTGCCCCTCCTCCAGCCCTAGAGTGCCTGGACGGGATCTGATGCACAGGCCCCCACGCCTCAGAGCCAGAGTGGTCCTCAGCCCATTTCAGACTGCAGATGCCGCCCACTCCCACCCCACTCCTAGGCTGCCTTGGAGGGTACAAGATCCACTGAGGGTGGCCACCACAGCCTTGGCTCCATGGTGGCGGGTAGACAAGGGATGCCTGGGCTGACTGGGCAGAGGAACCTCTAGCTCTGACTGTCACTCGGCTCTCCCTACCCATTTGGCTCTGGAAGCTGCTTGGCCCCCCCAGATCAGGGCCTGGGTGAACTCCCTGGACCTTTCCTAGCCAGCCGCACAGTCTAGGCCCTTGTGGGGTGAAGAATGGAGGGAGGAGCAGGCTAGGAAGACGGGGCCACCACCCTCTCCTTGCTTTCAGCCCTTCCCACAGGAAACATCAAGAAGCCCCAGCCAGGAGGGGCCAGGCTGCCAAGGCGGCTCCCCTGTTTATCTAGAGCCTTCGTTCCTGGCCATACCCCGGACTGCCCTCCTGTGCCTGATGTCCCCAGCTGGGGTCAGTCTCAACAGGAGCCAGTCTTCTGGAGCCTCTGGGCAGAACCCTCCATCAGAGTGGAAATCAGACGGGACCCCCTGCAGCTTCCCTGACCACGCCACTGACCAGCTATCTGGGGAAGTTTACTGTGAAGGGGTTTCTGCCTTTAGCAATGGGGTTCACTAAGGGGGTTCCCGAGGCCCAGGGCCAAGGCACTCCCACCGCCTACCTTAGCACAGGGTCTCTGCAGGACTGCGGGAGCCAGCGCTCCTGCCGCCCCTCTTGCCCCTCAGACCTTGCATCCACAGAAGCACAACCCAGCCAAACACCACAGCCTTCTCCAGAGCCGGCACTGTCCCGGCAACCAGGGGTGCCCCAGGCTAGCTCTTCTACCTCTGGGGCACCACGGACTCCCCTTGGCCACTCTTGGGACTTTGGTCCACGTCCTGAGCCACTGACCACGGCCAGTCTCTCTTTTTATATGTGCAGAAAAGTGTTTTTACACAAACTTTCTCATGGTTTGTAGGTATTTTTTTATAACCCCAGTGCTGAGGAGAAAGGAGGGGCAGTGGCTTCCCCGGCAGCAGCCCCATGATGGCTGAATCCGAAATCCTCGATGGGTCCAGCTTGATGTCTTTGCAGCTGCACCTATGGGAAGAAGTAGTCCTCTCTTCCTTCTCCTCTTCAGCTTTTTAAAAACAGTCCTCAGAGGATCCATGATCCCCAGCACTGTCCCATCCTCCACAAAGGCCCACAGGCATGCCTGTACTCTCTTTCATTAAGGTCTTGAAGTCAGGCTGCCCCCTCCCCAGCCCCCAGTTCTCTCCCCACCCCCTCACCCCACCCGGGGCTCACTCAGCCTGGCAGAGGAAGAAGGAAGGCAGACATCTCCGCAGCCACTCCTGGGCCTTTTATGTGCCGAGTTACCCCACTTGCCTTGGGCGTGTCCACTGAGCCTTCCCCAGCCAGTCTTGTTCTCAATTTTGTTTTGTTTTGTTTTGAGACGGAGTCTTGCTCTGTCACCCAGGCTGGAGTGCTATGGCTCGATCTTGGCTCACTGCAACCTCCACCTCCCAGGTTCAAGCAATTCTCTTGCCTCAGCCTCCCGAGTAGCTGGGATTACAGGTGCATGCCACCATGGCTGGCTAATTTTTGTATTTTTAGTAGAGATGGGGTTTCACCATATTGGTCAGGCTGATCTGGAACTTCTGACCTCAGGTGATCCACCTGCCTCAGCCTCCCAAAGTGCTGGGATTACAGGCGTGAGCAATCGTGCCCAGCCTTGTTCTTAATTTTGTATCATCCAGTCATCGCTAATATTACACGCACCTTCTCACTTAATCCTCACGACAAGCCTGTGAGGCAGATGCTCATTGTTCCCATCTTGATGAAACTTGAGTCTCAGGGAAGTGAAGTGACTTGCCCAGGGTCACTCAGGTAGAGTTGAGATTCAAACCCACATGTGGCTCCAAAGTCTGCATCTGGATTTGGGGGTGTTTTTTGGCATGGCACCCTCACCTCTCTCCCTGCCTGTTTTCCCCAAAGTGGAAAGGAAGGCCTTTCAAACCAGAGTGTCTCACTCCCCTCTGACCTCCAGACCAGATGGGGCATGAGCCAGCCAGCTCAGCCAGGCTCCCTGTGTCCTGGGAGGAAGTGTCCCCATCCCCCATGCCCCTTATGGGGAGGGAGGGCGTCTGATGCTCTCTCTCTGCCTCCCCCCCCATCCTGTCAGGCACAGGTGACGGGGGCAGCCCATGCGAGCCCTTCTCCTGCTGCTCTGGGAGGGCCAGTTCCACATTGAGCCAGCCTGGTCCCATGGAAAATGATGGCCTGGGCTTTCTGAGGCCTTATCTGATGCCTCTGCAGTTCATGTCCCCCACCAGGCCTCGAGGCTCAGGGTGGGAGAGGGCCCCGGGCTGCCCTGTCACTCCTCTAACACTTCCCTCCCCTGTCCCCAACATGCCCTGTAATAAAATTAGAGAAGACTAACTAGAGTGGTTCTAAGTGCTTTTCCTTTGAGTGGCATGTTGCTCAGCTCCGTCCTTCCATGGGGTGGCTCCCTCTTGGGGCAGAGTTGAGCTGGAATGCTTTCAGGTACTATCTTACCTATCGAAGGCTTGAGTGACTTGCCCAAAATAAGTTTTACGATAGAACAAGTGGTAGGACTTACTGTTTTGAGAATCTGGTGCTCTCTGTTGAGAGAGATCTGGGAGTTAAAATCATTGTCTTAAAAGCAGAGCCTGAGACAGGCATGAAGTGTTTTTTTGTTTGTTTGTTTTGTTTGTTTGGTGGGGCTGGGGGGGAGTGTACTTCCAGAAAAACCAGTAAAAGAAGGAAGGAAGCAGAAGAGGGAAAGGAAAAATGCTGAGCAGGAACAGTCTCAGCCCAGCCTTGGCCTGACCCACAGTGGAAGAGCTGTGGGGCATAAACCACACTGCAGAGCTGAACTGGCCTTTTGGACCTTTTATCAGTCATTGGCTTGGGAGGTGAAGGAAATTCCCAGGTAGGGAGCTCCGTTCTTCCTGCAAGGGGATCTGAGTGGGACACCAAATCAGCATCTACACCCAGGACAGACAGCCAGCGTGGACTTGCATGATCCGCCATCGCACAGGAGGGAAAGGTAATGATTAAAACACAATGTGCCATCCTGGGAAGAGGGCCAGACCTGGAAGTCAATCTTCAGCGTTTGAGATATGGTGGAGATCAGGGTGGACGACCTCTGAGGTCTCTAGCCAGGACCAGTCACATAATTTGCACAGCCCCGTGCAAAATGAAAACACAAGAACCCCTATTAGAAAATCATTTCAAGACGGCAACAGCAAAGTACTAAACCAAGTACAGGATTCTGAGCATGCGGCCCGTTGTGACTGCATGGGCTGTTCACCCATGAAACCAGCTCTGTCTCTGGCAGAGGGGACTGCAGGCTTTGGAACCAAGGAACTCCAGCCTGGGAGCCAGGCACAGCCCGAGGCTGTGCTGAAGGCAGAGAAGGAAATGTGACCCAGGAACTGCATGCCACAGACCAAGACAGTGAGGGCTGGAGCACAAAGAGGGAGTGGGTTAGTGAGCCTGGAAGGAATGTGGCTCTTCCCACAGAGCCTCTGGAGTCTTGTACATCAAGTACCCATCTAATAAGCAAACTCATTGAATATACCGTGTGTGTGTGTGTGTGTGTGTGTGTGTGTGTGTGTGTGTGTGAGAGAGAGAGAGAGAGGCTAAAATAGAAGAAAGCTGCAAAGTGCTGGAGGGCAGGAGTCAAGAGGAGAAAGAGGCCCATTCTGCGCATTCTTGCTGGAGAGAGGCTTTGCAAAGGGACCTGCCTGGGAACCAAGAACTGGGAAGGGGGCCAGGGTGAGGATTCTGAAGTTTGCCCTAGGGGTAGGAGCATATTTTAGGGGTCGAGCGACACACCCCTGGGCTTCCAGAAGTCGGATGGGGCTAAACGTGGAGAGCAACAAGCAGGGAGACGCGACGAATACCAGGCCGAGGGATCTCCAAACGCAGCCAACTCCTCCCGGGGACACAGACCCCGCGGGGGCACGGTCTCGATGGAGGGGAGTGTGCTCCGCGGTATCGGAGCCTACAGCCGCCAGCGCCTCGCCCACTCGGGGGCCGCGCTCCCCTCGCCACCGAGCTGGACCCGCCTCCTGAGGGTGCGCGGAGGTGCGCCTCGGTGCGCAGCTGCGGAGGATCGCTTCCGGGGGGCGGGTCAGCGGAAGTGAGGGCGGTTGAGGCTGGGCGGCCCAAGGTGGAAGGAGGGGCCGTGAGGTGAGAGAGTCCGGGAGCCCGAGCTTGAGGTGAGAAAGGTTCTAGGGAGGCGCGGAGGCGGGAGCGCGACCTTCCAGCCCGTTAGTAGACTGGGTCTACGTGCCGGGCGCTGTGCGGAGCCCGCAGCTCCTGTTCCCGCGCGAGTTCTCGCGGGAGCCGCAGCTGTCCGTCTCACTTGGCCCGGGGGAAACTGAGTCCCCGAAGGGTAGTTGCTCGTCGGAGTTCCCCAGCAAACAGTGACCAAGCCAGACCTCAGGCTTCTAGTTTCGGCTTCGCTGCTTGACGGGCCGGGCTGCCCCGCCGCGCATTCTGAGACCTGGCCGCGGCTCGGAGGCTTCCGCGCACTCGGGTCCGGGTCCTGTGGGTCCAAGGGCCGCTGGGCAGGCGGCGAGCACTTGGCCGACCTTGGCCCAGGTCGGGTCGTCTGCCGCGGGGGAGGGGCGACTCGCCCTGGCGGGTCCCCGCGGGGAGAGGGTCCGCGCGGGTCTCCGGCCACTGCTGCGCGCGGCAAAGTTTCACTGAGCGCGGCGGCCTCCGTGGGGGCCCCCGGGACCAGGGGTGCTGAGCAGGGCCCTGCGCTGGAGGAGCTCCCGTTCTCCTGAGGGGACGCCTGTCAGCAGACAGCAACTGCAGCCTCCGGAGGGCTGCGGGGCGCAGAGGTGACAAGACCCACCGGTGCTGCCGGCGAACCGGGGGAAGATCTTCTAGCCAGTGACACTTGGGGGCGGGGGTGACAGCTGAGTTGGTGTTCCCCTTCATTCGTTTAGTTCAGCGCGTTGAAGCGCTCACTGTGTCCTAGGCAGACACCGTGCTGTGCGCGGGGATCACAGTTATCTAGTTCCTCTCGCGAGGACTCCGAGGGACAGGCAGGGTGCTGCGGAGCGCACAGGAAAGGACCTGACCCTGTCGCAGGGAAGGAAGGTGATGCTTAAGCTGAGCTCTGAGGAATGATGAAGAATGAGCTCGGCGAAGGGGGTGCTGGTGTTTGATGCAGGGCTCAGAGGTGGGCCCAGTGTTGGGGGTTGAGGGCCAGTGTGGCTGGAGGGCAAGGGGGAGAGCAGGAGGGCTGGCTGCGAAGCGTGCAGGCCTTGGTGCTCAGTGAATGTGGTCTAGAGACGGCAGAGAAAGATGGGTTTGGGACTGATTGTGGATTTTATCCTGTGTTGGCTCTAGTAAGCCAGTTTTAAACGGATGAGCGATGTGATTAACTGTGTTTGGGAAGGATTCCTCTGGCTGTGTGTGAGGGTTAGGCCCGGCTGGGTCTTTGGAGGTAAGGTCGGAGAGGAAGTGGCAGTAAGCACCGTTAGTGCAATTTGTGGCCGACACGGACATTCAGCACAGAGCCTGGCACACAGAGGGACTCTGATAATAAAGGCTTGAACTGAGCCGAGAAGATGGAGCCCACGCAGGAGGTGGCAGGACCTGGACCAGGCTTTGGGTGCTTTGCACTGGCATGACCACTGAGTGACCTTAGACAAGTGCCTTCCCCTGTCCAACTTCCTTTCCCCATGTGTATCGTGAAGTGAATGACACCTCGTCTCCCAAGGGTAGAAGAGGGGACCCTCCACAGGAGGTCTCCAGAAAGAGCTGCTTTGTCAGTCTAGTCTATCTCCCATTCAGAGCCTGTCCAGGGCTCCCCAGTGACCCGGACCTCATGACTTGCCCCCTACTTTTGTAGCTTTATCATGCTCTGCTCCTCTTTCCATGTCCTTCACCTTCTTGTGCTGGACCTGTGCTCTTGCTGTTTTGTCTTCATTTCCTACTCCCTCGCAACTTACTACAGGGCACTAGGGCCAGAGCTCTGACCTCATCTGGCCACCTGCCTAATGCTACTCAGCCTTTGCTAGAAGTATGTATTCATGTCCTATCACTCTGCTGGACAGCGAGTTCCTTGAGAGCATGACTGTGTCTTACTCCTTCCATAGCCCCTACGGTGCCCAGCACAAGGCCTGGCACAAGTGGGTACTGTTGGTGTTTGATGAACAAGTGAATGAACGAGCACACTGATTGCATCTGCTCACCATGCAAGGACTGCTGTGAAGAGCAGTCAGATGTCACCTCACCCATCTGTGTCATGTTTTAACAGTTCATTAAGCACTCAACCCCATTTCACTCATTGACCCTTAAGGTAGCCTCCAGTGGCAGCTTTTCCTGTCTCCTTTTTCCAGATGGAAAAACCAACATTCAGAAAAGTTAAATAACTTGCCTGTAGCTACAAAGCCAGAAGGTGGCTGAGCCAGGATAAACTTTTTTGGCTCTTTTTCTCTGTAGCTCATGAGACTGAGATTGGCATGAGCTGGTGTTCGTTCTCCTATTTTCTCTGATCTCTCCCTTTGCAAGGGCCCAGCAGTGCTTTTACATCTCATCTTCAAGAATGAATCCTGGGCTTGGATAGTACTTATAATTTGGCTAGATGAGCTTTGTAGCTACCAAGGATTCTATTTGCATCTTTAGAAGTTTTGCCTCAAGAAACCTGAGAGCCCAGGAAGGCTCTTGGGTTGGCCAAGCTCACTAGGCAAATCTTTTTTTTTTTTTTTTTTTTTTGAGACGGAGTCTCGCTCTGTCACCCAGGTTGGAGTGCAGTGGCGTGATCTCGGCTCACTGCAAGCTCTGCCTCCTGGGTTCACGCCATTCTCCTGCCTCAGCCTCCCAAGTAGCTGGTACTACAGGTGCCCGCCACCACACCTGGCTAATTTTTTGTATTTTTAGTAGAGACAGGGCTTCACTGTGTTAGCCAGGATGGTCTCGCTCTCCTGACCTCGTGATCCGCCCACCTCGGCCTCCCAAAGTGCTGGGATTACAGATGTGAGCCACTGCGCCTGGCCGCAGATCTTTAACAGAACCTTTAAGAGTCTGGACTTAGAGCTAAGTGTTGGGTGAGGGCAGCCTCTTGGGCTGGTTTTCTCCCCTGTGAAGTCATGGCTCTGCAGGGCCTGGTTTTTTGGGGCTTGTGTGGTGACCATTAAATCCCCACTGTGGGGGGTTGTTTCACAAGAGGGAAATCTGGTGCTCCTCCAGATGGCCTGATATGAAGGAGTCACGCCTCCCGCCTCCCGGAGCTGCCCAGTGGCTGCCTTGTCCTTCAAGTGCAGGAGCTGGTTCAAATGTCAGGAATGGAAGCCACTGTGGTAAGGGGCATTCCCAGGGCAGGGGTATGGTGGGGAAGGTTGGGTGCTGGGCCTGCTGAAGTACTGTAAAAGGTTCTGAGACTCTCCAGTTGAGCACTCCTTTCTCCAGAGGCCTGGAATTGGAGCAAGGCCACCGTTTCACTCCCTCCCCCTAAGAAGAACCAACTATGATCCTGGGGCACTTCAGGAGTCAGTGTATGTCTGCCTTTCTGTACAGAGGACGGGAAGGAAAGCCTGGATAATCTCTACACTCAGCTACTTCCTCTCCCCTTCCCTGACCCTCCCAACATTGACTGCCTTAGCAGCAGCAGGTATTCCCTTGGGTGGCTGGCCAGGGTGTAGGCTGGCAACTGGGGAACCTGCCCTCACTATAATTGAGAGTTGACTTGCCCCTAGAGAGTGCCCTGTCCCTAGGTTTGTGGAATTCAGTCTCCACAAACCTAGAGAGGAGAGGACAAGGACAGTAGTTGGATTCATTCTCTGGGGTTGTAGCTGTCTCCGTCTCTTTGCTCCAGACCATCCCAATCTGGCAAAACAAGCCACATGGGGCTGCTCGAAGTGTAGTAAGAAGAATTGGGACCAACCTACCCTTGAAGCCGTGTGCCCGGGCGTCCTTTGAGGTGAGTATGTTGGAAGGGCAGGAGAGTAGAGGCTCAGACAGTGCTGCTTCTGTGCCCCAAACCCCTTGGTACTGCCCAAGTAGGTTGTTTCCTGGTCACTTTTCATTCTGTTATGAAATATTTGTTAAATGCTTATAAGATATCCTGGTCACTGTGTCCTCCTGAGTGCATACAAACCTGTGACCACAAGGAACCTGACAGGTCCCCCACATGGGACACTGACTATTGTGATTTTTGAGTTGAACTCTGCTTTTCTTCACCAGCCCTAAGAATTGACCATGTAGCCAGTATTTTTATTTTATTATTTTTTGAGATGAGGTCTCCCTATGTTGCCCAGGCTAGGTCTTAAACTCCTGGGCTCAAGCAGTCCTCCTGCCTCAGCCTCCTATGTAGCTGGGATTACAGGCACAAGCCACCATGCCCAGCTCCACTATTTTTAGTGTTTCTCTGAGGCCATAATTCCTCAGCCTTCTCTTTTTGGCCAATCTGGGCATCCTTTACTGGGGTGCTTTGGTCTTACCTCTGTGTCTAGGGATCCTTTAGCACCCACTCAGCAGCAGAGATTCCTACCTGGCCCAGGTCTCTTGAGACCCCTTCTGTGGTAGAAAGCTAAGTAGCATTTATTAGTCCCAGCTGCCTCCCTCTAGGAACTAAATGGTTAAGCACCAGCCCCAAACTATATGGTTCAGATGTGTGCATTTGGAGAGCTGGGATACAAAAGAAATACTTGTGCTTTCTACCCACACAGAGGAGATAGAAATATGTGCATGAAAGGATGTGGGCCCAGGTAGAAACAGAAATGAAGGAGCCAAATCTGTATAAAAGATGCTAAGAAGCAGAGTCTGTAGGAACTGGATCTGGAATTAGAAGAGGTGTCAGGGTTGGTATTAGGGTCAGGAATGGAGTTGGAAGTGTCGCAGGGGTAGGGGGCAGGAAAAGCTGTCCCAGTATTCAGATTGCCAGCTATCCAGAATTGTCTAAAGATCCTGGGCAGGAACTGGTCCTAACTTGCCTCAGAAGCATCAGAAAAAAAAAAGGGAGACAGCTAGGGAGTGTGGCTCACTGCATAGAGGCCGTCCCCACACTTGGCTATACCCTCTTCAGTTCTTTGGCCAGATGCTGGGCAGAGACAATCAAGGGCACAGGCTCTCACAGAGCAGGAATGTATGTGAGCAGTATTGGTAATACTAGATAACATTTACTGAGCACATACTATGTGTCAGGCACTGTGCTGTACTTTATATTTGTTTACTCATTTAATTGCCAAGAGCAAAGGAGCATTCAGGGCTAATCAGGAAAACAAATGGAGGCTTCCCCCAAATGCCCTATTTTAGCACTAGTTCCTGGGTCACTGGAAGTTCTTCTCTGTGTGACCTTGGAGTATCACTTAACTCCTGTGAGTCCCAGGTTTCCTATCTAAATGCAGGAGCGATCAATCCTGGATCCATCTACCATACCAAATAATTTGTAGCAGAAACAGTTGAATCTTACTTGTGTGTAAATATGCATTTATTATTATTATTAAATTACCTTAAATATTATTTAAGGGACTCTTACCAATTTATTTTGAAAATTTAAGCATATGAAAATATTAAAATTATGAAAAGTAAAAGGAAAATAAATTACCTATAATTACATAGTAATAATACAATAACTATTAATGTCTTAGTGTAGTCCTCTTTTTCTAGATGGATGTTTTTTACTTTGTTGTAATCACAGTCAACATGACTGAATCCTAATTTTTCACTTTACTCAACATCTCTAGGTTGAGGAGCTATTTTAAGAAATCCTATTATGGTTCCTTTTGTATAATCATTTATTTTTATTTAAATCTAAATATATTCAAATTTTCAGGTTTGTTTAAAACAGCATTGCTGTAACAATGTAGATCTCAATTAGCTATACAGGATTATAAAAAGCTAGTCAGGAAAAATTTCCTATTGCTGTAACAGGTTGTGGATGACCTTGTACTTGTATTTTCACCAGAGGGCACAGTGGTTTTAGACAGTTGCCATCTCTACTAAAAGGTGACTCAGGCCTTTTCCACTGAAGACACAGAACTGTTTGTAATCCCATAGACTCTCATGTGTCTTGCCTGTTTTTGTTTTTGAATGTGGCTCTGTTGTCCACGCTAGAGTACAGTGGTGCAATCTCAGCTCACTGCAACCTCTGCCTCCCAGGTTCAAGCCATCTTCCCACCTCAGTCTCCTGAATAGCTGGGACTACAGGCGTATACCACCATACCCAGATAATTTTTGTATTTTTTGGTAGAGGCAGGGTTTTGCCATGTTGCCCAGGCTGATCTCAAACTCTTGGTCTCAAGCATTCTGCCTGCCTCGGCCTCCCAAATGCTGGGATTACAGGTGTGAGCCACCATGCCTGACTGTCATCTGGCCTCTGTTCAATGTTTTCGACCAGGAACCTTCTTCTGCCCCCTCTAGGAAGCCTTCCTGACACCCAGTGCCGGATTAGGTACCCCTCCTGTGTATTCTGCAGTTTCTGATTGGCTCATCATGGCATCTGTAAATGTTGATGACTTTTGCTTCTCCATAGACCCTGCCCAACATCTCTGACCTGTGTTTGAGAGATGTGCCCCCAGTCCCTACCCTGGCTGACATCGCCTGGATTGCTGCGGATGAAGAGGAGACATATGCCCGGGTCAGGTAGTTGAGGCAGTAGCTGGTCTGCTAAGGAATGGAGAACTTCCCAGAAGAGGTGGCAGGCAGCAAGGAGAGAGGAATGAGAACTGTGGGCTCAGAGAGGAGCAGAACCTTACTATACTACTCTCACAGAAGTGGGGGAAGGAACCTTAGGAGCACAGTGGCCTGCTGTCTCTAACTGATCTACTTGGTTTTCCCTGGTCCAGGAGTGATACGCGCCCCCTGAGGCACACCTGGAAACCCAGCCCTCTGATTGTCATGCAGCGCAATGCCTCTGTTCCCAACCTGCGTGGGTCCGAGGAGAGGCTTCTGGCCCTGAAGAAGCCAGCTCTGCCAGCCCTAAGCCGCACTACTGAGCTGCAGGACGAGCTGAGCCACTTGCGCAGCCAGATTGCAAAGATAGTGGCAGCTGATGCAGGTAGGAGCCCCTGTGCCAGGGCCAGAACGTAACAGGCTGTTCCTTTCCCCTGGCTCTTGGGCAGGATAGGGGTAAAGAAAGTGGTAATCCTTGGTTTGCAGGTACTTAGGTTCCGGGCCCTGGGGTTGTCCTGAAGCCTGGCTAGCCAGTAGTGCCTCTTAGATGGTTTCTACCAGCCATTTTGGGCTGAATGGTTTGGTTAAGAACAAAATATTAACCTGTGACCCCAGGCAGAGTCCCTCCCTTAGCCCCCAAACTGATACCCTCTTCTAAGTGTCTTTAAGATCACATCTTACATAAGCCCACAGTAGCTTTTTTTTTTTCTCCTCTGAGTGAGTCTTGCTCTGTCGCCCAGGCTGGAAGTGCAGTGGCACGATCTTAGTTCACTGCACTCTGCCTCCCAGGTGCAAGCGATTCTCCTGCCTCAGCCTCCTGAGTAGCTGGGACTACAGGGGTGTGCCACCAGGCCTGGCTAATTTTTATATTTTTAGTAGAGACAGAGTTCCACCATGTTGGCCAGGCTGGTCTTGTATTCCTGACCTCAGATGACCCACCCACCTCAGCCTCTCAAAGTGCTGGGATTATAGGTGTGAGCCACCGAGCCCAGCCAGTTTTCCTTTTTTTGGAGACAGGGTCCTGGTTCTTGCTCTGTTGCCCAGGCTGGAGTGCAGTGGCGCAATCTTGGCTCACTGCAACCTCTGCCTCCCAGGCTCAAGCGATTCTCGTGCCTCAGCCTCCTGAGTAGCTGGAATTACGGGTGTGCACCACCACACCTGGCTAATTTTTTTATTTTTAGTAGAGACGGGGTTTTGCCACATTAATCAGGCTGGTCTCAAACTCCTGGCCTCAAGCAATCCACCCAGCTCGGCCTTCCAAAGTGCTAAGATTATAGGCATGAGCCACTGTGCCCGCGGTTGAAACAAGAGTCTCATTCTGTCACCCAGGTTGGAGTGCGGTGGCACGATCTTGGCTCACTGCAACCTCCACCTCCTGGGTTCAAGCAGTTCTCGTGCCTCTGCCTCCCGAGTAGCTGGGATTATAGGCGCATGCCACCATGCCCAGCTAATTTTTTGTATTTTTAGTAGAGATAGGGTTTCGCCATTGCCCAGGCTGGTCTCAAACTCCTGAGCTCAAGCAATCCACTTGCCTCAGCCTCCCAAAATGCTAGGATTACAACCATGAGCCACCGCGCCCTGCTTTCCTTTTCAATACAAGAAGTAAACATTCCCCCCACCACCACTGAGACTTACCCTTTTTAAGCACCTATCTTCCCTTGCCTTGTTGTTTCTACCAGGAATCACAAGTGGCTTTACCACTTCAGTTCTTATACTGCTAGTGACATTGTCCCCATGCCCCACCCTTCAAAGTGGGGAGTTTCATGACATTATGTTATGTTTTCTTATCTCAAATTGGTGGACTTTTTTGGTGGAAGGAGAATTTCATAAAGTTGGAGATCTTGGCCTTAAAATACAGTGGTCGGGCACTGTGGCTTACGCCTGTAATCCCAACACTTTGGAAGGCTGAGGTGGGTGGATCACCTGAGGTCAGGAGTTCGAGACCAGCCTGGCCAACATGGTGAAACCCTGTCTCTATAAAAAATACAAAAATTAGCTGGGCATCGCAGCATGTGCCTTGAACCTGGAAGGTGGAGGTGGAGGCAGAGGTGGAGGTTGCAATGAGCTGAAGTTGCACCACTGCACTCCAGCATGGGCGACAGAGTGAGACTCCGTCTCAAAAAAAGAAAAAAAAAAAACAGTGGTCTATTATGCAAACAAGCCCTGTAACCCACCCCTCCAGCTTTCTGTCTACAGTTAAGGCAGAACCACTGGAAATGGATGGGAAGCCTGCCTTAACCAGAGGCATGGACAGCCAACAGGTGGATCGCTCCCAAGATGCTCAGGGCTTATCTTCATATTCCTCCCATCCTCATTTTTTCACTCTGCATTGACTCAGAGTCATAGCTCTGAAATTTATCATTTGGTAGGACACATGAAAATCATGGTGTTCTTTGAAATCTTCATGTATTTAATTTCTTCACATGGAAGTTTTATGAAGAATTGTACTGAAACTTTGTTATTTCTTGGCTACTTTTTTGTCATCCAAGAGACAAGCAGAAGTAACATCTTTTTTAGAAACATAGTTTTTAGTGTATTTAGTGTTTTTAAAGTATTTTTAGAAATGTAAAAACTGAGGAAATTCTCTCCACTGAAATTTGGGGAGGTTGGGAGGTCTGTTACCATTCTGGTTTTGCTCAGAACATGTCTTCTAGTTCACAGATAGCAAGATTTCAAAGGAGCATAGTCAAAAGCACTAGTCTAGTTAGAGAAAAGGACAAATTCAGGCCTTAGCTCTTATCTCTGCTGCTTTGGCCTATGACAGGGCTGTCACTCCACAGCCTATTGTGGAATGGGAGCTTTTAAATGCCAAGGCCATTATGGGGCTGGGTTTTCCTGCCTTCCTGGAACACTGGAAAAGCCCAGTGCTTCTACAGCTTTCTGAGCCCCCGAGTGAGAAGCATAGTGGAATGACCCTCCACTGGCTACAGATACCATCCTGGCTCTCCCAGATTGTCATGGTGTCAGCCCAGGAAATGAATGTTCAGTAGGCAGGGCTGTGGGGAGAAGATATTGCTACTGTGTTCTAGCCCCAATGTCCACCCATGCCTATTGTTTTCTCTTTCAGCTTCGGCTTCATTAACGCCAGATTTCTTATCTCCAGGAAGTTCAAATGTCTCTTCTCCCTTACCTTGTTTTGGATCCTCATTCCACTCTACAACTTCCTTTGTCATTAGTGACATCACCGAGGAGACAGAGGTGGAGGTCCCTGAGCTTCCATCAGTCCCCCTGCTTTGTTCTGCCAGCCCTGAATGTTGCAAACCAGAACACAAAGCTGCCTGCAGTTCGTCTGAAGAGGATGACTGCGTCTCTTTGTCCAAGGCCAGCAGCTTTGCAGACATGATGGGTATCCTGAAGGACTTTCACCGAATGAAACAGAGTCAAGATCTGTAAGTATCTGATGAGGAGCTCTGGTATCTATTTACTCAGAGTTGCCCATGGCCAATTATGTAATGCAACATACTTACATAGTAAGTTCTTAGTAGTACCATATGTTATGTCATTCATAAAGCTTGCTGACTACCTGCTTGCCAGTGCCTGGGGCCCCAGTTTGAGGAAAGAGCAACACTACATTTATTGGGTTTGGTCACCCCAACCAAATATGAGGCTAGTAGGGATTTTACAAGAAGGCTCATCTAATCCAACTTCTGTCCTCAGGTGGCTTTACCACTTCAGTCCTCATACTGCTAGTGACAGTGTCTTCATGGCCCACCCTTCAAAGTGAGGGGTTGCATGACATTATGTTTTGTTATGTTTTCTTATCTCAAATTGGTAGACTTTTTTGGTGGGAGGAGAATTTCATAAAGTTGGAGATTTCTGCTTTAAAATACAGTGGTCCATTGTGCAAACAAACCCTGCACATTCAGTGATTTGAGAATAAGGCTTTTGAGACTCACCAGTAGTTCCGAAACCTAGCTGCCCATCAGAATTGCTCAGATTTGTTAAAAATACACCTTTAACTTACTAAAGTAGAACCCCAAGGAGTGGAGCTCTAGGTTTTTCCGATGGAGTATGAGGGTCTTTGGGGAATACCTACCTTGAAAAACTTCATCTGGCAAAGAAGCCTCAGGGAGTCACCCCATTGCATAGTGTTTCTCCAGTTGTGGGTTGCGGTTTCAACAGCTGCACAGGACTCACCAGAGGAGCTTGGTTTGAATGCAGGTTCCTGGGCATTTGAGAGCCAGACCTTGATGGCCAGCACCCAGCTTGTGCAGCTCTGTTTGTTAATGCAGATGAAAAACTGTTTTGGGGACAGGGAAGCGAGGTCCTCTCCTGAGTTGATAAAGTTCTTGTTAAAGGGAAAGTTACTTGCCCTGGATCCCTTTTTGTCTCCTGGGATCCATTTCCCTCTGAAAAGTAGACCAGGCTAAGTGACTCCCTCATTGCTTCCTGGCAGTTGACCCATTTAGGGAAGTCACTCTTAACCTTCCTTCACTGGCCCTAGTCAGGTTGGTCATACTCACCCATATCTCTTTGGTCTTCCACATTCCCAAATTCAGTTGCTGCTGTTTTTGGTCTTCTCTGAGCTGTCTTCTTCTGAACAAAATGTTTTATAGGTTGACTCTCAAACTTTCTCTTACTTGCCTTTTGGACCAAATTAGATTCAAGACCCTTATTGCTAGCCCCCTCCTCCCACTTGTGTCCTCAGATCAGAAGGAGCTGGGTCAGTGAATAAGAATGGGAAAGTACCCCAGTCAGCAAAGGTTCAGATATGTCACCAACCAAACGCAGTCCCTCTTGTTTTTGCTTTGAAGGTTGAATAGTCAGTCTTGGCTCTTATATTTAGCTTAATCACCAGTAAAACACCTTCATGATGAATGTATATAAGTTCACTAGGATTTCAAGCAACTATTTTCCAGGTATCTAGGACCCTCTTATATGATGTATCAGATAACTTGGGCCTACTTCAGTCTGGAGTTGGTTTTGTTCCCATGAGTTTCTTATGTGAATGTTTTGCTCTAATTCTGGCTCTCATAAAAAATCATCTCCCCTGAAGGGGAGACCCGGTGGTAGGAAATCCCAAGCACACCTTTTCTCCAGAACTATCAAGGGTCAGAATAGCCAAGAGTCATCAGTCACTTCCCCTGCTGACCCTCTGGGGAAATGCTACTAAGAAAACAGGGCCAGAAGGCAGAAGCTTAGCCACCAGAGGCCAACTCTAACAGACTGATGGTCCTTTACTTTGCCCATACTTTATAGCTATTTCAGGAAATAGTAAAGCATTCTAGTTAATAGATGAGATCTGGAACCAGCTAGTTTGGTTCTGAACTCTGGATTCACCGCTTACTTGCTGAGTGACTAGTGACCTTGGGCAACTTGTATAACCTTTCTGTGCTTCAATTTCCTTATCTGTGAAAGGGAATTGTAATGGCACCTACCTCGTAAGATTGTTGTGAGGATTCAACGAGATAATGTATTCAAAAGATATACAGCACTACACAGGAAAGAGTAAGTACTCAAGCTATTATTGTGTCTCTAGGAACCGGAGTTTATTGAAGGAGGAAGACCCTGCTGTGCTTATCTCTGAGGTCCTAAGGAGGAAGTTTGCTCTAAAGGAAGAAGATATCAGTAGAAAAGGAAATTGACAACCCTCAGCTCTGCAAACTCAGTCTCATGCTCCTGGAATACCTTCAATAGCTGCCTTCCTCACCGCAGATGTTTCTGCCTCTTAAGGATAGATCTTCTGCAACAGTCTTGCTGACAAGCTAGAGCTTGGACTGAAAGAGAAGAGCTGGATTATATATTTCCCAGACTTCAAACCCTAGCAGAAGCTAAGGCTTGTGATTTGACCTGAGACATTTGTTTCAGGTAATCGTGTAGAATGAAGTATCTTAGTTTAAAGGGTAAGAGAGAAGTTGTTTCTGGTTTTTCCTTGCCCCTGTGTGAAAATAGGTCCTAAATGACTGACTTCACTGCATTAGACCCTATAGCTGGTCTCACAAGACACTTTGTGCCCAGCTGTCACTCACTCAGCAGCTTCCTTGCAGCAGAGCAGGGCTGAGGGGAAGGGGCTATGAATGTTTGTATACATGTTCACAGGGCACGGAAAATCTTATGCTGCTCCGTCATAAACCTACACCAATGCCCAGCAATCACCCTCCTCACTTCCTTGTCTAGATGTAGAGGTCAGGCTGCTGAACCAGCCAACACATGGGCTACTGCTGGGAAGCCTGGGCTGTTTTTTTTCTTAAACACATTTTATATTACTGAACAACCAAATCTACCCTCCACGGCCCTGAGGCCTTATCAGTTCCACTGATTAAAAACTTTCTCTTCCACGGACTTTAAGCCCGGTAGGAAAGAGAGAGGAGGAGGGGGAAAGAGCAAACCATCTTTCTTCCAGGCCCTTGACTGCTCCTTTGGGCTGGGCCAAGGTTTGTATGTACCACACCATGCATGACTCAGATGCCCTCAGGTCCCTTTCTCTATGGTATGTATACTGCTTGTGTTTGGGTTGAAGCACTACCTGACATTAAAGGAAGGACTTGGAGAGAGAATGCATTTGCTGTGTCCATCTCTTGAGTTGCGATTACCCAGTATCCTTCAGGGGCATAGGATTATTGTTAATTTTAAGGTGTATGAACTTAAACAGGCTACTGGCTTCTCCTCTTTCCTTATAAGGTCCTGCCCTTCTAGGGGGTTTCTTCCCCCTTTCTGTAGAGATTTTGCCCTATACTCTTTTTCTTTTTTTTAGAAACAGTATCTAGCTCTGTCATGCCGGAGTGCAGTGGTGGGATCATTAGCTAACTGCAGCCTCCAAACTCCTGGGCTCAAGTGAGCCTCCCACCTTAGCCTCCTGAGTAGCTGGGACTACAGGTATGCACCACCACACCCAGGAAATTTTTAAATTTTTTTGTAGCGATGGGGTCTTGCTATGTTGCCCAGGCTGGTCTTAAACTCCTGGTCTCAAGCAAACCTCCCACCTCAGCCTCCCAGAGCGTTGAGATTACAGACATGAGCCACCGCACTAAGCCCCATACATTCTTAAAAGCAGGTCTTCCAGGAAAATGACTGGAGAGATGACATACACGATAAAAGTAGAATTTAACATTTAAATTAGGCCAGGCACAGTGGCTCACACCTCTAATCACAGCACTTTGGGAGTTCAAGATCAGCCTGGGCAACAAAGCAAGACCTCATCTCTACAAAATATTTTAAAAATAATTAGCTGGGCATGGTGGCATGTGCCTATAGTTCAGCTACTCGGGAGGCTGAGGTGGGAGAATCACTTGCGCCCAGGAGGTCCAGGCTGCAGTGAACCGTGTTCATGCCACCACACTCCAGCCTGGGCAAGAGAGCGAGACCGTGTCTCAAAAAAATAAAATTTAAGTTAAAAAAAAAAAAAGAAGCAGTTCTCTTATAACCTTGCAAGTTTGTCCCTTAGAGGTTGTTTAAGCCTCTTAGATACCACATCAACAACAAGGAATAATGCCTTGGGTAGAAGACAGGTCAAACTAGACTCTGGTTCAGATCAGGCTCAGGGCAATGACAGCATATACTATTACAGTGTTGCCTTTTCAAAAATAAAATTGGTAATGGTTTAATTACCAATTATCACAAGAGCCACTTTGTAAACATTTATTTGGATTCATAGTTTTACAAAGGGGATTCCCTCCTATCTTGTGGGAAAAGGGTAACAGAGTCACATCCAGATTGTTGTACAGCTCAGGCTTTTTAAGGGAGATATTTAAACATAGAGTATATAACTTTAAAGTGCTGTACAGTTACCACAAAAATAAAATAGGAAACTAGCACCATTCTACCTCTCTTCTCTCCACACCTGGGTTGTGGGGAGATTTGCTAATCACTGAAAAAAAAGGGTCAAGAGTAATCATCCCAAGCTTAGGCTGATGTGGGTTAAGATCAGCCAGAGATTAAAAGCTCACACATCTGGCTGGGCGCGGTGGCTTATGCCTGTAATCTCAGCACTTTGGGAGGCTGAGGTGGGCGGATCAGGAGGTCAGGAGATGGAGACCATCCTGGCTAATATGGTGAAACCTCGTCTCTACTAAAAATCCAAAAAAAATTAGCTGGGCGTGGTGGCGCATGCCTGTAGTCCCTGCTATTCGGGAGGCTGAGGCAGGAGAATCGCTTGAATCCGGGAGACAGAGGGTGCAGTGAGCTGAGGTCGCACCACTGCACTCCAGCCTGGCAACAGAGCGAGACTCCATCTCAAAAAAAAAAAAAAAAAAACACATCCATAAGCAAGGTCCCAGTCAGACATCTGGAAGGGCAAAGAGATGGCTCTGTGCAGGCTGAGTAAAAGGCACTTTCATAGAGATAAATACCCACTGTGCTGCCTCAGTGTTCATCATAGACTCATTCAGGGAATTTACCAGCCACCACCTTCCTGAGGGAAAGCCATGATGCCAATCCCACTGTCTTAACAATGGTACTGCCCTTTATTTACACAGAGAAGATGCTCAGTAATGACAACTTCATCCCATGCCACCTTCCCACCTAAACAAACTCACTCCTCTCTCCACCCACAACTATATTTTCCTACATCTCTATCATTTCAAGGTACTTTTAGAAACAAAGCTTCAAACATTTAGAATTGGTGTCTGATAACTTGATTACCTTCAGAGTCCTGGGTAAAGAGCAAATCAGGCTTCAGATTTTGAGTTGGCCCATCCTCCTGGCACTGAGCCCAAGGACTGTTAGGAAACGGCCCTAAGTCCCAATTCCAGTTATTGGTTACATCTTGAAAAGGAGCTCTAGTGTTGTGGGCAATGACCCGCTGGCCTTGAGAATCTTCAGTGAAAAGTTGACTCCAGGAGTCCTTGTCATTCTTTTCATTGTCCCAGGAAAACACAGAAACTGGACTACGGCTTTGTTTCACTGATTCTATGTTTTCTCCATTCCAGGATTCCCTGTATGTTTGAAGGAGGACAGGGGCCTGCCTGTTTTCTTTGGCAGACACCTTTCTTTCCAATTTAGTCTTGCCTAAGGGCTGACAGCATTTGTCCCCAGGTAGTTTGGTGTGTTTCTCCATACTCTGATAGTTCTTCTTAGACTCATGAAGCCATTCCCATTTCCTGGCAGAATCCCCTTTTTCTTCCTTTCGGTCTAGCAAACAAGAACTTTCCAAGTCCTCGGTGAAGGAAAAAGCCAGTGGGGTATGACTATCTCCAGCACAGTCTGGAGTATCAGGCTGGAGCAAAGATAGCTCAGTTGAAAATGGGGTTTTCATTCTGTGGTGGCCAGAAGTCTGGAGGGACTGAGGAGAGAGTCCAGCTTCCTGGATGTCTGCAGTGGTTGAAGTGGCTAAAGGGGATGCCATGCAATCGTGTGCTAAGCCTGGGATCAAATGGTCTAGCTGGGTCGCATTTTTCTTGGACTCTTTGTTGATCTGACTTTCTGTATGAGATGAAACACTCTTCTGGTCACTGCCATTTGTCTTTCCTAATAAAACAGGAATGAACAAATATTATTCTGCAGAAAAACTGCCCTAAGCAGGATTCAGTTGGCTTTTTCTGAAATCAGTATCAGCTACTATTACTACCTAGTGCAGGAGTCTTAAGACTCTTCACATAACTTTGTAGCCAATCTTCCTGTTTTCAATCTTGCCAGTCTATCATGAATAAACTCTAAAACATCAGATCTTATATTCCCTACTCAAATACATGGATACTTCCCATCACCTACCTAATAAAGTCAAACATCGCATACGATCAGACCATAGCCTACTTTACCAGCTGAGTTTTCATTTGTAGGTTTGTTTAACATACGGCACATCAGTTTTGCTTTTGTTTTTTATTTAATGTGGTTTTTTACTAAATGGTGATCCTGGTCAAATATACATTCCTAGACATTATCCTTAAAGAAACATGCTAAACACATACTAGTTTTGTAAGGTCTTAAAGATGACATTAACTATCCAACTCTGAGAAACCTTCTGGTGACAGTGTGAAAAACGTGGGTCCTCCACTCCCCAGGCATTTCATTGGAAAGGGAGTGAAGACACAATTAGGATGCTAAGTCAATCAGTAGGTAGAATAGTGAAACAACTACTAGTGTCCAGCCTGTTAATTTTATCAGGCATAGAGTGGATTCTGTTCTGCCTTAAGATAAGGATGGAGGACATGGAATTCCCAACTTGGCTCAAATTGTTCCAAGATCTAATTATAAAAACAAAGCAGAATAACTGATTTCCTCTTTCCTTCTACAATAAGAATTATACTGCAGAAACTAGGTTTTGTGAGAATTCTCAACTTTTCCTTAGCATTCAATATAGACTATAAAATACACCAGAATTTGTAAGTGGAAAAAGTGGGTTTTTTGTTTGTTTTTTTTAAATCTGCCCTTACATAAAGCAAAAGAGTGTACGTTTTTGTTTGGAGGAGGGAGAGGGCATTTTGAAGGTTTAGGCAAAGCAATCCTGAGAATCACACCCGGCATTAGAGCACTCTTCCCAACACCCTCCAAGTGGCAGGAACCCTGCTGTTTAAGGCCCAGCCTGCTCTGAGTCAGCTGCTCCCCTGAACAGGGACCTGGAAGCAAAGAACAGCCAAAGGAAGAGACATAAGCCAACTTTATGTGAGGCTAAGAAAAAGCATCTTTGAACCTTTCACTAATTTGAGAAGCGTCACACAAAAGTATCAATTATTAATTAACCTTAGACAGAGTACCCACTGTGGCCAACCCAAGATATATACCACCTAACTAATGGCAGGGCAACTCCCCAGTGCACCTCCAACTCCCAAGTACACCCTTCCTGACTGCTCTGTCAGCAAATACAAATATTTAATATTAAGCTGAGCAAAACAGAACCAGAAAAGTATGTTTGTAAAAGTACACATATATTGCTTTTCAAAAGGCAACAACTTATGTTTTATAACCTCTTCTAACAGGCTAAGTTTAACACAATGCACTGGTTTCACCATTTCTCATAAATGGTCTAACATGGACAAATGAACACACTCCTTTTTTGCTCTGGATAATGAAGTATTCCCATATGGGTCACCATACCTGGCTGCAAGGTGAAGAAGGAAGCAATGCTTCTCTGGTGAATGCCTGTAGATGGAGCTCTTCTTTGAGTAAAATAAATATTAGCCTTTCTTTCTCCAGGAAGGAGTGTTAGCATTTTGGTGCCTGGTTTGATTAAATGTGTCTGAGAAAGGAGAGAAAAAAGAATAATGAGCCTATTAATATTAAAAGACATACAGTAGAGATTCAGTACACACCAGTGATCCTCTGAGAACCACACTAGATCCTCTGTACTCCACTTATAGCCTATTCTCAAGGTAGTTGGTGCTGGACATCATCTTCCATTTCCAGCCATTGTAACGGTGTTTTTCTCAGGAATCACATATTCCAATGATAGCCCAATCTTTCTGCTTCCCCATGGAAATCAGGCTGACTAAACAAACAGGATTTGTTAACAGGATGGCAGAGATGATGCTCTTTTATATTTAAGGATAATTAATGATTCTACAGCAGCAGTTGATGCATTTTCAGTAGTTTTAAAGTAGTCACATAGTGGTGGTTAAGAGCATGGCTCAAGAATCAGTCCTTGGCCGGGCGCGGTGGCTCACGCCTGTAATCCCAGCACTTTGGGAGGCTGAGGCGGGCAGATAAGGAGGTCAGGAGTTCGAGACTAGCCTGACCAACATGGCGAAACCCCGTCTCTACTAAAAATACAAAAAAAAAAAAAAATCAGTCCTAGTTCTGCCACTGCCACTTTGCTATGTGACCTTCTCCAAGTTGCTTAATCTCATTCTTAGGTGTCAAATGACAATAATAGTACCTATCCATATGGCAGTTATGAAAATTTAGTAAGGCCAGGCGTGGTGGCTCACACCTGTAATCCCAACACTTTGGGAGGCCGAGGCGGGTGGATCACGAGGTCAGGAGTTCAAGACCAGCCTGGCCAATATGGTGAAACCCTGTCTCTACTAAAAATACAAAAATTAGCCAGGCGTGGTGGCAAGCGCCTGTAGCCCCAGCTACTTGGGAGGCTGAGGCAGAAGAATCGCTTTAACCAGGGAGGCGGAGGTTGCAATGAGCCGAGATTGTGCCACTGCACTCCAGCCTGGGCGACAGAGCAAGACTCCGTTTCAAAAAAAAAAAAGGAAAAAAGAAAATTTAGTAAATTTATTCACATAAAAGGCTTACACAGTTCCCGGCACATAGAAAACATTCAGTAGCAGTTGGCTAATATTAAGAGGAGGAGCAGTGGAACAGCACCAGTCTCACTACACTTTTAACTCAGGCGCTTTTATTCTTTAGAGAATGGAACTGGAAGATAGGCAAGAGAGGTTTGAAAAGTGAGTTGTCAACTAACTATAAATATAACCTCATCCTTATTTAATGTGATTTGTTTTTATTTCCATTTGCTTGTTAAAGAATGCCTGAGAAGTAGGGCAAATAGGATTATATTCAATTCAATTTTGCTGTGTCTGCCAAAAAACAAGTAAGATTTGCCACTATTCATGCAGCAAGTTAGAGGTAGGCCTGAATCTTGAAGCCGAGTTATTTATTCTAACTCAAAGTTGACTTCATTTTTACATTTGGAAACTAAGTTGTACTTTAAGTGGTTAAAAAAAGAAAGAAATCATGGGGGTAAATTCATACTTCAACATGTTGTGTTGCTGGTACAGAATCTTCTCTTCCACCACATACAACTAGAAAACTGGATCAAAGATACATGAAAAAATTGATATAAACAGCAGACAACAGGCAGTAAAGAATTGTGATCCTTGAGAAAAGGGAAACAAATAAGGTGAGCCCTGTGATCATTCCAGCTTTCTGCCCAGAAGTGCTTTGCAGACCACAATGTATCTTTCTTCAGGAATTGAGTAGACTGAGATTGGAATTTGTGGAAACTGAGGTGGCTGAGATTTGCAGTGCAGAGAAAGACCTCCAGAAGGGAGACCTCTGCATAGGGATCCCTTTAGTCCATTACTGAATACTAACCTACACATGTATTAGGTGAAACCCCACAAAGCCAGGCAATGAAACTGCAAACTGGAATTGCAAGCTGAGCAATTCCCAGAGCTCACACAGGCTGGGGGACATCTGCGTTCCCACTATCTGGATAGGATGATCTTGAATACCAGGGACATTCATTAGAGCTCTAAGGAGAATCATCCTTTAGTAGTAGAGCTAAACTAGCCCTAGAGCAAAAACTATTCCAAACACTTGCCTTAACAAAGCTTAAAAGCAAGCTTTGAAAGTATCAAGCTGACTAGCAAGTAACTACCTGCCAAAACAATTTTCAATATTCTTTTTTTTTTTGAGACGAAGTCTCACTCTTGTTGCCCAGGCTGGAGTACAATGGCACAATCTCAGCTCACTGCAACCTCTGCCTCCCGGGTTCAAGCGATTCTCCTACCTCAGCCTCCTGAGCAGCTGGGATTACAACAGGTGCCTGCCACCATGCCTGGCTAATTTTTGTATTTTTAGTAGAGATGAGGTTTCACCATGTTGGCCAAGCTGGTCTCGAACTCCTGACCTCAGGTGATCTGCCCACCTGGCCTCCCGAAGTGTTGGGATTACAGGTGTGACCCACCACGCCTGGCCAATATTCTTTAAAGACAACAATATCCAGATACTTAATGTAGCACTTGTAATGTCTAGCATGCAATAAAAAATTACTAGATATGTGAAGCAGAAAAATACTGTAATTGGGGTGGGGGTGAATCTGTTAATAGAAACAGACCCAGAAATGTGATAGATAAGAGAATTAGCAGACAAGTTAACAGTTAACTTAAAATAGTTGGAATAAATATGCGCAAGGATTTGAAGGAAAATATGAACATAATAAGGTGAGAAAATAGAAGATATAAAAAAAAATTCAACAGATGAGCTTAACGACAGATTGGAGACTACAGAAGAAAATAACAGTGAACCTGAAGACAATAGTAACACAAACTATACAAAATGAAGCAGAGAGAAAAAAATAACTGAAAAGGAAGAAGCAAAGTCTTAGTGAGATATAAAGCATACATATAATTAGTCTCAAAAAAACAATGTGGAGGGGGACAGAAAATATGTTTGAAGAAATAAGGGCCAAAAAGTTTTCCAAATTTTGTGAAAATTATAAACAACTGTAACATTCTTTTTCAAAGATAGCCAATACGAGATCTCCCATTTCACATGTTCTTCTTATGTGACTATGACACTCTTCCCATCAAGTGTTATGAAGTCCTTATTCCCTCACCTTGAACTTGGAAAGTACTTTATGACTACTTTGAACAATAAGGTATGACAGAAGTAACAAACACCATACATGATTTCCAAAACTAAGTCATAAAAATGCCATGCACTTCTGCCTTGCCCTCTTGAGGTGCTCACTCTTGGGACCAACTCAATACATTTGAGGATACCCAAGCTGACACATGGCTCTCTAAATTTTATAGGAGCCACATCCTAGATATGTAAAATAATGCGGTTAGTATGCCAACAAATATTTGAGTACCTATATGCTAGGACTGGGAAGATAGCGATGAACAAAATAGACTTTCTGCTCCAGTAAAGTTTATAGCTTAAGAGAGAATAATAGACTAATAAATAGTTATTTAAATTACTACAAGTATGCTAAGTCCTATAAAGAAGTTTTACAGAAAACTACAGATTATCAGAAAACACTAAGACCTCAATTAGCAAAACATCTGGGAATAAAGCTTTTTGCCAAGTTGGCAGGAGCTGAAGGATGTACCTTCCGTAGGTCAGAGTGCGGTCAGAACTGATACTGTCCCAGTTATAGCTCTCTTAGAAGACCCATGGCTTCAAGGATCTACCTCTATCTCAGTGGACTGTTATGACTGTGTGAGAAAAGGTTATTTGGAACTGAGAA
Organism: Homo sapiens; assembly: GCF_000001405.40. Taxonomy (NCBI): domain Eukaryota; kingdom Metazoa; phylum Chordata; class Mammalia; order Primates; family Hominidae; genus Homo; species Homo sapiens. The sequence goes on from NC_000001.11 coordinate 25,841,242, forward strand.
AGATCCCAGGTACAAAGTCCTTCAGCTGATTATCCCTACCTCAAAATAAAGGCGGCTGTTTGTATTTTATACAGTATAGACATACCTTATTTTATTGCACCTTGCTTTACACTTTGAAGATGTGTTTTTGTTTTTGTTTTTACAAATTGAAGGTTTGTGGCAAGCCTGTGTTGAGCAAGTCCGTCAGTGCCATTTTCCAACAGCATGTGCTCAGTTCATGTCTGTGTCCCATTTTGGTACTTCTTGCAGTATTCCAAACTTTTTCATTATTGTATCTGTGATCAGTGATTTTTTTTTTTTTTTAGATGGAGTCTCGCTGTCACCCAGGCTGGAGTGCAGTGGCACGATCTCGGCTCACTGCAACCTCTGCCTCCTGGGTTCACGCCATTCTCCTGCCTCAGCCTCCCGAGTAGCTGGGACTACAGGTGCTGGCCACCACGCCCGGCTAATTTTTTTGTATTTTTAGTAGAGACGGGGTTTCACTGTGTTGGCCAGGATGGTCTCGATCTCCTGACCTCGTGATCCGCCCGCCTCGGCCTCCCAAAGTGCTGAGATTACAGGCGTGAGCCACTGCGCCTGGCCAATCAGTGATCTTTAATGTTACTATTGTAATTGTTTTGGGGCACCATGAACCACATCTCTATATGATGGCAAACTTCATCAATAAATGTTGTGCATGTTTTGACTGTTCCACTCACTGGCCACTGCCTCAACTCTCTCCCTCTCCTTGGGCTGCCCTATTTAATACTGAAATTAGGCCAATGAAGAACTCTATAATGGCCTCTAAGTGTTCAAGTGAAAGGAGAAGTCATAGGTCTCTCACTTTAAATCAAAAGCTAGAAATGATCATGCTTAAGTGAGGAAGACATGCCCCAAGAGGCCAAAAGCTGAGCCTTTTGCATCAAACAGCCAAGTTGTAAATGCAAAGGAAAAGTTCTTGAAGGAAATTATAAGTGCCACTCCAGTGAAAACACAAATAAGAAAGCAAAACAGCCTTATTGCTGATATGAAGAAAGTTTGAGTGGTCTGGATAAATGATCAAAGTAGCCACAACATTCGCTTAAGTCAAAGCCTAATTCAGAGAGCAAGGCTTTAACTTGAATTCAATTCTATGCAAGCTGAGAGAGGTGAGGAACGCCACAGAAGAAAAGTTTGAAGCTAGCAGAGGCTGGTTCATGAGGTTGAAGGAAAAAAACTGTCCCTATAACATAAAAAGTACAGGTGAAGCAGCGAGTGCTGATGCAGAAGCTGCAATAAGTTATCCAGAAGATCTAGCTAAGATCACTGATGAAGGTGGCTACACAAAACAACAGATTGTCACTGTAGACGAAATAGTCTTACATAGGAAGAAGATGCCATCTCGGACTTCCGTAGCTACAGAGAAGTCAATGCCTGGCTCCAAAGCATCAAAGGACAGGATGACTCTCTTGTTAGGGGCTAATGCAGCTAGTGATTTAAAGCCAAGGCTCACCTAATATTCTGAAAATCCTTAGGCCTTAAGAATTATGCTATATCTACTCTGCCTGTGGTCTATAAATGGAACAACAAAGCCTGGATGACAGCACATCTATTTATAGCATGGTTTACTGAATATTTCAAGCCCACTCTTGACTTTCTACTGCTTAGAAAGATTATTTTCAAAATATTACTGTTCATTAGCTGGGCACAGTGGCTCACACCTGTAATCCCAGAATTTTGGGAGGCTGAGGCAGGCAGATTGCTTGAGCCTAGGAGTTTGAGACCAGCCTGGGCAACATGGTGAGACTCCGTCTCTACAAAAAATTTAAAAATTAGCAAGGTGTGGTGACATGCACCTGTAGTCCCAGCTACTTGGGAGGCCAAAGTGGGAGGATCTCTTGAGCCCAGGCTGGAGTGTAGTGAGCCATGATCATGCCACAGCACTCCAGCCAGGGTGACAGAGACCCCATCTCAAAAAAAAAAAAAATATATATATATATATATTTTACTGCTCATTGATAATGTTCCTAGCCACTCAAGAGCTTGATGGAGATGTACAAGAAGATTAATGTTTTCATGCCTGTTAACACAATATTCATTCTGTAGCCCATGGATCAAAGAGTAATTTCAATTTCTATGTCTTACTATTTAAGAACTACATTTCATAAGGCCACAGGTGCCACAGATAAATCCTGTGATGGATCTGGGCAAAGTAAATTGAAAATCTTCTGAAAAGGATTCACCATTCTAGATGTCAGTAAGAACATTCGTGATTATCTGGCCATGGTGGTGCTGCCTTATAATCTCAGTTACTCAGGAGACTGAGACTAAAGGATCACTTAAGCTCAGGAGTTTGAGATCAGCCTGGGCAAAATAGTGAGCTCCTGTCTGTTTGAAAAAAAAAAAAAAAAAAAAAAAAAAAAAGGGATTCATGATTCATGGGAGGAGGTCAAAATAACACGAATAGAAATTTAGAAGAATTTGATTCCAGCTCTCGTGGATGACTTTGCAGTATTTAAGAGTTCAGTGAAGGAAGTAATTGTAAATGTGATGGAAATAGCAAGAGAACTAGAATTAAAAGTGGACCCTGAAGATGTGACTGAATTGATACACTCTCCCAATAAAAATTTTAATGGATGAGAAATTGCGTCTAATAGATAAGCAAAAAAAAAAGTGGCTTCTTGCAATGGAGTCTACTCCTGGTGAGGATGCCGTGAACATTGTTGAAAAGACAACAAAAAATTTAGAATATTACATAAACTTAATTGAGAAAGCAAAGGCAGGGTTTGAGAGGATTAACTCCAATTTTGAAAGGAGTTTTGTGGGTAAAATGCTATCAAACAGCAACATATGCTGCAGAGAAATCTTCCATGAAAGGAAGAGTCATCGAGGCAGCAAGTTTCATTGTTTTATTTATTTATTTATGTAGACAGTTGCGCTCTTGTTGCCCAGGCTGGAGTGCAGTGGCGCAATCTCGGCTCACTGCAACCTCCACCTCCCGGGTTCAAGCGATTCTCCTGCCTCAGCCTCCTGAGTAGCTGGGATTATAGGTGTGCACCACCATGCCCGGCTAATTTTTGTGTTTTTAGTAGAGACGAGGTTTCACCATGTTGGCCAGAATGGTCTCTTGACCTCATGATCCACCTGCCTCGGCCTCCCAAAGTGCTGGGATTACAGGTGTGAGCCATTGTGCCCGGCCAAGTGTGACCCTTTCTTATGCTCAACAAATCTATTATCAAAAAAGAGCTGGGATCATATACATAACTCCTCTCACTATTAGAAAATGTTCTCATGGTTCCACAGCACTTAAATTAAGTTTAGCTCTTATTTTATCTTTTAACTCTTCCGATAATTTATCTATAAGTTTATCTTAAAGTTTTGCTTCAAACAAATATAATTCCTTTTTTTTTTTCATGATTCACTATGACCTTCAACTCTAGTACATAATTTGATGTAACTTCCTTTTTTCATAATGGTCACTCTGGTCTTAAATTTGTATATGAAGTCTCATGTTCCACCATTGACACACATGAAAGTATTATTCCTTTTGCCACACTCCTTCTTCCTTTATGCTTCCCAGGGCCCCTACTCATTCTCCTCCACTTTTAGAGTCACTGAGAGCATCATCACCAAGTCCCTCTTTCCTTTTAGTCTTTCCCAGCATTAATTTGATGACATTTAGGATGAAAACCTTTCTAGTCAGCACTGTCATGCCTCACTGAGTCAGGTTGAAAGGATGACGCTACCTCATAAGCATGCCCTAAGGAGGATTGTTTAAGAAGTGTTACCAAGAAAAGCTATCAGGGTCTCATCATTATACATCTCCAACAACTTAAGTTAGCTCTGTTGAATTAGTAACCAAGTATTCATTCAAAACTTGCTTCAACTTCAAACCTCTCTTAGTTCTCTGCAGAACTGAAAACACACTACCTTAGTTTAGGATCTCATAAACTCTTGCCTAGCCCTAAACTATGACAATAGTCTCTTAGCTGGTCAGGCCTCCATTCACCACCTATTTCAATTCATCCCCCACATAACTTCTAGATTAATCTCAAAGTACAGCTGTGATCACGTCATCTTGCTCAAAATCTGTCAACAGTTTCTCTATTACCTGTAGCATAAAGTGTAGACTCACACTGCACACATTGATGATTCCAGTTTACCTTTTTCTCTACTACCAAAAGCCCTCCATGCATCCCATAACATAATACTGAACTACATGTCAGTCCCTGCTGATGGCCTCCAATCTCCTCATTTGTATGCCTCACAGAGAAAGGCATTTTTTACACCCAGCTCCAAAACATACTCTTCAGCTTACCACCAAGCATTCCTGATTCCCCCAGCCATGTGTGGTCTCTTCCTCTTCTGAACTGGCCATTTATCACTTGGTGTCTGAAAACTTATCATCCTACAAAATCCCAACATCAGCATGTGATTCACATACCTTTTTCCTATCCTGCACAGAACTTAATATAGCTTAATACACATAATAGGTACTCAATTCAATAAATACTTTAGGAAGGTAGATATGCAGGAAGGATTTCCCGTTTTCATTTTATTTATAGCTACTCATTACATTTTCAGCACAACAGCAATAGTGCTGTCAGAAAACACTAAGGCTTTTCTAATGCTGTGATCCAAGCTAAGATGAGCTCCTGTCACTATAATTGATGTCACAGATAAGGTCCAGAACACAGATGGGATGGAAGCGTACACCCACAGAGAACTATGAAGTTTTCCGTCCCAAAGTAATCTAACAACACAAATTTATTGCAGGAATCTTCTCGAGCACCACTCTGTATTGGTTTTTCATCTAAACCTCATGAAAATTCAACGGGGAAAGGAGAAAAGCAAATTTCTTCTATCACAATTCCTAATTGGAGACCTGATATGTCTACATCCACTGGCATTACTAAGTCTCATAAAAGGGTGCTCCCAGGCCGGGTGCGGCGGCTCACGCCTGTAATCCCAGCACTTTGGGAGGTCAAGGCAGGCAGATCACTTGAGGTAGGAGTTCGAGATCAGCCTGGCCAACATAGTGAAACCTCATCTCTACTAAAAACACAAAAATTAGCCAGGCATGGTGGCGTGCACCTGTAGTCCCAGCTACTTGGGAGGCTGAGGCAGGAGAATCACTTGAACTCAGGAGGTGGAGGCTTCAGTGAGCAGAGATTGGGCCACTGCACTCCAGCGGGCAACAGAGTGAGACTCCATCTCAAAAAAAAAAAAAAAAAAAAAAAAAAGCCAGGTGTGGTGGCTCACACCTGTAATCCTAGCACTTTGGGAAGCCAAGGCGAGCAGATCACCTGTGGTCAGGAGTTCAAGACCAGCCTGGCCAATGTGGTGAAACCCTGTCTCTACTAAAATACAAAAATTAACCAGGCATGATGGCAGATGCCTCTAATCCAAGCTACTCAGGAGGCTGAGACGGGAGAATTGCTTGAACCTGGGAGACAGTGGTTGCGGTGAGATCGCACCACTGCACTCCAGCCTGGGCAGCTAAGCGAGACTCCGTCTCAAAAAAGGGTACTCCCTGCTAATGAGATTTTTTTCACTTAAAGGCCATAATGCATGCATATCAGAGGTCATTGTACATTTACTCTCAGTTTTGCTCTAATAAGGACTACTTATTGAAGATCTGTTTAAATCTTCTCTTATTTTAACTACTTCCATTATAGCAGTGGCTGCATATGGCTCTCTCGGTCACAGAGATGACAGTCCTATAAAAGAAAGACGACCATTGTGCCTCAACTGAAATGCAGTGGAGGAAGAATCCTCACCCTGGAGCAAATCCTGAATCCCCCTGGAAAGTGTTAACTTCAACAGAAGTATTGTAGTATATGGATACAATCAGCAGCTATATACCTATTCTCCCAATTTCCAAATACTATTTCAAGTCACATTTTCTATTTTTATTTTTCTCTGTCCTTTACCTACTCAGCTACCAATTTCCAGCTGCTAAATGTAATCATATGTGAAGATGCAAAAGGGCTTTAAAAGACACTGAGAGCTGGTCCAAATAACTGGACCAAAATTACAGCTTAAAAAACAGTTGTGTTTTTTTTGTTTTGTTTTTTTTTGAGACGGAGTCTCACTCTGTCACCGAGGCTGGACTGCAGTAGCGCGATATTGGCTCACCACAACCTCTGCTTCCTAGGTTCAAGTGATTCTGCTGCCTCAGCCTCCCGTGTAGCTGGGATTACAGGCATGCGCCACGATGCCAGCTAAATTTTTTTTGTATTTTTAGTAGAGATGAGGTTTTACCATGTTGGCCAGGCTGGTCTTAAACTCCTGACCTCAAGTGATCTGCCCACCTCAGCCTCCAAAAGTGCTGGGATTACAGGCATAAACCACCACACCCGACCTTAAAAAACATTTAAGCAATCCCCTACTAAGCCTATTTAGGTCCTTCTTGAGCGTACCTATACTTTTATATAGAGAGAGACTAATAAACCAAAATAAAAATAAACAACTGGCCAGACACAGTGGCTCACACCTGTAATCCCAGCACTTTGGGAGGCACATCACTTGAGCTCAGGAGTTCAAAACCAGCCTGGCCACATGGTGAAACCCAGTCTACCAAAAATACAAAAAAATTAGCCAGGTACAGTGGCGCATGCCTGTGGTCCCTGCTACTTGGGAGGCTGAGGTGAGAGAATCGATTGAGCCCGGGAGGCAGAGGTTGCAGTGAGCCAAGATCACGCCACCGCACTCTAGCCTGGGTGACAGAGTGAGACCCTGTCTCAAAAATAAAATAAAATAAACAACTAAAAATAAACAACTTTCAACTTCTGCCATCCTGGACTAAGCCCTTGTTATTTCTTACCTAAACTTCAGCAGTATCCTCCAAATTCCTCTAGCCTACCTGTCAGGATACTACACACTCTCAAATAACCACTAATGGGTTAATCTTCTTAAGAGATAGCTCCCATGACAACAAACGCCTTCCATCAATTTCCAACAACATAGCACTAGTTTACCCTCCTAAGCTCACCTTCAACTCCAGGGAATAGTCTACACTTTAGCCAAATTGAATTATTCCCTATGTAGTAAAGAATCTTGGCCAGGTGCGGTGGCTCGTGCCTGTAATCCCAACACAGTAAGACCCCGTCTCTACAAAAATTACAAAAATAATTAGCCTGGGTTGGTGGTGCACGCCTGTAATCCAGCTACATGAAAGGCTGAGGCAGGAGAATCGCTTGAACCCAGGAGGCGGAGGTCGCAGTGAGTTGAGATCGTGCCATTGCACTCCAGCCCGGGCAAAAATTTTTGAAACTCCGTCTCAAAAAAAAAAAAAAAAAAAAAAAGAATCTTATGCAAGGAGAGGCCTGGCAGCTCCTGAGAGATAATCTCTAAATCCTTGGAATGTCCCACCTGATAGGAGTGTTTTGTTTTGTTTTTTAACCTGGGAGCTTTGGGCCACACCAAATAATCTGTGCTAACAATGTGATTTATGGAGGGGTCTTCAGGCCATGCATTAACAGCATGACCTCTATAAGGGCTGAAAACTAAAGTCAGCAGGAAGGTGAGTCAACCACATGCATGTGACTAAGCCCCCAAAACAACTCTGGATATCAAGGCTCAGTTAAGCTTCCATGATTGGCAGTACTCTGTGTGTACTGTTACATATCACTGCTGAGAGCAGTTGGCATTGTCTGTTTCTTCACTAGGAGGACACCGGAAGATTTAGGCTTGGGATTCTCCCAGACTTGGCTCTCTATACCCCTGCCATTGGCTGATTTTCATTTGTGTCTCCTCACTGCAATAAACTGTAACCATAACAGCTTTCAGTGACTTCTGTGAGTACTTCTAGCAAATTATGAAACCTGAGAATGGTTCTGGGGACCCCCAAACTTGAAGTTGCTGTCAAAAATTATGGTGGTCTTCAAGACTCCTTAACTTTTATTTCGTGTTTCACAAACATCCCTTATACTTCCTGCTTCTGTGGCACTATTCATAATGTCCCACTGCACTCCCATTTCCAACCAAATCTGGCCCTTCATTTAAGGTCTAACTCTTCCACAAAGCGTCTTTCTTTTCATTTTAACAGCTTTATTAATAGAGATACAATTCACATACCATAAAATTTGCCCATTTAAGTATACAGTTAAGTTTTAGTATACTTATGAAGTTGTGTAATTATCACCGAATCTAACTTTAGAACAGTTCTCATTTCCCCCAAAAGAAACCCTCTAGCCTTAGCAGTCATTCCTCATTCCCATCCCACCCCAGGCCCAGAAAATCACTTACTTTCTTTTCTACAGATTTGCCTATTCTGGGCCTTTTATGTGTCATACAATATCTGGTCTTTTGTGACTGGCTTCTTTCACTGAGCCTAATGCTTGGAGGTCCATCCATGTTGTAGCATGTATCAATACTTCACTCTTTTTTATTGCCAAATAATATTCCATTATATAGATATACCATTTTGTGTTATTTTGTTTGTTTGTTTGAGACAGGGTCTTATTCTGTCACCTAGGCTGGAGTGCAGCTACGCAATCTTGGCTCACTGCAACCTCTGCCTCCTGGGTTCAAGCAATTCTTCTGCCTCAGTCTCCTGAGCAGCTGGAATTACAGGTGCCTGCCACCATGCCTGGCTAAGTTTTGTATTTTTTTAGTAGAGACGGGGTTTCATCATATTGGCCAGGCTGGTCTTGAACTCCTGACCTCAAGTGATCTGCCCCATCTCAGCCTCCCAAAGTGCTGGGATTACAGGCGTGAGCCACTGCACTCAACCCTAGATATACCATTTTGTTTACCAGTTGATGTTCATCAGTTGATGACTACTTGGATTGTTTCCACTTTTTGGCTATTATGAGAAACGCTGCTAAGAACATTTGTGTGCAAGTTTTTGTGCAGACATACGTTTTCCTATCTCTCGGGGGTACATACTTAAATGGGCAAATTTTATGGTATATGAATCATATCTCAATAAAGCTATGATCACATCAGCACTCTGGGTGTGATCATAGCACTCCAGTCTGGGTAACAAATTGAGACCCTGATTCTAAAAACAACAACAACAACAACAACAAAACAACTGACCATAAATACAAGGGTTTACTTCTGGACTTTCAATTCCTTTGATCTATAATGTGTCTACCTTTATGACAGTATCAAACCATCTTAAGTACTGTAACTGTATAGTAATTTTGAAATCAGTACATGTGATTCCTCCAACTTTGTTACTCTTCAAGCTTGTTTTGGCTTTTCTAGATCCCTCGGATGTCATGAATTTCTGGATCAGACTGTCAGTATCTGCAAAAAGGACAACTGAGATGTTGATAAGGACTGCACTGATTCTGTAGATCAATTGGGGCATATTCCTATCTTAAGTCTTCTGATCAATGAACATGTAATGTCTTTCCATTATTTACATTTTTAATTTCTTTCAATGAGTTTTATAGTTTCCAGTGTATGTCTTGCACTGTTTTGTTAAATTTATGCCTAAGTATTTTATTCTATTTGATTCTATTGTAAATGAAATTATTTCCTTAGTTTCATTTTTTGGATAAAATCCTACCATACGGAAGTACAATTGATTTTTGTATCCTGTCACACTGCTGAACTCATTTTTTCTAATTTTTTTAAGTGGATTCCTTAGGATTTTCTACACATAAGATCATATTTTCTGCAAACAGATAATTTTACTTCTTCCTTTTTAATCTGGGTATCTTTTATTTCTTTTTCTTGCTAAATTTCCCTGCATAAAATCTCTAGTGCAATGGTAAACAGAGTGGCAAGATCTTTGTCTTGTTGCTGATTTAGGAGTGGAAACATTCAGTCTTCTTCCATTAAGTATGATGTTAACTGGGTTTTCATAGATGCCCTTTGTGAGGCTGAGAAAATTCCCTTTTATTCCTGGTCTGTTGAGTGTTTTAATCACAAAATGATGTCAGTCAAAATGCTTTTTCTGTGTCTATTGACATGATTATGTGGTTTTTGTCTTTTATGCTATTAGTATGGTATATTAATTGGTTTTCAAATTTAAACCAACCTTGCATTCCTAAGATAAATTCCTCTTGGTCATGATTTATAATCCTTTTTATGTGTTGCTAAATTTGTTTTGCTTGTATTTTGTTGAGTATTTTTGTATCTGTATTCATAAAGGATACCAGACCATAATTTCCTTTTCTTGTGATATCTTGGTCTAGTTTTAGTATCAGAGTAATACTGGCCTCAAAATGAGTTGGAAAGTGTTCCCTCCTCTTCTATTCTATTTTTTTGAGAGAGTCTGAAGGATTGGTATAATTCTTTAAATGTTTGGTAGAATTCACCAGAGAAACTATCTGGACCTGGACTTTTCTTTGCAGGAAGTTTTAAAATTACTAATTCAATCTCTTCGTTATAGGTCTATAGACCAAAGGAATTGAACTGAAAGTCCAGAAGTAAACCCTTACATTTACAGTCAGTTGATTTTTATCTATTTCTTCTTGAGGCAAGTTTGGTAGTCTGTGACTTCCTAGGAATTTGTCCATTTCATCTAAGTTATCTAAATGTGTTAGCATACAGTTGTTTATAGTATTCTAATTATTTTTATCTCTTTATTTTCTTTTTTAGACAGTCTCACTCTGTCGCCCAGGCTGGAATGCAGTGGCACAATCTCGGCTCACTGCAACCTGTCTCCCGGGTTCAAGTGATTCTCCTGCCTCAGCCTCCCGAGTAGCTGGGACTACAGGCACACACCAACATAACTGGCTAATTTCTGTATTTTTAGTAGAGATAGGGTTTTTTCAGCCACCTCACCTGGCCTCTTGCTGACTGACTGATTGAGACAGGGTGTCACTCTCTTACCCAGGCTGGAGTGCAGTGGCTCAATCACCGCTCAGTGCAGCCTCAACCTCCCTGGGTTCAGTGATCCTTACACCTCAGCCTCCTGAGTAGCTGGAACTACAGGCATGTACCACCACATCAGGCTAATTTTTGTATTTTTTGGTAGAGATAGGGTCTCCCTATGTTGCCCAGGCTGGTCTTGAACTCCTGGGTTCAGGGGATCCTCCCACCTCAGCCTCCTAAAATGCTGGGATTATAGGTGTGAGCCACTGTGCTCTCTTTTATTCTTGATCAGTCTAGCTAAAGGTGTGTTGAGTTTGTTGATCTTTGCAAAGAACCAACTTTTGATGTTGATTGTTTTTCTTTACTATTTATTTTCACTCTAAATTGTATTATTTCCTTCCTTCTGGTCACTATGGGTTTAGATTGCTCTTCTTTTTCTAGTTTCTTAAGGTAGAAGATTAGATTATTTAAGGTTTTTTTTTTTGTTGTTTTTTTTTTTGAGACAGGAGTTTCACTCTTGTTGCCCAGGCTGGAGTTCACTGCAACCTCCGCCTCCTGGGTTCAAGCAGTTCTCCTGCCTCAGCCTCCTGAGTAGCTGGGATTACAGGCGCCTGCCACCACGCACAGCTAATTTTGGTATTTTTAGTAGAGACAGGGTTTCGCCGTGTTGGCCAGGTTGGTCTTAAACTCCTGACCTCGGGTGATCCACCCACCTCAGCCTCCCAAACTGTTGGGATTACAGGTGTGAGCCACTGCGCCTGGCCGAGATTCTTTTTAATAAAAGCATTTACAGCTATACATATCCCTCTAAGCATAGTGTTAGTTGCATCCCATAAATCTTGGTGCATTATATTTTTGTTTTCATTTATCTCAAAGTACTTTCTATTATAATTTTCCTTTTGATTTCTTCTTTGACTCTTGGTTATTTAGAAATGTGCTGTTTAATTTCAACCTATTTGTGGATTTTCTACTTTTTCTTCTGTTACTGATTTCTACTTTCATTCCATTATGGAGAATATACTTTGTATGATTTCCATCTTTCTAAATTTATTGAGATTTGTTTTGTGACCTAGTATTTGTGGAGAATGTTCCATGTGTCATGGAGAAGACTATGTATTCTGCTGTTGTTGGGTAGACTGTTCTATATTTTTGTCTGTTAGGTCTACCTGGTTTATAGTATTGTTCAAATCTTTTTTCCTTGTTGATATCCATGATTGAAAGTGGGTATTAAAGTTTCCAAATATTGTTCACAAAATCTTTCTTAATATTAGCTGTATTAGTGTTGTATTGCTTTGTAACGAATTACCACAAAACTTAGAAGCTTAAAACAATAAACATTCGGCCGGCGTGGTGGCTCATGCCTGTAATCCCAGCACTTTGGGTGGCGGAGGCAGGTGGATCACCTGAGGTCAGGAGTTTGAGAACAGCCTGACCAACATGGTGAAATCTCATCTCTACTAAAAATACCAAAATTAGCCAGGTGTGGTGGTGGGCGCCTGTAATTCCAGCTACTAAGGAGGGTGAGGCAGGAGAATCGTCTGAACCCATGAGTCAAAGTTTGCAGCGAGCTGAGATCGTGCCACTGCACCCCAGCCTGTGTGACAGAGCAACTCTGTCTCAAAAAACAAACAAACAAACAAAAACAAAACAAAAAACATTAATCTCACACAGCTTCTCAGGGTGGTTAGCTTGGTGGTTCTGGCTCAGGGTCTCTCATGAGGTTGCATTCATGATGTTGGCTCAGGCTACAATCATCTGAAGCCTTAACTGGGGCTGAAAGGATCCACTTCCAAGATAGCTCACTAACATGGCTGTTAACAGGCTTCATGTAGCAACATGGAAGCTAGCTTTTCCCAGAGTGAGCAATCAAAAGAGGTCACAAAGCCATTTATGACCCAATCTGAAAAAGTCACACACCATCAGTTCCCGCAATATTCTATTCATTAGAAGCAAGTTACGGCCCGGCGCAGTGGCTCACGCCTGTAATCCCTTTGGGAGGCCAAGGCAGGTAGATCACCTGAGGTCAGGAGTTTGAGACCAGTCTAGCCAACATGGTAAAACCCCGTCTGTACTAAAAATACAAAAATTAGCCGGGCATAGTGGTGCACGCCTGTAATCCCAGTTACTCATAAGGTGAGGCAGGAGAACTGCTTCAACCCAGCAGGTGGAGGTTGCAGTGAGCCAAGATCATGCCACTGCACTCCAGTCTAGGCAACAGAGTAAGACTCCATCTCAAAAAAATAAACAAACAAATAAATAAATAAATAGCAAGTTACCAAGTCCAATCCAAACATAAAGGCAGGAGAATGAAGCTCCACCTCTTGAAGGGAAGAGTGTGGACATATTTTGAAACCATCACAGTCCACCTTCTGGCCCAAATTACTTACATTCTTCCCATATGCAAAATATACTCCCTCCCTCCCAAAACTCTACAAAAATCTCATCTCTTTATAGCATTAGCTTAATATCAAGGATACTAGCATCTAAAACAGGTACATGTGAAGTCCAAAAATGTAGTTTAAATACAGTTCCTTTAGATCTGCAGGCCTGTGAACTAAAGACAAATTATCTTCCCTCATACATCTAACATACAATTTGGAACGGGCATAACTGTTACAGACATTATGTTCAAAAAGGGGGAGATAAGAGGTATAAGTGGGTCACCAGTCTGAAATCCAGCCAGGCATTTATTATCTCACAACTTCTGTGCATGAAGAATTTGGGTTAAGCCTAGATGGGTGGGTCTGTCTCACAGTCTAGTGAGGTTGCATTCAAAATATCAACTAGAGGTGCGGTATCCAATTTCAAGATGACTCCCTCACTCACACAACTGTTGGCAAAAGGCCTCAGCTCCTCACTGCATGAACCTCTCCACAGAGCTGCTTGAGTGTCCTCACAACATGACAGCTGGCTTCTCCCAAAGAGACAATGAAGCTAAAGCTGCAATGTCATTTATGACCTAGATTCAGAATTCTTTCTTTTTTTTTTTTTTTTTTTTTGAGATGGGGTCTCACTCTATCACCCAGTCTGGAGTGCAGTGGCGCAACCTTGGCTCACTGCAACCTCCACCTTCTGGCTTCAAGCAATTCTCCTGCCTCAGCCTCCTGAGTAGCTGGGATTATAGGCACCCGTCACCAAGCCTGGCTAATTTTAGTATTTTCAGTAGAGATGGGGTTTCACCATGTTGGCCAGGCTTAGACTCAGAATTCTAACACTATAACCTACCACATTCTATTCATTGGAGTCACTAAATACTGTCTGTGCTCAAGGAAAGGGGAATTAAGTTCTTTTAGAAGGAAAAGTACTGAAGAATTTGTGGACGTACATTAAAACTGCCACACTCCTCCGCCCATGATAAACTTTTTTTATTTTTTGTGGAGTTGGGGTCTCATTATATTGCCCAGGCTGGTCCCAAATTCCTGGCTTCCCAAAGTGCTGAGCTTCCCAAAGTGCTGAGATTACAGGCACGAGCCACAGTCCTGTTTAATTTTTTTTAAACAAACATATATTATTTTCATAATATAAAAACAAAATGAAAGCAAATCTAGTATACATACAAGGCCTAAGTAACGAGGCCAAATGGGTAGTTCAAATTAGGAGAGAAGCAAACTCACTCCAAACATAGACTACTATTGTCTACTGGCCAGACTACAAACTACTCATTCTCTCAAAAATAGCAAACCATTCTGTTTAGAGATCAAGGGGGAAGAGGCATGTTTTCAAAAACACAGACACTAGGTACTGCCCATCCATCCCTGACATTAAAACTCAAAGGACTGTATGCCTATTTGATAGCCACTCTAGGAAGAGGCACCTTGTGAAAGGGAATCTTTAGTACTCTTCTCTGGGTTGGAAGTCAGAGTAATAGTTAATAGTCAGGAACCAAAGATTTTAACAAGTATCTTTGGGAATCAAGTAACAAGAAGGAGAAATGGTGTTAGTGAGTATGGTCATAAGGTCCAGGCCTCTAGAAATCAGAATAAGTTAAGGGCCTAGAGATCCTGGAGGATTCTATAACTGTCATGTACTACATCAACAAGACAAATGTTTTCACCATAACATTGCCAGGGAAAAAGGCAGGATTTGGGGGTATAAGAATTATAGACAGACCAGGCACGGTGGCTCATGCCTGTAATCCCAGCACTTTGGGAGGCTGAGGCAGGTGGATCACTTGAGGCCAGGAGTTCGAGACCAGCCTGGTCAACATGGTGAAACCCTGTCTCTACTAAAAATACAAAAATTAGCCAGGTATGGTGGCACACGCCTGTAATCCCAGCTACTCATGAGGCTGAGGCAGAGAATCGCTTGAATCTGGGAGGCAGAGGCTGCAGTGACCCGAGATCATGCCACTACACTCCAGCCTGGGTGACAGAGCAAGACTCCATCTCAAAAAAAAAAAAACAAAACAAACAATAAAACAAGATTAGGCTGGGCGTAGTGGCTCACGCCTGTAATCCCAGGAGGCCGAGGCAGGTGGATCACCTCAGGTTGGGAGTTCAAGACCAGCCTAACCAACATGGAGAAACCCCGTCTCTACTAAAAATACAAATTCACCTGGGCAAGGTGGTGCATGCCTGTAATCCCAGCTACTCTGGAGACTGAGGCAGGGGAACTGCTTGAACCCAGGAGGTGGAGGTTGCAGTGAGCTGAGATCGCACCACTGCACTCCAGCCCGGGCAACAAGAGCAAGACTCCATTTCGGAAAACAACAACAACAACAACAACAACAAAACAGAATTATAGACAGAGAGACAAATATTGGCTCTCCTCTTCCCTGTGGAATATTCCCTTTCTCGCTCTCCTGAACTCTTCCTAATTCTATTTCTGTTCTCTTTCTAAATTAAACTGGTGGCTGGGTGCAGTGGCTCACACCTGTAATCCCAGCACTTTGAGAAGCCACGGTGGGCAGATCACTTGAGCTCAGGAGTTCAAGACCAGCCTAGGTAACACAGCGAAACCCCGTCTCTACAAAAAAAAAAAATACAAAAAATGAGCTGGGCTTTGTGGCACTATGCCTGTAGTCCCAGCTACTCGGGAGGATGAGGCAAGAGGATCACCTGGAGCCCGGGGGCGTTGAGGCTGTAGGTAGTCGTGATTACGCCACCGCACTCTAGCCTGGGTGACGGACTGAGGCCTGTCTCCAAAATTAACTAACAAATCAAAGTGGTATACAAGTTTCCCACGCATCCCATGTCATTCAAGAATGTATTCAAAGGGTACAAATGGCTTATTCCTAATTCAAGGAGTAATAAATAGCTATTGCACATTTTGATTTTTTTTTTTTTTTTTTTGAGACTGAGTCTTCTGTCACCCAGGCTGGAGTGCAGTGGCACGATCTCGGCTCACTGCAACCTCCACCTCCTGGGTTCAAGCAATTCTCCTGTCTCAGCCTCCCGAGTAGCTGGGATTACAGGTACCTGCCACCACGCCCAGCAAATTTTTGTATTTTTTATAGGAGAGACGGGGTTTCACCATGTTGGCCAGGCCGGTCTCGAACTCCTGACCTCAGGTGATCCGCCCGCCTCGGCCTCCCAAAGTACTAGGATTACAGGCGTGAGCCACCGCACCCGGCCATTTTGATAATTTTTGAAAAAATAAAACAATCGGCCAGGCACGGTAGCTCAAGCCTGTAATCTCAGCACTTTGGGAGGCCGAGACGGGCGGATCACTTGAGGTCAGGAGTTCAAGACCAGCCTGGCCAACATAGTGAAACCCTGTCTCTACTAAAAATACAAAAATCAGCCGAGCGTAGTGGCGGGCGCCTGTAGTCCCAGCTACTCGGGAGGCTGAGGCGGAAGAATCGCTTGAACCCGGGAGGCAGAGGTTGCAGTGAGCTTAGATCGCGCCACTGCACTCCAGCACGAGCAACAAGAGTGAAACTCCATCTCAAAAATAACAATAATAATAATATGCCGGGCGCAGTGGCTCACGCCTGTAATCCCAGCACTCTGGGAGGCTGAGGCGGGCAGATCACGAGGTCAGGAGAGCGAGACCATCCTGGCTAACACGGTGAAAACCTGTCTCTACTAAAAATACAAAAAATTAGCCGGGCGTGGTGGTGGCCGCCTGTAGTCCCAGCTACTCAGGAGGCTGAGGCAGGAGAATGGCGTGAACCCCGGAGGTGGGGCTTGCAGGGAACTGAGATTGTGTCACTGCACTCCAGCCTGGGCGACAGAGCAAGACTCCATCTCAAAAAATAATAATAATAAATAATAATAATAAAATGATCAAATTTCTTATCTATAAAACCAGGATAATGACAAAATCTACTTTACTGAATTTTGGTGAGTACCTGCCATTGATAAAGTGTATAAAGTCTCGGCAAAATGCCTGACACATAGAAAGCACTCAATAAAGGTTAGGTATTGTTGTTATTATTTATACACCTCTTTTCTTCCCTATAAGACTGTGAGCAACCTGAGAGCAAGAATCTTGCCCCTAGTGTCTGTTTTGAGCCTGTTTTCCGTATGTAAAATGGGTATCATTACACTATCTACCATATAGAATTGTACCAAACAAGGTAACATACCTAAAACACTTAGCACCAGCATAAAATGCTCAATAAACATGAATGATTATTATGTCGCACTTTTGTTTCTTTACAGTGACTGAAGAGCATCTTGCCTAGGTGACAGACCTGAATGTGATTTCCAGCTCCTTCTAGTTAGGCGGGCCTAGGTTAGTTACTGAACCTCAGTTTCCTCATTCCCAGCAAGAATGACGACACATATAACGCATATTCAGTATCTAATGCAGTATCCGGCACCCAGTGACTGCTCAGTACATAGGAGGCCAGCTCCCCTTCCCATAGCTTCTACTTTTCCCCTCAAAGTTACCGGTTCTGGGCAGGTAGTTGGCCTGCAACTTGGCAAATTGGGTGGAAACAGACCCCGGGGTGAGAATTTCCCCAATTTGCATTCGCATCCATCTCCCAATGCTCCAGCCTCTACTAGGACGTCTCGCAGGGACTGTGGCCTCCTAGGGAGCCTGGTCAGTTCAACTGCTCCGAGCGAACTTTCCCTCCGCCTCTCCCACACCTGAACCTTCGCCGCCCCTCCCTGCGCACCGCTCCTCCAGACCCCCCAACAGCACGCTCTTTCCTTCCGTCCCTCCCATCCTCCCCAAGCCCCGTTTTTCAACCTTCTTCAGACCACAATCCCTCTCGCCTGTGAATCCCCAACGCTGTTCCCTTCTCTGTCCCCGACTTCGCTTTCATCATCTCCAGGTGTCCCCCAAACTCCTCCCGTCTTACGCCTCCAGGCCCTACCTGGTTCCCAACGCCCTCTCATCCCCCAGCGTCCCACCTGCACTTTCCGCCTCTTCAGCGCCGCCGCGTCCAGCCACACGCCGCAGGCCTCCTCCTCGGGGCCTGTCCGCCTCATGGCCGCTGAGGAGACGAAGCCGGCAGGACGCCGGCGCAGGCTCCCGGCGCCTCAGGGAACGCCAGAACCGCGGCCGCCGACGTTCGGATCTCGCGCCAACGCTGGGGGCGGGGCTACGTCGCGACCGCCCCGGGCGCCAGCCCCGCCCCGGCAAGGCCCTGGCCCCCTTCGCTGTGCCCCGCCCACGCACTAACTTTCGCGGCCGGTCCCTTGAGTGCGTGCGGCATATTTCCCTGCGCGGAGGAGTGCGTGTTCTTTCTGATCCGCTCTTTCAAGAGCGGATTCGGAAGCTGCTGTGTGAACGGTTCTCGACAGCCTCAGAAATGTACATTTTCTTTTTGCTGTATTGAAAATTTCTTACAGTATTTCCCGGGCTTAGGAATTTGTTCGTGTCATCGCTGAATCTTCGCGATCACCCCCAGAAGGAAGTGGCTGAGCCGAGATCAGGCCCGTCGACTCCAGACCAGGGGTCCTCGACCTAAGTGGTTACCAGACACTCGAGTGTGCGAACAACTTTGGTAATTTTTTTTTTTTAATGTAAGCGTAACTACGAAGCCACATGGGAGAGGATTTTGAAGAGGTTAAAATTTGGGGTCAGGAACTAGATTTCAGTCCTGCTTTCACCGTTTACTGTGCCTTGGATTTTAAAGAGGATCAAATGAGGTTGTGAAAGTACTTTGTGAATTCAGAAAACCCCTTGGAAATGCAAAAATGTTGGCACCCCCACCCATCCTTCCGTCCCTAACCACAATCTCCATAGATGGAATATATGTACATTATACGTAATGTTTACATATTGTATATGTAAAAAAAATTTTTTTTTGAGACGGAGTCTCACTGTCGCCCAGGCTGGAGTGCAGTGGCGCTATCTCGGCTCACTGCAGCCCCGCCTCCTGGGTTCAAGCGGTTCTTCTGTCTCAGCCTCCCTAGTAGCTGGAAGTACAGGCGCACGCCACCACACCCAGCTAATTTTTGTATTTTTAGTAGAGACGGGGTTTCACCATTGGCCAGGCTGGTCTCGAACTCCTGACCTCGTGATACGCCTGCCTCAGCCTCCCAAAGTGCTGGGATTACAGGCATGAGCCACCGCGCCCGGCCAAAAATTTTGTAATTTTTTTTTTTTGGTGGAGGGAGGATAGAAGCTCAGCCACCTCTTGCCCAGTCTGCAGCAGGTCAGCCAGGAACCTCAACCATCTCTGCAGCCAGAGCCTGTCTTCATGGTGGACAGAGCCATCTCGCTTTGTCACCCAGGCTCGGGTACAGTGGCACAGTCTCAGCTCACTGCAGCCTCAACCTCTTGGGCTCAAGCGATCCTGCCACCTCAGCCTCCCAAGTAGCTGGGACTACAGGTGTGTGCCACCACGCCTGGCTAATTTTTGTATTTTTAGTAGAGATGGGTTTTCGCCATGTTGGCCAGACTGGTCTCAACTTCCTGCCCTCAGGTGATATGCCTGCCTCAGCCTCCCAAAGTGCTGGGATTACAAGCGTGAGTCACCATGCCTGGCCTATATCAAAATATTTATTTATATACACATATTTTATGTGTGTGTGTGTGTGTGTGTGTGTGTGTGTGTGTGTGTGTATTTCATAAGGTCCCCCATGATATTTCAGCAGTGAAGTGATATTTCTAATTAATTTGGGTTTTCTTATCTTCCCAATTTTCCTTCATTGTATATATATTGCTGTGTACTATGGAAAAAGCAATATTATAAAAGTTAACATACTTCTTCGGTGCGCATGCGACGAGGCTCAATATGTGTGGTGGAGTGTGCACGCCCCTGCCCCCTCCACTAAAAACAAAACAAAAAAACCCTCCTTAATTGAAGGAAAAACCAAACAAAAAAAGTCTTTGTCAGATCATAAAGTGGGATTATCATATTTTAAACACATTATTTTAACTACTTATAAAACTTTAGTAATAAAACTGCCGCCCACTCCCTTGCCAAACAAATTTTGTATATATAGATATGGTATATAAGGCCCCAACCCCATCCCCCAGCAAAGATAAAACAAGAACTGCTCCCTGCACCCTGTGTCCACTCCCAGGGGCCCCAGCTTCCTCCGGAAAACCTCCAGTAATGTGAGCAGGGGCCCCTCCCGGAAACAGGAGACAAAAAACAAAGAGGTGGCTACTGTCACAGTACTTTATTGCATCCAGGCCATAATCCAGACCACCCAGCCCCAACCCCACTTTTCCTTCCACACCTCTTGGTCTCTGCACAGGTTTCCCTCTGCCTGGAATGCCCTTCCTATTCTCCATCTGCAAACTCCTATTCACACTCCCCAACCTAAGACCCTGAGGGTCCCAGGCAGCACAGGTTAATCCCTCTCCAGCACCTCCCTTGACAGTTCATTCTGATATCAAAGCCTTTGTCGGCCAGGCGCAGTGGCTCATGCCGGTAATCCCAGCACTTTGGGAGGCCGAGACGGGCAGATCACCTGAGGTCAGGAGTTCAAGACCAGCCTGACCAACATGGAGAAACCCCGTCTCTACTAAAAATACAGAAAATTAGCCAGGCATGGTGGTGCATGCCTGTAACCCCAGCTACTCGGGAGGCTGAGGCAGGAAAATCGCTTGAACCTGGGAGGCGGAGGTGCAGTGAGCCGAGATCGCACCATTTTACTCCAGCCTAGCCAACAAGAGCGAAACTCCTCAAAAAAAAAAAAAAAAAAAAAAAAAAAAAAAGCCTTTGTCATCTTGCATTGATCCACAGGGCCCAGTGGTGACCTGCCTCTGAGCAGAGGCCCAGGAAACACTGAATGGATAAATGAATCCGTAACAAGGGAACCAGGAGAGAAGCTGGGAACAGGCCGTGTGGGACACAGAAGCCAGAGCTAGGAGATCTGGGGCTCACTGTCTGGGATAGTGACTGAAGGAGTATGAAGCACTGGATGGGACCCATTTGTATCTGGCACAATCTACTACCTTTGGGGTCTCTCTGCAGCTCCAACACTTGTGGCTGGGCTTCAAGGGACAGTAAGATCCTGTATATATTTTGGGCCTACCCCTTCCGCATCCAGCAATGAAATCTGAGTAGAAGTAGGTTGCCAAGGCCTCCCCTGGCTCAGCTCAAATCTGACTCTGGCCTAAGTTTCACCTCCTGCCTAGACAATCTAGAAGCCCCAATCCTCACCAAGCTGACCCCCAGCCTCACCCCAGTGAGTGGCAGTGGAAGGGCAAGCTGGAGTGGCCCACACCGTTAACTCTTTCCCTCTCCCTGGGCAAGGAGCTGGGGCAGGCCCAGGAGTGGACCCCAGCAACTCCTAGCCAATCCCTAAATCCAAGAATTGGCCAGTGATGCCCTTGGCAGTTGAGTCGTGCACAGAGAGTCACTGTGGGCCAGACACAAACAACTTTACCAGGCCTTGTTCCCACCTGGAGCCAAACCCAGACCCCTGTCCCCCAACTATACCTCCCTCCCTACCAGATGCCATCCCCCTTCACTTGGTCTTCTGATCAAGTTTGCGCTGTACCAGCTGGCTCAGGAGGAATGCAGTGAGGATGCTGCTGCCCACCGTGAGCAGGAAGAGGCCAGAAAAGTTGTGAGGCCAGTGCGTGTGCAGAGGCTCATAGATGGGCCGTCGGGCCTCATAGTCCAGTGCCACAGCCTCCAGCTGAGCCAGCGTGCACAGCACCAAGAAGATGTGGAAAAGTTGGTGGCCCTGCCCGAAGACATGGCAGCTGCCAGGGAACCAGCGCTCGGGCATGAAGGTAGAGAAGAAGGCAGCAGCCAGCAGAAAGAAGACCACCTGGCACTTGTGGTAGAGAAGAGCTGGATCATCCGTGGTGGGGTCGGAGGACACGAAGATACGATGCACCACAGGACTAATGTCCAGTGCGTAGGCCAGGACGGAGGGCACCTCCTGGCATGTGCGGCCCAGCAGGCCTGGTTTCTGGATGTACTTGTTATAGCAGGAGCCAATGCAGGAAAGCCAGGCGAGAAAGGCAGCCATGGGCAGAAAAACAGCCTGCACCTGGGCATGCCAGGCGGGCTCGATAGCATAGTAGAAGTGTGCCAAGGCACTGCCAAACTGGTACACGGCCACCCCCACATAGTCCAGGAAGAAGAAGCTGTAATGCCAGAACTCAGACTTGGCCTGCAGGAGGTGAGCCAAGGCACTGAAGGAGAGGTAGGTGAAAGAGGCAAGGACAATGATGAAGAGGGGCAGGGCGTGTGGGTCTCCCCAGAAGTCCACGGTCTCCACAAAGAGGGCCAGCCGCAGCAGCAGTACCAGGGCCGCCAGCAGGTGGGTCCAGACATTCACGGCCTCGTTGTGCTGCTGGAACAGCGTGCGGAAATAGAAGCGCCAGGTCTGATGCAGCGGCCGGTAGCCCGCATAGATGTACGGCTTCCAGAAGAGCGGCGGCACCTCAGCTCGATCCACCGTGAAGACAGGCTCTGGCTGCAGAGATAGCTGAGGCTCCTGGATGACCTGCCGCAGACTCGGCAGGAGGTGGCTGAGTTTCTGGGCCATGGCCATGGCTGTGGGCCTGGGCAGGGAGCTGGGAGAGAGACCAGAGCAAAGTCAGGGGCCTGGTGTCCTCACCCCCACGAGCAGCAGCTGGGGGGCTCTGATGCCCAAATCCTACTCCCTCCTCTCCGACAGCCTTATCCTTACACTCGGTTTAAGAACAGAAGACTCATCCTATGGAATTCCTCATCTCTGACCTCATGAGAGCAAGGATCCCTGATGTATTCCAGGTACCTAGAACAGTGCCTGACACATAGTAGGTGCTCAATAAATGTTTGAGGAATGTATTAACTAATAAGGCTCCCTGTCTTGTTAATTTCCTTTCCGGTCCCAGGCTCCACACAGCAGCACCAGCTGTTTTCTCTCCTAAAGAACAGATCTGGCCATGTGAAACACATGAGAGGGGTGAGGCGCTCTCAGCCCGTGTTCATGCCACCATTAGTGTTCAACTGGTGGCAATAATGACCTTGCTAATAGACCCACTGCCTCTACCTATCTAGCTCCTCAAGAGTGGCCAGGGTCCCCTACTGACCCTCCATTACCCTGCATGACCTGGTCCCTGCTACCCTCTCCAGTCTTGTTGCACAACCACAGTGCACTTCAAATCCAGACACAGCCCCACCAACCCCTGGACTGCTCTTTCACATGTCTGTAGCTTTACACGAGCCGTTCCCTCTGCCTGAGACATTTTCCTCATCTTGCCTACTAGGCAAACCCCTATTCATTCCTCAAAAACCCATTTCTTGGCTAGGCATGCGGCCTCACTCCTGTAATCCCAGCACTTTGAGAGGTCAGAGCAGGAGGATTGCTTGGGGCCAGGAGTTCAAGACCAGCCTGGGCAATGTAGTGAGATCCTATCTCTACAAAAAAGTTAGCCAGGTGTGGTGGCATGTGCCTGTAGTCCCAGCTACTGGAGAGGCTGGGGCAGGAGGATCCCTTGAGCCCAGGAATTTGATGTACAGTGAGCTCTGATCACACTACTACTCTCAAGCTTGATCAAGCTTGATCTCAAGCGAGATCCTGTCTCTTAAAAAAACAAACAGCGGCCAGGTGCGGTGGCTCACATCTGTAATCCCAGCACTTTGGGAGGCTGAGACGGGCGGATCACAAGGTCAGGAGATGGAGACCATCCTGGCTAACACGGTGAAACCCCGTCTCTACTAAAAATACAAAAATTTAGCCAGGTGAGGTGGGGGGCACCTGTAGTCCCAGCTGCTCGGGAGGCTGAGGCAGGAGAATGGCGTGAACCCAGGGGGCGGAGCCTGCAGTGCGCGCCACTGCACTCCAGCCTGGGTGACAGCGAGACTCCGTCTCAAAAAAAAAAAAAAAACCACAAACAAAAAAACATTTCTTCTGGGATGCTTTCCCTGGCCTCCTGAACCTCCTACGATGACCCCTCCACTTGAGTGCTTATCATCAGACCATCCTTTGACGATTTTCACATTTCTCATGATTGTTCATGTGAGCTCATCAAGGGGAGGCAGTTTGTCTCATTATTTTGTGAATCCCTGGTGCTTAGCAAATAGCTGGCACTCAATGTTTGCTGAATGAAAGAACAACATGACCGGGCGCAGTGGCTCACGCCTGTAATCCCAGCACTTTGGGAGGCTGAGGCAGGCGGATCACCTGAGGTCGGGAGGTCGAGACCAGCCTGACCAACATGGAGAAATCCTGTCTCTACTAAAAATACAAAACTAGGCCGGGCATGGTGGCTCACGCCTGTAATCCCAGCACTTTGGGAGGCCGAGGCGGGCGGATCATGAGGTCAGGAGATCGAGACCATCCTGGCTAACACGGTGAAACCTCATCTCTACTAAAATACAAAAAATTAGCCAGGCGTGGTGGCAGACACCTGCAGTCCCAGCTACTCGGGAGCTGAGGCAGGAGAATGGCATGAACCCGAGAGGTGGAGCTTGCAGTGAGCCAAGATCACGCCACTGCACTCCAGCCTGGGCGACAGAGTGAGACTCCATCTCAAAAATAAATAAATAAATAAAAATACAAAACTAGCCAGTTGTGGTGGCACCTGCCTATAAGCCCAGCTACTCCAGAGGCTGAGGCAGGAGAATTACTTGAACCAAGGAGGCGTAGGTTGCGGTGAGCCGAGATCGCACCATTGCACTCCAGCCTGGGCAACAAGAGGGAAACTCCGTCTCAAAAAAAAAAAAAAAGAAAAAGAAAGAACAACATGACACCATTCTGATAACACTTCATATCTTTCCAGGCCCAACTCAAAAGACCACTTTTTTCCTGAAAGTCCCCATTTAACAACTGATGAACCACACCCCCACTCTCAAAATCCCCTCTCCAGGCCCTCCCCCAACTGCCCATGGTTGCTAGTTCCAAATAAATCCAATATAACCCCTTACCCTGGCATTCAAGGCCCACATGACCTGCTCCTACTACCCTTATTCCCCACCTAACCCCAATGTCACACCCTGTGCCACCTTCCTTTCCCTGCACTGAAATCCTTTAAGACCACTACAAGCTGCCACCTCTGGGGCCTCCTTACTGCTCCCCCAATCCCACTTTCCCCTGACCTATAATGGGTTACACAGTTTAACCTTGATTCATTCATTTAACAAACACTTACTGAGCCCTTCTTTGCCTCAGACCCTGTGCTGGATGGGACAAAGAACAGAGTGAAAGATTTGATCCCTGCCCTCAGGAATGTCATGATCTGGCAAAAGATATAGAAACAAAAACAAATCATAGCAAATGCTCACACAGCACCTGCTAGACGCTTCCCAGCAACCCTGAGAGGCAGACACTATCATTATTCCCATTTTCCAGGTAAGGAAACTGAAGTACAGAGAAGTTAAGTGCCTTGCCCACCCACCTAGCCAGGAAGTAGCAGATGGCAGAGGCATGCTCTGAACTCAAGTCTGTTTTTTTGTGTGTTTTGTTTGTTTGTTTGTTTGAGACAGAGTCTTGCTCTGTCACCCAGGCTGGAGTGCAATGGCTCAATCTCGGCTCACTGCAACCTCCGCCTCCTGGGTTCAAGCAATTCTCCTGCCTCAGCCTCCCGAGTACCTAGGATTACAGGTGCCCGCCACCACGCCCAGCTAATTTTTGTATTTTTAGTAGACAGGGTTTCACCACATTGGCCAGGCTGGTCTCGAACTCCTGACCTCAGGTGATCCACCTACCTTGGCCTCCCAAAGTGTTGGGATTACAGGCGTGAGCCACGGCACCCAGCCTTGTTTTGTTTTTAAGATAGCGTCTTGCTCTGTCCCCCAGGTTGGAGCACAGTGGTATAATCACAGCTCACTGCAGCCTTGACCTCATGGACTCAAGCAATCCTCCTATCAGCCTCCCAAGTGGCTGGGGCTACAGGTACATGTTACCATGCTCAGCTGATTTTTTAAATTTATTTTTACTTTATTATAGAGTCAGGGTCTCACTTTGTTGCCCAGGCTGGTCTCGAACTCCTGGCCTCAAGCGACCCTCCCACTCGGCCTCCCAAAGTGCTGGGATTACAAATGTGAGCCACTGTGCTCTTAACCACTACCCTAAAATGCACTTTGCAACACAAGGTGGCAAGGGCTATTTATCGTTTCCTAATTTTATACTGTTTTACCTGGCTTCAATTACATAATTCAGGCTTACCGTCATTCATTGTGTTATTCATTAACTCAAATAGTTATTGAAAAACCTGCCAGACAATCCCTCCCTGCCTGCCAAATAAATTCCCTCCAAGCTTACTTATTGGACTCAGTGTTCAGGTTCATCAGATATTTATTGTGACTACCTCTGCACCAGTCACCAGACAAGGAAAAGAGATTCAGGCAGGATAAAGCATTCATGTTCTCTGCCCCCAGTGGCACTGTGATCACCCCCAAAACCAATCAAATAAGTCACACACAGTCCAAGTAAATGCAGAGTGCTTGCTATGCAAGGGCAGCATCAAGACGACCCCACCCCCACAAGCCCACATCTCCAGAGCCTGATTTGCATTCCTAAGCTCCTCCTGCATTAGGATTCTGGCATCAGCCCTGCTCCCCAGTCTTTCCTAGTCCAGTGGGGAAGCAGGAGTCGTTACACTGCTGCACAGGGGCTGCTACTTAGGACAACAGGCATGTGCAGGACTCTTCTATTCCCCAGCGAGCCTGGCACAGGGCAGATTTAGGAAGCAGACATTGCTGCTGCACTAATTGACGGGGCCACTTCCATCCAGAGCACAAGACCTCCCTTGGCCAGCCTTGCTGGTTGGGGAGCCAGTTCTGGATTTCTCCATCTCCCCAAGAGATGGTTTCAACCTCAACAATCTGGCCCCCACTCTTGTCCACAACTTTGTCTTCCCAACTGAGAACCTTGGGGGGACCAGAAAAGACCTCTGAAAGCATCTTGGGCAACTCTCTTGTTTTACACTTAGGAAAGCAGAGCCCAGAAACTGGAAGGCCTTCCCCAGAGTCCTCCCACCCAGCAAGGTTTCTATTCCACTACTGCGGCAAAGACCAGCGAATGATGGCGATGGCTGTGCCCTGTGGACACCTAGCTCCTGGGTGCCTGTGATCTGATAAGTCCAGTCCTGTGCTCCATATCCCACTCTTGGAACTTCCCAAGATATAACAGCACATTAAAGACTCTCAGAAGGGCTGGACACGATGGCTCATGCCTGTAATCCCAGCACTTTGGGAGGCCGAGGCAGGTGGATCACTTGCAATCAGGAGTTCGAAACCAGCTTGGGCAACATGGTAAAACCCTGTCTCTATGAAAAAATACAAAAATTCGCCAGGTGTGGTGGTGTGCACCTGTAGTCCCAGCTACTTGGGAAGCTGAGGCAGGAAGATCCCTTGAGCCTCAGAGGCAGAGGTTGCCGGGAGCCAAGATTGTGCCACTGCACTCCAGCCTGGGTGACAGAGTGAGACCCTTTCTCAAAAAAAAAAAAAAAAAAAAAGCTCTAAGAAGTCCTGCAGCAAAGAAGTTGGCTTAGCTTTGTTGAATCAACATTTGCCAAGCTTATGTGACCACGGATTCCTTCCGTAGTAATAATTATATTATAAAGCCACTTGAGGCCGGGCGCAGTGGCTCACGCCTGTAATCCCAGCACTTTGGGAGGCCGAGGTGGGTGGATCACGAGGTCAAGAGATCGAGACCATTCTGGCCAACATGGTGAAACCCCGTCTCTACTAAAAATACAAAAATTAGCTGGGCGTGGTGGCACGTGCCTGTAGTCCCAGCTACTCGGGAAGCTAAGGCAGGAGAAGGCCTTGAACCCGGGAGGCGGAGGTTGCAGTGAGCCAAGATCGCACTACTGCACTCAAGCCTGGGCAACAGAGTGAGACTCCATCTCAAGAAGAAAAAAAAAAGCCAGTTTAAATGTAGAAAGTGTTTACTATATGCCCACTCTTTACAGTCCTGTTGCAATTAACTCTCATAACTTGCCTGGGAGGTAAGTACTATTCTGCCCATTTTGTTGTTGCGGATAATGAAATTCAGAGAAGTCAAAAGCTCCCAGCTGGGCGCAGTGGCTCACACCTGTAATCCCAGCTCACTGGGAGGCCGAGGTGGGCGGATCACCTGAGGTCAGGAGTTCGAGACCAGCCTGGCCAATATTGGGAAACCCCATGTCTACTAAAAATACAAAAATTAGCCGGGCATGGTGGTGCATGCTTGTAATCCCAGCTACTCAGGAGGCTGAGGCAGGAGAATCGCTTGAGCTCGGGGAGCTGAGATTGCAGTGAGCCGAGATCGTGCCACTGTACTCCAGTCTGGGTGACAAAGTGAGACTCTCTAAAAAAAAAAAAAAAGAAAAAAGAAAGGAAAAAAAAAAGCTCCTTACCCAAGGTTGGAGGATGGGGGAGGGAGGTGGAGCCAGGACTGGGCTGTAGATGCTTGCAGACACTACTGCTGCCCTGCTCCAGGCACACTTGTCTGCATCCTACAGAACAACTTTGCAAAATCCTGGTCTAAAGCAGGCAACCAGGCTCTTTCTTATAAATTACTTTCTTAGGCTTCTAGCAATTCAGTCTCCCTCAGTTGCTGGCTACCTGCTTGCACCTGATCTTCTCCAGGGAGGCCCTGGCTCAAGCCACCTCCTTAGGTGAGTGACAGCGCTCGCTTATACCTCCCTCCCCCAGATATAATGGGCCCTATGGACAAAACCTGAGGCACCATGCTAGGATGACAGAGACCCCGCTGCCCTATTTTCTTTAGACCTCAGCTAGAGGCCTCACTCCACCTAAGTAGGTCTGTTTTCAGAATTAGTTTCCACCTCCTGACTCCATGGAAAGGGACTCTGATCCAGGGGAAAGGAAAAAGCAGGGGCAGGGGTCAAGCCTGAGCCAGCAGGATGAGGATGGATATCCGGAGGGCACCATCAGGGCATCCTCTGAGTGGTCAGCCTCTGAGTCGTGTGCCCACCAGGCTGCTGGGCCCTGTCTATTCAGGCAGCTCAGCCCAGCCCACCTCCATGGGCCCCTCCAAGTCTGGCAAATTGCACTGGGTACCTGGGGGTTTCTCTCAAGCCTGGGGGCTGGTGACCTCTACTATGGGACTGGGCAAATTCACCAGATGCTGAGCACTTCCACAGATGAGGGGCACTAGGGGCGGGGCTTCCAGGGACTGGGGGTGTCTTGTGTGATGTCACCAGAGGGTGGGGCTAAAGACAACCTCCCACACCTCTCCTCCCCAACTTCACCACTCCCATAGTGGTGAAATCCATGCTAAACTGTGTGCCTTCCTAGCCAGGCCTCTGCTGCAGCAAGCAGCTCACCATTCACCTCTGCATGAGACTTACGGGGAAACCGAGGGCCAGCTGAAAAGTTTGACTTACCTAAGATCACACAGCAGGGCAAAGGCAAAGCCAGGTGACTAGGGCCTGGTTGATGGTGTCAGGCAAACTTCAGTGGTTCCTGTCCACTACTCAGTGGGAATCAGAATGGAAGAAGGTTAGGAATAAAGGAAAAAGCAGACGGTATAAAAGTGCACAGAGCAGATGGACTTCAGATTCAGACAAACCAGGTTTGACTCCTGATTGCATAACATGCTAGCTATGTGACCTTAGACAAGTGACTTACCTTCTCTGATCCTTAGCTCCCTCATGGGAATGACAATATTATCTACCTCATAGGTTGCTGTAAAGATTAAATTTATTAGAACAAAGTTTTAGCTTCATTTAGGGACTCAACAAATATTGCAATTGTTATTAATAATAATAGTAGTAGTCTTTGAAATATCCCCAGCCTGAGAGATTTGCTTCGAGTTTTCTAAAAAAACCATCCTCTTTTAGCCCTCAATAGCTAGTTCCATTAGATTTGGGGGCCTCAGGAAGTTCACTGTGTGCTTAAACATTTACCTTATCCCTAGGGGTGTAGACCAGGGAAATCTGGCTAGAGTTTGGACTTCCAAGGACACTGACCTTACTTAATCATTAAATTGTTCTTAGCAAAGACCATTCAGAGTAACTGTTTTGAATTCACAGAGCCCTGTAAATTGGTGCTTACCCACAGGCCCAAGAGATGTGGCTAAGCAGTGACAGTCCCAGGGGAAGGGGCCTCAACTCCAGCAGCTCAGAAGCCCTGGAGAGCACGAGGGCACAAGAGGGTGAACCAAATTAGCAGGTGATCCAAATGGCATATGGTCTGGCCTGGACATGTCTTGCAGAAGGTTTGGGAGTCTTCTGGGTTGGCTGAACCTCTGAAGTGCGATCTCCAGGGCTCCAGTGGGAGTGCCTCTGTCAGCCTGAGCCGCTCCTTCCTCCCTTCCCCTCCCCTCCACTTCCTCACCCCTCCCAATTCATATTCCTCAACTCAAGGTCAGCCCTCCTCACCTCTCTCCTTAACGAAGGCTTGCAAGCCCCAGCCTGCTCTCCAAGGATACACACTGTCAAAGGTTCCCATAACACCCGTGGGGCAAAACAGACCAGGCTGCAGGGAGGTGGTGGAAAATGGGCTTATGGAGAGGGAGAGCCCTGGGTTACCCCCATCTCACAGATTTCACTCAGTGCTTATACTATATGCCAGCCTCAACGCTACCCAGGCATTCTGTGTGCTGGGGCACACAGAAAATGAAGCAGACAGGCTCCCTGCCCCAACGGGCTCACCCACACAAATGCCCACAGGGCCTAGGAAGATCCAGCCTGGAGGGAAGCCAGCCAGGTAGTGAGCCTGGAGAACTGGAGAAGACTGCTGCCCTGGTGGTGGACATCCTCCACTAATCTCTGCAGGCTCTCCGGCAGGCTGTTTCAAGAGACGCCACAGGCCTCATTTTTATGTGAGGATGAAATTTCGGGTCTGGAATTCACCTGCTGTGTGACTCTGCAACAGTCCCTCAACCTCTCTGAGCTTGTTTCCTTTTGGAATCAGAGGATTAAAATAGCTGCCTCTTGGGCTCTTGTGGAAGCAAAACAAAGCCATGGATGCCAGGTGTTGGCTCTGGCACAGTGCTGGCTCTGCCGTTTCTGTGGGATTCTCGTCCTGACTCAGCCACTCAATCCCTGTGTGACCTTGGACAAGTCCCCTCCCCTCTTGGCCCTGTTTCTCCAAATGTCAAAGGAGAGAGTAAATTCACCAGTGACTTCCAAGGGCCCTTAGGCCCTGGGACAGTCCAAGAATATTTACTTTAGGCCTCCTATGTGCCAGGCGCTGCAGCTTCCTCAGTGACAGAGCCATTTAAACCACTGCCCTCGCAGAACTAACAGCCCAGGGAATTCATACCAATGGTAACACCACAGGATTTTTTTTTTTTTTTTTTTTTTTTGAGACAGGGTCATGCTCTGTCCCCCAGGCTGGAGTGCAGTGGTGCAAACACAGCTCACTGCAGCCTTGACCTCCCAGTCTCCGGTGATCCTTCTTCAGCCTCTTGAGTAGTTGGGAATCACAGGCGCACGCTACCATGCCTATTTTTTTAAATTATGTGTAGAGACGAGGTCTTGCTATGTTGCCCAGGCTGGTCTCGAACTCCTGGTCTCAAGTCATCCTCCCACCTTGGCCTCCCAAAGTGTTGAGATTATAGGAGTGAGCCACAGTGCTCAGCCAACACCTCAATATATTAATACCCTGCCCTCCTGGAGCTTACAGCTCAGCTAAATAACACCTATTATAAGCATTATTTGGGTACAATTCCACTTCCTCTTTTGCCTCCTTCTTGGCATGCAAAATATTCGTTGTTGCCTTTCTGGGCCCTGATTGTTCAGCACATTCTCTTAAAGACAACTTTTTCTCAGCATGGAAGGGAAAGTCTAACCCCATTAGATACAAATAATAAGGCCAGACCAATGTTAATACTGGGGCTATTGGAGGAAAACCCTCTTGAAGGGTCTTTAGTGAGGATGACCCAATATGGCACCTGAAATATCATTAAGGAGATTAGGTGCTACCACTCATAATATATAGTGGCTGGGTGTTTACCAAGAACTTTCACACACATTTTACCTCTCCCTCACAACTCTCTGGATCCACAGCCAACCTGGGAGCCCAGCCCTGGAGGCGGGAGGGCAGAGCACATCTATCTGACTCCAAAACCAGCGCTCTTGCCCTTTGTCCACCGTGGGTAACTCCCAGGCACCCAGTGGTGACCACAGATTATACAGGCAAAGTTTTCATCCCTGGCTGGCCTCCCAGTCTCTTAGCAACTGGGTCACCTCCCTCAATGCAGGCTAACTCCCCAACTTGGTCCAAAGTGTTTAAAGAAAAAGTCCCTACATGTCTTCCAAAACTGAACAGAAACTGTTTTTTTTTTTTGTAACTTTGGCACTTGGGACCTCCATGTATTTGTACTGGAAAATGTGATCAGAATGAAATAAGTAACTATTTCTTTTCTTGAGATAGGGTATCACTCTGTCCCCAGGTTGAAGTGCAGTGCAGCCATCACTGCAGCCTCAACTGCCCAGGCTCAAGCCATCCTCCCACCTCAGCCTCCTGAGTAGCCCTGACCACAGGCACACAACACCACGCCTGGCTAATTTTTTTATTATGTGTAGAGACAAGGTCTCACTATGTTGCCCAGGCTGGTCTTGAATTCCTGGGCTTGAGCAATCCTCCTGCGTTGGCCTCTCAAAGTGCTGGGGTTACAATCATGAGCCACTGTGCCCAGCCTAATTCTTTTCTTTTCTTTTTTTATTTTTTGAGACAAAGTTTCACTCTTGTTGCCCAGGCTGAAGTACAATGGCAAGATCTCGGCTCACTGCAACCTCCGCCTCCCGGCTTCAAGCGATTCTCCTGCCTCAGTCTCCTGAGTAACTGGGATTACAGGCATGCACCACCACACCCGGCTAATTTTGTATTTTTAGTAGAGATGGGGTTTCTCCATGTTGGTCAGGCTGGTCTCAAACTCCCAACCTCAGGTGATCCGCCTGCCTCGGCCTCCCAAAGTACTGGGATTACAGGTGTGAGCCACCATGCCCAGACTTTTTTTTTTTTTTTTAAACAGGGTCTATGCTCTGTCCCCCAGGCTGGAGTACAGTGGCACCATCTCAGCTCACTGCAACCTTGAACTCACGGCTTAAGCCATCCTCTCACCTCAGCCTCCCAAAGCGCTGGGATTATAAGTGTGAGCTCCCACAGATGGCCTGAAAAAGCAATTCTTAAAGAAAGTATTCTGTGGAGCTGAGACTTACAGCTGCTCTGAGGAGGGGGAATCTCTTAGGCCCAGAGAGGTTGGGTGAACGAGCTATAGTCACCCAGCATGGGGCACAGAAAAAGGACCTGAGCTGCACTGCTGACCAGCAAGGAACCCTCTGGACAGAGAAACTAAGGCTGGAGAGGGGCAGCCTCTCAACAAAAGGACCCAGAGGTAGCACAGGCCTCATGACTAGAGGCTGGGTCCCTCTCTCCGATAGGAGCTCAGACTTGGGGTCCTGGGCTGTCCACCCAGGAGCAGCCAGACTCCGAATCCATCGAACTGTTCAGACTCCGAGGCCTTGGCTTGACCTAGCCCCACAGGCCTCCTCCAGGGGCTGCTACAGGGAAATTTCTGAAGGTCTTCAAAACCTGCAGCCTTGAGGCAAGTGCTGTGGGTTTTCCCCTTCCCTCACTGTGTGTGGGGGACCCCCAGGCTCTCCTGACACCAGGGGAGGCTCCCTCATCCCCCAAGGTGTCTAGACTGCTTGGGCCCATGGAGCAAGTGCCCCTCTTGGCCCCCAGCAGTGCTATTCCCACTGTTCCTGGATCCCTAAGTGGGACTCCTTCACATCAGCCGGTTCTGGGCACCCATACCCCTTCCTGTCCCGGTCTCACCTACATTCCTCCTCCAGAAAGCAGTGAGCTCCCTGACTGTCCTGCTCCAGGAAGGCAGCGGCCTTGCCCGGGCCAGACGCCCCTACCCACTCCCTGCCCTCCATCCTTCATTTTCTCCAAGCAGCCCTCCCCTCCCCTGCTCACTGGACAAACAGGCTCTCAGGCCCCCATCCGCATCCTCCTCAGCCGTGCTCCTTCTGCTCCTCCCACCCTTCCCAAGACGCCCCCATCCAGCGAGCTCCTCCTTCCTGCGCCCTCCGCTGGCTGCTTCCCCGGGCGGGCGTCCTCTCACTTAGCCCAGGTGCTCCCCTCCGGCTCCGCGTCCTGCCTGTCTTCCCCGGGTCCCAAGTCCGCCCCTGCCCCGCGGAGCCTTGCTCTTTCCACGTCCAGCCCCGCAGCCCCGCAGCCCCGCCGCGCCCCGTGGAGAGCACCCTCGTCTGCGGCCAGCCAGGCCTCCCCGTCTTGGCAGCCCCGTACCTGAGCCGGAGCCGAGCTGGGAGGGCCGCGGGGGCCGGGTCGGCGGAGCTGGCAGATAAAAGAGCAGCCGGGCAGCGGCCCCGCCCCAAGCCGGGGGAGGGCGGGCGGCCTCGGGCGCTCTGGCTACAGCCGCCTCCGCGGGCCCAGGCGACGCCGAGCGCCCCGCACCCCGCCCGCCGCGCACAAGCAGCTCTGCCCCGCCAGGCCCACGTGTTGCACGCGCGGGAGAGGGGTCGGCCGCGCAGAGGTGGCGTCTCAGGACTTCCTGTGGCGTCACACAGATGGGAAGACCGAGGCCCGGGAGTGGACTCCCGGGGCTCCTCGGCGCAGAGCTGCAGCCGCGCTTCTCGCACTTCGGGACGACGGGAAGCGCAGGCTCCGGCTTCTGGGCCCGGCTGACCCTGGGAGGGTCGGGGAGGGCGGCCGCAGGAGAGTGGCTGCGTTTCCCAGCTAGAGCTCGGCCGGCCCCTACGCTTACTCAGCCCACCCCGCCCCCTGCTCCCGAGGCCACTCTGCTCGAGATACGCCCCAGCGTTCGCACCTTCATTTCTCTGCTGGGGCAGCTCCACCCCCTCTTTGGGCACCCCTGGCTTCTTCAAGTTCCCACCCGAAACCCGCCCCTCGGGCAGCTTCCCCGGCTCTGCCCAGCCGAGTGCACCCAGCCTGGACCTGTATTCAAACACCCACTCTCTACCCTCTGGTGTTACACATTCCCAGCCCTGGGAGCACCTGAAGGGTGAGGAATCCCTTCACATAGCAGGCCCTCGGTAAATACTGGATCAACAATGCCACAGATTGCCCGTTCCTCTAGTATGCAAAGACCTGGAACAGGCAGAGTTGGGAGACCCCCACTCCCGCGGCTCTTGGGAGCACACAGTCTGCCGGATGGGAGGCCAAGAGGAGACAGCCTAGGAGAAGACGCCGCTCTGCCCTTAGGGAGTTCTGAGACCACTGGGAGAGGCGGTTGTGCCTAAGCACGATGCGAAGATCCCAGCCCCAGAGCTCCCGTAACTCACCATGGAATCTTGGGACAGTCTCCTTGTTCTCTCTGGGCCACAGGTTTATTATCTGTAAAATAGAAATAATACCACCAATCTGCCAGCACTGTTAGAAGAATTAAAAAAAGCAATGAGCATGAAGGGTCTTTGTCCACTGCAAAGTCCTAGAAGAAGATGTATTTCTCTATTATATTTGAAATTCATATAGTCAGGCCAGGCAAGGTGGCCCATGCCTGTAATGCCAGCACTTTGGAAGGCCAAGGTGGGAGAACTGGTTGAGCCCAGGAGTTCCAGGTTACAGAGAGCTATGATTGTAGCACTGCATTCCAGCCTGGGTGACAGAGTGAGACCCTGTGGAAAGGAAAGGAAAGGGAAAGGGAAAAGAAAGGAGGGGAGGGAAGGGAGAGAGAAAGAAGGAAGCAAGGAAAGGAAGGAAGGAAGGTTAGTTATATAATCGTAATGTAATAGCATGAAACCGGTCTCTCCTTCAACAGGTTCAGACAAACCCATAAGAATTAGTTAAATCTGTTACCTGCATGAATGGGAAGAGTAGCATAGAAAACCTTCATTTACAGCTGATAGAGAACAGGCAATGAAAACAAGTAAGGACATTATGGAGAAGATATTCTGCATAATAGAATATATTCTGTTATTGTGAATAAAAATTAAAAACTTGGAAGGTGACTTGGACTCAGCCTTCATTTTTGGAACACCTGCTCCATGCTGGGCTCCTTTAGAAAGCTACAGTTTGTTAAGCTCTTGCCATGTGCCAAGCGGTGCACTAAATGGTTGCAGTGACTACCTCCTTTGATCCAGACAACTCTACGAAGCACATACTATAATTAACCCATTTTACAAATTGGGAAGCTGAGGCTCAGAGAGGTGACAAGAGATTTTTCTGTTCTCATTTAACCCTCATTCATTCCTTTGAGGTGAGTGTGATGATCCTGTGGGGGCTCAGAAAATAATACACCAAAGTCCCCAAAGTGAAGGTCTAAGAAGCAGCCTCAGTCTGGTCCAAAAGTAGTGAATTATCTCAGTTTGATTGTTCAGTCAGTTACAGATCAAACTCCTTGTTCGACTCTTTACCCCTCCTCACTACTGCACTTGATGGATGGATGGAAAGAAGGAAAGAATGAAAAAAAAAAAAGGAAAAAGAAGAAAAGACAAAGCAAATTCCTGTAATCCCAACACTTTGGGAGGCTGAAGCGGGTGGATCACTTGAGGCCGGGAGTTCGAGACCAGCCTGGCCAACATGGTGAAACCCCATTTCTACTAAAAATACAAAAATTAGGTGGGCATGGTGACGCACACCTGTAATCCCAGCTACTCAGGAGGCTGAAGCAGGAGAATCGCTTGAACCTGGGAGGCGGAGGTTGCAGTGAGCCGAGATAGCGCCACTGCACTCCAGCCTGGGCAAGAAAGCGAGACTCTGTCTCCAAAAAAAAAAGAAAAAAGCAGACTCAAAAGCAGTCTCTGTCCTGCCCTCCTGTCTCTGACCCCTAAACCATAGAAACTAGAATATTTCTTTCCCAATGCAGGTCATAGAAACTAGAACCCTTTTCCCCCAAAACCAGGCATAACACCTAAAAATATTGCTCCAGGCCGGGCGCGGTGGCTCACGCCTGTAATCCCAGCACTTTAGGAGGCCGAGGCGAACGGATGACGAGGTCGAGAGATGGAGACCATCCTGGCCAACATGGTAAAACTCCGTCTCTACTAAAAATACAAAAATTAGCTGGGTGTGGTGGTGTGCACCTGTAGTCCCAGCTACTCAGGAGGCTGAGGCAGGATAATCACTGGAACCCAGGAGGCAGAGGTTGCAGTGAGCCAAGATTGCACCACTACACTGCAGCCTGGTGACAGAGTGAGACTCCATCTCAAAAAAAAAAAAAAAAAAATATATATATATATATAAATATAACTTTCCTGCCTCCCACCCCCACCCCACCCCACCCCAGTCTTTTTGTGTAACATGTGGCCATAAAGAAATTAAGACCCTTGGCTGGGTATGGTGGCTCACGCTAGTAATCCCAGCACTTTGGGAGGCTGAGGCAGGTGGATCACAAGGTTGGGAGTTCGAGATCAGCCTGGCCAACATGGTGAAACCCTGTCTCTACTAAAAATAAAAAATTAGCTGGGCATGGTGGCAGGTGCCTGTAATCCCAGCTACTCGGGAGGCTGAGGCAGGAGAATTGCTTGAATCCAGGAGGTGGAAGTTGCTGTGAGCCAAGATTGTACCACTGTACTCCAGCCTGGGCGACAGAGCTAGACTCCCTCAAAAAAAAAAAAAAGAAAAAAAGAAAGAAATTAAGACCCTTATTCCAGAAGGGTCCTACCCCATACCCAGGAGGGAGGAACGCTGCACAGAAAGGCCAAGAAGAATCTGGACAGACAGGTCTTGCTGGGCTTCCTCACTCTGTCTCTTATTAGCAGTCATATTTCTCCACAGCTGTCCATACGCAATTAGAATAGCTTGGAATCGCTTGAACCTGGGAGGCGGAGGTTGCAGACCTAGTTCTAGGAGGTTCTAGTTTCTATGGTTTAGGGGTCAGAGACAGGAGGGCAGGACAGAGACTGCTTTTGAGTCTCCTTTTTTCTTTTTTTGGAGACAGAGTCTCGCTTTCTTGCCCAGGCTGGAGTGCAGTGGCACTATCTCGGCTCACTGCAACCTCTGCCTCCCAGGTTCAAGCGATTTTAAGCGATTCTAATGGCATATGGACAGCTGTGGAGAAATATGACTGGACAAAAAGGGCATGTTCTAATGCTAAGCATAAAAATGGACAGTTTCCCCCATGTCTTTGGGTCCTCATTCTGAAGGCTCTGTGCCACATAAAACTATAATCAAATAAATTTGTCATGCTTCTTTCTTGTTAACTTGTCTTTGTTACAGGCTTGTTAGCCATGACCCTTATGACAGAGAGGAAAGAGATTACCCTTTCTGCCCCTACAATCCCTATTTTATGGATAGGAAAACTGAGGCCCAGAGAGGAGAAATTTCGTGTCCCAGGTCACACAGCTCCAGAGGTATTCAGGTTCTGGAAAGTGGATCTGGAGGTGTGCTTGTGGGAGAGAATTCACTGCATGAAACTAGGCTGTGGCTATTTGAGAGCTGAAGGATAAAACAGTAGAAGTAAAGACAGTGGACAGTTATGGCCAGATGCAAAGCCCCTTTTATGTGCTGTAGGTCCATGAGGCTGTTCTGCCAATATGTTCGTCTGTGGATGAGGAAACAGGCCTGGGAGAATGCTACTTGCCCAAGGCCACCCAGTTGGCTAGTGGTGGACCTGGATCCAAGCCTGCTCTTATCTGCTCCACAGTGCTGATATCAAGCAGGGAAGCTGGGGGCCCAGACACTTCTTTCTCTGTCCTGCTCTGCTCAACTCCTTTCCCCAGTCCAAGTGCTTCCCTGCCCCCCATCCTCAGTCCAGTCTGGGCAGTCTGACAGCATTCTGGCCACCTGGGTAAGGCCCAGTGATGCATGGTTCCAGGAGCCCGGACCCCTATAACCCTGTGAGCTCTGAACCCTGGAAGGGAGCCTTGTGGGTAGCCTGTGCATCATCAGGCTGCCCTTCCAGCTACCAGGTTCAGCCCCAAGTAGATCAAGGTCTCCAGCAAGCCTGGATTCCTGGGCAGACCTAAGTCCAGTACCTGAAAGGACTCAAAAGGCTCTGAGCTGGGAGACCATCAGCTCAGAGACCAAAAGGAGTCAGGCTCTGAGCTGGGAGAGCATCAGTAAGGGTTTCAGTGGACCTAAAGCAAGAGAAACAATGTGTAGGGCCTGAGCTGTCTCCAACACCTTCTTTTCTTTTCCCCCCAAACAAGGCCATCATTCACTAGAGGCAGCAAAGCAGCGAAGCACATGGGCGTATTCTGCCTGGGTTCACACTTTAACTCTACTGTGTACCAGGTCTTTGTGACCCTGGCAAATTTTGTAACCTCGCCTGACGCTAGTCTCCTCAACTCAAAAGCAGGGTCATGATATTCACCTCATAGAGTTGGCAGGAGGAGCGAATGGAATCGTACAAGGAAAGGGCTTACAGTGCCTGGCGTATAGTAACTGCTCAAGAAATGCCAAGTATTACTCTATTTCAATTCTTTACTCCACAGCAGGAGTACAGGACATCGGGAGCACGGTGCAGCAGGAGCACAGGGCAATGGGAGCACAATGCAGCAGGAGCACAAGGTGATGGGAGCACGGTGCAGTAGGAGCACAGAGCAGTGTGAGCACAGAGCAGTGTGAGCACGGTGCAGTGGGAGCACAATGAAGCAGGACTGATTTCCAAGACAGATTCACTGCTTTATGGCCTCCTTGGATGAGTCTCACAGAATGAGGAGGAGTTCACCAAGCCTTGAGGAGGGGAAATGACTTTCCAGGCAAAGGGAACAGTATGTCCAGGGCACAGAGGTGGGAGGGGAGGGGTAAGCTTAGGGAATGGGGCCTCGTCATGCTCTGGGGCTGGTGCACAGGGGACCTGGTGGTGGCAGATGACATTAGGAAAGCAGAGGTAGAAAGTTGGGTGGGAGGGGGTAGTTTCCCTCTCACTTCAAGCCCAGGGAGGGGGCTTCCAAAAGACTAGTCAGAGAGTATGTGCTGGGTGTGCCCCAGGACCTATGACCTGGTGTCTGACTCTTGCCTGAGAAGCCAAAGAGAAAGGACTGGCTGAAGCCCCCTAAGGCGGTGGAGTAGAGGGCTGCGGCCAGAGGGCACCGCACACACAGGTGGCCACAGGAGAGAGAGTCCACCTGGGGCGGCCTCGGATCCAGATCCCAGGAAGTTCTCCTCTGG
Organism: Homo sapiens; assembly: GCF_000001405.40. NCBI lineage: Eukaryota > Metazoa > Chordata > Mammalia > Primates > Hominidae > Homo > Homo sapiens. Next base: position 25,881,275 of record NC_000001.11, read on the forward strand.
TGGCGTGAGGCCTCAGCAGGAAGAAGCTGGAGGCATCTGTGATGTCCTGGGATTGAGGGAGTCATCATGAGCACCTGGCTGGTGGAGACCCATCCACCTTCCACAAGGGTGCAGCTGGGAGACCCTGCAGGGACCACCCCCAGGGCCGCAGGCATAAGAATGTGCCAGGTCACACCTTCTCGGTCTAGCTCAGGTCGGCCTCTACAGTGGGGACAGTGCCGCGCATGCTGACACCAGCCCCACCCCACTCGCCCACCTGGTGTTCCTCCGCTTTCTGCCTCAGGGCTCCCTCTGAAGCTGGGAGGGCTGCCTAGCCCACTAGCTCAGATGCAGACTGGAGGCACACGCAGCTGACACCCAGTGGGATGCGGGAGCAGTTGAGGAAACCCCGGACTCTGGTCCAAAAGAAAACAACCCGTTCTGTCTGCCCATTGGGTTTCCTGGAATCTGGACTCCATTACCTAAAGCAGCAACCTCCTTCCTGTCTCACTCGACCTCCTGGGATCACCTCCCATACAAACTCTGGCACATAGGTCTCTGTCCCAGGCTTTGCGGTGGGGAGCCGGACCAGGACTTCCATGAAAGTGCTCCTCTCACCCCCCAAACGAGAAAGAGCGTCAGCTTTTTGTTTGTTTGTTTGAAACAGAGTCTCACTTTGTCGCGTAGGCTGGAGTGCAGTGGTGCAATCTTGGCTATTCTCCCACCTCAGCCTCCCAAGTAGCTGGGATTACAGCCGCGCACCACCACACCCGGCTAATTTTTCGTACTTATAGTAGAGACGGGGTTTCACCATGTTAGTCAGGTTGGTCTCGAGCTCCTAACCTTAGGTGATCCACCCACCTCAGCCTCCCAAAGTGCTGGAATTACAGGCTTGAACCACTGCACCGGGCCAAGCATCAGCTTTAAACCCCTGCCAAGCCCAGAGAGCATCAATGCTTGCTCAAGACAGTACCCAGGAGTCAGGCCCTTCTTGACTCCGGAACCTCTTTCCTCTCCCTCCTGCATCAGCCCTGGAGGTGCCAGAACCACAGTGGGCAGCTGGGGAGGAGATGAAAGGGCAAAGGGCAGAAAGAGAGGAGAGACCAACCATGGCCTCCTTTCCTACTCCAGACTCAAAGATGTTAACACCTGCCCACTCCGTGAGCTTTGCACTTGGTGTTCCTTCTGCCTGGAATTCATTTGGCCTCAGCAGGACTGGCTACATACCCTGTACACAATGAAAATGTACACAAAAATTAAGAACTTCAGGCCGGGTGCGGTGGCTCATGCCTGTAATCCCAGAACTTTGGGAGGCTGAGATGGGCTGATCACCTGAGGTCGGGAGTTTGAGATCAGCCTGACCAACATGGAGAAACCTCGTCTCTACTAAAAATACAAAATTAGCCAGGCATGGTGGCACATGCCTGTAATCCCAGCTACTCAGGAGACTGAGGCAGGAGAATCACTTGAACCCAGGAGACGGAGGTTGCCGTGAGCCGAGATCGCGCCATTGCACTCCAGCCTGGGCAACAAGAGCGAAACTGTCTACATAAATAAATAAATAAATAAAAATTAAGAACTTCAAGATAGGTGTCAGGCCCTGTGCCTGGCTCAGGTCACACAACAAACAGCGGCAGGGCTGGTCTCCTCACTTCCCTCAGGTCTATTTAATGTCACCTTAATTAGCTGGGCATGGTAGTGCATGCCTGAGGTGGAGGACTTGAGGCGGGAGGATTGCTTAAGCCAGGAGTTCAAGGCTGCAGTGAGCTATGATTGCACCACTGTGCTCCAGCCTGGGTGACAAAGCCACACTCTGTCTCTAAGAAAAAAATAATAATAATAGGGCCGGGCGCAGTGGCTCACACCTGTAATTCCAACACTTTGGGAGGCTGAGGCGAGTGGATCAACTGAGGTCAAGAGTTCGAGACCAGCTTGGCCAACATGGCAAAACCCCATCTCTACTGAAAATACAAAAAAAAAAAAAGTAGCTGGGCATGGTGGCAGGCGCCTGTAATCCCTGCTACTCAGGAGGCTGAAGCAGGAGAATTGCTTGAACCCAGGAGGCAGAGGTTGCAGGGAGCCGAGATCGCGCCATTGCACTCCAGCCTGGACAACGAGAGTGAAACTCCATCTCAATAAATAAATAAATAAAATTAGATCGAGGTAATGGTTGCAAAACCCTGTACATTTACTAAAAGTCATTGCAATGTACACTTTTTTTATGAGACGGAGTCTCACTCTGTCACCCAGGCTGGAGTGCAGTGGTACCATCTCAGCTCACTGCAAGCTCTGCCTCCCAGGTTCACGCCATTCTCCGGCCTCAGCCTCCCAAGTAGCTGGGACTACAGATGCGTGCCACCACGCCTGGCTAATTTTTCATATTTTTAGTAGAGACGGGGTTTCACCCTGTTAGCCAAGACGGCAAGATGGTCTCGATCTCCTGACCTCGTGATCCACCCTCCTTGGCCTCCCAAAGTGCTGGGATTACAGGTGTGAGCCACCGCGCCCGGCGCAATGTACACTTTTAAAAGAGGTCAACTTTATGGTATGTAAATTGTGCTCTAAAGAAGCTGTTTAAAAAAGAATATGGGAGGCTGAGGCCAGAGGATTGCTTCAGCCAGGAGTTGGAGAATAGCCTGGGCAACATGGTGAGACACAGTCTCTACAAAACATTTAAATATTAGCTGGGTGTGGTATTATGTGCCTTTAGTCCCAGCTGCTGAGGCTGAGGTGGGAGGTTCACTTGAACCCAGGAATTCCAGACAGCAGTGAGCTTATAGTTGCGCCACTACCCTGCAGCCTGGGCGACGAAGCGAGACCCCGTCTCTAACAAATAAATAAATAAATAAATAAAGATAACATAGCATCTCATTACCAGGAAATGGAAAAAATAATAATATAAAAATTGACATGGCAACTGACATCTTCAAACTACAAATTTTTAAACTTTTATTTTCTCCCTATACAGAAGAGATCATTTTTCCGACTTCACTGCCTGACTTCCTGAGGCTGCCCAGAGTTTGTTGCAGGCTCTGGGCTCAGGGTATGTTCAATTTTCCTGCTTGGAACTGAGAGAAGAACTCAGGTCTTCTTACAGACTGCCAAAGTCCGGCAGGGCTCTTTTAGAACAGTCATTTCACAGCTAGAGAAACGGAGACCCAGGCCGGGCGCAGTGGCTCATGCCTGTAATCCCAGCACTTTGGGAGGCTGAGGTGGGTGAATCACGAGGTCAGGAGATCGAGACCATCTTGGCTAATGCGGTGAAACCCCGTCTCTACTAAAAATACAAAAAATAAGCCGGGCGTGGTGGTGGGCGCCTGTAGTCCCAGCTACTCGGGAGGCTGAGGCAGTAGAATGGCGTGAACTCAGAAGGTGGGGCTTGCAGTGAGCCGAGATCACGCCACTGCCCTCCAGCCTGGGCGACAGAGTGAGACTCTGCCTCAAAAAAAAAAAAAAAAAAAAAAGAGAGAGAGAAATGGAGACCCAGAGAAATAAAGGGCCTTGCCAAGGCTGCACAGGCATTTGGCAGCAATTTCATCAGCATCCAGCACACATGGGCTTCGTAATACAATCACCAAGGGAGCCAGTTCTTGAACACAGCCCCTTGATTTTTCTTGCCAGAGCCCCTTGAACTCCTCTGGAGACTCCTGCCCTCTGCTTGAGATGCTCCTGTAGCTTTTCTTGCTCAGGTGAGAAATAAAATGTGATCCTAAAATCCCTTTGGTATCTACAGGAGGAGGTTGTGAAGTCTGTAAGTGGTTGTATTCCAGCTTCATTATTTCCCCACCATGCTGGTTCCCCAGGGCTGGTGCCATGAAGGAGGAAGAGATCAGAGAATCTATGCGGAGAAGGTCTTCTTCTTCCAGTGTGGTTGTAGTTGGCATTGCTGCCTCTGGGTACCAAAGGTACCCAAATGTTGATTCTGTCTTTGTTGGGCGCTTCTTTGGCTTCCCAGGAAAACTCCCACCAGGGACCTTGCCCTGCATTCCCCAGGAAGGGTGGTGGCACTCTCTAGCTGATCCCTGTGACCCCTTCCCGTAGGCTTCTGCCACCCTCTCCATTCACCTGCCCTGGGAGGAAACTCCCTTGTGTAGGGTCCTTCTCAGAAGCCTCACAGTTGCCTTCCTTCCTAAGGTCCCACTTGCCACGCACAAAAATAGTTCCCTACCATCAAGGCAAGAGTGGTCTGCTCTCAGAGCAACTGGTCTGTGAGCTGCTGGGCCCTCTACGTTGGCAGTGTCTGTCCTTACAACAAACCACAAGGCAGGCATTTTCATTCTTGCTACCTCCTCTTCACAGATGAGTAAACTGAGGCTCAGACACAGCAAGCAGAACTGGCTGGTATTAGAATCCAAGTCTGCCTGACCCCAAAGGCTTTTTCTATCTTCCACATCAAGGATCCTCTTGGCCAGACTGTTCATCAGTCTCAAGGTCATTGCTATCATCAACAGCAAATATTTATTAAGTACCTAGTGATGGTGAGAGAGATCAGACCAGGTAATCAATGCAGATTGGAGGCCCAGGGCTGGGCAAAGGGCAGGAACAGAGTGGAGACAAGATTGCTCAGCAGAGATCTGTGCTGGGTGGGCCCCAGGCCCGTGAGTCCAGAAGTACATCTGGAAGAAAAAGAAAAATCACCAGGTCATCTGCAACCCAGAGGCCAAGGGACAGGAGGTGGAGGGGCCCTTCATCAGGGCTAAAACAGTGGTTCTCAAACTTTGCTACAAATGGAATCATCCAGGGATCTTTAAAAAATACTGACACCTGGCCCCCACCCCCAGACATTCTGATCTTGTTGGTATGGGAAGCAACCTAGGCATCTGGATTTTTAACGAGTAGGAAAGGTCAGGCAGGAACGGGGTGTGGGGAGGAGGTTTGATAGGAAGAGGTGGTGATGACCTAGGCTCTGGAAGCCTAAGGTTCTAAGGCAAGGAGGTCAGGGTACTGGGCTGGTGCAAAGTAGGCATGTGACAAATATGAATTGGAGGACAGTGGGAGGGAAGGGCAGAGGGAAGGAATGGAAGGAAAAAAAGAAAATCCAAAACTCAGGCAGTGCAGCAAGTTTGAGTCTATTCTCCATCATTAGCTTTCTATGTGACCTTGGAAAAATGGCTTCCCCTCTCTGGGCTTCATTTGGAAAAGGAGGAGGTTGGATTTGTTGATGATTAAGATCCTTCTGGCCCCAGATTTCTAGGATGCTTAGGCGGGACTCCTTAGTGGGAGACGAGTGCACCTGCATCCACAGTCCAGCCATGCTCACATGCTGCCATCTCGCCTCTCTCCACCCTCCATGTGCTGCTCCCTTTGTCTGGAACACCCCCACCACTTTTTTTTTTTTTTTTTTTTTTGGTGGGGGATGGAGTCTCACTCTGTTGCCCAGGCTGGAATGCAGTCGTGTGATCTCAGCTCACTGCAACCTCCGCCTCCCAGGTTCAAGAGATTCTCCTGCCTCAGCCTCCTGAGTAGCTGGGACTACAGATGCCTGCCACCACACCTAGCTAATATTTTTGTATTTTGAGGAGAGATGGGGTTTCACCATGGACAGGATCGTTTCGATCTCTTGAACTCGTGATCTGCCTGCCTCGGTCTCCCAAAGTGCTGGGATTACAGGCATGAGCCACCGTGCCTGGCCCCACTGCTTTTATTTATCTGCTCAACTCCTGCTTCTCATCTGGGACTCAGCTCAGGTGTCAACTCCTCCAGGCAGCCCTCGTTGACCGGTCCCCACCACCCTGTTCTGACTTGGATGCCCTTTCCTGTACCAAGGAAAGGTAGGTCCCTCTGATTATCCTACCAGACCCATTATACTGTGACACCTGTTAATTACCTGTTTCCCTCCTGGGTTGTGTGTCTTGTTCTGTGACTTGTCTATATTCCCAGCACTCAGCATAGAGAAAGCTTCTTAAAAAGTGGGATGGAGGAATGAAGGTTGCCAGGCCTTCGTTCAGGTGCCTGGACCACAGGAATGAACAAGAGACATTGTCCCTTTCCAAAGCAAGGAGAAAGGGGAAATCAGGAAGTGGTTTGTTAAACAATGACAAAAAGGGGTACAGGAAAAGGGGCCAAGAGGTTGTCCAGGAGCCTGCAGCATTTGCCCATAGTTACGGTAAGTCTACCCCTCAATCCCGAAGCTTTCCTCAGTGGGTTAACAGGAAAGCCGGTGATGCTGAAACAAAGTGGGGAATGGAGTACAAGGGCTATCTGGCATCTTAGATGGCTACATGAACATGCAGCTTGCAAATAAGAGAAATACATAGGTGGGGAGCTGTCTGGACATCTGGGTGAAGTTTTAATATGGTATAAAAATGTCCTTTATAGTAGAGGTATGGAAGAAAAGGAAGAAAATGGGGGAAGTGAGAGAACAGCATCTTTTCTGGGGGATTTTGAAAATATAGATTTCTAGACAATAAAGATGTGTTTTTTGGGGTTTTTTTGTTTTGTTTTGTTTTTTTGAGATGGAGTCTCGCTCTGTCGCCAGGCTGGACTGTAATGGCGCAATCTTGGCTCACTGTAACCTCCGCCTCCCGAGTTCAAGTGGTTCTCCTGCGTCAGCCTCCTGAGTAGCTGGGACTACAGGCATGTGCCATCATGCCTGGCTAATTTTTGTATTTTTAATAGAGACGGGGTTTCGCCATTTTGGCCAGGATGGTCTCGATCTCTTGACTTCGTGATCCACCCACCTCGGCCTCCCAAAGTGCTGGGATTACAGGCGTGAGCCACCGTGCCCGGCCCTTGTTGTTGTTGTTGTTGTTGTTTTTTAAAGAGGTTGCCCAGGGGTGGGAGGGGGGTCAGTGAATTTCTGGAGTCAGAAAGCCCTGGGTTTAAATCTAGCACAACCGCTGGTTAGCTGTGTGACTAGAGCTGCTTTCTTAACCTTCCTATAACATGGGGATAATCAGAACACCTCCGTCAGAGGTAGAACACAGCACAGTGCTTGGCTCCTAGAAAACACTGAAGAAACATGTTGACTATTTTGATTTGCTAACATCACGAGTGGGTGAGGAGGGCTGTGGGAATAGACATGCCATGCCCGACCACCATCACCTGTTCACACCTCATACCCCACCACCCTTGGGATTAAATGAAATGCAATTGCCCATAAGTCAGGCTGGCTTCTTGATTACAGCAGAATGCAAACTCCTCAAGGGTGAGAATCCTTGCTTTATTTGCTGCTAAATTCTCGGCACCTGGGATAGTGCTGGTGCATAGTAGGTCCTCAATAAATATTTCTTGAATGAATAAACGACTGAACTCTGGGTTGACTAGCTCAGTGTATGGGGTAACCTCATCCTCCTTCCCTAGACCCACGTCCCTCCTCCAAAAATCTTGAACTCAACATGACTCCATCAGCTATGACTTCATTCAGCAGCAAGCAATGAAAAGCCACAATGGGCCAGGTGTGGTGGCTCAAAAACAGTGGCTTAAACAAGTAAAATGATCAACTTGCCTAGACTGGTATGTCAGCTCAATGATATTATCAAGGACCCACGATCTATCCATCTCCCTGTCCCAGCCATCATGTGACTTTTACCCTGATGATCACAAGATGGCTGCTGTACTTCTAGGTATCACGTCTCTGTTCCAGGAAAAAGGAGGATGGGAAAAGGGCAAAAGGTACAAGGAGCCAGACAGGTGACTACTTAACAACAACAAAAACAATGGCCCCTCTCTCCCTTTCTCTGCCATCGTGGTGTGTGCTTGACTCCGCTTCTTGCCATGTCTTCTCACAAGACTTCCTGGTCAAGAAACAAAAGCAAAATCGTTCCATTCTCCAGTGGATTAGGATGAAAACTGGCAATAAAATCAGGTACAACTCCAAAAGGAGACATCGGAGGAGAACCAAGCTGGGTCTATAAGGAATTCCACATGAGATGGCACACACATTTATGCTGTCTGAAGGTCACAATCACATTACCATATCAAGCTGAAAATGTCACCGTTATCTGCAGTTAGACATGTTTTATTGGGAATACATTTTTCCTCTCTGAATCTGTTATGAATGCGTTGGTTGGCTGGGTTCAGTAATAAATATGTGAGACCTTTCATTTCAAACAACAAAAACAACAAAATAAAACACTTTTCAGGTTTCTGTTATAAGGGAGGAGAGACTCAGTCCTGGGAGAGCAGCCAGCAAGGTCTGCCATGATGGCCAAATGAAACCATTGTTCCCCTCCATCCATCCCCCCACACCTACTCCTTCTCCAGGCTTGTTTGAGTAGATGGCACCCCCCTTCACTCAGCTCCCCAAGGGAAAAGCCCAAGAGTCAGCCCTCACTGCATGCCCACATCCAGTCCAACAGCTCCTGTTATCTTCACCATGACCTAGATCCTGAATCTAACCATGACCCTCCACCTCACTGTCCAAGCCACTCTCATCTCTCTCCCTTGTGCACTCCGGCTCTCCTTACCGTCCATTCTCCTCCTGGTGGCTGAAGAATTCTTTACACATGTAATCTGATCACATCACTCCCCCCTTAAAGCCCTTCAAAACTGCATCATGCAGACTATAACCAAACCCTCGCCCTGGCCCCAGGCTACACAGCTGGACCCTGAGCACCTCCTTGTATGGGGTCCCCTTGCCCACCTCATCCAGCCAAGAGGGCCTCACTTAGGCTCCTTCCTCACACCTGCTAGTTCCTGCCATCAGGCCTTGGCACTAGCAGTTCCCTTTGCCAGGAACACACTGCACCTGCCCACAGTCATTGTCTGTTATATCACCCTTTTCATCCTCACAGCACTCATCCTAATCTCTTTTATAGTCTGTCTTCTCCCCCCAGGATGTAAACAAGGGCAGAGACCTTGTCTGCCTTGTCCATCGCTGTATCCTCAGGACCTAACACTGCCTGGTAAGTAGGAGGACTGGAGGTGTATTCATTCAATGAATACGTGGATGGAGAGGCTTGTTTCGGGTGGTCTCTTAGGGAACCTTCTAGCTCTTGAAGATCTAAAGAGAAAGCAGAAGAAGGAGCTTGGGGAAGGGGACGCAACACATGAGGTATGTCCGAAACTGGACTAACATCCCAGCCCTCTTCCCTGATTGCCCAGTGTAGGAGATCAGTCAGAGTGGTGGGAGAAACTACAGGGAAAAGGAGCAGGCCTTCTGAAAGGTCAGAGGGCTCTGCAAAGCTCCAGGAGAGAACAGCTGAAGGCAGCTGTTCCATAACCCTGAGGCAGAGGGCAAGGAGTAGGTACAAGGGAGTGTGGGGGAATTTATCTTAAACAGGCTTGTTTACTTATGTTGACCAGAAACTGACCTTTGATTATCTGCACATGAAGTTCCCTGAAAGGGGAAGAATAAATGTTAATTACCTACAGGTTGTGTTGGCTCCAGGTTTCCGGCATTGTGCCTGCACGGAATAAAAGCAAGCAGCCCCAGCTTCTCGGGGCTGCTCTCTGGCCACTAGAGCCAGGTAGTCATCTAGCTGCTGTTACACTGCATACCTGTCTGACTACTCATTTCATCCGTAGGTCGGCCAGGGTCTACGGGACACACCCAGCAGCCCAGGAGATCCTGCTAGGCGAGCGTATCCAGGGACTGAGTCAGAGACCATTTGGAAAAAACTGGAAAGAAGAGGTGAGCACAGGCACTGCCATATTGAGCCCCATGAATTCAAGCCAGAATGGGACCCCCGCCATCTGGAAAATGGCATTGAGAGAGCAAGCAGCCTGCTGGCTCTGCCTCTAATTAGCAGTGGATGAGTGACCTGACCCTCTCTGAACCTCAGTTTCCTCATCTATAAAATGGGATAAAAAAGAATAGTATTTACTTCACAAGGTTGTTTTAAGGATTCAATCGGGGCCGGGCACAGCAGCTCATGTCTGTAATCCCAGCACTTTGGGAGGCCGAGGTGGCTGGATCACCTGAGGTCAGGAGTTCAAGACCAGCCTGACCAACATGGTGAAACCCCATCTCTACTAAAAATACAAAAATTTGCCGGGCATGGTGGCAGGCACCTGTAATCCCAGCTGCAGGAGGCTAAGGCAGGATAATTGCTTGAACCCAGGAGGCAGAGGTTGCAGTGAGCCGAGATCATGCCATTGCACTCCAGCTTGGGCAACAAGAGCAAAACTCCATCTTAAAAAAAAAAAAAAAATTCAGATGGATTATGTAAAATGCCTATACAATGCACGGCAAATTGTTTAAGAGCTCAAACAACTTCAGTCATGTAAGAGAAAGAAAAGAGAGGAGGGAGAAATGATGGAGCCAGGTGACACAAAAGCAGATGTCCCAGTCCCCTGGGGGCAGCCCAGTCAGATATGCTGGGAGTTTGGACCTCCTAGAAAAGACACAGAACTTTAAGGCATCTGAACTTTAGCTTCCCCTTCTCAAAATGGACTTCTGAGTTCTTCTGGTCCAACCCCTTCGTTTTACAAACGTTCTGCATCTTGGAAAGAAAGGCCAAAGACCCAGAGAGTTGGCAGAGGCAAGTACAGAGAGGCGGCCAGTGGGGACAGGGCTGTGGAGGTGGGCCAGTGCAGCAGGCTGTGAGCCCCCTGCTCTCCTCATTCTGGGGAAGAGGATCTGCCTTCATCTGCACCCCGCCACCCCCCACCACCAACACACACAATGAGGGGGAAATGGCAGGCTGGGGAGACCCATGAAGCTGGCAGGAGGAACACTGGGCAGGGAGGGGCCAGCCCTGTGCTGGGCATTTCAGCACTGGGCTCAATACTCATGCAGCCTGCGAGGGGGTCTCTGCAGTTTACAGATGAGGGTATGGGTGCCCAAGCCCCCTGAAAAGCTCTTAGAGCCAGAACCGGAATACTATTCTGTGTGACTCTAAAAATCTCTGCCCATTCTTATGCTCACTAAAGTCTGAGAAAAATTTAAAAATTAAAATTAAAAATAAATTAGGCCAGGTGCTGTGGCTCACGCCTGTAATCCCAGCACTTCGGGAGGCCGAGGTGGGCGAATCACCTGAGGTCGAGTTCGAGACTAGCCTGGCCAACATGGCAAAACCTCGTCTCTACTAAAAATACAAAAATTAGCTGGGCATGGTGGTGGGGTGCCTGCAATCCCAGCTACTTGGGAGGCTGAGGCAGAAGAATTGCTTAAACCCAGGAGGCGGAGGTTGCAGTGAGCCGAGATTGCGCCACTGCATTCCAGCCTGGGAGACAGAGCAAGACTTTTTTTTTTTTTTTTTTTTTTAAATAAAATCTCTGCCCTGCCTCTGCCTAGGAATTAAAAGGCCTGTATTTGAGACCATCACTACTACATCACTAACTGGTTGCAAGCTTGAACCAGTTCTTTCTCTCTTACCTCAGATTCCTTCTTTAAACAGGGAGGGTAGATGCCACCACGGCTGAGCCGCTGAGCCGCTGAGGGTCCCCTCCCAGCTGGAGCTGAGATTCTTGAGATTCTAAACAACCGCCTCCCTACACTGAGTCAGAAGGAAAGCCTGCTGGGCCTCTAAACCAAACGCCCCCGGGCCTCTCATCTAGCCTTCCTGGCCCGGGCACACGGGACAGCACTACCCCAGGCTTTGCAGTGCCTGGCTGGCCTCCCTTCAAGGGTGGTGCCCATCTGCCCAGTTTTCTAGCCCGGGTGGGAGCCTGGGCCTCAGCCAACACCATTCTCTGGGACCTAACTCCACTCCGTGATTTGGGGAAAAAAGCCAAGCAATGGACTCAATTAGGAGCCTCCAAACCATCAAGGCTTCCCCACAGGTTACCATTTAGGCCAGCGCTTCTCAAGCTCAATTTAAGAAAAAAATGTTTAATCTGCTGCTAACTTAATACTTCTGTAAAATTTTAAAAATATATACTATATAATACTAGTGGTTACACAATATTGTGAAAGCACTTACTGCTACTAAATTGTACGCTCAAAAATGGCTAAAATGGTACATTTATATTATCTATATTTTACTACAATTTGTTTAAATTGAAAAAAACGAAATGAAAAAGGTGAAATTCCAGCCTCAGCTTTGTTTTAATAACATTTGACAAGACCTTGTAAAATTGTTATAAAAGTTTCTAAATGCTTACTTTCAATTTCTGTACTTATCTCGCTGCAGACCAGTAAAAGTTTGTATGCTGGCAGCAATCCCCGAGCTATACTTTGATAGCACTGATCTGAGCTGCTAAGAGGGACTCTGGCTTTACAGGGCCTCTCAGGAGACCTTCTAAGAGCACAAGGTTCCTGTACCACGACTCCCTCCAGCAGGCATTTCTGGACACCAGGCTGGTCAACCCCAAGCAGCTCAGGGCAGGCACACTGCTCTGATGTATGGCTGACACCTACTTATGCCCCAGCTGTCCCCAAGGGCCTTGTTGATGTACAGTGGTTTTTATTTATTTTTTTGAGACACAGTCTTGTTCTTGTTGACCAGGCTGGACTGCGATGGTGTGAACTCGGCTCACTGCAACCTCCGCCTCCTAGGTTCAAGCCATTCTCTTGCCTCAGCCTCCCAAGCAGCTGGGATTACAGGCACCCGCCATCACGCCTGGCTAATTTTTGTATTTTTAGCAGAGACGGGGTTTCACCATGTTGGCCAAGCCGGTCTCAAACTCCTGACCTCAGGTGATCCGCCCACCTTGGCCTCCCAAAGTGCTGGGATGACAGGTGTGAGCCACTGCGCCTGGCCAATGTGTACTGTTATTAAAGTGTCCCTGTCAGTGGCCAGGAGAATGGTGATGTCCCTGATAACCACAGGGAGTCATGGGGTGGGGTAGCCTGGATTGGGGAGGTAAAAAGTAGAGAGGTGACTTCTTTGCTTCTATTCCCTAAACCAAACTTGACCCAAGCATTATCTCCTACAGGAATTCATCCTGGGCCTGCATCCTGAGGAGCCCCTATCTGTGTCCCACAGCAGAGGAGAGCACAGGTCTCCCTGTATTTGTATTGAATGGGTAACATGGTAAATTAGGAAGTGGTGCCTGTTCCTGGGAAGATGAGGGAATGTACTGTGTGCCTTGGTTGTAGGGTATGACTGGATTTCAGGCCCCACATCTCCTCAGTGGGATCTCCTGTGCAGGGTACAGTCTGCACACTGTGAGCAGGGGCTGTGATGGGTGCAGCTGCAGGCCCATCTCCACCAGGCTGTTGGGGACTGGAGAGATGGCAATGGTGTTTAGATGTTGCATCCTGAGGGGTCTCTGCCTAGGTGAGCAACAGAAACGCTGGCTTAAAAAAAAAAATCTAGGCCAGACACGATGGCCCATGCCTGTAATCGCAGCACTCTGGGAAGTTGAGGCTGGTGGATTGCTTGAGCTCAGGAGTTCGAGACCGGCCTGGGCAACATGGTGAAATCTTGTCTCTACAAAAAATACGAAAATTAGCCGGCCATTGTGGCATGCACCTATAGTCCAAGCTACTCTGGAAATTGAGGTTGGAGGATTGCTTGAGCCAAGGATGTTGAGGCTGCAGTGAGCTGTGTTTGCACCACTGCACTCCGGCCTGGGTGACAAAGAGAGAGACCCTGTCTGAAAAAAATTCTAGACACTGGGGCTCCAATTTTATTTTTTTATTTACTTTCATTTTTTAATTATTTAGAGACAGAATCTTGCTATGTCTCTAAATAAATAAGGCTGGTCTCTAACTCCTGGCCTCAAGTGATCCTCCCTCCTCGGCCTCCCAAAGTGCTGGGATTACAGGTGTGTACCACCACACCCAGCAACAGGCTGGCTCCAATTTTAGAAATTCTACCTCCAAAGGTCTGAGGGTCCTGAGTCTCATATTTTGAAAAAGTACCATGTGATCCTGATACCCAGCTGGTGTCTGGCCCATAGAGGTGCCAGCAAGTGTTTGGTGACTGGGCTTAGAGGTACAGTACATCTCTGGAAGGAGACACGGGAGACAGCTAGGTGACCTGGGAGGGAGGGAGATTCACTTTTATTATACGTCTTTTTTTTTTTTTTTTTTTTTGAGACACAGTATCGCTCTGTTGCCCAGACTGGAGTGCGGTGGCGTGATCTATGCTCACTGCAACCTCTACCTCCCGGGTTCATACCATTCTCCTGCCTCAGCCTCCCGAGTAGCTGGGACTACAGGCACCCGCCACCACGCCCGGCTAATCTTGTTTTTGTATTTTTAGTAGAGACGGGGTTTCACCGTGTTAGCCAGGATGGTCTCAATTTCCTGACCTCGTGATCTGCCCGCCTCGGTCTCCCAAAGTGCTGGGATTACAGGCTATTACACGTCCTTTTATACTGACTGGACTTTTGATCTAAAAAACAGTTTGGCTGACTTGGAGTGATGGAGTTACTAGTCTCTGTGTCAGGGACTGCAAATGCTGGGCCTCCAGCAGGGGCAGGGCGGATCCAGCGAAAGACAGAAGTGGGTGGGCCCAAGGGGATGGAGAGCTGCAGAACACAAGTCCCGCCTCAAGGGGGCAGCAACTGCCCAGAGTCCGCTGACGGCCGCTGGGTGGGACTGCAAGCCCAGGGTTGCCAGATCTGTCAGCTTTTTTCAAGATAAGCTTGAAATCAGATTTTCACATGGAATTGTCAGCTAATTCAACAATTTAAAACACAGCATGGGCTGAATGCAACATGCCTATGGTTCAACATTGGCTGCAGGCCACCAGTTTGTGCGTTCGGATCCAGGAGGATTCCATTAAGGATTGTGCACCTCAGAGCCATCTGCAAAGCTGGTGCAGACCCTTCATTTGCTTCTAGAAAATCGGGTTTACTCCACATGGGGTCCGCAAAGGATGAGGACAAAGCCAGTGCCCTGAGGTAGACCGTGGGAGTCACCCACCCACTCATCATTATTTAATCCAGCACATTAACCTCCCACCACGAGCCAGGAGATCCAGTGGTGAATGTGACAGGAGGAGTCCCTGTTTTCAGGGACCCTGTGTTCTAGCTGGGGAGACACTTGAATTAATGAGTAACACTTGTGATACATGAGGAGTTGCAGTACAGCATGGGGGTTAAAAGTCTGGGTTTGAGTCCTGACTCTACTGCTTGCTAGTTGTCATTTTAGGTAAATCCCCTAATCTAGGTCCAGTTGCCTTACTTCTCGCCTATGGAATGGCCATGATAACCTCATAGGGCTGTTCTGGGGATTCACTGAGACAATGCAAATAATTATTAGTTGCTGCTATTAAATAGAGAGCTGTGAGAGCAGGGAAGAGGGGAGGCTAGGCTTAGCATGGGGACTTCCCCATCCCAGTGAATACTGGGGCTTTCTGCCAGTGAGGGGAGCAGGAGGCCACAGGGATTGGAAGCTCCAGGCCCAGGAGAGGCTCAGTCCTTTTCTGCTGAGATGGCTGCTATGAGGTAGCTGGCTCATTTCCTGTCTGTTTTTTCTTCCTATGGATCCAATTTCAGCAGCCTACTTGTCTCAGTAGGATATGGTGCCCAAGGACTGGGCAGGTACTGCTCTGCTCTTGGCCACGATGGAAGCAGGCCAGGCCTTTCTAACTATGAACCAGAGCCCTTCCATGAAGCTGCTGCATTTTGGAGCTCATCAAACCCTACAACTAAGTTTTAAAAATCTAAGTGCATGTACGAAACAAGTCAGAAACCCTTTCCTACGCCCTTAAGTACAGAATACCAGCTTCTGCTGGCAGAGGCCTCAGCCACAGGGACATTTTGGACCTTCGTTTCACCTGGGCAAAAAGGGAGGAGGCAAGTGTCAAGAGACTTGGCTCACCAGCAATGTGTCTGGGTCCTTGGAGTTCAGCTCTGTGTCTATGACATGGTCTCTGATCTCAGGTGGTCTGCAATCCAACCCTGTAGAGAATCAGTCTTGGATTTGGAAGGGAACTTCTAGGGCATCTAAGTCCAACCTCCATCCAAAGGGGGAAGCTTTTCTATAAGAAACTTGGCCTTGCCAGGCGCGGTGGCTCATGCCTGTAATGCCAGCACTTTGGGAGGCTGAGGCAGGCAGATCATGAGGTCAAGAGTTCAAGACCAGCCTGGCCAACGTGGTGAAACCCTGTCTCTACTAAGAATACAAAAATTAGCCAGGCACGGTGGTGCACGCCTGTAATCCCAGCTACTTGGGAGGCTGAGGCAGGAGAATCGCTTGAACTGGGGAGGCGGAGGTTGCAGTGAGCCAAGATCGTGCCACTGCACTCCAGCCTGGGCAACAGAGCAAGACTGTCTCGAAAAAAAAAAAAAAAGAAAAGAAAAAATTTGGCCTTTATCTTCTGTATTCCTAAATGAACCACATTTAACAGTGATTCAAACAAATGAATTCGCAGTAAGGTAGCCAAACTGTCATCTGGGTGCACAGGTTTACCGGGACAGCTAAAACATCACTGAAAATCAGAATTCTCCACTGGGAGAATGATACAGAGTAGACAGGAGCACCTTTATAAAGGTGCTGGGGGTGGGGGATGAGACCTCACTCCAAGGCATGCAAGGATAAGAGGCCCTGCCTTTTTAAGGAGGTGGGAACGGCTGAATAGTAGGGCTTTCATTTGCTGAGACTTGTGAGCAGGTCTGAGGCAGAGGGGAATTGTTCCGGGCAACGAGGGGATGCTGAGCTGTCAGAGCAGCCCCCCTTCCTGTGCAGGGCTTAGAGCAGATCTGCCTGGGTAAGCTTCTCCTACTAGCTTAGGACCTTGGGTACGTTACTCTGCCTGTTCACTTCTCTATGGTGGAGAAAATGAACACGATGCCTGGACGTTAAGTGCTCAGTAAATAGTAGCACTGCCATTTTCCCAAGTGGAGTGATTTCTTTCTCCTCCAGCTTCCCAAGTTTAGAGCACATGTCCCAGTTCCTCAGTGCAGTGTCAGTCACATGGATTGCTCCAGAGCCCAGCAGGCCCTCCCACCTCATCCCTGTGCTGCCCCAACAGCCACCATGGCCACCGTAGCCTGAACGGCAGCCACTCTCCAGTCAACTCACCCTGCCTCCACTTTCTCTTCCTTAAAATGGTTTTGTTACTGACCACTGCAGCCCCCCACATTCAAAAGCCTTCAAAGAGCCTCCACTGCTTAGAATAAAAAAATGGGGAGGGGGCCTGCCTGGAGGGCCTGCCAAAGGCCATTAACTATGGCAGGTTCTCTGTGCACGTGGCAATCACAGGCTTACTAAGTGTTTAACAATTAAGTGCTTTATTGGGGTTTGGCTTGGAAGGTTCATCTGACTTCCAAAAGGACAAGCTCATGTCCTTTCTCCTCTCAAAGCTTCCCAGACCACAAAGCCCTCTGTGGTCACTCCTTTCACCAAAGCACTAAAGCACCCTGGTGAGTACAAGTATGTGGTCGAGAGCCTCACCCTCAGGTAAGTAAGCATTCTACAGCTCTCCTTCCCCTCACATGGGCACGTGATATGCTGGTCCCACCCCATCTTTTCTCCATCCCTAGCGCAAAGGCCAGTGTGGAGCACAATCTAGGTGCTTGTCAAATGTTAATTTAAGGGCCTCCTTCACGTCCTTCAAACCTCTCTCCACTGAGCCCAGTCAACCATAAGGCCCAAGTACAAAATCCTCAGGAAGGGACAAGCCTCATTTTCCATTCAAGACAAAAGGAATGGAGTCTGCTCCTTGGTGACAGCCCCAACTGCTTGTCAAACCACTCTGGCCTTATTAGGCCAATCTATTGGAAGTACTGCTGGGAGAGGCTGGCCCCACTGGGACAGACGCAGACTCCCGTGATGGCAGAGAATGCCGGGCCCGGGAATGCATACCCAGAGACACTTCCCCAGAAGCTCGTAGGTGCCACCGCTCCTCCTCTTCACTCCAAGCCAGATGCAAAGAATGGGGGAGTGAAAGTTACTTAACTGATCTCCCCCAACCATCTCATTTTATCCAGGAGAAAATGGGGGCCCAGGACTAAGTGCTTCTCCAAAGGTCAAGGTGAAATAGAAAAGCCAGAGCTTCTATTTCTGTGGTAAGATGCATCCCCTTCAGTTTCCTGTGACTTAAGCCTGTCACAAGGCAGGGGCTCAGGATCGCCCTCTGATAGGAAGTCAGGGCCACCATGGGATGGGTGGTAACTGATGAGGCATCCTTTCAGGCCTGTTGATCCTTCCCTTGCTTTCTCCTGAGGCCAGTTTCCCTCCCTAAATGTCTTAGATGAACAAAAGCTCACTGCCACTTGTAGGACACCTCGTATCATTATGCCAAGTTTCTACCCTCAGGCCCTCTTTATATTCCCATCTATTCAGAACTGGTATTTTAAAGATCCCAGAGCACCTGCTATGTGCCAGAGACAGGAGCCAAGATGAACTGTGCTGCACCACTGCACACAAGCCTCATCCTGTCCTCTTGGTTTAGATATTGCTCAGAACCTATTGTTGTATTCAACTATACTTGCACTTGCTCCTATTTGCCCTACATGGGCGTAACTCCTTAAACCAAGCTTTGTTCAGAATTCCTCTGATTGATCATTTAAGTAAATTTAAAAGTCAATTTAAGGAATATAAAAACTGCATAATTTCCAACTCAAGAGTATAAACTTAGATCACTCATTAGCCTCTGGTTGAAAACAGTAATCGTGATTTATACGGAATGCTAAATATCTATGTTCTAAGTGTGCTCTCTTGCCACAAACCCATTTAATCCTAACAATCTTAGGAGGTAAGTTGAGGTAGGCTGTTATTGTTCTCATGAATAAGTTTGGTAAAACCCCAATCTCAAGATACAGCCCAAGCAGCAGAGGCACATGCGTTAGCAACACATGGACCCCACCGCAGTATTAGCAATCATCTTTTGCTATAAGTGCTTGGCTTCCAAGAGCTTTTATACAGATGTCTGAGAGGCACAAAATATGTATAATTAGGCTATTTCTCAAATAGCACAGGAAAGCTGCCAAAGGCGTTCCCTGAATTGAGAGGCAAAGCACTGACAATGGGGACTATTACAGCCTCTGGATACAAGATGACGTATCTGCCAACCTTAACCACCCGAGTCAAATGCTACTTTAGAAATAATTAAGGTTCCCTTTAGTCATTTCACAGGAGTTGCTACAGCAGTACATAAAGTTTTATTAATATTCTGATTCTCGTGTCATAGCTTTTATGGCAGGAAAGGATGAGGACATGCCCCACCTGTAACGTAGAGCAAGCAAACCACCAAGTAGAATCTTGAGATTCTCTCTCAACTGTTCTCTAGAAACACGCTTGTGCTTTTAATCTGCCTTTTAAAAGGGACACAGAACAAAAAATGGTTGTTTGCAAATAAACATCTGAAAGAAAGTAACAGCTGACCTGGGCTGAGGCATCCAAACAAAGCAGTCATTGTGGAAGGAGACAATGCAAACCACACTGGGGCAAGAAACGGGGCAGAGAACGTGCGGTCATTTGTGCGTTGGGTATTTCTACCAGCCCCAAAGGCCCCATCTGGAACAAGTATCAACCAGGAGGGGCTCTATGGCTTGATTTATTAACCTAACTCAAAAGAAGTCACTGCCACCAACAGCACTGTGCAGTTTTATTAACCATTCAAGTCCAGTAGCATCTGGTAAGATTGGGACAGAATTGGGATTGAAAAGTGAACAGATATTCAGCATCTAACAGTTCAAAAGAAGCCACTACATACTCTTTTCACAAATATGTTTTCACAGAGCCAATACAGTACTAGCCATTAACCCAGTACACCAAGTGTACTGAAGTAGAAAAGATGCAACAAGAAAAATAGCTACATTAGAAAGACCAACACTTTAGAAAAAGAGTAAAACACTTTCAGTTTCTCCCCTTTAGCCCCTAAAACAACATCTTACAGTCTGGATCTGGATCTACCTATACAGTCCTACATTAGCTTCTAAAATATTTGTCAGGAGGGAAAAAATAAAATGACACTGGCCAGTACAGTCTTTGGATATTTAGGAAGGGGATGGGGAGAAAGTCAGTTCTCAGAACAAATTAGTCAGCTTCAGTCTCGTCAGCAGGGTCTTTGGATTCTTTGTTCTTCCGCACTTCTTCAATGTGCTTATCCTGTAAAGGAAGGGTAAGGTGTCATCAGTCAAAAAAAAAAAAAAAAAAAAAAGCCTGTCAAGTCACGACCCCCAGCCCCCACCTCAAAGAGGCCCAACACAACCTCAGTGCATATATTACAGCCTGTGGGAACCACACAATTTAAGTTCTGAGACATCATCATCAAATCTCCTGGGTCCCTTGTAGAACCTAACAAGCTGCCTACTGGACTTCCAAGGACTGTGCAATTATGCTGGGAATTACTGAATATTCCATCTTAAAATATACCTTTCATTTAATATGTTAAGCCCCAAAATGGATGACAAAAAGACACCAAACACCTTTTATCAAAGCACTTAGTTCAAGCCAACTCATTGGTGCATCAAACTCCAAGCTCAACCCTTTTACAAAGTAAGAAACCAACCTTCTCTCGCAAACGTTCCAGTTTGGCAGCCATTTGTGCCTCTCGGTTCTCTTTATTAGCTTCCATTTTGTGGGTCAGTTTCTCTTCTGCCATTTTACTGAAGTTGTTGTTCTCTTCTATTGCCTTCTGAAGCACTTCTTTCTCGTGCTCTCGTTTCTCAGCCAGCTGCTTCAAGACCTCAGCTTCATGGGACTGGAAAAAAAAGTTTAATAGGCTAGGCACTCTAAAATGTATTCAGGCTGGGTGTGGTGGCTCACGCCTGTAATCCCAGCACTTTGGGAGGCCAAGGTGGGTGGATCATTTGAGGTCAGGAGTTCAAGACCAGCCTGGCCAACATGGTGAAATCCTACCTATACTAAAAATACAAAAATTAGCCGGGCGTGGTGGCGGGTGCCTGTAGTCTAAGTTACTTGGGAGGCTGAGGCAGAAGAATTGCTTGAACCCGGGAGGTGGAGGTTGCAGTGAACTGAGATCGTGCCACTGCACTCCACCCTGGGTGACAGAGACTCTGCCTCAAAAAATAAAATGTATTCAGCATAAGTTAAAATTACAATAAAAATAATTTACTAAGGGGATTGAAAAGGGGCAGAAAATAAGGTCCCTTTAAATAACACCAAAATTAGGACCTGAATTATCCCTATCATAAAATACTGTGAAAATGATATTCTTTTTCTAGTATTTGTATTTAACTTTGGAAAAGTGCTTATCTGTTCAGAAATCTTACCCAATTAGTCCTTAAGGAAATCCTTGTAAGATTTACTGCTTAATGGTATCTGGATGACTTGAGGAATATGTACTTGCGAGTGGCACTTTTATTGTAAAGAATTTCACTATTTAACTTCAAAAGCTACCCAAAGAAAACTAGCTCATTGTAAAAATTTTAACCATAACTGATAAAACAATGATAGGAAATTCAAGACTAAGTCTGTAGATTACTATTTAAGACAGAAAAATTTGTTTCAAGGAAAAGGCTTATTAGCTTTTGTCTCAGGAAACTGCATTAATTACCAGACCATACCTTGGTATGACCCCTTCAACAGAACAGCTTGTTCTCAAAACACATTGGAACCACTGACTTGCAGGATAACCACAGAGCATCTGACACTGGTTCTATTGATTCTCTTCTGCCAAATCCTAGTCATGATGGGAGTTTCATTATATTTAGCCAGTTACTATGTAAAGCACAGGCTAATGACTACAGGGCCAGGGTTGATGTCTAAAAAGCTTTCCACTGTCCAACCTTTGGTTGTATTGCTTCCTCCTACTCCATGAACTCACACTATTGCATAGAAGACGACTCCTTAGTGTAAGCACTGAGGCTCTTCGGGCGGGTGTGTGTGTATACTACAAATCACTATGCTGGTCTGGGGAAGGTTATTACCTTACCTTTTGTGCCTCACTTGCCCCAGCTTTAAAATCAATCCTATCAGGGTTGTTGAGAAAGGGAGTTAAATGAAAAGTTATGTACAGTTGTTAATGAGTAACATTGAATGGAAAGAAACACACCAAAATGTTAACACTGGTTGCTTCTCGGAAGCGGGATAATGAATACTTTTAATTTCCATTTATAAATTTCTGTATTTCCCAAATTTTCTACAACTAGCATATTAATATTTATTGATTCTTCTGATTAGCTTTTAAAGATAGTTACTTTATAATAGAATTGTTTAGATAAGAGAAAAGCTACCATGATACCAGCTGAGCAACACAATCACACTAGCAATTTAAAATGTTATTGTACAGCTCTCAAAAAACAAAACCAAAGTGCCAAAGAATCATCTGGCAACAAATCTTTTCAAAGAGGAAGCATGAGAGAAGCATGAGCTTTGGTTTAAGATAGACCAGGGCTTGAATTCTGACCCCAACACTTACTAGTTGTATGACTGCAGAAAAACGACTTAACATTCCTGAAACTGTTTCTAATTTCCATTATTTGAGGCAACACCATGTATTAAAGGAGAAAAATATAAACAAAGGAGCGGGCATGTAACAGGAGTTCAATAAATGAGGACTGGTATTTCCTTCCAGTCACTGGCATATGTAATAATCACAGTGTAGCTACAATTCTGTTTTCTTCCTGTTATAGAAATAAAATTGATCTGCCCATTACATAAATTAATATCCTGCTTTCTGTGAATTGCTTCGTTTACCTTGCGTCTTTCTTCTGCAGCTTCTAATTTCTTCTGAATTTCCTCCAGGGAAAGATCCTTCTTCTTTGGAGGGGAAAGGGGGAATTCTGGAACAGATTCTTTTGACCGAGGGCTGAGAATCAGCTCAAAAGCCTGGCCTGAGGCACGCTTCTCCAGTTCTTTCACCTGGATATCTAGAATTGATTATATTTATAATTCAGAAAACCAGGATTCTCCTGTTCTAATAAACTGTACTATAATTTTCTAAAACCCAAATCAATTTAATGTATTAAACTAGGGCTGATGAGGAAAGTTGTGTTTTTTTTCCCCTTTTTATTCCTATCAGTCTACTGACACTAGGGGAAGATGTATTTGCAGGCAAGATATTATTATCTAAATACCATTTCCCAAGGCCAGGTACCATGGCTCATGCCTATAATCCCAGCACCGTGGGAGGCCAACATGGGAAGATCCCTTGAGCCCTGAAGTTTGAGACCAGCCTGGGCAACAAAGGGAAAGCCCATCTCTACAAAAAAAATTTTTTTTGATTAGGTGGGTGTGGTGGCCCATGTCGATAGTCCCAGATGCTATGGAGGCTGAGGTGGGAGAATCGCTTGAGCCCACTTGAGCTCCAGAAGTCAAGGCTGCAATGAGCTATAATTAAGCCACTGCACTCCAGCCTGGGCAACAAGGTGAGACCCTGTCTCAAAAAAAATAAAAACCATCTCCCAGAAAAACAAAGCTCAACATTTTTGGATTAATAAATACTGTTTTGAGACATCAGTATCTGACAATCGCTTTCATAAACAAAAGACTTGTGCAAACTCCACAATTTTGCTTCAGACTAAGCCAAACTGTCCAATAAACAATTACGAGCTCTCGGCACATTCAAGTGATAATCATTTTTAAATTCTTCTCCTATTCATAAAATAGGTTTTGGTAAGACCAAAACATAAGTGCCAAATCAAAGGCGAAGACCTGAGCCATCTCAATCTAAAATCATAAGCCCATTACAATTTCAGATTTTCCAAATAGATTACCTACCAGAAGAAGCCATGGTGAATAGAAGACAAGCGACAGGCAGTGTATTCTGCACAATCAACTGGGATAAGGAAAGTCCTGAAAATGATTTTCAAAAACATGCAATCACTTTCTTTGCCTTTCTATATGTCATCAACCCAAAAAAATCTCACATCACATCTACATACATCGTCAGAAAAATACGTGGAATAAAGACGTCTAAATTAACCACGAAAAAAATTATCAAAATCTACTAAATAAACATTGGGAAATATGACCTGAATATGATATTGGTTCCAGAAAATCAAGTTAACTGAGCTTTCTCGGTCATAAAACTCTTGGATTTTTAAAATCAGACAAAGTCACAAGGGTGAAGAATTTTTCCCCCATAAACTCTTTAACATTTCACCGAAACTGTAAGAAGATATTCCAGATTCAACTCAACAGTGCCCCCGGAGCCATCTTAATACTGCCTACAACTCATTGTGCAAATGAAATACCCACCCCTGCTTTGTCTGTGTCTGACGTGGTGGATAAGAAAACGCCCAAGCTAATAGTAACCAATAATGTTGAACTCCTATTGTCCCTCAGGTTTAAGCTTCCTTGCCCAACAGCAAGCAAAATGTTTATGAACCTCTAGATTTTGACTTATATTTGCTGCCGTTATGTCATGAAAAATGCTGTATCTCTTGTTGATCTTTTTAACATTATGACTTTTGTAGACGCCAGCTAGTACCAAAAACGTAGGATGACAGGTTCCCAAAAGCTAGGAATTAAAATCAGAGGCAGCGACAAGATTTAAGAAAAGCAGAGAATTAGACGCAGCACCGGACCCAGGATGGGCGTGGCCCTGGTCCGGGCGAGGAAAAGAGGACCGGTCGCCCCCGGCCAATCAGAGCACGCCTTGCGCTCCGGCCCCTGGCCCCGCCCCCTTCCTCCCCGCGCCTTTTCGAATCTCCCCGAACTCAACACCCCGGAGCCCGCGCGCGTGGGAAGGGGAGGGGTGGGCGGGGCTAACGGTCCAATCCGGGTAACTCCGCCCCTGCCTGACTCCCCCTGCGCGGACGCCCCCCCCAACTCCCGCCAAAAACACCTCCAGGCCGCCGCCACCACCCCCTTCACAGTTCAGCGGGTGGGGCAGGCCCCGGGAACAGGCCCCCGGGTGGTCCCGCGGTGAGCTCGCCACCGCCTCCCGCCGTCCCCATGCCCAACCTGCCGCCACCCACGCTGTCCGCGCGTCCGGCCGCGAAGACAGAAGAACCCTCGTGGGGCCCGGGAGCGCCGCCCCTCAATCACCAGCTGCGGTCGCCAGGGGACGGTCGCAGGGAGGGTCGCGGCCCTGGCTGCCCGCAGTTTGGTCCTAAAGCCGCTGGTCCCTGGGGCACCGCCCCGTCCCTTCAGACAATGGGGAACCCGGCGGGGCCCGCAGGGAAGGGAGGGAGGGAGGGAGGTAAACGAGGGCCCACGCCCCCTATTGTCTCCTCGACGGCACCCCGGAGCGGACGCCCGGTGATCGCCCAGCCCCCTGCCCACGAACAGCCGCGCCCCCGGAGAGCGGGGACAAAGGCGAGGCTCCGCCCGAGCCACACACAAAGCGGAGCGACCCCCGCCCACCAACCCCTCCGAGGCCCGCAGCCCCGCCCGCCGCCCTGCAGCAGGGGGTCGCTGCCACGGCCCAGCCCCTCCCGCCGACCGCGTCCCTCTTGCTGGCCTCAGCCAGCCGCCGCCTCCTCCGAGCCCCGCACCCACCTGCTCAGTCCGAGCCGCCTGACCACACTCTGAGCACCAACAGACCCGGGCGCGCACAAAAGCGCCAAACAGAGGCACGTGACCTCCGCGCGGGGCTCCGCATTGGCCGAGAGCGGCGGCACGTGCCGCCCCCGCCCCCCACAACCCGCGTGGAGCGCCGCCCCCCGGGACCCCGAAGCACCTCGGGAAGTGTAGTCCTGTCCCGGAGGGCAGGAGGACAATGCCGGGGGTTGCAGGGCGCCTGGGGAGCATCCCCAGGTGTGGGCCTGGGACTAGGGGGGTGGTCTCGCCGTGGAAGAGGGCGTGGCAGTGGACCCCGGACTAGGTCCGAACCAGCTCCCCATTCTCGAGAACAAGGGCAGGGCGGAGCAGGCGGAGGGCGGGGGGGTCCTTCCCTACCTTTCCAAACTTTGGCCGCCTGGACTCCACCTTGTAGAGCCACATGCCCGCCTCGCCCCAAGGGCAGCACTCGGACAGAGCAGTGCCCCTTCTAGTGCGCCACCCACATGGGTGCCTAAGACGCCCGAGCCCCTGTGACAGCACAATGCCACTCCACGCCCCTGCAGGGCCCCCTGCCCCCGGCACCCTACACCGACACCGGCGTGTCACCCATATTGTGACATCATCGTAATTTCTAATCCACTCAGCCCACAGGTCGCGGGCGTGGCCCTTCCCTCACTGTGTGCGTTCTTGCCAGCATCCTCAGGTTCCCGAGCCGGTGACCAGGGACCTGTGCGGGAAAGCGTGGGGCTCTGGAATTTGATCGCCTTTGGTCTAACAAAGCCACTCAGCTTAAATGCAGACTCCATCTGTTCTTCCAAGCCTTCTGCGGATGATAGGGGAGGAAGAGCAATAGCCGTTCTAGACTACACAGATTGCAGTTAAGTGTTGCTTTTGTTCTCAGAGCACGTGCTCCCCAGAGCAGCACTGGGTTCTTTTTAAAAATCGAAAAAGGAGCCACAAGGTCACTGTTCTCCCTGACCTGGATAGCTCAGAACCTCAGCAAAGGCACAAAGGAAATTGGTCTGACCGTGCCTTAGAATAACTGGCCCTTTCTCTCACAAAAAGGGGAAAAAAATAAATGAAATGAACATGGTCCCCGCCTCCTCCCATTCTCTGACCAAGACCGTGTCCTCGGTTGGTGGTCAATACACCAAGACACCTGCTTTGAGATCTTGACTAAGCAGAAGAGATATCTTTATTTTATTAATGAGCTGCATCTCCCCAAATCAAGAAACAAATGTGACCAACCTTCCTGAAACAACAGTCCTAATTTAGAAAGACTCTCATGCCTAGTTAGTCACCAGGGATGTGCCAGAGATAAAATACAACTAAGGGGTGCCCAAGACAATAAAAACTGGATCATACAAGCAGCAGCACACTACACAAAGCAAACAATTAGCAATGCGCTGTTGCCTGAAATATGCTTGTTGCGGCATTTTTTCCAACAATCGCCCTTGTGTGGGGTCGGCCTCCCCCCCAAGCCAATCGAAGTGGTTTTCACTTAGCCTGTGAGCAGGACCAGGAATAATTCAGATACTGAGCCTTGAAAGGCTTCTTCTCAGACCAAACTTAGCTTCAAAATGGCTAGGTGCTTCCGTCTGTCATTTTTCTGAACAGAATCTCAGACATCATTAGAAAAGTTGGAGAAGGATGGGCATGAGACCCCTCAGGAAAGCGACAGATAGGCAGGCAACACAAATGAGCAAGGAACCCAAGCCCAAGAGGTCCTTACCCACTGAACAGGCTTTTTATCTTGAAGTCTTTGTATTTGATCTGGAGGTTCACAGAGGAAGGTCCCACTCATTTAATGCATTTTTTTAAGTACAATAAATTGCCACACAAAAGTCTCACATTCCTGACTATTAATGTTGTGACAGAAAAAAGAAATAAATCTTTCAAAACACTGATAATTTGAAAGCACTTACACTGCTTCCCCCCACATTTTCTTTCTCCCTAGAGCAGATGTCTATTTCCATGGAAACCATAGCAAGGAACGTAGATGTTAGAACTCATGTTCATTTTTAATCTTTTTTAGCAATGCCACTTGGCTTCTGGGTTTGTTGGGAGATGCCTGGTTCTGCCAGTCTGTGACAATGTTCCAAGCTCCTCACAGCTGCTTGAGGACTGAGAGGGCTGGGTTAAAGTTTCCCCTAGAATGAGCCTTTGAATAAAAAGGTGCTTTTGAGGTGGGATTCCTGTCCTTTTATTATTATTATTATTATTATTATTATTATTATTATTATTATTATTATTTGACTTAAAAAAAATTGAGACAGGGTCTCACTATGTTGCCCAGGTTGGCCTCGAACTCCTGGGTTCAAGCAATCCTCTTGTCTCAGCCTCCCAAAGTGCTGGGATTACAGGCATGAGCCACCACACCCAGTCTGATCCTTGTTCTTTAGGGTGGGGCTGCCTTCCCAAGAGCCAGATCACAGCTCATTATTGTCAGCTTTTGTGGGTGTCCTATATAAGCCTTGGAATAGGAAGGGCTTTCAACTGTAAGGAGAGACAACAGTTTTGCCACTTCACCTTGGAGAGGGGCAGAATCGCCCTTCTCGAAAGCTTCCTAAAACGAACTTCAAGATCCACTCTCTTCTGAAGTGGCAGCAAGGAGTTAATGTTCACATCTTGGAACTGTCTATCTTTGCCCATAAGAATTATTTTTGCTTCTGCTCAGATG
The DNA here is from genome assembly GCF_000001405.40 of Homo sapiens. NCBI lineage: Eukaryota > Metazoa > Chordata > Mammalia > Primates > Hominidae > Homo > Homo sapiens. The sequence goes on from NC_000001.11 coordinate 25,909,072, forward strand.
GTTTGGTTGGATTGTTATGGAGCTGGCTGTGACTATGGAGCCACACAACGAAGTGGAGATAGGGCAGTCATCCAGCTTATTTGATCTGTGTAGACAGCTAAAGGAGAGCACTTCAGGCTTCAAAGTCTAGAAGGAATGTCTACACTGATCAAACGGCGGGCCAGGCCGTTGTCAGATCTCCTCTCCTGCCAGAGAGCCCGGCAGCCTTTGTTCATTGTTGGGCTTGAGGCTGCAGGGTTTGTCTCCCACATGGCGCCTCCAAGTTCCACAGCTGCTTTCGAGGCCTGTCCTCGGCCAAAGGGTGTCGTGGGAGAGGTTTGCTTGTTGTCCCCGGTCTCTCTGTTCCCTTTGTCTCCTAATCCTCAAGCACTATGCTCTAACACTCCCTTCTCTATTCAAAACCTGTCTATGAGTCTGCTGTTTTACACATCGATCTCCCTCACTAGACCATTAGGTCCTAGAGGGCAGGGTGCTGTCTTTGTCTTGGTATCCCTAGTGCAGTGCCCATCCTCAGGCCTGGCCCAGGATGATGGCGCCTGAATGTTTGCAGAGAACTTTGGGAAAGAACAACCTCTTGGCCGGGCACGCTGGCTCACACCTCTAATCCCAGCACTTTGGGAGGCTGAGGCAGGCGGATCACAAGGTCAGGAGATCGAGACCATCCTGGCTAACACGATGAAACCCCGTCTCTACTAAAAATACAAAAAATTAGCCAGGCATGGTGGCGGGCGCCTGTAGTCCCAGCTACGCACGAGGCTGAGGCAGGAGAATGGCATGAACCTGGGAGGTGGAGGTTGCAGTGAGCCGAGTTCACGCCACTGCCTTCCAGCCTGGGCGACACAGCAAGACTCCGTCTCACAAAAAAAAAAAAAAAGAACAACCTCTCTCATCCTTCTGTGATCTTCTGTCTCTTCTGTGATATTAGACACTTGCACTCTGGGAGTGGTGAGGATTAAATGAAATAATGTAAATGAAAACAGCACAATGCCTGGCACATTTAAAGTGCTGTGCACTTGTTAGGTATCATTGCTAGAGATGTTTCCTGATTGCTATAGATTATTTTATTTTTATTTTTTGAGACGGAGTTTTGCTTTTGTTGCCCAGGCTGCAGTGCAGTGGTGCAATCTCAGCTCACTGCAACCTCCGCCTCCCAGGTTCAAGCGATTCTCCCGCCTCAGCCTCCTGAGTAGCTGGGATTACAGGTGTGCGCCACCATGCCCAGCTAATTTTTTGTATTTTTAGTAGAGATGGGGTTTCATCACGTTGATCAGGCTGGTCTCAAACTCCTGACCTCAGGTGATCCACCTGCCTCGGCCTCCCAAAGTGCAGGGATTACAGGCGTGAGCCGCGGTGCCTGGCCTGCTATAGGTTATTGAATGAGTGAATGACTATTAGACTTTCACCCTTTGATGGAAATTGTAGTTACTGGGTTAACTCTTCCCATGGGGTTAAATTCAATTCATTTAACACTTTATTTTTTATTTTTATTTTTATTTTTATTTTTTTGAGCAACAAGGCTGTTTATTTCACCTGGATGCAGGCGGGCTGAGTCCGAAAAGAGAGTCAGCAAAGGGTGGTGGGATTATCATTGGTTCTTATAGGTTTTGGGATAGGCAGTAGAGTTAAGAGCAATGTTTTGGGGGCAGGGGATGGATCTCACAAAGTACATTCTCAAGGGTGGGGAGAATTACAAAGAAACTTCTTAAGGGTGGGTGACATTATAAAGAACCTTCTTAAGGGTGGGGGAGATTACAAAGTACATTGATCAGTTAAGGTGGGGCAGAAACAAATCACAATGGTGGAATGTCATCAGTTAAGGCTATTTTCACTTCTGTGGATCTTCAGTTGCTTCAGGCCATCTTGATATATACGTGCAGGTCACTGGGGATATGATGGCTTAGCTTGGGCTCAGAGGCCTGACATTCCTGTCCTCCACTGTAAGAGTTACCCGAAGCTCGGCGTCCATGATGGCCCAGGGGGCTTCCGAGGCGATCGGGCTGTGTCAGTCTTCAGTCGCTAAGCCGAGAAGATCCAATTTAAAATCAGTGAGATGTTCCTTGGGCTGGTTGGTCTGTTCATAAATTTGGAAAGGAGAGCTTTATTTCTCATAAAGATTTGCAGCCTATAGGGTGGCCATTCTTACAGGCTGGGAAATGTAGCCTCTGGTCAGAAGCTCTCATGTAACACTTTAAATAGGTAACACATTCACATGGTTTAAAAATAAAGTATAAGAAGCCCTCCTTATCTTCCAAGTTCTCTACCAACCACTCCCCCACCATAATCTCTGTTAATCAGTTTCCTGTGTATCCAGGAGTTTCTTCATGTGTACACAAGCAAACTTGTAGGTATGCATTCATATCCCCTCTCTTTTTACACACATGATAGCCTCCTGTAACTGTTCTTTGCTTAGCAGTTTTCACTTAACAATACATGTCAGGGTCTGGGTGTGGTAGCTCACACCTGTAATCCCAGCACTTTGGGAAGCCAGGGCAGAATAATCACCTGAGGCTTAGAGTTTGAGACCACCCTGGGCTACATAGCAAGAACCTGTCTCTACAAATAAATGAAAAAATACAAATAAATAAATAAAATTAGCTGGGCATGGTGGCACGGGCCTGTAGTCCTAGCTAAGGTGGGAGGACCACCTGCAGTGAGCCATGATCACGCCGCTGTTCCCCAGCCTGGGTGACAGAACGAGACCCTGTCTCTTTGTTTTTTGAGTCAGAATCTTACTCTGTAACCCAAGCTGAAGGAGACAGGATCTCGCTCTGTCACCCAGGCTGGAGTGCAGCGGCACAATCTCAACTCATTACAACCTCCGCCTCCTGGGTTCAAGGGATTCTCCTGCCTTAGCCTCCTGAGTAACTGGGATTACAGGCACATGTCACCACGCCTGGCTAATTTTTTGTATTTTTAGTAGAGATGGGTTTTCACCATGTTGGCCAGGCTGGCTTTGAACTACTGACCTCAAGTGATCCACCCGCCTTGACTTCCCAAAGTGCTGGGATTACAGATGTGAGCCACCACACCTGGCCAGAGACGCTGTCTCTTAAACAAACAAACAAAAACCACGTCAGGGGTCTTTTCCCTGTTCATACATCAAGGATTTCTTTGATCTGGTGTCCATGGTATGAATATTCCAAGATGCAGTTAACCAGTGGGATATCTGTGGCTCTTTAGGTTATTCCCAGTTATTCAGAATAGCTCACCATGCTGTAATGAATGACCTAGTTCATATGGCATTTCCTATGGGTGTGAGTATATCTGCAAGACATATTCCTAGAAATGGTATTTCAGGGCTAAAAGGCAAGCACATTTGTAATTTGGATGGTGCCAAATTGCCTTCCACGTTGTACCAATTCAACACTCACCATGTGGCACTTTAATTCATTATCTCAACTCATTCAAAAATGATTTGCAAGGCTTTGTCCCTAGAAATTTCAGGCATTAGAGAAAAGGAGGGGGAGGAGCCAAAATCCCAAGAAAGACATGGCTGTCAATTCTGTCTATATTAATAACTCCTATAAATATTTGACTAGCAACAGGCTGATCTCAGAACAGCTCTAGTGCCTGCACTGTGGCACCCGTCTCAGTCCTGTGACTCACATGGCTGCAATGAGATTGGAAGTGCACTTCCATTGGAAGAGACTGGACTGCACTGAGATTGGAAGTGCGCTGTGAGACTGGAAGCTTTCTGAAGGCAGGGTCTTTCTCATTGCTGTATCTCACTCCCCTCCCAATGTGCCTGGCACAGATCTTATTTATTTAATTAATTCTAAGATGTATTTTTTCCCCCACATTTTTTATCTTTGAAATCAGTTGGTCCTCATAGTCAATAAATAGCATGTTATAATTATTGGCAGCATTTTATCTTTTTTGTTGTTCTTGTTGTTTTGAGACAGGTTCTCACTTTGTCACCCTGGTTGGAGTGCAGTGGTGTGAACATGGCTCACTGCAGCTTCAACCTCTCAGGCTCAAGTGATCCTCCTGCCTCAGCCTTCTGAGTAGCTGGGACAACAGGTATGTGTCACCATGCCTGGCTAATTTTAAATTATTTTTTAGAGATGGGGTCTCACCACTTTGCCCAGGCTGGTCTTGAACTCCTGGTCTTAAGTGATCCTCCTGCCTTGGCCTCCCAAGGTGGTGGGGTTACAGGCATGAGCCAGTCCAGGCACACCTGGCCTAGACTGGAATCTTTTAAATGTTAATAGCTCACATAGAATGCTTACCACACAGCAGCCACTGGTCTAAACACTCCACATGTACTAACTCACTTAATTCTCATGACAGTCTTATGAGGTATTATTAGCTTAATTGCAAAGATGAGGCAATGAAGGTGACCAACTCTCCTGGTTTACCAGGGACTGAAGGGTTTTTCCAGGACTTGAGACTTTTAGTGCTAAAACAGGGAAAGTTCCAGGCAAGCCCAGATGAGTTGGTCATTCTAAATAAAGGAACTGATTCAGAATGCCTTTTTTAGAGGGAAAAATAATAATAAAATAAAGGAAACTGAGGCATGGAAAGATAGTAGCTTTTTAAAGTTTGTTTTTGTTTTTGTTTTTGTTTTTGTTTTAGACAGAGTTTCGCTCTTGTTGGTCAGGCTGGAGTGCAATGGCGCAATCTCGGCTCACCGCAACCTCCACCTTCCGGGTTCAAGCGATTCTCCTGCCTCAGCCTCCCGAGTAGCTGGGATTACAGGCATGCACCACCATGCCCGGCTAATTTTGTATTTTTAATAGAGACGTTTCTCCATGTTGGTTTCTCTATGTTGGTCAGGCTGGTCTCGAACTCCTGACCTTAGGTGATCCACCTGCCTCGGCCTCCCAAAGTGCTGGGATTACAGGCATAAGCCACCGTACCCGGCCCCTTTTTTAGATATGTCAGATGGGGTCCTTGTCCTAGGCCCTACTCTTTAGAGGGCTGCACCCTAATCCTCCTCCAGCTGTGTCCCTCCTCACAGTTCCCTGGGTCCAAAGAGATATGCCCGCCTGGAGCCTGTGCACCCCTTCTAGACCACCCTCTCAATACCCAGGACTCCAGAATTCCCTGCCAAAATGGCCCAAGTCCATTTTCAGCATCTGTGCCAACCCTTTCCCTGGTTCCATCCTCCCAAGGGCAAACTTCCTGCCAGTGAGTGCACCCCTGTGCTTAGAGCTGGCTGTTTGCAAGGGGTGTGAACAGAGGCTGAGCATGTGGGCTGGGGAATGCACACAGGAATGAGAAGAGAAGGGAGCTGGCTCTGCTACATTCTCACATGGAACTCCAGGGAATCCAAGAATTCTCAACTCAAAACCTGGCTTTCTAGGTTGTTATGGAGGTATATTTGTCAAGGTAGGAGGATAGAACATATATTTTTAAAAAATAGTTTGTTAGCTTGATTTATAACTCTTAAATACTTAGCCATATGGTATGTGGGCTTCCCTTCTATACTCCTGCCCTGGGTCTGGCAAACATTAGCAGCAGGTTTGCAGCAAGCTTAGATCACTTGTTCAACTAGGCCACACAGAAGCGGCAGAGCTTTTGTAGTCTGGCCCTGACTCTATGCTTTCAGCTATCACTCTAAACTGTTTTATCAGGCTACCCCTGTTATTTTACAAATAGGGGAGAAAAGACCAGAGAACTCTAGACATTTGCCCAATGTCACATGGCTAGTTCGTGTCATGTCAGGGGGAATTTGAATCCTGTCCTTTATATGATGCAGCAGGTACTGCTCAGTTACTATTTGTATGAGTGTGGGCACGTGACTTCCCCTTTTGGGGCCTGTGTTCCATCATCTGTGAAATGGGAAGAACACCCCTACCTCATAGAGCTGCCAGGACTAAATAAAATAATATATGTAAAGTCCCTAGCATTGTGTCTATACACAATAAACCCTCAGTAAGTGACAGCTAAGGTATTAGCTATCAAGGACAGCTCTGATCATGCCATTTTCTGCTTGAAAACATTCGACAAATTCAACTTTGGGACACATGATATGAGAAAAGCAAAAATTTCTGAAACCTAAAAAAAAAAAAAAAAAGACTCCCTTTCTTGGCTTAGAGGCCAAGGATTCCTGGCACAGCAGCTATAACCCTCCGTGAAGTCATTGCAGGTCTTTATCTCCATGAGGACCTCCAGGTCAGTCTTCCTCAAGGACCTCCCCCTCCTTTTCCCTGAGATTCTTTAATTCTTGATGCATGTGAAAATCTGTCTTCTTGGGCCGGTGGCAGTGGCTCACGCCTGTAATCTCAGCACTTTGGGAGGCCGAGGCGGGCGGATCACGAGGTCAGGAGATCGAGACCATCCTGGCTAACACGGTGAAACCCCATCTCTACTAAAAATACAAAAAATTAGCCAGGTGTGGGGGCGGGCGCCCATAGTCCCAGCTACTCAGGAGGCTGAGGCAGGAGAATGGCATGAACCCGGGAGGCAGAGCTTGCAGTGAGCCGAGATCACGCCACTGCACTCCAGCCTGGGTGACAGAGCAAGACTCTGTCTAAAAAAAAAAAAAGAAAATCTGTCTTCTCGGATGGATCGTTATAGAGAAGCACAACTAAGATGAACGGAAGAGCTCTGTGATCACTGGACTTAGCCAACAATAGAATGGACTGGGACCTATTCATGAATGAGATTCTTGTTATGGGACATGTGCCGACAAAGTCAAACATCAGAAATGTTGAATCGGGATTCTTGCATTAGAAGAGAGGTGGACTAAATGACCTCTCTTCCTGCTTTAAGGTCCTTTTTTAATGAGATGGGGAAAGGCTCATTATATTGCGCTAAATAGAACAAACAAAGCCTACCCAATTGCACAATATGAGTTCGACTAGGAACAAAATACATTGAAGAAAATGCACCAAAATAATAGTTCTGGAAAGAAAATAACAATTGAGTTTGCTTTCCTTCTTTATACTATTCTGGATTTTCCAAACTTCTTAAAATGAACTTGTATTACTTGTATTAATGACAAAAATTATATATATATTTTTTCTTTCTGAGGCAGAGTTTTGCTCTTGTTGCCCAAGCTAGAGTGCAATGGCATGATCTCGGCTCACTGCAACTTCTGCCTCCCAGGTTCAAGCCATTCTCCTGCCTCAGCCTCCGAAGTAGCTGGGATCACAGGTGCACGCCATTACGCCCAGCTAATTTTTTGTATTTTTAGTAGAAACGGGGTCTCACCATGTTGAACAGGCTGGTCTCAAACTCCTGACCTCAGGTGATCTGCTGGCCTCGGCCTCCCAAAGTGCTGGGATTACAGGCGTGAGCCGCTGTGCCTTGCCCCAACAATTATATTTAAAAAATAGAAGAGACTTTTGTCCTCCTTGCCCATCTTATGTCCTGTGTCTCTGAAACCTCTATATTCACTCTCACTCCTTCCACTCCCCCACCAAGTTTCAGCTTTATTGGACTGTTGGCAGCTCTCTGAAAGGTTACATGCCTATATGTCCCATTGTTTTGCTGACACCAACTGCCTTAGTTCAGGCTGTTGTAACAGAACAACATTGACTGGGTGGCTTAACCAACAAACATTTATAACTCACAGTCCTGGAGGCTGGGAAGTCCAAGTTCAAGGTGCCAGCAGATCTGATGGCTGGTGAGGGCTCTTTTCCTGGTTTGCAGAAAGACATCTTCTTGTTGAGATGGCTGAGAGCACAAAGAGATTCCGTGTCTCCTCTTTTTATACGGGCACTAATCCCATTCATGAGGGCTCTAGCCTCATGACCTAATTACCTCCCAAAGGCTCTACCTCCAAATACCATTACAGTGGGCCATAGGCTTCAACATATGAATGTGGGAGAGAACACAACATTCAGTCTACAGTACCAGCCCTCATAAGGCCTTGAGTCCCTTGGCTTCTGTCTATATTGAAATTCTCTCCACCTTCAAGGTCTTGACTAACCTCTCTCTCCCTCACCACTATGCTGCTGTTGCAGCTATCCATATACATGTCTGTCCCTCTCACTAGTGAGTAAACTCCTTCAGGGCAGGATCCTATGTGATTCTGTCTTGCCATCCCTGAAGTGCCACAGACACTCTGTGAGTGTTGAATCATTTGGCCAGTGTCTTTTTGGCCACCAAACAACACTTAGGGCTTAAGGTCAGATGGCATATCTGAGTGTATAATCTGCAGTCTAGTCCCTTGCAAATTCAAAAAGACTATTCCAGTGACATCTCTTTCTTTCTTTTTTTTTTTTTTTTGAGATGGAGTCTCGCTTTGTCACCCAAGCTGGAGTGCAGTGGCACCATCTCAGCTCACTGCAAACTCTGCCTCCTGGGTTCAAGTGATTTTCCTGCCTCAGCCTCCTGAGTAGCTGGGATTACAGTTGCGCACCACCACACCTGGCTAATTTTTGTATTTTTAGTAGAGACGGAGTTTCAGCATGTTGGTCAGGCTGGTCTCAAACTCCTGACCTCGTGATCCGCCTGCCTCGGCCTCCCAAAGTGCTGAGATTACAGGTGTGAGCCACCGCGCCTGGTCTCTTTTTTTTTTTTTTAAATTATTTTATTTGTTTTTAAACTTCAATTGAAATCAACCATTTTCGATTTCCAGAGAGTTGCAAAGATGGTACACGGAGTTCCCGTATGCCCTTCAGCCAGCTTCATTTGGTGTTAACATCTTACATAATCATGGTACATTTATCCAAACTAACAGATTAACATTGGTACAATACTATTAACTGAATGGCTGAATTTAATCGGATTCTCCATTTTTCCACTGGGGTCCCTTTTTGTGTTACAGGATCTAATCCAGGATACCACCTTGCACGTTGCATCTTGCCTCCTTAGCCAGTGACATTTATTTTAATGAGGAGGCCAGGGCTCGGCTCTTGTCCTCTGCTGGGCTTCTGGTGCTTCCTATGGGAAGATTGACGCTTCCTCCCACATGAAGCTAAAATGATTTTCATTTTAGATCTACTCTGTTTCTTGAATGGGCTCTTGTGGGCCTAGAAACAAGGGGGAATTACTAGTTTAATTCACTAAATTTCTGGGCCATTCCGTAGCCCATTTTTCCATGCCTTGGCACGGAGCTTGATCCTAGTCACTTAAAAAGCTTCCAAGCAGTTGGCTTCTATCAGCAATCTTAGCAATTCAGTGAGAACAGAGGTTACAGCTGTCACAGGAAGTGGAAACGAAGGCTGCTGATATCACACCCATTCTGAGACGGATGAAAGTCTACACGTTGTAGAAGTCAAGCTGGGAAGCTGGGGGTGGCTGGGGTGTCAGGTGGCAAAGGGTGGGATGCTGTGCAAGAGAAAATACAGGAGGGGAAGAAAAGCAGATGTGTCATTCATTGGAACTCCATTGATTTTTTTTTTTTTTTTTTGAGATGGAGTCTCACTCTCTCACCCAGGCTGGAATGCAGTGGTGCGATCTTGGTTCACTGCAACCTCAGCCTCTTGGGTTCAAGCGATTTCCCTGCCTCAGCTATCAGAGTGGCTGGGATTAAAGGCACACGCCACCATAGCCAGCTAATTTTTCTATTTTTATTAGAGACAGGGTTTCACCACGTTGGCTAGGGTGGTCTCAAACTCCTGATCTTAAGTGATTCGCCTGCCTCAGCTTCCCAAACTGCTGGAATTACAGGCGTGAACCACCACCCCAGCCTGGAACCCCTTCGATTGTAGACCTTGGGGGCTTATTGCTCTTAGATACCAAGACCTCTTTCAACTAAGCCCGTGCATGAATGAGAAAGCAGTACTGCCCTGGGGTGGATGCAGGCCCCATCACTCTACTGGATTACCAGGCAGCCTCCCAATTGGTCCTCAGTCTGCCCCTCCCACATAGGCGCTCATAACCCAAATCCCTACGGAGGGGTCAGGAGAAGAGGCGGCACCAGAGGGGACAGAGCAGGCAGCACACTGGAGAGTGCAGGCCCCACCCGGGCAGGAGGACGAGCATGTTCTGCTGATACCTTAAAAAAAAAAAAAAAATTGGCTTGGCGCGGTGGCTCACGCCAGTAATCCCAGCACTTTGGGAGGCCAAGGCGGGAGGATCATGAGGTCAGGAGATCGAGACCATCCTGGCTAACGCGGTGAAACCCCGTCTCTACTAAAAATACAAAAAAAATTAGCCAGGCATGGTGGCCAGGTGCCTGTAGTCCCAGCTACTCGGGAGCCTGAGGCAGGAGAATGGCGTGAACCCGGGAGGTGGAGCTTGCAGTGAGCCGAGGTTGCGCCACTGCCCTCCAGCCTGGGCGACACAGCAAGACTCGGTCTTGAAAAAAAAAAAAAGAAAAAAAAATTTTTCCAGCTGGGCATGGTGGCTCACGCCTGTAATCCCAACACTTTGGGAGGCCAAGATGGGCAGATCACTTGAGCCCAGGAGTTCCAGATCAGCCTGGCCAATATGGCGAAACCCCATCTCTACTAAAAATACTGGCCGTGGTGGCTCACACCTGTAGTCCCAGCAACTCGGGAGGATGAAGCAGGAGAATGCTTGAACCTGGGAGGCTGAGGCTGCAGTGATCCAAGATTGAGCCACTTTACTCTAGCCTGGGCGACAGAGAGAGACTCTGTCTAAAAAAAAAAAAAAAAAAAAAAAAAAAAAAAATCCTACTTTTATTTCAGGAGGTACATGTGCAGATTTCTTAAATGGGTATAATGTGTGATGCTGAGGTTTGGGATACCAATGATCTTGCCACCCAGATGGTAGCATAGATTACCCAACAGTTGGTTTTTCAAGTCTGTTTTCTTCATTACCATAGAACAGTGCCTGACAAATACTAGGTTCTCAATACATAGTTGGTATATGAACCAGCCAAGTTCATTAGGGGCTCAGAGCACAGTGGTTAAGAGTGTGGGCTCTGGAGTCAGGGTCTCTGAGTTCACATCCTGATTCTGCCTCTTACCTTCCGCAGAGTTTTTAGGATGAGTACCAGAAAACTCAGCCCAGGGAAGAATTTGTTGTTTTGATGCTGATTGTCCATTCATTCAACAGAAGGTTACTGATGAACCATGAGGTGTCATGTCTTGTACTAGGCCCTGGGAGCACAGGAAGAAAGAAGGCATGTCCCTGGCCTCAAGAGCTCATAGTAAGTAGACAAGCAGCTCAGAGCACTGATGGGGCGCAGGGGAGCAGAGGCTAACCCAGGCAGCGGAGGGGAAACAAGGAAGGCCTCCTAGAGAAAGGGGTGGCTGAGCTGATGAGGCCTGAAGGAAGCTTGTAGGCAAAGAGGAATGGGGAGAGGGTGCCAGGAAGAGGAAATAGCACAGCCAAATGCCTAGAAGAAGCCAGCCTAGAGCAGTAGCTGAACTGCAAGTAGTTTGCCCTGTCCCTCCAGCAGGTTTCAAGTTGAGGGATGTTAACCCTGGATTTGAGACAGGGGAGGGGATCTGGGGCAGCAGCACCAAGGCCATTCCTTGTGAGGTAGGAGGCAGGACTCGACACTGAATGAGATTTAAGACTGGCTGACGTGCCTACCAGTGCCATGACAGTTTACCCATTCCCTAGCAACAACCTGGAAGTTACCACCTTTTTCTAGAAATTTCTGGATAACCGGCCAGGCGCGGTGACTCACACCTGTAATCCCAGCACTTTGGGAGGCTGAGGCAGGCGGATCACGAGGTCAGGAGTTCGAGACCAGCGTGGCCAGCATGATGAAACCCCATCTCTACTAAAAATACACAAATTAGCCAGGCATGATGGCACACACCTGTAATCCCAGCACCTCTGGAGGTTGAGGCAGGAGAATCACTTAAACCCGGGAGGTGGAGGTTGCAGTGAGCCGAGATTGTACCACTGTACTCCAGCCTGGGCGACAGAGTGAGACTGTGTCTCAAATAAAAACAAATTTCTGAATAACCTGCCCCTTAATTTGCATGTAATTAAAAGTGGATATAAATGAAACTGCAGAACTGCCCCTGAGCTGCTAGACTCCACTCTCTCCTCAGTGGGAACAGTCACGGAGCTGTAACACTGCTGCCTCAATAAAGCTGTTTTCTTCTACCACTAGTTCACCCTTGAATTCTTTCCTGGTGGAAGCCAAGAACTTTCCCCAGTGGAGCGCCAGTGTTGAGGCTCCCCTGCCCTGCAAAATGTGTAAGCCCTTTGGGGTTGGGCGGGGAGCTAGGACTTTAAGGATGACCATCTAGAATCACAACATTGCAGGTTCTTTGAGCTGAGGGACCTGATGGGTCACACAGTCACTCTTGAATCCCTTCCCTGCATGTTGAAAAACTAAAAACCCAAAAAGTACAAAGAAGAAAATAACAATTATTCATATTTCCTATCACCTGGAATTAAACCACTGTTTACATTTTGACATACTTGTCTCCAGTATTTCATGAACATGCAGCTTAAAATTCCTTAAGTAATATATTAATGTACTGCCATTTTTATTTTATTTATTTATTTATTTATTTATTTATTGAGACAGAGTCTCGCTGCGTCACCCAGGCTGGATGGCAGTGGCGCGATCTCAGCTCACTGCAACCCCCGCCTCCTGGGTTCAAGCGATTATCTTGCCTCAGCCTCCCGAGTGACTGGGACTACAGGCGCCACCACGCCCGGCTAATTTTTGTATTTTTAGTAGAGATGGGGTTTCACTATGTTAGCCAGGTTGGTCTTGAACGCCTGACCTCGTGATCTGCCTGCCTTGGCCTCCCAAAGTGCTGGGATTACAGGGGTGAGTCACTGCACCCGGCTCTCATTTTAAAAAATAAAATTAGAATATTACAAAGAAAGCTGAAGTTGCCTCTCATCTCCACTTGCTATCCCAACTCCCCGCCCCTCTCTCCAGAGACAGCCACTCAGATGAATTAGGAGTGAACTGGAACTGAACTGAAAAGAACTGAATTGAAAATAATTTTTCAGTTATTTTTTAAAAAATGCTTTTATGTTCTGTTTGAATGTAATCACAGAAAATCCACAGTTCTGCTTAACATGTTACAAAAATTGTATTATATTGTATGCATTATTGTGCAACTTTCTACTTTTACTTAATATATTTTAGAGCTCTATCCATTTCTCTGCATGCATAGATCTGGCTTATTCCTTCTGTGATGCAGTGACCCGTTATGTAGATAGACCCCATTGTATTCATTCATTCCCTATGGACAGCCCTTGAGCTCTTTTCAGTGGTTTGTTATTAGATATGGTCCCGCAAGAGACAGCCTTCCTGAGTACATGTGCAAATATTTTTCTAGGGTAGAGACCAAGACATAGGATTATCTGGCACATGTCATGAATATTTCCAGTTTAAAGACAAATCCAGAGAATGCATTTCCCCATAACCTCACCAATATTTGCCATTGTCTAATTTTATTCCTTCCTTGCATTTTTGTAGCTGAAAAGACCGAGGCCTGAGGCTGGGTCACAGAGTGGGTTAGGTTCAGGGTCAAGACTAGACCCCACATCGCTTGGGGAAAGGAAAGGCCACGGTGTGAGAGGGAGTTGGCGGGGAGGGAATGGCTGAAATTAAACATGGTGATTATCCCACCATCAGTGGAAGTTATCCAGCAGCAGTGGACATGACTGCGAATCCTCCAGAAAATGGCTTCGCTGCGCTCCACGGATCTGCTCTCCCACCCCACCTGCGGCTTGCACAGCGACACACAAGCGTTGTGATTGGCTCTTCCTTGGCTGAGACAAGGGTGGGGACCGAAATGGCGTCTCTAACAGCTGATTTTTCAGGGCAGCAGCTCTGTGCTAGGAGAAGAGAAGGCCGGGCTCACTGGCGGTGCGGAGCCCGCCAGGGCCAATCCGCATCCGGGCGGAGGTGCAAGCCCGACCGCAGTACTGACACGTGCCGCGACGTCCCCTCCCGGCAGCTCGCGGGGACCTGGGAGCGGGTGGGGTCTCTGGCTGGCGGGGAGCCAGGGCTGCGGGAAACCGCACGAGGTCGCGTTCGCGAGTGGCGGAGAAGCCCAGACCCCCGGGCGCACGCGGCCGCGCCCACCCAGGTCGCTGGGAGGTGCCCGCCCGGGAGGCGCCGCGGCCAGTGCCTGCCGTTAGCTTCAGGAAGAACTAGGATTGAGTAAGAAACGACTAGGGATGGAAGCACTTGGCACTCCGGGTCTCGGAGCAGGCTGGGGACGCCCGCGGCAGGAACCTGGTCCTCCACTCCGGGTGCGGACCAAAGTCTGCTAGGGCTTCCCCGAAGTGGATTCAGTGACTCGGGAGAGGACCCAGCCCCTAGGCCCCATCCCCGGTTAAGGGCCAGTCTTGGTCTGGGTGTTTCTCTCCGGGAGCTGGTCGCAGGTTTCCGTTTTCCTCTTCAAGGAAGGAAAGACCAGCGAGAGAATTCGAGGGAAAGAACAAAAGCCGCCGGCACCGCCCAGCCCAATTTTTGGAGCCTGGGAGGCTGGCTCCCTTCCTCTGACCGCTGGGACGACTCGGAGGGCTGGCGCTTTTTCCTTCACCACCATTTCTTCCCAGCGACCAACTTTTGAGTCCTTGCTGTGTGCCAAGCACTTCACTGAGTGTCATATCTCACTTCCTCCCCACGACAATTGTAAGACATGACAGGCTTGGAAAGGAGAAGTCATTTGCCAAGGTCACGCGTGGAAAAAACGAGGGCTAGGAAATTCAGATCCTGGGTTTTAAATATTTTTGTATTAGAAAGGGTCTAAAAGTTAAATATTTGCAAACCTTTGCTAATCTTTCACAGATCCTTTTGAAATAATGACTATTGAGAATAAACCCTGCAGACATCTCCATACCGTTTTGTGTGTGTGTGTGTGTGTGTGTGTGTGTGTGTGTGTTTTAACTTGTCAGCCAGGCAGGTCCGTGGGAGGAGGGAGCAGCGCGCGAATGAGAGTGTAAACAGGTAACGAACACTTTTCTGGAAAGCAGTAGTGCCATTTCTATCGAGAGCTTTAAAAACTGTGCGTATCCTCTACTCGGGAAATGGCCACCCTCTGTGGAGATAGCAATAGTTTTCCACATGTAAAATCCCTGGGACCCAGCAATTCCTTTTAAGGGAATCCATTGTAGAGATGGGTGTGCTTGCACATATACAAAATGGCATACACACGTAAGGACGTTCATGACTGCACTGTTTCAGGAGCGAAGGATGAAAAACAACCCAGAAATGTATCAATAGAATTGATTAATTTAATCTGGCACTTCCATTTAAAGGAATTCTATGCAATATTTTAAGAAAATAAGGCAGTTCTCTATTTTATGTATAGAGCAATCATCAAGAAATATTAAGCAAAAAGAGGAAAGTGCAAAAGTATCTGATGTGCTACTGTTTCTATATGAAAAAGGGATCTATATTTTAAAATATATATATTTAAATATATAGATTCCCCCATAAGAAATATACACATGAAGAAAACAGGCAACCACATTGCCTTTAAGAAGAAAAACCTAACTATCACACTAGCCTTTAAGTGAAAAAAAAAAAAAAGAAAGAAAAAAGCAAAAAAAAAAGAAGGAATCACTGCTAAACGACCAAGCAGGAGAATTATTATTCTTATTGTGTAACCTTTAGTACCTTTGGAATTGTGTGCCATGTTTACATAACAACAATTCGAAATTCAACTTAAAAAAATAAATTCCCTGCCTCTAGACCCAGTACTTCTCCTTTTTGGAATCTAGCTTAAGGAAGTTAATGGATTTCAGACAAAGATTTATGCAAGAAGATATTCACTGAGGTGTTATCGTACAGGAAAAAGATGTAGGCAACTTAAAAGCCCAACAACAGAGGAACAGATAAGAAAATTATGGTATGTACATGTACTGCCTACCATGAAATCATAAAAAGAATGTTTATAAAAAATTTTATTGACATGGGAAAATGCTTATAACATTAAGTAATGAAGTCCTAGATAGAAAATTGTGTATGCAAGCTGGGCATGGTGGCTCACGCCTACAGTCTCAGTACTTGGGAGGCTGAGGCAGGGGGATCACTTGAGGCCAGGAGTTTTGAGACCAGCCTGGGTGATATAGGGAGACCCAGTCTCTGACCACTGTAACAGGAGCAGGCATAAAAAAATAATGGAAGAAAACATGCCAAAAAGTAAACAATTGTGGTTGCTGGACAGAGACACTGTGAGTGATATTTTTCCCCCCTCTGTAGCTTTCTTTCTTTTCTTTTTTTTTTTCTTCTTTTTTGAGACAGAGTCTTGCTCTGTCGCCAGGCTGGAGTGCAGTGGCACGATCTCGGCTCACTGCAACCTCCACCTCCCGGGTTCAAGCAATTCTCCTGCCTCAGCCTCCCGAGTAGCTGGGATTACAGGGCATGCCACTACGCTCAGCTAATTTTTGTATTTTTAGCAGAGACGTGGTTTCACCATGTTGGCCAGGATGGTCTCGATTTCTTGACCTTGTGATCTGCCTGCCTCGGCCTCCCAAAGTGCTGGGATTATAGGTGTGAGCCGCTGCGCCTGGCCCCTCTGTAGCTTTCTGTAGTTTTCAATTTTTTTTTGTAATGGGCCTCTGTGGCTAAGATTTTTTTTAACTTAAAAATAAATCCCCACAGTATTTAGGAAAATTAAAGATAATTTTCCTTATTAATTAAATATGGGGTTTCACCATGTTGCCCAGACTGGCGTACAGCTCTTTATGCAGGGTTTATTTCTAGAAGTAGAATTGATGGGTTAACATCAATTCTACAAAAAATACAAAAATTACAACCCCATCTCTACAAAAAATACAAAAATTACCCAGATGTAGTGGCGCGTGCTTGTAGTCCCAGCTATTCAAGGGGCTGAGGCAGGAGATCGCTTGAGCCCAGGAGGTTGAGGCTGCAGTGAGCCGAGATTGCACCACTGCACTCCAGCCTGAGTGACAGTGCCAAACCCTACCTCTTAAGAAAAAAAAAAAAAAAGCTGTACAAATGTTCAAAGTGTAACTATTAACAAAAGATTGTAAAAAACTTGTGTCTATTGGAGGAGATTACTTAAATAAGTTACAGAACATCCAAAATGTAGAATATTAAGCAGCAGTTAGAGAGAATGGGGTAGGTCTATTACTGTGGAAAAATCTAAGAATTATTATGGTAGGAAAAGCAACTTGCAGAGCCATATGGATGTTATGATTGCATTTATGCTAAAGAAAGAAAACCTGAAAGTGTGTGTTTGTGTTTGTACATAAACGTATGAAGGACATTAAACTGTTAATAATAGCTATCCAGGCTGGGTGCAGTGGCTCACACCTGTAATCCCAGCACTTTGGGAGGCTGAGGTGGGTGGATCACTTGAGCCAGGAGTTCAAGACCAGCCTGGGTAACATGGTGAAACCCCATCTCTAAAAAAAAAATACAAAAAATTAGCTGGGTATTGTGATTCATGCCTATAGTCCCAGCAGCTTGGAAGATTGAGGTGGGAGAATCACTTGAATCCAGGAGGTCAAGGCTGCAGTGAGCCATGATCGCCCCACTGCACTCCAGCCTGGGTGACACAGGGAGACCCCAGCTCAAAAACAAACAAACAAACAAACAAACAAACAAACAAACAAAATAGCTGTCTGATGAAGGGAATAGACTAAAAGGAGACTTTTACTATTTGCTCTATATTTATCTGTAGTGTTTGCATCTTTGTAGAAATGTGTTCATATCATTTGTGTAATTTTAAAGTAATAGTAATATAGGGGGGAAAGTGTAAGAATAGAGGAAGATCTGAAAAGATACACAACAAAATTATAAGTGGTTTCCACCAGGGGAGAGGGATTGGGGCTTGAGGTGATGGGTCATTTTCTCCATTTCCTTTATATTCTTTGGCATTGACTTTTTTCTTTCATAATGCCCACACATGAACTACCTTCATAATTAAAACAGCAACATCAAAAGCCCAGGCTGGTTGGTAGTAGCCTCTGCTTTTCACCAGTCCTCTCCTGTCTCTCCACACTAGCTCTCTGTTCTCTTATGTAAGGATCCTACTCACATCGAAAGCCCAGAAACTCAAAGCCCTAGATAATACCAGCCTCGTTTCTCCTTTTACCAAAGAGGATGAAACTGAGATGCTGAGACACAACCTCCGGGCTGCGAAAGTGGACTCAGGTGACCTGGATCCTAAGCCCCTCCTCTCCCACCTTCAATTTCCAGAGATAACCCCTAAGAGAGGGAGAGCCAAGGGCTGTTTCCACCAGGCTAGGGAGGTCAGGACTTGGAGGGCGGCCAGCCAGGCAGCATGGCCGGTGAAGCCGCAAATTAATGTTATCAATGTAGCATCAAATGAGGGAACAACAAACCCCATCATTTGCTGAGTTCCCTCTGGGCTCCGCTTCAAGCTCCCTTCCTAGACAATGGCTGGTCACAGACCCACGCAGACGCTGCCAGGTTTTCCAGAGAGACAGCGACAGAGCACTGGGCCAAATTGGCCTCTGGTGGCCAGCACACTGGGATTCACCTCTAATGACTTATCCCCTCCAAGGAGGCAGCCTGGGAACCCTCCCAGGGCGCAGGAGCAGTGCACTGGAAGATCTTTCGCTCTGAAGCAGGAGGCAACTGTGGTGTAGTAGGGGTAGGGCACTGGCTTGGAAGCAGGAAACTGGGGTTTCAGGATCCAGTACTGCCACGGTCTTGTTTTGTTACCCTGGCAACTCACCAGATCCTGTGAGTCTGGGAGTCAGGGGGTCAGGGGGGTGGGGGGCAAACAGGGACCTCAGTTTCTGGGGGAGAAAGGGTGGTGTCAAGCCCCCTCCCCCATCATGGCTGTTTCAGAATCCTAGATGTTGGTGGAGCTGCTGTTTCCTCTTCCCCAGCAGCTGCTGCCTGCCTGTCTCCATGGCAACCAGGCCAAAAGACTAATTTGCCAGGGTCCAGGCTCTGGAGCTTACCTTGTAGCTGAGTTTTCAACTAGTCTTTCAGGAAGTCAGGCCATTCCCACTCCCTAGAGCCTCTGACAGCATCCCCTAGCCATTGCATGGGAGCAGCAGGTCCTGGGCCAGCCAGAAAGAACACTCCATTTATCCCTTAGAAACCTTATCCACTCAGGAAGAGAACAAACAGCCTCATACCCTGTGGCCTTGTCATCACTGGTGATTTGTGTTTCAAAGACCCCTGTCCCTCTCTGTAGCTGCTCTGGGCTGCTAAGTAGGGATTTGTAAGAGCAGATGGCTTAGGGAATCAGTCACATGCAACGAAGTCCCCAGTCTTACCCCTTTCCATTTCCTCAGGCTTCTCCCTGCTGTCCGCTGGCCTATGGCTGGGTCCAGAAGTCCTGCTGTGGCTTGTCTGGTTCTAACCAGACCAAAACAAAAAATCTTAGGTGAGTGCAGAGACAAATGCATGTAGTCCCAGCGACTCGGGAAGCTGAGTTGGGAGGATCGCGTGAGCCCAGGAGTTCCAGGCTGTCATGCATCACCATCACACCTGTGAATAGCCACTACGCTCCAGCCTAGGCAACATAGGCAAAAAAAAAAATCACAAAAATCACCTTTCTTAGAAGGTCATCGAGGGTCTGGCAGGCAGAGTCTCACAGATTTTTTCCCTGGACCTGGTATAATTTGCCTAACTGTATTGGCTTCCCCCAGGGCCACTGCAAATTGAACAGCTATCTTTTTCTATGTGTGCTCTGATACCCCCGTTATAACATTCTGGAGGACAGGGATTATGTGGCCTGTCCATTCTCAGGACATGGCCCACTGCCTTGTACACAGTACATGGGTTCATGAACATGTCAACAGCACAGAAGCACATTTATGCACCAACCAAAAAATTTGACTGGAGTCAGGAGACCTGTTCTAGGCCTGGCCCTGCAGTGAACTTGCCGTACAGGTTTGAGCAAGTCTACTGCCTTTTCTGGGCCTTCCTATCCCACTCTGTGAAGTGAGTAAATGGGACTGTGATCTCTAAAGGGTTCTCCTCAGCCATCTCTCCAAGAGAGAAATCTACAGAGCTCTCCGTAGGAGGAACCAGGTCAAGATCCAGAGTTCTCTTCATATAAGGTTGTAGTGCATTATGATTAAAACTAGTCCTGCTTGGACCTGGGACAGGTGGCCTGGTATATGCTGGACCCAGTGGAAACCAACTCCTGCCATGGTGGCTAGGCTGAAGCCCTGCCTGATGGGGAGAGTTACACCAGTCAGCAGCAAACCAATGC
Organism: Homo sapiens; assembly: GCF_000001405.40. NCBI lineage: Eukaryota > Metazoa > Chordata > Mammalia > Primates > Hominidae > Homo > Homo sapiens. Next base: position 25,929,039 of record NC_000001.11, read on the forward strand.
AACTGGACCCTTCTGCTCTCAGGAACCACCAATAACCAACACCAGGTGCTCACAGAGAAGGTGGGACCCTGGAACTCGGGTCAAAACCTGGACTGCACTGCACTGAGTTGGAAGCCTAAGGTCCCAGCACACGTCCAGCTAGCAGCTGAGATCATTTCCTAAAAATCTTGCTTCCCGTGGGGCCTCACAGCAAAGCTCTATTGCTGAGATCATTTACGTGGGCTTCTTCCTTGCAGCCCAGAGAGGCAAACCAGTACACACAGATGTACACACCTAAACATGTCCCAAAAAGAACTCCAGGATGACCAGCAGCCTCCGTTCCCACAATAAGAAATAGCCATCATGGCCGGGCACAGTGGCTCACGCTTGTAATCCCAGCACTTTGGGAGTCCGAGGCGGGCAGATCACTTGAGATCGGGAGTTCAAGACCAGCCTGGCCAACTAAAAATACAAAAATTAGCCAGGCGTGGTGGTGGGCACCTGTAATCCCAGCTACTTGGAAGGCTGAGGCAGGATAATTGCTTGAACCCAGGAGGCAGAGGTTGCAGTGAGCTAAGATTGTGCCACTGCACCCCATCCTGGGTGACAGAGCGACTCTCTCAAAAAAAAAAGAAGAAAGGAAAGAAGGAAGGAAGGAAGGAAAGGCTATCAAACTTCCTTCAAGTAGCCTGTGCCCCAGCTGTGCTAAATGACTCACAAGGCCATTGTGCCTGATGTTTCCTCTGCCCTTTCCCTTCTCCCTCCCCTTTCCATCAGCCCCCTACTCATCCTCCTCTTGTGGGGTCTTCTCTGGCTCCAACTGTTGCTCACTGCCCCCCAACCCCACATTCCACAGCATCTGTGGGCACCTCAATGCAGGGCTCCCTGGCTGTGGTCACCTCTTTAAAAGGCCTCACACCAGCTGGGTGCAGTGGCTTATGCCTGCAGTCCCAACACTTCGGGAGGCCAAGGTGGGAAGATCGCTGAGGCCAGGAGCTCAGGACAAGCCTGGGCAACAGAGTGAGACCCTGTTTCTATAAGATATTTAAAAATTAGTTGGATGCAGTGGTGCAAGCCTGCATTCTTCCTAGCTACTCAGAGGCTGAGGCGGGAGGATTGCTTGAGCCCTGAGCCCAGGAGTTTGAGACCAATCTCAGCAACACAGGGAGACCCCATCTCTACAAAAAACTAAAAAAAAAAAAAAAAAAAAATTAGCCAAGTGTGGTGGTAGACACCCATGGTCCCAGCTGATTGGGAGACTGGGGTGAGAGGATCACTTAAGCCTGGAAGGTCAAGGCTGCAGTGAGTTATGATTGCGCCACTGCGATCGAGCCTGGGTGACAGAGGGAGACCCTGTCTCAAAACAAAACAAAAATAAAAGGCCTCCCATCTATGTGTCATAATTATTGGTTTGAATCTGTCTCTCCTCCCTTTGAATTCCTCAAAGCTTGGGGACTCCCTTGTGTCCCCACTACCTAATGCAGAGTCTGGCGCAGGGAATGTATTCAACATTTTTTTAGCATTGCGTGAATGAATGAAAGAAATGAAAGAAGCAACCTGAGGGCCACCAGCTCTCATTTTTGTATGAAGATGTTCAGAATCATGCTTTGGGTTTGTATTGTACTTTTGACATTCTCAAGCTGTTTCTGATATTGCTTGTTTCATTTGATTCACATCATCACCAGAAGGTAGGCAGGGAAGGGAACATGACTCCCTATAGCTGACAAGGACCCCAGACACAGGTACAGTGACCTGCTCAAGGTCACAGGAGAGATGGCAGCAGTTGGTGGAGCATTCCTACCTCTTTATCTGACGCTGGGGCCCCCTTCACTGCTGATATGGTTGGCTGTGTCCCCACCCAAATCTCATCTTGAATTGTAGTTCCCATAATTCTCACGTGTTTTGGGAGGGCCTGGGTGGAGATAATTGAACCATGGGGGCAGTTCCCCCATACTGTTCTCATGGTAGTGAATAAGTCTCATGAGATCTGATGGTTTTATAAGGGGAGACCCCTCTCACTTGGCTCTCATTTTCTTTCTTGTTCTCTGCCACGTAAGATACGTCTTTCACCTTCCACCATGATTGTGAGGCCTCCCCAGCCACATGGAACTGAGTCCATTAAACCTCTTTTACTTTATAAATTACCCAGTCTTGGGTATGTCTTTATAAGCAGCTTGAGAATGGACTAATTCAACTGCCTTCCTGATGTTCCTGTAAACCTCCCATATAAAAGTTGTATCAGGAAAAGGAGAGAAGCTTTGTCTCCAAGGATCCATTGACCCACTTGGGGGAACCACTCCTTCTTAGCAAAAATCCAAACCCACACCCCCAAGGAAGGAAGGAAGCATCTGTAACAGTAGATGCACTGGTCTCAGAGCCAGCAAACTGAGCTCTGGTCTTAAGATTTCTACTCTCTAATCATTTGATCTTGGATAGTTTGCTTACTTTCTCTGAGTCTCAGTTTCCTGAGAAGTGACAAGTGCCTGCTTCTCAGGGCTGACGGGACTCTATGCCCTGTAAAGTATCATATGCATGTGAGGGGAAAGACAAAAATGACATGGCACACACAAAGCAGGGTATCCGATCCAGGCTAGGTTGTGCCCTAGATGGAGCCCAGTGTGCAGAGATCACTGGCACAGCCACGGGGCAGGCTGCCCTCTGTCACACTCTTCCACTTCTCCTTCCATTGCCCTATGTCCTACTAAGGGAGAGCAGGGTAGACAGTTTCACTTCCACCTGCAAGAAGGCATTTTCCTAAATTATTTGACAGCATAAAAATGATCTGGGCCGGGCACCAGCCTGGCCAACATGGTGAAACCCCATCTCTACTAAAAATACAAAAATTAGCTGGGCATGATGGCGGGCGCCTATAATCCCAGCTACTCAGGAGGTTGAGGCAGAATTGCTTGAACACAGGAGGTGGAGGTTGCAGTGAGCCGAGATCACGCTACTGCACTCCAGCCTGGGCAATAGAGCAAGACTCCGTCTCTGGGGAAAAAAAAAAATGATCTGCTTACTGGTAGCTTATAGATCCCTCAGGCTCTGACCAGCCTCCCCACATTACCCTGTGGCCATTTTGCTACTTAGTTTTCCCTCCATGGGACAGGTAGGGGGCACATAACCCATAGCACTGACCCTGCCTATCTTTATCTTTATCCCTCAGGGCCTGAGGGACAATTACTTGTCTGAAGGCCCCAGAAAAAGCCACACTCCCCTCTTCAGTTACTCATCATCAAATCTTATAAGGCTTTGAGGAGGATAAAATGAAATCACTGGCTGCGGTGACAATTTACGCCCTCTCTCTGGAAATGGCCAGCTGCTATACCACAATTATTTTTTATTATGTTCCCATTATTTAAGGTCATGAGTTCAGTCTCTGTTCTTACACAGTTAACTTTATCCAGAGTTGGGAAGATCTATTCCAAAACTGTAGACAGACGGTGCCACTCCTTCTAGCCAGCACCACTCCCAAAGTACTGTGTAGTAAATGTTTGCTCGCCTGTCCTATCCATAAGCCAATAAACTCCTCGAAGGTGAGGAATCTGCCTTATTCATATAAGCACTTCCTGTAACGGGCATAATGCTGGCATACTGTGGACATTCAATAATTAGAGCTACTGTGTACTGCACAGTGTGCTAAGCATGTTTTATATATCATCTTGTTTATATATCATCCTTACAATAATGCTGCCGAGTGGAAATACTATTATTATTCCTGTTTTACACATAAGGAAACTGAGACTCAGAAAGTCGAAGTAACTTGTCCAGGGTAACATGGCTAGGAAGTAGCAGAATCAGGATTGGATAGAGACTGACTAGCTTCAGAATCTTTTTTCTTACCGTTTCTTATAGCTGGCTCAGTGCCATCCACCTCCACTGCTGGAAACCAAAAATCCTTTGCTTTGGCTGGGCACGGTGGCTCATGCCTATAATCCCAGCACTTTGGGAGGCCGAGGCGGGTAGATTGCCTGAGGTCAGGAGTTCAAGACCAGCATGGCCAACATGGTGAAACCCTGTTTCTACTAAAAAATACAAAAATTAGCCAGGCATGGTGGCGGGCACCTGTAATCCCAGCTACTTGGAAGGCTGAGGCAGGAGAACCGCTTGAAACCGGGAGGCAGAGGTTGCAGTGAGCTGAGATCGTGCTACTGCACTGTAGCCTGGGCAACGGAGTGAGACTTCGTCTCAAAAAAGAAAAAAAAATCCTTTGCTTCCCAGTGCCATTTCCGAATGGCTCCAGCTGAGAGGCAGAGCCAGCTCTGATTCTCTGTCCTGTATTCCTGACCTTCTCTGAGGCTCATACCCTTTCTGTTTTCCCAGTTAACCTCAGTTATTCTCCTGTTTTCCCAACGGCAGAATAAAGGATTTACTTTTTTCCCTAGTGCCTTTCCTTACACTTGATGTCTGCAATAGTGGGTGGCAAGGATTTCTTATCACGTGCACAGAGGCTAACTGAAAAGGAGAAATTCATAATGATTAAAATAATGAAGCAGTTGAGGGACACCTCAGGCTCCAGCCTGTCCTCAGGGGAGCCTCACATCCTAATCTGGACTGCGCCACTGGCTCCCTCCCCAGCGGGGCTCATTTGCCTGTCTGTAAAATGATGATAATAATGCTGACCTTTCTCATGGGAAGAAGAAGGAGAGGAGATATGTGGGAGGAGTTAAGGCTTTGGACAGGAGAAGATTAGAGATGAAAAGCACGAGTTTCAGGCTGGTTTCTGAGCATGACATCATTCCTTTCAGGAGTCGAGTCTCTTTTAATTCATGTTTATGAAGCTGCTTTTTGGAGTTCCTTGAATTCCCCATTTTGCTAATTTTCCACATCCTATAATAAGAGTCAAAGAAGGGGAGACTGAAGTCCAGAGGTTGCTGAGATTCAAGGATTCAAGCCTTTGCCAGGAGACATGAGGGACCCAAAGGCTCACAAAGCCTCCCTAGCCCTCACCAAGCAATGAAGAGTGGGGAAAATAAAAGCGGAAATTGTGGTGACAGCCTGGAAGGTGGCTTCGGCTAGCTCGTGGGTAGGAGAATGCCCTGTTGGAAGACAAACAGGTCACAGGGAGGGAGGCTCACTAGGAGCTTGGGAGGGGTCTTTTGTCACCTGACTATCCCTCCAGGTCCAGGCATGGACTGCTAAAGCAAGCACTGTCGACTGAGGACGTGTGGGCTCGGCAAAGATAAAAATGGTATTTATCAGAAGAGAGAAAAATGTATTCAGCTCTCAGTTATGATTTAGACGCAGCCGTGGGCAGCATAGCAATGAGCTCCTTATTTTAAGCAAGCGGCAGAGAGATGAAAATAGATCAAGTGTGTTGAATCAAGCCAGGTTTTTGCAATCAGTGAACTAGATTTAAGACCACACCTTCATCAGGCAGGGAGTAGAGAGAACTATGAGGAGTCTTTCTTAAAAATGAAAACCCTCTGTTTTCAGAGAGGGGTGTTCACACTGCCGCAGAGTGAATTCCATCTAAATCATGGCTACAGAAGTTCAGATTTTATCTTGGGGCTGGACTCAGGAAGGGAAGGAGAGCTCCAGTCCCTCCCCTTGGGCCTGTGGACCCAAGTAAGACCCTTCAAGAACACAGGAACCCTGGACTGGTTGGGCCCTCATGATTATCTAGCAAAAGCTATGACAATGGTTCCCATTTATATATTTCACACACGCACACACATATATAATTTCATTCGGACCTTACAATACCATTTTTTTTTTTAATACAGAGTTGCTCTGTCACCCAGGCTGGAGTGCAGTGGTGCGATCTCGGCCCACTGCAACCTCTGCCTCCCGGGTTCAAGCGATCCTCCTGTCTCAGCCTCCCGAGTAGCTGGGATTACAGGCGCATGCCACCACGCCCGGCTAATTTTTGTATTTTTAGTAGAGACGGGGTTTCGCCATGGCCAGGCTGGTCTCAAACTCCTGACCTCGTGATCCGCCTGCCTCCCAAAGTGCTAGGATTACAGGCGTGAGCCACCATGCCTGGCAGAACCTGCGGATTTTCTAAGGGATCATTGCGTTGCTTTTTGTCGAAGGCGGCATGCATTTCTGTCAGCTTTCCAACAGAAAATCAGGAGAGAGGTTCTTCAACATTCACTTATTCACTGAATATTCATTTATTCGTTTATTTGCTTATTGTCTGTTTTCATCCCCTAGAACCCAGGCTCCATGAGGGTAAATATTTTTTTACCGGTATCCCTGGTACCTAGAAGAATGTCTGGAAAATTAATGAGTATTCAGTGAATAAGTGAATGTTGAATAGCCTCTCGCCTGATTTTCTGTTGGAAAGCTGACGGAAATGCACGCCGCTTTTGATAAACAGCAACACAATGATCTTTTAGAAAACCTGCAGGTTCTAGATTCTGATACAGTGAGAGAGTAAACAGGCAGCAGGGCTGCTTTTTGGAAGAAAGGGCATTTATAGGAGAAGATGGCATCCAAGCTGCCAAAGTCAGTGAGATGCAGGCACAAGGTGCCAGTTCACAGGTTAGTCTGAGTGCATACACAGACCTGTGAGCAAGAAGAGAAAGCAGGTAACTAGAGATGCTGGCACAGACAGCGGAGTTTAGCCTCTGGGAGGCAGCAACAAAGCCATTCCACAGTTCTCTTTGGCATGGGTTCTGTGCTTGCCACCAATAATTTTTTTTCTTCATGTAGGAAGATAAAAGGGAAATAAGACTCTCCTTAGTACAAACATCGACTACACCAGAGAACAGACTTACAAGTCACTTTATTTATTCATTCATTTATTTTTGAGGCAGGGTCTCACTCTGTTGCCCAGGCTGGAGTGCAGTGGCATGATTACAGTGCACTACAGCCTCGACCTCCCAGGCTCAAGCTATCCTCCCACCTCAGCCTCCCAAGTAGCTGGGACTACAGGCATGGCACCACCCCCGGCTTTTTAAAATTTTTTGTAGAGACAGGTTTTACCATGTTGCCCAGGCTTGTCTCAAACTCCTGAGCTCAAGCGATCCTCCTGCCTCACCCTCTTAAAGTTCTGGGATTATAGACGTGAGCCACCATGCCAGGCCCAAAGCCACTTTAAAGCAGTATTCTTTAACTTGTCCAAACTGGTAACTTGGGGCAAGATTCTTGACCTCAGTGGGGATTAAATGAGGTAATTAATGCATGCAGTATAATGCCTGTAACTTGGGGCTCACACGATGTTCACTATTAAATTCTGAAAATATAGTAAACAGTATGAACTGTCTCTCCAGAAAATACACATTTGATCACACATTCAAAATTTTGCATACAATATCAGAAGAAAAGAGCACTGCAGAGGTCTGTTGAACTAAGGGTTAAGAACAAGTGCTGGGCTGGACACGGTGGCTCCTGCCTATAATCCCAGCACTTTGGGAGGCCAAGGCGTCGTGTGGATCACTTGAGGTCAGGAGGTCAAGACCAGCCTAGCCAACATGGAGAGACCCCCGTCTCTATAAAAATACAAAAATTAGGCAGGCGTGGTGGCACGTACCTGTAATCCCAGCTACTCAGGAGGCTGAGGCAGGAGAATCGCTTGAACCTGGGAGGCAGAGGTTGCAGTGAGCCAAGATCATGCTACCGCACTCCAGCCTGGGCGACAGAGCGAGACTCCATCTCAAAAACAAGAAAAACAAGTGTCGTGAGACAGACCAGCTTCCAGGCCAACAAGATTGATCTGTAACTCATTGGAGCATCTTCACACACCTAAAGTAGCAATGCACTGATGGAACAGGGGTTAGCAAACCTTGGAAGCCCAGAAATAGTGTTACAGAGGCAAATATAGGCTGTCCCCTTTCAAGCAGCGCTAAGGAGGGGTGCCCTGCCCGAGAACCCGTGTGCCTGTCTCTGGTAGCAGTGGTTTAAGTCCTGCTATGGAGATGTGCACAGCAGGGCTTACCCTGGTATCTTTAACATTGGGATCATGTCTCTTAATTTCCCTTGCTTCACATCACAAGTCAATCTTCCAATTAGAATGTGGCTTTGCCTGTGAAGGGCTGTAGGGAGAGGAAACTCAGGCTAGGGGCAGGGGTCTTGGATCCTCTGGTTACATTTCTCATTGTACATTAGTTGGCCGGCACTCCAGGTTTGTGGAAAGCTCTGTGAGTATGGCTAAGCCCTGTTCCTCAGCAGCACGCATATCAGTTTTCTATGCCCGCAGAGCTCCTTGGGTGATGGCCAGGAAACCCTAATGTGCTGAGATTGAGAGCTCTTACTTCTTATTGAATTTTCTTATGAGTAATTTCTCTCATAGGAATCTACTCAAAGGAAAAACTAAAAGTTCAGAAGTACACGTGTACTTACAAAAGATGTCCAGTGTAGTGGTTTTTAAACACCTATTATTATTATATTTATTTATTTATTTTTGAGACAGGGCCTCTCTCTGTTGCCCAGGCTGGAGTGCAATGGCGTGATCTAAGCTCACTGCAACCTCTGCCTCCTGGGTTCAAGCAATTCTCCTGCCTCAGCCTACTGAGTAGCTGGGATTACAGGTGTGTGCCACCACACCTGGCTAATTTTTGTATTTTTAGTAGAGGCAGGGTTTCGCCATGTTGGCCAGGCTGGTCTCGAACTCCTGACCTCAAGTGATCTGCCTGTCTCGGCCTCCCAAAGTGCTGGGATTACAGGCGTGAGCCACCGTGCCCGGCCTATTATTATTTTTGAGACAGGGTCTTGATTTGTTGTCTAGGCTGGAGCTCAGTGGCATGATCACAGCTCACTGCAGCCTCGACCTCCTGGGCTCAAGCAATCATTCCATTTCAGCCCTCTGAGTAGATGGGACCTGGCTGGGACCACAGGCCCATGCCACCATGCCCAGCTAATTTTTAAATTTTTTGTAGAGATGGGGTCTTACTGTGTTGCCCAGGCTGGTCTCAAACTCCTGGGCTTAAGCAATCCTCCTGCCTTGGTATCCCAAAGTGCTGAAATTATAGGTATGAGCCACAGCACATGGCCAAAACTTTTTATTTTGAATTAATTTGTAGATTAACACGCAGTTGTAAGAAATAATATTGGGAGGCCGGGCGCAGTGGCTCACACCTGTAATCCCAGCACTTTGAGAGGCCAAGGCAGGTGGATCACCTGAAGTCGGGAGTTTGAGACCAGCCTGACCAACATGGAGAAACCCCGTCTCTACTAAAAATACAAAATTAGGCTGGGCGCAGTGGCTCACGCCTGTAATCCCAGCACTTTGGGAGGCCGAGACAGGTGGATCATGAGGTCAGGAGATCGAGACCATCCTGGCTAACACAGTGAAACCTCGTCTCTACTAAAAATACAAAAAAATTAGCCAGGCATGGTGGCGGGTGCCTGTAGTCCCAACTGTTCGGGAGGCTGAGGCAGGAGAATGGCGTGAACCTGGGAGGCGGAGCTTGCAGTGAGCCGAGATAGCACCACTGCACTCCAGCCTGGGCGACAGAGCAAGACTCCGTCTTAAAAAAAAAAAAAAAATTAATCAGGCGCAGTAGTGCATGCCCATAATCCCAGCTACTTGGGAGGATGAGGCAGGAGAATCACTTGAACCCAGGAGTCAGAGGTTGCAGTGAGCCGAGATCGTGCCGTTGTACTCCAGCCTGGGCAACAAGAGAGAGACTCTGTCTCAAAAAAAAAAAAAAAAAAAAAGAGAAAAGAAATAATATTGGGAGATCCCATATACCCTTCACCCAGTTTTCCCCAAATATAACATCTTGCATAATAACAATCAGATAATTGACATTCATATAATCCACCCACCTTATTCAGATTTCACTACTGTTCAAGTACGCATTTGTCTGTGTGTGTGTGTGTGTGTGTGTGTGTGTGTATTTAGTTCAACCAAATTTTGTCACATGTAGATTTGTGGAACCACCCTACCATAGTCATGACACAGAACAGTTCCATTACAAATAATAATGTTAACTTTTACAGGAAAAAAATAAAAATAACCTCAGCATCCAATACTGGGAAGTTGGTTACATAAATTGTGTTACAGTTATAAAGTAAGATATTTAGTCATATAAATGTTATGTACATGAACATTAAAAATGTTTATAAAGATTGTTTAATATGGAAAAGTGCTTATGAGGTACATACACACACACACACACATATATATCTATATATCTATATATCTATATATCTATATATCTATATATCTATATATATTTTTTTTTTGACATGGAGTCTCTTGTTGCCCAGCTGGAGTGCAGTGGCACCATCTTGGCTCACTGCAACTTCTGCTTCCCAGGTTCAAGCAATCCTCCTGCTTCAGCCTCCAGAGTAGCTGGGATTACAGGTGCCCGCCACAATGCCCAGCTAATTTTTGCATTTTTGTAGAGACGGGATTTCACCATGTTGGCCAGGCTGGTCTTGAACTCCTGACCTCAGGTGATCCTCCTACCTCAGCCTCCCGAAGCGCTGGGATTACAGGCATGAGCCACTGCGCCCAGCCTATATATGATGTATATTTTTAAAAGTAGGTGCTTAAAAAGATTTGAAAATATGCTAGAAGTTTCTTTGAATGACAGGATGGCATTTGTGCTTTTCTTTGGTTGTCAGGATAGTTTGTGGTTTTCTTTTGTTTTATATTTTTGTATTTTTCAAAAATTTCTACAATAAGCATCTATTATGACTGAATGTGTTCCCCTAAAATGTATATGTTGAAGCCGTTAACGCCTAACGTGATGGTATTCAGAGGTGAGGCCTTTGGGGGGTGATTAGGTTTGGATGAGGTCATCAGGCTGGGGGCTCTATGATGGGATTAATGTCCTTATAAGAAGAGGAAGAAAGACCAGAGCTCATTCACTCTCTGCTGTGTGAGGACATAGCAAGAAGGCAGCCATATGCAAGCCAGGAAGAGGGCAACTCACCAGAAGCTTCATCAGCTGGCACCTTGATCATGAACTTCCCAGTCTCCAGAATTAGGAGAAATAAAAGTCTGTTGTTTAAGCCACCCAGTCCATGGTATTATGCTACGGCAGCCCAAACAGACTAAGACAGCCTGTTTCCCAAAGAGCAAGGAAATAGGGCGTGTGAGAGTAAACAGAACTAGGGGAAAGCCCAAGATAAATCAAAATAAAAACAAAATAAAAGTAGCTACTCAAGGCTGAGACCCTAAAGTGCCAAGGGACAGCTCCCTGGGGGAGGTAATCTCCTTGTTTACATGAAGGGTCCAGGGATCCAGGGGCTGTGCCCTAGCTCTCTTCCCAGCCACCTAAAAGAAGAGCTCAGAAAACGTCTTACAGGCTCTGCAGCTCCTGAGTTTTGAACTGCGGGGAGCAAGAAGGTGAGGGTATCTCTTGGGCCTCACTTTTATTTATCGAAGACAAGGAGGCAAGACAGTGGCAAGGCCTGGGACTGGGGACTGGGGACACAGACAGTCAGGTCACCCTTGCCACTTCCAGCCTCACCTTCCAGATCTGCAGTGCAGAAGGGAGAGGAAGGGGGTGTGAAGAGTGAGACAAAGGCTGGGTGGAGCATCTCCTCCATCTAACAACTGCTTAGGCAGCCACCCATGGGAGACAAATAACAGCAGAGTCTGGGCCTGGAATCTGTCCTGCCTGCGCCAGGGACCCCTCTGCCAGGAGACTGTGCCCTATCTGATAAAAGTAGTGGTCTAGGAGTTAGCTATTTGAGTCTTAGTCCAACTATGCCTCAAAGAAGCTTAGTTAGGGAAACCCAATTTGATAAAAGGAACATTTTGATATGGGAGATATTTTGTTAGAATTGAGTCAAAATATAAAATCGCTGTTTAAAAAAAAATTACCAGGCAGGTTATGAAAGACATACTCAATGCTTACTTTCTCTGATGTTCACCCTACCCCTGAGTTTCACTGGACTGTTGACCTTGACTCCATTCTTGGTTTGAACCATGCCTCTGATTCCCTCTCCACTGCCAATCATCCCTGATTTCCAGCGTTGAGAGCTGGCATTGGGGTGGAGCTCAGAAGGGAAGGGAAGGTGTCTGCTTAGCATATGCCACTTGATGACTAAAAAATGTTATCAATTTAATCATTTGATTTTTAGGGCAAATGTCCTTCTGAATAGTGTTGTGTCAATGCATTCATAATTGAATGGCTTTTTAAAATCTGCTAAAGGTATTCGAAATGCTTTCTAAACAAAGTGAGAGATCTTAGGGAGGGATCCCAGTTTAAAAAAAAGAAAAAAAGAGGTCCCAGAGGGGAAAGAAAAAGGCAACTCCATCCCAGAAGAAATACTCTAAAGTCCTTATGAGGATATGGGTAGTCTGTCTGCCTGGAATTCTGCCCTTTGCAGGGCTTCTGCCATCCCACATGGTTGTGGTAAACAGTCACAGCACCTTGCCTGCCTTGGCTGCATGAGGTAGGTCATGGCACAGGTATCTCAGTAGCTCTCCTGTCCACATGACTGGTCCAAGAGGTTTCCACATAATTCCACAAGAGATTGGGCCTGTGTTAGTCTGTTTTCTTTTGCTCTAACTGAATACCTGAGACTGGGTAATTTATAAATATTGGGAAGTCCCATGTTTAGGGGCTGCATCCAGTGAGGACCTTCTTGCTAGTGGGGACCCTCTGCAGAGTCCCAAGGTGGTGCAGGGTATCATATGGTAAGGGGGCTCACTAGAAATGGCCACAATGGCTTTTATAACAGACTCACTCTTTTTTTTTGTTTTTGTTTTTGTTTTTGTTTTTTTGAGACGAAGTTTCGTTCTCGTTGCCCAGGCTGGAATGCAATGGCACAATCTCGGCTTACTGCAAGCTCCACCTCCCAGGTTCAAGCGATTCTCCTACCTCAGCCTCCCAAATAGCTGGGTTTACAGGCACGTGCCATGCTCAGCTAACTTTTGTATTTTTAGTAGAGGGGGTTTCACCGTGTTGGCCAGGATGGTCTCGATCTCTTGATTTCGTAATCCACTTCGGCCACCCAAAGTGCTGGGATTATGGTGTGAGCAACCATGCCCGGCCCAAATCTTCTACTTCTGAAAGTCTTCCAATGAAAAAGAGAAGCATATCTATGTACCCATATTGGTAAAGTATCTGACCTTTAGGGATAAAGGGGCTGGGCTAGGTGGCTCACACCTGTAATCCCAGCACTTTGGGAGGGTGAGACAGGCAGATCACCTGAGGTCAAGAGTTCGAGACCAGCCTGGCCGACATGGTGAAACACCATCTCTACTAAAAATACAAAAATCAGCTAGGCATGGTGGCAGGTGCCTGTAATCCCAGCTACTCGGGAGGCTGAGGCAGGAGAATCGCTTGAACCCAGACAGCGGAGGTTGCAGTGAGCCGAGACTGTGCCACTGCACTCTAGCCTAGGGGATCGAGTGAGACTCTGCCTCCAAAAAAAAAAAAAAAAAGGATAATAGTCAGCAATCAAAGTTTCCAGAAATAAAGGACTGAGACACAGACTGCATCAGATCTTCAACTGACAGAACTGCATGCTAGAAGACAAAGGAGTGAGGTCTTCAATATTCTGAGGGAAAAAATAGGAATTTGTACCTAGAATCCTCTACTCAGCCAAATTAGCATGTGCAAACCATGTTGACTGAATTGAATTGGCCAGGGAGATGTGTTCCTTAGGAAGTCTTCTGTGTTAAGAGGGAACCAGGGTGCACAATGAGGCCTGATAGGTGATACATAGAAGAGAAGTAAAACTAACAAACCTGAGAAATAGATCCAGCTGCTTTTAGCAGGCAGGAGGGAGAGGACGCTGGAGGAGCTTGCACAGGCGTGCAGGGAAGGTTCCTTAGAGGAATGTCAGCAGCAACGCTGGAACAGAGGGGAAGAACAGACTTGGTGGAGAGAAGGGGTGAGAAGGTATTTAACAGACTGCAGGCAGGACATGGAGGCTCATGCCTGTCATCCCAGCACTTGTGGAGGCTGAGGCTGGAGGACTGCTTGAGGCCAGGAGTTCCAGGCCAGCCTGGGCAACATAGCTGGGTGTGGTGGTGCATGACTATAGTCTTAGCTACTCAAGAGGCTGAGGTGGGAGGATCACCTGAGCCCAGAAGTTCAAGGCTTCAGTGATTAGAAAAGAGACTATATGGCAAAAAAAAAAAAAGTACATTTATCATGAATTAAGACTGTGTGAAAATAAATGTAGATACTGGTCTTGTGTCATTTAGGCTACTTGAATTAAAAAAAAAATGAAAAAATCCTGTCCACCTTCAGCAAAGGAAAAGTGGCCCTTCCTATACCAGTGGTCAGTGTAACCCCTTAGAACTAGTAATAACCAACCCCCTTAATCCTTGCTAGAAAAAAGAGAATGTATAACCCTAAAAATTGATGGAGCTGGACTGGATCTTCAAGTAAATATCGTGGTTTCAGAAAAAGTTTATAAATGCTCTCCTGAGCCAGTATTTCAAAACTTCTATGATGAACTGAATGTGCCAGTACCAGAAATTCCAGGAAAAACAAGAAATTTGTTTTTGTAATTAGCCGAGCATATAGCCCAGTCTCTCAATGTCACTTCATGTTATGTATCAGCACAAGTGTACTACATGAATCATTATCAGTCTATTGCACAGGAAGACATAAGTAGCAAAAATAAGAGTGAGAACTCCCACTAATAAAAAGTGAGAGTCTCAAAGGGGGGAAATGAGAGAAGAGAGACAGACCCTCTCATATTGTTTTATATTGCTTTATGCTCAGAAAAGAAAACAGAAGCGAAACTAAAGGCTTGTAGCCCGGTGCCTAGGAACCAGACCCGAAACCAAGGAACCAGACCTGCAACCAGGCCTGAGCCTGCCTGACCTAAGCCTGGTAGTTAAAGATTGACCCCTGACCTAACCAGTTATGTTATCTATAGATTTCAGACATTGTATAGAAAAGACATTGTGAAACTTCCTGGTCTGTTCTGTTTCACTCCGACCACCGGTGCATGCAGCCTCTGTCATGTACCCCCTGCTTGCTCAATCAATCACAACCCTCTCATGCAGACCCCCTTAGAGTTGTGAGCCCTTAAAAGGGACAGGAATTGCTCACTCGGGGAGCTCAGCGCTTGAGAGACAGGAGTCTTGCTGATGTTCCCGGCCGAATAAACCCCTTCCTTCTTTAACTTGGTGTCTGAGGAGTTTTGTCTGCGGCTCGTCCTGCTACACTATGTTTGCACCACTGCACTCCAGCCTGGGTGACAGAGCAAGACCCTGTCTCTGAAAAAAAGAGAATAAGTGAAAAATGAGCCAGGTGAGGTGGCTTATACCTGTAATCCCAGCACTTTGGGAGGCTGAGGTGGGATCACTTGAGCCCAGGAGTTCGAGACCAGCCTGAGAAAGATGGCAAAAATCTTCTCTCTACCAAAAAAAAAAAATTGGCCTGGTGTGGTGGCACACCCATGTAGTCCCAGCTACTCAGGGGGCTGAGGTGGGAGGATTGCCTGAGCCCAAGAGGTTGAGGCTGCAGTGAGCTGTGATCTTGCCACTGCACTGCAGCCTGGGTGACAGAGTGAGACCCTGTTTCAAAAAGAGAGAGAGAGACAGAGAGAGACACTATGGCCTATTCCAAAGCTCAAAAGCAGGAGAGAATCCTCAAGCCCTGGGGGGAGAAGATATGTGTGCATGGCAGAAAAGAATGGAAGCTAGAGGATAATCAGAGAAAAATAGGCTGCTGGCTGGGTGTGGTGGCTCATGCCTGTAATCCCAGCACTTTGGGAGGCCAAGGCGGGCAGATCACGAGGTCAGGAGGTCGAGACCAGCCTGGCCAACATGGCAAAACCTCATCTCTACTAAAAATACAAAAATTAGCTGGGTGTGGTGGCATGTGCCTATAGTCCCAGCTACTCAGGAAGCTGATGCAGGAGAATCGCTTGAACCTGGGAGGTGGAGGTTGCAGTGAGCCAAGACCGCGCCATTGCACTCCAGCCTGGGCGACAAAGCGAGACTCTGTCTCAAAAAAAAAAAAAAAAAAAAAGGCTGCTGAAGTGAAATTGACTCATGCCTCAGTATCTTCAATCCTAAAATCAGGATACTGGTAGTACCTACGTCAGAAAACTGTTAGTAAAATTACATGAAATAATATCTCTAAGGCACTTAGCTTAATGCTGGGAACAAGTAAAATTCAATAAGTATTAGCTCTTGTTAGATAAGTTGTCCCAAATCACACAGCTAGTAAGTGGTTAACTAGGATTTGAATAGAATAGCTTTTCTGACTCCAAAGCCCAGCTGGCCTCTTTATGACTGTGCTCTATTGAGTAATAACTATTGTTTACTGAGCACAGCACTCCATGCTCTATAATAGTTATCTCATTTAATGCTTATCACCTCCCTGAGCTGAGCACAGCTATCTGACACAACAGGAAATCGAGTGTTGTTTCACTCCCTTGCCCAGGTTCACCTGCCCGGCTCCAGTGCTTTCTTCCCAACAGCACACTGGAGTCAGGAGGTTTGGGTCCCAGCCCCACATCTGCCACAGATCAACCTGCATCGCTGAAGCTCAGTTTCCTCATGTTTTAAATAACAGGGGCCGGGGCTGGGGGCTCTCTCTGTTTTCTTTTTTTTCTTTTTTCTTTTTTTTTAGATGGAGTCTCACTCTATTGCCCAGGCTGGAGTGTAGTGGCAAGATTTCAGCTCACTGCAACCTCTCCCTCCCGAGTTCAAGCGATTCTCCTGCCTCAGCCTCCCGAGTAGTTGGGGTTACAGGTGTGCGCCACCACACCTTGCTAATTTTTGTATTTTTAGTAGAAAGACGGGGTTTCACCATGTTGGGCAGGCGGGTCTTGACCTGACCTCAAGTGGTCCGCCTGCCTTGGCCTTCCAAAATTCTGGGATTACAGGCATGAGCCACTGCACCCAGCCAATCTCTAGGTTTTCTTTAAGCTCTACTGTTCTACGAGGGTGTATTCAGTGAAATCAGACAGTGCTCCAGGTAGGAGAGAGGGATCCTGAGTCAGACAGGATCCCCATCCCCATCTGACTGCACAACATCAACCAACAGAGATCCAGAGGCGCCGAGGGTGGAGTCCAGGTCTCTAAAGCATTAGTCATTGTCTGCTCCCACTTCCCAGGGACCAGCAGGGATGCTGATCCAATTATACTCAATTGATGAGGGACCTCCAGGGTGATGAAAGAGAGAGGAGATGTCAGAGGACACAATGGGAGATCCGAATCATTCAGCCTGGTGAATAGAAGCCAGGAAGGACCTGCCTTCAAGTCTCCAGTGAGTCTGGGGGCTGGCAGGGTGATAACACGAGGCCAAGGCTCAGAGAACTGGGCCCTGGTTCCTAGGCCTGGCTCTGACATTAAAAGCAGTATGATCTTTGTTTGACAAGTTATTTCACTTCTCCAGTCTTCAGTTTCCACATCTAAAAAATCAGGGAAGGCCAGGCACGGTGGCTCACCCCTGCAATCCCAGCACTTTGGGAGACCGAGAAGGGCAGATCACTAGAGGTCAGGAGTTCGAGACCAGCCTGGCCAACATGGTAAAACCCCGTCTCTACTAAAAATACAAAAATTAGCCAGGTGTGATGTTGGGGGCCTGTAATTCCAGCTACTCGGGAGGCTGAGGTAGGAGAATTGGTTGAACCCGGGAGGCGGAGGTTGCAGTGAGCCGAGATGGTGCCACTGCACTCCAGCCTGGGCAACAGAGCCAGACTCCGTCTCAAAAAAAAAAAACAACAACCAAAAAAAACAGGGAAATTTTTAAAAACCCCACCAATTTACATAAAGACATGTAATATTATAGCTAAAAACTGGAAATGGGAAGAACTGCTAAGTGGACTTGGGAGCACGGAGTTGATGCAACAGAATCTTGAAATGCTATTTAGAAAGTGGAATAACTAACATTTACTGAGCACTAACTACATGTCAGACACTTGGCAGAGAGAGAGGTCTTTACATGCATAATCTCATTTAATATCCTCAAGGGTCTTCTGAGGTAGGTATTATTATCACCATTCTTCCTTTTTTTTCTTTTCAAGACTTGCTCTGTCACCGAGGCTGTAGTACAGTGGTGAGATCTCGGCTCACTGCAACCTCCGCCTCCTGGGTTCAAGCTATTCTCCTGTCTCAACTTCCCGAGTAGCTGGGACTACAGGTGCACGCCACCACGCCCAGCTAATTTTTGTATTTTTAGTAGAGACAGGGTTTCACCATGTTGGCCAGGCTGGTCTTAAACTCCTGGCCTCAGGTGATCTGCCTGCCTTGGCCTCCCAAATTGTTGGGATTACAGGCCTGAGCCACCATGCCCAGCTATCATCATTTTTTCAGATGAGTTCACGGAGGCCATGAGAAGTTAAGTCACCTAACTAGTTTATACTTGATGACGTCAGGACTCAAGTTCAAAGGTCCATCTGACTCCAAAGCCCATGCTGCAAACCTTTACTTATACACTACTGTTGAAGACTGTTGGATGTAAGGACTGTAAGAAATAGAGATGTAGGCCAGGCATAGTGGCTCATCTCTGTAACCCTAGCACTATGGGAGGCCAAGGCTAGTGAATTGCTTGAGTCCAGGAGTTCTAGACCAGCCTGCACAACA
Source organism: Homo sapiens (assembly GCF_000001405.40). Classification (NCBI taxonomy): domain Eukaryota; kingdom Metazoa; phylum Chordata; class Mammalia; order Primates; family Hominidae; genus Homo; species Homo sapiens. Next base: position 25,947,424 of record NC_000001.11, read on the forward strand.
TGGCAAAAACCCATCTCTTACAAAAAATACAAAAATTGGCTGTGCGCGGTGGCTCACACCTGTAATCCCAGCACTTTGGGAGGCTGAGGCAGGAGGAATGCCTGAGCCCAGGAGTTTAAGACCAGCTTCGGCAACATGGCAAGACCCTGTCTTTAAAAAAAACCCACAAAACAAAAAATACAAAAATTAGCTGGTCATGGTGGCACGTGCTTGTAGTCCCAGCTACTAGGGAGGCAGAGGCGGAAGGATAAATTAAGCCCATGAATTTGAGGCTGCAGTGAGCTGAGATCGTGCACCAGTGCACTGCACTCCAGCCTGGGCCACAGAGCAAGACCCTGTCTCAGAAAAAAAAAAAAAGGACGGAAATAGAGAAGTGCACATATGTAACATGTTAAGTGGGAAATAAACCTCTAGAGTGATTATGGGCCAGGTGTAGTGGCTCATGCCTGTAATCCCAGCAGTTTGGGAGGCTGAGGCAGGCAAATCACTTGAGGCCAAGAGTTCCAGACCAGCCTGGCCAACATGGCAAAACCCCGTCTCTACCAAAAATATAAAAATTAGCCAGGTGTGGTGGCGGGCGCCTGCAATCCCAGCTACTTGGGAGGCTGAGGCAGGAGAATCACTTGAACCCAGGCAGTGGAGGTTGGAGTGAGCCGAGATAGTGCCACTGCACTCCAGCCTGGATGACAGAGTGAGGCCCTGTCTCAAAAAAAGGACCAAAAACAACAACAACAACAACAAAACAACAAAAATAAGACTGACTGTGATAACATAAGAATGTTGGTGTCAACATTAGATTTGGAAATTGGGAATTTATAGCTCAGATATTTATGCTTAACTTTTTTTTTTTTTTTTTTTTTTGAGATGGAGTTCTGCTCTTGTTGCCCAGGCTGGATTGCAATGGCACGATCTCCGCTCACTGCAACCTCCGCCTCCTGGGTTCTAGTGATTCTCCTGCCTCAGCCTTCTGAGTAGCTGGGATTACAGGCATGCACCACCATGCCCCGCTAATTTTGTATTTTTAGTAGAGACAGGGTTTCACCATGTTGGTCAGGCTGGTGTCGAACTCCTGACCTCAGGTGATCTGCCTGCCTCAGTCTCTCAAAGTACTAGGATTACAGGCATGAGCCACCCTATGCACCACCCACAGTGCCTGGCCCTACGCTTGACTTTTTGCTAGTAGAGATTATGATAATATCTGGGTAAGCACAGATGATAGGGCCTTTCTAGTCCTAATACAGAACTTTCTAGATAAGCAGACAAGGGAGGCACAGCTGCCCTTCGTCACCACTGGGAAGACTGGAAATCTGACCACACGGCTCCTGCCTCAAGCTTTTCAGTCACTTCATATTGCCTACAGCACCGGTTCTCAACCTTGACTGTAGAATGGAATCACTTGAGAAACTTTACAAATAGCTGATGTCTGAGTTTATTCCCAGAAATTCTTATTTAATTGCCATGGCCGTAACTTTGGCATGGGGAGTTTTGAAATGTCTTCAAGAGATTCCAATGTGTAGCAACATTTGAAAGCCACTGGCCTAGAGGATAAAGGCATAACTCCTTCACTTAGCATAGAAAGGCCCCTTCTGATTTCTTTAGTATGCTCTCCTATATGTTTTATTCTCCAATCCAGGTACAATGTCCTGAACATGTTGCACCTTGCTTTTTACATGCCTTTACCTTATTTCTTCTGCCTGGAATGCTTTTCTTCCCCCTCATCCATCTGGAAAGCTCCACTCATCTTCAATACTGTGGCAAGCCAGCCTCCAAGATGGCCCCAGTCATCCTTACCTCCTGGTTTTCATGTTCCTATATAGTGCTCTACTGCACTGAATAGGGCTGACTTGTGTAATAATATAATATTGTAGAAACGATGATGGAGTGTGACTTCTGAGGATGGGTTATTTTTATTTATTTTATTTATTTATTTTTTTGAGACAGTGTCTCACTCTGTTGCTTAGGCTGAAGTGCAGTGGCGCGATCTTGGCTCACTACAACCTCTGCCTCCCAGGTTCAAGCGATTCTCCTGCCTCAGCCTCCTAAATAGCTGGGACTACAGATGCGTGCCACCATGCCTGGCTAATTTTTTTTTTTTGTATTTTTTGGTAGAGACGGGGTTTCACATTATTGGCCAGGCTGGTCTCGAACTCCTGACCTTGTGATCCACCTGCCTCAGTCTCCCAAAGTGTTGGGATTACAGGCGTGAGCCACTGCGCCCAGCATGAGGATGGGTTATAAAAGAAACTGTAGCTTCCATCTAACTCTTGGATCCTCTACTTTGGGAGAAGCTATCTGCCAAGTCTTGAGCATCGCCCTGTGGAGAGCTCCACATGGTGAGGAACTGAGGCCTTTTGCCAACAGCCACGTGAGTGCACCATCTTGGAAATGGATCTTCCAGCCCCACTCAAGCCTTCAGATGATAATCATCCCAGCTGATGTCTTGACTGCAGTCTCACAAGAGACCTTCAGTTGGAACCACCCAACTATACCACTCCAGTATTCCTGAGCTATAGAAAATGTGAGATGTTTGTTGTTCGTATTGCCTACACCACTGGTTCTCAACCTTGACTGTAGATTGGAATCACTTGAGAAACTTTACAAATAGCTGATGACTGAGTTTATTCCCAGAAATTCTTATTTAATTGCTATGGCCGTAGCTTTGGCATGGGGAGTTTTGAAATCTCTGTTAAAATTTTGGAATAATTTCTTAGGCAGTAATAGATAGCAAATAAACAAACCACACTCAAGTATATGACACTCTGTGAAGTCTTCTTAGCCCTCTCCCCTGCTGAATTGAACTGACCACCCTGTGCCACTTCTGAGCCATATATATCCCCTATTACAGCACTCATCACATGACCCCTAACTGTTGACTTGCCCTTCTTGCCCTTAGGTTCAATTCCACAAGAACAGGGCTGGCCATAGTGCAGGAATCAGTGTGCTTGTAGAATATAGGAATATGCATGAGAACTGCCATCTGAGTCATTTCCTATAGGCCTTCTAGCCCAGGCTTCTTCTTATACAAAAACTTCAAAAGCTTCACGTGGTAGCACACACCTGTAGTCCCAGCTACTTGGAAGGCTGAGGCAGGAGGATCACTTGAGCACAGGAGTTTGAGGCTGTAGTGAGCTATGATTGTGCTCCTGCACTCCAGTCTGGGCAACAGAATAAGACCCCATCTCTTAAAAAAAAAAAAAAAAGACCCAAAACTCCATGGTACAGTTGCCAGAAATCACGGATGTCATGGTGAAAGGGTGGGTCCTGAGGATTTTCTTAATAATCCAACAAAATCCTGGCATCCACGGATGTATCTAGAACACTAGACTACAAGTCAGAAGATCTGGATTTTAATTCAAGTCTGCCAACCACCTGCTGAATTTCTTTGAGCTCTGGTTTCCTCATGGACCAAATAACTTAAGGCCTCTTCCAATTCTAAAATTTAATGATTCTGTGTTTTCAGCTAGCAATTACTCTTATTTCATAAAAGAAAATAGGCTAGTAGGCCAGGTGCAGTGGCTCACGCCTGTAATCCCAGCACTTTGGGAGGCCGAGGCGGGCAGATCACGAGGTCAGCAGTTCATGACCAGCCTGGCCAACATGGTGAAACCCTGTCTCTATTAAAAATACAAAAATTAGCCAGGCATGGTGGCAGGCACCTGTAATCCCAGCTACTTGGGAGGCTGAGGCGGGAGAATTGCTTGAACCCGGGGGGCGGAGGTTGCAGTGAGCCAAGACCATGCCATTGAACTCCAGCCTGGGTGACACAGCGAGACTCTGTGTCAAAAAAAAAAAAAGAAAAAAAAATAGACTAGAAGGCTTATACCACAGCAAGGATTCTCAAACTTCACTGTGTATCAGGAAGTAATATTCCTGGAACTTACACACATGTACACACCTGGGCCCCCCTCCAGACCTTCTGAATCAGCATCTCTGGATCTCTGGAGTCATGGCCAGGGTATCTGTATCTTTATTTTTATTTATTTATTTATTTATTTGAGATGGAGTCTTGCTCTGTTGCCCAGGCTGAAGTGTAGTGGCATGATCTTGGCTCACTGTAACCTCTATCTCCCGGGGTCAAGTGATTCTACTGCCTCAGCCTCCTGAGTAGCTGGGATTACAGGCATGCACCACCACACCCGGCTAATTTTTATATTTTTAGTAGTATTTTTAGGGGTTTTACCATGTTGGCCAGGCTGGTTTCAAACTCCTAACCTCAAATGATCCACTCGTCTCGGCCTCCTAAAATGCTGGGATTACAGGCATGAGCCACTGTGCCTGGCCTGGATTTTTATGCAGTTCCCAGGTGATTTGGATGTGCATCTAGAGCTGAGAATCGCTAATCTACAATATTTAGGCTAGAGATTAAAAAAATTTTTTCTGCCAGCTGGTTGGCTCTGTGGTTTACAGGGTATGGTACTAATGGGTTTGTCCCCTGAATTGTTCACTTTATACAAGGTGTATGAATGAATGGAGCCCGTTTACTGCTAGAAAAACAATTCAAGGTGTACATTTTACTGTCAGAACTCAGTCTGGTCTTCAATTAAAACGGCTCTTGGACCTAACTGCTTAGTGCATTTAGCTGGATATCAAGTTGTGGGCTACTTTAGCCTACCTAGGGTCAAGAATCTCTTTCCTATTGTGAGATAGTAATGACCAGGAGTTAAGAGCACTGACTCTGGGCCCGGTGCAGTGGCTCACACCTGTAATCCCAGCACTTTGGGAGGCCAAGGTGGACAGATCACTTGAGGCCAGGAGTTTGAGACCAGCCTGCCCAATATGGTGAAACCCCATCTCTACTAAAAATACAAAAATTAGCTGGGTGTGGTGGAGTGCACCTGTAGTCCCAGCTACTTGGGAGGCTGAGGCATGAGAATTGCTTGAACCCAGGAGGTGGAGTTTGCAGTGAGCCGAGATTGCACCACTGCACTCCAGCCTGGGCGACAGGGTGAGACTGTCTCAAAAAAATAAACCCCCCAAAACCCCACTGACTTTGGAGCCCAACCATTTAGGTTCAAATACTGGTTCTAGCACTTACATGCTGGGTGACTTGGCTGGGCTAGCAAATCTTTCTGAGTCTCGCCTTCCTGATCTACAAAATGAGGCTAACACGCACTACCTTACTGGAATGTTGTTAGGATTAAATGATACAATGCAGAGTATCTGGCCAGAATAAGTGCTCATTAAGAAGTAGCACATTAGGACAAAACCAAAATATGGCACTTTTTATAATTAACAGCAACGTATATGTGTCCGGTGCTTTGACATCTTACATTAAGCCCATCCCTAATCCTACCCAAAAAATTCTGAGGTGGGCAAGGTAGATGCCAGTGTCCCCATTTTGCAGAAAAAGAAACAAAGGCTCGGAAAGATTCACTGGCTCCAGATCAAACAAAAGAAAAATGTCAGAGTCTGGATTCAAACCTGGGTGTGATTCCATGAAGATGAATAATTATATATACACACTTGGCAGGCTGAGCATCTCGGGGCCATCTGGCTTAACAGGCTGAAAAGAACTGTATTTCTGAGCAGCTTCTTTTTTTAGATGAAAGCAAGATGGGAAAAATAAGCTGGCAAACTGCTTTCCCTCATTTTCAACACTGGTGTGATTTGTGCTCAGTTCTGCACTCCTTCTAACTCCCAAATGCTACTTGTCCGTGCAACTTAGAAGTTCGCTCCAGCTGCTTTGGCTGTGCTGCTGCTGGCTCTGCCCTGGCCCCACAGCTGGGACCTGGGAAAACCAAAAGAAAAGGAAGCAGAGGCAGCTGGAGATGTCAGAAGGCTGGGTGAGCTCCAGCTGTTCCCAAGTCTGTCTGGGGAACGAGGGCTGATGGGGGGCTGGGGCCAAGGATCCCTGTCCCCCATGTCAGTCAACAGGAGGATGCTCTTTCCTGTACAACAGATGGGCCCTGCTCCTGGAATAATGTGATAAAGGGCAATACTAAATCTGGCACAGACTGGATTTCTCTTGGGGAACAGGAGGCCAAGAGATCAAATGTTAGTCAAATTTAATCAAGAAGGCTTTCATGGAAGAGGTGGGATTAGAAATAAGCCTAAAGCATTAGCAAGATTTGGATGTGCAGAAAGGAGGTGGGGATGAGGTGGGGAAGCCCTGCAGGCAAGAAAATCCTCAGGAGAGCTGGACGCGGTGGCTCACGCCTGTAATCCCAGCACTTTGGGAGGCCGAGGTAGGCGGATCACTTGAGGTCAGGAGTTTGAGATCAGCCTCGCCAACATGGTGAAACCCCATCTCTACTAAAATACAAAAATTGGCCAGGCGTGTTGGTGCGTGCCTGTAATTCCAGCTACTTGGGAGGCTGAGGCAGGAGAATCACTTGAACCTGAGAGGTGGAGGTTGCAGTGAGCTGAGATTGCGCCACCGCACTCCAGCCTGGGTGACGTTTTGTTTGGGGAATGTGTGGGCAAATGAAGGGGACTGTGGGAAGAGTGCACATTAAGAAGTAGAAGGCAGGAGAGGAGAGGCGAGGTCAGAAAGAATGAAGAAGTGTAGTGCGATTCTACAGGAAAGGGGAAGCCAGGCGCGGTGGCTCATGCCTGTAATCCCAGCACTTTGGGAGGCCAAGGTGGGTGGATCACGTGAGGTCAGATGCTTGAGACCATCCTGGCCAACATGATGAAATTCCATCTCTACTAAAAATGCAAAAATTAGCCAGGTGTGGTGGCACATGCCTGTAATCTCAGCTACTTGGGAGGCTGAGGCAGGAGCACTGCTTGAACCTGGAAGGCGGAGGTTGCAGTGAGCCGAGATCGTGCTATTGCACTCCAGCCTGGGCGACAGAGGAAGACTCCATCACAAAAAAAAAAAAAAAAAAAAAAAAAAAAAAAAAGAAAGAAAAAAGAAAAAAAAGAAACAGAAAAAAAGGAAAGGGGATTCCTGGAAATCCATGACACCTCAATAACAGAGATACTGAATGCCAGAACTGAAGGGGCCTTAGAGACCGGCCAATTCAACAACCACCAACCCATGTCCCAATTTACAGATAAGGAAACTAAAGCTGAAGTTGAGAGAGGAAAACCACACACACACGCACACACACATGCACATGCACACGTACACATCACAGAGCAAACAGGTGATAGAGGCAAGAACCCAGGGCTCCAGACAACGAGTCCGTCCTGTTACCATTAGACCATCTTACCAGGCTGGTATTTTCATGCAAAAGCAGCATTTCAGGCAGATCTGGCAGCAGAACGCCGGGGGGAAAGAGAGATTACAGTCCAGAAGACTGCGAAATGAGCCCAGGGGTGAGCTGGCAGGACAGCAGGCTCAAACAAGATGGAAAGGATGGGCTGAGTGGGAGAACCACCAAGAGTGAAGAAACAGGAGGACTTGGCAGGAAACCGTGAGGGAGGGAGCTGTGCAGAGCCAATTCACCGGCCATCTGCAGGCCTGGGGGTTTCCCCTGAGGAGGTCACCATGCATTCTGACCCCCTCACCTGGTGTCAAAGGCAGCAGACAAAAATTAAGACAACTAGCCTCTGCTACAAAGCCCCTGCCCCCAGCTCCTCCCTTTGGCCAACCTCTCCACAGATCTGTTTCTCCCTTTTGACATTTTAGGATCTTCAATTTGCAGCTGAGGCATAGATGTGTTTGGATGATCTGGTGTGAAATTAAAACCCAAACCAGAACCTAAGAGTGTGGACTCTTCCAGGTGGAAAAGCAAGCAAGGCTAGAACTAGGGTGGGGATTTTGATTTTTCATGTGAGGAGCAGGGATAGCAGAGCAAAGAGAATGGGAAACTGTCTCTCCACCTAGCTCCACCCTGACATGAGGACACAATGGTAGTAGGTGGCTGGCAGTTAGGAGGGTCCACTCGAGGAAGGTAACCGTGAGACTGTAGAAGCTGGAATAACAATTTAGACCAATGGTCAGGCATGGTGGCTCACGCCTATAATCCTAGCACTTTGGGAGGCTGCAGTGGGAGGATCACTTATCCCAAGAGTTTGAGACCAGCTTGGGCAACATAGGGAGACCCTGTTTTTACAAAAAAAAAATGTTTTTTAATTAGCCAAGCATGGTGGTGCATGCCTGTAATCCCAGCTACTCAGGAGACTGAGGCAGGAGGATAGCTTGAGCCTGGGAATTCAAGGCTTCAGTGAGCTGTGAACCCACTACTGCACTCCAGCCTGGGTGACAGCAAGACTCAGACAAGAAGGAAGGAAGGAAGAAAGGAAGGAAGGAAGGAAGGAAAGAAGGAAGGAAGGAAGAGAGGGAGGGAGGGAGGGAGGAAGGGAAGAGGGAGGGAAAGAAAGAGAAAGAAAGGAGAAAAAGAGAAAGAGAAAAAGGAAGGAAGGAGGGAAGGAAGAAGGAGGAAGGAAGGAAGGAAAAGAGTGAAAGGAAAGGAAAGGAAAGAAGGAAGGAAGGAAGGAAGGAAAGAAAGAAAGAAAGAAAAAAGAAAGAAAAAGAAAAAAAGCACTTAGACCAAGATCATTGGGGCCATTTAGTTCAAGGGCCCATTGTACCTAACCTTACAGCTATGTAAGGAGGCCCAAATGAAACAAGACTGGTAATAGCTAATGTTTATTAAGTCCTTAATCTAGCCACCATGTTAAGTGCTTTACATGCATTATTTCATTTAATTATCACAACCACCTTATGAGTTAAATACTATTAGAATCCCCATTTCACAAATAAGAACATTAAAGGCCATAGAAGTGAATGAGTTAGCATAAAGTCACAGGGCTAATAGTGTTGGAGCTGTCTGATTTCAAAGACTGTGTTCTTAGTCCCTGAACTGCTCACACCTGTAACCCCAGCCCTTTGGGAGGCTGAGGCAGGAGGATCATTGGAGCCCAGGAGTTTGAGACCAGCCCTGGCAACACAGACAGACCACTGTCTTTACAAAAAATAAACAAAAAATTAGCCAGGTGTGGTGATATGTACCTGTAGTCCCAGCTACTTGGAAGGCTGAGGTGGGAGGATTGCTTAAGGCTGGGAGGTTGAGGGTACAGTGAGCAGTGATCATGCCACTGCACTCCAGCCTGGGCAACAGAGTGACACTGTCTCAAAAACAAACAAAAAACAAACAACACCCCACACCCCACCCATCAACCAAGTACCTGACCCAGTTTCCGGTGAAGCCATTTTTCTCCCTCAACCCATTTCTCAATAATGCTGAGGATATCACTGAAACTCAACACAGGTCATGTAGAAGTTGCTGAAGATTTTGGTATTTTTTAGTTAATTGATCATGAGATTAATACATTCCCTATATCCTGAGAGTTTGAAGAAATGGGAGAAACTGCAAAGCCAAGTATGTATATTAGGGTTAACAGCACAGTAATTAAGAGCTCAGATTTTATTAGCCGGGCATGGTGGTGTGCGCTTGCGGTCCCAGCTACTCAGGAGGCTGAGGCAGGCAGATGGATTAAGGCTGGGAGGTCGAGGCTGCAGTGAGCTGTGATTGCGCCACTGCGCTCCAGCCTGGGTGACAGGAGACCATCTCAAGAAAACGAAACAAAACAAAAACCCTTGGCTGGGCATGGTGGCTCATGGCTGTAATCCCAGCACTTTGGGAGGCCGAGGCGGGTGGATCCCCTGAGGTCAGGAGTTCAAGACCAGCCTGACCAACATGGTGAAACCCCATCTCTAGTAAAAATACAAGAATTAGCTGGGCGTGGTGGCACATGCCTATAATCCCAGCAACTCTGGAGGCTGAGGCAGGAGAATCGCTTGAACCCTGAAGGCAGAGGTTGCAGTGAGCCGAGATCATGCCATTGCACTCCAGCCTGGGCAACAAGAGCAAAACTCCATCTCAAAAAAAAAAAAAAACCCTCAAACTTTGATGCCTATGTCCCAGCTTTGCCAAATTCTTGCTGAGAGCCTGATGAAATCGCTTCTTGAAGCCTGTTTCCTCCTACATAAAATGAGGCCAATGCCACCTGAGCTGGTGGGGTTACCATGAGAAGTAAGTGAAATGATGCATGTCAGCCCAGAGCACAGTCCTGACACACAGCGACAATCATCCTCAGCACCCTCATTGTCACTGTGCCCTGCAGCTATGGCCAGGGACAGCTGCCCTCTGCACCTGGCTATGATGGGATAGAAAGTGAGCTTCCTAATGAGGATGAGTCCCAAACATACAGTATGGCCTCTCCTGTCCCTCTGTCACTTTGTGAGCCTAGGGATAAGTGGTGCTCCAGAAAAAAAGGGGGTAGATGAAGGTCCCCACAAGGTCAAGACACGGAGTTGGAATCCATCATTTGACATTTCAAGAGCCCAATAGAATTTTTGAGGAAGGACAAGAGGGGCAGCTGTGTCAGAATGCACAGTGGAAGGGGCTCGGGGATTGCATTAGGGACACAGCAAGAATCCAACCAGCCTTAGTCTGAAGTCCAGGAAGTGGAAGGGATATTTACTTACCTTCCTTCCTAACTGGCTTGCCATCCCATGCACAGAAACTTCACATTATACCACTAGGAGGCCTCCATAGGCACAGAGTCTTGCAGCGGGATGGGGAATGAGAAGATGCCAAAGAAACCCAAGACAGGCCGGGCGCGGTGGCTCATGCCTGTAATCCCAGCACTTTGGGAGGCCGAGGCGGGTGGATCACGAGGTCAGGAGATCAAGACCATCCTGGCTAACACAGTGAAACCCCGCCTCTACTAAAAAAAAAAAAAAAAAGAAAAGAAACCCAAGACATCCTCTTTCTGGAAAAGATTCACTAGGATGCAATTTATCAGCACATGTCAGTTATCATCAGGATTTCCTTGCTTATCTAAAGGCCATTTATGAAGTATCCTTCAGGCCCCTGGAAGCTAACCAAAAACCAGAATGAGAGACCAAAGGCCTTGTGATACCCCTTCTGGAGCAGTCAGAGGATTACGAAGCCCATGCGCTAAAGGTGACATACTTTAGCTGCAAGGGAGTCCCTAAAACCCTTGCTCACTGACTGCCTTGTTTTCCCTTAGACAGAGTTTTAAATAATGTGGCTGATTTATCAGTCCATTGCGCATCGAAAGTCATAAACTTGAAGTGGCCAGGGAGGGCTGCTAGGGGCTGGTGCGTTGAAGAGCGATGGTTGCAGCCTGACCACAAATGAGACAACACCAACTCTGAACAGCAACGCAGCACAGGGGGCAACCCCATGCAAGCCAAACAGCTTTCTGCACCTTCCTAGATCAGAGGACACCACTTCTCTGACATGAGACCTGGTCACAAATATTTTGGCTTTCTTGGGATGTTAGGAATGGCCACAGGACGTGCTTTGGCTTATGACACATGAATAGAAATAACGAGAGTCACTCCCGGGCAGAAGCTCTCAGAGCTAGCGGGTGATTCATCAGGCTTTCTTCCTGTTCCACCATGGTGAACAGCAACACTTTCTGATAATGGCAGCTCTACCAGCCTGGATCCTAGAGTGAGGATAAAAATGATGCAGAGCAGAGCCTGCAGCCGATCAAAGAGCACAAGTGGCATGGGCAAGAAATAAACTTTTGTTGCTTTTGGGATTGCCTGTTACCACCATACAACCTAGTCTATCCTGACTGGAACATCCTAAAAGGTTGAACGAGGTCAGCTCACTTTGATTAAAAAGTGTGTGTATTATCTTTTTGGTAGATTACCATTCAAAATAATCAATATTATATTTTGCTGCCTCTAGGATAATTTTCAATTATATGGAAAATTCACATACTCTAGTGTTTGCTGGATAAATGAGTGATTACCAGAACATGAATTGAATGAAGGAAAGGGATCTAGTTTCTGGAACACTCCCTTCACTAGGGAGGCTCCAGGTCTCTTGTTCATGGTTTTGTAAAATTTACCTGTGTTATTTATGGAGCTAAGGTAGAACCTGGGTCTCACATGCTGCTACTGCCAGAACCGGCCTCTCAGCATTTGTGGAATCAGCACAAGGGTGGCGTATGCTCAGGATTGGCCTACGGCTGGTTCTGCAAGTGCTGAGGGTCTCTGGTGCCCATGTGGTAGTTGGAAGGCCCCATTATATATCTGTCTGTGCTCTCATAGAAGGAAATCTATGGGCTCGGCACGGTGGCTCATGCCTGTAATCCCAGCCCTTTGGGAGGCCGAGGCAGGTGGATCATCTGAGGTCAGGAGTTTGCGACCAGCCTGACCAATATGGTGAAACCCCATCTCTACTAAAAAAATACAAAAATTAGCTGGGTGTGGTGGCGTGCACTTGTAGTCCCAGCTTCTCAGAAGGCTGAGACAGGAGAATTGCTTGAATCTGGGAGGCGAAGGTTGCAGTAAGCCGAGATCATGCTACTGCACTCCAGTCTGGGTGACAGAGTGAGACTGCATCTCAAAAAAAAAAGACAGAAATCTATGATGTGTTCTTGAGTAAAAGAGCAAGCCAACAACTTCTTCAGAATATATAGTCTTTTTAAACATACATGGCACATTTACAACATTGATCTCATACTAGGCCAACAACCAAGTTTCAACAAATTTTGAAGGATGGAAACCATATGGGTCATTTTCTCTGACCACAAAGCAATCAAGCTAGAAAAGAAACTATAACTAGAAAAATCTCATGTTTGGAAGGTAGGAAATATACTTTTAAGTAACCCATGGGTTATACATCCTCTCACTTAATCCTCCTAACTATTCATAACGCAGACCCTCATTTTAGAAACGCAGGAGCTGAGATAAGAAAGAGAATACCATTTGCTCAAATTTACCCAGTTGGCAGTGGTGGAGCCAGGACTCAAAACCAGGCTCTGTAACTTTAGAGCCCAGGGCTTTAATGATACCCTTCTTATGCTATGTCTCATGGGAATTCAAAGATCCTCCCTCACAGCCTCAACGATCTGCTGTTTCACCTCTTAGAATGGCCAGTCACTGACAGGTGGAGATCTAGGCCCAGCTTGCTCTGGTGGCCCTGACCATGGGCCATTGTGTAGAGATGCATTTCCCTTTTGCTCTTACCTACTTGGACTGAGGCACGAAGTCTTGAGTAGTGGAGAAGAGAGTTTCAGTTTGATGCCCCCAAATAGCTTTGAACTGGATCCCTAAGAAGACTTCCTTCCTTTTAAAGTTTTTTTCCCACATGGGCCCAAGTAGTAAGCGAACACAGAAGAAAGACAGAAGGAAGTCAATTCCAGATGGCTCTCCATCTTGCTCTACTGCAGATTAAACAGAAAATTCCAACATAACATTAAGCAAACAAGAGTATTAATATCATTCATATTATAAACAGAACAGAATGGAAATTCAGTCTGTATCTGACTTAAATTTGGGGCAAGGGCCTCAGAGCCAGAAAACAGACAATAAAAGCACCCTGATTCTGAGCAAGTTGGAGGTTTATAATATTTGAGGCAAGAAAAAATGACCAAGGTACTCCTAGGCCTCTCTGGGAGTGGCCTTCTGCGTTTTTAAATTTTATTTATTTTAAATTTTTCTTTTTCTTTTTTTTTTTTTTAAGACAGAGTCTTGCTCTGTCACCCAGGCTGGAGTGCAGTGGCGCGATCTTGACTCACTGCAACCTCCGCCTCCTAGGTTCAAGTGATTCTTCTGCTTCAGCCTCCTGAGTAGCTGGGATTATAGGCGCCTGCCATTACGCCAGGCTAATTTTTTGTATTTTTAGTAGAGACGGGGTTTCACCATGTTGGCCAGGTGGTCTTGAACTCCTGGCCTTAAGTGATCTGCCTGCCTTGGCCTCCCAAAGTGTTGGGATTACAGGCATGAGCCACCACGCCCAGCCTTCTTTATTTTTAAGATGGGGTCTCGCTCTACTGTCCAGGCTGCAGCTGAGTTTTAGCTGACCAAACTACTTCTCTGTTGTGGCAAAGGCCTGTGCAAATGGCCATTTAACACTGTTGTTCTGTCATCTTCCCCATCTCAACCTGCTTTTGTTGTTTCCTATCAAGATACACTTAGCAAAACCCCCAAAGACATCCAGAGCTTCTGAGGTACCTCTGTGTACCTCAGTTTTTCTCCCTGTGCTGTGAGAGCCATGCTGTCTGCCACTCTGTGGGCTCACAAGTATAACTTACTACTGTAAGTATAAGTAGTACTATGTTCCATACAATGAGAAGACTTGGAAATAAATAGAAAATGTGATCACGGCTCACACCTAGAAATTTACATAAAGTGCTCAGACTTCAACAAGTGGCCCTGGGGAGGGAGAAGGCTGAGAGGTAGGAAGAGATGGTGTTGGGCTGGGCTAGAGTCTCTGAAGGTAGGGATTTTCATTCTGTCCTTTGGCTTCATCTCTTCCACTGAAGCAGCAGCACTGGCCGGGGGTAAGGGAATGAGCTTCGCTGGGCTGAGTCTTCACATCCAGGCCTCACAGTGCTCAGCCCGGGGCCTGGGTCTCCCCCAGTCCCACTCTACTGCTTGTTCCCCACTCCATCAAGGTCCCAGAAAGTCTGTTTGTCAATCAGCAAGGGATCCCAGTCCCAAAGTGATTTTAAGATCAAATCTAAGATCAAAGTACCCAGTTATCCAAGCAGCAGTGTGATTACACCTTTCAATCTGTGAAAAGGGGTCACGTTGATCACTTCTTGATAGGAGCTCATGGGTGCCCTTGGGTAGCTCCCAAATGAAAACTTGGCTGAAGTGACTTTACAAATGGCCAGTTGTGCCTACAGGCTGGACAGATGGTGGGGGGCCCCTGGGGTGAGCGACGGTCCAATGCCTTCAATAAGGTTGTTCCATTGATTATAGTCTTCTTTCAGGTCTGAAAAGGAAAAAAACAGGAACATTAGGCAAATCATTGTGAGGTTTGGTCAAAGAGTAGCTGACATGCATTGAAGGGGTCATCCTAGAGAGAGGAGCGCCTGGGATACCAAAAGGACTGGTTTTGGTGGGGTTGTGTGGTGGTGGCGGTAACGATAACTATCATTTATTCAGTGCCTTTATAAATGACTTACATAATCCATAACAATTCAATAACGATAATAATAACAGAGGGTAACATTTATTGATGGAGAATTCATTCTAAGGATTGTACTAAATGCTTTACATTCATGGTTTCATTTAATTTTCACCATATCCCTATGAACTAAGTATTAATACTAATCTTATTATGTAATTCAGGAAACTGAGGATCAGGGAAGCTACCTGAGTTGCCCAAGGTCATTAGAGCTATTAAGTGGTAGAGACAGAATTCAAATCCAAGTCAGAAAGGCAGAGAGGGCTGGGCATGGTGGCTTATGCCTGTAACCCTAGTGCTTTGGGAGGCTGAGGCAAGAGGATCACTTGAGGCTAGGAGTTCCTAGACCAGCCTGGGCAACGTAGCAAGACCTCAACTCTACAAAAAAATTAAGAAATTAGCTAGGTATGGTGGTGTGTGCCTGAAGTCCTACCTACTCAGGAGGCCAAGACTGGAGGATTGCTTGAGGCAAGGAGTTGGCGGCAGTGAGCTGTGATAATGCCACTGCACTCCAACCTGGGCAACAGCAAGACCATGTCTCAGAAAAAAAAAAAAAAAGGCTGAGAAAATGAAAAGTCTAGTTCCAGGCTCAAGGAGGTTACTAGGCAAAAAGCAGTATCTGACAGCTCAGCCTGTGGGTGCAAATCCAGGACCACTTCAGTGAAGGGCAGGAGCAAGAGGACAGCAACATCATGGAGCAGCGAAACTCCAGGAATGACTCAAGAAGGGGCCCTGAGCTCACAGCCAATAGGGGTAACTACACGGCAAGAACAGGCACAAAGGGTCCAAGCCCTCAGGCTGAGGGAGCAGGGCAAGCTAAGCAGATGAATGGTGTCCTTCCTCAAAACAAACAGACTCTGGGACAGAAGGCAGGGACCACTCTCATGCATTTTTGGATTCCCAGTGCCCTGCCAGGAACCTGGCACGGAATAGGTCCTCAATGTATAAGTACTACATAGTCATTAATTCAAAAAACAATAAGCACATCCACTATGTGCCACACTCTGTTCTTTGAGCTAAAAATATATCCACAAACAAAACAGATGGAAACTGCTGTCCTCACAGAGCTCATCATCTAGTGGCAGAGACAAACAATAAACATAATAACTATATAGGATGTGAAAAGGGGAGAGGTGCCATGGAAAAAAAATAGAGCCCGTTAAGGGAAGCACTGGTGGTGGCCAGGGGTTGGAGTGAAGGGAGAAAGGAAGGACCCAATGTTTTTTGTTTGTTTGTTTTTTCTTTGAGATGGAGTCTTGCTCTGTCACCAGGCTGGAGTGCAGTGGTCAATCTCGGCTCAACGCAACCTCTGCCTCCCAGGTTCAAGTGATTCTCCTGCCTCAGCCTCCTAAGTAGCTGGGACTACAGGCATGCACCACCACACCCAGCTAATTTTGTATTTTTAGTAGAGACGAGGTTTCACCATGTCGGCCAGGACGGTCTCGATCTCTTGACCTTGTGATCCGCCCGCCTCGGCCTCCCAAAGTGTTGGGATTACAGGCGTGAGCCACGGTGCCTGGCCAGGCCAATGTTTTAAAAAGGGTGGTCAGGGTGGGCCTCACTGAGAAGGTGAGATTTGAGGCCAGGCTTGAAGGAAGTGGGAGTGTGCCACGAGACTATCTGAGAGGAATGTTCTAGACAGAGGGAGGAGCAGTGCAAAGGCCCTAAGGCTGCAGCGTGCCTGGCGCGTTCGAGGCTCATGTGGTGAGAGTGAAGTGAGCCAAGGGAAGAACAGCAGGGGAGGAGGCCAGGAGGGACTGGAGGGCCACATGACATATACCTGGCAGGATAATCGAGTCTGGCTTTGGCTCTTAGGGAGACTGGGAGCCACTGGAGAATTCGGAGCAGAAGAGTGAGAAGATCTCACTAAATTCCTAAAAGGATCACTCTGGCTGCTCTATGAAGAAAAGACTCTTCAGTGCTCGCTTTGGCAGCACATATACTAAAACTGGAACAATACAGAGATGAGCACGGCGCTTGCACAAGGATGACATGCAAATTCGTTAAGCTTTCCATATTTTTAAAGAGAAATAAATAATAATACCATGATTGAGGAAGCCAAAATAATAAATAAATAAATAAAATGACTCTTCAGTAAAGTTTCAGGATACAAAGTTGGTGTACAAAAATCAGTGGTGGTGATTTTTCTGGGTGCACTGGCTCATGCCTATAACACCAGCACTTTGGGAGGCTGAGGCAGGAGGATCGCCTGAGCCCAGGAGTTTGAGACCAGCCCAGGCAATAAAGTGAGACACTGTCTCTATAAAAAACAAATGAAGAAACAAACAAAAATATCAGTAGCATTTCTATACACCAATAACAATCAAGCTGAGAACCCAATCATAAACTCAATCCCATTTGTAATGGCCACCAAAACAAAAACAAAAACAAGAACAAAACAAAACAAAACCTAGGAATACATTTAACCAAGGAGGTGAAAGATCTCTACAAAGAGAGCTACAAAATACTGATGAAAGAAATTGTAGATGACACAAACAAATGGAAAAAACATCCCACACTCATGGAATGGAAGAATCAATGTTGTTAAAAATGACCATAATGCTCAAAGCAATTTACAGATTCAACGCAATTCCTATTAAACTACCAACGCCATTTTTTACAGAATTAGAAAAAAAGTCCTCAAATTCATATGGAACCAAAAAAGAGCCTGTCAAAGCAACCTTAAGCAAAAAGAACAAAGCTGGAGGCATCACATGACCCAACTTCAAATTATACTACAAGGTTATAGTAACCAAAAGAGCATGTTACTTGTATAAACACAGAAAAATAGATAAATGAAACAGAATAGAGAACCCAGAAATAAAGCCCCCATACCTACAACCAACTGATCTTTGTCAAAGTCAACAAAAATATATACATGGGGAAAAGATACCCTATTCAACAAATGGTGCTGGAAAAATTGGATAGCCATATGAAGAAGAATGAAACAGGACCCATATCTCTCAGCATATATAAAAATTAACTCAAGATGGATTAAAGACTTAAACATAAGACTTGAAACTATAAAAATCCTAGAAGAAAAACTCTTCTGGACATTGGCTCACGCAAAGAATTCGTCCTTAAAAGCAAATGCAACAAAACCAAAAACAGACAAATGAGACTGAATTAAACTAAAAAGCTTATGTACCACAAAAGAAACAATCAACAGAGTAAATAGACAACCTACAGAATGGAAGAAAATATTTCTGAACTATATATCCAACAAAGGGCTAATATCCAGAATCTATAAGGAAAGGCTGGGCATGGTGGCTCACGCCTGTAACGCCAGCACTTTGGGAGGCCAAGGCTGGTGGATCACTTGAGGTCAGGAGTTTGAGACCAGTCTGGCTAACATGGTGAAACCCTGTCTCTATTAAAAATACGAAAAAATCAGCCAGGCATGGTGGCGGGCACCTGTAATCCCAGCTACTCAGGAGGCTGAGGTAGGAGAATCACTTGAACCTGGGGGGCAGAGGTCACAGTAAGCCGAGATCACACCACTGCACTCCAGCCTGGGTGACAGAGCAAGACTTTGTCTCAAAAAAAAAAAAAAAAAAAAAAAAAAAGAATCTACAAGGAACTCAAACAACTCAACAAGAAAAAAAAAAACACATAATCCCATTAAAAAGTAGGCATTCTGCAGAAACTGGACTCAAAAAAAGAAAAAAGTGGACAAAGGACATGAATAGACATTTTTTTCAAAAGAAGACATACAAGTGTCCCACAAACATATTTAAAAAAAAAAGTTCAACATCACTAACCGTCAGAGAAATGCAAATTAAAACCACAATGAGATACTACACCAGTCAGAATGGCCATTATTAAAAAGTCCAGAAACAATAAATGCTGGTGAGGATGCAGAGAAAGGGAACACTTATGCACCGTTGGTAGGAATGTAAATTAGTACAACTTCCATGGAAAACGGTATGGAGATCCCTCAGAGAACTAAAAATAGAACTACCATTTGATCCAGCAATCCCACTACTGGCTATCTACCCAAAGGGAAAGAAATCATTACACCAGAAAGACACCTGCACACATATGTTTATCACAGCACTAGCCACAATAGCAAAGATATGGAATCACCCTAAGTGCCCATCAACAGAAGATCTGATAAAGAAAATGTGGTGTACAGATATACCATGGGATACTACTCAGTTATAAAAAAAGAACGAAATCACGTTTTGCAGAACCGCAGGCCATTATCCCAGGTGAAATAACTCAGAAACAGAAAGTCAAATACCGAATGCTGTACCGAATGCTGTCACTTATAAGTGGGAGCTAAATGATGGGTACACATGGACATACAGAGTAGAAAAATAAGACACTGGAGACTCCAAAAGGTGGGCAGGTAGGAGAGGGGTGAGGGCTGAAAAATTACCTACTGGATACAATGTTCACTATTCGGGTGATGGGTACACTAAAAGCCCAGACTTTACCACGTGCAATATAGCTGTGTAAGAAAATTGCACTTGTACCCCCTACATCTATACAAATAAACCCAGCACTTTGGGAGGCCAACACAGGCAGATCACAAGGTCAGGAGATCAAGACCATCCTGGCTAACATGGCGAAACTCCATCTCTACTAAAAATACAAAAAAATTAGTCGGGCCTGGTGGTGGGCGCCTGTAGTCCCAGCTACTCGGGAGGCTGAGGCAGGAGAATGGCGTGAACCTGGGAGGCGGAGCTTGCAGTGAGCCGAGATCGCGCCACTGCACTCCAGTCTGGGCGACAGAGTGAGACGCCTTCTCAAAAAAAAAAAAAAAAAAAGACTGTGAAGAGAGGGACTGGCAAGGGTGGTAGTGAGGAGACCAGTTAGGAAACCACTGCACTAATTTGGATGAGAGATGATTTGGACAGGATGGTAGCTGTGGGGTGGTGACAAGTGATTCAATTCCATGTGTATTTTGAAGGTAGAGCCAATAGGATTGTTTGAGGGACTGGGTAGGAGGCATGAGAGAAGAGACAAGGATGAAGACTTTGACCTGAGTAACTAGAAGGATGGAGCTACGATTAACGAAGAAGGAAAAGAGTGCAGTTGAAATTGGTTTTGTTTGTTACTTCTATTAGATGACTAAGTAGAGTTGGGGAGCAGTGGCAGAGGGAGTCCCCAGCATGGAGTTGGCACGGAAAGCCATTAGAAGAGGTCCAGGCACTGGGCCCCGCAAGCAGCACAGCAGATGGAAGAGGCCCAAACATGGAGATAGGGGGAAGTCCACAGTGTGGATCTCTGAAGTGAAGATGGGGGTTTCCCAGAGGAGGGGGCCATCAACTTTATCAGAAGCTGCAGAGAGTTCCAGAAGTTGGGGAATGAGAACTACTGGAGCTAGCATTGTGAAGGTCACTGGGCACCCTGACAATAGCGGTTTTGATGGAGTACTGTGATGCAAAAGCCTGGAGTGGGTTAAGAGGGAATGGGAAGAGAGGAATTAGAAAAAGCGAAAGCAGACATTCTTTTGAGTTTTGCTGTGATGGGGAACAGGGAGATGGGTGGCAACTGCAGGGGATATTGAGGTCAAGAGAAAGTTATTTTTTTCTAGGAGAAACTTCAGCATGAAATGAACCAGCAGAGAGGGAAAAATTGATGATCTAAAGTAAAGAGGGGCTGGGCATGGTAGCTCACGCCTGTAATCCCAGCACTTTGGGTGGCCGAGGTGGGCGGATGACTTGAGGTCAAGAGTTTGAGTCCAGCCTGGCCAACATGGCAAAACTCCATCTCTACTAAAAATGCAAAAATTAGCTGGGCATGGTGGTGGGTGCCTGTAATCCCAGCTACTCGGGAGGCTGAGGCAGGAGAATTGCTTGAACCTGGGAGCAGAGGTTGCAGTGAGCTGAGATGGCAGCTACTGCCTTCCAGCCTGGGTGACAGAGTGAGACTCTGTCCTAAATAAATAAATAAATAAATAAATAAAATAAAGAGGGAAAAATCACTGGCGCAATCATGTTGAGCAGACAGAAGAGGATGGAATCTTGTGTTGGGGGGTTGGCCTTAATGAGGCAACTGAGGTGGGAACTCTAGTAACCGAAAGGAAAGCTGATTATACACAGGAAGGTGGGGAGAGGTGGTGTTGGGAGTCTGAGGAAGTGCTGGTTGCTTCCATTTTCTTGGTGAAGTGGGAGGCAAAGTTAACTGAGAGACAGGATAAGGGAAGAGGTGTGAGAGGTTCGAGGAGAAAAAAGGTGTGAAATAGTCTTCCAGGAGAGTGGGAGAGGAGAGTAGGTGGAGACAGGAGCTGCATGGAGTTAATATGAAGGAAGCACCAGTCTTCATAGAAGATCATATCCCCAGAACAGCCAAACAAGTGCTCTCAGAAGGAATTTTTTTCAGAGTGAGAGGTTCAGCTGAGCCACTTACAGCCTATTTTAGTTTCCCATGTGACAATGTACTGTGTGCCTACTAAAAGCTTTTCTCTCTTTGTAAAGCTAATTTGCCCAAGCCCACAGCCTTGGCCTTTTTCTTTTCTTTTGAGACAGGGTCTCACTGTGTTACCCAGGGTGGAGTGCAGTGGCACAATCACAGCTCACTGCAGCTTCAACCTCCTAGGCTCAAGCAATCCTCCTGCCTCAGCCTCCTAAAATGCTGGGATTATAGACGTGAGCCACTGTGCCCAACTTTTTCAGACTGTCTTATCTCTTATCACTCGGATTACTGCAAAAGCCTCCTACCTAAGAGCTCCCTGCCTCTCACCTTGCCCCATCCTCCACAATGCACCAGACTGTGAACACAAGTCTAATCACAACATTCACCTGCTTAGAACTCACCAGGGGCTCCTGACAGCCTGTGGAATAACATTCAAACTCACTTCAGCAAATCCATAGGCTTCTTCCTCTGGCTTCTGCCCACTTCTCTATCTTTGCCTTTCAACAATTCACTCTCCTGAGCTCCAGATACACTAAACACAGTTTCCCAATCCTGACCAGGCCCACTCAAGCATTTATGCCTTCTGTCCAGAAGACCCTCGCCCTTTCCTGCCTGTGAACCCTCCACTAAGATTAAAGGCAAACATTGTGTTGTCAAGGAAGCCCCCTTTCCTAGCTGTTCTTCCTCTCCTGTCAAAGTTAGGAGACTGTCCTCCGTGTGGACAGTCTAAAGACTGAGTGCCTACTGTGGCCATGGAACTTATCACTCTGAATTGTCACCAGAGTCACCGCCAGCATAGTGAAGTGACTAAGGGCATGGGCCTTGGAATTGGCCAGTCTAGGTTACATATTGGCTTTGCCACTTGATAACCAGATAACCTTAAAGAAATTACTTAAATTTCCTACGCTTTGGTATCCTCCCCTGTAAAATGCAGTTAATAATAAAGGTATCTACTGGAAAGGGCTGTCTCTAGAATTACACGCGATAAAGCAGGAGCAGAAGGCCTGGCATAAAGTAAGTCCTCAAAAATCTTCTTTCAGTCTAAGTGCCTCCTACCTCCCATTTCCATGTCTGCTAGCAGGTTTCTAACAGTGAGTATCTTAGCTCAACGGGTATTGCTTTTAAAGGGAGCCCAATCGTGCCATGGTGGGCTTCCCATCATCTTTCATCTTAAGCTTTTATAATGACATGGTGCCTATGAGGGGACAGGGGAAGGGGGCTGAGGACCAGGCAGTCAGGCGCCATTAAAGTCTTGAGACATGGGTCCATTCCCTGCTTGCCAGGTGATAAGAATGATGCCCTAAAATCTCTTATTGACCCTAAGGTCTCCAAACACAGGCTGGAATCAAGGCTCACGATGTGTAAGATGAAACGAACAGGCAGAAATATAAAAATGAAAATTTACTTCCAAAAAGTCAATAAATGCGTAAGACAGATGTGTTTTAAATGCAAACTCAATCCAGGCTGTTTGTTGTGCACTTGTGAGGAATGTGAATGCACTCAGGTCATCCAACTAAAAGGCTAGTGTCCAGAGCACAGAGACGGCCAGGCGCGATGGCTCACACCTGTAATCCCAGCACTTTGGGAGGCCGAGGCAGGTGGATCACTGGAGGTTAGGAGTTCGAGACCAGCCAGGCCAACATGGTGAAACCCTGTCTCTACTAAAAATACAAAAAGTAGCTGGGTGTGGTGGCACATGCCTGTAGTCCCAGCTACTTGGGAGGCTGTGGCAGGAGAACTGCCGGAGAATCGCTTGAACCCAGGAGGTTGAGGTTGCAGTGAGCTGAGATCACACCACTGCACTCCAGCCTGAGAGACAGAGTGAGACTCCGTCTCAAACAAAACAAAACAAAACAAAAAACAGAGCACAGAAGAGACTGTCCAGGATGGCACCGGTCAGACCACATCTAATACATTATAGTCAAGTCAGGGCACCACAGTTTATCTATTTATTTTATTTTTTGGAGACGGTATCACTCTGTTGCCCAGGCTGGAGTGCAATGGCATGATCTTGGCTCACTGCAGTCTTGACCTCCCAGGCTCAAGTGATCCTTCCACCCCAGCCTCCCGAGTAGCTGGGACTATAGGCACATGCCACCATACCTGGCTAATTTTATTTATTTTTTTGCTGAGATGGGGTCTCACTATGTTGCACAGGCTGGTCTCAAACCCGTGGCCTCAAGCAATCCTCCCATCTCAGCCTCCCAAAGTAGCTGGGATTACAGATGTTGAGCTACCACACCCGGCCAGGGCACTACACTTTAGAAGGGGCACCAAAAAACAGCGACTCCAAAGGAAGGGGATAACAAATAGCAACATGGGGAATTGAACCGGGACAGGTGGAGGTACCACGAACATTTAGTTTAATAAACAGAACACTCAGAGAAGACTAGCATAGGTGACTTCAAATATCTAGGGAACTGCCAGGTGCCGTCTGAGGCTTCTATGGGTAGCTCTTGAGGGGTTAACCTGGGCAAGTAGAGGAGGGTTACAAACTAGGAGATCTTGCTCTTAGGTTAGAGTTAAGTCAAACCTTTGAAATTCAGACAAGCCTGGCTCCTTTCTCATGGAAACTGCCCTGCACACAGCACCTGCTGAGGGATCAGAAAGGGACCTCTGATGCAGAGAGCTCAGAGCCTAGCTGGGACGGGGCTACAGTGTGTTCTGGTGGGCAAAGAGGAGCTGATACAATCAAATTGCCTCTCTTGGAAATCTGTTCAAAGAAATCCAAAAAAATATGGCAGTGAGCAGTGGGAGCTGAAGATGAAAGGATGCCGCAAGCTAAAGGGAACACACTCTGAGTGGTTCAAGCCGAGTGAAGTTATGAGGAAGCAGAAATGGAATAAACAGCTGCTATCAGTGAGAGAAAAACCACAGAGCAGAAAAAAAAATGCATAACGGAACAAAGAAAAAGAGATGTCGTGAGAGGAAGACACAGAGAGACTGAACCCATGAGACAGACGGAAAGAAAAGTCAGTCCTGCCAGCCACCCTGATTTCTATAACTGCACTCCCACCCAGTCCAGGTGCACTCTCATAAACAAACTCCCCTTTTTTTCTCAAGCTAAGTTTGTGAACCTCTAGTCTTTGTAACCAATAAAGCTTAATAAGAGGATGCCTCCTCTGGGTGGAAGCTGGACCATGGACCTCTGCAGGCCTCGCCCTTTAGCTGCTCTATGACTGATGACATTATTCATAGTCCTTCCATGCTTTGTTTCTTTAAAACACTTCCATAAATTTAGCCCGTTATCCTCATAAACTCCCCTACAATGCAGATAAGGTGGGCAATAATGAGTCTGGGTAAGGAGAGAGGTGGTGGAGTAGAGAGAGGTGAATACTCCATTTACAGGGAGGAAACCAAGGTTCAGAGAGGTTAAATGACTAGGCCAGGTCATTCTGCAAGTAAGATAGTCAGGATCTCCAAACTTTCAGTTAAGTATTTTTTCTTATTTATTTGTTTAATTATTTATTTAGAAACAAGGTCTTGCTCTGTTGCTCAGACTGGAGTTCAGTGGTGCAATCATGGCTCACTGCAGCCTAGACCTCCTAGGCTTAACTGATCCTCCCACCGTAGCCTCTCGAGTAGCTGGGACTATAGGTGTGTGCCACCACACCCAGCTAATTTTTTTTTTTTTTTGGTAAAGATAGAGTCTCACTATGTTGCTCAGACTGGTCTCGAACTCCTGGCCCCAAGCCATCCTCCCACCTCAACCCACCAAAGTGCTAGGATTACAGGCGTGAGCCACTGCACCTGGACTTGTTTTTTCTGTAATTCTATGTAAGTCTCTCCTTCACTCAGGTTTTCCATTTGCCATAAATCTCCTTCCCAGATCCCAGACATGTCAGAGTTCTCACTCTGCTGCAAGGAAATCTAAGGGACCCCACAGCTGCCCCAAGAGCCCCAGTTTTCTCCTTACCGAGGTGCTTCTGCAGGAAGGCCAACATGGCCCGTACCATAACCTCCTGCCCTTCATAGGGGTCCAGGCTCCCACGGGTTTCAGTGGAGAAGAATTTACCAATCAAGTTGCCAGTCACAAAAGCAAAGTCAGTTTGACTCCGATGAACAGAACCACTAGGGGAAAAGAAAAACAACTGGCAGGGGTCTGGCGGCTAGGGCATACAGATGTGTGTTAGGCACCTACTATGTGCAAGGTGCTTTTCATGTATTATCACACTTTATTTTCACAGCAACCTTGTAAGGGAAGTATTTTCCCCCTTGACAGAATCCAAGGAGAGAAACTATCTGCTTAGGGTCAGGTCATACAAGTAGTTGGGGATGGAGTTAGGATTTGAAGCCAGATGTGCTTGGCTTCAAAGCTGGCTTGACCCGTAGACTACAATGCCTGGCAGTGCAGGGAAAAGGTTGAGCTAGCAGGAGCAGGGACAGGAGCAAGGAGGTGGGATCTGTGGCACGTGGCATTTCTATGTTACTACAATCTATTAGCTGTGGCTTTTGCCTGGTGAATTTCAAACATTCACAAAACAAATGAAGTTATTCTTCAGAACTGTACCACAGAGTGAAGAGGGAAAAGGAATTACTTGCCTTTATTTAAACAATCAGAAAAGTAAGAGTGAGTGCTTTGTAAAAGGGGGTTTCTGGGTTGGAACTTAAGTCCTTTGGCAGAAAATAAATTTAATTTGCAGGTGAAATCCTTGCTAGGTTAATTTTGGGCTAAATTATTCATAACTGAATTTACTAGTCAATTCAGTGAGAGAAAGAGAATCTAAATGCTAAAGTATTTGTCTGATATCACAGAAAAACTGACTTTAAAAAATGCATTAGTTAAGGCACACAAAAAGGTGTATAGAATAATATATGGGATACTTGAGTATCCAGCACTCAGTTGAATAAACGATACATTGCCAGGCGTTAAGTCCCCTGAGTGTACCCCTTCCCAACTGGCCTCACCTCCTTTCCCTCCTGAATCTGACCTGGGGAAGCATTCAGGCAGTGTCTACTGCCATGAAACCTAACTGAACGAGGAGGGGTGGCCCTAGGAAAGAGGGCCAGGACCAAGATGAGCAAGGGAAGAAGCCACTGGCCATACTGCCGGCCCCAGTGCTCGAGGGCTCTGGATTTGGCACTTCAACTACCCAGTGACTCCAAAGGTCCATGGTATGCAGTCACTTGTCATTCTGCTGAAATAGGAACCAGATGGATCCCTGGATCCTGTGTGCCGCTGGGCTCAACTGCAGGGCAGGAGCAGTCCGTGAGATCTCAGCCCGACATCTGTGGCTCAATATCACCTCCCACATGTGGAACATTTCTTAAAGTCACTAAAAATGTTTTTTTCCCTGTGAAAAATGGCTCCCAAAAGAAAACTAACTGATAGTGCTGATGATGGAAGTGAAAAAATGTGGCTTCTCTTGACCAGAATATAGAAGGTTTATGGAAGACAACATATGTTAACAGTGATCTGTGATTCTGGTATTCATGAAGGTCTCTAGAAATGTGTCTGGTGAATATCAAAGGTCTACCATATTCACACTCTTCCAAAGACCCAATAAAATTCCCAAATGAGGCTAGCAATCTCTGGAACTCATCCAAACCCACACCACTTCCTTTCCAACACCCAACCCCATAATGCCCTTTTTCAGAAAGTACTAGGTAAATCCTGTCATAAAGTCAGATAAACTATGGAATAAATCACTGTAGATGGAGCTCAGTGGAGAAGAAGGACAGACAGAAAATTCTAAAAGAATTTAGACTTTGCAATTCAGGAAGTATTCAGGTATCCTACTAATGGGTAGAAAGTTTTGGGTAATCCAGAAGTTAAGGGCACCACAGCAAGTGGCAAATGGAGAGGGCCCTGGGATCACGACCTTGTGGTTTACTCACAGAACGGTTATGATCCTAGACTGTTCATGCTGGGCACATATCTTCTTCATCAAATTGACACTCTCCATTGTCTGGAATTTCTCAGTATTGATAAAGAACACAGGTCCTCGGGCCTTGGGGTAAAAGTCACGTTCCAGAGGAAACATCCAAGCATCCAGAGCCACCGCACACCTGGAATAGGACCAGACATTTGGAATTGCCATGCGGATCCCAGGCAAGAATAGTTAGGGTGGTGGAGGGAAGGGCGGAGTTCCTCCCTCTGGTGGGGTAAAGGCTCAGAAAGCCAGGAGGGGGGTACCAGGGCCCACGGCCTTCAGTCAGGATCTTAGGTAGGGATCACTTTTACTTTTCACCAAAGATCCTTCTAGATTTCAAACTCTCTGAGAACAAGGATCAGATATCCCTCTTCTCCTGGATCTACTCTCAGGTGACTGACCTGAGTTCCACAGAATGGCACTTCATTCATTTAATTATTCATTCATTCAACATTCATTGAGTGTCTACTATGTGCTTTGGATATAGACATAAATGAGTGTTCCTGCTTTCAAGGAGCTCCCAGTCCAGCAGGGAAGACAGAATAGACAAAGTGGCAAAACAATATAACTTAGTGCCCTGATTGCACAAGGTTCTATGTGAGGTCAGGAAAAGCCTCCTTGGTGCCAACAGCAAAACCATGTCACCAAGAGCAATATTATGGGCCTTAAGATTTTGCCATTTCCTTCCTCAGACCCCTGAAATGCTCCTCTATTCTTCTCCATCTCAATAAAGGACAATCATCTTCCACTCAAATAATAGATACACAAATGAAAAACCTTGGGCTGGGCATGGTGGTTCATCCCTGTAATCCCAGCACTTTGGGAGGCTGAGGCAGGAGGATCACTTGAGCCCAAGAGTTCAAGACCAGCCTGGGCAACATAGCAAGACACCATCTCTTAAAAAAAAAAATTAAAAAATTAGCAGGGCATGGTAGCATGTACCTGTAGTCCCAGCTATTTGAGAGGTTGAGGCATCACTTGAGCCCAGGAGGTTGAGGCTGCAGTGAGCTGATTGTACCACTGCACTCCAGCATAGGGCAACAGAGCAAGACCCTGTCTCAGAGGGAAAAAAATAAGAAGAAAAACCTGGATTTCCTCTCTTTCCTTCACCTCCCACATGACCAAATCCTGAAAACTCTAAGACATATCCTGACTCCAATCACTTCTCTCCATCCCACTATCTCAATCCTGATGTAAATTTATCATCTTTCACATTGACTCTGAAACAGAATCTCTCTAATGAGCCTCTAGGCTTTCAGTCTTGTCCTGCTACAATCCATTCTTCACATAGTAGCCAGAAGGATCTTTTAAAATGTAAGACTGATATTTCTCTGTTGAAAATCTTCAACAGTTTCCCATCATACGTAGAATAAAATATACACCTCCTTACCCTGGCCAGATGACCCTGTGATCTGGCCCCTGCTTCTCTCTCTGATCACAGCTTAAATTGCCTCCCCCTCACTCACTACGCTCCTCCCACCCTAACACAGCAAGCTTCTTTCCACTGCAGGGCCTTTGCATTAGCTATTCCTGCTGGCTGGAAAGATCTTCCTCTAGATCTTCACACGACTGGCTTCTTTGCCTTCCCAGTCTTGATTTCACTTTCTCAGAGACATATCAGCCTGTTTTCTTTTTTCTGTTTTTTTTGAGACAGGATCTTGCTCTATTGCCCAGGCTGAAGTGGTGCGGTCAGAGCTCACTGTAACCTGGAACTCCTGGGCTCAAGTGATCCTCCTGCCTCAGGCTTCAAAGTAGCCGGGACTACAGGCATGCACTATCACACTTGGCTGTTTTGTTTTTTTCAATTTTTTGTAGAGATGGGGTCTTGTGATGTTTCCTAGGCTGATCTCAAACTCCTGGCTTCAAGCAATCCTCCTGCCTCAGCCTCCCAAATCGCTGGGGTTACAGGAGTAAGCCAACATGCTCAGCTTTATTTTTCTTCATTGCACTTGGTCATGGGGATTTTATTATCGGTTGGCTTTTTCACTAGTCTGTCTCCTCCCACAATAATATAATCCCATGAAATCAGAGATCTTGTTTTCTTGTTTAACCGCTGAATCCTCAGTCCCTAAACAGTGCCAAGAATATAGTACTTGTGTAACAAATACTTTCTAAATGAATAAACGGTGTATGGAGCTAAGCACAGCAACACTACTAGGAAACTCACCGAAATTGGGTCTCCTTGGCCAAAGCCAGAATAGCTGTGGCCCCTCCAAATGAATGTCCCATCACAGCCACACGGCTCATGTCAATGTTGCCCTGAGGAAAGTGGAGAACTTAGCCAAGTCAGAAACTCAGGACTGCTTCTTTAGGAATTCATCAGGAGCAAGAGGAAGAAATAGTGAGGCAATGAGGCCAAAGGCACAATACAGCAAGTGAGTCCACCAACACCACACTGTCAAGAATCTCTTACCTATGGAAGGGGCAACAGTCAAGCAATCCTTAGACTGAACAGCCTTGTGTAGGCAGGAATTGTGAGAATCACACTTTTCATGTTTACTTT
Source organism: Homo sapiens (assembly GCF_000001405.40). Classification (NCBI taxonomy): domain Eukaryota; kingdom Metazoa; phylum Chordata; class Mammalia; order Primates; family Hominidae; genus Homo; species Homo sapiens. The sequence continues at coordinate 25,977,018 of NC_000001.11, forward strand.
TTTTTTTTTTTTTTTTTTTTTTTGAGACGGAGTCTCGCTCTGTCGCCCAGGCTGGAGTGCAGTGGCGCGATCTCGGCTCACTGCAAGCTCCGCCTCCCGGGTTCACGCCATTCTCCTGCCTCAGCCTCCCGAGTAGCTGGGACTACAGGCGCCCGCTACCACGCCCGGCTAATTTTTTGTATTTTTAGTAGAGACGGGGTCTCGATCTCCTGACCTCGTGATCCGCCCGCCTCGGCCTCCCAAAGTGCTGGGATTACAGGCGTGAGCCACCGCGCCCGGCTCATGTTTACTTTTGTAATCTCACCACCTAACAATAGTGGACCAGGGCAGACATTCAAATATCTATGAATAGGCCGGGTGTGGTGGCTCACACCTGTAATCCCAACACTCTGGGAAGCCAAGGCGGGCGGATTGCTTGAGCTTAGGAGTTTGAGACCAGCCAGGGCTCAAACACAGCAAAACCTTCTCTTTACAAAAAAGTACAAAAATTAGCTGGGCATGGTGGCGTGCAAGTATGGTCCCAGCTACTCAGGAGGCTGAGGTGAGAGGATCGCTTGAGCTCAGGAGGTTGAGGCTGCAGTGAGCCATGATTGCACCACTGCATTCCAGCCTGGGTGAGAGTGAGACCCTGTCTCCAAAAAAAAAAAAAAAAAAAATCTATGAAGAAATGAATGGCTCGAAATGGTCAGATTCCACACTGACCCATCAGTTTATGAGCATGTTAAGAATAAGGGCCACCTCCATCCTCTAGAATCTCTGCCTTATAAACTGGTCCGAGGGTCCATGACACATGGACTGAGCTGAGGGTGAAACGGGGATGCTCCTTGCTGCCCATCCATTGTACTCTGGAGCAAAGACTGCCAGTGCAGGTTCTACTTCCTCTTTGGATATATGTCGTGATTTTTATCCAAAGCCAAGGGGAAGAGTGAGTCTGTGCACTCTAACATGCTTCACACGTATCTATTTCTAGTCGTCCCCAGAAGCCTTCAGGGTATGGTTATATAAAAAGCCACTGCAGCTGCTTGCTAAGGGGCTCTGGAGGCCTCTCCAGGCTCTACAGCCCAGCCTCTGCTCTGAACTTTTGCTCTGCTCTCCCCAGTGTCTATTCCAAGGCTTTGTACCTAAATCCTCCCCCTTCACTCAGTACCCTCGGATCAGCATCTTGGTTGGATGGCCTCTTCAACATTAAAAAAAAATAGGTTAATATATTCATATACCTCTAAAATCAGAGGTATACAAAGAAATCTCCTACCTACCCCTGTCTTTTTCTATATAGTTGCCCGCCACCTACCTCCAAACAGGTAACAGTTTCTTATGTGCCCCTAAGGAGATTGCTTATATTCATAAGTCAACATGAATATATACACTTTCCCTCTTTTCATACACCTGGCGCTGTATATTTTTGTACATAACCACATTAGTATATAAAGTGTTTCCACATCCTTTTTCACAGTGACTTGGCCATGGTACAGACAGCTAGCCGATCACCAAATCTTTTCCTCTTCTTCCTGGTCTCACAGCTAAACTGTTTCCCAGCAGTTAGATAAGGACTTGTGATTGTTCTAGCCAACAGAATGTGAGCAAAAGTGATATCTCTACTTCCAGACCTGGTCCATAAATTGTCTCATACAAATCTCTATGCCCTTTCCCATTCTGTTGGCTTAATGCAAACAACAAATTTGGGATTCACAAATTTTGTGAGAGGGTAGAGCCATATGAGATTATAAAAGGAGCAGGGATCCCTGAGTTGCCTCTTACACAGGAGCACCCATATTGAACTTTATGTAGGAGAGAAATACATTTATACTGTGTTAAGCCACTGAAATGTGGCGTTTACACACTCTAGCAATTAGCATTAACCAAGCAAATACATCCACTGTCCCATAATTAAACCAGTTCCCTCACTGGTGAATGTTTAGGTTACTATCAAACTTTTGCCATAACAAACAACGCTGGAATGAATAACACTGTCCATCTATCATGCTGCATGTGTGCAGGTATTTATTTGTAGGATAAATTCCCCAAACTGGAAATTACTGGGTCAAAGAAACATATGCATTTGTACTGTTGATGATATCAATTGCCACATGTCCTCCATGGGACAATTTGTATTCTCACCAGCAATGTAGGAGAATATCTACTTCCCCACAACTTTGTTAACAGAGTGAGTAATCAATTTTTGGATCTTACTCAATTTGATAGATGAAAATGTACTTAGCTTTTTTAATATGCTGTATTTTCCCCTAAAAGGCTGCCCTCTTAACTAATCTAACTGGACTGTAGCCTGCCATTTACCAATGCCTTTTTTTTTTTTTTTTGAGATAGTCTTGCTTTGTCACCGAGGCTGGAGTGCAGTGGCACAATCTTGGCTCACTGCAACCTCCACCTCCTAGGCTCAAGGTCAAGCAATTCTCGTGCTTCAGCATCCCGAGTACCTGGAACTATAGGCACATGTCACCACGCCCAGCTAAATTTTGTATTTTTTTTGAGATGGAGTTTTGCTCTTGTTGCCCAGACTGGAGTGCAATGGTGTGGTCTCGGCTCACTACAATCTCTGCCTCCCGGGTACAAGCGATTCTCCTGCCTCAGCCTCCCAAGTAGCTGGGATCACAGGTGTCTGCCACCATGCCCAGCTAATTTTTTTGTATTTTTAGTAGAGACGGGATTTCACCATGCTGGCCAGGCTGGTCTCGAACTCCTGACCTAAGGTGGTCCGCCCGCCTCAGCCTCCCAAAGTGCTGGGATTACAGGCGTGAGCCACCACGCCTGGCCTGAATTTTGTATTTTTAGTAGAAATGGGGTTTCGCCACGTTGGCCAGGCTGGTATCGAACTCCTGGGCTCAAGTGATCCACCCGACTCAGCCTCCCAAACTGTTGGGATTACAGGCATGAGCCTGGTTTCCCAGTGCCTTTCTCAGGCATTCAGGCCTGGACCTCAGTGCCCAGGGCACCTCCAAGTCTCGTGGGGGTTGATGATACAAACACTGTAGTTGGTAAAGCACTCTAGATTCCAGGGTCTGCCTTACCTACTGGGCATGCAGGCAGACTGCTTCTCCCTGGAGGATATTACCAAAGCCTTTAAAATATATGTTCTGAAGAAGGTTTGGGGCACACAGCTTAGGCTGTAGAATCAAAAAGCCCCAATTTCATGTTTGACTCTACCACTTACTTAGCTGGGTAATCTTGGGTACTTAGCCTTTTTGATCCTTAGTTTCTTTCTATGTAAAGAGGTATGAATGCTTACTGCATAAGTTTGTGGGAGGAGCTCTTGAAATAGCAAGTCTCATAAAGCAGTAATCGTAAATATATAAGTTTTTTTTTTTTGAGACGGAGTCTCGCCCTGTCACCAGGCTGGAGTACAATGGCGCGATCTTGGCTCACTGCAACCTCCGCCTCTTGGGTTCAAGTGATTCTCCTGCCTCAGCCTCCCAAGTAGCCAGGACTATATGCCCAGCTAATTTTTGTATTTTTAGTAGAGACGGGGTTTCGCCATGTTGGCCAGGATGGTCTCAATCTCTTGACCTTGTGATCCACCCACCTCAGCCTCCCAAAATGCTGGGGTTACAGGCGTGAGCCACCGCACTGGGCCATATTTATATATATATATATATATATTTTATATATATTTATTTATATATTCATATATATACACATATGCACATACACACACCATTCTTATTCATACAATACAATATGATATGGCTATTAAAAATCATGCAGTTGGGTGCAGTGGCTCACACCTGTAATCCCAACACTTTGTGAGGCCAAGGCAGGTGGACTGCCTGGGCCCAAGAGTTTGAGATCAGCCTGGGAAACATGGTGAAACCCCATCTCTACAAAATACAAAAAATTAGCTGGGCATGGTGGCGCACACCTGGAGTCCCAGCTACTTGGGAGGCTGAGGTAGCTACAGTGAGTGGTGATCACATCACTGTACCTCAGCCTGGGTGACAGAGTGAGGCCCTGTCTCAAAAAAATAAATAAATAAAAACAAATAATAAAGGTCAAGCTATACAGGAGGATTGCTTGAGCCTAAGAGTTTGAGTCCAGCCTGGGCAGATAGCAAGACCCTGTCTCTAAAAAAATTTTTTTTAAATCATGCCATACAAAAATATTAATTGGCATAAGAAGATACTCATACTGTCTTGCTAAATGAAAATAAGGCCACAAAACAGCTTGTATTAAATGATAACATAATTGTGTAAAAAAAATATACACATATTAATACATGTAAAAATAACTGGAAGGACAAATATCAAAATATTGAAAAAGGTTTTTCATTTTTCTTCATGCTTTTGTGAAATTTCTTGGTTCTCTGAATACAGCCGGAATGACTTTTGAAATTATGGAGAAAAAAAGATTGGGTGGGGGTGGGGTATGAAGAATGTATCTTCATAAGCACCAAATTCCATGGCCAGGATGGTTTTATACCCTCCCGGGAGGGTTCTTGGGATTCCCTCAAAGGAAGGACTGAGCCTGCAGTGGACACAGGTTGTTTGCTGCTCAGTAGCCTGAATCTTCTCCCCGCCATCCATCTGGTCCTGTGGGTGGTCAATCACCTGACCCAGAAGTGAGAATGTAACCTAGGCAGGCCAATCGGAATACCCTCTCCCTCTGACAAAGGGACTGGCCCAGAGGGGCATGAGACCCACGTAGGGTCACAGCTTTCCCAGATTAGTGGAAGCTAAGACAGTCTCTTTTCTTTTTAAACCTGGAGCTGATGCCTGGCGTGGTGGTTCACGCCTGTAATCCCAGCACTTAGGGAGGCCGAGGCGGGCGGATCACTTGAGATCAGGAGTTCGAGACCAGCCTGGCCAACATGGTGAAACCCCGTCTCTAGTAAAAATACAAAAATTAGCCAGGCACAGTGGCAGGCGCCTATAATCCCAGAAACTCAGGAGGCTGAGGCAGGAGAATCGCTTGAACCCGGGAGGCGGAGGTTGCAGTAAGCCAAGATTGTGCCATTGCACTCTAGCCTGGGGACAAGAGCGAGACTTTGTCTCCAAAAAAAAAAAAAAGCAAAAAAACTGGAGCTGTAAGTTGGTGTGCAGGCTTGAACTGCTAGCGACCACCTTTCTTGCCTAAAGGAGAGAGTCTGGTGAGAAAACCACAGATATACAGAGAAACCAAGCCAGGAGAGGGGAGAGAAGAGTGCCAGGGCTTTGATGACAATGTCTGAGACCCTGGGTCTAACTACACTGGCCTAAAGTTGGCCTTTGATCTTCTTGATAGTTATATGAGCCAATCAATTCTCTTTTGGTTCATACCAGTTAGTTAGGTTTCTGTTACTTGTAACCGAGAAAACCCTGAATACTGGGCTCTAGGTCATACCAATTGCTTCCATACCTTCAAAGTCATCAGATCCAAGCCACCAGGCAAGATGTTGAAGACAGTCTGCCCAGCAGTGACCTCTTGCAGGATCTTCAACACCCGTAAACACTCGCTTACCCGCTGATGCACCTGCAACAGAGACAGTCCCAGTGGGACTGGAACACTCCACAACTGTCCAGCGAGAATCTCCCTCACGTACAGAGCCAAGGAAGAATGCACAGATAGTCTACCCACCCACGCCTCAGCAAGCACCTTGGGTGCCATGTCCTGAGAAGGCTCAGCTACCTTGCAGCTCACATAAGCACTGCCTAACATTAGAACAGACTCAGCCCTGTTGTTCTGACTCTAACTACATAACCACAGGGCTGTCAGAAGGATCCAATGAGATGATGTACATGAAAGCATTTTAAAAACAAAAGGAATTAAGAGTGCTGTTATTAGCAAACCAGTACTGGATTCCACTGCCCATTTACATCAGACATCTATTGTTTTTGTCTCCCAAGCACTTACCCCCTTTCCTTCTCTTGTTAACCCTGGCTTTTGAGGATGGCCTTCCCACTCCCATTCTAACAATGTATTTCTGGTGGGAACTTCCCATTTTGTTACTTCTCCCCAGGCCTGGAATCCCTCTCCAGGATTTTTCAAACTGCAGTTTGGCACCAGGGTAAGGGACTGAGGGAGCAACTCAAACACAGTCCTATTCTCATAGGTGACAAGGCTGAACACACACAAGGTCAGAGCTGTCAAGAGCTGTGGTTCTGACTGGGTGCCGTGGCTCACACCTATATCTCCAGCACTTTGGAAGGCCACAGTGGGAGGATCGCTTGAGTTCAGGAGTTTGAGACCAGCCTGGGCAACATAGCAAGACCCCGTCTCTACTAAAAAAACAAAATTGTGTGGTGGTGTGTGCCTGTAGTCCCAGCTACTCAGGAGGCTGAGGTAGGAGGGTCACTCGAGCCTAGGAGATTGAGGTTGCCATTGAGCCGTGTTGGTGCCACTGCACTCTAGCCTGGGTGACAGAGTGAGACTCTGTCCCAAAAAAATAAAAATAAAAAAAAATTAGCTGCGCATAGTGGTGCATGTGTGTAGTCCCAGCTACTCAGGACACTGAGGTAGGAAGATCTCTTGAGCCCAGAAGATTGAGACTGCAGTGAGCCATGATCATGCCACTGCACTCCAATCTGGGCGACAGAGCAAGATCCTGTCTCAAAAACAAAAAAAAAAACAACTTATGGTTCTAACCTTGGAAAGTAGGCCAGTTTGAAGATGAGACCCACCAACCAAGAGAGAGACAGAAATGAGGATGAAGAACAAATCCTGACGGCATTTAAGTCTGGTTCCAATTGTCCTTCTCTTCCTACAGTCTACTTATATGAGCCCATCATTCCCTTTTTTGCCTAGGTAAGCCTAAGTTGGGGTTCTGTCACAGCAATTGCAAGAGTCCTGATTAATATCCTATGTATTTCCACTGATGTGGCAAACTCAGACCCACTATGACTGACATTTCAAGAGAGGGTTAACTAAAAGTCTTGCTATCAAATATAGTAGGGAGAGAACAGGCTCATTAACTCTCCCTCCCCAACTGGCACAAACTTACCTGGGGATTCCGAACATGAAATTCCTTCTCCCCTTCCTCAACTCGACGGAAAGGGATCCATTCCTCCTGCAGCGATTCATTGGTGGGCTGGTTCTCTTCTGGGGCCTGCTTGCAGAAATAGGTGGTTGCCGCTGACCGGTCCCTGAAATACACACATCATCAGAGAGAAACCAGAAAACATTCTTGAGTTTATTTTTCCCCTTTACCAAAGCCTCCCTTTCATCCAGGAGGCTCTAGATCACCCTTTGGCTAGTAGGGAAGGAGATCTGGGGCATGCATAGGGAAGTGGAAAAAATACAGATTTTAGAGACAGACCTGGGTTTGAATTCCAACTCAGCTATGTCACTTTTGGGAAATTATTTAACATCTTTAAACCTTGGTTTTCTCTCCTTTAAAAGTGGTATAATGCTGGCTTGCACGGTTGTCGAGAGGGTTAGAAATAGTACATTGATAGGGGACTAGCCTATATCCTAGCTCACTGCAGGCACCCAATCCATGGCGGCTCATCCCTCACCTGTGCTCTGGCACAGCAACCACAAAGCCACGTGAGGCCAGCTCCATGCAGAAGGCTGAATACAAAGTCCTGGAGATTCAAAAAGGAACAAGGAAAAGGGATCAAAAGAACAGCCCAGCCTTCACCCTCATTCCAACAATGCTCTGCTAGCAGCCATCTTGTGGAATTACCACATCAACCTTAACTGTCTACCTCTGGCTTCCTTTCACTTGAGAGAGAAATAAACATTACCATATTTAAGTCACTATTATTTGGGAGTTTTCTGTTAAATACAACTTGCCCAATTTCCAATTGATACAGGGAGATCAGGTTCTTAAGTTCCTTTTCACCTTCTCCCACTTTTCTAGGGAAGGCAGTGAACTGGACTTCAGAGCCAGAGAGATTTCTTTTTTTTTTTTTTTTTTTTTGAGACAGAGTCTCGCTCTGTTGCCCAGGCTGGAGTACAATGGGACTATCTTGGCCTCGGCTCACTGCAACCTCTGCCTCCCGGGGTCAAGTGATTCTCCTGCCTCAGCCTCCTGAGTAGCTGGGATTACAGGCGTGCACCACCATGCCCGGCTAATTTTTTTTTGTATTTTTAGTAGAGGTGGGGTTTTACCATGTTGGTCAGGCTGGTCTCAAACTCCTGACCTCGTGATCCGCCCACCTCGGCCTCCCAAAGTGCTGGGATTACAGGCATGAGCCACCGCACCCAGCCAGCCAGAGAGATTTCTGATCCCTTCCCAGTTCAAACTGTGTCACCTTGGGCAAGTCTGCCTTCCAGAGCCTGTTTGCCCAGCTGAAAAATAGGCATTCCTGCCTGTGCACCTCAGAGGGCTATGTGGGAATCAAATGAGACAATGGCACACTGAGAATGGTTAGGTATTTAACTGCACATATTCCAACTTAGGATAGGAAACCATAGGTCCATGACCCATGGGAAGGATTTCAGAGCCTGAATTAACCACAGATGCAATGAGAGGAAACAATGTTCCTTATCCTCCCTTCCTTTTCCCTTGGAATTTCACTCTGGTTAATGAGAGTATTTTTAACTGCCTCGCCCAGGTCTAATGAAGTGTGAAGTCTCAATACAGATTCTTAGACCAAAAGGACCACCTCAAAGTGCTCACCTACTCTCTCCATAAATACCTGTTGGCCTAGGAGGAAAAGGTTTCTTTGCTTCTTTTCCCTGCTAGACTATAATCTTCCTGAAGGTAGGAATTCTCTCGTCTTCACTACTGAATGCCCAGCCCCGGCACACAGCAGGTACTCAATTTATTGAACAAGAAAGCAGCATCAAAAACCACCTACTTGCCTTTCTAACTTCATCTCCATATTTACTCTCCACTTCCTGCCATGGGCTACAGTTACAGGAGTCTATGTTCCTGCTCCTCTAGCAGATGCGATTTCCTCGATTTGTTAATCTTGGTATGTCCCACCTTCCTCTCATGCCAAGGGGCTGGCACAGAGCAGGTGCTCCACAGATGTCTGCTGAATGAATGAGAACCTAGCACAGCACAGCCCTTGTATTCATTCAATAAATACTTATGGCTAAACAACTACTTTCCAGGCACTGTCCTAGAAGCCAGAGCAATAGAAGACAGATGTGGTCTCTGCCTTCAGAAGGCTTACAATCTAGTGAAGAAGACAGGCATTAAAGAATAATTACACAAGTAATTAATTCATTACAATTATGTTAAATGCTGAGAAGTATAGATTGTCTTATGAAAGCACATTCTGGAAAAATTAACCTAATATAATATAGGTGTCAAGATGGGTGTCCCTAGGACAATGACATCCAAACTAAGATCTTAAAGGTAATCTGGAATTAGCAGGAAAAGACGGAGAGGGGCAAGAGGAAGAGAAGAGCAGAACGGTGAATAGTCCAGGCAAAAAGATCAGCCACAAAGCATAGCACAGATGAAGACAGCGAGGGAGGAAATAACCCAGTGCCTTTCAGTAAGTGAAAGAAGGCCATTTTGTCTGGAGAGCTACACTGGGGCAAATAGCAAGGAACAGGCCTAGAAACTTTGTCTTGGACCTGCATTGAGGTAAGACCATGAAAAGAACTGAATTAGGTTCAAAGAGCTATTAAATTTTTTTTTTCTGAGATGCAGTTTTGTTCTTGTTGCCAAGGCTGGAGTGCAATGGCACAATCTTGGCTCACTGCAACCTCCACCTCCCAGGTTCAAGCAATTCTCCTACCTCAGCCTCCCAAGTAGCTGGGATTACAGGCATGCACCACCACACCTGGCTAATTTCTTGTATTTTTAGTAGAGACAGGGTTTCTCCATGTTGGTCAGGCTAGTCTCGAACTCCCAACCTCAGGTGATCCACCCACCTCGGCCTCCCAAAATGCTGGGATTACAGGCGTGAGCCACCGCGCTCGGCCAAAAATTTTTAAGTGGGAAAAAACATTCATTCATTCACTCAACAAATATTTATTGAGTACCTATTATATGCTGGGCACTGCTTTGAGTGCTGGAATGACAAGATCATATTTCGTTTTAAAATAGATCTCCCTGACAGGCGCGGTGGCTCATGCCTGTAATCCTAGCACTTTGGGAGGCTGAGGCAGGTGGATTGCCTGAGGTCAAGAGTTTAAGACCAGGCTGGCTAACATGGTGAAGCCCTGTCTCTACAAAAATTAGCTGGACATGGTGTTGGGTGCCTGTAATCCCAGCTACTTGGAGGCTGAGGCAGAAGAATCGCTTGAACCCGGAAGGCAAAGGTTGCAGTGAGCCGAGATCACGCCACTGCACTCCAGCCTGGGCGACTGATCGAGACTCTGTCTCAGAAAAAATAAAATAAAATAAAATAAAATAAAATAAAATAAAATAAAATAAAATAAAATAAAAAGATCTCCATGGCTACAATGTGGACAATGGTTTGGGGGCTGAGAGGCAAAAACAGATGCCTTTGAGATGTGCAACATTCTGGGACCTAAACTAGACATATATGTTGATGAACAGACAGAGAGAACATTCACAAGCTTAAATAAGAACACATGGGGCCGGGCGCAGTGGCTCACGCCTGTAATCCCAGCACTTTGGGAGGCCGAGGCTGCTGGCTCCACAAGTGCAGGGAGCAAGTCTCTTATTCGCTACTACGCCAATGCCACACACAGAGTGAACCCTCATGTTAAATAAATGACTCTTGGTGGGGCACAATGGCTCATGCCTATAATCTCAGCACTTTTGGAAGGCTAGAACGGGAGGATGGCTTGAGCTCAGGAATTCAAGATCAGCATGGGCAACACAGTGAGATCTCGTCCCTGAAAAAAAAAAAAAAAATTTAAAAATAGCCAGGCGTGGTGGTACGTGCCAGCTACTTGGTGGCTGAGGCAGGAGCACTGCTTGAGCCCAAGAGGTTGAGGCTGCAGTGAGCTGTGATCACACCACTGCACTCCAGCCTGGGCAACAGAATGAGACCCTGTCTGAAAAAAATAAAAATAAAATAGATAAATAAATGATGCTCTGATCACAAAGCTCATGCTCCTTCTAGCATTTCTGGGCTATCACATAGGAGGAAAGCTAAAAGTGTTTATTTATATAAATGCTGGACCATGAGAAGTAAAGCATATAAAGGCTGCTGAAAGGCTCCACAAGGTGAAAAGGACTTGAAAAAGGCCTTCTGGGGAAGGTGAACCCAATGCTATGGGACGAAGCAGATGGGAGATAAGACAGCTAGCAGATGGAAATGTCTTTTTTTTGCCCTTTGAGAATAAGCTAAGACTCAGCAGCTGTCACCAGGCAAGGAGTATGGCAAGGTCTGGGGGAAAGAAGCTCTTACCTGAAGGCTCCTAGGCCATGGGAGAAGATGATCAAGGGGTATCCAGAGTCCTTTGTCTTAAAGGGGCCATTCCAGCTAACAGGCAGGCGACAAGATCCTAGCAGAGACATGGGCTATAGAATATCTGGCTGCCCCAAAGCTGTTATCCCAAGGGCAGCCTGAGTATAGGTATGGGTGGGGACATGTGTTTCTCCCCTCTGGAGAACCACCATCGGCCCCTGAGCAGCTCAGGGCAGTTAATCACCTATTTCTTCTCCCTTTCTTCCCTAGGAAGAGTGAACACAACAGAAAATGGGAAGCTAAGCCAGGCGCAGTGGCTCACGCCTGTATTCCCAGCACTTTGGCAGGCCAAGGAGGGCGGATCACGAGGTCAAGAGACCAGCCTGGCCAAGTGAAACCCCGTCTCTACTAAAAATACAAAAATTAGCTGGGCGTGGTGGCGGGCTCCTATAATCCCAGCTACTCAGGAGGCTGAGGCAGGAGAATCACTTGCACCCTGGAGGCGAAGGTTGCAGTGAGCTGAGATTGTGCCATTGCACTCCAGCCTGGGCAACAAGAGCAAGACTCCATCTCACCAAAAAAAAAAAAAAAAAAAAAAAAAAAGGAAAAGAAAATGGGAAGCTAAGTCCAAAGTGGCAGTACTGAACCCGGGGTAAACTGCTGAGATGCCAAGGCACTGGGTGGAATTCCTAGGTGTGGGACCTTTGGGGGAAGTGGATGACTCAATGTTACCCTACTCAGAAGAGGGGTGACTGGAGGGAAAACTGCAGGAAACTGTACGCTCCTTGACAGTTAAGAATCTTTCTTTGATACACACAATAGCTGGCACAGAGTAGGAATTAATACATGCTAAACAAAGGAGCAATCAGTGCCATTTATGGAACACATTATATGTCCCAAGCACCGCATTAGAGGCTTTACGTACATCCCGTACTACAAACCCCCAAAGACATGTATTTAGACAGGTTCAGTAACTTGCCCAAACCCCATGGCTAGTAACTTATAAAGTCTGGATTTGAATCCAGGAAAGTCTAACTCAGTCACCAAAGCTCTTTCATATGTAATTCTCTCCCAACTCTCCATACCACACTGGCTAATGGATGCCCCTTACAAAAGCCTGGACACTGCAGGCTATAAGGTACTGCGTCCACCTGGGGATCTCCCAGGAACATAACCAAGCAACTGGGAAAGCATGCAGAGGTCAGGCCAGCCCTTACCCACCGCCAGGTTGAACAGCAAGCCCCCGCAGCGCTTATTAAACTGCAGGTACTCGGCCAGGCCAGTGCAGTACTCATAGCGGGGAATCCACAGGGGCTGCTCCATGGTCTCCTCTGCCTTTTGGCAGGGGTAGAAGAGTCGAAAGAAGCTCCCCTGTAGGAAAGAAGAGAGCAGCTGCTCAGAGCAAGGAGCCCAGGCTAGATTTCCCAACAGCCACACTCAGCAGGTGTTTGGGGCACCAGCAAAACAGGGCACCAAAACAGGGAAACTGAAGTTTCAATTAGCATGCCTGAATTTCACATTCAGAAATCTGGAAAGAAGCAATTTGATTTTTAGCATATATGTAAAGCTTACGTTATTTCAAATAGCCAACTGTATTTTGAATTACATTGTGGGAGGGGGCACCAAAAATATTTGAGTGCTTGGGACAATGAAAGATTTAAATCTGGCCCTGAACCTAGGCCTAGAGGAGCCCCAGGAGTTAGAGATTAGTTCTCGTGCTGAACAGGGTGGCCTTGGTAGCTCATCCAGGCCACTCTGCTCTAGGACAGCCCCTGGGAAGCAACAGCACACTCATTTTACATGGGAGTAGGTGAGGGGTTACTAGGAAGTGTGTGCCTCTCAAGGGAGACAGGAAGTCCAAGGGCTAGCAGAGAAAGACCTAGGAACTAAGCCAGGCACAGTGGCTCATGCCTGTAATCCCAGCACTTTGGGAAGCCGAGGTAGGAGAGTCGCTTGAGGCCAGGAGTTAGACATCAGCCTGGGCAACATAGCAAGGCCTCGTCTCTACTATATATACATATATATAAGATAGAGGACCAGTCCAGAAGTCAAAGCAGGAGGGGAAAACAGATCAAGGCAGGAGAGAGAAAAGGAAGCTGTCCCCCTACCCAGGTCAGGGAGTCCAAGGCCAAAGGCACACGCCCATGGCTCTTTCTCTCACACACTCAGATTATGATACGATTAAAACCCTTCCAAGATCAGGCATCTGCCCTCAAGAAAGGTGAGAGGATCTGCGAGCTGCCTCTAAAGCTAGAGTCCCCCCTTTCCTCCTAGGTGGAAAATGAACGCATTATCTCTGTCTATTGGGATGTTTCTAATGTTTGGAAAGAGGAAGAAAAAGCTCAGGAAGACAGACCTGGGGGCTTGATAACCAAATCCAGACCCGCTCTAATTCATTTTCCCCACCGTGGGAATACAGGATCAGACTTGTGATCAGTAAGTCACGGTGCCGGCAGAAGCAGTGCAAACAGAAGAAAGGGAGCTGGGGACACTTACCTGGAGATTCTGACCCTCCATCACATCCCCACAGCCTACGAGGTGGGGTCCTGTGACAGGTGGAAAGCCCACAGACTGGTTGACCCCCATTTCATCACCGGGTGAATCAAATGACTTGCCGGAGCTGAACTTGCTGGCTGGATGGGGGAACACAGAACAGCAGCCGCTTGCTGGTTTCCTCTCGGCTTCCTGTTGCTGAAATGTGTTATCTGTTACCCTGTCCACCCCTCCTTAGCACCTCATCCTCCCTGCCGTCGCTCATTAAATCTTGCACCTACTACTTTGCTACATTGCCTTTGCCAAGGTTGGGGGTTGTTTTTTATTTTGCTAGGGTGAGGAGATGGCTGGAAGACGAAAGAGAGCCATCCATACTCCTTACAGCCCATTAACGTATGTTTATCCAGCAGCTACTGCTGCAGAGACTGTCACACAGACCTTGCTCTCCTGAGGCTAATAGTAACCACTAAGATCCATTATTTACGGTTAGCACTGTACTGACCTCTTTATAGACACTATACACATTGCATCATTTCATTGTCTCAACCACTCTCTGAGGTAGGTACTTTTTTTTTTGAGACGGAGTCTCGCTCTGTTGCTAGGCTGGAGTGCAGTGGCATGATCTTGCTCGCTGCAACCTCCGACTCCCTGGTTCAAGCGATTCTCCTGCCTCAGCCTCCTGAGTAGCTGGGATTACAGGCACGTGCCACCATGCCCAGCTAATTTTTTGTTTAATTTTTAGTAGAGACGGGGTTTCGCCATGTTGGCCAGGATGGTCTTGATCTCCTGACCTCGTGATCTACCCACTTTGGCCTCCCAAAGTGCTGGGATTACAGGCGTGAGCCACCGCGCCTGGCCTGAGGTAGGTACTATTAAGACCTTGTTTTGGCCAGGCACGGTGGCTCACGCCTGTAATCCAAGCACTTTGGGAGGTCGAGGCGGGCAGATCACCTGAGGTCAGGAGTTCAAGACCAGCCTGGCCAACATGGCGAAACCCCGTCTCTACTAAAAATACAAAAATTAGCCGGGTGCAGTGGCAGGCACCTATAGTCCCAGCTACTCAGGAAGCTGAGGCAAGAGAATCGCTTGAACCTGGGAGGCAGAGGTTGCAGTGAGCCGAGATTGCACCACTGCACTCCAGCCTGGGTGACAGAGTGAGACCCTGTCTCAAAAAACAAACAAACAAACAAAAGACCCTGTTTTACAGATGAGGAAACTAAGGCATAAAGAGGTTGAATAACCTTCCCAAGTTACCCAGTGGCAAACCCATCTCTGCCTAATCCGGAAGCTAAGTTCTTAACCATTACTGATCCTGCTCAGGGGGAGATTCAGTTATACAGATGCAAAGTTACTGAACTAAGCTTTTTCTTAAAACCGTTTGATTTTTTTGAGAGACAGGGTCTTGCTATGTTGTCCAGGCTGGTCTCAAACTCCTGGGCTCAAACAATACACCTGCCTAGGCCTCCCAAGTAGCTGGGATTACAGGTAAGAGCCACCACACCCAGCTTTTAAACTACTGAATATGGGGTAGCACTTATGCTGGGCCTTTAAAGATGAGGAAGTTGAGAGGCAGGGGAGGAGGAAGAAAGCACTTATAGAAAAAATCCTAAGAGGAAAAAAAGCAGAGGTAGGGAAAAGTATGATGTGGGCAGTAGATCAAACAGATGCTTTCAGCATGACAGGCATGCACACTCCTGACTAGATAACATTCCTACGGCTCAGCTGCTTCCTAAACTGGTGCCAGTGCTCCCCTAACCCTCTTCAGTTTCATCATCTCCAACACCACCATCATCATCATACTTACTCTGTGCCAGGAACTATGTTTAGTGCTTTTCACATATTATTTTATTTAATTCTTTCAACAGTCCTCTGAGATACGTATTATTATCTCATTTTACAGATGAGGAAACAGATGCTTGACAAAGGCAATTTACCCAATAACATATGGCGAGCAGAGCCAGAATTCGATCATGGACAATGTGGTTGTAACATGAGAATGTCAAACTTCCCAGTGTCCCTTGCCTTGTGATTTGGGTGGGGCTGACCCCTCCTTAACCTCCGGAGTTGAGCCTTAATTAACCGGAGCCAATCAGTCCTTCTTATTCTCCGGTCAGTATTTGGATGAAAAGTGCGCGTATGGCATTAGGTTGGTCCAATAGGCGTAAAACCCGGGACTTTGGTATGACGGTTGAGGGGAGAAAAGTTATTTCCTGTGTTGGACTAGTGTGATGTGCAGATGTCACCTGTCAAGTGGCCTTGAACCACAGCAGCCACTTTTGCCACCTTGAGGATGAAGATACCCATGGTGGATGGGAAAACCAGAAGAATCACAGAGAAATAGAGGCCCATTTGTGAAGACATTAAGAATCCACAGATTAGACCATACCTGAAACCTGACCCACTCCTAGACTTTCTAGTTACATGAGTCAGTAAGTTCCCTTTCTTGGTTAAACCAACTGAAGTTAGATTTCTTTTGGTTGTAACCAAAAGCATCTAAATGGATACACACTGAGTCTGGGGTCCACATGTTAATGATTAAATTATTCTGCTTCCTTTAAGATGCTCTGGGAGGGATTCAGGAGTTCCAGTCAAAGCATGTCTGGGTAAGAAGAGACCTAAGGGAGCATTTCCGTCAATCCCCTCCACAATCGTTTTCCCCTTCTCCGCGTACATACACGTGCTTTACCAGGGAAGACACCAAGGTCCGGAGAGATTAAGTGAGCTGCTCAGAGTCACAAGCAGAACGATGATAACAACACACAGTCTCCTGGTTGTCAGCTGCCACTTGTCTGGTCTCAACAATCCTAACATCATTCTATTTAACTTTGAAAGATAAGAAATTATTTTCTTTCTACTACAGATAGCATCTTCATTTTGTTTCTTTTTAGCAAATTTAAAAACAAACCCAATTCTTTTGAAAAAGAAGCTAAGCTCCTGATGTCAGTGGGTTGTTCAGCCAGAGTGAAGGGGGATGAGCTCTGCTTAGCCTGAGACCCTGACCTTTCCCCATCGCTTGTTGTTGAGGTCTGCAAATGGAAGACCTACTGCTGGGGCCACAAGACACCTGTCACTCACATGACAATGAAGCAGCTGCAAGTTCAACTGTCATAAAAGAAAAGCAGATAAAAGACCACAGGAGTTCTGAGAAGAAACAGTGCTCCTTTAGCTTGGAAGTAGAGAGCAGGGGAAGATGGGAAAGGCTCTTTCAAGCAGGAGAGAGCAAGCAAAGGCACGGTAAGAAGGAAGCTTGTGTGAGAAACAACGCAAGGTGAGAAGAGAAAGTTGTGACCAGATTTGGGGAGGAGCAGTCCCTCAAGTGCTAAGCTAAAAAGTTGGAATCTACTCTGGAAATGAGGTCATGTCCATGAGAGATAGTCTGAAAGAACCACATTGGAGGCCCAGCTCATTTGGTGCCTAGCTTTTTTTTTTTTTTTTTGAGACAGGGTCTTGCTCTGTCTCCCAGGCTGGAGTGCAGTGGCTCACTGTGGCCTCACCCTCCCAGCTCAAGTGATGCTCCCACCTCAGCCTCCTGGGTGGCTGGGACTATAGGCACTTGCCATCACACCCGGCTAATTTTTGTATTTATTTGTAGAGATGGAGTTTCATCATGTTGCCCAGGCTGGTCTCAACCTCTTGGGCTCAAGCGATAATCCTGCCTTAGCCTCCCAAGGTGCTTGGGATTACTGGAGTGAGCCACCGTGCCAGCCCTGCCTAGCTTTCTTATCTTATGCAAGTTATCTGATCTCTCTAAGCTTGATTCCCCATCTGTACAATGGGAACACTATCCATCCTCACAGGGTTGCTGTGGAAATAAAATGAAATAATGCATTCAAAGCATCTGGTGTGGTACCTGACTCTTAGGAAGCATCCAAGAAATGTGCTGATTGAGTGAAAAGTAGAAACACTAGGGTTTGGCCACTGAGTGAATCTGGGGAGTCAAGAGCCAATAAGTCAGGTTTTAAGATTGGGGAACCAGGACAATAGTCCTTAAGCTTCTTATGGGAACAGATTTTTGTCTCACTCTGCATAGAGAACAGCACTTGGGATAGGAATCAGGATAAGCGGACTTGGAAATGGCCAAACAGAAGACAGCAGAACTCTCTGGTGCTCCTGGAAAGTTTCTGGGAAGATCATCAACTAAATTGTTTGGAAATAAAAATTACAGAAGCTAATTGGCCAGAGTGAAGCTAACACGCAAATGAATCTTTATTTCCTGGACTCACATTGACTGATGTCCAAATAGGATGGAGAGATGGAAAAATCCAATCTGAGTTGCAAATTTTGCCAAAGAGACATTTACACAAAGCATCCAGAGTCATTTCTAATAAAAGTCATGGAATTTTCCAAGGAAATCAGTCTATGTGTCTCTACCTTCTTTTGCTCACTTTGTCTAAATAGTTCATGGTAGTACCTGTCCAGAAGCCTCTCCATCCACTGAGGCCCAGTGAAATCTCTAGTCCTCTGTGAAGCTTTCCCAGGTCCTTCCAACCTTTCCTCCTATCATCTCTGATCACTGTCCACATCCATTATCTGGTAACCAATCTTAGACTACTTTAGGGCAGCTCTTGGATTAACACCTATTCTAGCAGTTTTCAACCAGTGACTTGCCTGCAACAGTGGTCCATAGAGAATCTAGATCTTAGGTTCCTGAACCTATTGTCACAATCACCTGGGAAGCTTTTCAAAAATGTATATTCTGGGGGCCCCTATTTCTAGTGATCAATTCGTTTGTAAAAGCTTCCCAGGTGTTTCTGATCAGCAAAGTTTGAGAACCTCTGGTCTAGACTTTGATTAGAAATGTCTCTGGATGAACTTTTCTTTCATTCAGACACGTATGCATGCAGCAGACGCTTACTGAGTATATACTGTGTTCTGGTCCACATTTTCACGACTACGATTTCACTTGCTATAATCCCCATGGCCACCCAGAAGCATGTTCCTATCACTAGACTTAATGTAGTGCCCTGCATATAGCTGGTCTCAATAATTAATTTATCCAATGAATACTATTTAATTTTTGGCACACTTATGCCTCATCTCTTCAGATCTACTCCGGGGGTAAAGATTGGGTTTTATATTTTTTTGTAGACCAAACTGTCTATCTGCATGCTTTCCCCATATAGTTGGGACTCAATAAATGTTCCTTCATTTGGCTATGATTTAAACCCATCTCAAGTCTTCTTTAATCTTTGTTTTTGATCTAAAAATAAGGCTATATGAAATAATGGGGGACAAAGGTTTTGATGACTCTGAATTCTACCCCTGTCACTTATTAGCTGTGTGATCTTGAACAAGTTCCTCAAACTCTAAGCTTCTGATAATTTATTCTCACAACAGAAATAATAACTATGGCCAGACGCAGTGGCTCATGCCTATAATCCCAGAACTTTGGGAGATCAAATGGGAAGGATTGCTTCAGCCCAGGAGTTCAAGACCAGCCTGGGCAACATGGCAAAATCCTGTCTCTATAAAAAAATTAAAAAAAAAAAAAATTAGCTGGATGTGGTGGTATGCAACTGCAGTCCCAGTTACTCAGGAGGCTGAGGTAGGAGGATTGCTGGGGCTTGGGAGCCGGAGGCCACAGTGAACCAAGATTGTGCCACTGCACTTCGGCCTGGGTGACAGAGCGAGGTCTTGTCTCAAAAAGAAATAGTAACTATGGGCCGGGCGCGGTGGGAGGCCGAGGCGGGCGGATCAGGAGGTCAGGAGATCGAGACCATCCTGGCTAACACGGTGAAACCCTGTCTGTACTAAAAAAAATACAAAATATTAGCTGGGCCTGGTGGCGGGCGCCTGTAGTCCCAGCTACTTGGGAGGCTGAAGCAGGAGAATGGCGTGAACCCGGGAGGCGGAGCTTGCAGTGAGCCGAGATCGCGCTACTGCACTCTAGCCTGGGCGACAGAGCGAGACTCCATCTCAAAAAAAAAGAAATAGTAACTACTCACGAGATTGTTGATGAGGATTAAATAATGCATGTAAAGCACTCGATGGATAGAAGGTACTATAACCATAGGAGGCAACTATAATTATTTTAACTACATGCCTCTCAAGTTCCTTATACGTAAAATGGATACTTCGTAAGTGAAAATATTGCCTAGGGCCTGGTGCATTTTCAGTGCTTATAAAATGTTAGGAACTAATTAACAATGCTATGTCTCTCTTTCCTAGCCAAGGTCTCTCATTTTTCCTGGATTAAGCCCTTTGGCAAAACAGATTCTTTCCCAGCAGCCTTTTCAGGCCTCAGACACCCCTACCAAAGCCAGTGTCTACTGAACAGGCCCAGAGGAGCCCAGAGGGAATGGATGGGGCTTAGGTTGCAGCTGTCCTCTCCTGCTGGGACCCTGTTTCTGGTGAGCAGAGGACTGCTGCTCTGCCAGCTGTGTGACACTTTCATCACTGGCTATTTCAAGATACAGTCCAAGATAAGCACTTCTCTTGTGCTTCCTTTCAGACAAAGCTCTCTGAAGACTAAAAGCTCATTGGCCTGACCTTTGGTCTCTGGAGGAAGTGAGGAAATATCATCCAGCTCGTAGACAATGAAGACACCAAGCACTCGAGGGATGAGATTGAGCAACAAGGTGGCAGAGCTAGAGAAGAGGCCTGATAAGAGTGTTCCAGAGCATTAATAATTGTGATAAAAATAATCTCTGTCTCTTGTGAAGGTCTTACAGTTTACAAGGCATCTTCACACATACTAGCTTGTTGGCTCCTCAACACTCCTCACCTGAGACTGATGGAGCAACAGTCATCTCCGTTTTAGAGAGGAAGAAACTGAGTCCCAGAGTTGTATGATTTGCCCAAGGTCACAGAGGGTGAGAGGCAGAGCTGGCCTAGAACCGGGTCTGCTGACTTCGAGTCCAGGGTAATCGCGGATCGGAAAGAAGGAATGGGGACCCTTCTTCCACCGCCATGAAAAACAGAAAACTGAGAGTAAGAGTAAAGTACACAAAGGGTGGAGGAGCATAAAGAAGCCCGGGGTTCAGGGATGTGAGGCTGCAGGGTGAAGGTAGGGCCGAGGAATCAGGGTAGGGCTGTGGGGTCCAAGGTGGGGCTGCGGGGGCTGGGTCCTGGGACGGGAGCTCAGTGGGGATTCCAGGGGCACTGGCCGTTAAAAGTGCGAGGCGACCGTGGGAGGGTCAAGGGAGCGGGTGGCTACAGGTGTCTGAATAGGAAACGTAAAGGACGAAGATTAATGTGCAATTCCTATGACTGAGAGACGCCGAGGCCCCAAACCGGGCCAGAATACAAAAGTCTGCAGGAAGCTCAATTGAGATATAGGTGTTTTCTCCAATCAAACTTACCCAGTCAAGCTGATTCCTCAGAAGCAGCCCCAGACGTTTAACTCGACGGAAATGAGAAACGACCCATGAACCCGTGGCCCTTTGGTCGTCGTAGTTTCCAAGGCTCAAAATGGACGCTTGGAAGCACTTCTCGTTCCTCAATCTAGAACTACAATTCCCGATGTACAGTGCGCGAGATTGCGCATTACAACTCTAAAACTACACCTCCCAGAGTTCTACGCGACCGTCCAGCCCCGCGTGGTCGTGCGAAACCGCCCAAGGCCTGGGATGCGGTGTGATTCCTCCCCCTGGTGGCCTGAAGAGGTGCCGCCGCGATTTCTGCTCTCGAGCGGAGGGTTTTGCCTTAGTCCCGTGCGTAACCCTCCGCCTCACCCTCCTCAAATAGTCCTCAGGCGTGCCTAGAAATGGTCCCCGCTTCGCTTTATTCTCAAGGAGGTGGGAGGAGGTTGGAGTTTGTTTTGTGTCTTCTGCACACTTTGCTTCCTGTAAGAATAATAGACTGATCATTCAAATTAAGGGGACATTCCCTACCAGCCTGCATCTGTTGACACCTGTGATTTTCCATTGTCCTCAAAAGACTCCCTGGCAGAGAAAGGGGAGGAACCCGAGTAATCTGCTGGGCCGCATCCATCCCACATTACTGTCTAATGCTGGTTCTTAGCGACACTGATGGACAAGATACCGCTCCTAGCCTCAACAGAATCACAGTCTAGCAGAGAATTCAGACAAATGAATAATGACAGCACAGAGCCGTGATCTCATGGGGAGACACAGCAAGCGTGGGAGCCTTGAAAAGGGGCCTCTGGCCAGGCTTGGGGGAAAAGGGCGGTGTCCGCAAGGCTTTTTAGAGGGAGTGATGTTTGTTAACATTGAGACCCGATATAAGGAAAGAACGTAGCCAGGAGTACAGAGACTGTGAAGGACGTTTCAGAGTATGGCATTAAGTTCAGTGCTGGCTGCAGCTAAGTGTGAGGGATGGAAGGAGAGTATTCTCGGGGGAGTGGGCGTTAGGCAGAGCCCATCCTCAGGAGTTCTGTAAACTTCTATAGGAAATTTGGATCGTTCAGGCAGCTCAAAAACGTTCAACGGCCCTCTACTACCTATGAAGTGAAGTCCCAACTGCTTAGCCTGACATTCAAGGTCTTCTCCAACCTGCACTCCCCCACGCCCCACCCCCCACCCTTCAGCGCCCCTCCTCTGGGAGCTTTGTTCATGCCTCCAAAGTTTCCGCCGACATCTGTGTGTGCCTCGCACATGTGAGTCGACTCACACTGCCTTGGGTATCTCCTGTATTAGAGGTCTTAACTCTTGACACATTGTGAGCTCTTTGAGGTCAGGTACTGAGTCCTGCAGTCGCCCCCTCCACCCTACTCTTGCAGCCCACATCCCCCCGAAACACCAGGGTCCAGAGTCCCTGCTTTAGGCTCTCCTCTCCTGCCGACACACTGTTGTCACCCCCATCCTTCCAGGAGCCAAGATAAAGTCATCAGGAGAGAGTGCTGGCAGCCCTGCACTGTGGTAATTAAGCCTCGGATCTCATTAAATCTGTGGCTGATGGCGGTGGCCACAGAACCTGAAAAGCTTAGCGCAGATCAGAGAGCGGCTCCCTTTGGCCCATTAATCCGTGCTGTGCAGCTGGCCAGAACACTCACGACAAGCCAGAGGTCCTTGGTCATGAGAGGGACAGCTGGAGGTCATTTCTTTCAGTCTCCTACTCCCAGACCAGGCCATGCTGGAGCCATTTGCTGGCCAGCTGAGTTTAAAATTTCCCAGGGATGGGCATGTCACCACCTCCTTTACCTCCTTTGTCACAGTTAGGAAGCTCTTCCTTGGGCACAATCAGATTCTTCCCTGTTGCAAAATAAAACAGTTGAGTTTAACTATACTTCCTTCCAATCCGGTCTTTTCTAGGATAAACAACCCAAATGCCTTTACCTTTTTAAGCAAATGGTTGATTTTCCAGCATTTTCATCATAGATCTCATCCTCCAGTAGCCCAAAGTTCCCTTCAAATCTATCAGCTACCATCCCAACTCTGGCCTTTACTTTGTTGCTAAATTGCTTCAAGTTGGTATTTGGGTGACCAGCTTTGGATTTCCTTTTTTTTAGGGGGGCGGGGGGGACAGAGTCTCGCTCTGTGGCCCAGTGGCGGGATCTCAGCTCACCGCAGCCTCCGCCTCCTGGGTTCAAGCAGTTCTCCCATCTCAGCCTCCATAGTAGCTGGGATTACAGGCACATTACCACACCTGGCTAATTTTTGTATTTTTAGTAGAGATGGGTTTTCATCATGTTGGCCAGGCTGATCTTGGACTCCTGGCCTCAAGTAATCTGCCCACCTTGGCCTTCCAAAGTGCTGGGATTACAGGTGTGAGCCACCACGCACCACCAGTGGACAAAACTTTTAAAATAAAGGTAGAATAGGTATACAATAAAGTATGTAATGGGCACTAAAGTATACAGCTTAACTTCTTAAAAACATTTGCTATAACTACCATTTACTTCAAAATGTAGGACGTTTCCAATATCCTGAAAGGTTGGCTTCTCAGTTGTAATCAATCACCCCCACCCATCCTCCAGAAGGAACAACTACTTTCCGTCTCTTATCATCAACTAGTTTTGAGAAGCAACATTTTTTAACTTTGATAATAACATTTTATGCTCACTGATAGCTGATACTTGTGTCGATGCCATTCCAGTCAAAGACCACCGGAAACACACCTGTATTAAAGAAGTTGTATTAATTATTCATTGCAGCAAGAGAGAAGGCAGGCAATGGGGAAATAAGGGCAAAGGGGGTGCATTTCTGTAGGAAGGTGGAAGAAAGAATTTACAGAATTTGGGCTTTTGTTAGACAATCTGGGGAGAGTTTAAGGAAGCAGGGCTTGGCTTTGGATTGGATGCTGTCAAGAGCAAGGGTAATTCTATGACTGGGGGTCTTGATAAAATGTATCTAGAAGGAGGGGAGGCTAGACCAAGGCTAAAGCTGTCATAGGTAAGAAGCAGCAGTCTCTCATTTTAGCACGGACGGGGGGTTGGTCTTTTTCATGGTTTGGACAATATCCATTTTTTGTTTGTGTTCAGACATGATGACAGAGTGGTCCTATTTGTGTTTTGATCCATTACAGTCACAGAGTGGCCTTGTCTGCTGTTGATGTTCTATGAAGTTGTTTATGTTCAACAGGACAAGGCCAAGTCCTGGCTGTGAGTGTCAGGCTGGCCTCTGGACTTTGGGGGCTACTTTCCTCTTTCTTACATCCCAACATATGGTGACGTCTCTTCTGGGCTGTATGCTTGGCATGTAGAAATGATTTGTCTTGGCCGGGCGCGGTGGCTCACGCCTGTAACCCCAGCACTTTGGGAGGCCGAGGTGGGCAGATCACGAGGTCAGGAAATCAAGACCATCCTGGACAACATGGTGAAATCCCATCTCTACCAAAAATACAAAAATTAGCTAGGTATGGTGGCGTGCGCCTGTAATCTCAGGAGGCCAAGGCAAGAGAATCACTTGAACCTGTGAGGCAGAGATTGCAATGAGCTGAAATCTTGCCACTGCACTCCAGCTTGGCAACAGAGTGAGACTCCATCTCAAAAAAAAAAAGAAAAGAAAAGAAAAAAGAAAAAGAAATGATTTGTCTTTGTGTCCTTGGGGACTTCCTAGTTAGTGGGGAAAAATGGACAAGAAAACAAATAGACACCATTATCAAGCACTCTAGTGAAGGGAGTGAAGGGTCTGGTCTCTGGAGACAGGCTACTGAATTTAAATCCCAGCTCTACCACTTACTAACTGTGAGAACTTGGGCAATGACTATTCCCTAAGCCTCAGTTTCCTCATCTGTAAATTGGAATGACAATAGTATTTATATTATAGAATTGTTTCAAGGGTTCAATGAACTAAACATGGATCACTGGTTACTTAAGCAGCTTGGACTTGGGAGGGGGCCGGGATGGATCCAAGTTTTGGGGCTTGAAACTTACACAGTTTTGGGGGGCTCTCTTTAAGAAAAAGAATTTTAGGCCGGGCACCGTGGCTCATGCCTGTAATCCCAGCACTTTGGGAGGCCGAGGCGGGTGGATCACCCAAGGTTAGGGGTTCGAGACCAACCTGACCAACATGATGAAACCCCCATCTCTACTAAATATACAAAGATTAGCTGGGTGTGGAGGCATGTGCCTGCATTCCCAGCTACTAGGGAGGTGGGGGCTGCAGTGAGCTGAGATCGTGCCACTGCACTCCAGCCTGGGCGACAGAGTAAGATCCACCAAAAAAAAAAGAAAGAAAAAGAATTTAAAAATATCTTTTTCAAAATTTGCAAAACGTATGACCTGGGAACACATTGCTAGGTCTCCTTCCAGGGCCTGAGAAGAGGTTCTGGAGCTAAAACTTCATTACTTTCTCAATAATTCTGACTGTGGGAAGAGACAAAGAGGCAAAATTATACAATAGCTTTATTCTTTTCAAATCACTGTCTTCAAACAAGCGCTGCCAAAATGTCCTTGCCCTTAGCTGAAAACTGCTCCAGTACTCTTAGCTCTTTCTTGTATTATAGCTTACAAGTCAGTGGGCAATGCACTAGTGATGGAGAAACTGACTTAGGTCTGGTTCTGCATATAGCTACACCTAGTCTTTATCAGCATTGGGACCCAAGTGGAGTTCAAATGAATCCTTTTTAACATCTTGTTAACAAGATGTGCTTAACAAAGGTCAAGAACAGGAATTGTCCTTCCTTACTTTGCTACTGTAATCATTCTTCCATTCAAAAAATATGTATTGAGGCCAGGTGCGGTGGTTCATGCCTGTAATCCCAGCACTTTGGGAGGCCGAGGCGGGCAGATCACTTGAAGTCAGGATTTCAAGGCCAGCCTGGCCAACATGACGAAACCCCGTCTCTACTAAAAACACAAAAATTAGCCAGGCACGGTGGTGGGCACCTGTAATCCCAGCTACTAGGGAGGTTAAGGCAGGAGAATTGCTTGAACCTGGGAGGCGGAGGTTGCAGTAAGCCAAGGTCGCGTCACTGCACTCCAGCCTGGGCGACAGAGTGAGACCCTGTCTCAAAAAAAAAAAAAAAAGTATTGAGCACTTAGTATGTCCCAGGCATTATGCTTGGCACTGCATATAAAGCAGTGAATAAGAGGGACCAATTCCCTGCTCACACGGTGCTTTCATTCTAGTGAGGAGAGACAGAGTTAAACAAACAAACAGGTGGAGCGTGGTGGCTCACGCCTGTAATCCCAGCACTTTGAGAAGCTGAGGCAGGTGGATCACTTGAGGCCTGGAGTTTGAGACTGGCCTGGGCAACATAGTGAGACCCTGCCTTATAAAAAATTAAAAAAGAAAATAGCTGGGCGTGGTAGTGCATGCCTGTAGTCCTAATTACTACAAGGCTGAAGTGGGAGGACAATTTGAGCCTAGGAGTTTGAAGCTGCAGTGAGCTACGATTGCGACACCGCATTGCAGCCTGGGTGACAGAGTGAGACCTTGTCTCTAAAGCAAAAACAAAAACAAAACTCCAAACAAACACATAACCAAGATAATTATATACTATGTTAAATGCTTCACAGGAAGTAGGATACTGCTTTGGTGGAGAATGAAGGGAGTGAGCTACTCTCAATAGGGTGGGAGGGAAGGATTCTCTGAGGAGCTGGCATCTGAGCTGAGCCCAAGCATACCTACCATTTATTGATTATCTCCTATGTGTCAGCCATGTCATTAGGTAACTTTCAAATACTTTACATTTAATCTTCCTGTGAAGTATGTCATGTCTTTTCCATTTTTCAGATGAGAAAACAGAGGCTCAAAGAGGTAACAGCGGACAGTGTTGACACCTGCCTCATAGCCCCTCATCCCTTCTCTGAGTTCCCTTGCCAGTGTGGTAGTTTTCAGCATGCTCAGGGCTCCACCACACAAGAGCCTGCTTCTCTTGGCTTCCTTGCCTGAGAGCTTTCTTAAGTATCTATGAACCAGGAGGAACAGGCGTGTTATGTATCCCAAGGGCAACCTTCAACCATCAAGAGAGTTGGTGCCTAAATGCCCAACCTCCTCATCTTCACATAGGAGAGTCTTTTCTTTTTCTTTCTTTCTTTCCTCTCCTTCCTTTCTTTCTCTTTCTTTCTTCTTTCTTTCTCTCTCTCTTTTTTTTCCACTTCCCCTTCTTCTTCCCCTTCCTTCCCCTCCCCTCCGCTTCCCTCCCCTCCCCTTCCCTCCCCTCCCTTCCCCACCCTTCCTTTCCCTTTAAATTAAGAAACAGGGTCTGGCTCTGTCGCCCAGGCTGGAGTGCAGTGGCACAAATATTGCTCACTGCAGCCTCAAACTCCTGGGCTCAAGCGATCTCCCCATCAAATAGGATGATTTCACACTGTCTCTCAGAAGGTCTCCAGCAGAACTGCGCCCAGGTGCTCCTGGCAGCAACCCGCACATTCACGCACCCTTTATTACCTTTTCTCTTCCCGGTCTTACTTTCTCCATGCCCTTCTTCTGCTTCCTGAAATTACCTCCACAATTTAGTTCCAGCACCTGAGTCTCAGGATCTGCTGATGGGAGAACTCAAGCTAAGACTAAGTGACTTGCCCAAGGCCACCCAACCTAGTGGCAGAACTGAAATGTGCAGCCAGGTCTGCCTGGATCACATTTCACAATCCTCACTGCTGCACCCCATGACAGTAAGCCTGAGATGGAGCTAAGCCTTTTATTTTATTTTATATATATATACATATATATATATATATATATATATATATATATATATATATATATATGGAATAGTTTTTTCTTTCCAACTTTTAAGTTTAAGGGGTACATTTGGAGCCTAAGCTTTTTAGTCTGGCTCAAGGCCCTTCACATCCTGACCCTAGCTGATCTTTTTTGACTTATCTCCCACCTCCTCATTCTTGGTCACCCCTTGCTCCAGGGACAGCAAACTGCTTGGGAACATAACGTTCTCCAACCCTGCCATGCCCTGTCACCCCTGCATATCTTTGCAAATGCTGTCTTTTCTGCCAAAATATGGGTTGAATCTGTGTGGTCCAGACAATAACCACCCTGGCCCCACTCCACCCAAAGAATGCCAAATGCCAGTGTCCAGCCCTGGGAAGGAACATGTTTGTGCCAAGTGCTCGGCACATCTGAGCTCATTCAGTTTGCACAATGATTCTGAGAGGTCAGTAGCTCCACCCTCAGTTTGCAGGTTCGGAAACCAAGGTACGCAAAGGCCAGGTGACTTACCCAAGGTCTTACAGTTAATGGCTGGCAAAACCAGGATTAAACTCAGATTTCCCTGTTCTGCCACCATACCTTGATGCCTGGCTGGAGGGAAGGGATGGGAACTGGGTTTTCTGAGGCTGCTCTCACATTCCCTGTCTGCCAAGCCTAAGTGTAGAGATGGGGGGCATCTGCCAAGGCAGCTGCCAGAGCCCTAGCTAGGTGGAGAAGGGACTACGGAGCCCAGAAGGAGGCCAGGCTGAGGGGGCTTCCTGCAAGGAAAAGAGCTGGTCATCCTGCTCACTCCTACCTGGGAGGGGGAAGCATTACCCTTTCTGCTTTCTGGCTCCTTCCAGGCCTTTGGGAGTTTACTTGGCCTCAACAATGTCCTGCTTCCCAGAATCTCTCATCAAAAATGATTCTTGGAAACTGGGCCAGTTCGGGGATGCCTAGAGGCCAAGGCAGGGCTGAATTCCTGCTCTTAATGTTCTCTTCCTGGCTCCCAGCATTGTTATCATCAAGTCTATCAAATGCCTGGTAAAGGGTTGCCAGCCTGCAGAACATGAGATGATTTGGTGAGCACCAAGTTCTCAGTAGTTTTGGAGAAATTGGATGGGGTTGCAATGGGAGTGGGGGTGGAAACCTTGCCAGCAATATCGTGCCAATCTCTGCTTAAAATTTCTAGGGATACTGCTTAGCCTGACATAGCACTGGTTTTGGGTACAGGGGCAGGGCAGAGAGGTTGGCAGCAGATGGGGTGCAGCATGTGTAGTAGGGTAGGGTGTTCTTAGGTCCCCAGGGGAGTGTTTTCCTTCCATGATCAGATCCCATTGTAGGCGGCAATGCCTGCTGTGAGCCTAAGAAAATTATACAAACATGGCAGGTAAGGTGGGGTCAGGGGACCCAGGGTGGGGGCAGGAGTGGTGAGGGGCAGTGGGCAAGGCTGGAGGGGAGGGAGGTATAGAGAGGCCTCTGCTGCAATAACTGTGAGCCCTGGCCAGTGATGAAGTCACCATTAGTGCAGTCTGAGTTCTGGGAACCAGGTGATGGAGTGTGTTCCAAGAATGGACTGAGGGCCGGGTGCAGTGGCTCATGCCTGTAATCCCAGCACTTTGGGAGGCTGAGGCGGGTGGATCACCTGAGATCAGGAGTTGGAGACCAGCCTGGCCAACGTGCTGAAACCCCATCTCTACTAAAAATACAAAAAAATTAGTCCGGCATGTTGGCACCTACCTGTAATCCCAGCTACTCGGGAGGCTGAGGCAGGAGAAATCGCTTGAACCCGGGAGGCGGAGCTTGCAGTGAGCCGAGATTGCGCCATTGCACTCTAGCCTGGGCGACAGAGTGAGATTCTGTCTCAAAAATAAATAAATAAATAAATAAATAATAAAAAGAATGAACTGAGGCCAGGCAAAATAAGATAAGAAAAAATAAAATAAAATAAAATCCCTCTGGGATTGCTTGCGCCTCCACAACAGAAGTTGCAGGCCTTACAGAAGCCCTTCAAGATCTGGATCAATTTCCCTCAGCCAGGCAGATTCACACCCCCTTCACATCCAACGTGACCAGCCGGTCCCTCGACACACATGCGCTCAGCCACCTCCACGCATTTCATACCCAACGTGACCAGCTGGTCCCTTGACACGTGCGCTCAGCCACCTCCATGCATTTCACACCCAACGTGACCAGCCGGTCCCTAAACACATTTCACACCTAACGTGATCAGCCGGTCCCTAGACACATTTCACACCTAACGTGATCAGCCGGTCCCTAGACACCCATGCGCTCAGCCCCTTTCGTGCATTTGTTTGTGCTGCCCTTCTCCCTGTCTGCTTCCTGTCTCCTCCTTCAAACCCAGTGAGATGTCACTTTCTCTGGGATGTCCTCCTTGGCTGATTGCTCTGTACTCCCAGGTGCTTCTCTAACACTTGTTGGCATCCCCAGGACAGTACACATAACCCTGCAATGAAGTGACCAGAGTGCAGGTCTGCCTCCGCATGTGACCGTGGGCTCCTGGAGGGTGAGAGTACCTTCTTATTCATTTCTGAATAAGGCCTAGCACAGCACCTGACACGGTGGGTATTGGTTAAAAGATGAGGGGCCAGCCCAGGTAACATGGCGACACCATGTCTCTACAGAAAATTTTTTTTGAAACAGAGTCTCACTCTGTTGTCCAGACTGGAATGCAATGGCCTCCTGGGTTCAAGTGATTCTCCTGCCTCAGCCTCTTGAGTAGCTGGGACTACAGGCATGCACCACCACACCACAGCGGGATAATTTTTGTATTTTTAGTGGAGACAGGGTTTCACCATGTTGGCCAGGCTGGTCTCAAACTTCTGACCTCAAGTGATCCGCCCACCTCAGCCTCCCAAGCACTGGGATTACAGGCATGAGCCACAAAGCCCGGCTCTACAAAACTGAAAAAAAAAAAAAAAAAAAAAAAATTAGCCAGGTGTGGTGGTGCGTGCCTACAGTCCCAGCTACTCAGGAAGCTGAGGGGGGAGGATCGCTTGAGCCCAGAAGGTGGAGGCTGCAGTGAGCCATGATTGCTCCATTGCACTCCAGCCTTGGTGACAGAGCAAAAGTCTGCCTCAAAAACAACAACAACAACGACAACAACAAAAGAATGAGGGGCTGAGTAAGAGGTATAAATGCCTTCAAGGTTCAACCAAGTCAGTTAAATTGGCCTAAGACAATAGGGAGCAGGAGGGACAAACTAGACAGTGAATGACTTGTGTGAAGGGATTCAAACTCAATGAAAGAAAATTGGGGAGAGGGTGGCAGCCCGTGCCTCTAATCCTGGCTACTCAAGAGGCTGAGGTGGGAGGATCGCTTCAGCCCAGGAGGTCAAGGATGAGTGAGCTATGATCACATCTATGAATAGCTATGGTACTCCAGCCTGGGCAACAGAGTGAGACCCAGCCTCTACATTAAAAAATAATGGGGCTGAGAGCGGTGGCTCACGCCTGTAATCCCAGCATTTTGGGAGGCGAGGCGAGCAGATCACCTGAGGTCAGGAGTTCAAGACTACTCTGACCAACATTGCAAAACCCCATCTCTACTAAAAATACAAAAATTAGCTGGGTATGGTGGTGAGCGCCTGTAGTCCCAGTTACTCGGGAGGTGGAGGTTGCAGTGAGCCAAGATTGCGCCACTGCACTCCAGCCTGGGCAACAGAGTGAGATTCTGTCTCAAAATAATACTAATACTAATACTAATACTAATAATAATATAAAAAATAATGTTGGCCACATGTGGTGGCTTATACCTGTAATCTCAGCACTTTGGGAGGCCAAGGAGACTTGATCACCTGAGGTCAGGAGTTCGAGAGCAGCCTGGCCAACACGGTGAAACCCCATCTCTACTAAAAATACAAAATTATCTGAGTGTCGTGGTGCATGCCTATAATCCCAGCTACTTGGGAGGCTGAGGCAGGAGAATCGCTTGAACCCAGGAGGTAGAGGTTGCAGTGAGCCAAGATTGTGCCTCTGCACCCCAGCCTGGGCGACAAGAGTGAAACTCCGTCTCAAAATTAATAAATAAATAAAAAGTCATCAGGCTCCTGCTTTTAGGGTCCTACAGTCAAGATACTATTTTTAAAAAAAAAGAGAAAGAAAATTGGTGGGTGAAACATAGTCTCTGATAAAACAACAATATGCTAGTATTTATTGTATGCTTACTCTTTGTTAAGAAATACAGCTCCGTGGTTCCAAGCGTGGACTCTGGAAACAGGCTGCCGGATTTGAGTCCTGGCTTTCCTGCCTGTTAGCTGTTGACACTTTGGTCATGTCATTTAACCTCTCTAAGCCTCAGTTTCCTCATCTGCAAAATAGAAAGTATAACAATATCTACCTTAGAGGGTTGTGAGGATTCAAAGAGTGAATAGTAAACAGAAAGCACATAAAATAGTGTCTGGCCCATGGAAAACATCCAGGAAGTGTTGGCTGTTATTGTTCCTTGATGGTGAGTGTTCATGGAAGGCCTGGCTGAGAAGGTGACCATAAACTGAGCCCTGGACATGGGAAAGGGGCCACCCCTGCTGAGCTCTGGGCGAAGACATTCCAGGCAGAGGGAACAGCAGAGGAAGGCCCCTGAGGCTCTGCTGGGTGTGAGGGCAGGAAGAAGGCAGTGGGGCTGGAGCCCCGAGCAAGAGAGGGCAGAGGCGAGGGCCTGGAGGAGAGGGAGGGGCCAGCGCTTGGCGGGCCTTCTAGGCCGCGGAAAGAAGTCTGGATTTTATTCTAAGTATGATGGAAGGCATGAATATTATTATTATTATTATTATTATTATTATTATTGCTTATTATTGTTTAGGTATGGTGAGGCCAGGAGATCAGGAGATGACTACTATTGAAAAGAAGTTTGTGGCAGGGCGCAGTGGCTCGCACCTATAATCCAAGCACTTTGGGAGGCCGAGGTGGGTGGATCACGAGGTCAAGAGATTGAGACCATCCTGGCCAACATGGTGAAACTCCGTCTCTACTAAAAATACAAAAATTTGCTGGGCATGGTGGTGGGCGCCTGTAATCCTAGCTATTCAGGAGGCTGAGGTAGGAGAATCACTTGAACCCGGGAGGCGGAGGTTGCAGTGAGCCGAGATCACACCACTGCACTCCAGCCTGGGTGAGACAGAGCCAGACTCTGTCTCAAAAAAAAAAAAAGAAAGAAAGAAAGAAAAAAAGAAGTGTGTTACACTCACAGATCCCAAAGGGGGCATGCTATGCATGGGAGACACATGAGGAAACACCAGGGTCTGTCAGGTGGCAGAGGGGAGAAAGGGTGGGCAAGAGCCTTTAGTGTGATTTTGATACCAACCACAGGTTGTTGGGCTGCCAATGCAATAGAAATTGACATGAGGCCAAAAGAGTTTAACCAGACAAGACTTCATTGGAGCTTATGCTTCAGCATAAGGGAGGCAGCACAAGAGAGCGAGAGAATTCCCTGGCTGACTCTCTGAAAAGAGCTGGCTGGGATTTTTTATTAGGCAAAGCATGGGAAATGATGGTGGGTAGGTTATGCAGGCTGGGCTGGGCAAAGCATGTGAGAGGTAGGAGATGCAGGTCAGCACATCCGGTTGGATGGTTTTCTTGAGTAATGGGCCATCTGGTGGTGGTCTGACCAGCAGCAACAAACCTGTAAATCAGTTACTCTACAATATAGAATGGTGACTTTCTTTTTTTATTTTTATTTTTTGAGTCGGAGTCTCGTTCTGTTGCCCCAGGCTGGAGTGCAGTGGCGTGATCTCGGCTCACTGCAAGCTCCGCCTCCCAGGTTCACGCCATTCTCCTGCCTCAGCCTCCCACGTAGCTGGGACTATAGGTGCCCGCCACCACGCCCGGCTAATTTTTTGAATTTTTTTAGTAGAGACGGGGTTTCACCATGTTAGCCAGGATGGTCTCGATCCCCTGACCTCGTGATCCTCCCACCTCGGCCTCCCAAAGTGCTGGGATTACAGGCGTGAGCCACCGTGCCCGGCAGTGGCGACTTTCTTTGTTTGGCTAAAGCCTTGGCGTTAGCGGGGATGGTGTCAGCGAGGTAATGGTATGGGTTTTATGATCAGTGAGAATGTGTGAAAGAATGCTCTAGTGGGGGTGAGCTGAAGCCAAACCCCATTCCCACTCTGTCTAGCTTCCTTGGAAAGGAACGGGCAAGGCAGGGTAAGCAGGCTTAGCATTTTCTAGTTTGAACACTGTCAGCTCAGGGGATAGGGGCTTTCCCTAGTAGTCTGGTACCTGGCTCTGGGGTGATGAGGGCCGGAGAATCGTGGCCCTGAGTGTGAGAGCCCAGTAGAGGAGGTGGCATGGGGTGTGAGCTCTTGATTGGTTGCTTTGCACTTGAAAGGCATATTCAAGGGCCCTTGGCTTGCTCTCTCTAGGAACTGGCTAGCTCTGGGAGGGGCAGTCTTTCCAGGGCAGGCCCCAGTGAGACAGAGCATTAAAATACAGGCAATAAAAAGACAATGGTTAATACAGTGTCAAAGCCAAGGAGAGAGTGGGCTTATATTTTACCAAGATCCTCTGGCTGCTGGGAGGAGAAAGTACTTTAGTGAGGCGAGAGGAAAGCAGGGACCAGAAGCCAATGCAATGATCCCGGGTGAGCAAGGCGGCTTAGCTTAGGGTGAGGGCAGGGGAGGTGGGAGCGAGGCTGGTTTCAGGGTTTCTTTGAAGATGAGGCTGATGACCATCCAACAAGGAGCCTTTCAGATTACAAGAAGCAACTTGAGGCTCATTCTATTCTTATTTCTGAGATGCACATTTATGCTTCCTCCCCTACTTATGAATTGTACTATCTCACTCTTCTTTTTTTTTTTTTTAGCTCTGTCACTCATGCTGGAGTGCAAGGGTACAATCACAGCTGACTGCAGCCTCAACTTCCCGGGCTCAAGTGATCCTGCCACCTCAGCCTCAAGCAGCTGGGACCACAGGCACGTGCCACCATGCCAGGCTAGGTTTTTGTTTTTTTTTTAAGAAATGAGGGGGCGTCTTGTGGCCGGGCGTGGTGGCTCACGCCTGTAATCCCAGCACTTTGGGAGGCCAAGGCGGGTGGATCACTTAGGGTCAGGAGTTCGAGACCAGCCTCAACATGGAGAAACCCCATCTCTACTAAAAATACAAAATTAGCTGAGCGTGGTGGTGCATGCCTGTAATCCCAGCTACTCGAGAGGCTGAGGCAGGAGAATTGCTTGAACCTGGGAGGCAGAGGTTGCAGTGAGCCGAGATCACACCATTGCACTCTAGCCTGGGCAACAAGAGAGAAACTCCGTCTAAAAAAAAAAAGGAGAGAAAAAGAAATGGGCGGGGGGGGGTCTCACTATGTTGCCCAGGTTGGTCTTGAACTCCTGGGCTCAAGTGACTATCTCACTCTTCTGATGCTAATGGCTTATTAAAGCAATTTAAGGAAATGACACCTCCAGGATTAGAGGTAAACATAAAGTGTCCAACATAGCGTCCAGTATATAGTAGGTACTGAACAAATCCACTGCTTTTTCTTCCATAAGGGAAAGTAGACTGTGGTTCAAGTATGGGCTTTACCCCACACTGGTTGGGTGACCCTAGACAAGTGACTTCTTTCTTTCTTTCTTTCTTTCTTTTTTTTTTGAGATGGAGTCTCACTCTTGTCACCCAGGCTGGAATGCAGTGGCGTGATCTTTGCTCACTGCAACCTCCGCCTCCTGGGTTCAAGCGATTCTCCTGCCTCAGCCTCCTGAGTAGCTGGGATTACAGGCGCCTGCCACCACGCCCGGTTAATTATTTTTTGTATTTTTAGTAGAGACAGGGTTTCACCATGTTAGCCAGGCTGGTCTCGAACTCCTGACCTCGTGATTCACCCGCCTTGGCCTCCCAAAGGGCCAGGATTACAGGCGTGAGCCACTGCCCCCAGCCTGGACAAGTGATTTCATCACCCTGCATCTCCCTTCCTTAATCTGAAAGCAGAGATAAGAGGGCCTCGCTCTTCTAGTAGTTGTGAAAGTTAAGTGAGGCAAAGTATGTAAGCCCCT
Source organism: Homo sapiens (assembly GCF_000001405.40). NCBI lineage: Eukaryota > Metazoa > Chordata > Mammalia > Primates > Hominidae > Homo > Homo sapiens. Next base: position 26,012,717 of record NC_000001.11, read on the forward strand.
TGCAGGGGCTCCACCAATTATAGCAGTAATTATCACATATTCAAGAATGGCAGTCTGGGGCCAGGTTTCCAAGATGGGGCCAAGACTCAGAGAGAAATGGGACAAAGCTCCCTCCATCTCCTCCTTGGTGCCCACCTCTGGGCCTGCTTCCCTCCAGGCCTGATCCCTGCCCTCAGCTCCCACCTCTGCTGGGCATCTTCTCAAAGAGCCAACAGACAGCTGTGTTCACTCTGCCAAGAGGCATCCCTGGGAAAGGAGGAGAGGAGAAAGAAATCTTCGTGTCTGGGCTTTGGAAAGCAGACTGTTAATTACCTGGGGTTGGCAGCAGCCTGCCTGTTAGGTAAACATTTGCCAAGCTGGCTCCATGCATTAACCCCTTGGTACCCAGAGCTGAGGTGTTCAGACGTGGGCTGCTCTAGAAGGGTCCAGAAACTAACTTGAGGGAGGCTGGGCACGGCTTCTGTAGCCTTCAAACAGGTCCAATTCAGGTGAGACATTCAGGAGGATGGCACAGAATGGCTTCAGAATCAGGGTTTGAAATTTACTTCACTTGGCTTGTCCCCAGACCCCTGTCCCAGGAATATGGGATGTTCCCCAGACCCCTGTCCCAGGAATACAGCCCCCAAAGAGGTGGCCAGGACTAAAAGCTCAACCTGCAGCTTGAGGTATGAACAAGGTCCTGTGTGTGAGGGGATGGACCAGGGATGCCTGGTCACCTTAATCCCCCCTGGCTTTCTCTGGATAACAGAAACTCACTCTAGAGGAAGCAGAGACCCACCTCCCAGAGGGAGAGGCCCTGGGTGGTGTTTAGGGGTGGCTGGTGTATGGTAGATGCACCTGACAGCAATAACTGAAGAAACAAGAGCTGCCACATGAAGGATGCTGAGGGAGGGTGCTATGTGGGGATGCCATATATATATATATATATATGTTTGTTTTGAGACAGAGTCTTGCCCTGTCACCCAGGCTGGAGTATAATGGCACCATCTCGGCTCACTGCAACCTCTGCCTCCCAGGTTCAAATGATTCTCCTGCCTCAGCCTCCAGAGTAGCTGGGATTACAGGCGCCTGCCACCCACCCAGCTAATTTTTGTATTTTTAGTAGAGATGAGGTTTCACCATGTTGGCCAGGCTGGTCTCAAACTCCTGACCTCATGATCCACCCACCTCGGCCTCCCAAAATGCTGGCACAGGCATGAGCCACTGTGCCTGGCCGAGGGTACTGTATAAACTGCATTTTTTTTGCAAGCGGTTGTGGTTCTCCCATCCAGCTTGCCACCATGGGACCATCCTGTATGTAAGCCTCCTCAAATAAATCCTATGTCTCATTTTCTGGCTTCATTTCTCTTCTGTAGCCTCTTGAAACTGGTGCCATCCCAGTGGAAGTCCATATGGGTCTGGGACAACATTAATTAGAGGTAGACTTGGTCTTAGGCAAGGTGGCATGAGGAGAAAGGTAAGGCAAGGTGGGCTCGGATTGACTATAATGATCAGTTGTGTATCTACCTGTACAGTTTGCTAAGCACTTTTCCACCCTTATCTCATCCAATGAGTCCCACCGTAAGCCTGTGAGGAGGGAATTAGCCTCCTGTGATGCAGTGGCTCAAATCCAGCCTGTTACTCACTGGCTGTGTGGCCTTGGGGCAATCACTTCACCTCTCTGAACCTCATCTGTAAAATCAGGGGAATAGCCATCTGCCCTGGCAGTTTTCTTGTGAGGCTTAAATGAAATTCTGGATCTAAAGAGCTCAGTAGTGCCTGACACACATTCAACTTCTCCCTTGAATTCCCTATTTTACAGAAGAGGAAAATGAGCCTCAGTGAGCTCCCAAATTATAATCCTCTAAATGTAAAAAAAAAAAAAAAATCATACAAATACACAGTAAGCACATGTCTCTGTTGTTTCACTTATTCATGAGGCAACTCTCAGGATGACAGAGCTGGTTCAGAGAACCCACTGATGGGAGTTGAGGAAGCACAGGGAATGCCAGAACAAGATTGCTAGTTAGATTCCAAATTGGGGAATGCTCTATAGTGCATGAACTAGAACCTTTAGGGGTGATCCCTATTGGTCAGAAGTCATTTGTATCACTATTGGACAAAAATCTGTTTTCTATACATTAGCACCATAGTTCTCAGACTTATTAAATGTTTGGGCCAGGCTGGGCGCGGTGGCTGACGCCTGTATTCCCAGCATTTGGGAGGCCGAGGTGGGTGGATCACTTGGGGTCAGGAGTTGAAGACCAGCCTGGCCAATGTGTTGAAACCCCGTCTCTACTAAAAATACAAAAATTAGCCGGGTGTAATGGTGGGCACCTGTAATCTCAGCTACTTGGGAGGCTGAGGCAGGAGAATTGCTTGAATCTGGGAGGCAGAGGTTGCAGTGAGCCGAGATCGCGCCATTGCACTCCAGCCTGTGCGACAAGAGCAAAACTCCATCTAAAACAAAAACAAAACAAAACAAAACAAAATGAAAAAAGTTTGTACATAGGGAGTAAAAAGTCAAACAAGGCCAGGCACAGTGGCTCATGCCTGTAATCCCAACACTTTGGGAGGGTGAGGCAGGAGTATGGCTTGGGCCCAGGTGTTAGAGACCAGCCTGGGCAACAAAGAATTCATCTCTAAAAAAGAAAAAAAAATTAGCCAGGTGTGGTGGTGTGGGCCTGTAGTCCTGGCTACTCAGGAAGTTGAGTTGGGAGGATCACTTGAGCCTGGGAGGTCAAGGCTGCAGTGAGCCATGATCACACAACTGCACTCCAGCCTGGGTGACAGAGCGAGACCCTGTCTCCAAAAAAAAAAAGGTCAAACAAAGTTACTTCCCTTTAGGGAGTCCTACAACACTTGAGGGCTTGTTACGCAATGCCCCAGTGGGAGGATTAAGGCCACACAGGCTCCTCATTGCTTCACTTCCAAGCTTTACAAAATTTTCCTTAACAAAGTGGTGTTGACAGGATGGGAAATGGAAGGATTGACCTTCCAAGCTCTGTCAGGATTACTTCTGAGTAAGAATTTCAAATCTTTTTGCTCTGAAAAGCCTAGTTCTGCTACCACTTCAGGTTGATGATAAGAAAATGAAAGCCCAAGGCTGGGTGCGGTGGCTCATGCCTGTAATCCCAGCACTTTGGGAGGCTGAGGTGGGTAGATCACCTGAGGTTGAGAGTTCAAGACCAGCCGGGTCAACATGGCAAAACCCTGTCTCTATTAAAAATACAAAAATTAGCCAGGCATGGTGGTGGTTGCCTGTAATCCCAGCCACTCAGGAGGCTGAGGTGGGAGAATCATTTGAACCTGGGAGGCAGAGGTTGCAGTGAGTGGAGATCGCGCCACTGCACCCCAGCCTGGGCGACACAGTGAGACTTTGTCTCAAAAAAAAAAAAAAAAAAAGAAAGAAAAGAAAAACCCGGGACCAGTTCTGGTGGCTCACATCCATAGTCCCGGTATAAGAGGCCGAGGTGAGAGGATCACTTGAGCCCAGGAGTTTGAGGCTGCTGTGAGCTGTGATTGTACCTCTGCGCTCCAGCCTGGGTGACAGAGTAGGACCCAGTTTCTAAAACAAATTTTAAAATGAAAAATAAATTTAAAAAATAAATAAAAAAGAAAATGAAGGCCCAGGAAAAGGGTGTGACTTGTCCAAGATCACATAGCCACGCCTAGAAGAGGAGCAGAGGCTAGAACCTACTTTCTCCAACCCCCGTCCCCAGGTCCCCTGGATGGCTTGCCTGGCCCTGCACCCTGTGGGGTCCAGGAACTGCTCTGCATCCTGGCGGGGGTTAGGGGGTTGTCTACAGGGCCAGACTGAAGTGTCTGCTGGAGTTGACTGATATTGCAGAGTCTTGGGACTCACCATGGCTTATAGTTATGTGCACTCAAGCGAGAGCTGTGACCTCAGAGCCTCTAGAAACCTTCAGCCTCCGCACTTGCTAATTCTGCTGTGAGACACTCAGGCAGCCCAGAGCTGGAGGAACAAACAGCCGTAGACAAGAAGCAGCAGATGGGTTTCCACGGTGATCATTTCCTGGAGTCCAAGTATCTTCTTTCTTCCTGAATGGAGGTGGAGATGCAGCAAGAGAAACAGGGAGGGGGAAGCCCAAGTCTTGGTCCCAATCCACCCAGATGGATACCTTGGCGCTCCTTGGGCAAGTCACCTCAACTCCCTGGGTCTGAGGAGGGACAGAAGGATGCCATTTGCTAGGCGCCTGCTCCACACCAGGCGTGGTATGCTGAATGCTGCACACTCACTACCTCATTTCTTTAATCTCCTTCCCAGTAAGCCTTTAGGGAAGGAGCTATTATTAGCATCCCCATTTTACTGATAGGAAACAGAAGCACAGAGAGGTGAAGTAACTTCACAGGAACACACGGCTTGTTAAGAGCACTTGAGCTGTGCTCTTAACCACAGCATTCTATAGTGCTGGGTCCCTTCCTCTGAGGGCCAGGGCCATTCCTTCTGCAGATTTCAGGCCCAGCCTGAAGCGGGAGGGAGGGAAGGAAGGCCAAGCAGGGTGCAGAGAGGAAACACTTCAGGTGAAACACGGTATTGTTAGCCCCCATTTTCTGCCTGGGCATCCTAGCCAATATGACACCTGGTGCTTCAGGCAGGAAGCACCCCCATGCCCAGGCAGCCCCCAGGCAGCTGTGACACCACCGCAGCTATGACACACGCTGCAGTGCTCAGAGCTCTGCGATGCCTCCAGAGGCATCTGTGTCCTCAAATTCACACAAAGGCCTGCTTCAATCCTGTCCTGTAAGAAACAAGTCCTCTGCCTCCTCCAGGAAGCCTCCTTCATTGCACCTGAGGCCAGGGCCTCTCCTCCCACTCAGTGCTGTCCTCTCCTTCCTGCTCTGGCTCATTCCCGTCGCCCAAAGTGATCATTTCTGTCCCACTGATCAGAGCCCAGGTATAGGATGGAGGCTCCTGGTGGCTTTGTTGAGCACTGAAAAGCCCGACGGAGGCCCCTGGCAGATCCCTGACCTCAGTCCTGCCTGCCAGGATGCCCTGGCCTTCTCTTCCTCCATCCAAGCCCCAGGGCAACCACGTGAATCGCAGGCTAGACAAGCCCAGATTCCAGCTGGCCTGAGAGCCTCCTCCACAGGGATGAAGGTAGGAGAAGGCTTATGTGTGTGCACAAATATGGGCATGGGCAGGAGCCAGCCAGCATCCCCAGGGCTGGGGTGGGAGACACATAGAGCTATTAATAGAACGGGATTAGGTATTCCTCCAAACCCCAAACCAGCTGGGCTTGGCTTCCTAGCTATCTCAACTTTGTCCGTCCCTCCATTCCTTCACTCATTCAACAAGTATTTGTTGGATACATATATCTTTAAAAAAATAAATAAATAAAGACAGACTTGCTATGTTGCCTAGGCTGATCTCAAACTCCTGGGCTCAAGAGATCCTCCCGCTGACCTTCCAACCTTAGCTACCTGAGTAGCTGGGACTACAGGTGCATGCCATCATGCCTGGCTTATTTATTTATTTATATTTGTTTTATATTTTTAAAGATGGGGTCTTCCTCTTGTGCCCAGGCTAGAATGCAGTGGCACCCATAGCTCATTACAGCCTAAAATTCCTGGGATCAAGCAATCCTCCTACCTCATCCTCCCGAGCAGCTGGGATTACAGGCATGAGCCACCAGCTCCAGTTAAAAAAAATTTTTTTTTTGTAGAGACAAAGACTCGCTATGTTGCCCAGGCTGGTCTCAAACTCTTGGGCTCAAGGGATCCTCCTGCCTAAGCCTCCCAAAATGCTAGGATCACAGGTGTGAACCACTGTGCCCAACCTGGACATTTATTTTATTATTGCTGGGGATAAGAAGGATATATGAGAACCAGACTTCTGATCTTCTTCCCTAAAACTGTTCCCCTCAGTTTTCCCCATCTCAGTTAATGACAACTCCACCCTGTCTGTGGTGCAGGCCGGACCTCACATCTAATCTATCAGCAAATCTGTCAATTTGCCCTGGCTTAAAATATACCCAGAATCCAACTACTTCTATTCATCCCACCCCTGCCATCCTGGTCCCAGCCACCGCAGTGGCTCACTTGCACTACAGCCTGGCCCAGCAGGGCTCCCTGCTGCTGTCCCTGACCCTACAGCCGGCCTCTTCCCTGCAGCCTGAGTCGTGCTGTGAAAACAAGGTCAGAGCGTACCAATCACGTGGCAGGCACACTCCTGCCTCAGAACCTGTGGCCCGGCTGTTCCTCTTGCCTGGAGCGATTTTCCCCTAGAAATATACTTCTTCACTCACTCCCTCACTTTCTCAGAAATTTACACAAATGCCAGAGTTTTTTTTGTTTTGTTTTGTTTTGTTTTTTGAGGCAGACTCGCTCTGTCACCCAGGCTGGAGTGTAGTGGCGTAATCTCGGCTCACTGCAATCTCCACCTCCCAGCTTCAAGCAATTCTCATGTCTCAACCTCCCAAGTAGCTGGGATTACAGGCGTGCGCCACCACGCCGGGCTAGTTTTTGTATTTTTAGTAGAGATGGGGTCTTGCTTTGTTGGCCAGGCTGGTCTCGAACTCTTGGCCTCAAGTGATCTGCACACTTTGGCCTCCCAAATTGCTGAGATGACAGATGTGAGCCACTGCACCAGGCCACAAATGCCAGCTTTTTTTTTTTTTTGAGATGGAGTTTCGCTCTGTCCCCCAGGCTGGAGTGCAGTGGCACGATCTCGGCTCACTGCAAGCTCTGCCTCCCGGGTTCAGGCCATTCTCCTGCCTCAGCCTCCCGAGTAGCTGGGACTACAGGCGCCTGCAACCACGCCCGGCTAATTTTTTGTATTTTTAGTAGAGACGGGGTTTCACCGTGTTAGCCAGGACGGTCTCAATCTCCTGACCTTGTAATCCGCCTGCCTCAGCCTCCCAAATGCCAGCTTTTTTATGAGGCCTCCCGTATTTCTGTCTAACATTGCAACCCATCCCATCTCCCCAGCAGTTATTGTCAAATAGTATGAGATATTTATTCATTTTGTTTCTTGCCTATTTCCCCTCCCTGGAGGGTAAGTTCCAGGAGGGCAAGATTTTTTCTGCTTTGCTCACTGCCCTTAAGACCTGCCTGGCCCCACAATAGGGGTTCAGTAAATAGCTGTTGAATGAATGAGAGACTTGTGGGGTGACAGACCAGTCAAAAAGCTGTCCCTGCCTCCAGTCCTGCCATTTCCTGTCTGATCCCACACAGACAGCCACAGCGATTTTTCTAAAAACCACATTGCTGTCTTTCAGGTCTTAGGGTAGGTATCACTTCCTCGGAAGCCTTCTCTGGCCCCCTGGGCTAGGCAGCCCCTCTGTGTACTCTCAGGGTCCCCTCCCCTCATTCTGTAATTGCCTGCAATTGCCTAGTTCTATAATTGTCTTCTCCAGGACAGCGAGCTCTGGAGGGTGGGGACGCGTCTGTCTCCCTCCCTGTTGGGAGCTGGAATGGTGCAGCGGATATAGGAGCACACTACCTGGGTCCAAGTCCTGGCTAAGCCGTGAGAATTCAGGCAAATTACTTAAGCTCCCTCGGCCTCAGTTTTCCCAACTGTAAAATGTGGATCATCACAGTTTCTCCCTCCTAGGGTTGGGGAAAGGATGAAACAAGCTGATACAAAAGAGGGATGCTTGGCACGCTGTAAGTGCAATACGAGTGTCAGCTATGATTACTCTTACTCAGGGTTGTGTTCCTGGCCTAGCTCAGAACCTGGCCCATATTCAACACTCATAAGTGTTTGTTAGATGAATGGATGACTGTGTATGGGGATAGAGGGATGAAGGAATGACATGAGGACCTAGACGGGGGCTCTAACCCAGCCTGCGGAGCATTGGAGAAGCTTCTTGTGGGGAGGGAGCTTTCAGCTGACTCCTGCAGGATGAGGAGTTGGCTGGGCACAGTGAAAGGGGGGGCGTGCGAAGCAGCCAGTGGCCTTTGTGGATGCCTCTCAGTGTGGGAGGACTGAGTTATGCAGGAACTGCAGTTCATCACCGAGTGGCTGAGCCATTAGTGCCAAGAGGCAAGTGTCCCCTTTGTGGGCCATTTTTAGGACTCTCACACTGGCTGCTCACTGAGGGCAAAACATCCCACGGTGGCTCCCTGGTCTGATCAGCAGCCCTCCAAGATCAAGGGGAGGCACGCAGGGGAAAGGAGGCCACCACTTGTTGAGGGACCTCAGGGGACAGGCCTGCGTCAACCTGGCAACCCATTCCTGGCTGACATTATGCCCATCCCAGAGATAAGGGGACAGAGGCCCAACACCCCCGAGGCAGTCAGGGGAAGAGGCAGAACCCACTCAAGTCTGTCCACTCCCTGTGCCTTCCCTCATCAGCCCAGAACTCCTCATGGCCAGAGTGTGTCTCCCCCGTCACCCCAGAGATTCCTCAGTGGCTGACATCACCCACTCCTGACTCCCCTCACAGGGCACTGACCGGGGAAATCCCTCCATGGGGCCTGGACTATGGAAGAGTCAAGTGCAGGAAGAACTTTCCATAAGGACTGGAGCAAAAGGCTGGGAATTGGAGGAGATTGGGGGTGGGGCTGCTGAAGGAGGAGAGACCAATCCTGGGGACAGTTGGGGGCACCTTACCCAATTCCTCCACCCCCGCCCCTTAACTCCTCACTTGTCTCACCTGTTGACCTTCTCATGTGCCGATTCAGAGATTCCTCACACTCAGGCTCTGACCTCCACTGACTCTGATGGCCCACAGCAGGTGCAGGGTCTAGTTTTTCTCCAGCCACAGGGCCCACAGCTGGGGTGACCAACGACCAGGAGCTCAGGATTGAAATCCCCACCCTGCCACTTCTTAGCTGGGTCACCTTAGGAAGAGTTCATCCCCTCTCTGAGCTTTCCTCATCTGTAAGAAATGACAGGTAAATCTCTGCCTTGGAGGGTGGCTGGAGGACTGAGAGACAGAGGCTGTGATAACTCATGGCCAGCTGTGAGTTGCAGTACTTGCTGGTTGGATTAGCAATTGAGGAAACTGGTTTGGAAGGGGTTAAATGGAGACCCTGCCTCCCAGCCAGGAGCGAATCAGGGCTGGGAGGGGAGGAGCCAGGCTGCTGCTAAGGAAAGAGATCAGGATGGGCCAGTTGCCGACTGGAGAGGGATGGGAGGAGATACCATAGGGTTTGGGGGGCTTGGCACAGCGGCCCTGGCCTCTGCACTGTGATAGCTCCAAGCCAGATGGTGCAAGGCAGCTGCTGGGCTGCGGGGAAGAGGGGCTGCACTTCCTGAGCTGGTGCAGCGGCAGAGTGGATAAGGATCAGGACCCCGAGCCCTCCTGGCCCTCCAAGGCAGGGGGACACCGGCTGCACCCAGGCTGTGACCTCAGCTGACGCCGATGATCCACATGGGATGCAGGGTCTAATTTTAGCTCCAGCCACAGGGGCCACAGCCCAGAAGCGTCTGCCAGCGGGCACAGGGGCAGCCAGGGCTGCTCAGGCAAGGGGAGGAGTGGGAAGACCAGCCCAGCTCCCTCCAGCCTGTCCCTGGCCAAGCCGCCTCCTGTGGGAGCTCTGACTGGTCCCCATGGCCTGGCAGACAGCCCTCCTCTCAGTTGAGGGCAAGGTCAAGGGGTGCAGCCAGGAGGGCAGGGGGACACGGCCCTGCATTCTGGACAGGGGTTGCGTCAGCCAGAGCAGTGCCCAGGGGCAGGGGTCCCTGCTGGGAGGGAAAAGGCTGGCTTGGTTGTCCAAAGGCCGAGAAGGCAGAGTCCTGAGAGCAGGGGGGCCAGGCCAGCAAGCTGGGTCCCACCTGGCCTCCTCCTGCCTGGCTGGTGACTCACTATCTGACCTTAGACAGGCGGCCTGGTCTCGATGGGCCTCAGTCTTCCCATCTGTACAATGACAGCACAGGACTAGCAGGTCGGTCCCAGCTCTGGTCTCCCGCCCCAGGCCCTGCTCTTCCTGCTTGCTGGCAGAGGCCTCCCAGCTTCCCTAGCCCTGACTGTGGGTGGCCACATGCAGTCGTGGAGGAGAAGAAAGTCCCTGTGGCTGGCACTGTCAGCCTCCTGGCTCCTGCTTGTCCTGCTGGGAGGCTTCTCCCTTCTCCGCCTGGCATTGCCTCCCAGACCTCGGCCCGGGGCTTCCCAAGGCTGGCCCCGCTGGCTGGATGCAGAGCTCCTGCAGAGCTTCTCCCAGCCTGGAGAGCTCCCAGAAGATGCCGTTTCACCTCCTCAAGCCCCTCATGGTGGCAGCTGCAACTGGGAATCTTGCTTTGATACCTCAAAGTGCAGGGGCGATGGCCTTAAGGTATTCGTGTACCCAGCGGTTGGAACCATCTCTGAGACTCATCGCAGGATCCTGGCTTCCATTGAGGGCTCTCGCTTCTACACATTCAGCCCTGCTGGGGCCTGCCTCCTCCTCCTCCTCAGCCTGGACGCCCAGACTGGAGAGTGCAGCTCAATGCCTCTGCAATGGAACAGGGGCAGGAACCATCTGGTCCTCCGTCTCCACCCGGCTCCCTGCCCCAGGACCTTCCAGCTGGGACAGGCTATGGTGGCTGAGGCCAGCCCCACGGTGGACTCCTTCCGGCCCGGCTTTGATGTGGCCCTCCCTTTTCTCCCTGAAGCCCACCCGTTGCGAGGTGGGGCTCCTGGCCAGCTGCGGCAACACAGCCCCCAGCCCGGGGTAGCCCTGCTAGCCCTGGAAGAGGAGAGGGGTGGGTGGCGCACAGCAGACACTGGCTCCTCTGCCTGCCCCTGGGATGGGCGCTGTGAGCAAGACCCTGGACCTGGGCAGTAAGTGAACCTTTTGCCTTGGGGGCTGGATGGGAGGGGGCTGGAATAGACGCAAGCCCAAAAACGAGGGTAGAAGGCAGGACTGAGATGGGAGAACCAGGTAGTCCTGGTAGACTTAGGCCTCAGCTGCAGCAGCAGGAGGGAGCCAGGTTAGATGGCAGAGAGCACTTCCATTAAGATGGGGACTTGAAGCAAGGGTTGTCTAAGGTAGGTTTTGGAATTCTCCCCTGGGGATCTTTCAAAACATAAAACACGACTCATTCCAAACCTCCTACCCTAATATTTTTTTTCCCCACATACAGTTGTATAGTGCTTACTCTGTGCTAAGCACTTATATAAATAATGATTATAATAAAATATGCTAGTTGTTAGCATTTAAGTGTTTGTGTACCAGGCACGAAAGCTCAGACAGGTTAAGTAATTTTTCTCAGGCCACCCAGCCGGAAAGAGCCAGTATTTTGATCCAGAATTGCCTATCTCCAAAGCCTTCAGTATGAGAATTCTGAGTTTTAAGTAAAAGTTTATGATCAACCTCATCAAATGCCTCAGAAGGGCCTCACAGTCACAGCTGGAAGCTGCTCCCGTGTCTAATTTTGGGGATTAACCTCTCAAAGAAACAGCCTTTGGTTATAGCAAATATGACGCAGGTCAGATCTAAAGAATTTCCTGCCAGTGAGAGGCCCTTGACATATATAAGGGACTGGGGGCCTGTGGGATGTGGTGAGCTTGTACAGAAACTCTTTCCGCCTGGGCTAGTTGGGGGTGATGCGCCTCAGGTGATAGTTATCCCCTAAGCACTCTAACCCTCTGTGTCCCCAGCAGGCCAGCAGCCTCTAAAGGCTAGCTGGGCAGGCAAGAATGGGAGTCCCTCTGAGGTTGTCCAGGGCCCCGGTGGCAGAGGGTTCCTTCTGTATCCCACCATCTCCCAGGGCCTACCTGAGTCGGGAACTGTCACTCTGGTATCCTCCTTTTGCTCCTCCCTCAGGTCTCTCTCCCTATTCTCTGCTCCAACAACATCAACTATTCTGAGCTCCACTCCCTCCCAGGAATTCTTGCCTCTGCTTGGGGCTCCCGGGACTTCTCTCGGCCAAAGGGCTCTCGTGGGAATGGGATCCTTCCACTTCCTGAAGGTACATGGAGGCCTCCAGGGAGCCCTCACAGCCAGGAGTAAGAATGGACTTGTCCCGGTCAGCCCCAGGGTCCTTTTGCTGGGACCTATCCCTAGTGGTCTCCAAGGTGGGAGCCTGAAAAGTCAGGGATCTCCCCCAAGCCCCTGCAGCTCAGCGCTCAGGCAGAAGCTCACTTTGAGCGACAAGGCTCTCCCTTTGCCATGCCCTCCCTCACTTTTCTGATGAGGCACTCAGGTACTCTTGCTTGCAGGAAGTTCTTTTTTCAGCTGACTTTAGTTACCGCTAAGCACAGTTCATTATTGATGAACCTGAAAGTGATTTCAGTCTGAACTTCTTTGAGAAACTGGAAGTTAGGGAGCTGCACACAGCAGGTAGGTGCTCATTAAATGTTTACTAATGGATCTGAAATTGGCCAGAGCCGGCCACGGTTTTCTAATTAGCGTGGGTCACCCTCTGAGTAGCATTTTTGATAAGTTTTATTTCCCAGGGGCGAAGCTTGGCAGCCTTGGACTCTGACCTTCAAGTTTTGTCTTTGGCCTCCGCCTCCCTGAAGGTGACAGGACTTGTCATCTCTGGAGTGGTTTGAGCCTCAGTTTCTCCGAAGTGCCGGGCAGCTGCCTGGGCCAGACAGCCTAGGGACAGAGTGAGAGAGATAGCCTGAATAAACAAGTCCTGGCCAGAGAAAGAGGCCATTCACAGTCCCTGCCACCTCCCCACATTCACTCAGCCGGGCGAGAGTGGGGAGAGGAGGAGGCTACATTTGAGGAGTGCCTGGCTTGGGCCAGGTGCTGTGCCAGGCACTTTACTTAAGTCACTGCTGATCCTGTCATGCACCCTTCAAGGGAGGTATTATTATCTCCATTTCAGGGTATGGAAAACTGAGGCCCAGAGAGGTGGAATAGCCCAGGGTGACAAGGTTCCCTCTTCTCCATGAGCCCCTCACTTTTCTAATCAGGCGCTTGGAAGCAGTGGAGTTGGGATTCAACCCTGTACTTCTGGCTCCAAAGCCCATGTTTTTCCACCTTGGTTGAACGGTCTCTTGTTGCTTTGGAATAAATCTCCACCCATTCAAATTGTTATTTATTCATTTTTATGAATAGGTAATTCATTCACATGGTACAGAATTCCAAAGGCACAAAAGGGCATAGAGTGAAAAGCCTCCCTTCTATCCCTGTCTCTCGGCCACCCGGTTTTCCTGCCTGGAGCCAAACACTGCTTCCAGTTTCTTACGTGTCTTTTCTGAGAAACTCTGCGTGTGTACAAGCAATATGTATATTCTCCCCCATTTTTTAACATAAATTTGAGGCATGCTTCAAAGTCCCCCAGGCTGTATCCATTGGGAACAAGGGGCACAGTCAGTACCTAGGGCCCATGATACTTTTATAGGCTCATGAAAATATTTTCATTTTTTGAAAATCAGGGCTGGGCATAGTGGCTTACACCTGTGATCCCAGCACTTTGGGAGGCTGAGGCGGGTGGATCGCCTGAGCTTAGGCAACATGGTGAGACCCTGTCTCTACAAGAATTACAAACATTAGCTGGGTGTGGTGGTGCAAGCCTGTAGTCCCAGCTACTTGGGAGGCTGAAGTGAGAGGATCGCTTGAGCCCAGGGTGTCAAGGCTAGAGTGAGCTGGGATCATGCCACTGCACTCCAGCCTGGGCAGCAGAGTGAGAGAGACTCTGTTTCAAAAAAAAAAAAAAAAGGCAGAATTAAAAATGAACTTTCAGGTAGAAGAAAAAAATTTTTTTTTTTTTTGAGACAAAGTCTTTCTCTGTCACCCAGGCTGGAGTGCAATGGCACAATCTTGGCTCACTGCGACCTCCACTTCCTGGGTTCAAGCGATTCCCCTGCCTCAGCCTCCCAAGTAGCTGGGATTACAGGCACGCACCACTACACCCAGCTAATTTTTGTATTTTTAGTAGAGATGGGGTTTCACCATGTTGGTCAGGCTGGTCTCAAACTCCTGACTTCAAATGATCTGCCTGCCTCGGCCTCCCAAAGTGCTGAGATTACAGGCATGAGCCACGGCGCCCAGCAGAAAATGTTTTAATATATAATATTGCTTGTTTTTATACCAACACAGTTATCAACTATATTCTTTTTTTATGGCAGGAGAGACTGTGAAGGCCAAAGTGCCTAGTAGGGCACATGGAAGTCACAATGCAGCCCTACCTATGGCCAGGCCCCAGCAGAGCACTGAGGCCATGGGCACAGCCACGCTGACCACCCTTGGGCACTGAGGCCCTGAGTCTATGGCAGGTACCTTACATGGTCACAGAAGCCTAAGACTTCTTCAGTGGTCACCACATAGATGCACAAGTTTCCTCTGTAACACATTCCCTGTTCCCCGCCAAAGGTGCTCATCCAGTCTCTACTTATTTCCCTTTACTGATGGGGAACTCACCACCTCCAAAGACCACCCACTGGCTGCACGCTCAACCAGCTCCATCACTAGAATTTCTGCTGAAATTGACCTCCCAGATACCTGGTCTCTTGGTCCCAGATCTATTCCCTAGTGTCTCACTGAGCATTCGGCAGCACCCACTGAGCTCCCATTCTCCACCAAGCACTCTGCTAGGCCCTAGGGATACTGAGATGAGGGAGGTACAGCCCCATCCTCAAGGAGCTCAGCCTTGTAAGAGAGACAGGCAAGTCAATTGTTTGACACACATTGTTAAGCAGAGAGAGGCTGCACCGGCTGCCTCCCTGGCTCCTCTACTCAAGAGCTGTGTGACCTCTTTGGGCTTCAGTTTTCTCATCTGTAAAATGAGATAATAACAGTGCATACCTCCCCTCCTATCTCATAGAGGTGCTGTGAGAATGAACTGAGTTAATACCTGTAAAGCACTTAGAACAGTACCTGGATCAAAGTACATACTCAATATAGGTTAGCTTGGATCATTACTACTGCAGTCCACTGGGAGGTGGGAGTAGAGAAAGCCATCTCTGGAGAGATCAAGGAGGGTTTCCCAGAGGAGGTGATGTTTCAGCTTAGACATTAAGACAGCGTAGAAGAAGGCCAGGTGTGGTGGCTCATGTCTGTAATCTCAACACTTTGGGAGACTGAGGCAGGAGGATCACTTGAGGCCAGGAGTTTGAGACAGCCTGGGCAACACAGAGAGACCCCATCTCTAAAAAAAAAAAAAAAAAAAGCCAGCACGTGCCTGTAGTCCCAGCTACTCCAGAGGCTGAGGCAGGAGAATTGCTTGATCCTGGGAAGTTGAGGCTGCAGTGAGCTGTGATGGCACCACTGCACTCCAGGCTGGGTGACAGAGCAAGAGCTTGTCTCAGAAGAAAAAGATGAGTAGGAGGACTTCCTCAGGCTGACAAGGCAGGGAGGGGCCCTCCAACGTGAGGGAGAAGGGATCTTAAAGGCACAGAGGATCAAGGGAGGTTAAGGCTCAGTGGTGCAGTTGATTCAGCCTTAACCTAGAGGTTTTCAATTCATTAGAGGTTGACTTAAGGGTGAAGGGGGCTGTACCTGGTTGGCTTCTGCTGTGGCTTTTCATGAGGTGAAGGGTGTCCTGATGCTTACTTGTGGCTTCTTCCAAGGAGGGCCTGGTGGACACTTAAGCATGGAGGGAGGACAAAGAAGGCTGGGGTCCCCTGGAAGACCCCTAAAGCAGCAGCTCTGGGGTGGTTCAGATAACTCAGGGTCAGGAGCTGGCAAATCTCTGCTCTAGTCCCAGCTCCACTCAACCCTATCTGTGACCCTGAGCCAGTCCTTGGGTCTCTCTGGGCCTCAGTTTCCCCATCTGTTCAATGGGGCATGGCCCCGAGGCTGCCTAAGTACTCCCAGGTCTGCTTCTTGGAGGTTCAGGCTCAGAGCCAAACAGGCTGTAACTGAGGAGGGTCCTAGTACCCTCTGGGCCCTAGTCATGAGTCCCACACTGAGCAGGCCTGTGTCCTGGTCCCTCCCTTTATCCCTCCCCTGGCTGGGTTGCAGGCAATGGTCCCCTGGGTGGACAATTGCCAGGCTGGCTCTGAGGAGGCTGGGACTCCTGCCCTCCCCCACAGGCACACACAGCCTGAGTGTGGCCCTGGGCTAGGGTGGTGGAGGGGGTAGGTGGGAGGAACAGAGGGAGCCTGTCCTCTGGGCCAGGGGACCTCTGGGCAGCAGTTTCCTGTGTGGTTCCAGGCTGGGGGCCCAGCCCACCTCATGACAGAGGAGCCTTTCACGGGCCTGGCTTTTAGCATCGGGGAGGGCTGGGCTCAGAGGCCACGCAGGCAAGGGGTGCTGAAAGTCTGCCTGTGGCCGAGTGGGGGAGGGCAGACGTGCATGTCTAAGTCAGGCAGGGCCTCGGAAACATCAGCGTCCGCTGCCTCCCATTTTACAGATGAGGAAACTGAGGCCAGAGAAAGGCAAGGGAGGTGTCTAAGGCCACTGAGGGCAGAGGCAGAGCTAGAATGCAGGGCTCCTGCCTCCTAGTCCAACCACAGATGCGTGGCTGGTGTGATGCTTGTGTTTGTGTTAGTGCGTCAGTGTGCGGCTGTGCATATGCATGAGTGGGTTTACACATTTGGGAGTGTGGGTGTGGGGTGCAGGGGTGTGGGGTTCTCCCATTGAGGGAGCCCAGGGGGCGAAGGTCACTGTCCAGGCTCATGTGTGGTGGGACCTCCCCATGTGCCTCTTTAGGACCCAGCGCCAGGAGACGCTGCCCAATGCCACCTTCTGCCTCATCTCTGGCCACCGTCCCGAGGCTGCCTCGCGCTTCCTCCAAGCCCTGCAGGTACAACCCCAATTTGAGCATCACCCATCCTCTGTCCCCCAGCACTCATGAGCTGGCAGGGTACTCTGGGTCCAGGCCAATGAGAAGGGGCAGTAAGCTGCCTGCTCCTTTACTCCTGGACTCAGGCATGCCTGTGTCCCCATTCACTGCACCCTCTGCAGAACAACCATAACCTCCCCTCCCTGAAAAATCCCATGTTCCTGTCCTCTTTGCCCCTTGCCCCCAACAGCAGCAGCTACTGACTTGGAACTGGGCGGGGGGTGAGTATGTGCAGGGTGGGGCTGGGCTCCCCAGTGACCTCCCCGCCCCCCAGGCCGGCTGCATCCCAGTGCTTCTCAGCCCCCGCTGGGAGCTGCCCTTCTCCGAGGTCATCGACTGGACCAAGGCAGCCATCGTAGCTGATGAGAGGCTCCCACTTCAGGTAGCTCAGAGCCCTGCCCACAGGGTGGGAACTGGACCCAGGACAGGGGAGGGACCTAGAATCCTGGATCGAGGCTGGCCTCAGTCCTCATTCCTATCTGCCTTCTATGGATACTGGTGAATTTCTCCTAGCACCAAGTCTCCCCTCTGGGGCTCCCAGAGGATCTGATGGAGCTAGAGATTCCTAAGGGTTCTGAGAGCAAGTCCTGATCCTCTTCCAGCCTCAGTTTTATCATCTCTACAATAGGATGAGCTAGACCAGACAATCCCCATGGGCCCAGCTCCAATGGCCTGTGACTGCTTAAATACCAATTTAGGGGAAGGCTACAAAAAAATTCAAACTCAGAGCGCCTCCATGGGGACTGGAGTGGGAAAGCAAAACGCATGGCGACTTTTCCATCTGATGAAACTAATTTTGTCCAGCTCTGAAAAATATATGTGTGACCTGCCTTGAATCCCCTGAGAATGGCAGAGGGGGTTAATAGTAATTACCATTTTTTTAATTGAGCCTCTACAATGTACTAAGCAATTAATGAGCAAATACTCAGGTTAAATAGCTCAACCACAGTCACGTGGTTACCAAGTGGCATTCAGACCCAACTCTGTGTGACCCCTGAATGCTTCTTTTTTTTTTTTTTTTTTTTGAGATAGGATCTTGCTCTGTTGCTCAGGCTGGAGTGCAGTGGCACGAATATGGCTCACTGCAGCGTCGACCTCCTGGGCTCAAAATTGCTCTATTACCTGGCACTTTTCTCCCTCTCTGCTCCAGGTCCTGGCTGCCCTCCAGGAGATGTCCCCTGCACGGGTCCTCGCCCTGCGTCAGCAGACCCAGTTTCTATGGGATGCCTACTTCTCCTCAGTGGAGAAGGTCATCCATACCACTCTGGAGGTGAGGGGTCTCACCTGATGGGGGTCCTGGCTCTTGACTCCTGCTTCATCCCTGTCACCTCTCCATACTTCTCTGCCACAGTGTTTGGGGAACCCCCCCCCCTTCCTTGAAGATGGTCCTGGGATGAATCTGAGACTTGGCTGTGAGATTTGGGGCAAGTTTCTTCTCCAATCTTGGCCTCAGTTTCCCCATCTTTAGAGAAGACCGCTGTGGCAAATAGATGTCAAAGCATGCACCAATGCCAGTTGACCGCCGATGGCTGCCTGGGATGCTATGTTGGGAGGGATTCTGAGTCCTGAAAGAATGTCATGACCCATTAGTGACATCTGTCATGAGTGAGGAAGGAAGGGGAAGCAGTGACCCTGCCACCATCTCCCACCTCTGGAGCAACATCATGGAGTGCCCCCTACTCTAGACTCAGCTTCTGACCCCAGGGGTCTGGTGATGCAGCTGCCACCCTCCCCAGAGCCTGGAAGGGGAGGTGTGGCCATGGTCACACAGGCCACTCGCTCTGCTCAGCTTCTCTCTCATTTTAGGTTATTCAGGACCGGATTTTTGGAACATCAGCTCACCCCTCACTGCTGTGGAACAGCCCCCCAGGGGCACTCCTGGCCCTGTCTACTTTTTCCACAAGCCCCCAGGACTTCCCCTTCTACTACCTGCAACAGGGTATGCCCTGGGGATGGGACAACCTGAAGTCCCCTCAGCTCTACCCAGGGCTGCCCCAGCCTCATCTGGAGAGCCCCACCAAGACCCTTTCCAAGCCCTAACATTTTTCCTGGCCCCCGGGGATTCCCTACTCAGGTCATTCTTCATGGGGTTCTGTTCCCTCCCACTCTAATAGCCTGTGTCTCATTCCCCCAGGCTCCCGCCCTGAGGGCAGATTCAGCGCCCTGATCTGGGTGGGGCCCCCAGGCCAGCCCCCTCTGAAGCTCATCCAGGCGGTGGCAGGCTCCCAGCACTGTGCCCAGGTCTGCCCCCTTCCCAGCTGGAGTCCTGGGATCCAGGGTGGGGGTAAGGGACAGGGCAGGGCCCTGATGACTTCCAGACCCCAAAGATGACCACTATTTGAGGGGAGGCACGGGGAAGATTTCCAAGTGTTCTTGCTGCCTCCTGTAAGTCCCAAGATTCTGTTGCCTTTTCCCCATGGAAATTGATGAAGCCACGTGAAAAGCAGATGTCTCTTGGGGAGGCTGGAGAAGGAAACATTCATTCCTTTACTCAGCAGTCATTTTCTGAGCACTAGGCCCTGGGCTTAAGGCTGAGCAGATAAAAAGTAAGGAAGGATTCTGCCCAGAGAGTCAGACTGGGTTAGCATTTTCCAGCACACAGACTGTCAAATCTTACTTCTAGAGAAGCCAGATAGATTAATAAGAGTCCTTGTAGAGGAAGTGAAGCAGTTAGCTCAGCCAGGGTGCACACAGGAAGGCTCCAAACAGGCCATTGAGCTGGGCTGGGAGTCATAAAAGAGCCTGAGGAAGAGAATGAAGGCTTCGAGAAAAGATGAGGATGGAGCATGGAGTCAGGGCCCAGGCTAGGGACTACCACAGACAACTCTCTTGAGTTCTGAAGCCACAGGTCACTACCCTCATGTCACCAGAATCCCTGCCTTCTACAAGCCCAGAGGCAAGGACAGAGCAGCGGTGAAAGGACCATGGATCCAACTAACCCTTCTCCCATGTGCAGTTTACAAAGCTGACTTCTCAAACTTCTTCCACCTTGAGAAAGATCACTCCTGCCCCTCGCAACCCGCCTTCTGCCCCAGATCCCAGACTTCAAGAACAACCCCCTATCCTCTAGATCTTGGTTCTCTGGAGCAATGAGAGGCCACTCCCATCCAGGTGGCCGGAGACAGCTGTGCCCTTGACAGTCATTGATGGGCACAGGAAGGTAAGGGATGAGGAGAGCCATGAAAGGGGTGGGCCCATGCTGGGAGCTGGGGGAGGGCACCCATGGGGTGTTTTATGAATACTTGGGCCTGAGCCGCAGTTGGGCCTGAAGAATGACACAGTAGGTTTCAGCCACAGGGCTAATAGTAATGATTCTTTTCCCTCCCTGGTCCCTGTGAGCTGTGCTTCCAGAGCACTGGGGCTTACATGATGGGGAAAGACAGAGGAGAGCGCTGACATCTCAGAAGAGGAACAGAGGAGAAACCCAGGTTCTTGAGAAAATACGGACCAAGGGCAGCACACGGGGCCAGGAAGGGGAGGCTTCTGGGAACCGTGGTTGGTGTGAACCACCTGCCTGCCGCATGGTTGTGGGCAAGTCCCTTCGTCTCTCTAGATCTGTTTCTTTCAAATGAGGGAAGTTTGACAACTCCTCCCAGAGTTGATGTGACAATATGACAATGGAGGAATTCCAAGATGTCAAAAGTGGAAGGGCCCCTAGAGACCAACTGCCCCATTTGACCAAAGGGGAAACTGAGATCCAAAGAGGTCAAATGAGTTGCCCAGGTCCCAAAACGAGCTCTGCACAGGCTTGCCATATTTGAGGCCCAGGCGTCTACACTGTGCCTGAAGGGAGGCTTTATTCATGGCTCAGGCGTCTACACTGTGCCTGAATGGCTCCTACTTATTGGATGGGGGTGGGGGGAATGTTCCAATGGCTGAGTTCCCCTCCCCCACTCCCTGCAGGTTAGTGATCGCTTCTACCCATATAGCACCATCAGAACAGATGCCATCCTCAGCCTCGATGCCCGCAGCAGTCTTTCCACAAGTGAGGTGAGGGCTGGGCCCAAGAGAAGCCCAGTGTGGGTAGACACAGAGCCAGAGGGCCCTGGCAGCCCCTCAGGTTCCCAGGGTTGAGGGGACCCCAGGTCATGAGGTCCAGCCTCTTGCATTTGAAACCACCCCAGCAAGCCAGGCAGCCTCCTCTTTAGGAGTCTCGTTGAGGCTTTCCATGGACTCTTTTGAGAAATTGTTTTTGTGGCCCCTGGAAGCTTTCATGCCACACTTCCAGCCAATTCCAAGTCTTGGCTCCCGCGCCCTCTCCCCTGAGTCCTGCCCGGGCCCCTCAGCCAGGCTGCCCCTGCCTCCATTTCCCTGGATGTTCTAGGCATTTAGGAGGTCCTTCCTCACAGCTCACTTGAGTCCCTCCCCAGGTGGACTTTGCCTTTCTGGTGTGGCAGAGCTTCCCAGAGCGGATGGTGGGCTTCCTGACGTCGAGCCATTTCTGGGACGAGGCCCATGGTGGCTGGGGCTACACTGCTGAGAGGACCAACGAATTCTCCATGGTTCTCACCACAGCCGCCTTCTACCATAGGTACAGACCCCTACCCTGCACAGGGATCAGAGTATCAGAGGACCAGAGACCCCACCCCCACCCCGAACGGAGCAGAGTGGCCTAGACCCCAGGGATCCAGGTTCAAGGCCGAGATCTGCCACTTCCCAGCTGTGGGATCCTGGGCAAATCTCCTCACTTCTCTAGAGTTTGTTTTCTCATCTGTAAAATGGGATGGATTCACCTCCCAGGGCTGGTGTGAACATTAAATGAAGTCCCTGGCACAGAGGTTCCACAAATGGTAGCTATTGTTATTTGAAGTAGAGCCATGCAGTGAGTAAGGGCAGTGTGTGGGTTTGCTGGTGGTGGGGTGACAAGAAAATAGTCCTGATGCTTTATGAATGTGGATGTTATGAGTTGGGGAACATCCCAGACCTTCCAGAAGCTGCCTGAAGTGCTCCGGTCTTAGGGCAGAGACTGAATTCTGTAAGACCTCTTTAGAGGGGTTCCTTAAACATGTTTAAATCAAATATGCATAACGTGGAACCTCTTATAGATTACTCAGGAGCTCTGCAGGGAATTCTCAGTAGAGTGAAGAATTACCTAATGTCTGCGAGATGAGGCTGGCCTGTCTGAGGGCCGTGTGAAGTGAGCTCACCCGGAGCGGTATCAGCCTGGTTCATCCACAACTGTTCTTTGGGCTTCCATGTTTGATGGCTTTGAAACCAGCTGATCCAAACCCATCTAATTCTGGCTCTGAGTTCAGCGCTCAGAGCCCAAGGATGGGGGGCCCAAGGAGCTGTGAGGGAGAGGGCAGGGAACACACCACTAACTGCAGATAAGCCACGGGGCACAGCACAATGGAGAGCTGTTCACGCCAGGGATGGGAGCTCTCTGAGGCAGCCAGGGCTCAGAGGCTTGGGGATGGGGGTCAAAGGGAGAGGTGAGGTCAGGAGGGAGGAGAATGGGGCCTGGGGATGGATTTGGCTGCAGCCTCTCCCTGTCTTTTCCTCTTGCCCAGGTATTACCACACTCTCTTCACCCACTCCCTGCCCAAGGCTCTGAGGACCCTGGCAGATGAGGCACCCACCTGTGTGGACGTCCTGATGAATTTCATAGTAGCAGCAGTCACCAAGCTGCCCCCTATCAAGGTGCCCTATGGCAAGCAGCGCCAGGAGGCTGCTCCACTGGTGAGGGCTGAGGGGGATTGGTCGGAACTGGCAGGGATTGGGCGGGGATGCCGGAGAGGATTCCCTCTCACTGTCTAATTCCAGTCTTTCTTGCTGCACGGGCGTGGGGAGTTCGGAAGGGCAGAGAAGCCCGTTAATGCATTGCTTCTTTCCCTCTTAGGCGCCTGGGGGCCCGGGGCCCAGGCCAAAGCCGCCTGCCCCAGCCCCCGACTGCATCAACCAGATAGCGGCAGCGTTCGGCCACATGCCCTTGCTGTCCTCTCGTCTGCGTCTGGACCCGGTGCTGTTTAAGGACCCGGTGTCCGTGCAGCGCAAGAAGTACCGCAGCCTGGAGAAGCCCTAGGGGGGCGACCCGCGGAGACCCCAGCAGAGGTCGCAGCCCAGCTCCCAGGGGGCCCGGCGCCTGCCGGCGGGCTCCGCTCTTGGGACACCGGAGAACCTATCATGTCAGCCAGCGGGCCCACACGTCGGACCCCGGTTGGCCAATCACAACAGGGGGGCGTGGCCTTACCTTCTCCTGCTCGCCCTCAGCCGCGGAGCCTCTGCGGAGGCTGAGCCCCGCGACCGGAGCGCCGCTCTCCGCTTCTCCACCCAGCTAACTTCTGCTCGTCTTTCAGAGCATTGTCTCCTCCAGGGACTTGCCTGGCCCTCCTCCCCCTCCGCCCCCAATGGGTTCGGTCTCCTTTGCGCTTTCGCAGTCCAGTGTTTGCCGCGGTTCCCGCACGGTCAGGCCCCAGGACTGGCTTGCGAGCCCCGGGGGGCGGGTCGTGTCGTGTCCTTTTCTCTCTGGCTAGGCAGGTGTGCCGCAAATATTTGACGAATAGATGGATGGCAGACATTAACTGCGTGCCTGGCCCTATGAGGGCGGCGGCGGGACAGGGTGAGCGGAGAGACAGAACTGTCCCCGCCCCACCCCGCCACCCATTCCTAGGGTTCCTAGTCCCGGGAAGGCAACTACCCAAAGACGCCTGGGTTGTCAGGCTCAATCCTTGAGCCTCAACCAAGGAGCAGAGGGGTGCGGGTAAACGAGGAGTGGGGCGAGGAAAGCGGGATGGGAACAAGTGGCCTGTCCCCGCACGGCCCGCGGCTCAGCCTCGGCCGTCTGCCCTGCACTACCAAGGCCGACCACTAGAGGTCAGCGTCGCGCCGCACTCTTCACCCGCATGTCCAGAGGGCGGCCGGGATGTGGAGGGTGAGCGCTGTGGGCAGCTCGGGGGCTGAAAGCTGGGAAGAGAAATCTGAAGAACAGCCCCATCTCTTTCGCCTGCACACTTGGAACTCAGCAAGAAGGGACTGTTTCTAGGTGGGCTGGGCGCGAGCAGGGACTGTCCCGAGCGGTATAGGTGAGAATGGAGTTGGGGGGGGACACTAGGTCCTCCGGGGTTCACCCACCTGGAGCTGGAATTATCACTTCCGAAATAAAGCGCGTGTCCTTGCCCCCTCACGCTCCAGGCTATAAATACCCTTACAGCAGCTGCTCGAGGGAGGGGCTCAGGGCTCAGGGCTCGCCTGGGAGCGCGTGCGACTCCAGAGGGTGAGGGTGGTGGGTCCAGCCCAGGTCCAGGGTGTCAGGTGTTTTCCTGCTTTGATGGCCTGGCAGCTCTGGAAACTCCCGTGACTGTCTCACTGGCAGGAACATACTGTCCCCTTAGGCCTCTCCAAGGCCTTCCACCCCCACCCCCCAGCTTGACCTCGGCGGGCCCCTGGATGACTCAGGTCCTCCCTAGAGCCAGTCACAGCTGAGTGGCAGAGTGGGTTACCCTTGGGAGGCGTGGTGCTGTGAGATGCTTGAGGTACAGGGCGGACTGGAAATTAAAGAGGTGGGGGAGAGGCAGTCCGGCCCGGAGTCAAGAACTGAGGGTGGGTGGGAAAGCATACAGCTGGGGCCCAGGCAGCCTTCCCAGGGTGGGGAGGGCGCTGGATGCCAGGCCCAGCCAGGTGAAAGAGGCACCTTTCCAATCACAGCTGTGACACCCAGGACACTGAACTGCCTTGGCATGTCCTCACCCATGGGCCGGGCACTGCTGGTCCCAGGGGTTTGTATTGTACCAACAGGCAGCGCAGACCGACAGGCCCCCAGACCCTGCTGTAGAGGAAGGTCTACCGAAATGAGGCAGAAATCCCAGACCTGCCTGCACTGGCTGTCTGACTTCAGGAAAACGATTCAACCTCTGAGCCTGTTTTTTCATCTGTAAGAATGCAGGACAGCAGTGATGGTCTCCTTTTTTTTTTTTTTTTTTTTTTTTTAAGCTGGAGTCTCGCTCTGTCACCCAGGCTGGAGTGCAGTGGTGTGATCTCAGCTCACTGCAACCTCTGCCTCCCCGGTTCAAGCGATTCTCCTGCCTCAGCCTCCCGAGTAGCTGGGATTACAGGCACAAGCCACCACGCCTGGCTAGTTTTTGTATTTTTAGTAGAAATGAGGTTTCGCCATATTGGCCAGGCTGGTCTCGAACTCCTGGCCTCAAGTCATCTGCCTGCCTCAGCCTCCCAAGGTGCTGGGATTGCAGGCATGAGCCACCGTGCCCAGCCAATGACTGTCTCTTGAGAGGGGTGTAAGGACTTGGCATACGGCAAAGCCCAGGATCAAGTTCCTGGGGCCTGCCATGGCTTGGGTGGGGGTGGGGAGTTGGGTAGGGGAGGTTGAGTCCCCTGAGATTGTGGTGGAATGGAGCACCCACCAGCAACCCCCCACCCCTCTCCAGGCCAGTGCTTTCCACAGACTTTTCACAGACCTGGAGGGGCTGAAGGACCCACCTACCTAGAACACAGGCGATCAGGATGACAGTGCTGGGAAGGCACAAAGAGGTCATTTCACAGATGGAAAGACAGAGATTTAAAGTGGGAGGCAAGTGACCAAACCCACCTCCTCCCACCTTGGGCCAGAACAGTCAAGACAAACTCAGCACTGCCCCTGGGGAGGCTGGGAAGCCCACCTGACTCCTCAGTGAGGCAGCCTCGGGCCACAGAGTTCCCTGTCCCCAGGATGGTAAAAGTAACCAATCTTCAACAACCACAGGTACTTGGCCAACTGGCTCTTGTTCTCAACCCTGTGAGGGAGGCATCAACCCTGTCGGTGTACAGATGAGACTGTGGGGCAGAGGCCAGCTCGCCCAAGGCACTTGCTTACAATGGCAGAGACAGACCTTGTGACACAGGACTCCCTGATAACTGGGCATGTTGTCTCGATGAGTCGGGGACAGGTTTCCCCTCTTGCATCTTGTAAACAAAAGCCACCCCTAAGTCAGGAATCTTCACACACAAGCCCCAGGAAGCTGCGGTTTCCCTCCTAGCTGGCCTCTGGACCGAGTGCAGCCCCACTTGTCTCCCTTTCCCTCCACCATGTCAGGCTCCGACTGGGTCAGGCCAGGTAGGCAACAGAGTTGGCCCAGCCATATCTTTCTGGAGACTCTGAATCCCCTGGGACACTCTCAGGGCAACAGAAGTGCCAGGGGGCTTGGAGGCTGTTAGTGCAGAACCCAAGCTGAAATCTCTCTACCCCCTGCCCACCACCTGTGCCAAAGTTGTTTTTTGTGTTGGCACAGCTGAGGAAATAAGGAAAGAGGAAACCTGTCTCTTACCTAGTAAGAAGCCTCTCCCCTCCAGGAAAGGGAACATTTGGCTCATAGCTGAAGTGACTAAGGCACAGATAGGCCTCAGGTGCCTCCTGGCTCCCTGCCTCAGGGAGGCTCAAATGAGAGTGTGAGGGTCCTCACCCCCGTGCCTATTGCTATAGGCAGATGGAGGGGCTCAGATTCATAAAGGCAAAGGCCAGCCAGGCTGAGAATGGGGCATGAGGCAGGCAGTATGGGCGCGCTGGGGCCAGCCTCCCCTTGGACGTCCCGTGGCTCACCACCTTTGCCCCTGCGAGTGGTAGAACATTTGCTGAGGATTAGGCCCAAATACAGCCCTTCCAGAGCTGGCCCAGGAGCTGGAAGAGCAGGGTCACACTAGCTTTATACCCGCTGAGTCCCCACCCTGGCTGTAGTCAGATGGGAGGCTGGGAAGAGCTCCATTCCTGGAGTGGGGCAGAGGTCAGGAGGGGGACCTGGTTTACAACACAGCTGGGGTAGGCAAAGTCCTGGCTGGGCCTGGGGGACACTCAGTCCAGCCACCTGCAGGTCCTGTTCATGCCCCAGTTGGTGCCTGGCTGAGCAGTCAGTCTGAGGGGCCCTGGCATGCCTGACAGTCCTTCATGTCCTCCGAGTAGTCCTCGATCTGGATGGTCACGGTGTGGAAGTGGAACTTCCCTTGGAGGCGGCTGCTGGCTGTCTTCAGCACAGCCTGGGCGTCTGTATTCTGAGCTGGGGGCCGAGAGGACACAGCGGGGGAAGCCATTTACTCTGGCCCTTTGGAACCATCAGGAGCCCAAATCTCATACCCCATCCCCAGCAGAACAGGATGGGGGACCATGAACATGGAGAAGCCCCCAGATTCCATTCCTCTGCCAGGTAGCCTCCCAGCCCAGACCTGGCTCATGCCTGAAAGAGCTGGTAAAGCACTGGCCTTAAGGCCAGGAATCTGCCACCTACTGCCATATACTAGCTGTAAAAGCCTGGGCAAGTAACTTTACCACCCAACCCCAGCCTCAGTTTCTTCATGGATAAATGAGATTGTGCTGATCAGATGGAATAATGCGTATCAAGTACTCAGCATGAGGCTGGGCTTGATGCATGGGCACTGTGAGCATCTGGGGTCACCTGGACCCGTTGGGGATGGCACTAGGCCTTTGGCTGCCTGTCTCCCACCCCACCCTGAGTGTCCCAAGCACTCACCAATGGCGATGTGGACAGACAGAACAGGCTGGGCCACCGTCAGTGCCCAGATATGCAGGCTGTGCAGGGCTTCTACCCCCTCCACCGACAGCAGCAGATCACGAACAGCTGTGAAGTCAACGCCCTTGGGGGTCCCTGAGGACGGCAAGGACAGGGGAAACTAAAGGAAACTACCCCTCCCACGCCTGCCCATTGGTGCAGGGCTGGCTCCTGATCCTCAGGTGTCATCCCCTCAAAGAAGACCTCTTTGGCCTGCAGGTCTGAGGCTGCCTTCACCTCCCAAGGTCTCTGCCCTATCACTCTGTTGTATTTCCTCTCCACTCTTAACACTGAAATTATTTATGAATGTACTTATTGTCAGTTTCTCCCTCTAAAATGGACACTCCATGAGGGCAGGACAGTCTCCTTTGATTACCACAGTATCCTTGGTGCCTAAAACAGCACCTACTCCATAGTAGGTGCTCAATAAATATATTTTTTGGTTTTTTTTGAGACGGAATCTTGCTCTGTCACCCAGGCTGGAGTGCAGTGGCGTGATCTTGGCTCACTGCAACCTCTGCCTCCCTGGTTCAAGCAATTATCCTGCCTCAGCCTCCTGAGTAGCTGGGACTACAGGCGCATGCCACCACGCCCGGCTAATTTTTGTATTTTTGGTAGAGACAGGGTTTCACTGTGTTAGCCAGGCTGGTCTTGAACTCCTGACCTCAGGTAATCTGCCTGCCTCGGCCTCCCACAGTGCTGGGATTACAGGTGTGAGCCACCGCACCTGGCCAATAAATATATTTTTGAATGGAAAGAAGGAAAGAACAGATCCTGAGAATCCTTGGACCCACCCAGGGCACGATCATCATCTTCATCATTATCGCTTTCATCTGGGTTAGCATATTCTTGGAGAAAAAGCTCTGACCTGCAGCCAAATACTGCTAAGCCCAGGCCAGCATCCTACTCCATTCCAGACTGACCCTGACCACGCAGAGGCCTATGACCCTGGCCCAAGACCCCAGGCCTAGAGCATAAGAAAGCCAAGGTGCAGGGCCAGGTGTGGTGGCTCACATCTGTAACTCCAGCACTTTGAGAGGCCGAAGTGAGATGATTGCTTGAGCCCAAAAGTTCGAGACCAGCCAGGGCAACATAGTGAGACCCCCCCCCCATCTCTACAAACATTTAAAAGTTAGCCAGACATGGTGGCATGCGCCTGTGGTCCCAGCTACTTGGGAGGCTGAGGCAGGAGGATTACTTGAGCCTAGGAGGTCAAGGCTGCGGTGAGCCTTGGTGGCACCACTGCACTCTAGCTTGGATGACAGAGCAAGACCCTGTTTCAAAAAAAAGAAAAAAGAAAAAAAAAAGGTAATTCAGGGCAGACCAGATCATTCTCCACCACTGACCGTTCTCCAACCCCACAAAGCACAGCCATGTCCCCACAGGGTGTGGCATTGTTTGGTCCCTGAGATGTAGGAAAGGCCTGCGCTGCAGTGGATTCAGTAGCTTTGTCCAAGGCTGACTGTCCTTCTCTGAGCCTCAGTCTGCCCCTCTGTGCAATGAGAAGCATAATCCTCACCCCCTCTCTCTTCCTGAGAGAAGGCAGCCAGAGCCTGGGGAAGTGTATAGGGGAGGGCTGGAGAGCTCCAGATGCTACAGATGTCCCCCAGAAGCCACCTGACTAGGCAGAGGAGGCACCCTTAGGGGTAGGGGGAAGGGAAGACTCGGGCTGGGGGACGGTTCCAGGAACTGCCACACCTGAAAGCCCAGGCTCTATGTCAAGATCAGCCCAGGGGCCCCAGGAGGTTTTCCAGCCTATGCCGGGGCTCCGGATCCTGGCTCCCCGCCCATGTGCTAGGATGCCCCAGACACACACATACCCTATTTGAGCTGATTAGCGCTTGAGAGCCAAGAGCAAAAAGGGAGCCACAAAGCCCAGGTTACCTTCCATCAACACCAGGATCACATCTCTCAGGATGGTCAAGGTTGTCCCCAGGACCAGGATGGAGAAGACGAAGGTGCAGATGGGGTCTACATACTTGTATTCTGGCTGCAGGAAGACAGGAAGGCAGACCTGGAGTTCACCATCTAACACCTCAGCTTCCCTTCTCCCCTCCCACCCAGCACTGCTGGGGAGAGGTGCTCTCTCTGCTGGGTGGGCATGAGCCTCGCCCTGGCCCTGCCTCCCAGTTTTCTGCTCTTTATTTCACATCTGCAAGAGCAGAAAGGACAGACCACAGTTCAGAATAAGGCAGTCCCTTCCCACCCCTCCTTCTCAAGGAGCTGAGACATGGACAGAGCAAAAAGGCATCTTAGATACCATCTGATCCGCCATCCGTCCCCATTTGACAGATGGGGAAATTGAGGCTCCATTAGAGCAAGCAAACTCATCCAATGTCACATGGCTAGCAAGGAGGAGAGCCAAGCTTCAGAGCAAATGCCTGCCTCTTTCCACTACAGCTCCCTGCCTCTATGTGATGGGCATTGCCCAGGGTTTGACAACACACAGTCGTAGGCTTGAATCTGGCTCTATGCTTTACCGGCTGTGTGACACTGTGCAAGTCACTGAACCTTTCTGAGCTACAGAAAACACTACCACCTACCCTTCAGGTTGTTGTGAGGATCAGAAGTGCTGACACTTGGTAGGTATTGGATAAATGTTCCTTTCCTCTCCCCACCCTTTTCCCTAGAACTGGGAGGGAGCTAGAATCTGAAAAGAAACCCCGGTAGAGAGTATACTCAGGTGGTCTACACTCCCCTGCCACCCCCACCACCCTGTGTCCCAGCTCTGACCTTGAAGTATAAAATATAGGCTGCCACTAGGACACCCATGCTCTGCATAAAGTCGCCGATCACATGGATGAAGGCAGCTCGGACGCTGGGGTTCTCCTCCTGCTGGTTGGTGGTGCCGTGGCTGTGCCCATGGCCAGACTGGTGAAGGGTCAACCCCATTCTATGGAAGTGGAGACAAAGCCAAGGGCTCACTGAGGTCGCAGATGGAGGTCACCTATTAGGACTAGCCAACTTGTAGGGCAAAAATCTCAAGCCCCTAAACCTTGTGATCTCTTTGGCCATGTGAGAAGTCCAACCCACGTGGCCTTGGTTCAGACAGCCATGAGAGATAGGGCCCAGCGCCAATGCCAGGCTGAGCCTGGGCACAACAATGCCACAGTGTCAAATCTCAGAGCAGGAGGGCATTAGGGAGGTCACTGTCAGTTCACTCCATCATGTCACAGATGGGGAAACTGAGGCCTCTGAACAAAGACCCCGAAAGAGACACCCATTGTCTCTAACTGAGACCAATTTCAGACTTGGGTTCTGCCCCTAGGGACAGCTACTCCTGCAACAACTGGCCTCTTCCCGCCCCACTTCAGGTATGAAGCCACCAAGGCTAGTCCCTGACATGTATCAGGGAGTGGGTAGAGTGGATGAAGACTCCGATTTACAGCTCCCAGTGTTCTTGGCCTAGGCCTAAGGTAGGACCCAGGTGTTCCAGGTGCCAGAGCTCAGACCATTAGGGAAGTTCTGTCCCTGTAGCGTATGCTGGAAAGTGGCACAGTCTCTTTCCGCAAAGCAGACATAGGTGTGGGTGTGAGAGGCGGGAGGAGGAGGGGAGACGAGGGAAACTGGGGCCCCACTCACATGATGTTCACAGCCACAGCGCAGCCCGACGTGATCAGCATGGTCCCCCCGTCAATTTCATAGTCCCCAGAGATCAGCCGCTCCACAGCCAGGTACACCAGTACCCCCGTCACGACCCAGATGGACAGTACAGAGACCAGGGCTCCCAAGATCTCTGAGGAAGAACCCAACCCCAACACCCACCTTGGCATGGGCCTGGAGCTAAGGAGTCTTCCCCCTTCCTTCAGGATCCTCCCCACCCACCTCCCACACAAAGTCAGGGCCTGGGTCCCACTGGGCTCTGCTGAAGGTATGGCCGGTATGGCTGCCCCTTACCCCACCCCTCATATATCTAGGAATGTAAGAGCTAGAAGGAACTAATAAGTCATCATCTGAGTCCACCTTTTTGGTTGTACATGTAAAGAAGCTGACTTATTAAAGTATGTGCCTTTTGTTCAGCTAGTAAACTGAGGCTTCTGGGGAAGACAGGCTGGGCCATCTCCCACAAAGAGGAAGGTGACGATGCAGTCCAGGGTGAACGGAAGAGAGGTTAAAGCCTATATCTTCCAGCAGCCTTTGCTGGCCTTCCCCTCCCCCCAGAGCTGATCCACAGAGTTATGTGCAGTGTTAATGCCATTGTCATTTGTTCTTGAAGCTTGGCTACTGCACTTCTTAGGAAGGTCAACTTTGCTTCCCTGCAGACTGAGAGCTCCTGGATGACTGGGACCAGGGCTCCCCCATCAGACTAGGATTTCCCAGAGGACAGAGGCCATGGTTGACATCCTCTTCCCCCATCCAGATCACCCTCCTGGCCTCACTCAGGGGAGGAAGGGGGGATCCACCCATTACAGCCACCTAAGAACCCCTGTTCTAACCCACCCTCTCTCTCAACCCCATCTCCAGCCAAACCGCGATCCTCACCAGCTCTCTGCCAGCCAAAGTTCATGGTCTTGGTGGCTGGCCGGGAGGACATCCAGAGGGAGAAGAGGCTGATGAGCATGCTGGCAAAGTCAGTGAGCAGGTGTGCTGCGTCAGTCATGACAGCCAAGCTGTGTGCCAGGTACCCACCTGCAGGGTGGAGGGTCCTTATCAGCTCCCCCAGAGAGCTGGCTCCCAAGACTGTGTGTGCAGCAGGGAGACCACAGGCTCTGGAAGAGGACATTCTGGGCTCAAGATCTCTCTACCCATGAGCTGTACCACCGTGACAAGTGACCTACTCTCTCTGAGCCTCAACTTCCACTCTCTGTGAAATGGGCCACCAATATCTACTTAGAGGGTGAATGTGCACATCAAGTTCAAATAGGGACTGGAAAACATAGCAGATACTCAGTAAATGCTCTTCCCTTCTAGGAATTCAGGCCTTCCCTTAGCTACGAGTTGTGCGTGATCTTTGGCAAGTTACTTCACCTGAACATGCCTCAGTTTCATCATCTGTAAAGTAAGGAGAATAACGTCACCCATGTGAGAACACAGGTTGTTGTTAGACCTGCATCAGATAATGTGTATATAAAGGCTTACTGTAGTGTGTGTTCAGTAATTGGGGCTTTTAGTGTCAGTATTGCTGGGAACATCCAGTCTATCCATGCACCAACTTCATTTAATTAGCCCAAAAGTGCTTACCAACGACTTCTCCGATCATGAACAACAGGCAGATGGCAGAGGCTACATACAGCTGGCGCTGGGCCTTCCCCTTCTTGGGGTCACAGTGACTGTCAGGACCCTTCTGAGCATGGCAGTGATGGTTGCTCTGGGCAGCCAGCTCAATGGCCTGCAAGTCCAGGCCAGGTCGGGGCAGAGGAATCCAGCCAGCCCCTTCCTGCCACAGAGATCCCGTGTATGACCTGGCCAGAGGGGAAGAGAGGGAACGCTCAGCTCTGAGATGAGGTAAGGAGGGCCGACTCTAGTCCCATTTCTCTGTGAGGCCTTGTGTCCACTGGGAAAAATAGCTAAGGACGCTCCGAGCTCGACAAACCAGAGGTGAGAAGCCTGTATTCAGACGGGGATGATAGGGGAATGGGAGTCCTGGGGCCCGGGGCCCTTCAGAGGCCAGAGGAGGTGAAGACCCTGGGAACCGGCCAAGGGGCGTGCTGTCCAGTGGAGCGCGGGGAAGGAACAGAGCGCAGGCTCTGGGAGAACAGCAGGCCCCCTCCAGCGCACTTGGGACACAGGGCCTCCCCGGGGCGGGGCTGCCTGGGGCAAAGTGCTGGGCGGGGCGGGACTCCAGGCATGGGAACCGCCAATCCCCCGGCCCCAGGCCCCCCGCGGGCAGGGGTCAGAATCTGGGCTGCGCCCCAAGGGAGAGACGGTCCTTGGGCCACAGCCCATTATCTTCGTTCCCTCACCTCACCCCACCCCTCCTGCATGGTCCCAGCTCAAGCCGCAGCCAAAACCAACCACTGCTAGGATGGCAAATGCGGAGGTGCGTCGGCTGCCGCCAAAATTCCCGCCCGTCCCCAGGCTCTCGCCTTACCGGATTGCCGGCCTGGCGTCCAACAGATGCTGCTTCTCCTTGGCCTCCATGCAGTCCCGCGCCGAGTCCCGGCAGCCGCGCAGCCGCCCCGCCGAGTGCGCCCTGAAAGTTGCGCGCGGGACTCCGGGTGGCGCTCACCCACCTGCCCCGAGGGCCCCGCGAGGTGCGCTCACTCCGGCCCGGCTCCTGCGGCCCCTGAGCTCCCCCGGCTCCCGCTGCGGCTGCAGCTCCGGCTCTGGCTCCGCGTGCCAAGCGCTCCCGTGTCTCGGGTCAGCCGCTGCGCCCCGCGGCCGCCGGCTTTATCCGGCCCTCGCCAACCCGTGTGAAGCTGCCGTCGGCGCGTCGTGTGCAAAAGCCCGCGGGGAAGGGGGGGCGGTCGCCGGCTGCAAAAGGCCCGGCTGTGGCCCCGCACACCTGTGCCTGCGCCCATGGGGCCCGCGGAGCCCACCTGCCGGCCGCGAGAAGTTTGCCAGCCTTCGCCCGGCGCGGCGCCGGGTGTTGCTGAGTGAGGACGGGGTGACGCCTGCGCCCCCTCTCCCGCGCGGGGTGCGCCGCCTCGCCGCCGAAAAGTTCTCGACTTTAGTTTGTAGAAATCCGCTTTGGTGGTCCCGACGGCAGGAATGTGGCTCCTTGCCTCGGAAGAGGGTCTCCAGAGGCTACTGGGGCCGCGTCTGCCCCCTCCGACTGGCGGCTGCCCTGGGCTTGATCATGTTCCCCTCTCAGGCCGGAGACCCCCCGAGGTCGGCTTGCGTTCCTGTCCTCCTGCTAGGAGGGTCCTGGGGTGGGGTGGGCTGCGCCGCCCTCAGGCTGGGGCAGTGTCTCTCCCTAGGACCGGCTGGGACTGATCGACCCATCCTCGCCACTGAAGCAGCGCCAGCTCCTCCTCTCCTGCGCGCAGGAGAATCTGGAGTGGCCGGCTTTGTCTCCACCCGCACAGAGAACAGTGTCATCGGCAGTCACCATCGGAGCAGAGACGACCACTGCCACTGCTGCCACCCCTTCTCCCCTCCCCCGCAGCGGCTCCTGGGAGCCCCAGGAAGCCTGACAAGCAAGCCTGGGAGATGCAGGCCGGAGGTGCCACCGTGTTGGTACCGCTGGGAGAAGCCCTGTCCTTCCTGGCCAGCTTGGTGCCCCACCCACTTGAAGCAGCCTCCTTCCCTGGCGGTTCTTGGGGATTGGGGAGCCTGTGGCCCCCACGCTGGCCTCTGACAGGTGCCCTCTGTGTAGAAAGAAGCTGCTGGAGACCTCCCTGTCTGGTCAATTCGTCTCCCCAGCACCCTTTGTCGCTAGGACCATAGGCTTGGTGGGTATGGCCTTTCACAGAGCCAAGAGTCAGAGGTGCAGGCCTCTTGCCCACACCACTGGGGACAGGAAGGGGCTCTTTCAGTCTCTCATCTTGTAGGAGACGGGGTGCCAGGAGTGAGGATGTGAGGTGCACCCGCTCTGCTTGGGTCCTCACTGAGTGCCTCTCTGCTTCTCTGGACTCTGGTTTTCTTCTGGAAAACCTCAGACACCCTGGTTTTCTCCAGGTCTGTCTACTCTGAGCACCAGCAGGCTCAGCATTACCTGGAGAAGGTGTTACAACGCAGGTTACAGGTCCCTGCATCAGACCAACCGAACCAGAATCTCTGGGTGTGGAGCCTGAATATTTCCAGGATTCAGTAGGTCTGGGGCAGGGCCTGGGAATCTGTATTTATAAAATTCTCTGGTGCTATTGTGGCATCATTGTTCATTTTTATGTATAGTGGTTTTTTTGTTTGTTTGTTTTTGAGACAGAGTTTCATTTCTGTCTCTGTCGCCCAGGCTCGACTGCAATCTCAGCTCACTGCAATCTCTGCTTCCCGGATTCAAGTGATTCTCCTGCCTCAGCTTCCTGAGTAGCTGGGATTACAGGTGCCCACGACCATGCCAAGCTAATTTTTGTATTTTTAGTACAGACAGGGTTTCACCATGTTGGCCAGGCTGGTCCTGAGGTTATGATTTTTTTCAAAGAACACCTTTATCTAAAGTATTTAGGGATAAAATGTCATCTGGGTTTTGCCTTAAAATAATCCCAGTGGGGAGAGTACGGTACTGGTATAGAAGAAATAAATATGTCACCAGCTGTTGAAACTGAGTGATGGGTAAATGGGGTACACTATAACTATTCCCTCTACTTTTCAGTATTTAAAAAATGTTGGCTGGGTGCGGCGGCTCACGCCTATAATCCCAGCACTTTGGGAGGCTGAGGCAGGCGGATCACCTGAGGTCAAGAGTTCGAGACCAGCCTGGTCAACATGGCAAAACCTCGTCTCTACTAAAAATAAGAAAATTAGCCAGGCATGGTGGCAGGCGCCTGTAATCCCAGCTACTCAGAATTCTGAGGCAGGAGAATCACTTGAACCCGGGAGGTAGAGGTTGCAGTGAGCCGAGATCATGCCATTGCACTCCAGCGTGGGCAATCAAGAGTGAAACTCTGTCTAAAAAAAAAAAAAAAAAAAGTTTCAGAATTAAAGACTTGGGGAAAAATAAACCTTTCCTGGCAATTCTGATGTAGCAGCCCATGGAGCTGTATTCAAGATTCATTGAAAGAACCCCCTTGAAGCCAGCTGTCCTCTCTTGCAGCATGATTTTAAAGGAAGCATGTTGATCAAGAACCCTTCATACCATCTTAAGGGTTCTAGTTTGCAAGTACAGGAAGAGCCCTTCCTATGGCAAAGGAAAGATCCCCTTAGTTGCAATTAACAGGTATCTTCCTGGAATTTAATCTTTAACTGATTACCCAAAGTCTCAACTGCTCTCTCTTCTCTTCCATAAGTGACAAGATACGGGGCTGAAATGCTTGCTGCTTACATGATCAGTAGCCTGGAGAAGTAACAGAACATACACACGTTATAATACTGATTCTTGTGATTTCAAGGTGATGAAAACCTCTCTCTTTCTGGCCTCAAATTTCTCCTTCTGGACTCAAATCCCTTCAGTTTTCTATGGGAGGATACTTTAGGAGACCAAACCATAAAGAAAAACAAGTATGTGATTGTCAAAAAAACAAAAAAATTGACCGCTCCTCTTTCCGCTGCCCCAATCAGAAAGAGGAGCTGTGATGTGGTAGAGGGGCACATGGAGGGCTTCTGAGGGCTGGCAATGTTCTTTTTTTTTTTTCACCTGAGTGGTAGTAACATAAGGTTTCATTTTACAATAGGTTATTAAACTCTACGATGAGTTTTGTGCACTTTTAAGGGTGTGTGTGTGTGTATTACACCGTGTTTTAAAAACTAAAACAAAATGCTTCAGAACTTGAGAAAGGACTGGAAATGAGAGCAAAATCTGATTCTTTGAAATTCAAAGTTAGGAACTGAGTTAGCCTTAGAAAACCTACCAAACTCCCAGAAGTGAAAATGGGCAGAGGTTGTGAGGGTTTTTGAGCACTGTCCTAAAGCAAGTTCCACATAACTCTAGTTCCGGAGGATGTCATATGAATAAGTTGGGAAATTCAGTCCACACACACAAAATGAAAGACTTAGGGTCAGGCAGCATTCCAAGCACCATGAACTTGATGGTCCTCATCTAAAGTTAATTCGCTTTCTTTACGGTGGGACGACTCGGACCCCTTAATTTGCTACTGTGATCTGAATGTCTAAAAGGGGGAACAGGCTCTGCAATGCTCCTCAAAGTTGTAAGTCTCTGGTGTATCAGCCCCGGTGAATGCGCTGCCTCGGATTCGCTCAGCCTTGCCTCTCTCCAGGCCCTTGGCTTCTTGCTCATGGAGATCCTGGATGCTACTGGGCCACAGTCATGAATTCATCCCCTACTGCCGGTGGCTGACTTGGCCTTTCCTGGCGTGAGTCTGGGCACCAGCCTGGCCCCATTGTGTTCACTGAGGTGGAGACAGCAGCTGCCCCACCCTTGTCCAACCCAACTGGACCATGGAGGCCCTGGCACCTCCCACCATCTCCAGACTCAGCTGAAGTACCACCCAATGGGGCAGGTGACCTTGCTGCCCCTGCACCTGCACCACCTGAAGTCAAGGTGGAATGAACAGTATGGGAGGCGGGAGACAGGAAGGAGCCAGCAGACACATTTCTTTTTTTTTTTCTTCTCTAGATGAAGGACTTTGAATCATGTTCTGTTCTTTATGGCCTGCTGGAAACATCTCACATGACTAAGCAGCCAGCCCAGTCTTTGGTGAAGCTGTGGCCAGCTCAGCCACGTGACACCTTGTACTTGCTTCCCTCCTTGCCTGCCTCGCTTCCATTTTCCTTCCCTCTGTTGGCCTTGGGAGTGTGCCTCATAGGGTCTCAGAAAACAATACCCCGAAATGAAGGCCTCCCTCGGAAGCAAACATTTCTCTCTGACCTTCTCCTGCCCTCCTGTCTCTGGTCCCTTATTCTCCCCCAAGGCTAGCTATAAAAACTACAATCCCTCTTCACCAAAAGCCTGCCCTAAAACCTAAAAATATTACTCTAACTTTCCTCTTTCTTTCTGTGTAAAATTGGCCATAGGAAATTATTTGACCTTTGTCTGATTGTAGGTCAGAAGACCCCCATCCAGAGAGAGTCCTGCGCCATATGAGGAAGGAAGGAATGCTGCGCAGAGAGGCCGAAAAGAATCTTGACAGACAGGCCTCGCTGGGTTCCCCACTCAGTCTATCAGCATTAGATCAGGCTCTTTTGTCCAACCGTATTTCTACACGGCCATCCATACTTTGTTGAACTGAAGCCTAAAAATGGACAGTTTCTCCTGTATCTTTGGGTGTTCATTCTGAAGGTTCTTGTATCTCATAAAACCATGGTCAAATAAATTTGTGTATTTGTTTGCCTTTTCTCCTATTAATCTGCCTCTTTTTTTTTTTTTTTTTTTTTTGAGACGGAGTTTCACTCTTGTTGCCCAGGCTGGAGTGCAGTGGTGCGATCTTGGCTCACTACAACCTCCGCCTCCTGGGTTCAAGCAATTCTCATGCCTCAGCCTCCCAAGTAGCTAGGATTGCAGGCATGCGCCACCACGCCCAACTAATTTTGTATTTTTAGTAGAGACGGGGCTTCACCATGTTGGTCGGGCTGGTCTGGAACTCCTGACCTCAGATGATCTGCCCTCCTTGTCCTCCCAAAGTGCTGGGATTACAGGCATGAACCACTGCACCTGCCCAGCCTTAATCTGCCTCTTCTTGATGATTTTCAGTGAGCCTTCAGTGAGCCTTCAGTGAGCACGGGGAAGTCCCTATAACCTGCAACTAAAGCATTTAAATTTTGCCTCAGGCTCTGTTTTCTGGAGAACCAGAGCAACAACACATTGAACCTGTTCTTGAAGGACCAGCTCAGGGCTGGCTTTCCATGGAGTCCACATTGGGAAATGGTGGTGTCGAGAACTCCTTTACTGGGACCTAAGCCTAGCCCTGCCATTGCCTCCTACCAGGGGTCCTGTTCATTCACACTCAACCCTCATCTCCAGGAAAAAAAGGCTGAATGAAACCCCGGCTCCTTTGAAGAACAGGAAGAGAGCATTGTGCATTTATTAAAACAACATATAACACAAACTCAGTTACCACCCCGTATGTCTGGGATAGGCACTGAAATACAGCACATCGTCCCTGTGAGTGCTACCCCATCCTCCTGCTCAGGAAAGGAAGTGGGCAGCTGTATCAACCTGGCTTCCTTCCCCTCTTTCTGACAATCGCAGGTCACCCAACGACCAGGCATTATTATACAAAAGTTCCTTTACAAAAAGCACCAAATTGGCATACATATACAAGTATATACAAAAA
This sequence comes from Homo sapiens, assembly GCF_000001405.40. Lineage (NCBI taxonomy): Eukaryota > Metazoa > Chordata > Mammalia > Primates > Hominidae > Homo > Homo sapiens. The sequence continues at coordinate 26,051,587 of NC_000001.11, forward strand.
TCACATTTTAAAAATGTACAAAATATTCCATTTTGCACCAATGTAGAAAAGTGTCCTGTGTGATTGTTTCAAGCACGTTTCCAATTCTGGTTCAGTGTCTGCTGGACGCAGCGGTGAGGGTCCTACCCTAGTCCCTGCTCTCTGAGCAGAGAGAAGACATCACCTCCCCATTGCCCCTCCAGGGGCCCCGACCCCTCCCACCCTGGGCCTGTCACCAAGGCCGCTGGGCCCCTCCCCACCCTCTCCAGTCTCTCTGCATCTGGGGGCCTCTCATTCATCCAGCTCCTTACTGGTGTCCTGAAATGAAGAAAAAGATACAGAGGCAAGGGGTGAGACAGGGACTCAGGAGGATCCAAGGCTTACCAAGCTACTGTTTATTCAAACAGGAGTTTGAATAAAACATCAAACTCCAATTCCTCCCGGTCTCTTCCTTTTAAAACCAAAATAGAATTTAGCTGCCCAAATATTATGGATTGTACATCAGTACAAAACTCCAAAAGACTACCTATAGTTTTCAACTGGATTGGAATTTAGTTTCAGTACCTGTGGTTTGAAAAATAACATTTGCAAGCATGTGCTAATTAGCAAACGTCCTTCCTATGCATCAGACACCGTGCTAAACGATTATCTTATTCACTTCCCACTACAACCTTTTGACGTCAGTACTGTTAGACCCCCATACACAGATGAGTAGCCCAAGACTCAGAGAAATTGTGAGCTGCTGTGATTCAGAACCCAGGCTCCTAATCAAACTCTGCCAGGCTGGCAAACTCAGATGCCTACAAGGAGCCAGCAGATAACATGAATGAGTGAAGCAAGCGGGACTGGTGGTGGTGGGGCTGGGCAAACTGGCAAGGGCATGTCCCATTTTTCTTTTCTTTTCTTTGTTTTTTTTTGAGATGGAGTTTCACTCTTTTGCCCAGGCTGGAGTGAAGTGGCGTGATCTCGGCTCACTGCAAGCTCCGCCCCCCTGGGGTTCTAGCGATTCTCCTGCCTCAGCCTCCCAAGTAGCTGGGATTACAGGTGCCCGTCACCACGCCTGGCTAATTTTTGTATTTTTAGTAGAGACGGGGTTTCACCATGTTGGCCAGGATGGTGTCAAACTCCTGACCTCAGGTGATCCGCCTGCCTCGGCCTCCCAAAGTGCTAGGATTACAGGCGTGAGCCACCATGCCAGCGTGTCCCCTTTAAAGGGGAGAGCCACTGCCCAGAGCCAGCACTCTGGGACTACAAGGAAGTTCAAGTCCAGCATTGTTTGCTTTTTCTAAACTTTCACAAGGTGAAAATGCAGATTCTTAGTTCAAATCTCCTTTTTCTTAACCCTTAAAAAAAACCTAATTTTAAAAATGTTAGCAATTAATTTTTTCTTTTAAGAGACAGTGTAGTGTCCTCTGTTGCCAAGGCAAGAGTGCAGTGGCGCAATCATAGCTCACTGCAGCCTCTACCTCTTGGGCTCAAGCAATCCTCCAGCCTCAGCCTTCCGAGTAGCTAGGACTACAGATATGTACCACCATGCCTGGCTAATTTTTAAATTATTTTTGTAAAGACGAGGACTTGCTGTTGACCAGGCTGGTCCCAAACTCCAGGTCTCAAGCAATCCTCCCGCCTCAGCCTCCCAAAGTGCTGGGATTATAGGCACGTACCACCACACCCAGCCAGCAAGTATTTATTTATTTATTTTTTGAGATGGAGTCTCACTCTTGTCACCCAGGCTGGAGTGCAGTGGCACGATCTCGGCTCACTGCAACCTCCACCTCCCAGGTTCAAGCGATTCTCCTGCCTCAGCCTCCTAAGTAGCTGGTACTACAGGCGCCTGCCACCAAATTCAGCTAATTTTTTGTATGTTTAGTAGAGACAGGGTTTCACCATGTTGGCCAGGCTGGCCTTGGCCTCCCCAAGTGCTGGGATTACAGGCTCGAGCCACCGTGCCTGTCCAGCAAGTAGTTTTGTTTGTTTGTTTGTTTGTTTTAATTTAAACACAGTGCTGGCCAAACAAAACACCTCAATGGGCCCAGCCTAGCTCATGAGCCCCTGTCTTTTCCCTCTGCTGTGCCATATTGCTTTCCATTTAAGAAGATCATTTAGATGTGAAATGGGAGCATTTTATTATGAATAGTTTGGGGTTTTTTTCTTTTCTAAGGGTAAAGAGAACAGGACTTTACCCTCAGTAGGGTTAAAGCACGTGCTGGGGACAGTTCTGAGCGTCATTGCCAATGTCTAACACAGTGCTTCACATACAGTAGGCACCTCAGATTGTTGTGGAATGAATGAAGGAACGAAGGAATGGAGGTAGATGAATTTCTTACCTTCTTCCTTCCCTTCTGTGGACTCTTCCTCTTCCTGATCTTCTTCTTCAATGAATTCTTCCTCTTCCTCATCTGTGACAAAAAAACATTTGTGTTAGGATGGGGCCGGTTCCTTGAGGAGCTACTTGAAGAGGAACCAGGCAAGAGAGAGCACGGTCTAAACCCCTTCCTGTGCCCAGTCGGGTCAAACGGCCACACAGCGGCGGCAGTGGTCTGGGAGGGGATGGGCTTGCCAGACCCACGCTGCACAGAGGCCCTGCTCCTGCAATCCCCCGCACTCCGTCCCAGGGAGCTGGGCTCAAGTCACTTCCTTGCTCCAGCAACAGCAGCTTCTATCACCTGCTCGCCTGTGACCAGAGAGGGGACTCTGAGGAAGCGCACTCTGTGCTTCTGCACATCTCTCGGGTAGGCAGATAAACATTGCCTGAGGAGGAAAAACCTCCTCGATCCTCAGGGATCAGAGTCCTTGTCTTGAAGGAAGCTACTTAGCCTATGAGATCTGCTTGTTCAGCAGCCACTGTCCCATTTTCCTCATTCCTTAGCCTGTGGAGGGGAGGGGTGGACATGATGGGGAAGCACTTCTGGAGCCACCTCTGCTCCCTGAAGCTGAGCACCAGAGGGACAGTGACTGAGCTGCAACTCATGTCCCCACTTTTTTATCCTGAGATGTCACCGTCAAGCTTTAACAGGGAACATCTCCCTTCCCCGCTCCTCTCCCAAGCTACCTCCTTAACCTTTTGGGGCCCTGAAGGGGTCACCACAGAATCAGAACATTTGTCAAGAGTATCTTCAGGCCAGGCTTGGTCGCTCACACCTGTAATCCCAGCACTTTGGGAGGCTGAGGCGGTCAGATCACCTGAGGTCAGGAGTTCAAGACCTGCCTGGCCAACATGGTAAAACCCTGTCTCTACTAAAAATACAAAAAATTAGCTGGGTGTGGTGGCATGCACCTGTAATCCCAGCTACTTGGGAGGCTGAGGCAGGAGAATCTCTTGAACCCAGGAGGCAAACGTTGCAGTGAGCTGAGATCACACCATTGCACTCCAACCTGGGCGACAAGAGCAAAACTCCGTCTCAAAAAAAAAAAAAAAAAATAGTATCTCCAAAATGACAACCAAAATTCCAGCCAAGTAACTGATATCAGAGTATAACCCAGGGAGTTCTGTTGTTTAATCATTGTCACAATGACTACATTTAATAGCAGTTGCTGAGTACTTACTATGTGCCAAGTAGTGTGCTCAGTGTTGAATCTGCATCGTCTTATAAAATCCTCACAAGAGTTTTGCAAGCCAAATGGCCCTCAGTAGAATCTGCACAGGCTACTTGCCAGCTGTGTGGCCTTGAACAAGTGGCTTACCCTCTCTGAGCTTTAAGTTCCCTCAACTACAAAATAGAGATGGTAACAGAACCTATCCCATGAAGTTGTGTTAAATGATAAAACTTATGTTAAGGGCTTAGCGCCTAGGACATACAGAATATTCAGTAACTGGTGACTGTTGGTACTCTCCTCATTTTACTTGTGGAGAAACTGAGGCTCAGGGAGATTAGGAAGGCCAGTGCAGGACTTCACAATGTTATGTTCACACCGTATGACCCACTCTTGAATATCTATTTCTTTCTTTTTTTTTTTTTTTTGAGATGGAGTTTCACTCCTGTTGCCCAGGCTGGAGTGCAATGGCGTGATCACAGCTCACTGCAACCTCCTCCTCCCGGATTCAAGCAATTCTGCTGCTTCAGCCTCCCGAGTTAGCTGGGATTACAGGCATGCACCACCATGCCCAGCTAATTTTGTATTTTTAGTAGAGACGGGGTTTCTCCGTGTTGGTCAGGCTGGTCTGGAACTCCTGACCTCAGGTGATCCACCTGCCTTGGACCCCCAAAGTGCTGAGATTACAGACGTGAGTCACTGTGCCTGGCTGACCCACTCTTGAATATCTTAGCTTAGGGAAGCTGACAGTGGAGCAGCTCACTACAGCAGTGGATGTCCCCAAGGCCATTGGTGTCTCTGCTTTGGGATGTATTTTGTCCTTACCTATGAATGGGGTATATCTGGGGCTCTGAAAACAGACTTAGCACCAGCTACTGAAGGTTTGTAGGAGAGCGACACAGGAGGTGCCAAGAAGCTCTTCTCTTTCTCACGCCAGCCATTTACAGTTCTTCCTTGTTCCTTCATCATCCCCTTGTCCCCCAACCTCAGCTGGTCATTGGAGCACCACCTCTCAGACCAACGCAACAGTCAGCAATGTGGGATCTGCCCTCTCTTTCTCTGTTGCCTTTTAGCTGTGTTTCCCTTTTAGCTGTGTGACCTTTAGCAAATTAACATATTTGCTTCCATTCAGTTTCTTCATTTCCTTTGTTATTTTCACCCTTATTATTGTTACGGTTGCATTGTTACAATTATTATAGGCACTCTATGGAAGAGTAATTATAAACAGAAATGAGGACATGATGTTGATCAATTAAGGTGCCTGGGTATCATAGGTGATAGCATTAAGAAACTGAAGCTAAGACTACCTTTAGGCAATAACTAGTACATCTTTAGGGCTCTACAGGACCTTTCTGCATTGATATCTGATTTTTTGCAACAGCACCATGAGTTGGTCATTATTAGAGGGCTCACTTCTAACCTGACTTTTTAAATTAGAAAATAAAACTCAGGCAGAAGGGGGCTTGCCAAAGGTCACACAGATAAACAAATGACAGAACCAGGATTTAAACTCAGGACTGTCTGATTCCAGAGGGCATATTATTTCTACTGCCCCAAGAGGCCTCCCTGCCATGGATCCATATGTAATTTATGAAGCAGGAATTCTGCACCAGGCACTGTGCTAGGCTCTGGGCTCATCTAGAAATCGACTATATGAATTTTTTTTTTTTTTTTTTTGAGATGGAGTTTGGCTGGCTCTTTTGCCCAGGCTGGAGTGCAGTGGCACAATCTCGGCTCACTGCAACCTCTACCTCCTGGATTCAAGTGATTCTCCTGCCTCAGCTTCCCAAGTAGCTGGAATTACAGGCACATGCCATCACGCCTGGCTAATTTTTGTATTTTTAGTAGAGATGAGGTTTCACCACGTTGGTCAGGCTGGTCTCAAACTCCTGACCTCAAGTGATCCGCCCACCTTGGCCTCCCAAAGTGCTGGGATTACAGGCATGAGCCACCACAGCCGGCCAGAAGTTGGCTATATGAGTTTGATTGATATTTGGGGATCTTTATTAGTGTATCTGCCTCCCCATCGGGCTCAGTTGGAGGGATGCTGGTTTCCAGGGGTCAGGCAGGCAAATAGACAAGTGGCATCACCACCTCCTTTACCTGTCCCAAAGTCAATGGCTCTCAGGGCGTCTGCTATGTGCTCTAAATCCAAAGTAAAGAAGTCCATGTTCTCAAAGCCCTGCTCTGTCTTCCCCAGCTGGCAGCCCTTGGAAGCTTCCACAATGCTGCAGGGGAGACAGAAAGAGAGGCAGGATGAGGTCTCTGGGGCTCAGTGCAGGGAAGAGAGGGCACATGCTTTGCCACGCCCAGGCCTTCTACCCAGAGGCTCCCCTGGAGGGATGGAGTATTTCCTCTCCAACCTCAAGCACAAGGAGTGGTCCAAAAAGTCAGGGATGCAAAGGGTCAGGGAAGCCAGCCTAGAGTGAGACCCTCCCAGCAGGCCTAATGCCCAGGATGAGGCTTCCTGGACAGAGGTCCTGGTGGGAACTAGGTGCTTGGATCATAGCCTCTAGGAAGACACTGACCTTTTGATGAGTTGCTTGGCAGTCTGCAGGGGGAGAGAGAACAAAGGATTAGGACCGCAGAAGAGGTAACCGCAGGAAATCAGCAAAACTAGTGAACTAGGTGTTGTAGGTAGATATTTGGTGCCATTCCCTAGCCCAGTTGTGACCTGCTCCCCACCCCAAACTGAGCAGAATCTGGAACTTTTCCCTCTGTCTGTGGTCTGTACAGGTCTTGGTCATCACCCTAGGACCCACTGTCTTGACAGGAAGCTTGGATTCTAGGGGTATCAATCCCAAAACTCCTAAACCCTGAACTCCCCAATCCTAACCACCTTTTCATACCTAATGTCTAGCAAAAAGCCTGGCCCACAGTAGAAGCCTAGAACATTTTTATTGAACTGAACTATGAAGTCTTATAACTGAGCCTTTTCTGTCCTCCCCAACAAGCTCTTTGAGGGCAGGGCTGTGTCTGGTTTATCTCCTTGTCTTCCACCTCAGTGCCTGGCCTACAGTAGGGGCTCAATTAATAGTCTGTAGATGGGACACTGTATTTTGCAGCTTACAAAGTCATTTCATAAACATCCTCTTATCTTATCATCATAAAATCAGTAAGAGGAAGGTGGGGGGTGTTACATGCCCATTTGACAGATGAGGAAACTGAGGCTCACAGAGGTTTAAATGGCTTTTCCAAGGGCCCATGGGTGGTCAGTGGGGAAGCATAACTTGAACCTTAGAGCTGTAGAGTTGAACTGACCCCACCCAGACCCTTCTAGTCCTGCTCACCAAGAGGAAGGTGGCTCCCCCAGGCTCGTCCAGGGACTGGATGGCAGTTTCCACCAGCTTTGTGGACTTGTCCAGCTGCTCCTGGTACTGCTGGATGAGGGCCTCGATGAAGCTAAGCTTTTTCTCCTGCTCCTGCGTGATCCGCTGCAGCAACTCACTTTTCTTCTCATCCAGGATGGCATACAACGTGTCAAACTTCTGGCTCAGCTCTTCCTTTACCTGGTGACTGTTCTCCTGAGGACGGAAGTCTTGTGGTCACGTTCTGTAGGGTCTTTATTCCCTGCCCACTACACTGCCTTCCTAGGACAGTAGCAAGGAATCTAAAGCTAGAAGAGATCTCACTACATACATCCCCACACTACAGAAGAAGAAACAAAGACTTAACAAGAAGAAAACACTCATCTGGCCTCACAGCTATTTAGTACGCCAGTGATATTTGGAGGATGATGCCTTGAAAAACAGCTAGCCCCTTCTTCCAAAATAGAGGCTCTAGGGTCACATGACACAACATGTTCTTCCTTGTTCCTGCACCCTCCCCCTGTCCCCCAACCTCAGCTGGTCATTGGAGCATCACCTCTTAGACCAATGCAACAGTCACCCAATGTGGGATCTGCCCTGTCTTTCTCTGTTGCCCTTTTTTTTTTTTTTTTTTTGAGATGGAGTCTCGCTCTGTTGCCCCCGCTGGAGTGCAGTGGTGCGATCTTGGCTCACTGCAACCTCCACCTCCCAGGTTCAAGCGATTCTCCTGCCTCAGCCTCCCGAGTAGCTGGGATTATAGATACGCTACCACGCCTGGCTATTTTTTTGTATTTTTAGTAGAGATGGGGTTTCACCATGTTGGCCAGGATGGTCTCGATCTCCTGACCTCATGATCCACCCAGCTTGACCTCCCAAAGTGCTGGGATTATAGGCATGAGCCACTGTGCCCAGCTCTCTGTTGCCTTTTAGCTGTGTTTCCCTTTTAGCTGTGTGACCTTCAACAAATTAACGTTTCCTGGGCCTCCCATATGTCCCAGTTCACACTCTTCCCTCCCTTTCAGGACCAAGACTGGATTCGGGAAGCTCTGCATCATTTGGTCCTAGGAGAGGTGGAAAAACAGCTCCTTTCCTAGCACCCTCCTCAACCGAAGCTCCCTTCTCTCTATGTTCTTTTCTATAAAATGGGTGTGACAATAGCATCTCATCAGACCGGGAGCCTCTCGTGGGTGATCACAATGTTCCCCTCCTTCCTACCCTTCGCCCAACTCTTCATCCACTAGCAATTATGATGACCCCTTCCCCTCATCTCATCTCCAGATCCCTACCCCAAGTGAACATGGAAAATCGTGGAAGCTTTTTTCAGGGATAGAAAAGTTCCCTTCTGCCCTCAACAGTCTCACTACTCAACATGTGGTCTGTGGACCCAGCAGCTTGGGCAAATCCTGGGAACTGGCTAGAAATGCAGCTCTTATGCCTCATTCCAAACCAACTGAATCAAAACCTGAATTTCAACATGATCCCAGCGTAATTTTCACGCACTTCAAAGTTTGGGAAGTGTTGGTCTACAGCACACTGAAGAACTGTGCTCTGAAAACAATTTGTGCTGAATAAATACTGAGAATTATTGATGGGACACTCCCTGAGCTCAGGGACCACGTCTGTCTGGTTCACTCCTCCATCCCCCACATCTTGGGTGGGGCCGGACACACAGCTGTGCTTAAGAAGCATTTGTTGAGAGACTGGATGAATGGATTAGTCCCTCCCCTGCCATCCCTGCTTGACCGCCCCAGGCTCCGGGCCCCAACCTTTAGCCACAACCTATGGGTGAGCCTTCCCCAGAGACCAGGCTGCCCTGGAAAGCTCCAAATCCCCAGGCAGGACTATTCTGTCCGCTCACCTTGGTCACTCGACGGGAATCCTCCAGCTGAGTGATGATGGTCTGCACACGGTCATTCCCCGCCACCAGCATGGAGATACAGTTATTCAGTTCAGTCTAGATGGGGGTGTGGGGGTCAGGAGAGGAGAGACACAAATAGCCTCAGGGCCTACCCACTGGGGCATGGCAGCAACATGGCTTCCTCCCTCCCCTCTCTGCTAGAAAGAGCCTCCAGTAGGGATCTGGCCCCTCTTTCGGGTATAGCTCAGCTCCAGAGTAGAGGATATTAGAAAGATACTGCATCCCTTATTTTACAGGTGAGGCCAACAGCAGGCAAGTGAGCTGCCCAAAACACACAGCAAGGAACTGACAGAGGAGGGGCTTGTTTCTAAGAAAGAAGGGACAAAAAAAGAAATAGAGTTGGAGACGTCTAGAAGAGAGAGACCTAGAGAAGAGTGGGGAGTAGGGAAGAGAGAGTATGGAAAGGGGGTGGCTACGGCTTACTGCACGGACAGGGTGGTGGGCCCTCACAGGCCCAGGGACCCAGGGAGAAGGCTCTAAGCTGCCTCCTGCTGTGGGGGAATGTGAAGTCTTGGAGAAGAGGTGAGAGGCACAGGAAGAGGTGTCTGGGGGATGGAGAAGCCGTGGCCTGAGAGGACCCCAGTGGCCTGGCTGGGGCGTCTGACCGCTCCCCTGTGGCCACACCCAGGTGCTCTCGAGTGGCTCTAAGTATAACCATGAGCTCAGCTGCCTCCCCTAGGAAGGCCAGGGCTGCTGTCCCTGTGGCCTGGGAAGTCCCTCCAGAGAGACTATTCCTGAAAGGCCAGATCAGCAGATCTACAGGGATCAAATCTGCCTCCTGAATCATCAGGCCGTGCCCAGCAGGCCCAGGCTGGGGGTAAAAGTGGCTGGAGACAGTACCTTTTGTCCCTGGAAGACACTCTGCAATGGGGCCACCTCGCAGGCCTTGTGGATCCCAAACACCTTGCACATGGAGCAGGTGGGCACCTCACACGTGAGACAGTAGATGTTGATTTTCTCATCTTCGTGCTCCTTGCACATGGGGTGACTGCCCTTCTGCAGCGGCCGACTGCAGTGGAGAACAGTCACAAGTCATGGGGGTCCTGTGTCCCTGCATCCCCCTCCCCAGCTCCAATGCACCAGTCGCAGCTACTGGGGAGGCTGAGGCAGGAGGATTGCTCAGCCCAGGAATTCGAGGCTGCAGTGTGTCTGTGAATCTCCAGATTTATGCCCTGGGCCCTCAGTGTTTGGCTGCCCTAAAATCTTTCATCTTCTGGGGACCAAGGACTTGGGAAGCCAATGACACCAAATCTGTCCCCACATCCTAAGAGGGAGTTAGCCTGAGGCTCTGCCAGTGCCAAGGACACAGAAAGGGCCATAGAATTCCAGAGTCAGACCTGGAGATGTTTTAGAGAAGAGGAAACTGGGCTCCAGAAAAGTGAATTGACTCGTCCAAGGTCATACAGCAAGTAAGGGCAGAGGAGCCTAGAGTTCAGTTGCTCTAATTATAGTCACCTTAGCTTTGGTTACTGCAGGCTGGGCTCTGAGCTGAGAAATTTATACTGATGGCCTCATTTAATTCTATATTTAATCTACCAGACTGTAACCTCCATCAAGGTAGGGAAACTTGCCTGTTTTCTTCACCCCTGTGCCTACACTGTACAGTGCCTGGCATAGAGGAGGTGGTAATTAAACAAAGGTAGAAAGAATAAATCAATAAGGCTGGGCGCAGTGGCTCACGCCTGTAATCCCAGCACTTTGGGAGGCCGAGGTGGGAGAGTCACCTGAGGTCAGGAGTTCAAGACCAGCTTGACCAATATGATGAAACCCCGTCTCTACTAAAAACTCAAAAAAATTAACCAGGCATGGTGGCATGCACCTGTAATCCCAGCTACTCGGGAGGCTGAGGCAGGAGAATCACTTGAAACCAGGAGGCAGAGGTTGCGGTGAGCCGAGATCGCACCATTGCACTCCAGCCTGGGCAACAAGAGCAAAACTCCGTCTCAAAAAAAAAAAAAAAGAAAGAAAGAAAGAAAGAATAAATTAATAACTAGCATAGGAATCAATAATATTCACCATCTTGAATTTATTAACATTCTCCATAAGAAAACAATTTTTTTAAAAAAGAATATTCACCACAGAGTCAGTCATACCCTCTCTCTTTCTCTTAGCTTCACCACTTTCTAGCTGTATGGCCTTGGATAAACCTCTGACCCTCTCTGAGCCATGAGGTTGCCCCTGAGGCTCAGAGAAGGAGCAGTGTGTATGCCCCATGTCATGGTGACTGGTGAGTGGGTAGCCCAGGGCTGTCCAACAGCCCAGCACAAGCCTGACTTCTAGTCCAGAGATTCTTTCAAAGGCCCAAGTCTCTTCCTCTACTTTCTCCCCTAACACATATGCTTAGAACTACCTTTCTTCCTTGAGACCTCCAACCTGTTATTTGTGCTTCTCTTGGGACATCAGTCATTTCCTAACCTAGATTCATTGGGGCCTGGGGGGGATTTTTTTGTTGTTGTGTTGTTCTGTTTTGATTTTTTGCCCAGGCTGGAGTGCAGTGGTGTGATCTTAGCTCACTGCAAACTCCACCTCCTGAGTTTCTGATGCCTCAGCCTCCTGAGTAGCTGAGATTACAGACGTGCACCACCATGCCCAGCTAATTTTTGTATTTTTTAGTAGAGATGGGGTTTCACCATGTTGGGCAGGCTGGTCTCAAACTCCTGGCCTCATGTGATCCACCCACCTCAGCCTCCCAAAGTGCTGGGATTACAGGCGTGATCCACAGCACCCAGCCTTTGTTTGTTTGTTTGTTTGTTTGTTTGTTTTGAGACAGGGTCTCACCATATTGTCCAGGCTGGAGTGCAGCAGCGATTCACAGATACACTGCAGCCTCGAACTCCTGGGCTGAGCAATCCTCCTACCTCAGTCTCCCCAGTAGCTGCAACTGGTGCATACCACCATGCCTGGTGTAGATTCGATTTTTTGAGTCTTCTGTCTCCGGCTAGACTATACACTCATTGAAAGCCAACACTACCTTCGATTCCCAGCCCCAAACAGAACAGGCATCTTGCAAATGTCAAATGGTGACTGTTCCCATCAGTGTCAATGCCTCACCTCCAAACAGCCTTACATGACTGATCACACCCTGGGCTCTATTGTCCTCTGAAGTTCTTAAATATGCCCCTTTCCAGGCTTGTCTTTTTGCATAGTTTACCCCAGGGTCCCTATGCTGGCAGGGGTCTGCCATTGCCACCTGCCTCCATCCCCTGATAAAGGGATGGCAGGGAGTGCAGAGGTGAGGCAAGAGCCTGAGGGTCTGGTTCATGCGCCCGCAGCCCTCCCAGATGCCCACCCTCCCAAGCTCAGACTTTGGCATCGGGGTTCATATCCAGATTGTTCTCTTACATTCATTTTTGTGATTTTGGACTAGTGATTTCACCTCTCTTGCCTGTGGGATTCCTCCCAGAACTACTGCAATCTGTCTGTAGAAATTGTCTATAATGAATGTAGAGTGCCCGGCACAGAGCAGACCCTCAATAGAGGGCAGCTGTCATTGTCATTCAACTATGCGGAAAGGCCTCAAAGGTTCACATATAACATGCTCTTCATAGGTCGGCACTGGGTAGGCTAACATTGGTGTGGAATTGATTTTATTATTCCTTATGATCAACAATATGTTTGCATTTTGTAGTGTTGTGCTCTAGCAACATGAGAGGCAATCTAGCTCAGCAATTAAGAATATTCACCGGCCGGCCAGGCGCGGTGGCCCACGCCTGTAATGCCAGAACTTTGGGAGGCCAAGGCGGGCGCATTACCTGAGGTCAGAAGTTCAAGACCAGCCCGGCCAACGTGGTGAAACCCTGTCTCTACAAAAAATACAAAAATTAGCTGGGTGTGGTGGTGCACGTCTGTAATCCCAGCACTTTGGGAGGCTGAGGCGGGCAGATCACCTGAGGTCAGGAGTTTGAGACCAGCCTGGCCAACATGGTGAAACCCTGTCTCTACTAAAAATATAATAATTAGCTGGGCACGTTGGCACGCATCTGTAGTCCCTGCTACTCGGGAAGCTGAGGCTGGGGAATCACTTGAACCGAGGAGGTGGAGGTTGCAGTGAGCCAAGATCGTACCACTGCCCTCTAGCCTGGGCAACAGACCAAGACTCTGCCTCAAAAAAAAAAATTAAAAAAATAAAAAATATTCTCACACCCTCTCTCTCTTAGCTCTACCACTTGCTAGCTGTGTGGGCTTGGACAAATCTCTGATCCTCTCTGAGCTTCCATTTCCTCATGGTAAAATGGAGACAGGAATGCCTTCCCGGGTTACTATGAGAAGCAGATAGGAAAAATGCCTGAAAGTACTTAGAACAGCGCCTGCACACAATAGGTACCCAATAAATGGTTGATACATTAACCATTTTCCATTAATATCTTATTTGACAGCCACAATAACAGATCTTACTGTTTCTGTTTGCAGACAGAGGAAATGAAGCTCTAAAGGCTTACCCAGCATGGTACAGTACATTAGTCACAGAGGCTGACTAGCAAGCACAGTTCCCCGGGTCAGGGTTTTTTCACCTGAGATCTGGTCTGTCACCTTCCCCTGGGCTGGGCACTGCCTGCAGGCAGATGCCTTGGTGAAGGCTTTGGACCTTAAAGGCTGTGAGGTCAGCACTCCTGGAGTCTTACCAGGATGTCCTGATTTGTAAAGATCTTTCCTGGAGCTGTGTCTCTCCCAAATTTTTGTGTTGTGTTGTGTTGTGTGTGTGTGTGTGTGTGTGTTTAGATGGAGTCTCACTCTGTCACCCAGGCTGGAGTGCAGTGGCACGATCTCTGCTCACTACAACCTCCGCCTCCCTTGTTCAAGCAATTCTCCTGCCTCAGCCTCCTAAGTAGCTGGGATGACAGGCACGCGCCACCACGCCTGGCTAATTTTTGTATTTTTAGTAGAGACGGGGTTTCACCATGTTGGCCAGTCTGGTCTCCAACTCCTGACCTCGAATGATCCACACACCTTGGCCTCCCAAAGTGCTGGGATTACAGGTGTGGGCCACCGCACCCGGCCTCTCAGTGTTTTTGTCTGTTTGAGGCATGGTCTCACTGTCACCCAGGCTGGAGTGCAGTAGCACAATCATGGCTCTGCAGCCTTGACCTCCCTGGCTCAACAATTCTCCTGAAGAGCTGGGACTACAGGCATGCCCCACCACGCCCAGCTAGTTTTTAAACTTTGTAGAAACAGGGTCTCACTATGTTGCCCTGACTTGTCTTGAACTCCTGGCCTCAAACAATCATCCCACCTTGGCCTCCCAGAGTGTTGGGATTATGGGCATGAGCCACCATGCCTGGCCCTCTCTCCCCAGTTTGAGGCCAACCCTTCACAACCTCCACCACTCACACATTCTGCCTATGAATGAGCTGCTATTTTATTAGCAGGAAGACTCAGAGCTAGATTGACTGGGTCAACTCCCAGCTCTTTCACTTCCCAGCTGGGAAACCTTAGCTAATTGATTTCACTTCTTGAGCCTCAGTTTCCTCATCTGTGAAATGAGGATAATAAAGTCATGCCTGATTCACAGAGTTATTGGGAGGTACTTAGATGAAGCATTCCCAGTGCCTGACGCTGTTCCTCATGGCACACGGGAGAGTAGCTGTTGCTATCCTTATAGACAACCTGGCTGTTTCTCACCGGGCATTTTCTCTGCTGACCAGAGCCACTTAGCTGGCCCCAGGGCCTTTCTCTCCCTCTCACATCTCATCTTTCCCCCAGTCTCTGTCTTGGTATTGCCTGGAAGGGCAGCCTAATGTCTGGGCCCCTTCCCATCCGCTGAGCAATCCTGAGAGCTGGGTTGGGGTGTATGGGTCTCCAGTCCTGTCTCTGAATGGCTTGTGTAGCTAGTCCAGCTAGAGGCCTGGATCCTGAGCAGATGAAGGAGGGGGAAGGAGCGTGGGGGATCTAGGCACAGCATGGCTGGGAAGGAGGGCGGGCCCCCAGCAGGCACGAGAACCGACCTGGAGCACTCCTGTTTGTAGATGTCGATGATGTTCTCCACCAGCAGGTTCCTCTGCAGGCCGTACACTCCGTGACGATCCATGATCACCTCGTGGCGGCAGGTGGGGCAGCGGAAACGGCCTCCAGACATGGACACTGAGCTGCCCCGGCTGGTCCAGTAGGGATTTGCAGCCTGCAGGTGGCAAAGGTCAAGGTGAGGCCTGGGCTCCCTACTTAGCCCTTCTCTTTTCTAATCTCCTCTTATCCTTTCCTCTGCCTATCCGAACCACCCCCGTCAAACCTAACAACCTGGAGCTCTGCAGACTGTGATGAGAACCAGTCCTCACACACAGAGCACCTGAGAAGCAGCTAAGCAATCGTCAGGATGGGGAGGCAGGAGACCTGGGTTCAAGTCATGTTTATTCTCTGAGTGATTTTGGGCAAGCAACCTTATCTGTGTAGGCCTCAGTTTGCCCACTTATGAAATAGGTATTACAATGAGAGCAAGCTCCTAAGGCTGCTACTTTAAAGATAATATCGTGAAAGAACATTTTGTAAAGTGTCCATGGGGAACCTCGCATCCTGCCTCCCAGCCAGGACATCTACCCCCTTCCTTTCTCGGGGAGTTGGAGCCCCTTCTGCCCCCATATCATAGGGAACAGCCTCAAAAGGGAAGATGCCTCTACTGCCCACTGCCTCCCTGACACCCTCCTCCCAAAGCTCTGGGCCTCTTGCCACCAGGACCTGGCTCCAGCCCCAGGGGTCTGGTTTCTCTCTCCTGTCCCTGCCTACCCCGCTTATCACTTGAGGCATTTGACTCTTGATTGGAGAGTCAACAGCAGTGCTCAGGGCAGGGGTGGGGGAGCTGTGGGCAGGGCAGGGAGGGGAAACTTGTGTTATGGAGAAGAACCGCAGCAGCCAGAGCCGCCTCCCAGCCCCCTCTCAGCCCTGTCCAGAGGCCTCTGCAGGGGTTCACTTCCAAGGGGAAAGAGGCTGTCCAGGTTGGAAGTCTAAGGGAGAAGGGTTTCATCACAGGGAAGCCAAGTAGCCACCTGGGGACCCCAAATGAAGCTGCACCCGGCACTTACCTGGAAGATGTCATTGGCACACTTCCGGCACAGGTTGTGCTGGCACGGCAAGATGACCACTGGCTTGGTAAACATCTCCAGGCAGATAGGGCAGATCAGCTGCTTCTCCAAGTTCTCCATGGGATTCCCATCCTGGATCAGGCTCGACTTATAATCCATTCTGTGGGAAGGAATGAGAGCCACGCCTAGCTGCCTCCTCTACTAACTTTGCTCTAAGTAGACCTGGGGGTCTTGCCTTTGTCACAAAACACCGGGTCGGATCCTGTTGGCTTCCTTCTCCTGGTGCCCGAATTCTGTCTTGGTCTGAGGCCCCTCTGATATTTATAGCTAGATCTTGGTCACATGAGCCCCAGGAGGGGACCAGCTGAGCATTCCGATGCCAAGCGGCTGGTGGGGCTTGAGTTTCCTCCAGGCCTGAAAGACTGGCCCTCTCAAATCACATGCAGGGATGAGCAATCACTATTCTGCTGGGACGGGGGTCATAAACAAGAACAGCCTGTTCAGAGGCAGGCTTAGGGCAAGACTGGGTACCCAGAGCTTCCTCCAGAAATTGGTCTCCCCCCGGCACCAGGCTAGTGGGTCAGGGATGGGACCCAGCAAGTGAGCCACGGGGATTCAAGGGGTTAATAGCCAATGCTATGATGAAAATGTTCGATGAATGAATTTTATTCATTCATCAGACATTTTTCTGAGTACTAGTATATACATCAGGCAACTAGTATACATCACAACGTGACAGATGGATGAGTGATCTGTTTCCCTGCCCCGAGAAACTCACAGCCCAGGAAGGGAGATAGAAAGGATTGTGCAGTGGCACGATCTCTGCTCACTGCAACCTCCACCTCCCAGGTTGAAGGGAGTCTCCTCCTTCAGCCTCCCAACCTCAACCCCCTCCCAGCCCCACGCAACCCCTCACTGACCTAAATCAATTCCATCCCCTCCTCTGGAGTCCTGGGCAGCTCCTAGATGGAAGGGTCGGGCAGCCCCTCTCTCTGAGCCCATCCCTCTGCCTCAGACTTCAGCACAGCATTTTGCTGGAGATGATGGAGACCCCCACTCCAACCAGCCCATCCTCCATCCCTCGGCCACTTATTTCACTTAGTGCTGAAAAGCCTCCTTTGAAACACAGTCCAGTCCCCTCATCTTACAGATTTTGAAATGGGACTAGAGAAGAAAAGGATTATATTCAAAGTCAGTTGGAAAGTAAGTGGCAGCCGGGCGTGGTGTCTCACACCTGTAATCCCAGCACTTTGGAAGGCTGAGGCAGGTGGATCACTTGAGGTCAGGAGTTCGAGACTAGCCTGGCCAACATGGTAAAACCCTGTCTCTACTAAAAACACAAAACTTAGCTGGGTGTGGTGGTACGCGCCTGTAATCCCAGCTACTCAGGAGGCTGAAGCAGGAGAATCACTTGAACCCAGGAGGTGGAGGTTGCAGTGAGCTGAGATCGCGCCACTGCACTCCAGCCTGGGTGACAAGAGTGAAACGCCATCTCCAAACAAAACAAAACAAAACAAAAAAGAAAGAAAATAAGTGGCAAAGACAGAAATTTTATTCATTCATCAGACATTTTTCTGAGTACTAGTATACATCAGGTAACTAGTATACATCACAACGTGACAGATGGATGAGTGATCTGTTTCCCTGCCCCAAGAAACTCACAGCCCAGGAAGGGAGATAGAAAGGAAAAACCCAGAGGGCACAGTGACTCACGCCTGTAAACCCAGCACTTTAGGAGGTCGAGGTGGGCAGACCACGAGGTCAGGAGATGGAGACCATCCTGGCCAACATGGTGAAACCCTGTCTCTACTAAAAATACAAAAATTAGCTGGGTATGATGGCAGGTGCCTATAATCCCAGCTACTCAGTAGGCTGAGGCAGGAGAATCGTTTGAACCCAGGAAGAGGAGGTTGCGGTGAGTCGAGATTGCACCACCGCACTCCAGCCCGGTGATAGAGTGAGACTCTGTCTCCAAAAAAAAAAAAAAAAGAAAAAGAAAAAAGAAAGAAAGAAAGGGAAACCCCTCATGCGGTGCCACAAAGCCCTGCCTGGACACTTAGAAGGCGTCCCTCAGCTCGCTGCACACATTTTAACTTTTCTCCATGTATTTTAGGACATCTTCCACGTTGGCAAGTAGAAGTCATTAGAGCAGTTCCAGTGGCTGGTTTTTTTTTTTTTTTTTCCCGAGATGTAGTTTCACTGTGTTGCCCAGAGGCTGGAGTGCAGTGGCGCCATCTCAGCTCACTGCAACCTCCGCCTCCCAGGTTGAAGTGAATCTCCTGCCTCAGCCTCCTGAGTAGCTGGGACTACAGGCATGTGTCATGACACCCGACTAATTTTTGTATTTTTAATAGAGACAGGTTTTCACCATGTTAGCCAGGCTGGTCTCGAACTCCTGACCTCAGGCAATCCACCTGCCTCGACCTCCCAAAGTGCTGGGATTACAGGCGTGAGCCACTGTACCTGGCCTCCAGTAGCTGTTTTTAAGGTAGCATCTAATGAAAGGACTGTGGGGTCATCTGGTCCAAGGCGATGGGGCAGAGATATGGAGCAGTGGTATCAGGGCCCAAGATGAGCCTAAGAGGCTGTGGAATACTCAGGAGGAGTATGAAGGATTTCAGGAAAGAGGAATGATGGGAGCAATGAGACAAGACATAGAGCAGAGAAGCAAACCTTGGAAGAGAGGAAATGGGAGAAGAAGAGGGACAAGTTACAGAAAAAAGAAGAGGCCTTAAAAACAAAGGGCTGGAGGATTTCGAGGAGAGAGTTGTCCCCCCAAAATTTTGCTGAGCACTTAGGTTTTGCTGAGCACTTACTATGTGCTATGCATTGTGCTAAATGCTTTGTATGCATTATTTCATTTTACCATCTCAATAGCCAATAACAAAAGACCCATAATATCCCCATTCCACAAGTGAGGAAACTCAGGCACACAGGTAAAATAACTTGTATGAGGTCCCACCGATAGCACGAGGTGGCTCTAGGACATGAACCCAAATATGCTTGACTTAGGAACCCAAGCTCCTCATGTAGACTCTATTGAACTGTGTTTAGGTCAAGTCAACACTGACTGAAAAAAGGCCACTTCTTCTTCCTTGCTCATGGGACCTCAGTTTAGTTCAGGCATTGGCAGCATTGTGCTCCAGGAAGATGGCCCTCTCCACTGCCTCAGGAGATGAGTCACACACAGTTTAAGCCTATCATACAACCCCATTCTCTTTTGCCTAATGATGCAGTTATGGTCAATGAGACCCAAGGATATGTCTGTTGGCTAAAGATAAAGGATTTCCTCCACAATAAAAATGAATGTGCAAGAAGAAAGCTTTGTCCATACCTTTGAATGGGGCTGTGAGAGGGTAGAGCAGCTATCTTGCAACCACAAGGGGACAAGGCTGAGGATGATGTCAACACCCTGAGGATAGCATAGAGGAACCATAGGAGGCACCTGGGTTAGAGATGCCATCATTTTGTTGCCAATTTATCCAACCCTAGAGCTGCCTGTCTCTTGACTACTTAAGACGTGAGATTACAAATGCCATTATAGTGTAATTACTCTGTTACTTGAAGCAGTAAGCACCTCATAAACCTGCATGATTCCGACTCCCATATGCTGATGATTCTCAACTCTCTAATTCCAGTTCCGACTTCTCCTCTCTCCCCTAAGCTAAAGATTTGTTGGAGATTTCTACTGGGATGTTCTAATAGTATCTCAAATTCATCATACTCCAGCCAGAATACACCATCTTCCCCGATACCTAGCTCCTCCCTCCATTTTTCTTGTCTCGCATCTTAGTGAACAGCACTACTGTCCACCCATTTGCACCAACCAGGAAGCTGAGAGTCATCTTAGGGCTCCCTCTTCTTCTCATCACATGCCTACTTAATCTCTGTGTCAGGCATGGCCCATCTTTGCATCTCACTTGCCGTATTACCATCGTCTGCTTGTGAGTCCGACTCTCTCTCTGGACTTTGAAGACATTGAGGGCAAAGATGGTCTCTATTCATCTCTGTACCCCCAATGCCTGGTACCTAGTAGGCACTCAACAAATGTTTCTTGGCTGGGCGCGGTAGCTCACACCTATAATCCCAGCACTTTGGGAGGTCAAGGTGGAAGGATCACTTGAGCCCAGGAGTTAGTGTGAGACCAGCCTGGGCAACATAGTGAGATACTATCTCTACAAAAAATTAAAAATTAGCTGGTCGTAGTGTTGCCCATCTGTAGTCCCAACTACTCAGTAGACTGAGGTGGGAGGATTGCTTGAGCCTGGGAGGTTGAGGCTGCAGCATGCTGTGATCACACCACTGCACTCCAGCCTGGGTGACAGAGTGAGACCCTGTCTCAAAAAAAACAAAGATTCTGAAATGAGTGGACAAGTGAATGAGTGGGTTAAATATAAAGGAGCAGCTGCATCACTGTCAGACTTGGAGAAGGTTCAGATACTTGAGCAAGTTTTTTTTTTTTTTTTGAGACAGAGTCTCGCTCTTCACCAGGCTGGAGTGCAGTGGTGTGAACTTGGCTCACTGCAACCTCTGCCTCCCGGGTTCGAGCCATTCTCCTGCCTCAGCTTCCCGAGTAGCTGGGATTACAGGCACCCACCACCATGCCCAGCTAATTTTTGTATTTTTAGTAGAGACGGGGTTTCATCATGTGGGCCAGGATGGTCTCGATCTCCTAACCTCGTGATCTGCCCGCCTCGGCCTCCCAAAGTGCTGGGATTACAGGCGTGAGCCACTGCGCCCAGCAGTTTTTTTTTTTTTGTTGTTGTTTTTTTTTTTGGCTGAGTTGGTGCAGCCAATGGAAAAAAAGTACTGGAGATGGGGTTTTGGGGATGATGGAGTAAATTCTAAAGCCTTGGGAAAGAGAGGGACGCTCCAACCTTTGAGTTGGAAGGATGGAAGGAGAGGAATGGATGGAGGTGTTGGGAGGTGGAGAGAAAGGTGTTCATATTTGATGACCTTGATCAAGAGAGCATTGAGGTCAACTTCTGAGGCTTAGGAATCAGTGGTGAAAAAGATTTGGACTGGCCAGTGTGGAACACAACAGGAAGTGCCCTGGAGAGAAATGGAAGGATTGTCTAGGGGCAGAAGAGCCTTGCTGATGTTTCCCAGTACTGATGTGTCATTTGTGAGGAGCCATTCACATGGCCCTGTTGACTTTCTCCAGCCGCACTTGGCAGTCCAGGTGCAGATGCCAAACAAATGGACAGTGGGATCGATTCCAGCCGGGGCGCTGGCAAGGCCAGTGCTGCTGAAAGTCAAGGGGTGAGGAAGGGAAATTCCCACGTGGGCTGTGCTGGACATCAAAACATGTCATTTAATCCTCACCATAGTCCTGCAGGGGAGGTTTTATGATCTTCGGGTTTTTTCCCAGGAGGAAATGAGGCTCAGAGAGTTAATTGGCTTGGCCAGAGTCACACAGCCACAAGTGGCAGAGCCGAGCTGGGGTTCATATCCACGGCAGCCTGATTCTTCAACCTGTGCTCCCCTCACTGGAGGATTTACTGAGCGCTTATTATGTTCAGGCATTGTGCTAAGTCCTTTCCATCCATCCTCCCGTTCAGTCCTCCAAATAACTTGGTACAGCAGGGATCATAATTTTCCCTGTTTTGCAGGTGAGCTTCAGAGGCTCAGTGAGGATAAGTCACACAGACAAAGTCCCCCAGCAGTGGGTAGCAGAGCCAGCATCAGAATCAGGAAGTTATAAACCAGCATCATTACAGTTATGAGAACATACCGTAACACTATAGTACTGGCAGATGAAGAGACAATTACGGAACACCAGTGGGTGTCTGGACCCAGAGCTCTTAACCACTATATTTACTGCCTCCCTCTCTGCAAGTCACTTCATTTATTTTTATTCCTTATGAATGAAAGTTTCAAACACACAAAACTAGAGAGAACAGTATAATGGGCTCACGTAATCAAACCCAGCTTAACTCGTTAATCATTGCCCCAATATTCCCATACACTTCTTTTATCTTTTCTTTCTTTTTTTTTTGAGACGGAGTTTCGCTCTTGTTGCGCAAGCTGGGGTGCATTGGTGCGATCTTGGCTCACTGCAACCTCTGCCTCCCGGGTTCAAGCAATTCTCCTGCCTCAGCCTCCCGAGTAGCTGGGATTACAGGCGCATGCCACAATACCCGGCTAATTTTTGTATTTTTAGTAGAGACGGGGTTTCACCATGTTGGCCAGGCTGGTCTCGAACTCCTGACCTCAAGTGATCAGCCCACCTCAGCCTCCCAAGCTACTGGGATTACAGACGTGAGCTACCGTGCCTGGCCCACGCTTCTTTTGTCTAAATTTTTTTTTTTGAAACAAAGTCTCACTCTATTGTCCAGCCTGGAGTGCAGTGGCGTGATCTTGGCTCACTGCAACCTCCACCTCCCAGGTTCAAGCGATTCTTCTGCCTCAGCCTCCCGAGTAACTGGGATTACAGGCACTCGCCATCACGCCCAGCTAATTTTGTTTTTACTTTTAGTAGAGACAAGGTTTCACTATGTTGGCCAGGCTGGTCTCAAACTCTTGACCTCAGGTGATCCTCCCACTTTGGTTTCCCAAAGTGCTGGGATTACAGGCGTGAACCACTGCACCCAGCCTCTTTTCTTTTCTTATTTTTTCTTTTCTTTTCTTTTCTCAGAAGGAGTCTCACTCTGTTGTCCAGGCTGGCTGAAGTGGTGCAATCTTGGCTCACTGCAACCTCCACCTCCTGGGTTCAAGCAATTCTCTGCCTCAGCCTCCGTGCCCAGCCTTTTCTAAAATATTTTAAAGAAAATGTTAGACATTAAGTCATTTCACCCATAAATACTCCAATATGCATTTCTCATAGATAAGGATTTTTGTTACATAATCACCATGCCATTATGTTAACAAACAATAATTAAAGTTTTTTTTTTTCTGAGACAGGGTCTCACTCCGTTACTCAGGCTGAGACCTCTGTTGTTTTTGTCTCATGGATCTCTTTTAAACTGTAACAACTGTCATCCCTCTCATTCTTCTGTGCCATTGATTTATCAGAGAATTATTCTGGGTATTATGATTCTCATTTTTATATATCAGGCACTGAAGCTTAAGTGACTTGTAGAAAGTCACCCAGCTAAGCAACAGACCTGTCATTTAGAATTGCTCCCAAAGTCTGTGTCATGAGTGTAGGAAGCTGTAGTGCCCAAGAGGGTCCCAGCTGGGTAGAAGACAGGCAAGGCATCAGGGAGAATGGTCTAGGCCTGGCAAGGAAAAAGGGGAGGTAGAGGGTAATAGCAATTATAATGCTGTGTTTTATTGATTTCAGTGCTTGCAAGTGGCTGGGCATCTACAAAGAGTTTTGAGGCACTATTTTATTCAGTCCTCACAACAACTATAAATAGGTTATCCTTAAATTTTTTTAATCGACAAGTAAAAATTGCATATATTTATGGTGTACCACATGATGTTTTGATATATGTATATATTGTGGAATGGCTAAATCAAGCTATTTAACATATGCATGACCTCACATACTTATTGTTTCATGGTGGGAACACTTAAAATCTACTCTCTTAGCAATTTTCAAGTATACATGTCATACTTATTGTCCTCATTTCACAGATGAGGCACAGTTTAGGGTATGGAGTTGCCCCAAGACCCACAGCTCATGTAGGCAAAGCTGCAACAGGCCTGTTTAACCCTCAAAGTCTATGCTTTTTCTTTTTCTTTTTTTAGACAGAGTCTTGCTGTCTGTCACTCAGGCTGGAGTGCAGTGGCGCTATCTCAGCTCACTGCACCCTCCACCTCCTGGGTTCAAGCGATTCTCATGCCTCAGCCTCCCGAGTAGATGAGATTA
This sequence comes from Homo sapiens, assembly GCF_000001405.40. Lineage (NCBI taxonomy): Eukaryota > Metazoa > Chordata > Mammalia > Primates > Hominidae > Homo > Homo sapiens. The sequence continues at coordinate 26,075,152 of NC_000001.11, forward strand.
CAGGTGCCCACCACCACGCCTGGCTAATTTGTTGTATTTTTAGTAGAGATGGGTTTTCACCATGTTGGCCAGTCTCTAAATCCTGACCTCAGGTGATCTGCCTGCCCCAGCCTCCCAAAGTGCTGGGATTACAGGCATGAGCCATCGTTACCAGCCTATGTTTTTGTTTTTTTTTTAATTGTCTCTAGAAAGGGAACTTTTCAGAGATCTGAGATTTTTTTGATGCCTCTTGGTTCAGAGGAGAAAACCCTGGCCTAGGGCCCAGACACCTGGGTTCCATCTCCATCTCTGTTGGAGACCTGAAATGTGATGCCCTGCAAACCATACCCACCCTCAGTTTCTTCATCTGCCAAATGGAGCATCTACAGGAGATGATCCTGAATGGTCCTTCCACATCCCCAGTGGCCAAGTTCTCAGAGGAGTGCTCCGGTGATGACACAGGCCCAAGGGGTGGTGATGCTGGAGAGGAAACAACTGTCCATCTCCCCTTTCATGTCCACATAGTTCAGGCTTGTGGAAGTGCTTCCCTGGTACATCATGGAGCAGATCTTTTTCACATGTGTGTACCTGTTCTCCCTCATTTCCTCCCTAGGAGTGTGAGGTCTGCCCTGCCTTGCTCTGCATTTCCCCTCAAGCCTCTGCTTGGAGCACCCTCAGGAAGTGGAACAGGCGTGGCACAGGGACTGTTTTTTTCTTATGGTTTAAGATCCGTATCACATGCTTTGATGTCATCCTCATTGAAGAATCATCCCAAATCACAGGATCAAACCAATGGGTCATTTGATCTAGTGGCTAAAGCTGGAGCAGTTGGCAGAGGCAGGTCTATGGGGTCTGGGACATGAAGCAGTGCCCTCAGTGCCAGGGCAAAGTCCACTGGGCCTGGCCTGCATGCCACAGAAGGGGAGCAGAATGTCCCAGGACCTACTCACTCATGGCCTGGGCTGGGAGCCACACAGGCCTCCTCCCACTGTCCCCAGGACCAGATAATGCTTGTGGACAGCTACAAAGGCTCTGGGGAGTGGGTGGTCTTTAGAGAAAGGGACTGCCCCAGGGCAAATGGAGGCAAGTAGGGTCAGGAGGGGGCTCTGCACTGATGATCCTGAAATGAAGTATTGAAAGTGCTTTATAAACTGTGCAACATATAAACTGTGAAATGCAATAAATCCTTACTATAAGAACCTAAGAGTGCAGAGCAACAAAGAGGCTGCCCCAGGACGGATGGATCTGAGTTCAAGTTTTGACTTCTTCACATATCAGCTCTTTTATCTTGGGCAGGTTACGTGACCTGTGTGTGTGAGTTTCCTCATCTATGAAATGACAATTGGGTAGAGTAATGATGTCTGTGGGCATTTCTAATCCTGAGAGTCAAGGGTTCCTAGTGACTATCCTCCCCCAGCATTCTATGCCTTGCTGAAAACTGATGGCACAGAAGTGGGAGTCCATTTGCACAGGCACGTAGCACACGTTTGACACATGGCAGACACTTAACAAACGCTGTTAACATTATCACAGTTGGGAATAACACGGGTTAGCATTTACTGAACAGTTAGTATGGGTAACCCCATGGCTTGCGTACCATCTGTTGTTGCATAACAAATTATCCCAAAATGTAGCAGCTTAAGACAATAGTAAACATTTATTATCTCATACAGTTTCTATGGGTCAGGAATTCAAGAGCAGCTAAGCTGGGTGGTTCTGGATCTGGTCTCTAAGGAGGTTGTAGTCAAGATGTTGGCTGGGGCTGGGCGCGGTGGCTCACGCCTGTAATCCCAACAGTTTGGGAGGCTGAGGCAGGAGGATTGCTTGATCCAAGAGTTTGGGACCTGCGTGGGCAACACAAGGAGACCTTGTCTCTACAAAAAAAAAAAAAAATTACCTGGGCATGGTTTTGCGTGCCTGTAGTCCTAGCTACTCAAGAGGCTAAGGTAGGAGGATTGCTTGAGCCCAGGAGGTCAAAACTGCAGCAAGCTGTGATAGTGCCACTCCAGCCTGGGCAACACAGTGAGACTCTGTCTCAAAAAAAAAAAAAAAAAAAAAAAAAAAAAAAAAAATATATATATATATATATATATATATATATATATAGGCTGGGGCTGCAGTTGAGTTTAGCAGAATGCTTGACTGGAGCTGGAGGATCCACTACCAAGATGGCACACTCATGGTTGGCAAATTGGTGGGAGGCCTCAGTTCCTCAGTACACATACCTCTCCATAGGGCTGCTTGAGCATCCTTATAACATGGCACTGGCTTCCCCCAGGGCAAGTGATCCAAAAGAGCAAGACAAAAGTGGTACTATCTTTTATGACCTAGCCCCAGAAGTCACACACTATCATTTCCATTGTATTCTACTGGACACACAGACCAACCCTGATACAGTACGGGAGGCAACTGCACAGGACCTGATTACCAGGAGGCAAGAATTATTGAGCTGTATCTTGGAGGCTATCACAGTCTGTTCTAAGTGTTTTATAGGTATTAATTCATGTGTTAATTCATGACATTGATACCACTACCATCCCCATTTTACAGATGAGAAAACTGAGTCACACAGAGATTAGGTGACTTGCTTAAGGTTACACTTCTAGGAAATGGACTGGGGTGTTGTGATGGACTGAATACTTGTGTTCCCCCAAAATTCACATGTGGAAGCCCTAACCCCAAATGTGAAGGTATTTGAAGATGGGGCCTTTAGGAGGTAATTAGGGTTAGATGAGTTCATGAAAGTAGGTCCAGTGGGATTAGTGCCCTTATAAGAAGAGACATAAGGCTGGGCAGCTGAGCAGATGGGCAGATGGGCACGGTGGCTCACACCTGTAATTCCAGCACTTTGGGAGGTCAAGGTGGAAGGATCACTTGAGCCCAGGAGTTCAAGACCAGCCTGGGCAATAGAACAGACCTTGTCTCTACCAAAAAAAAAAAAAAAAAAAAAATTAGCTGGGTGTAATGCCACACACCTGTAGTCCCAGCTACTTGGGAGGCTGAGGCGGGAGAATTTCTTGAGCCCAGGAGCTGAAGGCTGCTGCAGTGAGCTATGATCACACCACTGCTCTCCAGCCTGGGCCACGGAGAGAGACCCATCTTTAAAAAAAAGAAAAGAGACACAAGAAAGCTTGCTCTCCTTTCTTCTCTCTCTGTTTCTGTGGCTGTCTCTATGTCTCTCTGAAACTGCCTTTGCAAAAATTATAACTGAGGAAACTATGACAGTGAAAGATTTCAGATCTAACCAACTCCGTCTTGTTTCTAACCTTTAAGCAGTCCTTGTTCATTTCTGGGCTTAAGCCAAACTAACCTAGGGAGGAATTTAGTTTGACTCTGAAACAAAATTGATAATAGCCCTTTCCTGAAAAGACCCCCTTCTTCTGTTGGGACCAGTCTGCTTTTGTAGGACTAACAAATTAGCTACAAGATTAGAAATTATGGTTTAGGGGTCATGCAGCCTCTGACTCCAAGTCTGAACCTCCCCCAAATTGCTCCTGGGGACATCACTATTGTAAAACCTAAGATCAGTGCTTAAGATATTTTGCAGATCCCGCACTTGATGGATCAGCTGACACCACCCAGGCCAGTAATCTGACTCAACCAGTTCTGCGATCTTATCCAGGAACTGAGGACAGCAAGAAAACTTGACTTTGACCCCCTCTATGATTCCATCTCCAACCTGACCAATCAGCACTCCCCACTTCCGGAGCCCCTACTCACCAAATTATCTTTAAAAACTCCGATCCCCGAATGCTTGGGGAGACTGATATGAGTAACAATAAAACTCCAGCCTCCCACACAGCCGACTTTGCATGAATTATTCTTTCTCCATTGCAATTCCCCTGTCTTGATAAATTGTCTCTGCCTAGGCAGTGGGCAAGGTGAACCTGTTGGGCGGTTGCCTCTCTCTCCCATTCTCTATGCATACACACCAAGGTAAGACCATGTGAACACATAGCAAGAGGGTAGCTACCTACAAGGCAAGAGAAGAGAACTCAGAATAAAATCACCTAGATCTTGGACTTGCCAGCCTCCAGAACTGTGAGAAGTAAATTTCTGTTGTTTAAGCCACCCAAGCTGTGGGATTTTAGCAGACTCATGAGGCTTTGCACTCAGAGGGTTCAGGATTTGACTTCAGAGCGCTGACTGTTTAGCCCTTGTTCTTAACCTTTCCCTCTTTCTCCGGGACAAACACAGGCCCTGGCGCCCCCTGATTCCCGCCTGGCCCGTTTGCTGGGTGAGAGGCTCTTTTCACTGACAGTGAGGCCCTACGTGCCACTGGGAAGACTTGGAAACAGGACTGGGGGAAGCCTCTGGGGCAAACTCCAAGTCCAAGGATTCAGTGCTGGCCCAGATGTTCCTTTGTTTATACCCCTGGGAGACAGTCTTGGGGGCTCAGCTGCCCACCCCACCTGGCCTGCCGCTCCCCACCCCCACAGCTTGAACCTGGGGTTTGCCACACACACCCTCAGGGACTATCCAGATCATAAACAGTGAGCAGGAGGAAAACAAACTATATTTAAAACAGCAGTTGCTTCACAAACAAAGCTGGTGGGGGGAAAACACTAGAAACATGAAAAGACCAAATGTCAAAATCCATAATACGTTAAAATTTTAAGAATAAGCAAAAGATATAAAATGGCAATTCACAGAAGAATAAATGTCAATGTCCCCAAAAACAAAAGCGAAAAAAAGTGCTTATCCCCACTAATTTAAAAATATCACATTAAAACCACAATAAAATCTGATTTTTCTTTGATCCAATAGACAAAAGTATTAAAGATTAATAATATCCAAGCTCGGTGAGGGGTAGGGACATGGGCACTGGCACTGCTCTTGGCCCTGGGGGAGCAGGAGAGTGCAATCTGACAAAGAAAAATGTTAACAATACATACATGTGACTCAGCAATTATATTCTGAGGACTCTATCTTATCAAAAGACTAGAAAGATAACAGAAAGATATAATTAGATAGATAGATACAGATATGCAGATATAGAGAGCTATTTACACACCAGGACGTTTTTGCAATTTTGTTTGCAGTAGCAAAACCTTGGAAACAGCCCAAATGTCCATCAATGGGACAAATAAATAAATTGCCGTATAGTCACCTAGTGGAATATTATACAGAATTAGAATAAACAAATCTTGCCACACGTAACAACATGAGGGAAGCTCATAAATAGAATGTCAAGCAAAAGAGGACATCCTGTATAATTCTGTTTATATAAACTTTGAAAAAGGCAAAACGAATCTGAGCTGTCAGCATTCAGGATGGTGGTTATCCTTGAGGAGGCCAGAAGGAAGCATGGAGCCCCTGCGAGTGCTGGTGATGGCCTGTTTCTTGACCTGGGTGTGGGTGATGCAGGTATACTCACTCTGTGAAAATGCCTTGAATTGTACACTTAGGAATTGTGTACTTATTTTGTTTTTTTGAGACAGGGTTTCACTCTTGTCACCCAGGCTGGAATGCAGTGACGCAATCTCGGCTCACTGCAACCTCCACCTCCCAGGTTCAACCAATTCTCCCGCCTCAGCCTCCCGAGTAGCTGGACCTACAGGCTCATTTTTGTATTGCTTGGTAGAGATGGGGTTTCACCATGTTGGCCAGGCTGGTCTCAAACTCCTGACCTCAAGTGATCCACCCACCTCAGCCTCCCAAAGTGCTGGGATTGCAATGTGTACTTTTCTGAATGTATATTATACTTGAAGAAAAAGTTTACTAAACAATAACAACAACAAAAAGCATACCCCAATAAGCATTCCAAATGTCCATGCAGAAAAATAAATGCTTATATATATACATAAATATTCCTCCAATTTTAAAACAATGGACATTGAGCTTTCCATATTGAATACCAATATCAAAAGATGTCAGCAATATATTGTTAGGCACAAACAGAAAAACACACGCCTATTAAATATAATCTGATCCTATTCTTCTAAAAAATATTATACATGGGTATCTAAATAAACGTATGTAACAAATATGTGGTACAGGCATAGAAAATGGATGGAAAGAAATCTCCAAACTGTTAAAAACTAGGAGCCAGGGCTCCTTAATGAGGCCCTCTAAAGGCTCCTTAATAAGCCCATTTAACGAGGCCCAGCAGGAAACTTGAGCTACAGCTGAGCAGAACTGGGCCCTCACCTCTGTCAGAGCTGGGCCCTGGCACAGCCCTGGGTAGGCCAGGGGCCACTTAGGATCAGAGTTTCTGGAAGCACCATGCAAGGCGAGCCCTGGGGGCCCTGGAACAGCCAGGTCAAGGCCGGGGGAATGGACCCTGAGAGGTAGGATGAAGACAGGAGAATTAGCCCTGGCCTCATGGGCCCCAGTGGTGTTGGGGGAAGTGGGGGGAAGACAGCCCTATCTGGACACCCCAATTAATCATCAAAACCCTCAGGACACCAAGGTCATACTGTTAGTAGGTGGAACAGCCAGGCCTTGATCCCAAATCTGTTTGAATCTCAAGTTAGAGGCTCTGTACTGGGCTGGGGAGGGTGTGGTAAAGACAGTAGAAAGGAGCATGGTGCCCTGTACAAAGACCCAGAACCCCACGGCAGGAATCACAGAAGTGGCTTTGGCCCAGTGCCCGCAGCTAAGCCACCCTCTGTGGTCAGAACTCAACCACTAAATCTGGCTCCAAGAGCCGCTCCGTTAACTCAGCACTGACCTCCACCTCCAGCTTCCAGCAGCCTGGAGGCTGGCCCCATCCAAAATAGATCCCAGGAGCGAGAGCCAGGTCTATCTACTGTGCCTCTGTACACAACCACCCCCAATCCCCCTATTCACTCACCACCCTACTTTCCCCAGCCCCCTTCACCCACCCCGCCCCTGTGTTCTGAGTCACTCAGGACATGATGGCTATTAAGGAGATGGAAAGAGTAGGGGCAGAGGAGCAGGGGTGGCTGGAACAGCCTGGGTCCCAGGTTCAAGTCCCCAGAGTTGAGCCAGATGTGGCCTGGCTGATTGTCCTAAGCAACTTAGAACAAACAAATTTATCAGGTGTGGGACAGCAGTCAGCAGTTGGGAGCCTACTGTGTACTGGGTTTATTCAGTCTGTACAACTGTCGGTATTAATGTCTCTGTTTTACAGATAAACTGAGTTCAGAGGTGAAGTAACTTGTCCAAGGTCACCTACAGCTTGGACCACTGAACCAAGGAAAACGTAGATTTTGAGCACAGTCCTGCTACTTACTAGGAGGAAAGCCGTGTGGCTTGGGCAAGTTACTTTACCTCTGTGAGCCTCAGTTTCCTTATCTATAAAGATGATGTTAAATTAATATTTAACTTATAAAATTGTGAGGATTCAAAAAGATAACGTTAATCTGAGTGCTGTGGCACACACCTGTAATTCAAGCTGCTCAGGGGGCTGAAGCGGGAGGATCGCTTGAGCCCAGGAGTTTGAGGCTGTAGTGAGCTGTCATTGCACCACTGCACTCCAGCCTGGGCAACACAGCAAGACCCCATCTTTAAAAAAAAAAACAAAAAGGTAATGTTAAAAGTCTTAGCATAGTATCTGGCACATAGAATGTCCTTAGAAAATGTTTGTTTTACTTTTTTTTGAGACAGGCTCTCTCTCTCTCTCTCTCTCTCTCTCTCTCTCTCTCTCTCTCTGTCTCTGTTGTCCAGGCTGAAGTGCAGTGATGCAGTCACAGCTCACTGCAGCCTCAACCTCCCGGGCTCAAGTGATCCTCCTGCCTCAGCCTCTGAGTAGCTGGGACTACAGGCATGTGCCACCACACCCGGGTAATTCTTTTTATTTTTTTTTGTAGAGACAGGGTCTCTCTATGTAACCAGGCTGGTCTCGAACTCTTGCCCTCAAGCAATCCTCCTACCTTGTCCTCCCAGTCTTAGCAAATGTTATTATGATTAATTTAATTATCTGACCAATGAGAGAGTTTACTCCCTCAGAGCAGTGGGGTTAGGGAAAGTTTTTAACCTTCCTAGATCAATCCAGGATGTCTTCCTGAAAGAAGCAGCATTTCTGTCCCATTTTAACCTGAGACCATGAATTCCCTAGGTATATAAGGTTGTGATGGGGTAAGCATGGGGAGTATTTGGTAGAAGAGGGCACACCTTGGATAGGGAGAATTGCCTCAGTCTGGGTGTGGGGGGTCAGGCCAGGTCTAAACACAGGCAGGACTCCAGATCTCGTTCTCGGAGAATGTCCCAACATCCTGCTTGGGCACCTTGGATGATAAACAGGTTGTCACCCTCCAAACCCCAGGTGAACCTGATAAATCCTGGCAAAGCTGAGGCGAGGAGAAGAGGCCCATCTATAAATACTCAGTGACTCAGGCTCAGTGTCGTGTTGAAAGAGCTGCTTGTGTTTATGGCTCGGTTGCTCTGGGGAGGCAGTCCAGCTCTAGGAGGAAGGTCCAAGCTGCCCTGAAGTCTCAGACCTCCCAGTTTTCTCTGCTGGGGCAGGTTTGGGACCTGGGGCCAGACCCACCATACCCTGGCTTAGTGTCCAGTCCATTATGGGACTCTGAACAAACCTCTCACTTTTCTGAGCTTCTAGCCATGCAGGAAATGAAACATGTTGACTCTCCCTACTTTGGCCAGATAGGCTGTGAGGCAGGATGGTCTAGTGATCAGGCACTCAGGTTTTTGGTGCCAGATAAATGTAGGTTCAAGTCCCAGTTTCATCCTTTAACTAGCTATGTGACTTTAAGCCAGTCAATTCATTTTTCTGAGCCTCAGTTTCCTGAACTATAAAATGGAGACGATAATGGAACTTTTTTCATAGAGTTGTCATGAGGATGAAAGAAGACAAAATACATAAAGCACTTAGCAAAGTAACTGACAGGTAATAAACACTCAGTTAATGATAGCATTATGATTGCAAATTAAGCTAACTGTTTAAAATACTTTGAAAAGGGATATTGGAGATCTTGGTTCCCCCAGAGAGATATTTTGAGAGTCAATGATTACCCAAGAACTTCAACTACCTCTCTGCTTCCTAAGTAGAACGAGCCAAGCTATGAGGAAAACAAGACAGTTCCCCAAGATTGGTAGGGAAAGGGCAAGGCACTGTCACTCATCAAATACCTACTGTGTGCCAGCTGTTGTCACCTCCAACATCATCTCACTTACTCTTCAGCCACCAGCAAGGCACAACTTCCCTACACAGACCAATAAACCCAGACCCTGTGAAATGAACTGAATGGCAGAGCTGGGATTTGAGCCCAGGTCTGAGTACTTTCAAAGTGCTTGCGTGTGATCCTATCACACTATGGTACTTGGCTGCCTCCCTGGTCTAGGAAGGTGGCCAAGGAAGAGACAGAAGTGAGAGAATGAGGAAGGGAGATTCAAGGTGCTCAGCAACAGTCAAGGGAGAGTGTAGAGATTTAGAAGGAGATGGGAGGTGGAGAGCTGTTTGGGAAGAACACATGACTTTGAGGTGACTGTTCTATGGGTCAACCAGCAGGCAGATGGAAAAGTACAGCTGAACTCAGAAGAAAGATCAGACTGGAGGCTGGGCGCAGTGGCTCGCATCTGTAATCTCGGCACATTGGGAGGCTGAGGCGGGAGGATCATTTGAGTTCAGGAGTTTGAGACCAACCTGGGCAACATGGCGAAACCTCGTCTCTACAAAAAATGCAAAAATTAGCCGGGCATGGTGGTGCACACCTATGGTCCCAGCTACTTTGCAGGGGCAGAGGTGAGAGCATTGGTTGAGCCCAGGAAGCGGGGATTGCAGTGACCTGAGATCACACTGCTGCACTCCAGCCTGGGCAACAGAGTGAGACCCAGTCTCCAAAAGAAAGAGAGAGAGAAAAAGAAAAAAGCTGGGATGGGGTTGTGAGGAAAGAATCCTTTGCTCAAGGCTGTCTGAAATGACTTCTAAACTTACAACCCCTCAAGACCCTCTTCTGCATGGCTTTGAATGCCGTCTCTGCAGCATCCTACCTCCTGGCCTTTGCACATGCTGTGTGATCTGCCTAGAATAGTCATTTCCTCCTCAGCTGAGATGTCACCTCTTCAAAGAAGCCTTCTTTAACCACTCTATTTAGATAGGCCCCGTCCCATTACTCCTGGATTGAGCACCTGCTTGGTGCTTGGTTCTTTCTCAATATTTATCACAATCTATATTTTACCCAATTTCTTTGTCAGTTGTTTGTCCCCACCCTCCGCCCAAGACAGTATCTGCTCCATGAATGCAGGGATTGGATGAGCTTGTTCACTGCTATCTACAGCTCCTGGAATAGCGCCTGGCATACAATGCAGCTTAGCGTGTTTATGGAATGAATGAATGATCCAGTCCCAGCTGTCTCCTAAAATCCTGTCTCCAACTGTCTGATCCGTTGGAATTGATTTCCCACTATTTCTCCATTGCACCCTCCCCGTTCTCCCCTTCTATGGTCCCCTACTTGGAATACCCTCTCTCCTCTGCCCATTCAAGCCCTGCCCAAGGCTGAGCTCCCCTGGGAAGCCCACTCACCCCCAGATCAAGTGAAATGAATAATCTATACAACTGTACATGGTGGCCCTACTCCAAGCACCACTACTTACCTTGAGTAAGTCATATCAACTCTCTGGAACCTATTTTCCCCAGTTAATTCTATCCTCGGTATTGCATCCAAAGGAAATCATTCAAAACCAGAGAAAAGCCAGAAATGGCCAAAGATATACCCTGAAGTATTATTTAAAATAGAAAAAAGCTTTTGAAACAACAAAAATGTTAAATGTTAATAATAATAAAAAGCTACTGTGTAATGAGTGCTTAAATGGATCTGGCAGTGAGCAGCTGTGGTTCAGAGCTGTGGTTACGCACACAGGCTCTGGACCCACAGCCCCACCACTTACTGTATGATCTTTTAGTTTGTTTGTTTGTTTGTTTGAAATGGAGTCTCACTCTGTTGCCCAGGCCGGAGTGCAATGGCGCAATCTCAGCTCACTGCAACCTTTGCCTCCCAGGTTCAAATGATTCTCCTGCCTCAGCCTCCCAGGTAGCTGGGATTATTTATAAGCATATGCCACCACACCCGGCTAATTTTGTATTTTTAGTAGAGACAGGGTTTCACCATGTTGGCCAGGCTGGTCTTGAACCTCTGACTTCAGGTGATCCACCTGCTTCGGCCTCCCAAAGTGCTGGGATTATAGGCGTGAGCCACCACGCTCGGCCGATCTTTTTTGTTTTCCTTGCTCTGTCACCCAGGCTGGAGTGAAATGGCACGATCTCAACTCATGCAAACCTCTGCCTCCTGGGCTCAAGCAATCCTCCCACCTTAGCCTTCTGGGTAGTCGAGAGTACAGGCATGAGCCACTGCACCTGGCTGTACTGTATCTTGAGCCAATGATTTAACTTCTTTGAGATTCAGTTTCCTCATCTATAAAATGGGAATGATAAAGTTTCCTTCCTCGTAGAGCTTTTGTTGTTGTTGTTGTTAAGTAAACCTTTTACTGACTGTAATCCAAATACCAAATTGTACATGATTAAATGTGTAGCTGAATAAATTTTCACAAAATAAGCATTGTTGTGTAATCAACAAAAAAAGATGATTTTGACGATTACATGAGACATGTGGGAAATACTTAGAGCAGTGCCCGGCACAGAGAACATGCTGGGATGGGTTGCTCCTGTTTCATGGGCATTGTGCTAAGTACTCTCTTTACATGCATTATTTTTATTTAATTTTGTTTTCCTTTTATTTACCTCACAATAACCCTTTGAGGTAGGCACTAATATTACCCTCATTTCAAATAAGGAAACTGAGATTCAGAGAAGTTAAATATACTGCCCAACATCACAAAGTTAGTAAATGACAGAGGTGAGAGAGGAACCCACGTCTTTTGCCAAAACCTCCTTCCAAAACTCCTTGATATAATGACTCCCCAAGACATCTATTGCAGCATCAGCTAATAAGCTATTTTTAAAAAGGATATTCAATGACCAACTAGGTAAACTGTGGTCTGCTGAATTCTCTTTTTTTTTTTTTTTTTTTTTTTTTGAGACAGAGTCTCACTCTGTCACCCTGGCTGGAATGCAATGGCTCGATCTTGGCTCACTGCAGCCTCCGCCTCCCGGGTTCAAGCAATTCTCCTGCCTCAGCCTCCCAAGTAGCTGGGATTACAGGTGCCCACCACTACACCTGGCTAATTTTTGTATCTTTAGTAGAGATGGGGTTTCACCATGTTGGCCAGGCTGGTCTCGAACTCCTGACCTCAGGTGATCCACCCACCTCGGCCTCCCAAAGTGCTGGGATTACAGGCGTGAGCCACTTTGAGCCCGGCTGGTCTGCTGAATTCTCAAGTTGATAAAATAATTATCTGTTGAGCACCTACTACATGCCAGGCACAGTTCTAGGCACTGGAGATACAGAGAAAGCAAGAGAGAAAAGCTCCCTTTTCTCCCCAGGGAGCTTATATTTTGGCAGGAGAAGACAGATTTTTAAAAACAAAGATAATTTCTGATGTAATAAATGCTATCAAGAAAATAAACCAGGCCAGGCACGATGGCTCATGCCTGTAATCCTAGCACTTTGGGAGGCCAAGGTTGGCAGATTGCCTGAGCTCAGGAGTTCGCGACCAGCCTGGGCAACATGGCAAAACCCTGTCTCTACTAAATATACAAAAAATTAGCTGGGCGTGGTGGTGCATGCCTGTAGTCCCAGCTACTTAGGAGGCTGATTCAGGAGAATCCCTTGACCCCGGGGGGCGGAGGTTGCAGTGAGCCGAGATCACACCACTGCACTCCAACCTGTGTGACAGAGTTAAACTCTGTCCCCAAAATAAAAAGAAAAGAAACCAGAATCGACTGGGAGCAATGGCTCATGCCTGCAATCCCAGCACTGTAGGAGGCCGAGGTGGGAGGATCACTTGGGCCCAGGAGTTAGAGACCAGCCTGGACAACATAGAGACATCCTGTCTCTACAAAAAATTTAAAATTTAGCTGGGCATGGTGGCACACGCTTGTAGTCCCAGCTACTTGGAAGGCTGAGGGAGAAGGAGTTCAGGAGTTCGAGGCTGAAGTGAGCTATGATGGTTCCACAGCACTCCAGCCTGTGCAACATAGCTAGACCCTGTCTCTATAAAAAATAACAATAATAAAGTATTCTAAGAAAGAAAGAAAGAAAGACAGAAAGAAAGAAAGAAAGTTAGTTGGTTGGGTGTGGTGGCTCATACCTATAATCCCAGCAGTTTGAGAGGCTGAGATGGGGGTATCGCTTGAGTCCAAAAATTTAAGACCAGCCTGGGCAACACAGCAAGGCCCGATCTCTACCAAAAAAAAAAAACCCAAATATATATATATAAAATATGTATGTGTATATAATATATATGTGTGTGTATATGTAAATATAAATATATAAAGTAGAGTAATAGGATGGAGAGAGACTTTCATTCAGGGAGACTGCCTTGGATGCTTTAGATATGATGTTCAAGGAAGGCCCCCTGAGGAGGCGACAGTCGATCTGAGACTTGGATGTTGTGGAAGAGCTGACTGAGTGACAACCTTGGGGAAGGACACTCCAGAGAGAGCCCCAAGGGTTATGCAGCCATTCTAATATATTGTATTGAGACCTGGAAAAAAGTAAAACAAGGCCGGGTGCGGTGTCTCACGCCAGTAACTCCAGCACTTTGGGAGGCCGAGGCGGGCGGATCACCTGAGGTCGGGAGTTAGAGACCAGCCTGAACAACATGGAGAAACCCCGTCTCTACTAAAAATACAAAATTAGCCAGGTGTGGTGGCGGATGCCTGTAATCCCAGCTACTCGGGAGGCTGAGACAGGAGAATCGCTTGAATGTGGGAGGTAGAGGTTGCAGTGAGCCGACATGCGCCATTGCACTCCAGCCTGGGCAACAAGAGCAAAACTCCATCTCAAAAAAAAAAAAAAAGTAAAACAAAAAAGCATAAGATACACTAAGATGACAACTATTACAATACGTGGGCTCACCTGGTCCCAACCTTTGCCAGATAGATAACATCCTGAGAAAAGTGAAACAGTCAGTTATTGAGGTGCTGTGATTATGGGTGTTTTGGTTTTCTTGTCCTTTTCCAAAAAAATCTGCTGTTGTTACATTTTTCTTTTTGCAACTTTTTTAAAGTACAGAAGAAAGAAGAAATATTCCAGGAGTCTCATACAAACCAAATAAGAGTTCTCTGATTACTACGAAGGCTATGCGTGTGAGAAGAATGTATTATCTTAGTGAACATGCTGTGCAATCTCAAGTGAGTCACACTCCCTCTCTGGGCCACAATCCTGAACATGCAGGATGTCACATCACCTGCTATACCTGCCAAATGTGGGGTTCTCCACAGGCAAGAGCACTGGCAAAGTCAAGCCTTTCTGCTGTTCATACGATACATACTTTTAAGAACACCTATTTTTTAATTTTTAATTTTTTTTTTTGAGATGGAGTCTCACTCTGATGCCCAGGCTGGAGTGCAGTGGTGCAATCTTGGCTCACTGCAACCTCCACCTCCCAGGTTCAAGAGATTCACGTGCCTCAGCCTCCCAAGTAGCTGGAATGACAGGCACACACCACCACACACGGCTAATTTTTATATTTTTAGTAGAGACAGGCGTCTCACCATGTTGCTGGTCTCTAACTCCTGACCTCAAGTGATCCACCCACCTCAGCCTCGCAAAGTGCTGGGATTACAGGTGTGAGCCACTACGCCTGGTCAGAACACTTACTTTTTGGTAACAGAGGAAAAGAAACACTGAGCCATTAATAAAAATCAGTCAGGATAATGACAAGCCAAGTCAACAGACTGGGAGAAAATATTTGCAAAAGACACATCTAATAAAGGACTATTATTCAACATATACAAAGAACCCTTAAAACTCAACAATAAGAAAACAAATGGGCCGGGCACAGTGGCTCAAGCCTGTAATCCCAGCACTTTAGGAGGCTAAGGTGGGTGGATCACGAGGTCAGGGGATTGAGACCATCCTGGCTAACACGGTGAAACCCCGTCTCTACTAAAAATACAAAAAATTAGCTGCGCGTGGTGGCGGGCGCATGTAGTCCCAGCTACTCGGGAGGCTGAGGCAGGAGAATGGCATGAACCTGGAAGGTGGAGCTTGCAGTGAGCCGAGATGGCGCCACTGCACTCTAGCTTGGGCGACAGAACGAGACTCCGTCTCAAAAAAAAAAAAAAAGAAAAGAAAAAGAAAACAAATGACTCAATTAAAACATGGACAAGGCTGGGCTTGCTGGCTCATGCCTGTAATCCCAGCACTTTGGGAGGCCGAGGTGGACTGATCACAAGGTCAGGAGTTCGAGACCAGCCTGGCCAACATGGTAAAACTCCGTTTCTACTAAAAATACAAAAATTAGTTGGGTGTGGTGGTGGGCGCCTGTAACCCAGCTACTCAGGAGGCTGAGACAGGAGAATCATTTGAATCTGGGAGGTGGAGTTTGCAGTGATCCGAGATGGCACCATTGCACTCCAGCCTGGGCAACAGAAAAAGACTCCGTCTCAAACAAAACAAAACAAAACAAAACAAGAGAAAAAAAAAAACATGGACAAAAGATCTGGACAGACACTTCACCAAAGAAGATAAACGAATGGCAAATAAACACATGAAAATATGCTCAACATCATGTGTCATTAGGGAATTGCAAATTAACACAACAACGAAACGCCACTACTAGAATGAAATACCAACTAGATTAGCCAAAATCCAGAACACTGACACCACCAAATGCTGACAAGGCTGTGGAACAACAGTAACTCTCATTCATTGCTGGTGGGAATGCAAAATGGTACAGCCACTTGGAAGACAGTTTGACAGTTTCTTACAAAACTAAACACACTCTTACCATACTAGCCAGTGATCACACTGCTTGGTATTTACTCAAAAGAGCTGAAAACTTATGTTCACACAAAAACTTACACAGGAATGTTTATAGCAGCTTTATTCATAATTGCCAAAACTTGGAAGCAACCAAGGTGTTCTTCAGCAGGTGAATGGATAAATAAACTGTGGTACATCCAGACAGTGGAATAGTACTCTGCACTAAAAAGAAACGAGCTAACAAGTGATGGAAAGACATAGAGGAAACTTAAATGCATATAATTAAGTGAAAGAAGACCATCTGAAAAGGCTGACATACTGTATGATTCCAACTATATGACATTCTGGAAAAGGTAAAACTATGGAGACAATTAAAAAATTAGTGATTGGCCAGGTGCGGTAGCTCACGTCTGTAATCCCAGCACTTTGGGAGGCCGAGGCAGATGGATTACTTGAGCTCAGGAGTTTAAGACCAGCCTGGCCAACATGTGAAACCCCATCTCTACTAAAAAATACAAAAATTAGCCAGGCATGGTGGCACACGCCTGTAATCCCAGCTACTCAGGAGGCTGAAGCAGGACAGTTGTTTGAACCCAGGAGGCAGAGGTTGCAGTGAGCCAAGATCATGCCACTGCACTCCAGCCTGGGCGACAGAGCGAGTGAGACTCTTATCTCAAAAAAAGAAAAAAAAAAAATTAGTGGTCAGTGGTAAGCAGGGAGGAAGGGATGAATTGGCAGAGCACAGAGGATTTTTATGGGAGTGAAATTAGTCTGTATGGTACTGAAGTGGTAAATACATGTCACTATACATTTGTCCAAACTCCAAGAATGTACAACACCGAGTGACCATTAATGTAAACTCTGGGTTGGGGTGATAGTGCTGTGTCCACATAGGTTTATCAATTGTAACAAAGGTACCGCTCTGATCACCTAAGGTCAGAAATTCAAGACCACACTGGCCACCGTGCAAAACGTTGTCTCTACTAAAAATACAAAATTTAGCCGGGCGTGGTGGTGGGTGTCTGTAATCCCAGCTACTTGGGAGGCTGAGACAGGAGAATCGCTTGAACCTGGGAGGGGGAGGTGGCAATGAGCCGAGATTGGGCTACTGCACTCCAGCCTGGGCGACAGAGCGAGACTGTCTCAAAAAACACAAAAACAAAAAAACCAAGGTACCGCTCTTGTGGGGGATGTTGATAGTCGGGGAGGCTGTGCATGTGTAGGGGCCAGGGCTCTATGGGGTATCTCTGTACCTTCCTCTCGATTTTGCTGTGAACCTAAAAACTGCTGTAAAAAATAAAGGGTATTACTTTTTTTAAATCAATTTTTAAAATATTTTTTCTTTGTTTTAAGAAAACAAAGAAGCATTGTCTGGTATAATTTGTTAGCTCAGGTGGAAGAATGAAAAATTCCTGGAAGATCTTTGTTCCTTAAGATCTGCCACGGCTTCCCTGGGGAAGAACAAAATGGGAAGTTGTGTGTAAAATGAGGAGTTGGGATACCAACACCCACTACTTCCCAGACACTTGCTGTACGCTAATCCCTGTGCTTTTAGGAATTATTTCATTTGTCCTTTCAACAGCCAAATGAAAATGTTCCTATTGCATGTGTAAACCGAGAAGAGTGTCTAAGACAGGTCTCCATCAGTTTAGAGGTTTATTTTCCCAACGTTGAGCTGGAGAGGAAGGAGGAAAGAAAAAAAAAGGGAGGGTAGAAAAAATGAGACAAGTCTGGTTACATTGTTCTGAGGCTTTGCTGAGCCCTCACTGAATCCACATGTTGCATGTGAAAAGGAGGGGGTAGAGGAACAGTCTGTATTCCGGCTGGGTGCGAGTGTAGTGGCTCATGCCTGTAATCCTAGCACTTTGGGAGGGCGAGATGGGCGGATCACCTGAGATCAGAGGTTCGGGACCAGCCTGGCCAACATGGTGAACCCTGTCTCTACTAAAAATACAAAAATTAGTGGGGCATGGTGGCGCATGCCTGTAATCCCAGCTACTCGGGAGGCTGAGGCAGGAGAATCACTTGAACCCGGGAGGTGCAGGTTGTAGTGAGCCGAGATCGCACCACCGCACTCCAGCCTGCGCAACAGAGTAAGACTCCATCTCAAAAACAAACAAACAAACAAACAAAAATTATGTATTCCTCTCATGCTCAACGTGCTCAGTAAATCTACACTTTACATAAGATAAACACACAGCAGAGGAAGAAGTCAAATACGCATTCCTCTGGGGTGGGCGGTGGGACTATTTCTAGTCTCCTCTTGTCCCATACCCATCAAGATAAGATGCTCATTTACATTGTCAGGGTGAGGGAGGTCACCTGGGGAGATACCTATTTAAGAAGAGAAGGAAAGGCAATTGTTTATGTGTGACTCAGTTTCCAAACTTAACTTTCCCTTTTGGCACCGTGAGTTGGGGGTCCCAAGATCTTATTTTCCTTTCATACATGGAAGGTGTAAAAAGTAAAGTAGAGGTTCCTCTTCAAAGACTTTCCTCCCCATCTAATTAGGAATAAATAGTAACTTCTCTTAGAAGCAAAATTTATTCAAAGACCTGTGCTAACATTCTTAAATATCTGCTAGCCATAATAAAGAAATCAATATACTTTATGTTCTTAGCTTCCACAATTTAGCCTAAATATTTGCCCTGGCATGCTTATACTGGTCCAAGCAAGCATTAGGTCATAGCCTGTTCCTCTTCCTTATTTAAAAGTGTTTTTACCTTTCTCAGCATTCCATAAGTTACTTCCTCCTTCCTTTGTTCCCCTCTACCTTTGCCTCTTTTAAAAAGTTGTAAGTCTCTAGCCAATAGGGACAAATACAGAATGTGAGGTCAGGTTCCAGCCAATGGAAACCGGACACAGCAGTAGGGTGGACGCATCAGGTTATAAATGACCCTGTCTCCTTTGTTCGGTGTACTCTCGTGGCAGAACTGCTGGAGAGTGTGAAGTAAAAATGGCCTTACTAAATAAATTAAATTTATGTCCAAGTGCTATTTCTTTACTGCACCGAGGAACAAACATTTCAAACAAAGGGTTCAAACTTAGTATTATTCCCAGTTAACCGCTGAGGAAACAGGCTGAAGGATGTAGATTTTCCCCATCACTCAGGTCTGCCTGAGTCCAGACGCTGTGTCTAAACCCCCAAGGCAGATGGGAGTCCTTTAAGCCCCCTTCCAGTTTTGAGGGTCCTCTGTTCCATGCCTGGATCTGTTCCTTCTGGGAGCGCTGCTCTTTTGGGCTTTGGATCCCTGGAAGGACAGTGCTGTGCCCGTAGGGGACTGAGGAGATGACAGCCTGGCGTTTGACTTCATGCAGGAATTTCACACCTTCCCAGACCTTAGAGTGCAGGTGGAGGGTGTCTGGCAGAGAAGGCGCCAAGTACTGCCTGCTGGGGCTGGGAAGGACTGCTCCCATGGCAAGGGAGGCCAGCGGCTCCTTCTCCTGCCCTGGCCACCTGTTTCCTAGCCCTCCCCTCCCCACCTCTCCACCTCGGAATGCTAAATGCAAAGCTGGTGGGCTGGCTGGGTATTAATAACTCGACTCTGACAGACTCTGACGTCTATGCTGATAAGAAAGGCGTTTCCTACTGGAGCCAAGGCATCTGCATGCCTTCTCAGCCATCTCTCCAACCCCTCAGTGCCCCTGAAGAGAATGAGGGTGGCAGGATAATAATAGTAACCATAGCTACCCTGTTTTGAGTGCTGTAAGGTGCCAGGCCACCGTGCCAAATGCGTCACCCACATTGTTGCATTCAATCCTACAGCCATCCCTTCAGGTACTTTTAGTATCTCCATTTCATATATGAAACAACTGAGGCTTGTGAGAGGTCAAGTAATTTGCCGCAGGACGCACAGCAAGTGAGCCGCAGAGAGAAACTCAAATCCTATCCTCCAGCAGAACCAAACCCTCGTCTTCTCCCCCCTAGTGGGTGGTGAGAGCCAGAGGGAGGCACGCTGCTCCGGCTGGCTGGTGCGCAAGGGAAGTTCTGTGCCTGGTTTCTTCAACTTCCAGGAACAGAGTGGACTAGGATGCGGCAGAGAGGGAGGGGACGAGCTTCCAGGAAGCCGCCTTTCCGGTGGATGAACAGCAAGATCAGGGCTGTTGGCCCAGGCCTCGTGATGGCCCCAGGGGGCAGGGGCAGGGCCAGCCTGGGAGAAGGGCCCTCCCCAGGCTTCTAAAGCGAGGAATCGGGTAACAGGAACATCTGTTTCTGCCCAGGGAAGGTGAGGTTGTGCTTGGAGCAGGCAGGGCCTTTCCACCTCTGCCCACCTCCTCTCCTCTGGTCCCTGGTTCTCCATCCATCGCTCCTCCCCTCCTTTCAGGTGCTTGACATTTGGAGTCTCCCAGGAAATAGGGAAAATCACAGCGGGAGGAGAGCAGAGCAGCCCATTTGTCCGAGGCTCTCAGTCACAGAGGCCTCAAATTTAGGCTTTGCACCTTGGCATCTGAGTGGCAGTGAGGCATAATGGTTAAGCCTGCAGCCCCTGGAGCAAGATTCCTGCTGGGCGGCCACCCTCCCAGGGCCGCCACTTAATGCTGCCTAACCTTGGGCAGGTTCCTTAACCTCTCTGTGCCTCAGTTTCTCTGTCTGTAAGATAGGGATAAATAACTACTTCATAAGATTTTTGCAAAAATGCAATGAGTTGATAAATGTAAAGTAGATATTTCTGTAAGTGTGAAGCCTGGCACAGAATAAGCACTCTCTCAGTGTTAGCTGCTGTTTCCAAATGAAGTTACATACAGAATCATGGATAGAATGGAGAGAAGGCATCCATCAAAGAAATTTTCAAA
This sequence comes from Homo sapiens, assembly GCF_000001405.40. Taxonomy (NCBI): domain Eukaryota; kingdom Metazoa; phylum Chordata; class Mammalia; order Primates; family Hominidae; genus Homo; species Homo sapiens. The sequence continues at coordinate 26,095,677 of NC_000001.11, forward strand.
AACAGTCCCCTGGCCAGACGCGGTGGTTCATGCCTGTAATCCCAGCACTTTGGGAGGCCAAGGCAGGTGGATCACGAAGTCAGGAGATTGAGACCATCCTGGCTAACATGGTGAAACCCCATTTCTACTAAAAATACAAAAAAATTAGCCCGGAGCAGTGGCACATGCCTGTAATCCCAGCTACTCGGGAGGCTGAGGCAGGAGAATCGCTTGAACCTGGGAGGCGGTGGTTGCACTGAGCCAAGATCGCGCCACTGCACTCCAGCCTGGAGGACAGAGTGAGACTCCGTCTCAAAAAATAAATAAAATAAAATAAAATAAAATAAAATAAAATAAAATAAAATAAAAAACTGTCTCCTATACCTACACCACTCAGCACAACCACCAACCCCATTTCACTCTATTTCCTTTAGATTTTTTCCTGTTCATCATTTTTATAACATCGTAACCATCATACGCTTAAAAGTTGTAAAACTTTGGCTGGGCATGGTGGCTCACGCCTGTAATCTCAGCACTTTGGGAGGCTGAGGTGGGAGGATTACTTGAAACCAAGAGTTTGAGACCAGCCTGGCTAACATGACAAAACCCCCTCTCCACTACAAAAGTTAGCTGGGTGTGGTGGTACAAGCCTGTAATCCCAGCTACTTGGGAGGCTGAGGCAGGAGAATCACTTGAACCAGGGAGGCGGAGGTTGCAGTGAGCCAAGATTGCGCCATTGCACTCCAGCGTGGGTGACAGAGTGAGACTCTGCATCCAAAGAAAAAAATAAATAAAAAGAGTTGTGTAACTTTGGGACTTTTTTTTCATTTAACGTTTTATCCTAAGCATTTTCTATAATAATTCAGTAGGTTTTTGTTGAGGGTCTACTATGCACCAAGCATTGTTCTAAGCTCTGAGTATACAGCAGCCAACAGAACAAAGCCCTTTTTCTCCAGGAACAGAACAGACAAAGCCCTTCTCTCAAGGGCTTGGTGACATTTCCCGCTGGGCATTGATTGCTACATGGTCTTAGAACTCATTCTTTTAAACTGAGGCCTAATTTCATACAGTAGAGTGCACACATGTGAAATGTGAAGTTCAGTGAATGTTCATGTGTGTAGTCACCCATGTAACCACCACCCATCTCAAGATACAGAACATTTCCAGTGCTCCAGAAGATTTCCTCACCTTCCCAGTCAATAACTACTTTTCTTCCCCTCATGTAACCTTCTGGCTTCTATCAACATAGATTAGTTTCACCTGTTTAAGAACAAGATCCACTCTTTTGAGAATGTCCATTTTCTAATGGCTGCAGAATATTCTATCCTATGGATATGTTGTTGGACACGTTTTACTTTTAGTTTCTCACTGTTATCAATAACGCTACCTTGGGCCAGGCGCGATGGCTCACGCCTGTAATCCCAGCACTTTGGGAGGCTGAGGCAGATGAATCACCTGAGATCGGGAGTTTGAGACCAGCCTGGCTAACATGGTGAAACTCTGTCTCTACTAAAAATACAAAAAAAAAAAAAAAAAAAAGCCAGGCATGGTGGCACGCGCCTGTAATTCTAGCTATTCAGGAGGCTAAGGCAGGAGAATCGCTTGAATCTGGGAGGCGGAGGTTACAGCGAGCTGAGATCACGCCACTGCGCTCCAGCTTGAGCGGCAAAGCGGGACTCCATCTCAAAAATAATAATAATAATGCTACATTGAATGTCACATTTTAAATCACTTCCTTAGGCTATAGACTCTCAGAAGCAGGACTGACTACTGAAAGCGTCTTGGTAAATACCGACAGATTGCTTTCCTGAAAGAGTGTGTGGCACCCACAGTGAATGTAACTGGAGGGGCAAGCTATGGGTGCAGCGCATCCCTACAGTGTCCAGCTCAACTCAATTGTCTACCTCCCTATCCCTGTTTGAGCTTGAATACTCACATATAATACAGTGGTCTGGAAGGGTGTCTCCACGAGAAGTCTGAACGCCTTGAGAAAGATCCACAAGACTCTCTTGTTGAAGTTGCCATAATAGGGAGTTTGGGCCTCAACTTTACAATGTCAAAACTCTAACTTTTTGTTTACATTAAGAGAGGATCCACCCTTGGGCTAACAATAATGAACCAAAAGAGTCTGACTCAATCATAAAGCAGATAACAATCTGTGAGTTTATAAAGATAAATTTATCTGTCAAGTATGCAAGAATGTGAGTATATCAAAAGACTGGTGTGTCCTCCCCTTGTTAGAAAGCCACAGGGGAAGCCAAATGATCAACAGAAAATTTCTTGGTGTCTCAGTCTGAGTCAGAAAGCAGAGAAGGAAGCCCTGGAATGTGTAGAGAGGGCACCCTTATCTTCAGCTCAAAAGACCTCCTCAGCTCTGAGCCTATAAGGAGCAGTAAGTTTTCCTTAAGTTCAGCAGTTCCTTGGCTATTCCTCCTTCCCACCCCAAACTTCCAAACACCAGATCCTGTGCAATCTCCCACCTGCCCTTAAATCTATTTCTTCCCATCGCCTCATTCACAGCCTGGTCCAGACCACTATCATCTCTTGCCTAAACCTTTGCAATTCATCTCTCCTTGCCCTCTTGCCCACTCTTGATCCAGTCTCCATCTGCCAGCTAGAGTGATCTTTTTTTGTTTTTGTTTTTTGAGACTGAGTTTCACTCTATTGCCCAGGCTGGAGTGCAGTGGCACAATCTCGGCTCACTGCAATCTCCATCTCTCGGGTTCAAGTGATTCTCATGCCTCAGCCTCCTGAGTAGATGGAATTACAGGCATGTGCCACCATGCCTGACTAATTTTTGTACTTTTAGTAGAGACAGAGTTTCACCATGTTGGCCAGGCTGGTCTCAAACTCCTGACCTCAAATGATCTGTCTGCCTTGGCCTCCTAAAGTGCTGGAATTACAGGTGTGAGCCGCCTCACCCAGCCTAGAGTGATCTTTTAAACTGGACATATGAGCGTGTTTAAAGTCTCTACTTAGTTGAATGTGTTGGCTCATAACTACAATCCCAACACTTTGGGAGGCCAAGGCAGGAGGATCACTTGAGGCCAGGAGTTCAAGTTTAGCTTGGGCAACATAGCAAGACTATGTCTCCACATAAGTAAATAAACAAATAATTAGCTGGGTATGGTTGCATGCACCTGTGGTCTCAGCTACTTGGGAAGCTGAGATGGGAGGATCGCTTGAGCCCAGGAAGTCAAGGCTGCAGTGGACTGCGATCGTGTCACTGTACTACAGCCTGGGCAAAGAGCAAGACCCTACCTCAAAAAAAAATAAAAATAAAATAAATAAAATCTTTACTTAAAACTCTTTGGTGATTGACAGGTTGACAGATGAACAAAATATAGTATATACACAAAACGGAATATTGTTCAGCCTTAAAGAGGAATGAAATTCTGACACATGCTACAACATGGGTGAAACTTGGAGACCTTACACTAAGTGAAATAAGCCAGACACAAAAAAATAAATACTGAATTATTCTATTCATATGAGGTACCTAGAATAGTCAAATTATAGAGACAGAAAGTAGAGGCTGGGTGCGGTGGCTCATGTCTGTAATCCCAGCACTATGGGAGGCCGAGGCTAGCAGATCTACCTGAGGTCAGGAGTTCGAGACCAGCCTGGCCAACATGGTGAAACCCCATCTCTACAAAAAATACAAAAAATTAGCCAGGTGTGGTGGCAGGCACATATAATCCCAGCTACTTGGGAGGCTGAGGCAGGAGAGTCGCTTGAACCTGGGAGGTGGAGGTTGCAGTGAGCTGAGATTGCGCCATTGCACTCCAGCCTGGGAGAAAAGAGTGAAACTCTGTCTTAAAAAAAAAAAAGTAAAATAGTGGTTATCCAGTTACCAGGGGCTGGGAAGAGAAGGAATGGAGAGTTATTGTTTAATGGATACAGAGTTGCAGTTTGGGATGATAAAAAAACCCCGAATGTCCGGGCTGGATGGTTCACACCTGTAATCCCAGCATTCTGGGAGGCTGAGGCAGGTGGATCACTTGAGGTCAGGAGTTCGAGACCAGCCTGGCCAACATGGTGAGACCTTGTCTCTACTAAAAATACAAAAATTAGCCAGACATGGTGGCACATGCCTATAGTCCCAGCTACTTGGGAGGCTGAGGCGGGAAGATTGTGTGAACCGGCAGGTGGGGGTTGCAGTGAGCTGAGATCACACCATTGCCCTCCAGCCTGGGAGACAGAACAAGACTTCATCTCAAACAATAATAATAAAAATAAAAGTTCTGGATGGTGGTGATGGTTGCACAACAATATAAATGTACTTAATGCCGTTGAACTATACAGTTAAAATGATTAAATCAGCAAATTTTATGTTACCTCTATTTTACCACAATTAAAAAAAAAATAGACCCTTGCTGACCTGTTGCTTTTATGCCCAAATCCATAACATGATCTACAAGACCCTACAGGATATCACCCCTGCTTGTGTAGGGGTTTTAAGGCTAAACCTTACAACTTATTCCCCCTCCAGTTGGGATCTGGACCTATTAGGAAATCCCAATGGCAATCAAGGCAATGGAGAGATAAAAATATGGGCCTTATTACTGATAAAGTTGGGCTTTGGAAGCAAAAGCTTGTATTTATACCCACAATGGAGCTTCCTAGTATCTTCCTCTCCCCATCGTTTCCCCCCAGCTCTTGATTTAAACTTCCAGCTGAGGCCTGCATAGAGCAGCTGGTACCGGCCGTCCTGAATGCCAAGCATGCTCCTCCCTCCGCTTCTCACTTAGCTCATTTCTGCCCCTCGGTCATTTCTTAGCATAAGTGTCACATGTGGCTGGGTGCATTGCCTCACGCCTGTAATCTCAGCACTTTGGGAGGCTGAGGCGGGCAGATCACTTGAGGCCAGGAGTTCGAGGCCAGGAGTTCAAGACCAGCCTGGCCAACATGGCGAAACCCCGTCTCTACTAAAAATACAAAAAATTAGCCAGGAGTGGTGGTGTGTGCCTGTAGTCCCAAGCTGTCTGTGAGGCTGAGGCAGGAGAATCACTTGACCCGGGAGGCAGAGGTTACAGTGAGCTGGGATCGCACTATTGCACTCCAGCCTGAGGAACGGAGTGGGACTGTCTCCAAAAAAAAAAAAGAAAAAAAAAAAAGGCCTCTGTCATATGCTCAGAGGCTTTCCGTGGCCCATACTACCTCCCTCCTCCCTGCCTCCTAATAAGTCTCATGCGCCCTAGAGCTTCTCCTGCATAGCGCTTTCCAGAACTGTATTTATGTGTCTCTTTCCATGATCATTGTGGGTGTAAATAAGAAGGCAAGTTTCATGAGAACAGGCACTGCGCTATGGTCTCCATGTGTCCCCCTAAAATTCATGTTAAAACTGAATTGCTAGTGTGATAAGAGGTAGGACCTTTAGTATGTGATTAAGTCATGAGGGTGGAGCCATCATGGGTAGGATTAGTGACCTTATAAAAAGCGTGCAAGGGGCCGGGCACGGTGGCTCATGCCTGTAATCCCAGCACTTTGTGAGGCCAAGGCAGGCAGATCACGAGGTCAATAGATTGAGACCATCCTGGCCAACATGGTGAAACTCCGTCTCTACTAAAAAAAAAAAAAAAAAAAAAAAATTAGCCAGGTGTGGTGGCACGTGCATGTAGTCCCAGCTACTCAGGAGGCAGAGGCAGGAGAATCACTTGAACCTGGGAGGCGGAGGTTGCAGTGAGCCGAGATTGTGCCACTGCACTCTAGCTTGGCAACAGAGCACGAATCCGTCTCAAAAAAAAAAAAAAAAAAAGATAAAAGGGGTGCAAGGGAGCTATTCATCCCTTTTTGCCCTTCCACTTCTGCCTTGTGAGGATGCAGCACCAAGCCACCATCTTGGAAGCAGAGACAGCAGCTCTCACCAGAGATGGAATCTACTGGCACCTTGATCTTGGTCTTCCCAGCTTCTAGGACTGGGGGAAGTAAATTTCTGTTGTTTATAAATTACCCAGTCTAAGGTATTTTGTTATAGCAGCATGAACAGACGAAGACACATTGTGTATGCCGTATGTTTCCTTCATGGCCACATCCCCAGTGCCTAGCACGGTGCCTGGCACTTTGGCTCCCATACACATTGCAGAATATTCCATTCACTAGCACTCCTCTCCAGGAGAGTTCTGTATACTGTTGGAAGACAAATGTGGATAAGGCTTGGGGCTGGGAGGTCAGGGGCCAGCCTAAGTAATATTCGCAGCTACATGAATTAGCGGGCCTTGTGGAGTCTACAGGTTTGTCCAGGGTCCAGGAGGTCAGGACCATCGAGAGGCTAAGTGTGGTTATCTGTGCCTCCTTCCCAGCCCCTGCTCTAAATAACCATAGAGCAAATATTTGAAGAATGTCAGCTTAAAGGAGTGTCTCACTCTGACCCTCAAATTTCTATTTATTTTTTAAATTGACAAAAATTGTATTTATTTACTCATATGTACAACATGATGCTTTGAAATATGAATACATTGTGGAATGGCTAAATTTAAGGCCCAGTGTAAATGCTACCTCCTCTCTAAAGCTTTCCTGCCCGCCATTCCCCTCCACAGAAGCACAGTTTGGATTTCCTCCCCTGGGCTATGTAACCTCAGCTGGCACTGGTTGAATTGTACTGTCTGCATATTTATATGTCTGTCTCCCCTCCCAGAGAAAGTCCATGAGGGCAGGGACCTTATCTTTCTGTTCACTGCTTTTTCTCAGCATCAAGCACAATTTCTTGCACGTGGTGGATATTCACCAAATAGCTGTTGACTTAACGAACAAAGTGCCACCATGTGCCAGGCACTAGTTGACTTCTGAAGAGAGGGGTATATGTCAAGACATTTGTTAGCCACCCACCAGCCTCTGAATTTAAGCCTGCCAGTAAGCCCCATCCTTCAGGACACAGAGCTTGGTCAAGGAGGGGCCCACAACCCTATCTCTTACCCCCTACTCCCTAGCCCCTAGCCAATCAGGTCCAACAAGACTTAATTTCAGGAATGTTGTTTGAGGAATAGAGAAGTTGACTTTCTCATTCCTGCAGGATATGATCTCATAAGGCTGAATTCCCACTGGTGACCCCGAGGCCCACAAGGGAAGCCAGCCTTAAGATGAAGGCAGCATCATGGGAGGCAGAACAGAGGAAACTAGAGTCTTTGGTGACATGTGAGCTGCTGAATCAAACTTCCTTCCCGAAGCTAGCCCTCCCACCTCCATTTCTCTTAGGTAAATGTACCAATCATTCCTTTCAGTCACTTTGAGTTGAGTTTCTGCTCTTGCAACATGAAGCATCCAGAAGAGGCCAGAGAATCAGAGGAAGCCGAAGCTTTAACACTTCAGGACCTGCTGAGGAGTCGGGTGAATCCTCAGTTTGGGACACTCCCAACACCCCCATCCAGCATGGTTTTCAGATGGTGGCATCCCCAGCAGCTCTTGGACCCAGGGGCAGGAGATGTGAACCTGGGTCTTAACCATCAGCTGCTCCAGCTGTTCTCAGTCCTCACCAAGAAGACAACTAGGACCCATCCAAAGACAAAAACAGCTAATGTTATACCTGGTGCAAGACCTTTGTGGGCCCCCAGATCACTTGTCTCAGGGGCTGGATCAGAAATAAACATTTTGATCTTCTTATTACAAGCATAGTGGAGGTGTAGGATTCAAGAATCAGAGTGTTGGAGCTATAAGGATCCTTAGAGATGAGCTGGTCAGACCCCCTCATTTTGCAGATGGGGAGACTGAGGCCCACAGCAGGGGGGAGTCTTTCTTGCTCAAGATGACACAGCGTGTTAGTGCCAAAGCTAATACCCTTCCTAAAGGAGTTTCTCCCTCAGCCTCCCCCTGCAGAAATGGGGCTGGGGTGGCTGGGCACAGTGGCTCACGCCTATAATCCCAACACTTTGGGAGGCCGAGGTGGGTGGATCACCTGAGGTCAGGAGTTCGAGACCAGCCTGGCCAATATGGCAAAACCCCATCTCTATCAAAAATACAAAAATTAGCCAGGCATGGTGGCGCATGCCTATGATCCTAGCTACGCAGGAGGCTCAGGCAGGAGAATCGCTTGAACCCAGGAGGCAGAGGTTGCAGTGAGCCAAGATTGTGCCATTGCACTCGAGCCTAGGCAACAGAGCAAGACTCCATCTCAAAAAAAAAAAAAAAAAAGAAAAGAAAAGAAAAGAAATGGGGCTGGGGCTCCCCAAGCTTGGGAAGAAGAAGGGAGGGGACACTGTCGGGGATTCTCTCTGCTACAGCAGTTAGGAGCTGCTCCGGAAACATTCACTGACAGGCCTAGCCAGTCGCCCTTAATGACCTCATTGTGGCATTTTGATAACAACTTGTGGTTGGCTCAGTGGGTACTAGGTCTCTAACAATGCATCAATGATGCCTCTCATAATTTCTCCAGAGGAGAAATTCAGGGTCAGCAATCTGGTGGGAAGAAAGACTCCAAGATGTGCCTTGGGGACAGGGTGTATATGGGAAGTCTGTAATTTCCACTCAACTTCACTGTGAACCTAAAACTTCTCTAAAAATAAAGTCTTTTAAAACACACACACACACAACCGGGCATGGTGGCTCATGCCTGAAATCCCAGCACTTTGGGAGGCCAAGGCGGGCAGATCACTTAAAGCCAGGGGTTCAAGGCTAGCCTGGCCAACATGGTGAAACCCCATCTCTACTAAAAATACAAAAATGAGCCAGGAGTGGTGGCATGCGCCTGTATTCCAGCTACTCGGGCGCCTGTAATTCCAGCTACTCAGGGGGCTGAGGTGGGAGAATCGCTTGAACCCAGGAGGCGGAGGTTGCAGTAAGCCAAGATTGTGCCACTGCACTCCAGCCTGGGGGACAGAGCGAGACTCCATCTCAAACACACACACACACACACACACACACACACACACACACACGCAGTTAGACCCCAATTGAAGTGCCTGTGTGACTTTGGACAAGTTCTTTCACCTCTTAGAACCTTTGTTTCCTCAGTTGTAAAAGGGAGGACAATAATAGCACATGCTTTACAGGGTCACTGTGCAGATTAGATGAGATCACTCTATAAACAGTACTTTGCACAGTGCCTCGCACAGAAGTTAGTATGAATATTACCTATTATTTATTTATATTACCGATTTGTATTTATTTATCTATAGTTTATAGGTAAAATTGCTCCATGATAATCTGCTTCCTGTGGACCCATTCTAATTAGGGACAGCCCATTTGCCTCTTCCCATGTGACCTCTCTTCAGATAGGAAAAGTAAGGCTCAGATTCATGTTGATTTATGGGGCTGGGGACCTGGAGTCCAAAGACTCCAGGAGTCTTGGCTCCACCAGTGACTTATTAGGAACCTAAGTTACTGAGTCCCTTTGAGTCTCAGTTTCTCCAGATGTAAAAGGCTATGCTCATATTCTCCACTTCGTAGGGTTCTTGCGGGATAAAGGACTTGGATCTTGACAGGTCTGGGAATTCAGACCTGCTTTAGTGAGACTGGAGCATCAGCTTCACTAATGGAACCTGCCACCAGGGGGCAGGCTTGCTACATCCAAGTTCCCATTTGTCCAAAATACTCATTTCCTTTTTTGAGCGTGATTGTCTAACTTTTTATTATGGAAAGAGTCAAACATACACAAAGGTAGAATGGTATAATAAGCCTCACGTGCCCAGCACTAAGTTTCAACAACTATCAACATTTTGCCAATCTTCCCCTCTCTGTTTGCTGTGCTGATAGTGGAGTATTTTAAAGTATATTCCAGGCCTCATTTCGTTTCATCCATAATGCACGTGTGCTGAATTGAAAAAGACTTATTTTCGGCCAGGCACTGTGGTTCACACCTGTAATCCCAGCACTTTGGGAGGCTGAGATGGGCGGATCACCTGTGGTCAGGAGTTTGAGACCAGCCTGACCAACATGGAGAAACCCCATCTCTACTGAAAATACAAAATTAGCCAAGCGTGATGGCGCATGCCTATAATCCCTGCTACTCAGGAGACTGAGGCAGGAGAATCGCTTGAATCTGGGAGGCAGAGGTTGCGGTGAACCGAGATTGCGCTATTGCACTCCAGCCTGGGCAACAAGAGCGAAACTCCATCTCAAAAAAAAAAAAGAAAGAAAGAAAAAGACTTATTTTCACAAACACTGTGTCACTTAACAAAAAAGAACAATAATTACTTAATTTGATCTAAGTTCATATTTAAATTTCTTTTTTCTTTTTTTCTTTCTTTTTTTTGAGGGTCTCACTCTGTCTCTAGACCAGGCTGGAGTGCAGTGGCATAATCTCCGCTCACTGCAACCTCTGCCTCCTGGGTTCAAGTGATTCTCCTGCCTCAGCCTCCCAAGTAGCTGGGACTACAGGCTTGTGCCACCATGCCTGGCTAATTTTTGCATTTTTTGGTAGAGACTGGGTCGTTCACTGTGTTGCCCAGGCTGGTCTCACCCAACTCCTGGCCTCAAGTGATCTGCCCACCTCAGCCTCCCAAAGTGTTGGGATTTCAGGTGTGAGTCGCCGTGCCTAACCTATATTTAAATTTCTGAAGACATCTTTTGACAAATTGACTCATTTGAATCGTGATCCAAATGAGTTTACTGCATTTGGTAAGTCACTTTCACATTCCACGGTCCAGTTTTACTTCTATATCATGAATCTACTGGAGAATCCAGGACACTTGTCCTGTCCTGTAGCATGCTCCACATTTGGAGTTTGACTGATTATGATCTTTGTCTATCCCTCATATTTCTCGAAAACTGGTAATTAGATTTTGGCTTGATAAGACTTAGGCTCTTTTTCTTTCTTTCTTTCTTTTTTTTGTTGTTGTTCTATTTTTTGAGACAGGGTCTCGCTCTGTCACCCAGGCTGGAGCGCAGTGGTGAGATCTCGGCTCACTGCAACCTCTACCTCCCAGGTTCAAGCAATCCTCCTTCCTCAGACTCCCTAGTAGCTGGGACTACAAGTGTGCACAACCACACCTGGCTAATTTTTGTATTTTTTTTTTTTTTTTAGTAGAGATGGAGTTTCACAATGTTGGCCAGGCTGGTCTCGAACTTCTGACCTCAGGTGATCTGACTGCCTCGGCCTCCCAAAGTGTTGGGATTACAGGTGTGAGCCACCATGCCCAGCCTTTTTTTTTTTTTTTTTTTTTAAGGCAAGAATATTTCATGGAGAGCACTGTTGACTTAATGAACAAAGCACCACCACATGCCAGGCACTAGTTGACTCTTCAAGGAAGGTGTATGTCAAGACATTTGTTAGTGGCCCCCACAGCCTCTGGATTTAAGCCCGTCAGTAAGCCCCATCCTTTAGGACACAGAGAGCTTGTCGAGGAAGAGTCCAAGGACCCTATCCCCTATCCTCTCCCCTAGCCAATCAAGTCCAACAAGACTCAATTCCAGGACTGTTGTTTCAGGAATAGACACTAACCTTAAAACATTTTAGTGATTTTAAGGTTGGTCAATGACTTTTAAATTATTTTTAATGTTTTTTTAAACTGCAAAATGGTATTTAGAGACTAAATCTGTGCACTAGGGGTGTTCCTTACCACTGAGTTGGTCATTGCTTCTAGGCCTTTTCAGCAGACAGAGCTAAAAAATACTTTTTTTTTTTTTTTTTTTGAGATGGAGTCTTGCTCTGTCACCCAGGCTGGAGTGCAGTGGTGCAATCTCAGCTCACTGCAACCTCCACCTCCTGGGTTCAAGTGATTCTCCTGCCTCAGACTCCCCAGTAGCTGGGACTACAGGTGCCCACCACCGTGCCCAGCTAATTTTTCTATTTTTGGTAGAGATAGGGTTTCGCCACATTGGCCAGGCTGGTCTGGAACTCATGACTTCAGGTGATCCACCAGCCTCGGCCTCCCAAAGTGCTGGGATTACAGGCGTGAGCCACCATGCCAGGCTGAAAATACATTTTTGAAGAGAAAAAATACATACTGCTATCTAATTCAGATCTAAGTATATCCTAAGCTTCTTTTCCACTTATAACACTTTCTCATACACTGAAAAATCTTGGTTCCTAATGCTATTGACATAATTACTTATTTTTTCTTATATCATAGTTTCAAAATAGCAACATCAATATTACTACTGGCAATAAGACTAATGAATACAATTGTATTTCTATGCAGTTTTATTTGTCCTTAGACTGTATCCCATTAGACAGGTACAAACAAGGATTACATGACTGTAATCCCAACACCTTGAGAGACAAACGAGGATCACTTGATGCCAGGAGTTTACGAGCAGCCTGGGCGACACAGCGAGACCCTGTCTCTACAAAAAAAAATTTTTTTTTTTTTTTTGAGACAGGGTCTCGCTCTGTTGCCCAGGCTGGAGTGCAGTGGCGTGATCTCAACTCACTGCAGGCTCTGCCTCCCAGGTTCACGCCATTCTTCTGCCTCAGCCTCCCGAGTAGCTAGGCCTACGGGTGCCCGTCACCACGCCCGGCTAATTTTTTATATTTTTAGTAGAGACAGGGTTTCACCGTGTTAGCCAGGATGGTCTTATCTCCTGACCTCGTGATCCGCCCGCCTCGGCCTCCCAAAGTGCTGGGATTACAGGCGTGAGCCACCGCGCCCAGCCAACAAAAACTTTTTTAAAATTAGCTATGCCTATAGTCCCAGCTCCTCAGGAGGCTGAGGTGGGAGGATCCCTTGAGCCCAGGAGTTGGAAGTTAGTGAACTATGATCACCACTGCACTCAAGCCTGGGCGACAGAATGATATCTCTTTATTTTTTATTTTTTTGAGATGGAGAGTCTCGCTCTCTCGCCCAGGCTGGAGTGCAATGGCTCGATCTCAGCTCACTGCAAGCTCTGCCTCCCAGGTTCACGCCATTCTCCTGCCTCAGCCTCTCCAGTAGCTGGAACTACAGGCGCCCACCACCATGCCCAGCTAATTTTTTTGTATTTTTAGTAGAGACGGGGTTTCACCGTGTTAGCCAGGATGGTCTTGATCTCCTGACCTCATGATCCACCTGCCTCGGTCTCCCAAAGCGCTGGGATTACAGGCGTGAGCCACTGCACCCGGCCTGAACTCATCTCTTTAAAAAAGAAAAAAAATCAAAATACTTAAGAAGCCATTTGAAATTATTTTCTCTGTGTTACACCACCAATCTGACATTACAGATGGTTCGTTTCCATTTGTTTTTAATTTTTATGGAGTGCTTTATTTTATTGAACTTTGTCTTATAAATATGTGAAATGTTTACAAGAGTCCAAAATTGTACTATATAAAAGGTATATTCATAGAAGTCTCATTCCCATCTCTATCCCCTCCAACCCACATAGGCAACTATTTTTTTAGAAGTTTGGGATTTATTCTTCCATTGTTTACCTTTTAAATATAAGTACTTAATGTATATTTATCTCTCCATTACTCACATGTAATAGCATACTATAAACACTGTATGCACTTTGCTTATTTCACTTAATAATAAACAGATCACTTGATATTAGTATATGTTTATTAGTATATATAAGAAATCTTCCACATCTTTTTTTTTTTGAGATAGAGTCTTGCTCTGTTTTTTTTTTTTTTTTGAGACAGAGTCTTGCTCTGTCGCCCAAGCTGGAGTGCAGTGGCTTGACCTCGGCTCACTGCAACCTCCGCCTCCCAGGTTCAAGAGATTCTCCTGCCTCAGCCTCCCAAGTACCTGGGACTACAGGCAAGTGCCACCACACCCGCCTAATTTTTGTATTTTTAGTAGAGACAGGGTTTCACCATGTTGGCCAGGCTGGTCTCAAACTCCTGACCTCAAGTGATCTGCCCACCTCGGCCTCCCAAAGTGCTAGGATTACAGGTGTGAGCCACCATGCCAGGCCTCTTCCACATAGCTTTTCATGGCTGCATAGTACTTTATCCTGTGTATGTACTATAATTTATTCAACCAGTTCTTTATCATTAGACATGTGAGCAGTTTCCAATCTTTTGCTATTCATTAATGCCATAATGAACAGCCCTGTACATACAGGTTTGTTGTTTTGTGTGTGTGTGTTTGCCAGTATATTACTAGGATAGATTCCTCGAAATCTAGTATTTGATCTAGGGTTACTGGATCAAATAATATTGCTATATATTGCCAAATTTCCTTGTTAACTGTTATATCACTTTGTCTTCCCACCAGCTATGTATGAGAATGCTAGCCTTAGGTGTATTTTGATACCATATCAGATTGAGGAGGCTGCAGAGATGAATCACAGACAAGGTTCCTGCCCCTAGGAATTCTCAGTCCTCCAGGAGGCCTAAAGGCTAAAAAAAATGACATAATAAGCAGGAGGCAGATTTACCCTGAAACTAATGAATCTTAAGCTTCAGAGTCCTTTACTTATAGGGACCCTTTCCAGTGTTCCAGATATGTGTTCACAGGGCCATTTTATAACATTTTTCCTCAGGAGGACACCCCAAATTATTTAAGTTTCAGGTCCCACAAGATCTAAACCCCCCTCACAGACTTAACAGTGAGCCTAAACTGGGGGCGAGAGTGGATTTCAAATCTCATCTGCAGCTGACTTAAGAGCAAGGGTTCCTATGATATTTAATGACTGAGACAAAATGAAAACGCTACTTTGATCGAGAGAGAGGTCCCTCCCCTGATTGGGATCAATAACCCACACAGGTAGTTAGCTGTCTACGCAGAGCCTTCTATATTTTCCCTCTACTTTTGAGGGCGGGAAATAAGTCTTGGCTGACACCAGTGTTTCCAGCAAACAGCTGAAGACTTGACACTTGGATGGCACTCAGGACAAAAATCTGAACAGATTACAGAACCGTTGTTGTTTTTTTTTTTTAAGGGGAGGGTGTGTTACACCAGGAATGGGTATTCAAGGTAGACACATCCCAAAACAGACACTTCAGTGAGAAGAGGCAGAGGTGTTTCCTCACCTGTAAAAACAGGATAATAAAACCTACTCTTGTGGGGTTTGGTTAGGATTAAGCAAGATCATTTATATAAAGACCTAACCCAGTGCCAGACTCTCGGGAGAAGGGGCATAAAGGACAGAAAATAAAATGAGTTGATCTTTGAGCACAGCGACAGGGATTTTTTGTACATCGTGCCTTACAGAGCGAGCGCTGGGAGGAGGAATCATCACCCTGCTGAGAAGTAATGGGTGCAGAATAAATCGAGTAAGAAGGAATGGACTTTTCTGGCGGATGCTTACTGATCTAACAACTGGATGACTGAGGAATGCGGTCCTAAGTGACCCCGGGCTGGCTGTGGGGCCAACAGCGTGCGGGATCTGACTAACAGCGTGTGGCAGCCGAGCGACTGCAGCAGCGGCGGGGACCCCATTGACTGTCCAGCCCCGAGAGCGGCAGGAGCGCGGTGGATCCTGGCTCGGACCAAGGCCTCTCCCCTGCGCCGACTGCAGACCAACCCTCCACCAGGAGCCTCGCGGGGGGGCGCCGTGGGCACCGCAGCCAGGTGCAGGCGCCTCCGCGCCCTCACTCCCCACGCCGAGGAGGTGGCCCTGGCTCCCTGCGGCCGCAGCCGGGGAACAATGAGGCGCCGGCCTCTTTAAGGGAGATACCACCGCGCCGGCGGGGCAGGGGACGGCATCCTCCCAGATGATCGCACCCAGCCCCGCGCCGCCGCCGCCGCCGCCGTCTCCGCAACTGCACCGCCCGCAAACATGGCTCAGTGACTCGGAGAAAAGCTGCAGTCTCCCTCCCGGCGGGGCGGACGCCAGGCCTCCTTGGTCGGGCCGCACCTCCCCGCAGGCCCGCCAAAGAGCACCGCGCCCCGCAGGCACCCGAGACCCGCGCGGAAGATGCACCGGGCGTTCCACCCCAGCGAGCCCCGCACCCCAGCCCGCAGCTCGGTAGGTCGGAAGGGGGCGGGTAGAGGGAGGGGAGGCCGCGGCCGGGCGCGCGCAGCCCCAGGCCCGGACCTGCCGCTGCAGACGGTCCCCGGGGCCGCGGGCCCTGAGCGCCCGCTGCGGCTGGAGGGTGGCCGAGCCCCGGCGTGGCGTGGCCTCGCGGTTCCCGAGCCCGGCCACCCCTGCGGGGAGCAGCACCAGTGGTGCGCTCCGGAGCGCGCACACCTCCGACGACTCCCGGCTCTGCAAATCCTCGAGAGAGGGAGGAGGCGAGCGGAGCGCCGGCCGCGCGCCTCGTCGGTGGCGCGGAACGTCCCGGCTCGCGCTACGGAAAGCCGGAGGGGGGCGGGGCCGTCGGCGTAAGGGGGTGTGTCCGCGCGCACCACGGGGGCGCGCGCCGGCTGCTGACTGGAGGCGGCGGCAGCGGAGGCGCGAGCTGCCCGATAATGGCGGCCTGCAGAGCCCATGAGAGGGAGAAGCGGCAGCGTCTACCCTGAGGTAAATCTGGCCTTTCGGCGTGGCGGAGAGGTCTTGCTGCAGAGCCGATGGCCCTGCATGTGCCTCCCTCCCTGGGAGGCTTGTCACAGACGTGTCAGCGGAGTCATCCTGGGGAAGGCCCTGCGCTCCTCAGGCCACCGACCCCAGTCGCGGCCTCCTCTCATACCGGGGCCACCTCCCCCCGGCCCTCAGCCCCCAGCCCCGAGGAGTTGAGGCAACTGCAGGGCTGGCTCCTCAGAGCGAAGGGGCTCAGGAGGCTCCCCTCCGGGCTTCATCTGAGCACGGCCGAGGAGGGGGAGGGCCTGACACTTGGCCAATGAGCGCGGCCTGAGCCGCCGCGTCGGGCAACACCTCTGGCCGCGACTGGCCCTTCCCGGGCGCCGGCAGGTGTCTGGCCTGGCCGGCTCGCGTCCCAGCGCCTGGTTAGAGCAGCGGGAGCGAGGGCCCGCCACTTTCGGTCGAAAGTCACTTAGGTTCGCATCGGATGCATCATTGGATCCGGGATCCCACGGGTTTCATAAACACCTCTCTCCTCCCTATTCAGGAAGGTGCTCTTCCCCATGGGGACTGTACCAGGCTGGAGAGGACATGGCACTGCTTCAGAGACACGAACCACCTTGAGTGGATGTGATTGGCGATCCCCGTAGAGCAGGAAAGCTCGTCTGCTGTGCAGCCGGCGCAGAGGATTCTGTGGCAGGAAATTAGACACTAGGAAATTCAGTAGCGATTTGAAGGGTGGGTGTCCAGTTAGAGGAAGTGGGACTGAACACAATCTCAGAAGTCATTTCTTTTTATTAAATCTATCCTGTAGACTTAAAGCAGTGGATCCCAACTTCTCAGGCTCTAGGGTCAGTAGCCTTTTGCTTCCCCAGCTGTACAGAATAAATATTGTACAATCTCAGGTTACTTTTCTAGCCCGTGGTCACAATCTACAAATGAGAATTCGTTCATGAAGTTGGTTATAATCTAGAAATTCTTTGGGCGCTGAGGAAGCCCACTTTAGACTTTCTCCATTCAACACATGAGCATTTCTGTGCAGGGCCTTTGCCCTCGCCTTTAAACCGTTCAGTAAGTTGAATTCCCAAGAACTCTGTCAGAGAGCCCCTTGATATGCAGGATCTTTGTTGGCAAAAATGACCTAGAACTAAATAGATATTGTTTACTCCAGCTGTCTTATGACTAGGAAAAAGGAAACATAAAAATTTTAAAATAGCTATTGTTAAATGACTACAAAAAGGTAACTGTATTCTAAGTATCCAAGTAGCTTACTTTATTTTTAAGTAAATGTTTCTGGCCGGGCGCGGTGGCTCACGCCCGTAATCCCAGCACTTTGGGAGGCCGAGGCGGGCGGATCACGAGGTCAGGTGATCGAGACCATCCTGGCTAACACAGTGAAACCCCGTCTCTACTAAAAAATACAAAAAAAAATAGCCGGGTGTGGTGGCAGGCGCCTATAGTCCCAGCTACTCGGGAGGCTGAGGCAGGAGAATGGCGTGAACCTGGGAGGCGGAGCTTGCAGTGAGCCGAGATCAAGTCATTGCACTCCAGCCTGGGAGACAGAGCGAGAGAGCGAGACTCCGTCTAAAAAAAAAAAAAAAAAAAAAGAAACGTTTCTTTTCCACAAACTTTATTTTCATTATTGTGTAAGAAATAAGGAGATGACATAAGAGACAAAATTAAAATATGAATAGATAGAGTTTGGCCACTTACTTTTACATAATGAAAACAAACATTTTCAGTTCTATAAATGATTTGGTTCACTTTCAGGCCTTAAGCATAAGCCAGGTGTTTGTATTTCTAACTGTGAGGGGGTTTTGTTTTTGCTGTTTTATGACCATTATGTGTGTGTCAGCCTGAAGGAGAAGCTGGGATTTTGCTTGCTTGCTTGTTTTTTCCTGATCAGTAAATAAGAATGCTGAATTTTGGGGGTGTATTTTTAACAGTGACATTTTCAAGCAGTTCATATAAGAGACAGCATACTGTAGTGCTTCAGATCGTGGTCGTCTGAGGCAGATGGCCGGGTTTCAAATCCCAGGTCCACCAGTTACTAGCTGTTGACCTTAGGCGTTTCATTTAACCTCTCCATTATATAGTTTCATCTATAAAAAGACCATAATAGTATCTATCTCATCAGATTATTATGAGGATTAACTGAATTTAATATTCTAAAGAGCTTAAAACAGTTCCTGATACATGGTAAATACTACCTGTTAGCTTTATTGTTACTATTCTTAAAATTAGATTTCCCCTAGGTATAGCAAATATCCTTCAAGCACTGCAGACAGTCAGACAGATGACAAGTAAATCATACATAAGAAGAAATACAAGCCAGTAGGTATACATAATTTCAACAGAGCACTTTGTTGATTTTTCCAGAAACCTCGACCTTGAAGATGGTGAGTAGCCAGCCAAAGTACGATCTAATACGGGAGGTAGGCCGAGGTAGTTACGGTGTTGTGTATGAAGCAGTCATCAGAAAGACCTCTGCACGGGTGGCAGTGAAGAAAATTCGATGTCACGCACCTGAAAATGTTGAACTAGCCCTTCGTGAGTTCTGGGCACTAAGCAGTATCAAGAGCCAACATCCAAATGTGATTCACTTGGAGGAATGCATCCTACAAAAGGATGGGATGGTGCAAAAGATGTCCCACGGCTCTAATTCTTCCCTTTATTTACAGGTATGTGTTGTTGATTGGGAAATAGAAATGATTTGAACATGGCATTGGCCAGCAAGAAGAGGAATGAAAGGGTCAGACGAACGTTTCCCTTTAAATGCAGGTGTTTGTAGTTAGAAGTAGATAAGTGTCTGCCAAGAATTGAGTAGATGTTTGCTTTAAAACAAGGTTTTATTTAAACCTGTGAGGCACATACCTAAAAATAACATAAGCCACCTGTTATGCAATGGTACTTGCCAGTCTGCATAGGAATGGGGCAAGATAGGAACTAGAGAGGTGCTTGAGACTACAGTCTAATAACTTCATTTCTTTGAAATCAATAATTTTGGACTTGAGGACAGAAGAAAAGGAAAAATTCCACAACCAGTAGCAACACCCCTAGGTAATTGGGCATCTCTTTTATAAATCACTGGTTTGAATGTAAGCCTCTGCTGTTTTAGAGGGATATCTGGTTTCTTCACCACGCAGTTCCAGTTAATTTTCATGAAGTACATGATTTAACACCTGAATGTTATTAACAGTGCTAACAGCTAACATTTGAATTTGCATGCAGTTCGATGCTCTGTGCTGAGTGCTTTAAAAGCAGTTGCTCAAAACAATCCTGTGAGGAAAGGACTATTATTATCTTCATTACAAATGAAGAAACTGAGGCTTATAGTATAGATAATGAATTCATCCAAAATCACATACATAGTAAGTGGTACAATTGGGAGCTGGAGCTGAGAATGACAGCTGAAGCTTATGCTTTCTTAACTCCCAGATTACTCTTCTGTAAACCTGGGAAAATGGAAAAGCTTTTCTGTTTTTCTTTTGTTGGCTTCTGCCAGAAATTAAAATCTCTAGTAGCTCTATACTCAAAGAATAGAAAATATATTAAGACATAGCTTGTTAAAGGCTAGGGCAGAATTTCTTAAAGCTAGTCATTCTTGGGCCAGGCACAGTGGCTCACGCCTGTAATCCCAGCACTTTGGGAGGCCAGGACGGGCAGATCACGAGGTCAGGAGATCAAGACCATCCTGGCTAACACGGTGAAACCCCGTCTCTACTAAAAATACAAAAAAATTAGCTGGGCGTAGTGGTGGACGCCTGTAGTCCCAGCTACTGGGGAGGCTGAGGCAGGAGAATGGCGTGAACCGGGGAGGCGGAGCTTGCCGTGAGCCGAGATCGCGCCACTGCACTCCAGCCTGGGCAACTGAGCGAGACTCCGTCAAAAAAAAAAAAACAAAAAGAAACTAGTCATTCTTGGAAAAGAAAACAACTTTCTTTGAGTGTGTCTAAATTCAGAATTTACCATCAGACTTTTACCATTTAAAAGTCTGCTTTTGGGCTGGGCATGGTGGCTCATCACGCCTGTAATCCCAGCACTTTGGGAGGCCGAGGCAGGCGGATCACCTGAGGTCAGGAGTTTGAGACCAGCCTGGCCAACATGGCAAAACCCTGTCTCTACTAAAAAACTACAAAAATTAGCCTGGCATGATAACGTGCAACTGTAGTCCTAACTACTCAGAAGCCTGAGGCCGGAGAATCTCTTGAATCCAGGAGGCAGAGGTTGCAGTGAACCAAGATCGCACCACTGCACTCCAGCCTGGGGGACAGAGCAAGACTCCATCTCAAAAAAAAAAAAAAACTCTGCTTTTGGTCAGGCGTGGTGGCTTACGCCTCTAATCCCAACAATTTAGGAGGGTGAAGCAGGAGGATCACTTCAACCCAGGAGTTCAAGACCAGCCTGGGTAACATAGCAAAACCCCATCTGTACAAAAAAAAAGTGCAAAAATTAGCCAGGCATGGTGGCATGTGCCTTATAGTCCCAGCTACTTGGGAGGCTGAGGTGGGAGGATCACTTGAACCCAGGAGGCAGAGGTTGCAGTGAACTGACATCATGCCACTGCACTGCAGCCTGGGTGACAGCGAGATTCTGTCCCCCAAAACAAAAAAGAAAACAAAACCTCTGTTTTTAAAACAAGAAAAGTTTTGGACTAGGAACAACAAAGAAAACAAATACACGAATGTATGTATTAAGAAACTTGCAAGTTTCCTTGTACGATGAGCAGTATTAGTCTTGAGAACTTAATTTATATTAATTTATATTGCAGTTTAGCACTCTGTGCCCTGAAGTTTTTTGTTTTTTGTTTTTTGTTTTTGAGAAGAAGTTTTTGCTCTTGTCGCCCAGGCTGGAGCGCAGTGGTGCAATCTCGGCTTACTGCCACCTCCGCCTCCCGGGTTCAAGCAGTTCTCCTGCCTCAGCCTCCCGAGTAGCTGGGATTACAGGCAACTGCCACCACGCCCGGCTAATTTTTGTGTATTTAGTAGAGATGAGATTTCACCATGTGGACCAGGCTGGTCTTGAACTTCTGACCTCAGGTGATCCACCCACCTCGGCCTCCCAAAGTGTTGGGATTACAGGCGTGAGCCACTGCGCCCAACCTTTTTTTTTTTTTTTTTTTTTTTTTTTCTTTTTTGAGACAGAGTCTTGCTCTGTCGCTCAGGCTGGAGTGCAGTGGTGCGATCTCGGCTCACTGCAACCTCCGCCTCCCAGGTTCAAGTGATTCTCCTGGCTCAACCTCCTGAGTAGTTGGGACTACAGGTGCCCGTCACCATGCCTGGCTAATTTTTGTATGTTTAGTACAGATGGAGTTTCACCATGTTGGCTAGGCTGGTCTCGAACTCCAGACCTCAAGTGATCCATCTGCTGCAGCCTCCCAAAGTGCTGGGATTACAGGCGTGAGCCACCTCGCCCAGCCAATGCCCTGAAGTTTTCCGTTTTATGACAGTAAAAATAACTAGCCTCTGTGCATTTTATTGTTTGCTTTTCTTAAAGTGCTTATTATGTAAGTTGAATTGATAGAAAATATTGGAAACATTCTTACTATGTTCTCTCTGAAAAGTGAATAGAGGCCAGGCATGATGGTTCACACCTATAATCCTAGCCGAGGCAGGCAGATTGGCTGAGCTCAGGAGTCTGAAACCAGCCTCGGCAACACGGTGAAACTAAAATACAAAAAATTAGCCAGGTGTGGCAGCGTGTGCCTGTAGTCCCAGCTACCCAGGAGACTGAGGCAGGAGAATTGCTTGAACCCGGGAGGCAGAGATTGCAGTGAGCCAAGATCATGTCACTGCACTCCAGCCTGGGTGACAGAACGAGACTCCATCTCCAAAACAAAAACAAAAACAAAAAGTGGATAGAAAGCCAAACATGGTGGCTCACACCTGTAATCCCGGCACTTCGGGAGGCTGAGGCAGGCAGATCACTTGAGGCCAGGAGTTCCAAGACCAGCCTGGGCAACATGGCAAAACCCCATCTCTACGAAAAATACAAAAAGTTAGCTGGGTGTGGTGGCACACACCAGTGGTCCCATCTCCTTGGAAGGCTGAGGTGGGAGGATCACTTGAGCCTTGGAGGCGGAAGTTACAGTGAGCCGAGATTGGGCCACTGCACTCCAGCCTGGGCAAGAGCCAGACCCTGTCTCAAAAAAAAAAAAAAAGTGGATAGAACCTTGCTGAACTTTACATTGAGTTTTAGAGACTAAGAGGCATGATCTATTTTGAACTAGAAAAGCAAAGATATTTAAACAAAAGATTTATTAGCTGAGCATGGTGGCACGCACCTTTAGTCCCAGCTACTCAGGAAGCCGAGGCAGGAGGATTGCTAGAGTCCAGGAGTTCAAGACTGCAGTGAGCCATGATCGCACCACTGCACTCTAGCCTTTATCACAGAGTGGGACCCTGTCTCAAAAATAAACAAATAAACAAACATATTATTTAGTGCTGAGTCCAGATCCAGCAATTGTTATAGTAGCTAGGCATTAGCTCATAAAGTTTTAAGATGTAAAGGCCTACCAGACTTGATTCAGTGATTTTTATATCTAAAGCACCTTTTTGTTTAGTAAATCTCTTTCATCTTTTAAAGCCTGATAGACTTGTGTTTCACTTATGGTATGTTTTGCTAGCTGAATGACCTTGGATAAATAACCCAACTCTTCCTAGCCTCTATTTCTTCATATTTAAGATAAGGGGTAATAATATCTACTTTGTATAGGAGTTGTCAAAATTAGAGATGTTGCAGAAACAATACTTGGTACATATAAGTACTCAGTAATTGGTACCTCTATTAAAATTGCCCTTTCTGTGGATTCGTTTAGTTGTCCAGACATTCATCAACACATTTAGCAAGTGCCCTCTCTAAATTTACATCTAGTAAAGACAACCAATATTTACATTTAGTAAAGACAAACAAATCTGTAGTATGACCTCAGAGTCCCTATGCATGGTATATTCTCCATACGGATTTTAATTTTTCTCCATGTTTTTCCTGATGTCTTCTTCCTTGTTCTCAGTTGGAATCATTGAATCAGTTCCTGATAGCCAAAAGCCTCATCTAGAAGAAAATGTAAAACAATTAACAGAGGTTACAATCTCATGCATGGGAACCTAGTGGCCAGTCTGTGTACTTGTGATAAATATCATGAATGAGAAGTACAGGATGCATACAACAGGGAAACCTACATAATCCCGTGGTTCAAAAGTTACGAATCGTTGGCTGGACGCAGTGGCTTACGCCTGCAATCCCAGCACTTTGGGAGGCTGAGGCAGGTGAATCACTTGAGTGCAGAAGTTCAAGATTAGCCTGGACAACATGGTGAAACCCTATCAATACAAAAAGTTTAAAAATTAGACGGGCGTGGTGGTGCATGCCTGTAGTCTCAGCTACTTGGGAGGCTGAGGCAGGAGGATCATTTGAGCCAGGGAGATTGAGGCTGCGGTGAGCCATGATGGTGCCACTGCACTCCAACCTGGGTAGTAGAGCAAGACCTTGTCTCTCTCTCTCTCTCTCTCTCACACACACACACAAAATATATATATAATTGTCTAAAACTTGTAGTGTGAAGAGGAGTTAGCTAGATAAGTGAGAAAAATTTCCTAGGCAGAAAAAAACTGTACATACAAAGGTCGTGAAGCAAAACACATGAAGTGTTTAAAAATTGAAAGAAGAGGCTGGGCGCAGTGGCTCACACCTGTAATCCCAGCACTTTGGGAGGCCGAGAGGCGGATCACAAGGTCAATACATCAAGACCATCCTGGCCACAATGGTGAAACCCTGTCTCTACAAAAAATTCAAAAATTAGCTGGGCATAGTGGCGCATGCCTGTAGTCCCAGCTACTTGGGAGGCTGAGGCAGGAGAGTCTCTTGAACCTGGGAAGCAGAGGTTGCAGTGAGCCGAGATCGCGCCACTGCACTCCAGCCTGGCAACAGAGTGAGACTCTGTCTCAATAAAAAAAAAATTGAAAAAAGATAGTGAGATTGTGAGAGTTGTTTTAGATGAGGCTAGAGGGGACAGCAGGAGTCAGAGCACACAAGGTCTCATAACCCATGTTAAAGAGTTTAGACTATATCCTAAGAGAACAGGGAAGCCATTGAAGGGCCTCAGTCAAGAGAAATCAATGGCTAACATCCTCTACATGTTAAAATAAGCAGATTGGGTGCTGCATTTCCATAGCTCTCAGCCAGCGGCCCCGTGGCCTGTTTTCGTATGGTTTCGATGCTAAAAATAGTTCTTAGATTTTTTTTTAAGACTTCTGGGGGTAAAAAAGAAAGGAAGAAGTATATGGTACAGAGACCTTATGTGGCTGTCAAGCCCGAAATATTTACTATCTGGCCTTACTCTAAAACATTCTTTGAACGCTGGGACTCTGCATTGCTCAAAGCTATTTAGGAAGTTTGCTTTTGAGAGTAAAGACAGAAGAAGAAAAGCATGTTTAGTATCAGTGCACCTGGTAAATAATTATGTGATCTGTACCTTTCTTTCATTTTTCTGTCTCACTGGCAAACATGTGCAACAAGGAAAACTCATGCAAAAGAGATATCTGCAGATCATCGCAATTACTATTGTCTGCCATGTGGAGAGATGGCGTGAAGAGATGTTCTTTGCTTGTGCTTTCCCAGATGGTAGAGAAAGTACCAGTAGATTTAAATGTGAAATTAGCAATTCATTCACTCTTCAGCAACTCTTCGGCCTTTTCTGTTCAACTCATGGGTCTGAAAAGGGCACCATACAACAAATGCTTTTAAAAGACAATATACGGGGCCGGGTGCCATGGCTCATGCCTATAGTCCCAGCACTTTGGGAGGCCGAGGTGGGCGGATCACGAGGTAAAGAGATTGAGACCATCCTGGCCAACATGGTGAAACCCCGTCTCTACTAAAAATACAAAAGTTAGCTGGGCGTGGTGGCACGCGCCTGTAGTCTCGGCTACTTGGGAGGCCGAGGCAGGAGAATCTCTTGAACCTGGGAGGCGGAGGTTGCAGTGAGCCGAGATTGCGCCATTGCACTCCAGCCTGGTGACAGAGCAAGACTCCGTCTCAAAAAAAAAAAAAAAAAAAGACTATGTACTGTATTTTAGAGTGATAGTTCATGTCCAGTGAAGTAATTCTATTGAATTTCAAGTAAAGGAGCGTTATAACTAGATAATAATAACAAATAAAACTGTGATTTAGTCTAGGTTTTCAGCTTGTATGAAAGAAGAAATATACAAATTCAGAGTTGATTTTTTAATATCAAAATGCATATTTGAAAACAAAATAAATATTTAAAAATTTAAAAAATGCCTATTTGATTTTTATAAATTGGTTTTTAAAAGTCATCCAGTGAAAGAGCCAACGTATTTGCATTCTGCCTATAGAAGTTTATGAAGTAACGACGTCAGTCTTTATTTTATTAGTGACTACAGGAACAGCTATTTCTGCAACAGCTGGTTGTTCCTTGATCATTTTTCTCTCGATTTCACAGGTTATGTTGATAGTGTCTGTGCAATCAGTAAGAAGTATATTTCAGGCGATTTCATTGAATAGCGTTTCCTAATTGAGGTTTATACCCCAGCTGGCAATTTCCTAGGTCTATCTGCTGAAACTTTGGTCTTTTCATGAAGCTATGAGCTAGCTGGGTAGAGTTCAGCTCCACTGACACATGGAGAAAATGTGTGGCCACTTGGACGCTTTTCAAAATAAAGCTATTTTAAAATTTTTACCCCTTGGTTTAGAGCTTTGGTGTATATTTATCAGGGACAAAATGACAAGTTGAAGCATTTTTTAAAGTTTAAAATGCATATTTGAAAGCACTGATTAAATAAAATATTTATAGAGTTTCCACTTAAAGGTGGAGACTGACTTAACCTTTCAATTATTATTTTCCTATAACTGAATTGTATAACCTATGCAAATGATTGTAATCTTTTTTCTTCCTTCTTGTAGCTTGTAGAAACTTCATTAAAAGGAGAAATTGCCTTTGATCCCAGAAGCGCCTATTATTTGTGGTTTGTGATGGATTTTTGTGACGGAGGAGATATGAATGAGTATCTGTTGTCCAGGAAACCCAATCGTAAAACTAACACCAGCTTCATGCTTCAGCTGAGCAGTGCCCTGGCTTTCTTGCATAAAAACCAGATCATCCACCGAGATCTTAAGCCTGATAACATCCTGATTTCTCAAACCAGGTTGGATACCAGTGACTTGGAACCTACCCTCAAAGTGGCTGATTTTGGTCTAAGTAAAGTTTGTTCAGCCTCTGGGCAGAACCCAGAAGAACCTGTCAGTGTAAACAAGTGTTTCCTTTCCACAGCATGTGGAACAGATTTTTACATGGCTCCTGAAGTTTGGGAAGGACATTACACAGCAAAAGCTGACATCTTTGCTCTGGGGATTATCATCTGGGCAATGCTGGAAAGGATCACATTCATAGACACAGAGACAAAGAAGGAACTCTTGGGGAGTTATGTAAAACAAGGAACTGAGATTGTGCCTGTTGGGGAGGCACTTCTGGAAAATCCCAAAATGGAACTTCTCATTCCTGTGAAGAAAAAATCTATGAATGGGCGAATGAAACAACTGATTAAGGAAATGCTGGCTGCAAACCCTCAGGATCGTCCAGATGCTTTTGAACTAGAACTCAGATTAGTACAAATTGCATTTAAAGATAGCAGCTGGGAAACGTGACACATATTATTTGCAAATACCATGGATGATATGCTGCTTCTGTTTAACAGTGATGCAACATTATGTGGCTGAAAAAGAATATAAAAAGCTAGACTCTACCCTCTAAGGGTTTAGATTTTTTGTGGGATTTTTTTTTTCCTCATTTTTCTTAAATCCAAGTTGGCCGTTTTATTAGTATGTTTCAAATGTGTATTACCAATGTGGGTGTAAATTTTTAAAAAATGATTATTGATAGAAGTTTGGCAGGAAAATTCTTTAAGAGCTAACAAGAGAAGAGAGTCCAGTTTTCTGGAAATATGTCTTTAAGTATTTTAGACATTCCTCGTCAGTATTAGGAATTTCCATGGGAAAAGAGGTTTGCATGCTGGTAATGCAACCTTTGAAACTTTGTAAAGGAAACATATATGTATATATTTATGTATATGTAAGTATGTGAATGTGCGCATTTTGCATTCCATATGAAAAAAATGCCACGTCTGTTTAAATTATTTGATGTAGGTTTGGGTTTTTGAGATTTGCTGGTGAAGTCAGTGACGAAAAATAAACCTTCCCTTATCTTCCTACTCTGCCCCTCCCCCTAATGAAATCATATTAAGTTGTTTTTTTTTTTTTTTGTAATATACAGCTTTTTTTTTAAGGCATCATTTTCGAGGGTCTAAAATTATCTGGTAAAACAAATGAAATTAAGTGATCCAAAGCTGCTGAAGTATGTTTGAACTCTCCAGTGCCCTATAGCTGCAAGAGTTGAATTAGTCATGCAGTCATATGGCAGCAGGTTGGTGATTCAGTCCGACCTTCTTTAGGTAACCGAGCATTTATTTAACCAACTATACCACTGCATTGGGACGTCTGCACTTGAGCTTCTACAATCTGATATAAATCTGAATACAGGATTATTCTGTTTGAAAACTTTGCTATGTGTGAACTGTAATACTTGATACATTTTTGGTTTGAAGACTTTGTCTAAGCCTCATTATACTGAAGTTGAAGAAACCAAATGAGCTCCACCCTCACTTTGCCTGCCCTGATATGATCACTTGTTGAGTCACTGGAGTTCCTTTCATTTTGGCACTGATGCTGTTTTCTCTTGTCTGATTTGAAACAGTACTGGTAATAATATGGTTGTTGAAAATGTGATCACCTTTATCTAAAGTGGGAGAAGATACATACACAGTATGGCAAATGGATAAAATATTGTGGCATCAACTACTTTTAAAGTAGAAAAGCTATCCATTTTATACAATCACTGATACAGTCTATGTCAAAAAACCAACAGACCATTATTCCTCTTGAAGTTAGTTTGATTTTATCTTTGTATGGTTGTCTACAATTTGTTTTCCTGTAAATGCAGATAGTTAAAATCTAAAGGATAGAATGCTTTCCTAAAACAGAACATTAGCCTTTAAGGTTAAATAGACTTTACATTGTATCTAAGTTAATCTTTATAAAGCACTAGAATTTTTGGTCAAAAGTCAAAATAGTATTAGAATATTGAAATTATTGATAGCTTTCATAATCTCAGCTTTTTTGAACTTCCACAATTTTTGGAATATGTCATAATTTTTTTCCCTGTTTCAAATGTGTTCAGAGGAAATAGAATGTAAAACATCACAAAAAAAATTGCAGTACATAAAATTTCTGGACTATGTTAGTTACTTGATCTGGAAGTTTAAAATTTGGACTAAAAGGTTTTATTGAAATAAAGCCTCTTAAAATGAAAAATCATATACTTTTAACATCACTTTTAAGCTAATAAATATAAGAATTCTTTTGGAAATTAGAGGTGGAAACACACTGGAACCTCATGATAATTGACCCTCTGGATCACCAGATTAGTTTAATTTAACAGATATGTCCAAGGAAGTTGAGCTATAGGGAGTAAGAAAAAGCATCATGATAACGTCTAGTCAATAACATGGCACTTCAGCAGAGATTCATAGATGATGGTATGCCCATGCATCATTTGCTCTTCAAATATCTATGTGCTTGGAGCCACAGTTTCCTAAGCGCATAGTTTTTGGTCCTGCCTCATGTAAAATAGTTAATGATTATCATTTACTTGGAAAGATTTTACCTGTGAAGTGAAATTCTTTCATTGGGGGTAAGGGTATGAGGTGATCAGGAAGTTTCTTCTGGAATTTTATCAAGTCCTTGTATTCTAAAATAGCCAAGCAAAATGATAGTAAATTCTTTGTCTTTGTTCTTTCAGTCAGAGGTATTTATTAAGTACCTACTGTGTGCTCAGCACTAAAGGTTTGTTGATAAAATGACAATTAAAAAATGGCATTTAGCCAAAGGCCTTTTCAGCCAGGAGTAAGAAAAGATGGTTAGTGATATTTGGAAATACCTGGATATTTGCTAGAGGAAAAATGAAAGCAAAACTTCGTACACAGTGCCTTGCCCATAATAGGTACTCAATAAGCAATTGTTCCTCATAGAGTCTTTTGCCATGATTTATGGTGTTTTTTGAAATTTGTCTTAATTGAAAAAAGACCAAATATTTCAAATGAGCTTATAGGCAGCTGTGGCCAGTGAAAATATGGGGTTGTACAGTTAGTTCCTAGAATGTTATTTTGCACTAGTTGTCACTTAGAAAGATGGGGTTCCTGTAGATTTTTTGGTGCTAAGGGATACTTTGTCATTATGATGAAGTAAGTGTTAAGTGTCAGATAAATAGCACACAGAATAGTTCTTTCTGCTGGTCTGTTTTTTCTCTTCGTTGTTGTTGTTTTTAATTGTAAATTGTTATCAATCAAACTATTGTAGCAGCTACAAAGTAATTCACCAGCATGACAAAATGGTCAAAAAATAAGTCATCAGCACTTAAGAAATGAAAGCAACTTTTGAAATTTTCTGTTAAAATTGTCAAATATATTTTATGAAGAATTTATAAAAGGGGAAAATGATTGTAATTTATTGTTCATGACTTTTTTTTTTAAATAAAGTGAGTTTCAACAAAAAAAAAACTGAAAATTCTACATTGCTGCTTTAGTGGCTCTGTGAGTAGTTCTGTAGTACTTTACTTCATGAGCATAAAATAGAAGGTATAAAATCTGAAACAATGTATTTTTCAGACTTACCTTTTAAATGATTCTGAAATAGAAGTGATTGCCAAGGAAAAGATGATTGAATTATAGGAGTTTCAGCATTTCAAGTTCTCTGAAATTTTAGTGCTGTCTTGCTGTATTTGCTTTGCACACAAGAAGAACTCGTATTGCCAGAGATGAAATTTTTTATTCATTTATCCTTCTGTTTCATTAAGCTGAGGATGCAGCTCAGACTCAGCATAATATATATTAAATAAATGAGAGGATGCAGTTTTTCAATCTATAACTTGAGACGATGGTTTAATTTTCTATTAAAAATTTGGGCCCACTTTTTTATGTTTATCATTTCTGCCTGAAGATACAGTCTATTTAGTGGTCCAATGGAACAGCAGAGGAGAATATGGAAGACAGAAAACAACTCTACATGTGACCTAGTGAAAGTAGGCATCAAGAATTGTGGCTTCAAAAATCAAACCAAAAAAATAGGGGAAAAAAAAAGAATTGTAGCTTCCTACTCTTCTGCTTTCCCTTGGTATAACCTTTATAGACAGGCAAATTTTGCTTTCTAGAGATTGTTTTTAATTGAAGCTTTAAATATTTGTATTTACTAGCATTTTGTAATCCTTTGCAGTTTACAAAGCACCTTCACATGGTTTTTACGTATCTTTTTCACTGAGTTTTACTTAAAATAGGGGCTGATTTCCTGATGAAATTAACAGTAATTACACCAGTTACTGAGATGATGACAAAAGGTTTTACCTTAAGACAGGGTTTTGGTGCCTAATCTCTGACTCCAGTTGGAGTTTTCTCTGACAACGAAGCTTTATCTTTCTCACTGATGTAATGACACTTGGTTGTTTTGGTCTTTTCTTTAAATTCAAATGTTGCTCTCTTTGCCAACCAATCATAGACATCCTGTAAAGTGCAGTGTAATGACAGACGGTTGGTTTGTGGTTAGATAATAACTCCCACTTGAGAAAACCTACAAGGCTGCCACACCTCTTGAAGGCCAAGTGCGTCTTTTAAAGGCAGTACTTTCACCTTTGCAATCATTTTTCATTGCACAGAAGGAAATTGAGAAAAAAAAAAAGCTTGGGCTTTGACTTTACTCTTTTATTTCCTGTTCAGCCCAGTATTTCAAGCTCAGCTTGTTCTGAGCAGAAGTTGGGCAACTTGATATTACCAAAGGCATCCTGGTCTAGCAGAAAAAGCCCAGGCTTTGGAGTAGCAGATGTTGTGTGGTAGCTCATGCCTGTAATCCCAGCACTCTGGGAGGCCGAGGTAGGTGGATCACCTGAGGTCAGGAGTTCGCGACCAGCCTGGGCAACATGGTGAAACCCCATCACTATTTTTAAAAATACAAAAATTAGCTGGGTGTGGTGGCGGGTGCCTGTAATCCCAGCTACTTGGGCGGCTGAGGCAGGAGAATCGCTTGAACCCAGGAGGCAGAGGCTTCAGTGAGCCGAGACCGCACCATTGCACTTCAGCCTGGGCAATGAGCGAAACTCCATCTTAAAAAAAGAAAAAATTCATCAAGCTGCACTTAAAATGTTTACATTTTTCTCTAGGTATGTTATACTTCAAGAAAAATTTTATTTTTAAAAAATGTGCATTGGGGCTACTGGTGACAGCTATTATCAGGCAGAAGGAAAGGACACAGACTTTGAAAATAGACTCTTTACCTTTCTGTTACTAGCTGTGTGACTTTCATGAGTTCCCTAGCCCCTCAAATTCAGTTTCCCACATGTTTAAGCAGAGACAGTACCTGACTCAGAGCGCTGTGAAGATAAAAGGAGCCAATGCATGTAGAAATGCGTGGCATGCTCAGGAAATGTCAGTGCTTCCCGTTCACCCGGGAGGACTCCTAGGAAATGACTCTGAGCTGCCTTTACTGCTAATTTGTACTGCTGATAGGGAGCACGTTGATTGGTTTGTTTAATTTAGCTTACATTTTTACCACAATTATTAGAGAAATACATTCGGTTATGGTGATGTCCTGCGTGTCTCTTTGCCCTGCAGCCCTATTTAAGAACAAGGATAGTTCAATAAAAATCCCCTCAGCCCAGTTTTCTTTCCTCCTTCTACTTGCTGATCACATGATTGATAGTAATTCAGGATGTTTACTGTCTCTTTCACATAGACTACCATGCGTGGAAATTAGGAAAGTAGTAATAAGTACCAAATACTAGAATGACATGCCATTTCTCCTGGCTTTAGGTAGAAGGCAGGGAGCGTTTACTGACGTGATTTGAGAAGCAACAGTAGAAGCACAGCTGTGAGGGCGGCGTGGAGCAGGGCAGCAATGGCTAGAACTTGGAAGTTGGAATTACAGTAGACTCAGTGTTTCTCAACTCTGGCTACTTGTTACAATTTTAACCTGAGGAGGGCAAAAGCAAGCAAAAATCCTGATGACTTCTGCTTCTGGCCATTATGGAGTAACAGGGTTCTATTCCTGCCATAAACAACTCAAATGTCAGACACTGGGAAACTAGCAGTGCACGACAGCAATCCCTGGGAGAAAAGGATCAAATGGGGTGAGCCCTGTGGTTGCCCCAACTTGGAGGGAATCTTTAGGCTGCTGTACAGGGAATAAGTACCTAAACAAGGTTCAACAGTCTCCCTGAGTTGAGGAGACAGAATTTAGGGTTCAGGGAGCACAAGCCAGCTAGGATTCATGGGGCAGAGTATCAGAGAGAGAGAGAGAGACAGATGGTAACAAAGAATTCCAGACCTTGTTGTTTATTTTTTTTCTTTTCTTTTTTGTCCTGTTTTTTATTTGTCGGTGAGAGTTCCAGACCTTTGCAGAAAGTTTTTTTCAAGACATCAGCTGAGGCAGGGCCAGGTAACTCACATCTGTAATCCCAGTACTTTAAGAGGCCAAGCCAGAATGATCACTTGAGCCCAAGAGTTGGAGACCAGCCTAGGCAACATGGTGAAACCCTGTCTCTACAAAAAATAAAATAAAATTATCCAGGTGTGATGGTGTTTGCCTATAGTCCCAGCTACTTGGAGGCTGAGTTGGGAGAATCACCTGAACCCAGGAAAGTCAAGGCTGCAGTGAGCTGGAATCACCACGCTGCACTCCACCCTGGGCGGCAGAGCAAGACCTGCCTTAAAGAAAACATACACACTCACACACACACTCTCTCTCTCTCTCTCTCTCACACACACACACACACTCACACACTCACATTCACACACACAGTATCAGCTAAGTACTAATCAGTCATGCTTATGAAGAAACTATCAGACCTGAATGCAGGAAAGATCCCCTGAAAGGATTAGGCAGAACAATCCTGGAGCTCACACAGGACCAAGAATAATTGATATTTCCACCAGCCAGAACAGAAAGACCTTCTTCCAATATACAGAGCATCACAGAAGAGTATTGTCTCAGTAGTGAGGCCAAGGCTAACAGCTATTCTGGACCTGTCTATCCAAGCTTAAAAGTAAGTCTTGAAAGGTACACAGACAAAATTATAGCAAATTTGATTTAAAGATCTATATTGGCTTTTCTTTGTGATTCTAGAAAAAGGCAACACCTTATTCTATAAAATACAGTGAGTATTCCGATAAGCCAAGCAGAAAAGTATGGTTTTATAGACAGAAAAGGCCTGAGAAAAGCAGAAACAGAGAACAGAAAATTGTCTGGTTGTTTCAAAGTTACTTTCCTTATAGAGTTAAAACAGACACAGGCGTAGTGGGTTGCTGCGCCCTCCCAGGCGGTCCCAACAACTAGTGGACCAGAGCCCCCAGGGGACACAGCCTAAGTCCCTGCCCATCAGATCATCTGGAACTTCTGCCCAGAGAGGATCTGGAACTTCTGCCCAGAGAGGAGAGAGCGACTGGAAATTCTCTCAGTCAAGGTCCAAACCTAAAAGAATCACTGGCACGCCCAGCAGGACTAAGACCAATTTTTAATGAAATGTTTTCTGTGTTTGGGGTGCATAACTATATTTCTTTATAACAAAATTACTTAAATGTTTTGATTTTTTATTCCTCATATGCATGGCCTGTGACAGACCAGGGGACTTGTAAGCTCACAGTCCATGAGGTCAGAAGCTGACATCCTAAATGTCTATTTATAATGAATTTAAACAGACCAAAAACTCTGCTATGAAACTCGGAAAGACAAGCAATTTAGCAAAAATGAACCAGTCTCTAAATAAATAAAAAGATTAAAATTTAAAAATTAAAAACAACAACAACAACAAAAACAGAGGGAACTTCATTTTCATGCCAGCTCAGGTAAACTGGGCCCCTTTTGATTGGTTGCTGCGAATCTCCTGGGGGTATTTTTTTGGTAGCGGGGTGGGGGGTGGACTGGCCTGTTTCAGAGTTCAGTTTAATTATGTGGCACCCAGCATGAGTGACTCCATTCTGATTTGGCTCGGTCTGCTAGTGCTAGTGTACGAGGCTAGTCCAAAATAATGGTCTCCTATACATTTTATTTAACAAAATACATTTTTTTCTAAGTAACATAATGTGCTAGAACAAAGCTCAAAAATACTTGAGTCCAAAAATTCCACTTCTCAACAATATAAAATTCAAAATGTCTGCCAGCCAATTAAAAATATTAGAAATGGGCCAGGTACAGTGGCTCATGCCTGTGATCCTAGCACTTCGGAAGGCCAAGGCAAGAGGATTGCTTAAGTCCAGAAGTTCAAGACCAGCCTGGGCAACATAATGAGACCTCATCTTTACCGGGAAAAAAAAAAAAAGGAATTAGCTGGGGGTTCTGGTGTGGTGGCACATGCCTGTAGTCCCAGCTATTCAGGAGGCTGAGGCGGGAGGAGCACTTGAGCCCAGGAGTTGGAGGCTGCAGTGAGCCGAGATCGCACCACTGCACTCCAGCCTGGAGACAAAGCAAAACCCCAACTCAAAAAAAAAAAAAAAAAATTAGGACTTCTAATTTCTGGTTTGGCACAAAAGGAGCCTAAAAGTCACCACTCCATCCTAACAACAATTAAAAAGCTGAACACATGGAAAAATCAACCACTCTTCTTAGATATGTCAGAGCAGTGAGGTCACAGGGCAAACTGCTGCCCCTGTAATTGGAGAGATGCATTGGTAGATACAGAATATCACAATTTACTAGTGTGGAAAAGGTGCAGGGGTAGGAAAACCTAAACTGTAATTGATGAATTGCTTAGTATGGTCAACTCTGAGAGTTAAAAAGCCCAGGGGGACCCAATCACAGGAGGCTCCCCACACTATTACCTCCAGGAGCTCTGCCAGATCCTCACAGGTGCTCATTCTTCTGCTAACGGGAGGGGGAAAGGAACCATTTTGAAACCTGCCTGAACATTCTGTTCTTAACAAGGACAACCCTCAGGAGCAACTATTTTACCACAGCCTCATCTGTTGTGGTTTTATCAGCTGACCCTAACCTATCTGAGGGTATTCCAGCCCCCTCTAGCCATCCTGACCACCTAAGGGAACTTCACCAAGAGAAGCACTGGTGAAGTTCACAGTCCAAGGGCACAGGCTCACCTATGAAAAGCCCATGACCAAATCATAGGATTATAGAACACCCACCATCCCCAAATGTTACTACATTACTAAAGGCCTATTTATGGCAGTTCCTTTAGCCAGTACATTCCATCCACCTTTCACAAAAAAGTACAAGGGATACTAAAAAGCAAAAAATACAATTTGAAAAGTCTGAACAATCATCAGAATCTGAGTCAGTTATGGCAAGAATCCTGGAACTATCAGGCCAGGGATTTTTTTTTAAATTGTGATTAATATGCTAAGGACTTCAATGGAAAAAGTAGACAATATGCACACACAGATGGATAATGTAAGCAGAGAAATGGAAATTCTAAGGGTCAAAAAGATGCTAGAAATCAAAAACTCTGTAATAGAGATGAAGAATGCTTTTGATGGGCTCATTAGCAGACCGGACATGGCTGAGGAAAGAATTTCTGAGCTTGAACATATGACAAAACAAACTTCCAAAACTGAAAAGCAAAGAGAAAACGTCTAAAAAAATTTTTTTAAAGAACGGAATATCAAATAATTGTCGGCCAACTATAAAAGGTATAACCTACATGTAATGGGACTATGACAGGGAGAAAAAGGAGAGAAAGGAACAGAAGCAATAGTTGAGGTAATAATGACTGAGAATCTCCCCCAATTTTTTTGTTTTTTTGTTTTTTTGTTTTTGAGACAGGGTCTGGTTCTGTCACCCAGACTGGAGTGCAATGGTGCGATCTCGGTTCACTGCAACCTCTGCCTCCTGGGCTCAAGCCATCCTCCTGCCTCAGCCTCCCTAGTAGCTGGGACTACAGGCATCTGCTAATTTTTGTATTTTTTTGTAGAGATGGGGTTTCGCCATGTTGTCCAGGCTAGTCTTGAACTCCTGAGCTCAAGCAATTTGCCTGCCTTGGCCTCCCAAAGTGCTAGGATTACAGGTATGAGCCATCATGCCCAGTCAAATTTCCCCAAATTAATGTCAGACACCAAACCACAGATCCAGGAAACTCAGAGAACACCAAGCAGGATAAATGCCAAAAAACCCACAAAATGACACCTAGACATATTCAAACTATACCTAGACATATTCAAATTTCAGGAAATCAAAAATAAAAAATCTTAAGAGAAGTCAGACAGAAAAAAGCACCTTACCTATAGAGGAGTAAAGATAAGAATTACACTCAACTTCTCAGAAACCATGCAAGCAAGAAGCAAGTGTAGGAAAATGTGTAGTGTTGAGAGAAAAAAACCCACTAACCTAGAATCCTGTACCCTGTGAAGTTGTCCTTCAAAAGTGATGGAGAGGTCAGGCACAGTGGCTCACACCAATAATCCCAGCACTTTGGGAGGCCTAGGTTGAGAATCACTGGGCAGCCTGGGCAATGTAGTGCGACCCAATCTCTACAAAATAAAAAATTTAAAAAATTATAGCTGGGTGTGGTGGTGAGGTAGGAGAACTCGACTCCAGAGGCAGGGCTTGGACATCAGACCAAATTGAGGACTAGTTAACACAGGTCCCTGTATGGAAGCAGCTTTCCATAAGACACGCCCACCAGTGTGCCATGTCAGTTTACCGTTGTCATAGCAACACCTGGAAGTTACCACCCCTTTCCATGGCAATGACCTGACGACTCAGAAGTTACCATGCTTATCCTAGAAATTTCTGCATAAACCACCCCTTAATTTGCATATAATTAAAAGTGGGCTAAAAATATGAGTGAAGAACATATTCTGAGCTGCTATTCTGGGCACTGCCCTGCCCTACAAGGAGCAGTACTTCTGCTGCTGCTGTACACTGCTACTTCAATAAAACTTGCTGTTTACCGCCATTGGCTCCCATTGAATTCTTTCCTAGGTGAAGCCAACAACCCTCCTGGGCTAAACTCCAATTCTGGGGCATGCCTATCCTGCATCAGTGGTGCACACCTGTAGTCCCAGCTACTCAGGAGGTTGAGGTGGGAGCCCTGAGGCTTGAGCCCTGAAAGTCAAGGCCACAGTGAGCCATGATCACGCCACTGCACTCCAGCCTGGGTGACAGAGCAAGACCCTGTTTCAAAAAAAAGGTGATGGAGGGCCAGTTGCAGTGGTATGTGCCTGTAGTCCCAGTTACTCAGGAGGCTGAGGTGGGAGAATCATTTGAATCCAGAAATTTAAGGCTAGCCTGGGCAACAGAGCCAACTTTGTCTCTTAAAAAAAAGAAAGAAAGAAAGAAAGAAAGAAACGTTGGGCGCAGTGGCTCACACCTGTAATCCCAGCACTTTGGAAGGCCGAGGCGGGCGGATCACGAGATTAGGAGATCAAGACAATCCTGGCTAACACTGTGAAACCCCATCTCTACTAAAAGTACAAAAAATTAGCTGAGCAGAAGAATTGCTTGAACCCGGGAGGCAGAGGCTGCAGTGAGCCGAGATTGCACTACTGCACTCCAGCCTGGGTGACAGAGTGAGACTCTGTCTCAAAAATGAATAAATAAGAGTAGGCAGCCAGGTGTGGTGGTTTGCACCTGTAATCCCAGCTACTTGGGAGGCTGAGGCAGGAGGATCGCTTGAGCCCAAGAGTTAGAGGAGTAGTAGATGAATCCACTATTTTTTTTTTTGAGACGCAATGGCATGATCTCGGCTCACCACAACCTCCGCCTCCCGGGTTCAAGCGATTCTCCTGCCTCAGCCTCCTGAGTAGCTGGGATTATAGGTGCGCACCACCACGCCTGGCTAATTTTTTTTTTTTTTTTTTTTTTTTTAGTAGAGATAGGGTTTCACCATGTTGGTCGGGCTGGTCTCGAACTCCTGACCTCATGATCCGCTCGCCTCAGCCTCCCAAAGTGCTGGGATTACAGGCATGAGCCACCATGCCCGACTGAATCCACTATTTTAATTGGAGACTTTAACACCTCTCTGTCAGACATGGACAGATCCAGCAGGCAGAAAATCGGTAAGGACATAGTTGAACTCAACAACACTTCAATCAACTGGATATGATTGACATCTATAGACTTCTTCATCCAATAACAGCAGGTTACACACTCTTATCAGCTTACATGGAACATTCACCAAGATTAACCACATTCTGGGTCATAAAACACACCTCTACAAATTTAAAAGAATAGAAATCACATAATGTGTGCAAATTCAGACCACAATGGAATTAAACTAGAAACATGAACAGAATGGTACCTGGAAAATCCCCCAAATACTTGGAGATTGAAACAACACACTTTTAAATAACACACGCAAAAAAGAAACTTCAAAAGAATTTTAAAAATATTTTGAACTAAATGAAAATGAAATATAATTTATCAAAATTTGAGGGATGCAGTGAAAGCAGTGCTTAGAGGGAGATTTGTGGCATTGTTAGAAAGAATAAAAATCTAAAATCAATAGTCTAATCTTCCACTTTAGTAAACTAGAAAAAGAAGAGCAAATTAAATCCAAAGTAAGCAAAAGAAAAATAATAAAAATTGGAGCAGAAATCAGTAAAATTGAAAACAGAAAATCAACAGACAAAATCAATGAAACCAAAATCTAGTACTCAAAAGATCAATAAAATCAACAAACCTCTAACCTGGCTAACTAAGAAAAAAAGAAAGAAGGCCAGCCATGGTGACTCACGCCTATAACCCCAGCACTTTGGGAGGCTGAAGCGGGTGGATCACTTGAGCCCAGGAGTTTGAGACCAGCCTAGATAACATGGTGAAACCCCATTTCTACCAAAAATACAAAAAAAATTTAGCCAGACGTGGTGGTGTGCACCTGTAGTCCCAGCTACTAGGGAGGCTGAGGTGGGAGAATCACTTGAACCCAGGAAGCAAAGGTTTCAGTGAGCGGAGATCATGCCACTGCACTCCAGCCTAGGTGACAGAGTGAGACCCTGTCTCAAAAAAAAAAAAAAAAAAAAAACCAGAAAGAAAGAAAAAGAAAAGAAAGAAGACACAAATTTCTAATATCAGAAATAAAAGAGGGGACATCACTACAGACCCCATGGACATCAAAAGGAGAATAAAGGAACATTATGAACAACTCTATCCCCACAAGTTTGGTAACCTAGATAAAGGGGCCAATTCCTTGAAAGATATAATCTGCCAAAATTCATACAAGAAGAAACACAGTCTGAATAGGCCTATATTTATTAAAGAAATTGAATCAATAAATAGTAACCTTCAAAACAGAATTCATCAGCCCAGATGGTTTCACCAGTGAATTCTACCAAATGTTTAAGGAATAAATTATACGAACTCTCTACAAACTCTTCCAAAAAATTGAAGCAGAGGAAATACCTCTTAACTCATTCTATGAGGCCAGCATTACCTTAATACCGCTCCCTCATGAACATAGATGCAAAAATTCTCAACAAAATATTAGCAAATTGAATCCAACAATGTATAAAAAAGAATTACATGCCATGACCAAGTGGGATTTATCCCAGGTATGAAGGCTGGTTCAATATTAGAAAATCAATTAATTCAATCTATCACATCAATGAGCCATACAAGAAAAATCACAGTATCATGTCAATAGATACAGAAAAATCATTTGACAAAATCCAACACACATTCATGATTTTTAAAAAAGCTCTCAGAAATGGAATAGAAGGCATCACTGCTTTTTAGCATTATACTAGAAGCCCTAGGTATTACAATAAAACAAGAAAATGAAATGAAAGCATACAGATTTGGAAGAAAGAAATAAAACCATTTGTTTACAGATGACATGATTGTCTATGTAGAAAAATCCAAAAGAATCATCAGCAACAACAAAAACTCCTAGAACTAATTAGCAGTTATAGCAATGTTGTAGAATACAAGATTAATGTACAAAAGTCTATCAGAAATAAGCAAGCAGAATTTGAAAATAAAGATGCATTACTATTTACATTAAGTTGTACAAATTAAGTGTATAAATTACATTAAATTGATGTAAGTTGTTTACTCAAAAAAGCCACTTAGGTATAAATCTAACAAAATGTATACAAGACTTACATGAAGAAAACTACAAACCTCTGAGGAAAAATATCAAAGAAGTTGGCCAGGCATGATGGCTCACACCTGTAATCCCAGCACTTTGGGAGGCCAAGGCAGGCGGATCATGAGGTCAGGAGTTCAAGACCAGCCTGACCAACATGGTGAAATCCCCGTCTCTACTAAAATTACAAAAATTAGCCAGGTGTGGTGGTGCACGCCTGTAATCCCAGCTTCTCGGGAGGCTGAGGCAGGAGAATTTTGCAGAGGCAAAAGACCCGGAATAGCCAACTCAAAATTGAACAAAGAAGAATGAAGTCAGAGTACAGACACTACCCAATCTCAAGACTTAACGATCAGCCTACAGTAATCAGGACAGTGTGGTATTTGCAAAAGAATAAACAAATAGATCTATGGAACAAAATAGAGAGCCTAGAAATAGACCTATATAATACCATCAACTGAATTTGACAAAGGTAACAAAAGCAATACAATGGAGCAAAGACAGTCTTCTCAACAAATGGTGCTGGAACAACTGGGCCTCTACATGAAGAAAAAAAAGAATCTAGACAGAGACCTTATATACTTCCCAAAAATTAACTCAAAATGGATCACAGGCCTAAATGTAAAATGCAAAACACCTAAAAGACAACATAAGAGAAAATCTGGGCCAGATGCGGTGGCTCACACCTGTAATCCCAACACTTTGTGAGGCCGAGGCGGGTGGATCACCTGAGGTCAGGAGTTTGAGACCAGCTTGGCCAATATGATGAAACCCCAACGCTACTAAAAATACAAAAAATTAGCCGGGCATGGTGGCAGGCGCCTGTAATCCCAGCTACTCAGGAGGCTGAGGCAGGAGAATTGCTTGAACCCGGGAGGCAGAGGTTGCAGTGAGCCAAGATCCCGCTACTGCACTCCAGCCTGGGCAACAAGAGCGAAACTCTGTTTCCAAAAAAAAAAAAGTCTGGGCGCAGTGGCTCACACCTGTAATCCCAGCACTTTGGGAGGCTGAGGCAGGCAAATCAGGAGGTCAGGAATTCGAGACCAGCCTGGCCAACGTGGTGAAACCCCGTCTCTACTAAAAATACAAAAAATTAGCTGGGTGTGGTGGTGGGCGCTTGTAATCCCAGCTACTCAGGAGGCTGAGGCAAGAGAATCGCTTGAACCTGGGAGGTGGAGGCTGCAGTGAGCCGAGATCCCGCCACTGCACTCCAGCCTGGGCGACAGTGTGAGACTATGTCTCAAAAAAAAACAAAAACAGAAACAAAAAAAAAGAATGGGCAACAAAGGGATCAGAGAGCAAAGTCACGGATTGGCCCAAGGCAGGCTAGAGTTGATCGGCTGTCCCCTGGAGGAGGCAACCACTCTGGTCCAGGCCTACATGTCAGAACACAAAGCCCTGTGTCTGCCAGGGCTCTCATCCTGCTCCAGCTGGCTCACAAACTCACTAGTGTGCTCCAGAGTCTTGACTTGGGCCCTGCTTCTCCCAGTTTTGTGGCAGGATTTCCTGAAGCTAATGAGAGACCTTGTGGGCCCTCAACCGCTCCACTCTAATTATATCAATGCTACCAGATGGGGGAGGATAGTTGGTTCTTCTAGTCTTTCCTAAAGGAATATCAGTGCCTGTGGGCTACAGTGGACTGTGGAAAATAATGTATTGTTTGGGGTTAAATTTCATGTTTATCTAAGGCCTGCCTTTCAGCCTAGGCCCAGTCCTTACAGGTGAAATTTCTTGACTTCAGGATTTCCTTTAAGAACATAAGACTGGGCTGGGTGCAGTGGCTCACGCCTGTAATCCCAACACTGTGGGAGGCCGAGGCAGGCAGATCACAAGGTCAGGAGTTCAAGACCAGCCTGACCAATACGGTGAAACCCTGTCTCTACTAAAAATACAAAAAATTAGCCGGCGTGGGGCCGCACGCCTGTAATCCCAGCTACTCAGGAAGCTGAGGCAGGAGAATCGCTTGAACCCAGGAGGTGGAGGTTGCAGTGAGCCGAGATTGTGTCACTGTACTCCAGCCTGGGCGACACAGCAAGACACTGTCCAAAAAAAAAAAAAAAAGCTGGATGCAGTGGCTTTTGCCTTTAGGAGGCCAGTACTTTAGGAGGCCAAGGCAGGTGGATCACCTGAGGTCAGGAGTTTGAGACCAGCCTGGCCAACATGGAGAAACCCTATCTCTACTAAAAATACAAAAATTAGGTAGGCATAGTGGCACGGGCCTGTAATCCCAGCTACTTGGGAGGCTGAGGCAGGAGAATCACTTGAACCTGAGGTGTAGAGGTTGCAGTGAGCCAAGATTGTGCCACTTCACTCCAGCCTGGGTGAAAGAACAAAACTCTTTCTCAAAAAAAAAAAAAAATATTAGCCGGGCGTGTTGGTGCACGCCTGTAATCCCAGCTACTCGGGAGGCTGAGGCAGGAGAATAGCTTGAACCCGGGAGGCAGAGGTTGCGGTGAGCTGAGATCGCGCCACTGCACTCCAGACTAAGAGACAGAGTGAGACTCCTCCTTAAAAAAAAAAAAAAAAAAAAAAAAAAAGAGCATAGGACCAAAAGGCTTCAATAGATTGGGGTCTTTGGCCTTCACAATAATTAATCACTATCAGCACTAACCAGGTGTACTTTCCAAGTGCACTTCCACCTCTAAAATTCAGTGATTCTATCCGTTCATGAAAAATTACTAGTGAAAAGATATGGGAGCCACAAAGAAATGTCACACAGCCCCTGCCCTCAGCTCAGAAAACAAAACACGCAAGTTACAATTAGCAGAAAAATTAAAGGCTAACATATACGTGTATTATTATAAATTTGCCATAAGACACCAAGGTTTAAGAAACATCACATTTCTTTATCTTTCCAACACAGCCATGCCTTAAGGGGCTCTTAATCCTCTCTAGAATATCCACAAAGCTTGGAGAAGGGCCTCTGGTATTCCAACTCTCCACTGAGATGCTTATTGACCAAGTCCACATGAGCTTGTATTTCCTGTTCATGGAGCCCTCTTCACGCCCTACAAACACTCACTAGGACTTTCATTCTATTCCATCTCATCAGAAGTCTTGCTGTCAGGGGTCACTGCTTGATCTTAGCTCTCACAGAATCAACCACCTATTTCCTCTAGTCTGAGGAAATACCACTTTTGTTGAGGTAGAAGGGGTGGATCACTCTCCTGTCTTTCAACACTTTGAGCTATTTCATTGCCCTTGAGACTTGAAAAGTGAAACATTTGTCTCTCCATCGGGACAAGTGAAGCCTCCAGTACATAAAGTCCCACTGCAATCTTGAAATGGCAAAAGGAAAATTGCCTCTCAAGAAAATAAGCCCTACTATGTGCCAGGCACTTTGTTAGCTTTTTGTTTGTTTGTTTGTTTGTTTGGAGACAGGGTCTCCCTGTGTTGCCAAGGATGGACTCCTCCCACCTCAGTCTCCCGAGTAACTGGGACTAATACTGTACCTGGCTACTTTGTTAGATACTTTTTGGTTTGTTTTTTTTTTTTTTTTTTTGAGACAGGTCATGCTGTGTCACCTAGGCTGGAGTGCAGTGGCACAATCACAGCTCATTGCAGCCTCGACCTCCCAGGCTCAAGCAATACTCCCACCTCAGCCTCCCAAGTAGCTGGGACTACAGGTTTGTGCCACTACACCCAGTTAATTTTGTTGTTTGTAGAGACAAGGTCTTTGAGACAGCCTGTTGCCCAGGCTGGTCTCAAACTCTTGGACTCAAGTAATCCTCCCACTTCAACCTCCCAAAGTGCTAGAATTACAGGCATGAGCCACTGTGCCCAGCCTGTTAGATACCTTTAAAAGCGATTTTATTTGTAAGAATCCTCTCCCAGTTTGCAGATGAGATCTAAGAAACTAATAATGACACACGATATAGGAGAGAACAGTAACAAAAGCAAAACTGTACCAACCAATTTCTCTGTGCCAGGGACCACT
Organism: Homo sapiens; assembly: GCF_000001405.40. Classification (NCBI taxonomy): domain Eukaryota; kingdom Metazoa; phylum Chordata; class Mammalia; order Primates; family Hominidae; genus Homo; species Homo sapiens. The sequence continues at coordinate 26,139,998 of NC_000001.11, forward strand.
TTGAGTGCCTTACATGCATCAACTCACATAATCCCCCACAACCCTGCAAGGTAGGTACCATTCTTCACCATTTTACAGATAAAGAAACAGAGGCACAGAGAGGTCAGATAACCCACCAAGGTCCGCAGAAAGTTTTAGAGCCAGGATGTGAAACACAGGGAGCCTTGGCCTTGGAGCTCATGATCTGAATCATCACAGACACAAGCACAGCTGCCTAGGTGGAAAACTGCTGGAAATGTGTGTTAGGAAAAAAGGTTGGATGAATAAAGGGTCTTCAAGACAAGCAGAAGAGGCCGGGCATGGTGGCTCACACCTGTAATCCCAGAACTTTGGGAGGCTGAGATGGGCGGATCACTTGAGGCCAGGAGTTCGAGACCAGCCTGGGCAACATGAGAAAGCCCCGTCTCTATGAAAAACGCAGGCCGGGCACAGTGACTCACACCTGTAATCCCAGCACTTGGGAGGGCAAGGCAAGCAGATCACCTGAGGTCAGGAGTTCAGCCTGGCCAACATGGTGAAACCCCGTCTCTACTAAAAATACAAAAATTAGCCGGGCATGGTGGCATGTGCCTGTAATCCCAGCTACTTGGGATCCTGAGGCAGGAGAATCACTTGAACCCAGGAGGCGGAGGTTGCAGTGAGCCAAGATCACACCACTGCATTTCAGCCTGGGCAACAGAACGAGACTGTCTGAAAAAAAAAAAGAAAGAAAGATAAAAAAAAAAGACAGGCAGAAAAATCTGAATTTGTGATCAAAGCTAAAAAATGAACGTGTCTTTTTGTTCAGCTTTTCTGCGCTGTAATATACAGCGGTCTTTATTGTAGGATCCATGGATAGATCTCAGAGAATCCCAAACCTCCTGAAGTTTTAGTGTCCTTGTATCAATGCACGTATTTCTGGGAAGATAGTCTAGAGTTTTTATCAGATTCTTAATGGCGGGGGGCAGTTCCTGTCCTCCAAGGGCTAAGAACATTGGAGTATGAATACCAATGGCTGAAGGCTCTGTTGAGCCACTTAGCTTTACTCTTGAAACTTGGAGCCAGGCCAGGCGCGGTGGCTCACCTTGTAATCCCAGCACTTTGGAAGGCCGAGGTGGGCGGATCACGAGGTCAGGAGATGGAGACCACGGTGAAACCCCATCTCTACTAAAAATACAAAAAATTAGCTGGGCGTGGTGGCGGGTGCCTGTAGTCCCAGCTACTCGGAGAGGCTGAGGCAGGAGAATGGCATGAACCCGGGAGGCGGAGCTTGCAGTGAGCCGAGATCGTGCCACTGCACTCCAGCCTGGGCGACAGAGCGAGACTCCGTCTCAAAAAAAAAAAAAAAAAAAAACTTGGAGCCTATGTTTCTTCATCTGTAAAACAGGAATAATAATATCTACCTTCATGAGTTGCAAAAATTAAATTATGTTATTATTATAAATCATAATATGCACAAGCCATACTGTATGAAACTCAAATTAAAATGTGCAAAGACTATAAAATATCATAAAACAAATGTGAGTTATGACAATGAAATCTGTGTTTTAATATTTTCCCAGTAGCCGGGTGTGATGGTTCATGCCTGTAATCCCAGCACTTTGGAAGGCCGAGGCGGGCGGATCACCTGAGGTCAGGAGTTCAAGACCAGCCTGGTCAACATGGTGAAACTCAGTCTCTACTAAAAATACAAAAATTAGCCAGGTGTGGTGGCAGGCGCCTGTAATCACAGCTACTTGGGAGACTGCGGCAGGAGAATCGCTTGAACCCGGGAGGCAGAGGTTGCAGTGAGCCGAGATCGTGCCACTGCACTGCAACCTGGGGGACAAGAGTGAGACTTCGTCTCAAAAAAAAGAAAAAAATTTCCCAGTAATATGATGAATTAGATACCCGAGTGATCCTTCTGATGATAAAAAACTAAATTATTGTATAAAGTTTTTAATTTTTTTTATTATGTTGCTGAGCTGCATGAAAGTAAGAAATAAGCCCCAAAATGAAGTGAAACCAGGAACTATGGAAAAAGGAAAGTAAATACCAACATCGTGTTTAACCCTCAGGATGCCTGCCAAACCCCAGAGACCTTAACATCCTCCTTTCATGTTTGCATAGGATACCTGGGGGACAGGAGATAAATCCCAAGGCTTCTCCAAAATGGGAACTCTTAATAGGAGACCCCGGAGGGTCATAACTACAGTGTAAGAGCTAAGGTAAAATAAATCGGCTGGGCGTGGTGGCTCACGCTTGTAATCCCCGCACTTTGGGAGGCTGAGGCAGGCAGATTGCTTGAGCTTACAAGTTGGAGACCAGCCCGGGCAACATGATGAAACTCCTTCTCTCCAAAAACTATAAAAAATTAGCTGGGTGTGATGGCGTGTGTCCACCAGGAGGCTGAGGTGGGAGGATGGTTTGAGCCCAGGAGGCAGAGGTTGCAGTGCGCTAAGATCATGCCACTGCACTCCAGCCTGGGCAATAGAGCCAGACTTTGTCTCAGAAAATAAATAAATAAATAAATAAATAAATAAACCATAGCGCTCAGATGGGAGGTCCAATGAAATCTTCCTATATCAACTCTGGCCCTGGAAAGAGAAGAAAATAAAATCACCTTTAAGAATTCATAGCTTTTGGCTAGGCGCGGTGTCTCAAGCCTGCAATCCCAGTACTTTGGGAGGCCGAGGCGGGCGGATCATGAAGTCAGGAGATCAAGACCATCCTGGGTAACATAGCGAAACCCTGTCACTACTGAAAAAAAAACAAAAATTAGCTGGGTGTGGTGGCATGTGCCTGTAATCCCAGCTACTCGGGAGGCTGAGGCAAGAGAATCGCTTGAACCCGGGAGGCGGAGGTTGCGGTGAGCTGAGATTGTGTCACTGCACTCCAGCCTGGTGACAAAGCTAGACTCTGTCTCAAAAAAAAAAAAAAAAAAGAATTCATAACTTTTGGCTGGATGCAGTGGCTCATGCCTATAATCCCAGCACTTTGGGAGGCTGAGGCAGACGGATCACCTGAGTTCAGGAGTTCAAGACCAGCCTGGCCAACATGGTGAAACCCCACCTCTACCAAAAATACAAAAATTAGCCGGGAGTGATGGTGCACACCTGTAGTCCCAGCTACTTGGGAGGCTGAGGCAGGAGAATCGCTTGAACTCGGGAGGCAGAGTTTGCAGTGAACTGAGCTCACACCACTGCACTCCAGCCTGGGTGACAGAGCAAGACTCCATCTCAAAAAAAAAAAAAAAAAAAAAACTTCATAACTTTCCAAGAAACAAAGAGTTCATAACTTTCAAGCCAGCTCTCTCATGAAATCCCAAGTCAAATCATATTACTATGTAATCCTAAAATCCTCAGAGAATTTAAAATTTAAAGTGATATGAGTTGGTAGTACTAGCACATTATTGACAGAAATCATTTCAAATTGTCTCTGAAGAAACTCAACTTCAACACAAGTCTAAAATAATTCCCACAGATTTCCAAACAACATGAGCAGCTAGTGACAAAAAATAACTGAACACAAGATAATAAGGGACCATGAGAAAGAACAAGCAGGATTGGGAGGCGGTGGAAACAGACCTTCAAAGATATTGAAATTATCAGACAGAATAAAAGATAATCTTGCTTAATATGTTTAAGGAAATAGGCCAGGCATGTGGCTCACACCTGTAATCCTAGCACTTGGGCGGTTGAGGCGGGCAGATCATTTGAGCTCTGGAGTTCCAGACCAGCCTGGGCAACATGGCAAAACTCCGTCTCTACAACACATACAAAAATTAGCCGGGCATCATGGCACCCACCGGTAGTCTCAGCTACTTGGGGACCTGAGGCAGGAGGATAGCTTGGGCCCAAGAGGTGGAGGCTGCAGTGAGCCGAGATCACACCACTGCACTGTAGCCTACGTGACAAAGTGAGACCCTGTCTCATTAAAAAAAAAAAGAAAAGAAGGACAGAAAGAAAGAAAGGACTTGATACTATGTGTTAGCAAGTAAATTTCCAAAAGAACCAAATACAATTTCTGAAAATGAAAAAATTATGCTAACTGAAATGGAAAACTCAGTAAACAGACTCATCATTAGGTTAGAATTGTTGAGATAACCATTAAAAAAACCAGACCTAGAACCAATAACCTCCAAACTAACAGTGGGGAAAAAAATCAATGTTTAAAAAAGTGTTTTTTAGGCTGGGTACGGTGGCTCACACCTGTAATCCCAGCACTTTGGGAGGCCGAGGTGGGAGGATCACTTGAGGTCAGGAGTTTGAGACCAGCCAGGCCAACATGGTGAAACCCCGTATCTACTAAAAATACAAAAATTAGCCGGGCATGGTGGCACATGCCTGTAATCCCAGCTACTTGGGAGGCTGAGGCAGGAGAATCGCTTGAACCCAAGAGTCAGAGGTTGCAGTGAGCCGAAATCACGCCACTACACTCCAGCTTGGGCAACAAGAGTGAGACACCATCTTAAAAAAAAAGTAGTTTTTTTTTTAAGAGAAAGGGAAAGTACAGCAAATAGAATGTACATTACAAATGAGTGAAATAAATAAAAATATAGCAATATCTACAAGTGGGCTAAATTCTCCAAAGATAAAGGATGTCAGACTAAATAAAAGAATAAAATCCACTATTAATATGTTCTGTTTACAAAGACAAATCTAAAATATCAGGACATAGATTGGCAAAGTTTAGAAAAAGAAATACTTGGCAAAAAAAAATGAGGATGAAATAGCTATATTGAAGCTAAAAGCATCACTAGAGATAGTTTCTACCTAATGATAAAAGTTCCATTCATCAGAGAAAGAGATAATATTTCTAAACTGGCACACATTTAATTAACACTGCCTGTCAACACTTCACTGTCTTTATTACTGTAGAATTAAATAAGTGAACCCTTAACATCATCCTTGGCACATAGCAAGTGCTTAATAAATGTCAGTGATAGCAGCAGCAGGAACATACTCTGTGACTGGTGAAGCCATTTGACTTCTATGAGCCTTAGTTACCTCTTCTGAAAAGTGGCCATAATAATAAATTATTTTTTCAAGTTGCTTTGCAAACCAAATGAGAATAATGTATGTGAAGATGTTTCATACACTACAGAGAACAATATAAACGCAGAAATCGCTGCTCTTATCAGTTAACTGGTATTACAAGCAGCAGTGTCAAGGTAAGCAACCATCTGAGCAGTCCCCAGGTGAAACAGCAGCTCTGAGGATGTCCAGGTGTGCGCAGCAAGACCAGGCAGCGGGGCGGCCCCCTATGCTAGTGAAGCTCAGGAAGAGCCCGTGGGCGAAGTGGTATCAGGAAAGCTTCTTGGAGGGTGAAGCCCGCCCTCTGGTGGATAACCCTTGTTCAAACTCAATCAGACGAGCTTTCCAGAGGTCCTTGGGGAAACCGTTCCTCAATCTGAGTCTCACATCTCCCCAATCCCATGGTCTTGCTTTCTGCAGATCTTCTGGGGTAGGGTGGGATAATTTTGGAAACAAAATTATTGTGACCTGTGCCTCATGGTGCCAAGCTCACCTAAACTCAGAGTCCTTCCGTTAGGGGCAGTCTTTAAACGGTAAGCAATTTACCATAGGTCCCCACAGTGCACCACTAGCCAAGGCTTGGACTCCCATCTCCCAGTGACCTATCCTTTTTAGATCACTAGGAATGGCAAGCGTGGCCTCTCTAGCTCAACCGACCAGGCTCGAAGGTCTGGAGTGACTATTGTCCATCTGCGTGTCCTGCATTAAACTGGAATGGCCTGACCTTTACACCCCACCTCCTTCAATCACCAGATACAGGCTGCCCTAGGAAGGGTGGGAGCTTGGCTGAGTGGGCTCTCAGCCACTGAGGCAGACCCTGAAGGAGGTGACAGCGGCAGGCCATCTGCTAACTGCACCCCCTACTAGTGGGCAGCAGTGGACACCATTGAAAGCTGCTGTCTACAAGAACCCGCCCATACACACTGAAGGCGCAGCCCCTTCAGAATTCCTCTGGCCCTCTTCCCAAGAGGGAACTTAGTGGAGGAACGCCAGTGGGACGAACTACAGCCCCCACCACGGCAGTCCGTCCTGGGGCTGCAGGTGATGGCCCTCATCTCCCTCCTCCTCCATTGGTTCTAGACTCCCCTCACCCTCAGCTGCCACTTCTGCTGGCCTCAGTGGCTCACGTGGTGGTGGGATCCAGACCTTCATCCCCAAGAAGCCTGAGCCCCTGGTCATCACGCCCTTCTCAGGCCAGAGTTGCATGACCTGTCCATTTGCAGTTATAGTGGAACAAAGGAACACCAAGAAGCACCTGAGCAGATCACCCTGGATCCACAGGGATCCTTCTTGCCCCCACTGTATAAGAGCAGCCTTATTCCTATTTATAATCAGGGTGAAACACCTGTGCCAATGCCAAGACAGGGGTGCCAAGACCCTGCTTCTTTTTTTTTTTTTTTTTTTTAAGACGGAGTCTCCCTCTGTTGCCCAAGCTGGAGCGTAGTGGTGTGATCTCGGCTGACTGCAACCTCTGCCTCCTGGATTCTCATGCCTCAGCCCCCATGTAGCTGGGACCACAGGCGCGCGCCACCACACCCGACTAATTTTTGTATTTTTAGTAGAGACAAGGTTTCACCATGTTGGCCAGGCTAGTCTCGAACTCCTGAACTCAGGTGATCCATCCACCTCACCCTCCCAAAATGCTGGGATTACAGGCATGAGCCACTGTACCCAGCGACCCCTGTTCTTGATGGCTAGTCCTGGACACAAGCAGCTCAGAGCACCCAGGAGGTAGACACTGGTTATAATTTAATGCAGATCTGTTTTTCTTTTTCTTTCTTTTTTTTTGAGGGTAGGGGGATGGGGGTCTTACTATCTTGGCCAGGTTGGTCTTGAACTCCTGGCCTCAAGTGATCCTCCCACCTCGGCCTCCCAAAGTGCTGGGATTACAGGCATGAGCCACCATGCTCAGCCCTTCAATACATATCTTTTTGGGAAAAATGTGCCCCCTTGTAGGACCAGGACCTCTAACCCTGCAGAGCCCAGAGTTGCAGGGCTGGCAAGTACAAAGTCTCCCTCTGGGCCACTGGAGTAACAGTAAGTGGGGTCACTCTTCCTTCCACCCCTTGGTTCCTGTACTCCTTTTTTCTTCCTGTACATCTTTCTTCTTCTCCTTTTTTCTTCTCCTGTACTTCTTTTTACTCATCCAAGGAAGGGCCTGCTGCCCATCTGCAGGGAGAGTAGGCAGCTGACTGCCTATGGCCATCACCTCCCTCAGGGTCTGCCTCAGCTGCTGAGATCCGCCTTCCCCAAGGTCATGCTCTTCCCAGGGCAGACCACCTCTGGTGATTGAGGGAGATGAGAGTACCAAGTTCTGGCCTTTTGACCCAAAGTGGGACACTGATGGGCAATCCTCACTCCAAAGCATCGGCTGAGCAAAGACCTTTATCTTTTTGTTTTCTTTTTTTCTTCATTTTCTTAAAACAGAGATGGGGTCTTGCTACATTGTCCAGTCTGCTCTCAAGGTCCTGGGCTCAAGTGATCCTCCCACCTCGGCCCCCCAGAGTGCTGGGATTATAGGCATGAGCCACCGTGCCAGCCTGAACAAAGACCATGTAAACATGGCATTGGGTAAATACAAAAATTAGCTGGGTGTGGTGGTGCACACCTGTAATCCCAGCTACTTGGGAGGCTGAGGCAGGAGAATCACTTGAACCCGGGAGGTGGAGGTTGCAGTGAGCCGAGATTGCGCCACTGCACTCCAGCCTGGCTACAGAGCGAGACTCTCTTAAAAAAACAAGTCTTAAAGGAGGGGAAGGAGTCAGCAAAGCACGTAACTGAAGGAAAAGCATTCCTAGCAGAGTCCACAGGCCCCCAGGTGGAGCGTGGTTGTTGTGTTAGAGGAACAGACAAGGAAGACATGTGCATCTGGACAGGGAGGATGGCAGGCGGGGAGGGCAGGGAGCTCACAGGGCGTGGCCACGGGAAGCCTGCAGGCTGCTAAGGATTTGTCTTTATCTCGAGTGAAATGGGGAACCTTTTTCAGAGTTTTGAGCAGAGAAGTGACATGACTGATATATTTTTAAAGAATTGATCTAGAGTGGCATTGAGAATAGACTCTATGCAGGATGAGGTTAGAAAGAGAGAGACTTACTAGAGACTACCACAGCTGGGTGCGGTGGCTCACGCCTGTAATCCCAGCACTTTGGGAGGCCCAAAGCAGGTGGATCACTTGAGGTCAGAAGTTCGAGACCAGCCTGGCCAACACGATGAAACCTCACATCTACTAAAAATACAAATATTAGCTGGGTGTGGTGGTGGGTGCCTGTAGTTCCAGCTACTCAGGAGGCTGAGGCATGAGAATCACTTGAACTGGGAGGCGGAGGTCGCAGTGAGCCAAAATTGAACCACTGCACTCCAGCCCAGGTGACAGAGTGAGACTCCATCTCAACAAATAAAAATAAAATAATAGAGACGACTACAGTCCCAGGCAAGAGGGGACGGTGGCATGGACCAGGGCAGAAGGAGTGGAGCAGGAGAGAGTGCTCTAAATCTGGATGGATTTCAAAGATACAGCCTACAGATGCTGATGTATCAGATGTGGAATGAAAGAGAGAGAGACAGGTCAAAGGTTAGCCAAAAGGTTAGCCCTGGCCTGAGCAATTGGACAGGTGCTGAGTTAGGGAAGGTTTGAATGAGATGAGGAAGTCAGTGGCAGAACAGGTTTGTGAAAGAGCGAGGTTTTTCCGTAGTTTTGGACATGGGAATCTTGGGTTTCCAGATACTAGCATTACTTTAAGGCCAACATCTAGTACTTCCTAAATGGTCTGAATTGCCCCTTCCTTCTTCCTTGGGGGAAGTTTTACAGTACGTACATGTGGCAGTGCTGTGAGGTCCTTCTTTAAGGGACCTGGCCTCCTGTTCAATCAGAGCTTCAGGTCTGTGGACTGGCTGAGATCTGGAAATCAGCTGAGAGGCTGAGATGCTCCTTCATGACAATTCAAGTCAGGCCTCTGGCCATGACATGGAGGCTTTTCTGTTTTATAACTCAATAACATTTAACACACTGCTCATCCACTTCATTCCTAGGGACACTCCAGTCAAAGATCCCTGCAAGTCACAGGGTTCTGGTTGTCACTCCATCCCACTGCATGTTACAGTGAAGGCCCCTTGACTCTGGCAGTTCAGCTCTGCCACTTGGCTTCTGCCCCTCTGGGACCCCATCACCCCCAATGAGATCAGAGAGCCCATCTCAGTGGTGGCCTCTTCCAATATGCCCAAGAACAAAGGACATCCACCATAAAATTTGTCAAGGATGCAGATGTTACTGTCAATAATGCTTTCTCAACTCCTAGGTGAAGAGCGTATCCTCTGGGCCCTCTCAGGGAATCCACAGAGGGATTGGGGTACATGCACTCAGAGGGATCAGGGAATCCACAGAGGGATCAGGGAATGCACTCAGAGGGGTCGGGGAATCCACAGAAGGATCGGGGAATGCACTCAGAGGGATCAGGGAATCCACAGAGGGATCGGTGTATAGGCACTCAGAGGGATTGGGGTATATGCACTTTCTTTTTTTTTTTGAGATGGAGTGTCATTCTCTCTCCCAGGCTGGAGTGCAGTCGCATGATCTTGGCTCACTGCAACCTCCACCACCCCAGGTTCAAGCAATTTTCCTGCCTCAGCCTCTCGAGTAGCTGGGACTACAGGCATGCGCCACCACGCCCAGCTACTTTTTGTATTTTTAGTAGAGACAGGGTTTCACCATGTTGGTCAGGCTGGTCTGGAACTCCCGACCTCAGGTGATCCACCCACCTCAACCTCCCAAAGTGCTGGGATTACAGGCGTGAGCCACTGTGCCTGGCCCACAGACTTTCATCTAAGTTTTCTCCAATATTCTTGTCTTTTGAGACCTTAGGAATTTAGCCAGGTGTCTCAACCTCACTGATATAGGTCACGTTGAGTACTAATCTCAGTTGACCAAACAAGCAAACTATTAGAGCTACTTTCAGCTGCAAGAGGTAACCCATTAAATCTAGAATCTCTAATAAGAGCATTCATACCAATAAATTCAGATTGATCCAGTGTTCTCTTCTTTCCTCCATGACTCTAGCCCAGATCTACTAACTTAGGGTCTCTGAGAACGAGAGCCTGGCATTAGCCTTGTTATCAAGCTCCCCATGTAAATTTTTTTTTCTCTCTCTTTTTTAATTGTAGAGACAGGGTCTCACGATGTTGCCCAGGCCAGTCTCAAACTCCCAGGCTCAAGTGACCCTCCTGCCTCGGCCTCCCAAAGTGCTGGGATTACAGGCATGAGCCACCACACCTGGCCTCCACATACATTTTTATGTAGCCAACTGGAATCCACCCAAGGAATGGCATTTGGGAACCCTGAGTCTAATCCACTTCCCTCCTTTCAACAGATCAGAAACTAGAGGCTCAAGAAAGTGACTTGCTCTAGACAAACAGTGAGTTAATGGTAAAGTCAGGACCAGAACTTTGGTCTCCTGACTTCTTAGGGGAATGTCTACTGCACTTCCAGAACAGCTTTAAACAAACCTGGAAGTATTTGGTCAGCATACCTTCCAAATTACCATGGAGATGGATTGGATGGTGAGCAAACTGAGGTTGTACATGTTCAGCGTTACAACCGTCATGAAAAAGGTGATCCTAGTTTAGGAGGGAATGATGTGCTTCTTTCAGGTTTATTTCAGTTGTAAGTGACTGAAAAATTAACCTGACAGAGTTAAGCCTGGGGATTGCCTTCCTTGGGTATAAAAGGGTAATTCCCCAGGGTTGGATATGTTCACTGTGACAAACACCTCCCTGATCATAGCTCAGTGCCCTCCTTAGAACTGGATAGAGGGGCCCCTGCCCTTTAAAGGACCCCATAACCCAGGTGTGGTGGTGCTGTGCCTGTAGTCCCAGCTACTCAAAAGGCTGAAACTTGAGCCCAGGAGTTCAAGGTTGCGGTGAGCTATCATCATGCTACTGCACTCCAGCCTGGGTGACAATGAGATCCTGTATCCAAAAATAAGTAAATAGGCCGGTGTCTCACGCCTGTAATTCCAGCACTTTGGGAGGCTGAGGCGGGAGGATCACCTGAGGTCAGGAGTTGGAGACCAGCCTGGCCAACACGGTGAAACCCCGTCTCTACTAAAAATACAAAAATTAGCTAGGCATGGTGGTGGGCGCCTGTAATCCCAGCTACTCTGGAGGCTGAGGCAGGAGCATCACTTGAACCCAGGAGACAGAAGTTGCAGTGAGCTGAGATCACGCCACTGCACTCCAGCCTGGGCAACAAGAGCAAAACTCCATCTCAAAAAAAAAAAAAAAAGTAAATAAATAAACAAAAATGAAAATAAAGGACCCCATATATCAAAAGCATCCAGAAAGGAACTTATTAAAAATCCCCTGGGACTCTGTCACGCAGGACCCAGTGCTCAGTGCCGCACAGTGGAAGCTGTAGCTCTCGACATCTGCTCTCACACCTAATTCCATTCAATCCAGAGAAACACATGCTTAACAACAAACAACCAAACACCATGCTTCTCCACATGTCTTGCCCTGTGTCCTTGAAGCAGAAGCCTACTGCATCCGAATGCCAGGAAAGTTAGTGTGTGGTGCTGCTGCTATTGTTGCAGAAAGAGCTGTTTGGAAGGTGGGAAAGACTCAGTGGTGGAAGCACTCAGGTAAGAGAAAAGACATCAATTAACTCATCAAATCCGTCCTCTCTGAGAGCAGGAGTGCTGTAGATTCTTGCATAAGAAAGTGTTGTTTCCCAGCAGTGCTGTGTCCATTTTCTCGATTCACCTCGTGTTCCAACTTGTAGCACAGCCCAGTATCCCCCGTTATACGCAGTTTAACTTTCCACAGTTTCAGTTACCCACAGTCAACGGTAGTTGGAAAATATTAAATGGAAAATTCCAGAAATAAACAATTCATAAGTTTTAAGTTGCATGCCGTTGTGAGTACAGTGATGAAATCACAGGCCATCCCTCTCCATCCCTTCTCCATCACAAGAAGCATAATACAATAAGATATTTTGAGAGACCACATTCACATAACTTTGTTTTTTTTTTTCAGAGACAGAGTCTTGCTCTATCGCCCAGGCTAGAGTGCAGTGGTGTGATCTCAGCTCACTGCAACCTCAGCCTCCCAGGTTCAAGCTATTCTCCTGCCTCAGCCTCCTGAGTAGTTGGGACTACAGATGCATGCCACCACCCTCGGCTAATTTTTGTATTTTTAGTAGAGACGGGGTTTCACTATGTTGGCCAGGCTGGTCTCGAACTCCTGACCTCGTGGATCTGCCCACCTCGGCCTCCCAGAGTGCTGGGATTACAGGTGTGAGCCACCATGCCCGGCCTTGAATAACTTTTATTGCAGTATATTGTTTTGTTATATTTCATTATGGGTTTTTGTTATTAATATCTTACTGTGCCTAATTTATAAATTAGACTTCATCATAGGTATGTATGAATAGGAAAAAATATAGTATATATAGGCTTTGGTAATAGCTGTGGATGCAGGGATCCCTTGGGGGTCTTGAAATATATCCCTCTCGGATAAGGGAGGACTACTGCATTTTCAAAAGAAGCATAGAATGGCTGAGGAACATTCTGCAACATGAAACAATTCATTTTACTCGTAAATTTGTAAGTGAAGGCTAGGCATAATATGCATGAAGCATGGTGCCAATTCCTTACTATTAATTCATGAATCTAGGTTTGCTTTATGAGATGTGAAAATTATGATGTAAGAGATAGGCGTGTATGTGATGACATTGACATATCTTGTAATGTGTCCTGTGTTCACCATCATTTATCATATGTACTCCATTTCAACATTTAAACCTGTTATGTAACATTCATAGTTCCTCTCTAAATTTAAATATTACTTTAATAGTTTCCTTTTTTTTTTTTTTTTTTTTTTTTTGAGACAGAGTCTCACCCTGTCGCCCAGGCTGGAGTGCAGTGGCGTGATCTTGGCTCACTGCAACCCCCGCCTCCCGGGTTCAAGCGATTCTTCTGCCTCAGTCTCAGGAGTAGCTGGGACTATAGGTGTGTGCCACCACGTCCGGGCTAATTTTTGTATTTTTAGTAGAGATGGGGTTTCACCATGTTGGCCAGGCTGGTCTCAAACTCAAGTGATCCACCTGCCTCCGCCACCCAAAGTGCTGGAATTACAGGTGTGAGCCACCCTGCCCACCCTTTATTTTGATTTCTAGTTGCTAATATCTCAGCAGAGCAATGTTTCTCTAAATTGAAACTAAAAAAGAAAAAAACAAACAAAAAACACCCCAACACAGATATAGGAGAGGTTGTCTAATTAGGCATTACTGTCAGTAGAATACAAATTATGTGAGACTTGATTACAGCAACACAATTATTAATTTTGCTGAAATCAAGGCAAGAAAAATAAATTTTACAGGATAAAGATATAATTTATACCTTATATGCTCTTTGTTTTCTTACTCACCCAACATTACTGGCCCTTTAACAGAACACCCATATGTGTTCAATACTAATTAAATTCAGTCACCTTTGACATCTTGCCAACTCTCTCTGTTTCAAAAAATTTAAAAATAGTTGGTGTTTTTTTCTTTGAGTTAGGGTCTTGCTCTGTCACCCAGGCTAGAGCGCAGTGGCACAATCATAGCTCGTTGAAGGCTTGATCTACCGGGCTCAGGTGATCCTCCCATTTCAGCTTCCCAAGTAGCTGGGACTACAGGTGTGCACACCACCATGCCTGGCTAATATCTTTTATTATGATTTGTAGAGATGGGTCTCCCTGTGTTGCCAGGCTGGTCTCAAACTTCTGGGCTCAAGGGATCCTCCCTCCTCCACCTCCCAAACGGCTGTGATTACAAGTGTGAGCCACCACACCTGGCCATATTTTTTAACATTGCCATTATGAAGATATATATTGTCAATGTAGGAGGATGATAGATTTCTTGCCAACTCATTCCATGAGAAACTCTGTTTCTTTTCCATGTGTTCCCCTATTTTACTTAGTCTAGATGAGATGTTTTTTGTTCCTTGTACTCAATCTAAAGGAACTGTGATGAAGACATGTAAGTGGAAGGTGAGATGGTGGAGGTGGAGAGGTGGTGGCTGAGGTGGAGATGACGAGAATGGCAGTTGGGACTGTCTTCATGCCCATCCTTGCCTCAGTCCAGAAGACAGAGCAAGCAAGGCAGGGAGGCCAGCAGGCAGTGAGAACAGATTTGCTCTAGCCCTGCCTGAGCCACATAGGGGCGGACAGCTCTCCCTCGAGGTTAAAGCCCCAGCTCTACCATCTGCAAGCTGTGTGACTGTGGGTGAGTTATTATACCTCTCTCTGCCTCTGTTTCCTCATGTATAAAAGTGAGCTAGTAATAACACCCACCATTTCACATAGGATTTTGTAAGAAGTCAGCAGGGCACTGAGTGTGAAGCACTTGGCATAGTGCCTAGCATATAGGGAACAGTAAATGTAGTTGGTTTTGTTATTCTGACACTATGCTGGAGACTCCGTGAGAGCAGAAATCTTATCTTATTCACTTTGTTCACTAGCAACACATAATTACTCAGGAAAAAAAATGCTTAGGCTGGGCTCGGTGGCTTATGCCTTTAATCCCAGCACTTTGGAAGGCCAAGGTGGGAGGATCACTTGAGGCCAGGAGTTCGAGACCAGCCTGGCCAACATAGCAAAACCCCATCTCTACAAAAAAAATACAATAATTAGCTGTGTGTGATGTTGCACACCTGTGGTCCCAGCTACTTCAGAGTCTAAGGCAAGAGGATCACTCAAGCCTGGGAGGTCGAGGCTGCAGTGAGCCGTGATCACACTACTGCACTCCAGCTTGGGCAAATGAGCAAGACTCTGCCTCAGAAAAAAAAAAAAGAAGAAAAGAAAAAAGAAAAAAACTTAATGGCATCTTCCTTCCCATTCTCCCCCTGCCCCCTCCTCCGTGAGTCTTGGGCGGTGGGTGTGGGGCCTGGCTCTGCCCAGAGGCCACACCCCTCAGAGGGAGCGCAGGCACTGGGGCCAGGCTATTGTTGTGGCTGAGATTCTTTCCGAAACGGAAAGCCCTGAATTAGAGGACGGCTGCTCTAATCTCTGTGGGGGGCTTCTCCTGTGGCCTTGGGGCCTGGCAGATGCGCCTACCCTCTCCCCAACTCTTGTTTCAAGAAACCCCAGTCCCCTCCCTGAGCCCTTCCCTTCCCCGAGCTCCCATCTTTTCTCTAAGTCCCCTCGAGCCCCTTCTCTCAGTCTGAGCCTACCCATCTATTCACAAACCCCATCACTTCTCTGCACCCCATCTTCTCTCTTATGCCCTCCCACCTTCTCTCCCGCTCCTCCCTCTCTCACTCTCCGCGACCCTTCCCTGGCCTCTTGCCCTCACTGAGACCTGGCGCCTGCAGTGCTCTCGGCCCAACACTCTCTCTGTCTCCCCCAAACCCAGTCAAAAATCCCTTCCCAGTAGGGCTCAGATACCCCTCCTCTTTGAAGCTTCCCACCCCACCCCGGGCAGAAGAGGTCACCATCCCCTCTGCTGTGTTCATCTTGGTTGCAGTAGCACTGGTCTCTCACCAGTCGTGGTGAAGCTTCCTGCCTCTGCCACCAACTGAGAGCAAAACCACGTTGGATCCATCTGCAGACCCCATGGCACAGTGCAGGTGTTCTCGGTGATTTGCTGCCGGCAGCTGTGAGCAAGACTGGGATTAGGAAAAGAGATGCGGGCCAGAAGTGCAGCAAGGAGTTGGTAAAGGGCGAAAGCTGAAGTCAGATTCATCTAACTTGCACCTTGCGGATTGCAGGCCCCACATTCCAGAGCACCTTGCGGTTGGTTGCAGGCTCCACTTCCCTGCATCTCCAAGCCACACAGGAGCTGGGTCTCACCATTCCCGCCTGACACAGAAGGAAACTCAGAGAGGTTAAGTTCTTGCTCAAGCCCACACAGCCAGCGAGAGGTAGACTAGGGCTGGAATCAAAGGTAGGGCTGAGGTGTGGGGGCTGTAGCCAGCTAGTGAAGGGGGTGACACACGTTTCCTCCGTGACAATGTGGGCATGGGATGTGAGACTGGATCTGAAGGCCTCCCTGACCTGGCTGGTTATTCCCGACACTGACCAGAGCTGCTCCCCCATCCTTCCACCACCCTCTCCTGGAAGGAGACGTTCTGACTCAGGCCCATTCCCGATCTCCATCCCCAAGGTGATCTGGGAATGAGGCAGGAAGTAGGAAGGAAACACCCCAAGACTCGCTTCCCCCTTGCCTGAGGTCCTGGCTCTAGGGCCGGAAAGAGCTACTTTAAGGTAGTCCCAGGGGACCCACAACCAGAAACAGGGACGGTCCGGTTCATGGCGAGGGTGGCTGGGAGCCGAGGCCAGATAGATGCAGCCCACCTCATCTTCTCATCCGCCCCCACCTCCCCTCTCCTCTGCTGACTTTTTCAGGGCCCCCTTACCCAGAAAGCCGATCCAATTTGACCTCTCCTCCCTGACCCTGCGCTGCCCACAGGGTGGAAGGTCTGTGCCTGTCTCCCAGGATTCTGTCCATTGGCATCAGGGTAGGGGTCTGTTGCCCTCACACTGACAGCTCCTGAGAGCAAGGCTGCTTAGCCCTCCCCCAGCCCCCACCAGAGATCCCTGAGGGCAGAGCTGTGCCACTTCTGTCTCACTGGGGGCTCCCAGAGCTGGGGCTGTCTCCCCTCCCTGACAAAACCCTCCCGAGCAGAGGTGGGGGCACTTCCGACTGAGGGCTTTGGCGTGGAGGACTGAGTCACCCTTGTCAGACCAGAGCTGCCCCAGGGTGTCACCTGCGTTGCACCCTGAGTCCCCTCTTTCTGTAGTCCAGCATCTGTCCTCGATCCCTAGAAGGGAGCTGTGAAGGGGCCCCTACCGGTCCTACCACCCAACCTGGATGCTCCTTTAAGACCAAAGGGATGGGGGTTGCAGAGTCAGACACAACAGCCCCATCCTCCCCCCAGGCGGCGGGCCAGGTTTCCTGCCATTGACAGCATCCCAGCTGGCCCTGCCCACCTCCCATGCTTAACCCCTTCCTGACCAGATCTCAGAGCCAAGCTGGCACCCTCAGCCTTCACCTAGAAAGTTAGGAGAATGAAAGTGACTTTTTTTGTTTTTCTTTTTTGCAGCTTTGTCACCCAGGCTGGAGTGCAGTGGTGTGATCTTGGCTCACTGCAACCTCCGCCTCCTGGGTTCAAGTGATTCTCCTGCCCCAGCCTCCCTAGTAGCTGAGATTACAGGAGCGCACCACCACGCCCAGCTAATTTTTGTATTTTTAGTAGAGACAGGGTTTCGCCGTGTTGGCCAGGCTGGTCTCCAGCTCCTGGCCTCAAGTGATCGGCCCGCCTTCACCTCCCAAAGTGCTGGGATTACAGGTGTGAGCCACCTCGCCCGGCCCGAAAGTGCCATTTCATCGGGTTGTTTTGAGGATTAAATATGTTAATCCTTATGTGAGGTACTTAGAATAGCCCCTAACATATATTAATCTCTCAATAAAAGTTAGCTATTGGCCGGGAGAGGTGGCTCACACCTGTAATCCCAGCACTTTGGGAGGCCGAGGCCGGCAGATCGCAAGGTCAGAAGTTCAAGATCAGCCTGAGCAACATGGTAAAACCCTGTCTCTACTAAAAACACAAAATTAGCCAGGCACTTGCCTGTTATCCCAGCTACTCGGGAGGCTGAGGCAGGATAATCGCTTGAACCCAGGAGGCGGAGGTTGCAGTGAGCCAAGATCACGTCACGGCACTCCAGCCTGGGTGACAGAGTTTGGTGAGCTTGGATAAGTCATTTCTCCTCTCTGAGCCTCAGTCTCTTCAGCCGTAAGTGTGAAAAATAATAAAACCTCCCCCAAAGATTGTCATGGGGATTATGACAAAGCAGCTAATGGCATTTTGAAAAGTGCTGTAGCAACAAAATATGGAACTATCACCAACAAAATCCCCCCTTTAGGTAATAAAAACCTTTTACCGGGAGATGGGCCTTGGGTTTTCAGACCCACTACTGACTTGACAGGCAGAGGATGCAGTTCCAAATGTGGATTTGGAGCTGGGCTTTGGGCATCTCTCTCCCCCCTCAGCTCCTGTTTCCTTACTCATTAAGTGGGGGGTCATTCCTGCTGGACGCCTGTCTAGGGTCCTTGTTTGGGGGCGGTCAAAGGAGATCAGAGAGCACAGACGGGAATGTGCTTTGCAAACATGAAAGAGGGCTAGAAAGGAGGAGGAGGGACTTGGGGAAGGTGGCCAGCCAAGGGGGGAAAGGAACCTTTGGCCTGAGCACTGGTCTTAGTCTGGGCTGGAGAGTTTAGTTTGCCTGCTGGGGAGAGGGGAGGTGTCTCCTATGAGGTAGGGTTTCACCTTGAGACATAAGGTGTCAGAGAAGAAACTCTGATGGAAGAAGCTCTAAGAGGCTCCAAGTGTGGGCAGAGAAGGAAGCGGGCCAAAGGACCTGGGCTTGGCCCTGGAATCAGCCCCTCATCACTGTCTTCCCAGGCAATCCCATCTGCCATGAAAGGACCTTGGCAGAGGCAGCTCCAGTGGGCTCCAGGGTCACCTTCATGACAAGACTTGCCGCCACAGGCTCACCTGCACATCTATAGCACCAATGCCCCCACCCTTAGGCTGCAGATTCCTGGTCTCGCCCCCAGGGAAAGCAGGCTTGACACCACCCAGCACCCAGACCAAGACAGGTCTCAGCCTGCTACAGAGGGAAAAAAGCAAGTTGACTAGAACCCTGTTCTGCCTTCCCATTCAGACTGTCAGAGCATCTGCCACAGCCCAGGGAGGGGGCTGATCCCACATACGGAGCCCCCACCCCAGGCCTTTGGAGGAAGCCTGGGGATCAGGAGGCCTTGTTTGGAGTCCTGGCTCTGCCCAAGCTCACAGTGCTTCCACAGCCAATCACCTAACCGGGCTGGGACTGTTTGACCATCTGTAAAATAAAAGGAGCTGGACTTGGTTCACAGGTCTCCACAGCGCAGGACTGTGATCAGGAAAGAGTTAATGGAGGCCAGGATCTGCCTCAGGAAGGCGAGGGTTAATTTGGGGGGCGGGGGGTGGAGGCTTTCTCTGCTTTTCCTGTGGAGAGTGAGGTTTGGCTGCCACCAAAGTTACTTCTAGTCCTTGCTGTCCACTCCTGCCCTCAGTCTGGACCTGCCCAAGGACCCCTGCAATTAGGCCTCCCATGCAGAGGTGAGTGTACCCTGAGCCCAGGGCTGGGGTAAGAAGGAACCCAGGGGCCTGAGGGCAGGGAGACTGGTGCCAAACTAGTGAGCCTAAAAGATGGCCCATGCCCAGAGCAGAAGCCTTGGGCAGAGTTGAGACCACAAGTTTCAGGACTGGGAGAAGGCAGGCAAAGGAATGGAGGGCCCGAGGCTGCCTGCCAGGCTTCTAGGGCGGGATGTCTGAGGTCCGGCCTCCAGGCTAGCCCAGAAGGCAGGGAAGAGGCTGTGGATGACAGACTATTTTGGTCCTTGTGATTAGGAACTTTTTATAGTCTCCCTGCTCAGGGCTGGGGAGAAGAGGAGAGGACAGAGGGCACCCATGGGGTCAGACAAGCAGTGCCTTCCTGGGACCTTGGAATCTGACCCACTGCCAAGGAGACTCCCTGGGAGACAGGGAGGGGGACACTGCCAGACTCTCCTTGGTTCCCAGGCCTCAACTACCTATGAGCAGACTGACTACACACTAGATGCTGGGTGCAGGGGTGGGCTGGACCTGGCAGGGTCTCTGCCCCAAGGCCTCTCACAGACTCCTTCCCCACTTCCCTGGCTAATTCTGTTCCTTTGTTGTCCCCAGATCCAAGGTCCCTCAGCCTCCAGGACTCAGGGGGAGTAGGGGAAGATAGGGGTGGGGTCGGGTGTGCAGGGCCATGTGGGTGGCCCATTCTGTTACTGCCAAGAGAACTGTCAGCTCTTGATTTACAACCCCTCCTCGCTCCTTGCCCCAGCAGAAGGGAGGTGGAAAAGGGTCATGAGGTCTTAGGATAAAAAAGGGACAAGGACCCTGGGGGCAAATTTCTGGGAGTGGGAGCGCAGGTTATTAGGAAGAATTAGTGGAAGGAACTTTTTAGTGAGGCAAGGGGCCCATTTCTAACGGAAATTGCTTGGTTTTATAGCAGCGGGAATACACGCAAAATATCAGTGAGTTCTTTTTTTTTTTCTTTTTTTTTTTTTGAGACGGAGTCTCGCTCTGTTGCCCAGGCTGGAGTGCAGTGGTGCGCGATCTCGGCTCACTGCAACCTCCGCCTCCCAGCTTCAAGCGATTCTCCTGCCTCAGCTTCCCAAGTAGCTGGGATTACAGGTGTGCGCCACCCCGCCTGGCTAATTTTTGTATTTTCAGTAGAGATGGGGTTTTGCCATGTTGGCCAGGCTGGTCTGGAACTCCTCACCTAAGGTAATTCACCCACCTCGGCCTCCCAAAGTGCTGGGATTACAGGCATGAGCCATCGCGCCTGGCCTCAGTGGGAAGTTCTGATAGGCAAGTGAGAGATCCAATCTGAACTGCAAGGCAAGAAACCTGGGTGACAAAGCAAGACTCCGTCTAAAGAAAAAAAAAAAAGAAACCTGGGTTCCAGTCCTGGCTCCTAACTCTCAATAGGACCTGAGCAAGCCCCCCTCCTCTCCAAGCCAGTTTCCTCTTCATGAAATGGAAATGCAAAGGTTAAACAAGGTGATGTTTACAGTTTGGCATTCTGCGATCCCCTTGGCAGGGGCAGAGTAGCTGGCAGTAGCTGATAGGGCCTGGGGACCACCTCCCTCTCCTGCCCCGATGGCCCTGCTGGGCCTGGGCAGGGCAGTTGGCTGCAATTACTGGAGGCTCCTACCCTGTGGTTATATCCCCGACCTCGGTGTTTGGGGGCGGGAAGGGTGGGCCCTGCTGGAGCCAGCCTGTGGCTGGGAGCCTTCTTGTCTTGGGCTCAAAGCTGCTGGGTTGGGAAGAGGTATTTTTTCCGGTTGAAGCCACTTTCAGGAATTGGGCCGGGACCAGCCCTGTTTCCTTTTCCAAGTGTCCTGCTTGCTAAGGCCTGCTTGCACGACCCTGTGGCCAGATTGGGGCACCTTCAAAGGGGAATATGTTTCTGAGTGGCCAGAGAGACCCCACTCAATGTCTCTGAAGGACAGGGAAAGGGGATGGCCTGAGCCTCTGCTCCCTGGATGTGGCACCGGCTAACCTGGATGGGAGAGGGTGGCTGACTGATCCTATACTGAGGAATGCCGGCAGGAGAGGACCAGGGGCATTTCCTACCCTTCCCCTGACCTTCCTCTCTCCCTGCAGGTCAGTGAGAGCCCAAGCCAATTGCTCTAGGCCCCGTGGCTGGCTACTTATGGGGCACTGTCCTGACCAGCTCTGCTAAGATGCTCCTGGCCCCTCCCTCCACCCCGTCCAGAGGACGGACCCCCAGCGCCGTGGAGAGGCTGGAAGCCGACAAAGCCAAGTATGTCAAGACGCACCAGGTGATAGCTAGGCGACAGGAGCCAGCCCTGCGTGGGAGTCCTGGGCCGCTCACGCCGCACCCCTGCAACGAGCTGGGGCCCCCTGCATCGCCCAGGACGCCCAGGCCGGTCCGCCGGGGAAGCGGCAGGCGGCTGCCGAGGCCTGATTCCCTCATCTTCTACCGCCAGAAGCGGGACTGCAAGGCTTCGGTGAACAAAGAGAACGCCAAGGGCCAGGGTCTGGTGCGGCGCCTCTTTCTGGGTGCCCCGCGGGACGCTGCCCCGAGCAGCCCGGCCTCCACAGAGCGACCTGCGGCTTCAGGGGGTTGGGCTGCGCCCCAGGATGCCCCGGAAGCGGCGGGAAAGCGGGCGCTGTGTCCCACGTGCTCGCTGCCCCTGTCGGAGAAGGAGCGCTTCTTCAACTACTGCGGCCTGGAGCGCGCGCTGGTGGAGGTGCTGGGCGCAGAGCGCTTCTCCCCGCAGAGCTGGGGAGCCGACGCCAGCCCGCAGGCCGGAACTTCGCCGCCGCCCGGCTCCGGGGACGCCAGCGACTGGACATCCAGCGACAGGGGCGTGGACAGCCCGGGCGGCGCGGGCGGCGGCGGCGGCTCGGAGGCAGCGGGCTCGGCGCGGGACCGGCGCCCCCCGGTGTCGGTGGTGGAGCGCAACGCGCGCGTCATCCAGTGGCTGTACGGCTGCCAGCGCGCCCGCGGACCGCCGCGCGAGTCCGAGGTGTGACCGCCGCGGCTCCGGACTGGCCCCGGGACTGGCCCCGGGCACGGAAAAGGACACCCCTCTTCTGGCGCGCTGGGTGCCTTTGCGTAAGCCCTTCCTTCTGGAACTCAGTTTCGCGTCTGAACCTTGGGGAGGTGGAACAAGTTGCTGCCGAAGGCCCTTCCCTGCTCCCGCGGCGAAGGGGGAGGGAGAGGCCTCTTGGTCCCTGTGGAGACCCGGTCTGGGGAGTCACGATTGGGGTGGGAGATGAGCAAACCTGCTGAATAAAGTTAAAACGTTATTTAAATGGGGAGCTGAGGAAGGAGCAAACGGGTTTTCGCGGTTAAACCCGTGGGTTTTGGAATGTGTGTTCCCGGCTGTGTGATCCTGGGCAAGAACTTGACCTCCCTGGACGCAGCGGCACCCCTCGGTTATTAAGGAGGGAGGAGTAGGGGATAGAAGTATTTCAAAATAGTTGTAATGCGCATGGCAAAGTGCCCAGCATATAGAAAGTGCTCAATAAACGATAACTGCTGTGACTTCTACCGAATGAGTACTAACACTGTTGTGATCTCCACTGGCCTCCAGGTCGATCCAAACTAGAGCTGGGAGCTGGGAATAATGCGCTTTGGGAGCCCGAGGAGGCGTCTGCTCCAGAAATCTGGGCTCCACCAGATCCTAAAAGGCCCCATTCCCGGAGTTTTGCTGCCCCAGTTGTGGTCACTGGGTATGAAGGGCTGAGATCCAACCTTTCGGACACAAAAAGAAGGGAACCGGGCCGGGCGCGGTGGCTCAGGCCTGTAATCCCAGCACTTTGGGAGGCTGAGGAGGGTAGATCACGAGATCAGGAGTTCGAGACCAGCCTGGCCAACATGGGCTCTACTAAAAATACAAAAATTAGCTGAGCTTGGAGGCGCGCGCCTGTAATCCCAGCTACTCGGGAGGCTGAGGCAGGAGAATCGCTTGAATCCCAGAGGCGGAGGTTGCAGTGAGCCGAGATCGAGCCATTGCACTCCAGCCTGGGCAACAGGGCCAGACTCCGTCTCAAAAAATAAAAATAAAAATAAAAAAAGAAAAGAAGGAAACCTTTCCTGCCAGCCGGCAGGCTCCTGCCACTGCCTCCCTTTCCTGCAAGGACACACAAGTTCGCCTATTTTCATCACAGGTTCGCACCTCCAAGCCTGCATCCTTCATGCACCTCCTTCCTTTGCCTGGGTTGCCGTTCCTTTTCTCTCTGCTCTTCCTTCTCTTTTTTTTTTTTTTTTTTTTTTTTTTTTTTGAGACGGAGTCTCGCTCTGTCGCCCAGGCTGGAGTGCAGTGGCGGGATCTCGGCTCACTGCAAGCTCCGCCTCCCGGGTTCACGCCATTCTCCTGCCTCAGCCTCCCAAGTAGCTGGGACTACAGGCGCCCGCCACTACGCCCGGCTAATTTTTTGTATTTTTAGTAGAGACGGGGTTTCACCGTTTTAGCCGGGATGGTCTCGATCTCCTGACCTCGTGATCCGCCCGCCTCGGCCTCCCAAAGTGCTGGGATTACAGGCGTGAGCCACCGCGCCCGGCCCCCTTCTTCCTTCTCGGAGATAACGTATATTCTCCTCCAGGAAGCCGTCCTGAATGCCCCCAGTCAGCCTCACCTGCTCTGAGCTCCCAAGTACAGTCCTATTTTTGGGCCTCAATTTGTCACCTTTTGTGGGACCCGCTGGTACTCTGGGTTCTCTAGTTAATCTTTGACCTTTTTCCTAGTACAGGGACGGCGCACATAGTAGGGCCACAGGCACAGTTTGTTGAATTAAATGAGGCTGGAGAGGGCGATGGACGCAGTCCTCTGGAGCTCTCCAACTTCCTGGAAAGTTGTACCTTAAATAAAAAACCCATCCTGATATGCGGGCTGACTCTGGTCATTTTCGCCTTGTATGTTTGATGAGGTGAGGACCCCTCCAGCTGGACCCCGCCCGAGGTCGACCCCCGCAAAAGCAGTCTTTCTGGATGTCTGGACAAAAGCACGCGGTCACACAGGCTGTCGGGCCAGGGTTTTTTATCAGGGGTGGGAGCAGCGGGCGCGGGGTTCTGCCAGCCTGCTAGTCACCCTTGGGCGCAGCCTTCACCCTCATCTCGGCCAGTTTGTGAGTGAGGAAGCCCCACTTGAAGCCGGCCACCGGCTCGGCCTCCTGCGACTCGGGGCGCTCTGCGGCCTCCTCCGCGGCCTCGTCCGCGGGTTCGGGGTCCGGCTCCGGAGTGGGCTCGGTGCCGCGCAGCATGGACGCCGCCGCGGCCTGCTGCTGCTGCCACCTGCTGGCGAACGCGTCCCAGAAGCCCGGGCCGCGCGCCTCCGCCGCCGCCGCCGCCTGCGAGGGGGGTCGCGCCGCCAGAGGGCTGCGGGAGAGGGCCGCGGTCAGGGAAGCGGCCGGGCGGTCCCGCGGAGGAACATCGGCTGGGCTGACGGAGGAGTTTAGTGGGGCCGGGGGAACCTGGGCGGAGTCAGGGGCAGTGGTGAGGAGCGGGGTCAGGTGACCAGTGGGGGACCGGGACGAGGAGGAGGGTCAGGGCCTGGAGGCAAGGGGAGGGCTCAGAGGCCCTGGGAAAGGGGTCTGGGGTGGGACAGGGTCAGGGGATTAGGCGAGGGATGTGGAGGGAGGGGACCGGGATCAGGATCCCTGGGGAGAGAATGAGGTCAGGGTTTCAGGCGAGGCTCGAGGAGGGACGCTGGAGGCGTGCGCAGGTCTGGGAAGCTGGAAGGATCCCTGGGAAAGCAGGTGGGAGCGGGAGGGCTGTTCAGATCCCCCCTGAGGGAAGCCCTGGGGAAAAGAGGCGGGGCACAGACAGGAATCAGGTTCTGAGATTGAGGGAAAGGGGGACTAGGAGCACGGGAGAAAGGTGGAGCGACAGGAAGGCCTAGGTCAGAGGCTTAGGGGAGAGCGCGGGACTCAAGAGAAGTGGGAAGATGTTGGGGGGAAGGGCAGTCACGGAGAGGTGATGAAGCTTGAAGTGGAAGCCTCAAGTCCAGGAAGTTCCTTGGGGAACTGGGGTTGGGGGTGGGGGAAAAGAATGGAAACCTGGGGGCGGGAGAGGCTGATGGGTCATGGGGACCCTAGGAGAAAAGAATAGGGTCAACGGTGAGAGGGGGATGTGATCAGGATGGAGAAAAGGCAGAAATGGAGAATGTGCCAGAGATAGAGCCAGGAGGGAGACTGAGGTCCCAGGTCCCACCCGCTAATCCTTGGCCTCAAAGACCTCAGACGGTGGTTCCCAAAGCTGCAAGCTGCAGGGCCCTGGGGGAGCTTGCTGAAAACATGGCTAGATCCCCAAGACTCTGCCACACCAGCGAAATCGGAGTCTCTGAAGGAGGGTCCAAGAATATGTTTGTGACACGCTTCCTTGGAGGGTGAGGGTTTAGGCAATATTTGAGAACCTTTGAGTTGGATCAGCTGTTGCAAACACCTAAAGGTATTCTGCGTTCTTGGATTTTAGAGAGATGGCCCCTCCCAAGCGGATGGGTCGTGAGAGCCCATAAATACCTTCTAGCACCTCAATCCCAACAGCTGGTCGATTCCTCCTGAGATTTACCCTAATCTCCCAGATATGCTGATTTGGCCTGTTTCCTGCTGAGAGAAACAGAAACAGCCTGGGACTGCCCCTCCCCAGCCCTCAGTGGTTAGAAAGACAAACAAACCAGAAGGAAAGGACCAGGCAGAAGGGGGACCTCAGGCCCCTTCCAGAACCACCACAAACACACACGCACATACTGGTCAGCGCAAGGCTCTGATGGCAGCAGCTTATCTTCATCTTCTTTGTTAAACAGAGATGACATTGTCAGCCAGCCTTTCACCCCGACCCCCTGAACCTGGGAAAGGGGTTGGGAGTCAGGGAGGGGGTCCAGCACAACCTCCCAGGACTCCACAGAAGCCTCTGCCAGGCTGCCCAGGGTTGGGGTGGAAGAAGGGAGAATACTCACCCGGCGGGCCAGCTGTGACATGGGATTGAAGGTCTCCTCGGTCGGTTCTGCTGTCTCAGACCCCACTAATGCTGGGTTCTCCCTCTGGGACACAAGACCCCCACACAGCATGAGAGAGGCCGCAGAGGAGTGAGATCTCCCTCCTCCACTGCTAGCCTAGTACACACAGACCAGGCACCCCAAATCCCACAGAACTAAACACACACCTATACACTCCACAGATCCACAAGGGCACATGGGAATGCATACAGGTATACCTGCAGAGTAAATCCCTGCAGACACCCTTTTTTTCCTTTGTGTGTGCGTGTGTGTGTGTGATGGAGTCTTGCCGTGGGGTGCAGTGGTGCGATCTCGGCTCACTGCAACCTCTGCCTCCCATGTTCAAGTGATTCTCCTGCCTTAGCCTCCTGAGTATCTGGGCCTACAGGCACCCACCACCGCCCTGCTAATTTTTGTATTTTAAATAGAGATGGGGTTTTGCCATGTTGGCCAGGCTGGTCTCGAACTCCTGGCCTCAAGTGATCCTCCCACCTCGGCCTCCCAAAGTGCTGGGATTACAGGCGTGAGCCGCCAGTCCGAGCTGCAGACACCCTTGAGCACACATACCTGCCCACCACAGACACATCCATATACACCCAAAAGCACGTGGACATGGGCATGCACTCTGATGTAGACACACACCTGTACATGAGCATGCCCCCACATGGCTACAGCTCTTCACCTGTACATAGACATACGTGTTGTGAAGCACCTATACAAGGACACACACAGTTATATCATTCACACCTGTGCACTTATACAACCACAGACAGCTGCACAGAGGCCTATCCACAACACACAAAACCTCTCCACCCAACCACAGATACCAAAACACATACACCATACAAACAACACCTGCAAATGTCTACACAGAGGCATGCAGGCAGACTGCTACCCAAAATGTTCACACCTTCACATACACTTTCACTGGGGATTCCACCCAGATACTGATCACACCAGTTACCCACTGACATTTCTGCACAAGCCCAGCCTTAGACACCAACCTCTCCAGACATTTAAGAATTCAAACCATTCCCCGCCCCTCTGAACCGATTCCTGCCTCTGCCACATTTTGTGTGATTGTGTGACTGCCACTTATCACAGCCTCCAGACATAAGACTGTCCCTGGTTTCAGAAACTTTGCTGTTGTTGTTTTGAGACAAAGTCTCACCTGTCACACAGGCTGTAGTGCAGTGGAGCCTCGACCTCCCTGGGCTCAAGCAATCCACCCGCCTCAGCCTGAGTAGCTGGGACTACAGGTGTGTGCCACCATGCCTGTCTAATTTTGTATTTTTTTGTTGAGATAGGGTTTCACCATGTCACCCAGGCTGGTCTCGAAATCCTGGGCTCAAGTGATCCTCCTGCCTCAGCCCCCTGAGTAGATGGGATTATAGGTGCCCACCACCATGCCCAGCTAATTTTTGTATTTTTAGTAGAGGCAGGGTTTCGCCATGTTAGCCAGGCTGGTCTCGAACTCCTAACCTCAGGTGATCCACCCTCCGTGGCCTTCCAAAGTGCTAGTATTACAGGCAGAAGCCACTGCGCCTGGCCTGTTTGTTTGTTTTTGAGATGGAGTCTTGCTCTGTCGCCCAGGCTGGAGTGCAATGGCTCAATCTCAGCTCATTGCAACCTCTGCCTCCCAGGCTCAAGCAATTCTCCTACCTCAGCCTCCCAAGTGGCTGGGATTACAGGTGCACGCCGCCATGCCTGGCTACTTTTTTTTGTATTTTAATAGAGACTGGGTTTCACCGTGTTGCCCAGGCTGGTCTTGAACTCCTGAGCTCAGGCAATCCACCCACCTCGGCCTCCCAAAGTGCTAGGATTACAGGCATGAGCCACCGTGCCCGGCCCAGCCTGTTTTTTGTTGTTGTTGTTTGTTTGCTTGTTTTTTGTAATGTCAGAACAAAGCATGGTCTAAGTATGGCTTTGATCTGATGCTGCTGCAGTGACCTTTCTAGTACAGGCGCCACTCCCCCTACCTCTAGTAACATGGGGCTCACTACATCACTCCTACTTCTGCTCCCATTAGAAAGTTGTGTCCAGCTAAGTGTGCCCGTGTGCCTACTGCCCACTGGTCCTAGAAGAATCTCTTCCATGTGGCAGCCTCGAGATCTTTGGAGACAGTGGCCACTCCTCCCATGGTCCCTAAGTCTTTTCTTCCTCAGTTTTCTTGAATGTCCTGGCTTTCTGATGCTGCACCATGGTTTTTACCATCCCTGAATGTGGCATCTGCACAAATGTGGCCCCCCCACCTCCAAGCCTATCCTGTGCCCCACTTCATACTGCTCATTCCTGCTGCCCCTCTGCACATGCTCCACCCACCATGCATGGATGGCACCCACCTCCTCTGCCAGGTCTTCTTCAGATTCCCCACTCAGGGTCTGTAGCACTTTGGACTTGTAGGTTTTCCAGAAGGCCTGGTTCATGGCTGCAGGGGGAAGGGGCCTGGCACGCAAGCACAGGAAGGTGGTGGCTCAGTGGATACCAGTGAGTCTGGCTCTAGGAACTTGGTGAGGCCAAGAGCCTGTCCGAGGGATCCAGTGACTTCATTAAAGATGCACCAGCCTCCCCAGCTGGCACAGTGCCCAGGAGGTGAACCTGATCCAAAGGAGTCGGGGAGTGGGGGATGGAACAAGCTTCTGCCACCTTAGCCCCTTGTCTTGACCCATATTGGCCAAGAATAATGAAGTCATTTGTCTCTAGAGAGGCTTTCTTCCTGGGCCTAGGAGTACTTGAGTTGTTCATCTCTTAGCATGCCTCCAGGAAAATCTTCTTCCATTCACAAAATCCTGAGGTCTGGGACCCACACTGGAGCCCCTGTGACTGTAGTCATACTAGTTGTGTCCTCAGCAGGGCTCCACCCTGTGTCCCTACTTAGCCTCAATGAACTGGAGCAGGAAGGTCCGCAGGCCCCCAGTGGGCACCTTGGGCTTACATTTCACTCCTTTGTCTGGGCTGGAAACTGATTCCTCTCCCCAGGGATACACGTGCCTGTCTCCTTGTTTCCTGGCAACAGACTCCAAAGAGCTGGAGCCCCTGAATTATTGCTAAGCTCCTCTGGCCCCTTCCAGCTGAGTTGGCTCTGGCCAGCCTGGGAGGCACCAGGCTCCTGTGAATGGGGAAAGGCCCTCTAGCCACTCTGAGCATGCAACACCTAGGCCTTTGCTGCCAGCCCACCTCTGGGAGCCCAGGGCTTAGAGAAAGGAGGCAAAGATGGAGAGGTCCTTCTATGAGTACTTGTGAGAGGAACTGATCCCTCTGGAGTCTGGATGCCTGAGGACTGCACTCTCTGGGGAGGAACACCCTTCACGGATTTGGTTGGGGTCAGAGAGAGGATGGAGACTCAAGGGAATAACGGGAGCCCGGAGAAGTGAGGGCTTTTTCAGGGACTGGAGATTATCTCGGGAAGCCCTGGTGGGGCTGGGATTCCAAACTTATTCACTCTCAGTCATTTACTAATTTATTCATGACACAGACATTTATCAGTGCTTTCCAGAGATAAAGCATCCCACCCCCACCGCGGAGTCCAAGGTCTGGGAAACAGGAAGGGATGACAGGAGTACAGGTTGGCACTGATACTGGTTGGACCAGGCCAGGAAGAGCAGGGCAGCAAGACGGCCCCGAAACCCCCAGGCGCACGCACCACCCCGCGCCTCCCCAGCGAGGGCCCGCGGGGCCATGCCCTTCAGTGGGCACACTTCTGGGAGCCCGTCCTGAGCTCGGTCACTGACGTCGACGGCCGCCTGGCGGCGCTCGAGCCGCTGGCCGAGAGTGACGTCATCAGAGGCGGTCCGGCCGAGCCTGCCTAGCCCCCCGGCGTGGCCTGACGTAGCTGATCGGCCCGGAAGTGCTCACACGTGTGCTCCCTGCCCTGCTCCTGGCCCCTTGGCCGGCCGGGCTGTTTCTGGCCATGGGTCGCTCCCGCCGGACAGGCGCGCACCGAGCGCACTCTCTAGCCCGGCAGATGAAGGCGAAGCGGCGGCGGCCGGACTTGGATGAGATTCACCGCGAGCTGCGGCCTCAGGGATCCGCACGACCCCAGCCCGACCCAAACGCCGAGTTCGACCCCGACCTGCCAGGGGGCGGTCTGCACCGCTGTCTGGCCTGCGCGTGAGTCCCGGACGAGCCCGGCCTGGGGCGGAGGAGGGTCCGCGGTACCGGCCGGGAGATGTGAAGTTGAAGCCCCAGGCAGCGCAGAGTCTTCTCTCTTGGGACCCGTGGGTCCGCCCGCCTCCCGTTTCTCAGACCCGGATCCTGGCGTCAGGGACAAGCTAGGGCTAGGGAGATAGGTGCACTTGGGAGACTATCACCTCCTCACTCTCCTTCTCACTTCCATTCCTACAGGAGGTACTTCATCGATTCCACCAACCTGAAGACCCACTTCCGATCCAAAGACCACAAGAAAAGGTATGAAGGAGTAAGGAGAGGATTGATGGATGGGTGCTCAGCAGATAGGGCTCTCACCTGGTCAGCTCCCAACTCCTGTTTTTCTTTCTCCCAGGCTGAAGCAGCTGAGCGTCGAGCCCTACAGTCAGGAAGAGGCGGAGAGGGCAGCGGGTATGGGATCCTATGTGCCCCCCAGGCGGCTGGCAGTGCCCACGGAAGTGTCCACTGAGGTCCCTGAGATGGATACCTCTACCTGACATGGCCTGAAGATGCAGGGCAGAGGAATTGCCCATGGACAGTGACGCAAGGACTAGGCTGGGAGGGAGCGTGCCAACCCCTTTTGCCTCTGGGTTTGGGGAGCGGAGGGCCTCTTCTTGGTGCCCTGCCCCAAATAAAGGAACTGGACAAAGAGAACTTGCCTCCAACTCTAACTTCCAGGCCGCTGTCTCAAACTCCTGCCCTGGAAGGGCTTCTCTACTACTTTCTGTACACCAGGCCTAGGGTGTCTACTCCCCACTTGGTCTATCTCTGCCTTCCCTCTGAGGTCCTAGCATCTGAACTGGAGCACCCAGATGGAGGCCTGATGCAGTGTGGGGTGGCGGGAGTGGGATCAGATTACTCTGTCCTGCTTCTGACAGAGACTGATCCCCAGAAAAGAAGGCTTCTGAGATTGCACCCCCCTCCCGAGTCACCTACCCCCAGCATCCAAGTGAGAGTCTCTCTTCTTCGTTACGGGGCCCGTGGCACCCGCCGCTGCCCCACCATCTTCCAGACGGCATAGCAGGAGCCACCCAGGCCGAGGACAGCTAGCACTGTAGCCACAACTCCTGCCAGCAGACTCCGGGGCTCTGCCTTCAGCTCACCAGCTACCTGCATCTGGAGGTGCACAGAGGGTGTGCCTCAGGGGTCAGTTGAGACTGCCAGGAAGGTGGGGAGTGGGAAAGGGCTGAGTAGATGTAGCTAGGGGAAGGAGACATGGACGCCGGTCCTGCCCCAGGGAGATTCCACCCCAATCCCTTTCGCCTCACTGCCCATCTGGGCCTGCCTGCTCAGGCGGCAGGGAACGTGACAGCCTGGCTGTTGGGGGTGTCAACCCAGCTATGGTAGGGGGAGGAAGGGGTCAGTCGTGCCAGAAACCGTTGATCAGGGGTACTTACCTGTAACACCCGGAAGTAACCAGGGGTCAAGCGTCGAAATCGCATGGTGGGCGGCACTGGTCTCCCTGGCGGCCTGTAGGGTGGGAGCGGACGTGAAGACCAGTGGTCTTCATGACACCAAGAAGTGGAAACTAGGGTAGAGGGGTCTCTGACCTTCCACATACGCAAGACCCAAGCTCTCAGAGGATGCTCACCCGCGCCTGCCTGCCCAGGTCTGGCAGGGGGCGGAGCAACTGGACCTTTAAATCTGGTCCCTTCCCCCACTGCCTACCATCCTGCCAGCCTTAGAAGCAGCTGTCAAAAGAGATCAGCATCAGGCTTGAGCGGCACCTCCCCCACTCTCCGAGGAGGCGGGTCCGGTTAGGCAGGAGAGGCCTTGGCTGGCAGTGCTCAGGAGTCCCAGGCCTGGACCAGGTACTGGGCGGGCCTCCCTCAGCCCTGGTCCAGGCCCCATCGCTACCTTAGATGATTGGATGCCACCAATCAGCATTATCGAAGGAAGGATGTGTTATTAGCTCCCACAACAGTATGCCTTTTCCATTTGATTTCTGTGAAATCAACCGCCCCTACCTCAAGGGAGGGCACATATAACCCTTTTTTTTTTTTTTTTTAAGACAGAAGTCTCACTCTGTCACCCAGGCTTGAGTGCAGTGGCATGATCTCGTCTCACTGCCACCCAGGTTCAAGCGATTCTCCAGCCTCAGCCTCCTGAGTAGCTGAAATTACAGGCACCTGCCACCGCGCCCAGCTAATTTTTGTATTTGTAGTAGAGACGGGGTTTCACCATATTGGTCAGGCTGGTCTTGAACTCCTGACCTCATGATCCCCCCGCCTTGGCGTCCCAAAGTGTTGGGATTACAGGTGTGAGCCACTGCGCCCGGCCAATTTAACCCATTTTTTCAAGACAAAGTTTCTTCAGGGACTTCCCTGCCCTCAGCTTGAAACAATAATAAAAGCATATCTGCATATACCAATTAAGGAAGCTGCCCGTGATACGTTAAAAATAGTAGTCATTGTTCTAAGCACTTAACTTGTATTATTTCATTTGCTATCGATTATCTCTTAAATGAAAAAGTATGGCTGGGCAGCACTTTGGGAGGCTGAGGCAGGCAGATGGCTTGAGCCCAGGAGTTCAAGACCAGCCTGGGCAACGTGGTGAAACCTCATCTCTACCAAAAAAAAAAAAAAAAATTTAGCCAGGCATGGTGGTGCATGCCTGTAGTCCCAGCTACTCAGGAGGCTGAGGTGGGAGGATCACTTGAGCCCAGGAGGTGGAGGCTGCAATGAGCTGAGGTTGCACCATTGCACTCCAGCATGGGTGACAGAGCCAGACCCTGTCTCCAATAAAAATAAAAAAGAAAAAGTACAATTTGCAGAATAGTATGTAGACTATCTGCAGATATAGAAAATAGAAGAATATCCCAAATTTAGTAGTGGCCCCCACTGGGGAACATGATAGAGACACACTGGGGAAAGGGCACATCCTTCTTTCACTTAACCTATTACCTTTGAAATGTATACAGCAAATATGTAGAACTTTATATTCATAAAGCTTTTTAAAATAGGCTGGGCATGGTGGCTCACACCTGTAATCCCAGCACTTTGGGAGGCCAAGGTAGGTGAATCACTTGAGGTCAGGAGTCCGAGACCAGCCTGGCCAACATGGCAAAACCCTGTCTCTACTAAAAATAAAAAAATTAGCTGGGTGTGGTGGCGCACACCTGTAATCCCAGCTACTTGGGAGATTGAGGCACGAGAATCACTTGAACCTGGGAGGGAGAGGTTGCAGTGAGCCAAGACTGCGCCACTGCACTCCAACCTGGGCAGCGGAGCAAGACTCTCTCAAAAAACAAAATGAAACCCTTTAAAATAGAAGTTGTCAGCCGGGCGTGGTGGTTTACGCCTGTAATCCCAGCACTTTGAGAGGCCGAGGCAAGGAGATCACTTGAGGTCAGGAGTTTGAGACCAGCCTGGTCAACATGGTGAAACCCCATCTCTACTAAAAATACAAAATTAGCCGAGCATGGTGGCACACGCCTGTAATCCCAGCTACTTGGGAGGCAGAGGCAGGAGAATAGCTTGAACCTGGGAGGCGGAGGTTGCAGTGAGCCAAGATCATGCCATTGCACTCCAGCCTGGGCAACAAGAGCAAAGCTCTGTCTCAAAAAAATAGATAAAAATAAATAGAAGCTGCCACTTACTGTGTTCCTAACTGCCTAACCCTGGCAGATGCTGGGAGCGTAGAGTAAAGGCGCCGTGGTTCAGGGAGAGAGGGGGCTGGTTCTCACCTCTGGTGGCAGCTCAGGAAAGATATTTGATGAAATCAAGATCTGTCTACCGAACACTGATAAAGGCTCTATTAGAATTTACTGGACTTCCCCAGAGTGCCACAGGGAGGCTGCTGCATGAAGAGGCAAAAATGTTAAACGAGGATGCAGCACGGAGTGTTCAAGGGACACAGACCTGAGGCAAAAGACAAAGCTGGAGACGGGCATTTTGCAAATTTGAAGCCAACTGGCTCACAAAATGAAAGAGGCTGTTAATACCAAGTGTGAAGGTGGGATGGCATCACCAGAGCTGGCCAAGTTCAGAGAAGCTGGAAATCTCAATTTGGATGTGACGTTATTAAATGATGACAACACACGTACACTACATGGGCCAACCATGGGCGAAATTCAGACTTTGGGTCTCTGGGTTACAGGTAAGGTCGTGACAGGCTTTGATGACTGGGGGTGCTGCAGAAATTCTGAAGTAGGTGACAACAGGTAGCTCCTCCCCACAGAATTAAAGCAATAATAACTCATATCTACCCCATGATACAGATTTCAAAGTACTTAATGTCATCACAGTGCTAAGGCCTAGGAATCCCCTTCTGGAGACAAAGAAACAGATTCAGAGAGCTGTAGAAGTTGGGCTGAGTCACATAGCAGTTGAGTATGGAACTGATTTTATCTGATTTTTTTTTTTTTTGAGACAGAGTTTTGCTCTTGTTGCCCAGGTTGGAGTGCAGTGGCGCAATCTCGGCTCACTGCAACCTCTGCTTCCGGGTTCAAGCAATTCTCCTGTCTCAGCCTTCCGAGTTGCTGGGATTATAGGCGCCCGCCACCACGACCGGCTAATTTTTTGGATTTTTAGTACAGACAGGGCTTCTCTATGTTGGCCAGGCTGATCTCGAACTCCTGACCTCAGATGATCCACCCGCCTTGGCCTCCCAAAGTGCTGGGATTACAGGCATGAGCCACCGCGCCCGGCCTTTTTTTTTTTGAGGTGGAGTTTCACTTTTGTTGCCCAGGCTGGAGTGCAATGACGCGATCTCAGCTCACCGCTACCTCTACCTCATGAGTTCAAGCAATTCTCCTGCCTCAGCCTCCCGAGTACCTGGGATTACAGGCATGTGCCACCACACCCGGCTAATTTTGTATTTTTAGTAGAGATGGGGTTGCTCCATGTTGGTCAGGCTGGTCTCGAACTCCTGACCTCAGGTGATCCGCCCGCATAGGTCTCCTGAAGTGCTGGGATTACAGGCCTGAGCCACCACGCCCGGCTGATTTTATCTGATTCTAAAGTCCTGGGAGTCCCCTGACCTGATGATGATGATGAAAATGAACATTTACTATGTGTCAGATATTTTTCTAAGATTAAAGCTCTTGCTCTGAGGTTCAGAATTCAGGGGATCCATAAACTTGGATGGGAAAAAATTATATTTTTATTTTTGCTAAACTCTAACCAAAATTTATGATTTCCTTCTATATGGATTGAAGCAGTAGCAGTATCTTTGGCTTAGTCACCAATAGAAATCACATATTTTCATATCAAATTGTAGTTATTGCAAGTATCTCAAAATATTTATGCTCAAGTGATTTCAAAATCACAGTGGTTGTTAAACCACCACTAAATTGTTCGTGAGCAACTTCTGTTTCAGATGCTCCTGTGATGTAGCCGCCATTAATTGGTTACCTCCAGGCTTAGCAGTGGTTCAGTGACCAAAGGGCGAATCTGCCTGTTCTGAGTAGGGCTTCTCCACTCTTCTGCATTCCCTGTCTTTTTTTTTTTTTTTTTGAGACGAAGTCTTGCTCTGTCGCCCAGGCTAGAGTGCAGTGGCGCGAACTCGGCTCACTGCAAGCTCTGCCTCCTGGGTTCACGCCATTCTCCTGCCTCAGCCTCCTGAGTAGCTGGGACTACAGGCGCCCGCCACCATGCCTGGCTAATTTTTTGTATTTTTAGTAGAGACGGGGTTTCACCATGTTAGCCAGGATGGTCTCGATCTCCTGACCTCATAATCCGCCCGTCTCGATTATAGGCGTGAGCCACCATGCCCGGCCCAGCATTCCCTGTTTTTAGTTGTTTGCTGATCAATATGTAAGAGGAGGGGCGTCAAAGACCACCCCACAGTTTAATGTCCTTATTCAAGCTGGTCGACAACACACTGAGGTCATTAAAAAAGAAAAATTTAACTTTCGGCCAGTCTTATTAATGTTAGTAAACACATAATATAAATTTCTGGTTTTATTTTTTTGAGATGGGCTCCTGCTATGTTGCCCAGGGTGGCTTTGACTCCTGGGCTTGAGTGATACTCCCCCGCTCAACCTCTCAACCTCTCGAGTAGCTGGGACTACAGTCGTGTGCCAGCACTCCCCAGCTCCAAATTTTTTTTTTGTTTTTTGTGGGTTTTTTTTTTGAGACGGAGTCTTGCTTTGTTGCCAGGCTGGAGTGCAGAGGCGTGATCTCAGCTCACTGCAACCTCCGCCTCCCAGGTTCAAGCGATTCTCCTGCCTCAGCCTCCTGAGTAGCTGTGACTACAGGCGTGCACCACCACACCCAGCTAATTTTTGTATTTTTAGTAGAGACGGGGTTTCACCATGTTGGGCAGGCTGGTTTCCATCTCTTAACCTCATGATCCACCCGCCTTGGCCTTCCAAAGTGCTGGAATTACAGGCGTGAACCACCATGCCCGGCCAAATTTGTTTTTAAATATAGTTTTGATAATTGTTCTCATTGTAATCCTAAGCATTTTGTTTTGTGCATTTATTTATTTATTTATAATACAGAGTTTTGCTCTGTTGCCCAGGCTGGAGTGCAGTGGCACGATCTTGGCTCACTGGAACCTCCCCCTCCTGGGTTCAAGGGATTCTCCTGCCTCAGCCTCCTGAGTAGCTGGGATTACAAGCACCCACTACGCCCAGCTAATTTTTTGTATTTTTAGTAGAGATGGTGTTTCACCATATTGGCCAGGCTGGTCTTGAACTCCTGATCTCAAGTGATCCGCCCACCTCGGCCTCCCAAAGTGCTGGGATTACAGGCGTGAGCCACCGCGCCCGGCCTGTTTTATGCCTTTATAAGCAGCTATTCTGAGAAAGCATTCACAGGCCTCACCAGATGCCAGAGTCCATACTGCAAAATCCAAGGGAGGCTAAACACCCCAGTTCTAAATGTTTTCAAGCCATTCAGATACTGTGCACAGCTGCCCTTTGAAGTACGGTCTATTATATCTCTTTTACAGACCCAGAAACTGAGGCGCAGAAGTTAGGGTCAGCCCCAGGTCACACAGCTAACAAGAGCTGGCCTAGGCACCCAGGGACCTGGCCCCCTAGCCTCTGTGCTTTGCTACTGATTTCAGCGCTCCTCTTGTGGCTTTTTCTTGAGGAGCCCAAGGGTCAGGGTCCCACCCCGCGATATGAGGCCAGTGGCACTGCCCCCTAGCAGGCGCGAGATGCCAGAGCCCTAGGATGTCTGAAGGGCCGGGCAGGAGGCGGACGGGCGTGGGCCAATGGCTGTCGCAGTGCCTCATCTTGCCGTCTGTGTGAGCCCAGGTATGCAGTAGGCTCCGCCCAGGACCCAGCCCGGCCCCTCCTTAGGCCTGGGCTCTGGGAGCGGAAATTCCGGCGACAGCAGGGCAAAACAGGAGCTGATTCGAGCTGGCAGAGCTGGGCCATGGAACCGGTAGAGACCTGGACCCCCGGAAAGGTGGCAACTTGGCTGAGAGGTGGGTGGGGCTGGGGTAGAGTTGGGCTTGAAGGGGACTAGGTGTGGTGTCCCACCGGGAAGCGGGAGGAGAGGAAAAGGAAAAAAAATCTGCGGACTGGGTGCGCTGGTTCACACCTGTAATCCCAGCACTTTGGGAAGCCAAGGTGGGTGGGTCACCTGAGGTCGGGAGTTCAAGACCAGCATGGTGAAACCCCGTCTCTACTAAAAATACAAAAATTATCTGGGGGTGGTGGCAGGTGCCTGTAATCCCAGCTACTTGGGAGGCTGAGGCAGGAGAATCGCTTGAACCCAGGAGGCAGAGGTTACAGTGAGCCGAGATTGCACCGCTGCACTCCAGTCTGGACGACAGAGCGAGATTCAGCTCAAAAGAAAAAAAAAAATAATAAACTGCGGGCTCTATCAGTCGGTCAGTCAGTCAACAAATATTTACAGAGCACCTAACATGTTCCAGGAACCGTGCTGGGCAGAGAGACAGATGAGATGACCCTGGGGGGCCCAAGGACCCAGAAGGGGGCCCCTCATCATGGCAGTAGCCCAAGAGGCCTCTAGGGTGATAATGGGGAGGCGGTGTCATGAAAACAGGAGGGAGGCCTGACAGGCCCACACCCACTGTATCTCCTTCATCTTCCCTGGCCCCAGGGCCAGTGGGCTGTTGTTAAATCCGTTTCTTAGAGTCAGAAACTGACACACAGAGCCAGGAAATGATTTGCTCAGTCTCTGGTGTCATTTTCCCCGCTCCACACCCTGAGCTCCTAGTGACAGAAGCAGAAGCCCTAGGCCAGACTGAAGAGGTTGACACAGCCCCACCCTGGGGCTCCTATCCAAGGGGCAAGGTGCTGTCCAGGCTCAGCGAGCCCACACAGATGGGAAGCAACACACCCCACAGGCAGACTCAGAGAAGGAAGGGCCTCCTGACACACAGTGCGACCAGGAGCAGGCAGTCAGGACACCCCTCCCAGAGTGGGGAGCTGGAGCGCACTAGAGACAGGCTCAGGAGGACCAGCCCGGGTAAGGGCAGGAATTCAGGGCTGGGTTCAGACTCCCAGGCTGGATTCCAGGCCCACCCCCACCGCTTGCCAGCTCTGTGACCATAGGTCTTAGTTTTTCTGTCCATCAAATGGGAAAGGCAACTCTGACCTTATGAAGTCGACAAAGTGAGACAATCATGACATAGTTCATTTGTAGCTCAATGCCTGGGTCTATTGGGAGGGCACCAGCCCAATACAGTCACCGTGCAGGAAGGAGGTGGCTCAGGGGCCCATAGCCAGGGAGTGATAGGTTCATGAACTCCCAGTCCAGTGCTCTCAATGTGACACAGGGAACACACACACACACCTCCCCCAGTGAAGGAGCCTGGCTTAGAAGGGGAAGAATTCCTTCGAAGAGTGAGCAAGCTACTTAACCTCTGTGTCAGTTTTCCCATCTGTAAGCAGGATAATGATAGTCTTTACCTCCTAGAAATGCAGTGAGAATCAAATGTGTTAATATGTGTAAAGCTCTTATAGATTTGCATAGCACATAGTAAGCCCTCAATAGACACTTTTCTTATTTTTCAGTGCCTACCTTGTCCAGGCACAGGCCGGGGGTTAGAGACAAATGGTTATCTAAGGCCTGATCTTTGAAGAGCCTGTGATAAAATGGGAAAGACCGATGGTCAAGTGCAGGGGTTTGTGGAGGCTCAGGGGCAGTGGGAACAAGAGGAGAGCCCTCCATCCCACTCAGCCTGGGAAGTTATGGAAGGCTTCCTGGAGGAAGTTAGATGAAAAAGGAAGTGAAGGAGATAGAAGAGCAACGCCAGCAGGAGGAATAGCACTTGCAAGGACGCTGAGGTAAAAGGGTGTTCCAGGAGCTGCAAGGAATTAGCTCTGTGCATCTGAAATGTTGAGTTTAGGGGGCTCTTCAGGATATGATGCTGGAAAGGGAGGTAGTAGCCTAATCATACAGGGCCTGTAGGTCATGGTAAAGTCTGGCAATAATAATATGATGGCTATTATTGGCTGTCTCCCACGAACCAGACAGTGGCCAAGGCCTTGACATATGTTGTGTCATTCAATACACACATGATTA
The DNA here is from genome assembly GCF_000001405.40 of Homo sapiens. NCBI lineage: Eukaryota > Metazoa > Chordata > Mammalia > Primates > Hominidae > Homo > Homo sapiens. The sequence continues at coordinate 26,179,669 of NC_000001.11, forward strand.
GAAGGTAGGTACTTTTATTATTCTCACATTACAGGTGAGAAAACTGGGCACAGAGCAGTGCTATTACTTGCTCAAGTGTTCACAGTGTCTCAGTGACTCCATAGCCTCTTGTTCTTATCCCCTGTATCATTAGTTCTCAAACTTAAGGGAGCATCACAGTCACCTGCATTAAAATACAAACTGCTGGCTGGGCGTCGTGGCTCACACCTGTAATTCTAGCACTTTCAGAGACTGAGGCAGTCAAATTGCTTGAGCCCAGGAGTTCGAGACTAGCCTGGGCAACATGGTGAAATCCCACCTCTGCAAAAAATACAAAAATTAGCTGGGTGTGGTGGTGTGTGCCTGTAGTCCCAGCTACTTGGGAGGCTGAGGTGGGAGGATGGATTGAGCCTAGGAGGTCAAGGCTGCAGTGAGCCGTGACTGTGTCTCAAGCCCCTGTCTCAAAAAGAAAAAACAAAACAAAAACAAAAAAAAGACTGCTGGGCCCCAACCTCAGAGTTTCTGATTCAGCAGGTGTGGGGTGAGGCCTGATAATTTGCATTTCTAACAAGTTCTCCGGTGAGTCTGCTGCTGCTGGTCTGGGGGCCACTTTTAAGAACCCATGTCCTATACTTTCCTGCTTCTCAACTCAGTGGCCTCATCTGTGAAATGGGCAGAACAGCCTGGGTGTCAGAGTTGTCATTAGGGTTAGACTAGAGGGAAAAGAGCTTTGCAGGCATGAAGAACCATCCCAAAAGGTCCTGACACCTCTGCTTCCCCGAGCTGAGCCTTACTCTCCCTCCAGGTCTTGACGACTCCCTGCAGGACTATCCCTTTGAGGACTGGCAGCTGCCTGGCAAGAACCTGCTCCAGCTCTGCCCCCAAAGCCTCGAGGCTCTGGCTGTGCGGTCTCTGGGACACCAGGAGCTCATCCTGGGCGGGGTGGAACAGCTCCAGGCCCTGGTGAGTGAATGCTGGTCACACTGGCTGCAGCTTCCACCAACCTGGGGGGTGTGATGGGGGGCTGGCTGCTGCCAGGGAGGTGACTTGCCCTCTTTCTGGCACAGAGCTCCAGGCTACAGACAGAGAACCTGCAAAGCCTGACAGAGGGACTTCTGGGGGCAACCCATGACTTCCAGAGCATAGTCCAAGGCTGCCTGGGGGACTGTGCCAAGACCCCTATTGATGTCCTCTGTGCAGCTGTGGAGCTGTTGCATGAAGCTGACGCCCTCCTCTTCTGGCTCAGCAGGTACCCGGGTTGGGGTGACGAGTGAGGGACTATTGTCATCCTTGGCCTCCTTCAGGGCGTGGGAGAGAAAAACAGATCTTGGCTCTTGTTCAGATATGGTGAGCCAGGCGTGGTGGCTTAGGTCTGTAATCCCAGCACTTTGGGAGGCCGAAGCGGGCAGATCACTTGAGGTCAGGAGTTGGAGACCAGCCTGGCCAACATGGTGAAACCCCATCTTTACCAAAAATATACAAAATTAGCCAGGTGTGGTGGTGCGCACCTGTAATCCCAGCTACTGGGGAGGCTGAGGCAGGAGAATCACTCAAACCTGGGAGGTGGAAGTTCCAGTGAGCCGAGATCATGCCACTGTACTCCAGCCTGGGCGACAGAGTGAGACTCCCTCTCAAAAAAAAAAAAAAAAAAAAAAAAGATATGGTGGAGCAGGGCAGAGGGATTAATCCACCTGTGCAGGGGCACTGGGATGCCAGAGTTCCCACCCCACCCTCCAGCTTGTAATAATCGATCTCATCAACAACCACTGAATGGAGAGCCTCCCCAACCCTGTGCACTGGCTGCTGCTTGTCCTACAGACCCCACCTCAAATGTCATCTCGGGGAAGCCTTCCCTGTTGTACACTCTCCAAGCTATACTATTAATAAATAATAAATAATAACTTATTATAAACTCATTATCCAATGTTTCATGATACTCATTACAGCCAAAGTTAAATTGATATTGATGTATGATGTCTTTACTGTCTGTTTCCCCAGTGCCTAGAACAGGGCTTGGCATGTGGTAGGCACATGACAAATAAGTCCTGTGCTAATCTCTTTAGATGTCTCAATCATCTCCTTTACTCTAAACCAAAACCCATCAGAGCAGGTATTATCCCCAAGTCTCTGAGGTGAGTAATTGGTGAGTAATTGGCTCTGAGTGGTTAAGCATAGTCCCTTAACCACTGTGCTATTCTTCCCCTGCCAGGTACCTCTTCTCCCACTTAAATGATTTCTCAGCATGCCAGGAGATCCGAGACTTGTTGGAGGAGCTGAGCCAGGTCTTGCATGAGGTAGGAGAACCAAGGGCCAGGCTTGGCCCATGCCCTAGAGACCAAGCTGGGCTAGAGCTTTTTATAACCTGTGAATCAGCCCAGGATCGAGTATGAGGATTGAGACGGGCGAGAAAGGAGGAGAGGAGGCCCTGCCACTGGGTATGGGACAATGGGGCCTGGGGTCCCCTAGCTGGCAGGGGAATTTTGACACTCAGGACAGGGAAGGAGGGGAGGGCACGTGTGGTGACTTCTGGGGGCCTGGTATCAGGGAAACGAGCCCTCTGGTTAAAACGCTGAGGCCCTGTGGTTCTGGGCAGGGGGCCAGTGTAGGGAAGGCAGGGAGGGACTGTACGGAATCCCACCCTGCCCCCAGGAGAAGGCAGTCCCCTTATGGCCCTTGCTCAGGGGAGGCCCCTGCTCTCTCATTCTACTTCCAGGATGGTCCAGCGGCTGAGAAGGAGGGCACAGTCCTGAGGATCGTGAGTCTGTGGGGTGGGAAGAGAGTGGGGGTAGGGGCGATCGGGCTCAGGCTACATAGCCCGCTCCCCTCCCCCAGTGCAGCCACGTGGCTGGGATCTGCCACAACATCCTGGTCTGCTGCCCCAAGGAGCTGCTGGAACAGAAGGCCGTGCTCGAGCAGGTGCAGCTGGACAGTCCATTGGTGAGCCCTGCCCTCCCACCTCTCACTTCTGACCCCTTGGCAGCCTTGTCTGGGCCCTGAAATAGGGTCCAGGATCCCACAGAACCCTGTGCTGCCATGGCTGGAAAGCCTTTTTTGTACAGATGCTAAAATGGAGGCCCAGAGGATTGGCCAGGGTCTCCCGTTGCTCTGCACCTCCCCAGTCCTGAGGGGCCACGCGGGTGTGGCCTCAGGTAGTGTGTTCCAGCCTTGGGATGGAGACGGGGCAGGGGCTTGGGGGCAGTTAGGAGAAAGGGAGAGGATGTGACCTTTCTTGGTTTAATCTTTGACCAGTGGGGAAGACCAGAGCCCTATCCCTGCCCTGTCCCTGCTTGTCCCTTTAGGAATGTTGCTGAGAAGCTGGTACCTCAGAAATCAGGGTCTCCAGCTTCCCTCTGGCTCTTAGCAGAGGAGAAGGCAGAGGCCCACAGGAGTAGCAAGTCCAAAGTCATACAGCAAGTCTGGGCAGGACCAGCTTGGGGTCAGCTCTTGCCACAGTTCCACCCACCATAGAGTCCTGGTGTCTGGCGGGGGTCCTGCCTATTGGCCCTGTTGCCCCCCAGCCCCCGGTGACTATAGCCTCTGCCTCTGCAGGGCCTAGAAATTCACACCACCAGCAATTGCCAGCACTTTGTGTCCCAAGTGGACACCCAGGTGAGAGCCCCACACCCTTCTCAGCCGCCCATCCCCGAGGCCTCTCACCTGCAAGCCAGGCCAACCTCAGGCCCCATTCCCCACGTCAGGTTCCCACTGACTCCCGACTGCAGATCCAGCCTGGAGACGAGGTTGTCCAGATCAACGAGCAGGTGGTGGTGCGTGAGGAGAGGGACATGGTAGGAGGTGAAGGGGTCACCGAGTGGAACCCAAGTCTGGTGGGTGGGGAGGCAACCAAGGGTTCTGACCAGGGTTGTGGGAGCTGCCTTCCAGGAGATGAGCCAGCTAAGTCTGGTGAGAGCATCCTCTGCAGAGCCCAGGTGATGGGGCCCATGGAAGCCCCCAGGAGGCTGCATGAGTGGGAGGCAGAAGTGGGAGGCTGAGAGAGAGCTCCCAGCACGAGGGTGAGAGTTGGTGGTTGCTTTAGAGCCTCCTGCCCAGGTTGATACCAGCCAGTGTTTCTGTCCCCCAGGTGGGATGGCCCCGTAAGAACATGGTGAGGGAACTGCTGCGGGAGCCAGCCGGACTCAGCTTAGTGCTGAAGAAGATCCCGATACCGGAGACCCCCCCACAGGTACCTTCCCCTGCCGCCCCCCGACCTGCCTTCAGACCCCCCCCTCCACAGGTACCTGCCCCCACCACCCCCACACCTGCCTTCAGACCCCCCCCAACAGGCACCTTCCCCTGCTGCGCCCCCCTAGCTCCCTTCAGACCCCCCCACAGGTACCTGCTCCTGCTGCTCCCCTACCCCTGTTGCCCCCCAACCTGCTTTCAGACCCCTGTCTCCATTGCTTTGTTCCTGGTTGTTCCCCAGACGCCCCCTCAGGTCCTGGACTCCCCGCACCAGAGGAGCCCATCACTGTCTCTGGCCCCACTGTCTCCCAGGTAACAGGCTCTGTCCAGGTGTGTCTTGGTGGGGAGACCGTGGGCTCATCTCATCCCCCTTGCCCTCCCCAGGGCCCCATCTGAAGACGTCTTTGCCTTTGACCTGTCTTCAAACCCCAGTCCCGGACCCAGCCCTGCCTGGACAGGTAGTCTCAAAGCTCCATGGATGCCCCGGACACGGCATCTGGGCACCCAGTTCTGACCCCAAGCCTGGGACTGGGCTCATAGACTTTCCCTCTCTCTCCTCCCTCCCTGACAGACTCTGCCTCCCTTGGCCCTGAGCCCCTGCCCATCCCCCCGGAACCCCCAGCCATACTCCCAGCAGGGGTAGCAGGGACTCCAGGGCTCCCTGAATCCCCTGACAAGGTAAGCTCAGGGGCTTAGCAAGGGGGTGGGTGGGTCTGGACCTAGATCCTTCTCTCACCCTTCTGCTGTCCTTTCAGAGTCCTGTTGGTCGGAAGAAATCAAAAGGTATGAGGTGCGCTGGACTAGGTGGGGGTTCCCCTGTTTGAGGAGCTGTTAAAAATCTTTACATGCTGGGCAAGACCACCCCCATCCTTCCCACACAGCCTCTCCTGGAAACAGCTCTGTTTCTAGGGTCAGACAGAGCTGTGCTCCCAGTCTGGGCCTCTCACCAGACTAGAGGCTAACCTGTTTGCTGTGACTGAGCAAACAGGTTAGCCTCTAGTCTTCAGTTTGCTCATCTCTAAAATAAGAAGGGTCATCCCACCTCAGAGATGACACATGTAGCATTCTGAGCAGAGTGTGGGTTCAGAGATCTCACTTGGGGATGCTTGTGGAAGGCAGGGAGTAGGTTTAGCGGGGGCACCTTGCCAGCCCCTCACTGCCCAGCTTGTGCTGTGCTGCTACAGGCCTGGCGACCCGGCTGAGCCGCCGGCGGGTGTCATGCCGTGAGCTGGGCCGGCCGGACTGTGACGGCTGGCTCCTGTTGCGAAAGGCACCGGGCGGCTTCATGGGCCCGCGCTGGCGCCGCCGCTGGTTTGTGCTCAAGGGACACACGCTCTACTGGTACCGCCAGCCCCAGGTAAGACCCCATACACAAAAACAGGTAGGCAAGTGAGTCACTTCCAGGCCTCGATTCTCATCTCTATTCTATCATCCACTCTTATTCCTGGTCCAAGGCTTTGATGTCCCCATCTGTAAAATGGGGACTTTATTCAGAGAGAAATGAGTTAATATATGTATAAAAGCAGTTTGGAAAAGGTATCATAGGAGGTATAGAGAAAAATCTTTTTTTTTTTTTTTTTGGAGACAAAGTCTCACTCTGTTGCCCAGGCCGGAGTGCAGTGGCATCATCTCGGCTCACTGCAAGCTCTACCTTCCGGGTTCACGCCATTCTCCTGCCTCAGCCTCCCGAGCAGCTGGAACTACAGGCGCCCGCCACAACGCCCAGCATATTTTTTGTGTTTTTAGTAGAGACAGGGTTTCACCGTGTTAGCCAGGATGGTCTCGATCTCCTGACCTCGTGATCCACCTGCCTCGGCCTCCCAAAGTGCTGGGATTACAGGCGTGAGCCACCACACCCGGCCCTGAAAAATCTGGGCAACATAGCAAGATGGAGTCTTGCTATGTTGCCCAGCCTTGTCTCAAACTCCTGGGCTCAAGCGTTCTGCCTGCTTCAGCCCGCCAGAATGCTGGGATTATAGGCGTGAGCCACCACATCTGGCCGAAAAATCACGTCTATTCTGCCCACTTCTCCTTATCCTTCTGATATTCTGTCCATCCGAATGATGGGCCATTCATTTACTCATTTATTCATTCAGGATTCAGGTGCCTACTGTGAACCCAGCTCTAGGCTGGGCACTATGGACACAGAGAAGAATTGGATGATTTTTGCTTCTCCAGAACTTAGAGGCTAGTAGGGGAGAGGGATGAATACACACTCAAGGACAATGTAGGGACCGTGTGCTAAGATAAAGGGAAAGCCCAAGGGATATGTGGGAGCACAGCAGAGGTGTCCAGTCCATCCTGAGGAGTCCAGATGCCCCCTGACAATGCAATACCTGGCAGTTAGTTGCATGGGAAGGGGAAAGAAAACCAGGAAGAGAAAGCAGCATTCAGAAAGCTCAGGGGTGTGAAGCAGTTTGGTTTGTGTCTACTGAAGGAACAAATGCATGAGCAAGCTCTTCTTGTTTGGTTTTTTGGTTTTTGTTTTTGAGACAGAGTCTTGCTTTGTCACCCAGGCTGGAGGGCAGTGGCATGATCTCAGCTCACTACAGCCTCAGCCTCCCAGGTTCAAGCGATCCTCCTGCCTCAGCCTCCTGAGTAGCTGGGACTACAGGCACATGCCACCATGCCTAGCTAAGTTTTTTGTTTGTTTTGTTTTGTTTGAGACGCAGTCTCGCTCTGTTGCCCAGGCTGGAGTGCAGTGGCGCAATCGCAGCTCATGGCAACCTTTTCCTCCCAGGTTCGAGCAATTCTCCTACTTCAGCCTCCCGAGTAGCTGGGATTACAGGCACCTGCCACCATGCCTGGCTAATTTTTTGTATTTTTAGTAGAGATGGGGTTTCACCATGTTGGCCAGGCTGGTCTCGAACTCCTGACCTCATGATCTGCCCGCCTCAGCCTCCCAAAGTGCTGGGATTACAGGTGTGAGCCACCACACCCGACCTAAGTTTTTAATTTTTTGTAGAAATGGGCTTTTTTCCCAGTCTGGTCTCAAACTCCTAGGCTCAAATGGTCCTCCTGCCTTGGCCTCCCAAAGTGCTGGGATTACAGGCATGAGCCACCATGCCCGGCCTTCAGGCTCCTCTTTTTTTTTTTTTTGGCTGTTTCTCTGATATCTTTGGCTCCCCTTTCCTGGCTTAGAGGCATCCTTTGGCCACATCTCCTACCCTGACCCCAGATTCCAGCCCTGAGCTCCAGAAACAGAGAGACTTGTTAGAGAGCCCAGGAGATGCCTTCTCCTCTCCACAACTCTCAGGAGCCCGAGGGGTAACTAGGAGCTGACTGGGCCTTGAGGGTATTGGGGTTCCAACCTGACCCTCATGCTGTGATCCCCCCAGGATGAGAAGGCTGAGGGCCTCATCAATGTCTCCAACTATAGTCTGGAAAGTGGACATGATCAGAAGAAGAAATAGTTAAGTCTTGGGGTGTGATGGGCTGGGGGATGGAGACAGAAAGGGAGAGGAAGGGTGATGGGGTAGCAGTGGGAGGTGTGGCAAGTGGCTGGGGCGCCCAGAATCCAGCCTCTCTGGGCTGTGGGTGGGCACGCCCAGGCTGAGTGATGCTCCTCCACTACCTGGCAGTGTGTTTCAGCTCACCCATGATGTGTACAAACCCTTCATCTTCGCTGCTGATACCCTGACAGATCTGAGCATGTGAGTGCCGCCTCCCTTAGCCCCTACTCTCATATGATTCCCAAACTCTGTGAGCTTGGGAGCCTAGGCTCAGGAGCCTGGAGATACAAATTCCAGCTCTCTGAGAGTGGTTGGTCAAGATACTCACTTCTCTTTCTCTTTTTTTTTTTTTTTTTTTTGAGACAGAGTCTCACTATGTCACCCAGGCTGGAGTGCAGTGGCGTGATCTTGGCTCACTGCAATCTCCGCCTCCTGGGCTCAAGTGATTCTCCTGCCTCAGCTTCCTAGGTAGCTGAGACTACAGGTGCCTACCACCATACCCGGCTAATTTTTGTATTTTTAGTAGAGAGGGGGTTTCACTATGTTGGCCAGGCTGGTCTTGAACTCCTGACCTTGTGATCCGCCTGCCTCGGCCTCCCAAAGAGCTGGGATTACAGGTGTGAGCCACTGCACCCGGCATCTCTCTTTTTTTTTAATTAAAAAGTTTTGTGGGGAGATGGGTTTGCCCTAGCTGGTCTCAAACACTTGGCCTCAAGCAATCCTCCTGCCTCAGCTTCCCAAAGTGCTGGGGTGACAGACGCGAGCCACCGCACGCAGCCAGTACTCACTTCTCTAAGCCTCAGTTTCATCATCTATAAAATGGGTGACTAAGAGTTCATCCCTCTCAGAGTTGCTCTGAGGATCATTAGAAGATGATGTGGGTAAAAAGCCCCCAGCATACAAGAGGGCCCCAGTGGATGGAAACCCTGTGAGACCTGCTTGCTCTCCATAGGTGGGTGCGTCATCTCATTACCTGCATCTCCAAGTACCAGTCTCCAGGCCGGGCCCCCCCACCCCGAGAGGAAGGTAGGTGTCTCGCAGGGTTGAGTGGGAGGAACCCTCACCTGAGCCTGTGCCTTTCCTGGGATGGGGGCTAGGAACTCAAATGCCCTAGGCCACTCCCTGGCCTCCCAAAAACCCACTGCTGCTCCTCACCCCAGACTGCTACAGTGAGACCGAAGCAGAGGACCCGGACGATGAGGCTGGGTCCCACTCAGCCTCGGTGAGTGGGGGGCTGCCGGGGGTAGGAGGTGGGGATAAACAACAGGGCGTGGAGCTCAGACAGAAACCCTCTGTGCTTTCCACCCTGCCTGCAGCCCAGCCCTGCTCAAGCTGGGAGTCCCCTCCATGGAGACACATCACCTGCAGCCACCCCCACACAGCGCAGCCCACGGACCTCCTTTGGCTCTCTGACAGGTGCTGGGCTGGAGTTGGGAGCTGGGCTGGGGGCTGGGGTGGGCACATCCTCATCCTGCTCTTCCCTCCCACAGACAGCAGTGAAGAGGCACTGGAAGGAATGGTACGGGGGCTGAGGCAGGGTGGCGTGTCCCTCCTAGGCCAGCCACAGCCCCTGACCCAGGAACAGTGGCGGAGCTCTTTCATGCGGCGCAACCGAGACCCTCAGCTCAATGAGCGAGTGCACCGTGTGCGGGCGCTACAGAGCACACTCAAGGTCAGCTGGGGGGCTCTGGGCACAGCAAGGGACTAGGCTCTGGGCTTCAGGCTTTGGTTTGCGGCTGTCACCTCCACCCTGGGCACCAGACTCCAGACTCCAGACTCAGCTCCGGACCCTGGGCTTAGCAGCTGACAGCGGGCTCAGCTGTGGACTGGGCCAGGCTCTGGGTTCCGAGTGGGGATTTGAGTCTCACCTAGGCTCCTCGTGCCACGCTGGCCAGGTGCTGGCTTCCAGGCACCGGACCTCCGGAGTGAAGTCTGGCCTCGGGCTCTGCCCACTTCCCTGGGTGATCATGGTCCCTTAGCCCCTCCTCTCCACACAGGCAAAGCTGCAGGAGCTGCAGGTCCTAGAAGAAGTGCTGGGTGACCCTGAGCTGACAGGAGAGAAGTTCCGCCAGTGGAAGGAGCAGAACCGGGAGCTGTACTCAGAGGGCCTGGGGGCCTGGGGAGTGGCACAGGCTGAAGGCAGCTCCCACATCTTGACCTCTGACTCCACAGAACAGTCCCCCCACTCCCTGCCCTCTGACCCTGAAGAGCACTCCCATCTCTGCCCCCTGACCTCAGAGAGCAGCCTCCGACCTCCTGACCTCTGACCCTGGCCAGCACTCTAGCTCCTGACCTTTGACCCGAGGGCCACCTCAACCCCAGCTTCTGACGTGTCCAGGACAGAGCATCCCTGGATTCTGTTCAGGGTGGGAAGTAGTACTGCTAGTCATGGTCTCACCCCGAGCTGACCCCTCTGCCTGGGCTTTGTGCCACCCTCTCCCTTGCCAAAGAAGAAACTCTCCCCCCAAATCCTCCAACCTCTGGGGCCACAGCCCTGCCCCTCCAGTTCCTTGGCAGTTCTCCCCCAAACCAGGTCTGTACAGGTGTTCTTTATTTTACATGAGGGCTACTTTCCAACCAAATAAAGTCAATTTTTCTAAGAATGAGTCTACATGTAACTTTACTTCCATATTCGAATTGGAAATCTGCCCCCCTGTGGGGACTGGGGTGAGTGCTCTTGGCCAGAGGGTGGGTGGCAGACCCTTCGTGCAGCCCGTTGGCCTGGGCTCTGTACCCGAGCTCCAAGCCTGCCAGGATGGTGGGGGATGACCCATGGCTAATGAGGGCTCCGACTCATGTCCACCTCTCCCCAGCTCTTTGAAGGCTAATGGTGATCTCCTACCCCATTCCCGGGGGGCACACAATGAGAAACTTCCACTTTGTAGATGGGGAAATGCACTTTGCACGGAAAGGTGGTGGGGACAGTCCTGGAGACTGGGCTGGTAGGACAGGGCAGCTGGTGGGGAAGGGTGCAGGTTGAGGTCTGCCCTGGGAAGGCCCTGGGGAAAACACTTCTCTCCTTCACTCCTCATTCCAGCCTCACCTCCACCTCCTGGATCCAAGGCAGGGACATGTCCCTGTGACTCCATTCAGGCTGCACGGGAAATCTGACCTGCTCCCATCAGCCTCTGACTTCCAACCCCAGCCCAGCATCCCCACAGCATCCCCAGACTTCCTCTGTGGGATGCGGAGGAGGGCCAATGGGAGGAGCTTCTCTCCAGGTTGGAATTCCTCAGTAGAATGCAGACGGCTGGAGGTCACAGAGGCCTCTGTGATATCACCACGAGGGGGAGTGAGACCACTTGGAGTGAAGATTCTTTGAGGAGAAGGAAGAGACTGAGCAAACATGAGGGATAATGAAAAGGCCTGGTGGCAGCAATGGACCTCCCATACAGGCCTCGAGGGGTGGGGCGGGACTCAGGAGGACCGTATGGGGTTTGGAGGGGCAGTAGCTGCACTGAGGGGCCGCCCCTCTCCCCTGCAGAGTACCATTCACGAGTCCTACGGTCGGCCAGAGGAGCAAGTGCTCATCAACCGCCAGGAAATCACGAACAAAGCGGTAAGGATAGCTCTCGCCCCACAGTGGCCCCTTCTGCAGCTGTGCTCATGGGCAGCAGGCCCTCATGGTAACTCTGCCCCTCTACCCTCTAAACGCCCCCAGAAGACCCTCCCTAGCACTGATCCCTGAGTGACTGCCCATGATATGTTAGTAACTCTCTGGCAATGCCCCCCATAGGAACCCTTATATAACGATCATCTTCACTATCAGAGAGCCCAAAGAGATTCTCTGGCAATGACTTCCACAAAATCCCCCGATAGTAACCCACTTTTAGTGGCCATTTAGATAGTGATCTCTACACTGATGTCTCCATTCCATGATCCACTCTCAGATGATTTCCCCCCTCTAGAGTGGGCCCCAGGAACCCCCATTCTCTAAGAGCAAACCCCCAGGCAGAGGCTTCCTATGGTGACACCTGCCTGAAGGAAGGTCCTGCCCTCTTCCAGGACGCCTGGGACATGCAGGAGTTCATCACTCACATGTACATCAAGCAGCTGCTCCGACACCCCGCCTTCCAACTGCTGCTGGCCCTGCTGCTGGTGATCAATGCCATCACCATCGCTCTCCGTACCAACTCCTACCTGGACCAGGTGGGATGCCAGCATGACCTCTGCCCCACTAACCCTAATGGGGGGCCTGGGGCAAGAACTCTTCCGGCCTCAGGCTCCTCATCTGTCTATGATGGTTGGATTGGATGCTCTTCAAGGGTCTGTCAGCTCTGACCTTCTAGGAATCTGGAGATCAAGGAAGACTTCATGATGGAGAGGGCTCTGCAGCCTGGCTTTGAGGAATGCATTGGATTTGTACAGGAGGGACAGGAGAAGAATGGTGTGAGCAGAGGGAGGCAAATGGGTGCCTTGTGGAGAAGGGGTATCCAATTCTAACCAGCAGTCACTAAGGGAGAATCACTCAGTGCCAGGCACTGACTGTGCAGACTGCCAGGGTCCCAGGGATAATAAGCACAACTGGGTCCTGTCTCAGACACACAGAAACTGTCATTACAAGTGCTCAAGTAGCACCCAGAGTACATGGAGGCTCAACGAAGGCACTCGAACCTAATCTCAGGGGTCAGAGCTGGCTTCCTGGAGAAAGTGACACTGGAGCTGAGAGTAAAGAAGTAGGATGTGATCTCAGTCACCACAACAAAGAAACAGAAAAAAAGAGCACGTAGGAGTTGGCCAGGCAAAGAGAGGTGGGGGAGACTTTTTGGGGAAAAGAAACAGCATGTGAGAGACTTCTCTGTGTCCAACTTGAAGTTTAGTGTGACTTATCCTTGATGTTTTAATTTCTTTTTTTTTTTTTTTAGAGACAAGGTCTCACTCTGTCACCCAGGCTGGTGTGCAGTGGCGCCATCTTGGCTCAATGCAGCCTTGAACTCCTGGACTCAAGTGATCCTCCTGCCTCAGCCTCCCAAGTAGCTAGGACTACAGGCACGAGCTACCATGCCTAATTAAAAAAATGTTTTTGAGCCAGGCGCAGTGGTTCATGCCTGTAATCCCAACACTTTGGCAGGCCAAAGTGGGTGGATCACCTGAGGTCAGGAGTTCAAGACCAGCCTGGCCAACATGGTGAAACCCCGTCTCTATTAAAAATACAAAAATTAGCCAGGCATGGTGGTGGGCGCCTATAATCCCAGCCACTTGAGAGGCTGAGGCAGGATAATCGCTTGAAGCAGGGAGGCGGAGGTTGCGGTGAGCCGAGTTTGTGCCACTGCACTCCAGCCTGGGCGACAGAGCGAGACTCTATCTCAAAAAAAAAATTTTTTTTGTAGAGACAGGTTCTCGCTCTGTCGCCCAGGCTGGTCTGGAACTCCTGGGCTCAAGCAATCCTCCAGCCTTGGCCTCCCAAAGTGCTGAGATTATAGGTGTGAGCCACCATGCTGGGCTGAGGACTATTTAGAATGCTTTTTTGAATAATGGTGTGGATGTCCTATTGTCTCCAGTGGCCATATGTGACAGTGGGCCCTAAGGCACTGAGTCTGTTGCACTTTGGGGTAAAGCGCACTTTTGGGGAGGACACTTTGAGAGGTCAAGACAGGCAGATCACTTGAGGTCAAGGGTTCGAGACCAGCCTGACCAACGTGGTGAAACCCCATCTCTACAAAAATACAAAATTAGCCAGGCATGGTGCGCACGCCTATAATCCCAGCTACTTGGGAGGCTGACGTAGGAGAATCGCTTGAACCCAGGAGGCGGAGTTTGCAGTGAGCTGAGATGTCACATTAAAAAAAAAAAGAAAGAAAGGGAGGAGACACGGTGACTTGGGTGACTGCTAGGTGGAGTCGGGCACTATGGGGGCTGTTAGTGGGGTCGCAGCCATAAGGAAGCTGAAGGAGTTTCGAGGTTGAGAGAAAGTGAATTGGGCTCTGGACAGACCCCAGTCACCCATCTACCAATTCATCCATCCAGGGTGCATGTCCTGGACCCATGAGTGGCAGGATACCCAGGAGTTTGGTCAGGCCTAACTTGGAGTATTTGGAGAGCTGGAATAGCAGGAGAGGTTAGGACAGATGGAGCTTGGTGTTCTCCACCCTCAGAGGCCAGGCCTTTTCCTCCCAATCCTGGAGGCTGTTCTGCCTCTCCTACCTCCCTCTCCAAAATATCCCTATTCTAGAAGTTAGGGACAAAAGTTCATAGTCAGACAACCATCTTTATCAACTAGCTGTGCACACAGGCGCCACTCTGATTCCACTTCTGTAAGACGGGAATAAAACCTACTTTGCAGGACAACAGTGATGGTAACATGAAGTGATGTGTGATAGCCCCAGCACAGTGCCTGGCACGCACAGGCAAAGTGTGTTTTAAAGGAAGTGACAAGGTTGCTGAGGACCAAGAGCAGCAGTGATACGGGACTTCCCTCCCCTACATACATCCTCTCCCTGCCGGCTTGCCCAGGCCCTGCTCCACTGACCTCTCTGCCCCTCTTTTTTCTCTGTCTCCCATGTAGAAACACTATGAGTTGTTCTCTACCATAGATGACATTGTGCTGACCATCCTTCTTTGTGAGGTTCTCCTTGGCTGGCTCAATGGCTTCTGGATTTTCTGGAAGGTGAGATCCTGAGCCCTTTGCCCCTACTTCCCCCTGGGGACTGCACACCACCCAGTCTGCCCCTGTACTCCTGGCCCTACAAACTGAGGGTGTGAGTATGTGTGTGTGTGTAGACAGAGTGTGTTAGTTCAGAGATGTGTATGATGTGGCAGAAAGTAACTGGTACTAGAAGTGCAGCCTCCCTGGGCTCCAATTCCAATCCCTGCTCCAGCCTTCCCCAGCTCTGTAGTCTTGGACAAACCTGACTTCCTTGTCTGAGAAATGGGGCTGAAAGCATCTACCTTAATTTACAGAGATCAACAGGGATCAGCACACTTTTTCTGTAATGGACCAGATAATAAAGATTTTAAGCTTCATGGCTGTACAGCCTCTGTTACCATGACTCACCTCTGCCATGGCAGCACAAAAGCAACCATGGACCACACATAAATGAAGTGGGCATGGCTGTGTTCGTGGACACCCAAATTGGAATTTCATGTAATTTTCATGTGTTATAAAATCTGATTTTCCCTATTCACTTGCTTTACTCCTACTTACAAACTCATTCAGATGTCTTCTCTTCCAGGAAGTCTTCTTGTCTCTCCCAGGCTAGGTTAGGTGCTGCTTTGTGTCTCCATGATGCTATGCACTTATTTTTTTTGCATGGAGTTAAAATTTTCTGTTTATCCATCTTCCTCAAAATAGTCTGTGAGCCTAACAGGGCAGGCATCCTATATTCTCAGGAACTGGATCTGGGTATGGCACACAACAGGAGCTACATGCTGAATTGATATATGGATGGATCTGCAGACAGGCAGACTTGTATCTCCTTGTGTATGTGAAGGTGCAGACTCAGTACGAGAGGCCAGGAGGACTTGTGCTTACTGGACCCCCAATACATTGAAGAACTTTTTTTTTTCATTAAGTATAGTTTTCTTGCTGGCTGCAGTGGCTCATGCCTGTAATCCCAACACTTTGGGAGGCTGAGGTAAGAGGATCACTTGAGGCTAGGAGTTTGAGACAGACTGGCAACATGGTGAAACCTCGTCTCTACTAAAAATACAAAAACTAGCTGGGCGTGGTGGCGCGTGCCTGTAATCCCAGCTACTTAGAGGCCGAGGCAGGAGAACCACTTGAACCCGGGAGGCGGAGTTTGCAGTGAGCTGAGATTGCGCCACTGCACTCCAGCCTGGGCGACAGAGAGAGATTCTGTTTCAAAAAAAAAGTTTTCTTTTTGAATATTTAATGCAGATACATGCTGGTCAAAACTATGTTGAAAGGTACACACAGAATTCTTGCTTCTCTTTTGTCCCCTCATCCCTCTTCTCCCACCACTATCCTTTCTAGGTAATGTTTTTATATTTATAGTCTCTTTTTTATTGTCTTTGTCCATTTAGTGTTGCTATAAAGGAATACCCGAGGTTGAATAACTTATAAAGAAAGGAGTTGTATTTGGCTCCCAGTTCGGCAGGCTGTGTGAGAAGCATGGTGCCAACATCTGCTTCTGGTGAGGGCTTCAGGCTGCTTCCACTCATGGCAGAAGGTGAAGCATGTGCAGATCACATGGCGAGACAGGAAGAAAGAGAGAGAGTGAGAGGGGAGATGGGAGATGCCAGGCTCTTTTTTCTTTTTCTTTTTCTTTTTTTTTTTTGAGACGGAGTCTCGCTCTGTCGCCTGGGCTGGAGTGCAGTGGCGCGATCTCGGCTCACTGCAAGCTCTGCCTCCCCGGGTTCACACCATTCTTCTGCCTCAGCCTCCCGAGTAGCTGGGACTACAGGCGCCCGCCACCACGCCTGGCTAATTTTTTGTATTTTTAGTAGAGACGGGGGTCTCACCGTGTTAGCCAGGATGATCTTGATCTCCTGACCTCGTGATCCGCCCTCCTCAGCCTCCCAAAGTGCTGGGATTACAGGCATAAGCCACCGCGCCCGGCCTATGCCAGGCTCTTTTTAATAAGCAGCTCTTGAGGGAACTCATTCATTACCTTCAGGATGGCACCAAGCCATTCATGACCCAATACCTCCCATTAGGTCCCACCTCTAACACTGAACATCAGATTTCAACATGAGATTTGGAGGGGATAAACATTCAAACTATAGCAGCCTCACAGTATTTATTTTTACAATAATCAGCAAATATGTATATACCCTCGATCTTCCGTTTCCTAACAGTAACATAGTATAAACATTATTCTGCACTTACTTTTGTCACTGAATGGATCCTGACAATCTTTCTATATCAGTACATGGAGATCTTTCTCATTTTTCTTTCTTTTCCTTTTTTTTTTTTTTTTTCTTTAGAGATGAGGTCTTGCTATGTTTTCCAGGTTGGTCGCAAACTCTTGGCCTCAAGCAATCCTCTCCCGCCAGCCTCTCAAAGCACCAGGATTACAGGCAAGGGTCACCATACCTGGCCTCATTTTTCTTTTTATAGCTACATAGCTACATAGTATTCCATTGATTTAATGGAATTTAATGTGCCATAGTTTATCCAATCAGTCTCTTCTGATCATTTGACACGTTGGTTTTCTTTTCCTTTTTTTTTTTTTTTTTTTTTTTTTTGAGACAGGGTCTCACCCCTGTTGCTCAGGCTGGAGTGCAATGACACCCATTTCGGCTCACTGCAGCCTCGACCTCCTGGGTTCAAGTGATCCTCTCAGCCCTCCAAGTAGCTGGGACTACAGGGGCACATGCCAACACCCCTGTCTAATTTTTATAGTTTTTTGTAGAGACAGGGTTTCACCATGTTGCCCAGGCTGGTCTGGAACTCCTGAGCTCAAGCAATCCTCCCACCTCAGCCTCCCAAAGTGCTGGAATTACAGGCTTGCACCACTGCACCTGGCATGTTGGTTATTCTTAACCTTATACAAATGTAATTTTGTACTTCAACCAGAGTATCTGTGGATCAGATTTCTAGAAGTGTGATCCCTGTTCAGATTTTTCATACCTGTGAGTTTCCTTCTCCTCCCCATCTCATTCCTGTGTAAGTGTCTTATTGGACAAAGGGCTTGCAAAATGTACCAGTCTCCCTTTCTTTCTTTTCTTTCTTTTTTTTTTTTTTTTGAGATTATCACTCTGTCACCCAGGCTGGAGTGCAGTGGCGCAATCTTGGCTCACTGCAACCTCCGCCTCCTGGGTTCAAGCAACTCTCCTGCCTCAGCCTCCCAAGTAGCTGGGACTACAGGCACGTGCCACCATGCCCAGATAATTTTTGTATTTTTAGTAGAGATGGAGTTTCACCATGTTGGCCAGGCTGGTCTCAAACTCCTGACATCGTGATCCACCTGCCTCAGACTCCCAAAGTGCTGGGATTACAGGTGTGAGCCATCGCGCCTGGCCCGCCTGTCTCCCTTTCTTGTGCCGTGAGAGCTATTTCACCTCAGAACTGGCTACTGAAGCAGTATTCCTTATGTTTTTACTAGTATCCATTTTCATTTTATTATTAATTGTAGTGTGTGTCACACAAAGGCAGGAACAGCCAAGTGTTTTCATGTTACCTACCTGTAGGGCAAGGCTGTTTTGAGCATGCTTTAGCCAAGGTGGGCACTCAGCTTAGGGACCAGCCATGTATCTGTAAGGGTCTTTGCTGTGTGTCTCTGAGACTGCATTTGGCTATTGACACATGTATGGGACAGAGAGTACACGTGTGTTTTGTGGCTTGTTTGGGGGGCGGCAGGGTAACAGCAGTGGATGGCAGCTGACTGGCCCTGCTCTGAGAGGGACATTGAGCCCTCATCCCTGGGATGTGGGGAGGGCAGACCTAGGATGCCCCCATGGGCTGGGCCTGACAGACCCCACTGGGGCTGGCCCACTCCCCAGGACGGCTGGAACATCCTCAACTTCATTATCGTCTTTATCTTGCTCTTGCGGTTCTTCATTAATGAAATCAATATTCCCTCCATCAACTACACTCTCAGGTGAGCGGGGAGCTCTGGAGAAATGAGGGGGACCTATCTGGAACCCAGGAATGAGATGGGGGGATAACGACCAGCTGGAGATCAGCTTTGCCTCTCTGGGCAGCTGGTGGGGGTAATGAGGAGGGAAGGGGCTGGGAAGGGCCTAGGGGCACCCCTGACAGGCTCTGCCACAGGGCGCTTCGTCTGGTGCATGTGTGCATGGCGGTGGAGCCCCTCGCCCGGATCATCCGCGTCATCCTGCAGTCGGTGCCTGACATGGCCAATATCATGGTCCTCATCCTCTTCTTCATGCTGGTCAGTGCCTGCCCCCGCCCCCAGCTGTTTCCCTTCCCTGAACAGGGCCCTTGGGTCATTGCAAATAGAGGGGTGTCTGGAAAAGCAGAGAGGCCTGTGGGCCTGAATCCCTGTGATTTCCTCAGCAGCGTTCATTTACATGACATTTGTGTGTCCTATTTCCAGGCCCTTTGGTGAAGTCGGGGTGGGGCTCTTTTCTCTCTGACAGGTTTTTTCCGTGTTTGGAGTAACACTCTTTGGTGCATTCGTGCCCAAGCATTTCCAGAACATACAGGTTGCGCTGTACACCCTCTTCATCTGCATCACCCAGGACGGCTGGGTGGACATCTACAGTGACTTCCAGTGAGTGCCAGTGGGACTTCCAGCCTCATCCCACCTATGGGGCAGGGTAGCCGGTGGAGCTCCAGGCTGAGAGTGGGAGCTCCAGGGATTGGGATGAGGATGGCCCAGTAGAAGTGGGGGTTCCCAGGTCTTTAAACAGAGGAAAAGGAAATACCTGGACTTGTGATACCTGAAGCCTTGTCACCCTTGAATCTCCATATATTCAGAGTCCCATTCCCACCCTGTAATGGGGACCTCTCCCATCATGCTAACCAGCTGGGTAGTTGGCCTTGGATAAGGCAGCAGGTCTGCAGTTATGCCTCAGGTTACAGAGCAACCTCCCAGCCCACCTTGGAGCCCACCAAACTGCCTGAACTCCTGGGAACTTCAGGTCTCATTTCATTCATTCTTAAACCCACTGCCCACATTCATTTTTGTGTTCTGTTCTTTACCTCTTTTCTATTAAGTCTAAGCCCTATTTCTTTCCAGTTTATTCCAGAAAGTGGGACCCCTTAACTGATTTCTTTTTATCTTCTACATGTGAGTATAGAAGCCCAGTAGATAAAGGGCTTCTACAGTCATTCTCCATTATGGCATAGGTAGTGGATAAAAATCAGGCTGGCCGGGGCCGGGCGCGGTGGCTCACGCCTGTAATCCCAGCACCTTGGGAGGCCGAGGTGGGCAGCTCACGAGGTCAGATCAAGGCTATCCTGGCTAACACAGTGAAACCCCATCTCTACTAAAAATACAAAAACAAAGCCCAGTGCAGTGGCTCACACCTGTAATCCCAGCACTTTGGGAGGCTGAGGCAGGTGGATCACAAGGTCAGGAGTTCAAGACCAGCCTGGCCAAAAAGGTGAAACCCCGTCTCTACTAAATATACAAAAATTAGCCGGACGGTGGGGCGCCTGTAATCCCAGCTACTCAGGAGGCTAAGGCAGGAGAATCGCTTGAACCTGGGAGGCGGAGGTTGCGGTGAACCCATATCACGCCACTGCACTCCAGCTTAGGTGACAGAGTGAGACTCTGTCTCAAAAAAAAAAAAAAAAAATTAGCCAGGCGTGGTGGCAAGCACCTGTAGTCTCAGCTACTTGGGAGGCTGAGGCGGGAGAACGACATGAACCCAGGAGGTGGAGCTTGCAGTGAGCCGAGATCACGCCACTTCACTCCAGTCTGGGCAACACAGCGAGACTCCATCTCAAAAAAAAAAAAAGGAGTGTAGCTAATAGATTAAACTTAATAGTGTTGATGTGCACGTCCCCACCTTGCAGGGTTGGTTAGAGAATCAGCTCACTGTCTGGCAGCACAGTAGGTGCTTAGTAGAGAGCAGCTATTGAGACAGGAGTAGGGAATGGGATCTGCACAACAGCAGTGACACAGGCAGAAGTTCTAGTAGGCCTTGGGATGATTTTCCCATTTCAATGACAAGGAAACTCAGGCTTGAAGGGCCAGGGAAATGATGGGGCCCCTGCCTGCCATCTGCAGGACAGAGAAGAGGGAATATGCAATGGAGATTGGGGGTGCCATCTACTTTACCATCTTCATCACCATCGGTGCCTTCATTGGCATCAACCTGTTCGTCATCGTGGTGACCACCAACCTGGAGCAAATGATGAAGGCAGGAGAGCAGGGACAACAGCAACGAATAACCTTTAGTGAGGTGCGTGGGATGGGGAGGGCAGAAGGGAGGAAAAGGAGTGTGTATGAGAGCGGACTTGAACATATGTGCATGTATGTGTGTGCTTGCATAATCAAGGGCCTGGAGAAAGCCAAGTTGGAGGCCTGGAGGCAGCAGCCCCCCATCTTGAGTGCCCACCCACCAACTGGGGCTTCTGAGGGGTGTGGATTTTCTAGATGTTAGATTTCTATGGCAACTCAAAACTGAGCAGCTGGGTGACCTTGGGGCATTTACCCACTCTAAGCCTCAATTTTTTTCTTTTGTAAAATGGGAATAATAATAGTACTTAACTCATAGGGTTATTTTATGAGGGTTAATGGGTAAATGAACAGTGCTTGGCGCATAGTAAGCACTCAATAAATGTTAGCTACGGTATTATTCATTCAGGGCAGTACTTCCATAAGGTTGGGGAAAGGGGTGGAGTACTTCTAAAAGAGTGGAGTGCTGGAGGCCTGGGCTTGAGGGTAGGCAGGGCTTTATAAATTTGCTGGGTAGGGTTTATCAGGGTTGAAATCTGGGGCAGGGCTAAATTTTGAAATGGGGTGAGAATTTTTAAAGAGGTGGGGGGAGGTCATGTGCATTTAAAGTTGGGTTCCCCCAGCAAGGCAGTGAGGCTAAGATTGGTGAGAGCTGAAATGAGGGCCTTAGAACCCTGGGGTCCTAAGAGACTCATCCTGAAGCCAAGCAGGAAAAGGGTGCCGGGGGCGTGCCTGCCTGAGCTGTCCCGACCCCTCTCTATCCCCCGCTTCCCAGACAGGCGCAGAGGAAGAGGAGGAGAATGACCAGCTGCCACTGGTGCATTGTGTGGTCGCCCGCTCGGAGAAATCTGGTCTCCTCCAGGAACCCCTTGCGGGAGGCCCCCTGTCGAACCTCTCAGAAAACACGTGTGACAACTTTTGCTTGGTGCTTGAGGCAATACAGGAGAACCTGAGGCAGTACAAGGAGATCCGAGATGAACTCAACATGTAGGGGAGGGTACTGGGGCTGCCCCCAAGTCATGTGAGTCAAGGCTGGGCGGAGCGTCAGAGTCTTCTGGCCTCACGCCCTCACCATTTATAAGGCAGAGCCTGGGCCCCACAGAGGTCCCCCACCCTATTGGTGGAGGAACTGGAATCCAGACTCCAGGTTCCTTCCATCTCACACAAGGGCACAGCTCGGCCTGGGTCTCTGTCAGGGCTGCGTGGGAGAGCGAAGCGGGGGTGACGCCAGGGAAGAGGTGGGAGGGCTGCTTCCCTCCCCTGAGGCCTTCTGAAAGGCACTCACTGCTCCACCCCCAGGATTGTGGAGGAGGTGCGCGCAATCCGCTTCAACCAGGAGCAGGAGTCAGAGGTGTTGAACAGGCGCTCGTCGACGAGCGGGTCGTTGGAGACTACGTCATCCAAGGACATCCGCCAGATGTCTCAACAGCAAGACTTGCTCAGTGCGCTCGTTAGCATGGAAAAGGTGTGCCTTCCTTCTCCTACCCAATGGGTACTCGCCCTGACACTCTGCTCAGCCCAGCCCAGCCGGGCCTCTGGACCATTTGTCAAAGTTTCTGTCTATTCCAAGATCTGGTCCCCCTCACCACCACCACCCCTCCTTTTTTTTCTTTTTTCTTTTTCTTTCTTTCTTTCCTTTTTTTTTTTTTTTTTGAGACGGAGTCTTACTCCATCGCCCAGGCTGGAGTGCAGTGGCGCGATCTCGGCTCGCTGCCACCTCTGCGGCCTGGGTTCAAGCGATTCTCCTGCTTCAGCCTCCCAAGTAGCTGGGATTACAGGTGCTTGTCACTGCACCTGGCTAATTTTTGTAGTTTTAGTAGAGATGGGGGTTTCACCATCTTGGCCAGGCTGGTCTTGAACTCCTGACCTCGTGATCCACCCTCCTTGGCCTCCCAAAGTGCTGGGATTACAGGCGTGAGCCACTGCACCTGGCTGTCTGCCTCTTAAACTTCCATCTGCCTCAGCTGTCACTGCCTATCTGGTTAGGTTCTGCACTTTCCTTCTCGGAAAGGCTCCACCCTTCCTGCCAGTTTCATCTCTAGTGCCTTCAAACCTACCCTTTCTTAGTGTGTGTGGCATGAGCCAGCTCAGTGCCTGCCTAGTGGCAGACACTTAGGCTGTAAGTATAGTGTGGGCACAGGACCCAGGATCCTATCTAAGGTGCACAAAACCAGCTGTCTCCTGAACTCCTGGAGAGAAAAAGGCACACACCCACGTTACTTAGTTTCTTTTTCTGCCCCTCCACACCATCAGCCTGGGATATACCCTGGGCTCCCAAACTCAGAGGGGGTACTAGGTAGGCTCAAGTTAGACCTATGAAGCACTTCTCTGGGAGGCCTGGCTGGGGAAGCTGGTGAGACTGGAGGAGGTGAGTAACGGAGGCTGCCATATCGGGGGGAGTGGGGGATTAACAAGAAGACCTCTTGGTTTGCAGGTTCATGACTCTAGCTCACAAATACTCCTTAAAAAACACAAGAGCAGCCACTGAGAGGCCAGGATGGGAGCCAAGGGGCCTGCACACACACACCCAGCCGCTGCGTCTTCCTGTGTCCTTAGTGTGGCTTGGCAGAGCCTGGCCAGAGCCCATCCTCTCCCTTATACCTGGGCAGAGGCCAGGGGCTGTGAAGGTGGCAGCACCTGCAGGTCTGGTGCCTGTGAGCCCCAGGTCCGGTGGAGCAAGGAGAGAGGAGGATGCTGGATGATGAGAGTGGGAACCCTAGCAGCAAGGATGAGCACAGAAGGGGGTGCTGGCCAACGCAGCCAGGATTTGACCTAAGGATGGGGATCCCTGGCCCCCTGCTCTTGCCCAGAGCTGGTGGGGGGCCTCAGTGGGCCCCAGAACCAAGAAGAGAAAGGCAAGGCCAGTGGGGCCAGACATCTGTGTGTTGACAATAAAGTTTTGTGTTGGAATCAATGTCTCTGACTGGTGGATCTCCAACTCCTTGGGGCACTTGCCTGGGTCTAATAGGAAAGACAGATCTTGCCCCTCAAAATCCCGTTTGTCTGGTGGGAGAGTCACAGGCTGCCCTGAAGAGCATCCAGTCTAATGGGAGGGAGAATTGCACCCCTAAAAATTTCTGACTTAATGGTAGAGATATAACCCTTGCCCTCAGGGTCCTAAGCTTTGTGGAGGAAAGTCTGGTCCTCATGGGAGGGAGCCCCTGTCTGATGAAGGAGATGGCCCTACCTGCTCTCTCCCTGTCTGAAGATGGAGACTGGTCCTCACTCTGGGGAGCCCTTGTCTGATGGGATCACCAATGACCAAGTCACACAAGTACAGGCACCTCCATCCTAGGGCAATGGAGACTGACTACTTAAAATGTGGGTCCTGGCAGCTTCCTAGAGGAGAGGAAGATTTTGCGGGTCAGATGAATGAAGTCTGGTGGGGAACTTAGGACCTGTGAAGCCTATTTGGGATCTTCATACTCAAGGCCACTGAGAGCCTCAGCAGGTTCCTGAGCTATGCAATCTGGGGAGAGTCAGAAAATTGTGGCAGTTATGGGCAATAGAAAGAGCTGCCTTGGAGGACAGGAAACCTCGGTTCTGGTCCTTCAGTGAGTCACTTGGCCTTGTTTTCCCCATCTGTGCGATGGAGAGAGGGTGAGATTGATCTCCATCTCTAAAATCAAATAATCCCCTCTTATCCCAGGAAGTGGAAGACCCATGGGATCAGCTATGTCCCTGGGATGCAGGTGTCAGGGGATAGCCTGGAAGGCCTGGACATCTGCCCTGTTGTTCAGCGAAGCCTGACACTTAGGGGCCGTGGCGATATTCACCAGTTGGAATGGGAGTCCCCAGAGGTCCACTGATTGCAGCTGATGGGAAACCCCACCCCCCATCGTCCTCCCATCAGCATTGGTTCCAACTCTGAAAAGCCCCCTGGGGTCTGTTGGGAAGGAGTCTGGCCCCTGGGGATGGATGGTGCACTCAGTAGGCAGATGAGAGGCAGCAACAGAGCCAGCAGTGCCTTACTGTCTCGGAGCCGTTAATCTATTCCCCTGTTTGAGCCAGGACTTCTTCCCAGCACCCTCCAGGACCATCAGCAGCACAGAGAAGGGCACCCAGCGGATTTTGCTGCTGCTGTTGCTACTTACTGGAGATGGCGCCCTCAACCTGCCTGGTGAGTATCTACATACTCTTTCCACCCATCTTTCTCTGGGGGCCCTCTCAGCCCCTCTTCTTGTTGGCCAGAGAGGGAAGAAGGTGGCAGATCAGATGGTGTCTTCAGGAGGAGCTAACAGTTTGAGTATGGCTATCCTTCACCCCTAACTGTCTGAAAGGCTTGGAGCATCAGTGAGCTTACAGTCAGGAGCACAGCAGGGTGACCTCCATGGAGCTCCTGGCCTTGACCATCTATCTCCTCCAGGATGCTATTTTGTCTATCTACTCCCTTCATCTTGTTTGTCATCTCATCTGTCTCTGCCTTTGTCTTTCCCATCCGGGCCAACCTAACAGCCTGGAGTTTCAGCAGGCTAGTTCCTTCCCAAACTGGCCTGGAACTGAGGGCCCAGGAAGTCATACTCTCCCCTTCCCCTTCCCCTTCCCTACTCCAGCAAAGAGCAACTACCACTCCCCATGCCTTACTGAGCCTGAGTTAGGAGTGGGGCCCCGGATTCTGAGCTCCTAGGACAGTGCGGGGGAAGATATTGGGAGGTGGCTGGAAATTGTGTGTCTCATCACCCCTATGGTCTCACCTGATGGGTTTCCCATCAGCTACAATCAGTGGACCTCTGGGGACTCCCTATGAGTCCATAACTTTTACCAGGGACAGGAGCATCCTTGGCAAACTGTCCAGGAAGCAGACACCAATTCTGATGACAGGAGCAGCAGGGGATAATCATTCCCAATAGCAGTTCTACTCATTGAGTACCTACTAGGTGCTAAGCATGGTGCTGAGTGCTTCACACGCAGTATTTCATCCTCATGACCATCAGTGAAGTGGGTATGAAGAGGATATGTCCCCACGGGGGACTTATCCTCCATCACAGAACTGAGATCCTAACCCAGGTCTGACTTCAGAGCCCAGGTCACACTTCTCAAGGGAGCTTCTGTGGGCAGGAAACCTCAATATCATAAAGATGTCAATCCTCACTGAACCTATAATTGCAGGGCACCTCCAATCACAATTCCAACAGGTTGCTTGTAGAAATTGTTAAGCTGATCCTAACATATGTAAGGAAGAACAAAAGGCCAAGAATAGTCAAGATAATTTTTTTTTTTTTTTGAGACGGAGTTTTGCTCTTGTTGCCCAGGCTGGAGTGCAATGGCACGATCTTGGCTCACTGCAACCTCCACCTCCCAGATTCAAGCAATTCTTCTGCCTCAGCCTTCCGAGTAGGTGGGAGTACAGGCATGCGCCACCAAGCCCAGCTAATTTTTTGTATTTAGTAGAGATGGGGTTTCACCATGTTGGTCAGGCTGGTCTCGAACTCCTGACCTCAAGTGATCTGCCCACCTCGGCTTCCCAAAGTGCTGGGATTACAGGTGAGAGCCACTGCGCCCGGCCTGTCAAGATAATTTTGAAGCACAAGATGGGTGACTCACCCGACCAAATATTGAGGCTTACTATAAAGTAACAGTAAGATAATGTGGTGTTGGTTGGGGGAAAGATGGACTTTTCCATAAGGGGGCAGGGATAACTGATTAACTATATGGAAAAAACATAAAGTCAGATTCAGTGGAAACATCCCTCCCTGCAAATAAAAACTTGAGACCCCTATAGCAAGACATATAGGTTCAGTGCAAACTAGATCTTTGTTGCAAATGGACCCCACAGATGACTAGAGTTTACAATGCTCCTCCACACTGAGCCAAGTCCCTCACTAGGCTAAGAGGAACATGGAGGCCCAGAGAGAGGTGAGACCTTCCCCAGCGTCACCCAGCAAGCCAGTAATAGAGCCAGGTGTAGAGCGTAGGTCCCCCTACCCTTTCCAAGCATCCTTGCCAATTCCCCTGGCCTGTTGCAATCCCTTAGCTCTGCACAGGGCCAGAAGAAAGTGGGTGTGGGACTGGGCAAGGTGGCTCATGCCTACAATCCCAGCACTTTTAGAGGCCAAGGCAGGAGGATTGCTTGAGGCCAAGAGTTTGAGACCATCCTGGGTAATATAGTGAGACCTCATCTCTACAAAAAATAAAAAGAAGGCTGGGTGCAGTGGTTCACGCCTGTAATCCCAGCACTTTGGGAGGCTGAGGGGGGCAGGTCATGAGGTCAAGAGATCAAGACCATCCTGGCCAACATGGAGAAACCCTGTCTCTACTAAAAAAATAAAAAATAAATTAGCTGGGCGTGGTGGCACGCGCCTGTAGTCCCAGCTACTCAGGAGGCTGAGGCAAGAGAATCACTTGAACCCGGGAGGTGGAGGTTTTAGTGAACTGAGATTGTGCCACTTTACTCCAGCCTGGCAACAGAGTGAGAATCTGTCTTTAAAAAGAAAGAAAGAAAGAAAGAAAGAAAGAAAAGAAAAAAATCAGCTGGGCGTGGTGGCATGCGCCTATAGTCCCAGCTACTCGGGAGGCTAAGGCAGGAGAATCACTTGAACCCAGGAGGTGGAGGTTGCAGTGAGCTGAGATTGTGCCACTGCACTCCAGCCTGGTGACAGAGTGAGGAAAAAAAAAATCAACTGGGTGTGGTGCAATGTGTGTGCAATGTGGTGCGCCTGTAGTCCCAGCTACTCGGGAGGCTGAGGCAGGAGAATTGTTTGAACCCAGAAGGCAGAGGTTGCAGTGAGCTGAGATCACGCCACTGCACTCCAGCCTGGTGACAGAGTGAGACTCCATCTCAAATAAATAAATAAATAATAAAAAGAAAAATGTTAGTCGAGTGTGGTGGTGCGCACTTGTAGTCCCAGCTACTCAGGAGGCTGAGGCAAGAGGATCACTTGAGCCCAGGAGTTTGAGGCTGCAGTGAGCCATGATTGCACCACGGCACTACAGCCTGGGCAACTGAGACTCTGTCTCTAAAAAAAAAGTGAGGGTGTGGATGGTGCCAGAAAAGAAGGGTTGGTGCATCTTCAGAATTAGGCGATGGGAAGGACAAAGAATGAGCCTGCCACCTGGGCTGGGTCACTTCCAGTTTTTTTTCTTTTCTTTTCTTTTCCTTTTTTTTTTTTTTTTTGAGTTTTGCTCTTGTTGCCCAGGCTGGAGTGCAATGGCATGATCTTGGCTCATTGCAACCTGTGCCTCCCGGGTTCAAGCGATTCTCCTATCTCAGCCTTCCAAGTAGCTGGGATTACAGGTGTGTGCCACCACGCCTGGCTAATTTTGTGTGTTTTGTAAAGACGAGGTTTCACCATGTTGGTCAGGCTGGTCTCGAACTCCTGACCTCAGGTGATCCTCCCATCTCAGCCTCCCAAAATCCTGGGATTACAGGCGTGAGCCACCATGCCTGGCCAGCCTCCAATTTTCTGAGTTAGCCTTTTGAAAACTGCCAAGAGGCTGGACACGGTGGCTCACGGCTATAATCCAAGCACTTCGAGAGGCTGAGGCGGGTGGATCATTTGAGGCCAGGAGTTCGAGACCAGCCTGGCCAACATGGCAAAAACCCATCTCTACTAAAAACACAAAAATTAGCAGGGCACGGTGGCATGCGCCTGTTGTCCCAGCTACTTGGGAGGCCGAGGCAGGAGAATCACTTGAACCCAGGATGCAGAGGTTGCAGTGAGCCAACATGACGCCACTGCACTCCAGCCTCGGTGACAGAGTGAGGCTGTCTCAAAAAAAAAAAAAAGAAAGAAAGAAAGAAAGAAAGAAAGAAAACTGCCAAGAATGCAAAAACAGCACATCAGGTGATGGGCCTATTTCTGCCCATTACCCAGGGGAAAGAAGAAGGTTTCCAAGGAATCCAGCCCAACATAATTGATTTGGGCCTTTCTAGAGAGAGCAGCTGGCTCAACCATGAGAATAAAGCTGTGTTTTTGTAAGGCAGTGCAGTGTGGTAGGGAAGGCATTGGGTTCTGGTGTCTGATGGACTTTGTTTCAAATGCAGTGGCACCACTTCCTGGCTGTGTGACCTTGGACAGATGTCTTCACCTGTCTGATCCTCAGTTTCTTCATTTGATAAATGGAAATAATAGTCCTTTTCTACAGGTTGGTTGTAAGGATTTAATGTGCCTGTGCATTGGAGCAGCACCTTACCTGGGCAGGGTGACACTTGAACAATATCAAAATGATCCTTGACTGCTATGACACTCAATGAAACACTCGGCTTGCAGTTAGGGGTCATATTGTTCAAAAAATTCATATCTTTAGGCCGGGCACAGTGGCTCATCCCTGTAATCCCAGCACTTTGGGAGGCTGAGACAAGCAGATCACTTGAGGTCAGGAGTTTGAGACCAGCCTGGGCAACATGGTAAAACCCTGTCTCTACTAAAAATACAAAAATTAGCCAGGCATGGTGGCTCATGTCTGTAGTCCCAGCTGCTCAGGAGTCTGAGGCAAGAAAATGGCTTGAACCCGGGAAGCTGAGGTTGCAGTGAGCTGAGATTACACCATTGCACTCCAGCCTGGGTGACAGAGCGAGATTCTGTCTCAAAAAAGAAAAAAATCGTATCTTTAAATACTAGAATCATATTCAATGCAGTAGGAAACTAATATCAAACAAGGCATCAAGAAATCAAACACCAATTGAGATAACAGATTTCTGTCTTTTACTGACTTGCACTGTCTAGAGTAGCCATTGAGTGGAATGAGACATAGTTACCTGCACAAGTAAAATTCTCTCTCCCTGGTATACATCTGTTGAAATCTATTGGCACAGAGCTGGCACATAAATGTGAGCTGGTAAGATTTACATATGTATGTAAATCAACACCCACTACATTATATATAATATATATTTATATATGTATATATAATATATATTTATATGTATATATAATATATATTTATATGTATATATATTTTATATATATAATTTTATTTTAGAGATAGGGTCTCACTTCGTCATCCAGGCTGGAGTGCAGTGGCACAATCAGAGCTTGCTATAACCTTAGATTCCCGGGCTTAATCAATCCTCCCGCCTCAGCCTCCCAAAGTGCTGAGATTATAGGCGTGAGCCACTGTGCACGACCTGATATTATTTTTAGGGAGTCTCCCAGTAAGAATATTTGACAAGTCATAACATCTGAAAATAACTCTGGTTTGGTGGAAGGAACAGGTAGATTGCTTTCTCTTTTATTATTTATTTATCTATTTATTTATTTTGAGATGGAGTTTCTCTCTGTCACCCAGGCTGGAGCACGGTGGCATGATCTCAGCTCACTGCAACCTCTGCCTCCCAGGTTCAAGTGATTCTCCTGACTTAGCCTCCCAAGTAGCTGGGACTACAGGCATGGGACACCACACCTGGCTAATTTTTTTTTTTTTCAGTAGATATGGGGTTTCACCATGTTGGCCCGGCTGATCTCGAACTCCTGACCTCATGATCTGCCCACCTCAGCCTCCCAAAGTGCTGGGATTACAGGCATGAGCTACCATGCCCGGCCTCTTTTTTTAATTTTTATTTTTCTCTACTTAGATGGGGTCTCGCTATGTTGAGCAGGCTGGTCTCAAACTCCTGCCCTCAAGTATTCCTCCCATCTCGGTCTCCCAAAGTGCTGGGATTATAGGCATGAGTCACAATACCCAGTCTAGATTACCTTCTGTTTATTTGTTTTTTCACAGGCAGTGTTACAATCTGGGGAGTTGTGTCAAAAACAATACACTCCACAGAAGACTCTGCACCTGAGGAAATTATATTGTGTTCATCTACAACTTCAACTCTGTTTAACAAAGGGAAAGACAATGTCTCTCCAGCTGTACTTAACAGTTCACCAACAACTGACAAGACATCAACATCTGAGTCCCAGAAGCATACAACACCAGCTGCTCCTCCAACCTCTCCACAAACAGCAGCTCTAATGGGTCCACTGAGCAGACAACTTCAATACAAAAAACTCAGGAAGAGAAATTAAACACAACTATCAGCACAACCTCCAAGGGTACACTGCTGCCAAATTCCATCATGACTTCTACATTGAAGGACCAGGGAGGGATATCAAGAACCACAGCTTTATCCAGCACGGCCTCTTCAGTTGAGACCCCAAAACAGAATCAGGAAACTCCAATTATAACTCCATCAGCATCAAACACCACAGTCAATGGGACACAATCATCAGTGTCCATTGGCTTTCAGGAATCAGACACAATCACATCCCCAACAGCACTGAACACACCAGGCAGTGATGTTCAATCATCTGGGTCCATGGCAACCACTGTCTCTGGGAAGTCAGCTATAACTACATCCCCAACAGCAAAGAGCACGCCAGGCCATCATGTTCAATCATCCGGGTCCATGGCAACCACTGTCTCTGGGAAGTCAGCTATAACTACATCCCCAACAGCACTGAACAAAACCACTGGCATAAAAGAATCTTCACCCATGACAGCCAGCGAAGTTATGCACACTACCTTGCTAAACACAACCACTCTCGGGACAACTCTTCTTGGAACAACTACATCTGAGACTCAGGAAGGAAAAACTACAGCTGCATCCTTATCCCCAACAACCACCTCCATGATAAGCAAGTTGTCTGGAACACATCATAACACAGTCTCACAGACACCTTCCCATCTGGCAGAATCAACCTCCAGTGTTGCCACTGCTATAATCCAGTCACATGAGATGACAGCTGCTCATTCCACAGGCCTTCTCCCCAGGTCCTCGGAAACAACAAAATCCTCTGCTGTAACTGGGGCCAGTCAAACCTCCCCTAAACACACCCAGAGTAGTGGTCCCAGAGTTGGAGCCTGTGCTTTGGATGAGTATGCAGGTAGCAGGGGAGTTTGTATGTGCAATGACAGCTACTACTTCCACGCGGGTAAGTCTGAGGAACTCATGTGAGTAAAACAAAGAAGAGGTGGGGGCCAGAGTGGACACCATAATTCTGTGAAGTCTCAAAGGGTCCAAAGGGTATGAGAGGGCCAGTGAAGTTTGGTAAGACGTTGGCATCTTCTGAGTCCACCTGGGTAGAGGTGATTTCTGGTGGGAAGACAGGCAGCTGGGCATATGGGATAGAGTGCACAATTTTTCAGCTCCAGCCCCCAGGACTCTAGCTACTGTCCAGAGATGAAACTTTCCTGGGGGAAGGAGCTGCACCAAAGACAAGAACTGTAGTTCCAGCGGAGGCCTGGAAGGCCAGGTGGAAAAACTAAGGCAAAAGTCTGACTGTTGGGGCAAGTCAGTGTGGCAGATATTACAGAAAGGCTGAGTTCACAGGGCCTCCGACAGGCAGTGCCACAAACTCCCAGATCCATCCTCTGCAGGCCTGAAGCTGGGTCTAAGACAGCAAAAAGATAATAATATCCCCCAAACATATGTTCTTCACGGTTGAAATAATTCTAACCTCTCCTCCCCCAAGCATTTAAATTTAACAAGTCTGGGCGCAGTGACTCATGCCCGTAATCCCAGCACTTTGGGAGGCTGAGATGGGAGGATCACTTGAGGGTGGGAGCTCAAGATCAGCCTGGGCAACCTAGTGGGATCCCATCTCTACCTTTTTTTTTTTTTTTTTTTTTGAGACGGAGTGTCATTCTGTCGCCAGGCTGGAGTGCAGTGGTGCAATCTTGGCTCACTGCAACCTCCGACTCCCTGGTTCAAGCGATTCTCCTGCCTCAGCCTCCCAAGTAGCTGGGATTACAGGCACGTGCCACCATGCCTAGATAATTTTTGTATTTTTAGTAGAGAGGGGGTTTCACCATATTGGCCAGGATGGTCTCAATCTCTTGACCTTGTGATCCATCCGCCTCAGCCTCCCAAAGTGCTGGCATTACAGGCGTGAGCCACTGCGCCAGACCCCTGTCTCTATTTTCAATAAAATATAATAAAATATACTTAACAAAATTCTGCTTTTCCTAAAATGACTATTGTGTCTTTTTTTAAAAAAATCTAATTCCTTTAAAAAATATTTCTTTGGCATTCCTGCCTTGGTCTATTGGGTAGTCCTGCCTTGGGATGAAGCTTTTGTTACATGCAAAACCGGCAGTGCTTAACTTATGGGTCACTGTTTTCCAAAATGTATTTCCTGGGACACCAGTGCTATGTGATTGCAATAGACATTTCACTTAAAAAAAAAAGTTCTATTGTCATATACATTTGGGAAATGCTGGATTCAACAAAATTGTGTCTCGACTGAAGAACTTTTCAGAGCCTTTAATATTCCACTGTTTCCTGTGACTTCCTAGCAGCAGATTATAGCATATATTTCCTAAGATTATTTGTTCCTAGAATCCTCATTCTAAGGAATGTTCATGCAGCACCTTGGGATATCTATTGCAGAGCAGGGGAGCTAAGCAGGGCTGTGCAAGGTAGAAGTCCAATCCAGGTGGTTTTTAGTCAAGCCTTGAGGCAGATGCTGGCCCATTAGAGGGTTGTCACTACCTCAGCAGACTCTCAGTAAAACCAGGGTTATGTGCCAACTTGTACATGCTGCATGTGCCCCTCCACAGAAAATATGACGTACATCATCGAGTTTTTACACATTGAGAATGAGACAGCTTTTCCTTTTGTGTTATTTCTTTCCCCCTGTGGGTAAGAAGAACATGGGCTCTGCCAGATAAACTGGGTTTGAACTGTGTCTCATTTTCTTTCGCTAGGTATACGACTGCATTTACCTACCAGCTATTATTAATATGATTTGGCACTTTGTATCACAATATACGATTGACTGCAATTGACTGCAACAACAGAATGTTACGTGACTGACAAACTCCCCCTCCTCTCAACAATACGCATTGATGAATATAAAGCATCTGCTCTTTTTTTTGTTTTGTTTTTTTGAGACAGGGTCTTGCTCTGTTGCCCAGGCTGGGGTGCAGTGGCGTGATCACAGATCACTGCAGCTTGGACCTGCTGGGTTGAAGCAATCATCTCACCTCAGCCACTTGAGTAGCTGCAACTACAGGTGCACACCACCACACCCAGCTAATTTTTAAAATTTTTCGTAGAGATGGGGTCTCACTATGTTGCTCAGGATGGTCTTGAAGTCCTGGGTTCAAGTGATCCTGCCACCTCAGGCTCCTAAAATGCTAGGATTATAGGCGTGAACCACTGCACCTAGCAGCATCTGCTCTTAAGTTACAGCTCATCCCTCTGACCAAATATGCCTGCCAAAATAGAAACAGTAAACTTTAAAAAAAGAAAGAAAATTATATTTAAATTCAAAGTAATAAAACAAGTCCAGAAGTGTTTTGCATTGGTATTTCCATTATGTTTTACTTTTTACCATTATTATTATTATTTTATTATTTTTAGGACAGGATCTCACTCTGTCACTTAGACTGGAGTATAGTGGCATAATTATAGCTCACTGCAGCCTCAAACTACTGGGCTCAAGTGGTCCTCCTGCCTCAGCCTCTCCAGTAGCGGGGACTACACCTGGCTACTTTTCTTTTTCTTTTTTGTAGGGACAAGGCTCTTGCTATTGCCCAGGCTGGTGTCAAATTCCTGGCCTTAAGCAATCCTTCTGCCTCGGCCTTCCAAAGTGCTGGGATTACAGGCATGAGCCACTGTGTCCAGCCAGTTTTCCATTTTTTTTTTTTTTTTTTTTTTTTGAGACAGGGTCTTGCTCTGTGGCCCAGGCTGGAGAGCAGTGGCACAATCACAGCTCACTGCAGTCTCGACCTCAGGGGCTCAAGCGATCCTGCCACTTCAGCCTTCTGAGTAAATGGGACTATAGGCACATGCCACCATGCCTGGCTAATTTTAATTTTTTTTTTTTTTTTTTTGGTAGAAAGGGAATCTCCCCATGTTGCCTAGCCTGCTCTTCAATGCCTGGATGCAAGCGATCCTCCCGCCTTGGGCTCCCAAAGTTAACTTTTTTTTTTTTTTTTTTTTTTTTTTTTAAGACGGAGTCTTGCTCTGTCGCCCTGGCTGGAGTGCAGTGGTGCAATCTCGGCTCACTGCAAGCTCTGCCTCCCGGGTTCACGCCATTCTCCTGCCTCAGCCTCTCTGAGTAGCTGGGACTACAGGCGCCCACCACCACTCCCGGCTAATTTTTTGTATTTTTAGTAGAGACGGGGTTTCACCGTGGTGTCGATCTCCTGACCTCGTGATCCACCTGCCTCGGCCTCCCAAAGTACTGGGATTACAAGCGTGAGCCACCGCGCCCGGCCATAACTTTACTTTTAAATTACTAACTTTTAAGCAGTTCATTCAAAATTCAATAGAAAGTATGAAGAGAGCAGATGCAAAAAGAAGGGAAGGTTAAGTATTAGCTTCTCATTCATCACTCAAATAGCACTGGTATTTGGCATGTATCAGTTAGGATACTTTGTGTTGCAAGTAGCAGAAACCCAACTCTAATTGGCTTGAGTAAAATACATAAATGTTTTTTAAAAATTGAAAACATGAGCCTAGCCAACATAGGGAGACCCTGTCTCTACCAAAAATATTGAAATGAGCCAGTGTGATGGCATGCACCTGTAGTCCCAACTACTTGGAAGCAGGTGGGAGGATCACTTGAGCCTAGGACTTTCAGGCTGTAGTGAGCCAAGAGTATGCCACTGCATTTCAGCCTGGGTGACAGAGAGAGACCCTTACTCAAAAAAAAAAAAAAAAAAAAAAAAAAAGGAAAACATGAGGCCAGGCGCAGTGTCTCACGCCTGTAATCCCAGCACTTTGGGAGGCCAAGGTGGGTGGATTGCTTGAGTCCAGGAATTTGAGACCAGCCTGAGTAACATGGCGAAACCCCATCTCTACAAAAAATACAAAAATTAGCCAGGCATGGTGGCATGCCTGTAGTCCCAGCTACTCAGGAGGCTGAGGTGGGAGGATCACTTGAGCCCAGGAGGTGGATATTGCAGTGAGCCAAGATTACACTCCAGCTTGGGCGACAGAGTGAGATCCATCTCCAAAAAAAAAAAAAAAAAAAAAAAGAAAAGAAAAAGAAAACATGAAACAAAATAAAACAAACTTTGTTGGCTCATGAAACTGGACCTGCAGACTCTGAAGCCCCTCCCTCCAGGTTCTCAAGCACCCCCATCCTTCCCTCAGGGCTCTCTTCCATGAGTTTAGACTTCTCCAGACTGAAAGAGTCATTGACTCCAAGCAGTCTAGGCCCCTCGAAAAAACTACAAGGCCTGGCTTCCAGATTGGAATAGGAGGAAAATCACAGAGAACTTAACAAATTAATATCTCAAAAAATAATCTTGCCAGACAAGTAACAGAAACCAAGTGGGCTAAAGAAAAACAGTGTCTCACGGAGGCCAAGGGCAGGCTCCAGCCAGGTTCTCCAAGGACTGGAACTGGATCTGGGAATGTAGTGGGAACCAGGGGGCTGCTTCTCTCTCCACTCAGTCTTGCTCCTCCCATTCCACACCTGCACCCACTCTGTCCCTCCCACCTCCCAGCCCACATGACAGAAGACGACCACCTCACCTCTCAAGCTTTATGCTGCCTCCTTTGAGGCCCAGTTCCTAATTTCTGGGAAAGAGATTCTGAGTGGATCAGCTAAGGCCAGGGGCCAGGGTCCCACAGGGCAACAACTATGGCTGTGAGGGAGAGTCCTTGTTTTTTTTTAGACAGAGTCTTGCTTTGTCGCCCAGGCTGGAGTGCAGTGGCACAAGCTCAGCTCACTGCAACCTCCGCCTCTGGGTTCAAGAGATTCTCCACCCTCAGCCTCCAGAGTAGCTGGGACTACAGTCATGTGCCACTGCGTCCGGCTAAGTTTTGTGTTTGTAGTAAACACCAGGTTTCACCATGTTGGCCAGGCTGGTCTCAAACTCCTGACCTCAGGTGATCTGCCTGCCTCAGCTTCCCAGAGTGCTGGGATTACAGACGTGAGCTCCCACACCCGGCGGAGAGTCCTTGTTTAAGGAAGTGTTTGCGAATTGGGCTAATATCCCAACAATGTCTCCTCCCCCAACATTAGAACTCGAATCTCCTCCCGTGGCATCATCCCAGGAGCCTCAGGAGGCTCCTGCCCTGGCTCTTGTCCTCCTACAGAACTGTCCAGGGTGTCGGTGAGCCTACACTGCTGGCCGCAGAAAATCGAGGTGGTCCTGAGCAGCTGCATCCTGCAGACTCGCCGCTGGATGCTGATGAAAGATGCCTTCTCAGGATGCTCCAGCATCAGCAAGATAGAACAGGGTCTCCGTGTCCAGGTCTTCCTGTTAGAGAAGAAGGAGGGTACCTGTGGACTTCGCCTCTCTGTAAGCAAACTGGGAGAGGTCACCTGATGGTGGGAGGGACCGGGAAAGGAGTGATTGGCCACCAGTCATGACTTTATTTCCATTTGACTAAGAAATTCTCTGGAATGGAGTCAAATCCCAGCCATCAGGACCAGTCTTTTTGAGAGAAAAGACTGTGTTGTCCCCCTTCAGACTGGGAACACCTTTGTGGGTGATACCATGTTTGATGGATTGAGCTATTGGCTTCCAAACTGTTGTCAGCCATGGAACCCTCTAAAATAATAACAATCACAGCCACAATCAATATTTATTAATTTCTTACCATGTGCCATGTGTCATGGTCAAATACTTTTTTACAGGCATTATCTCACTAAATTTTCACAGTAATCCTGTGAGGTTCCCATTTGAAAGATAGTAGTGGTATGGAATGAGACCACCACTTCTCCTGTTGTCCTTCCCAGCTTCTCCCCCACCTCCCCTTTTCCCTAGTTTATAAGACAGGAGAAAAAAGAGAAAGCAAAAAGTAAGAAAGAAGCAGAAGTAAGATAAATAGCTAGACGACCTTGGTGCCACCACCTGGCCCTGGTAGTTATAATAATAATAATAACCCCTCACCAAAACTACTGGTGTTATCTGTAAATTCCAGACATTGCATAAGAAAGCACTGTAAAACTTTTTGTTCTGTTAGCTGATGTATGTAGCCCCCAGTCAGGTTCTCACACTTACTTGATCTATCATGACCGTTTTACGTAGACCCATTAAAGTTGTAAGCCCTTAAAAATAATTTCTCTTTCGGAGAGCTTGGCTCTTAAGACGTGAATCTGCCGATGCTCCCGGCCGAATAAAAACCTCTTCCTTCTTTAATCCGGTGTCTAAGAAGTTTTGTCTGCAGCTTGTCCTGCTACAGTGGAAGGCCCAGTCATGTTGAGGGATTTTCCCAAATCACACGGCTAGCTATTACAGAGTGGTTTGTGCTCCTCACTGCTCACTGATGCTGCCACCTCCTTTCTTTGGGAGGGGTCTTACATAAAAGCCAAATATAAAAATAAATACGTAGAAGTAGAGCAGTTCTGACTGAATGGGGGAGAGTGCCCTGCCAGGTCAGTTCCCCTCAACACATAGACTGGCTTTCACATCCCTTCAAGGGGGTGCCGGGGCTCCCCAGGCTCAGTTTAACAATCAGAGTTTGTCCTAAAGACATGGTTTAGGCCGGGCGCACTGGCTCACACCTGTAATCCCAGCACTTTGGGAGGCCAAGGCGGACAGATAATGAAGTCAGGAGTTCAAGACCAGCCTGGCCAATATGGTGAAACACTGTCTCCACTAAAAATACAAAAATTAGCCGGGGGTGGTGGCAGGCACCTGTAGTCCCAGCTACTCAGGAGGCTGAGGCAGGAGAATTGCTTGAACCCGGGAGGCGGAAGTTGCAGTGAGCCGAGACCATGCCATTGCACTCCAGCCTGGGTGACAGAGGGAGACTCCATCTCAAAAAAAAAAAAAAAAAAAGATGGTTTAGATGGTTTAGTTCCTCCCAGTTGTCTGCCTTTGTCTCTGGTTCTGCCACCCAGGGATTCATGGGGTCTCTTGTTTAGCTTATGGAATAGAATCGGCAGTTTCAACATGGAATGGCTAAGTCCATGGCTAGGCTCCCAGAACTCTCTCAGTGTTTTGTTTTGTTTTTTTGTTTGTTTTTGTTTTTTTTTAAACAGAGTCTCGCACTGTTGCCTGGACAGGAGTGCAATGGCATGATCTCGGCTCACTGCAACCTTCGCTTCCCAGGTTCAAGTGATTCTCCCGCCTCAGCCTCCCAGGTAGCTGGGATTACAGGTGCCTGCCACCACGCCCAGCTAATATTTGATTTTTAGTAGAGACAGGGTTTCAGTATGTTGGCCAGGCTGGTCTCGAACACCTGACCTCATGATCCACCCGCCTCGGCCTCTCAAAGTGCTGAGATTACAGGCATGAGCCACTGCACCCACCCTCTCAGTGTTCTTTTTCATACACTGCTTTATTTATAGTAACAAAACAAATATTTTTTTTTGAGACAGAGTCTTGCTCTGTTGCCCAGGCTGGAGCACAGTGGCATGATCTCTGCTTACTGCAACGTCTGCCTCCTGGGTTCAAGTGATTCTCATGCCTCAGCCTCTGAAATAACTGGAATTACAGGCACGTGCCACCGTGCCTGGCTCAATTTTTGTATTTTTAGTAGAGACGAGGCTTCACCATGTTGGCCAGGCTGGTCTCGAACTCCTGACCTAAAGTGACCCACCCACCTCAGCCTGCCAAAGTGTTGGGATTACAGGCATGAGCCACCATACCCGGTCCTTTTTTTTGGGGTTGGGGGGAGGGGGGAGACAGGTTTTTATTTTTTTTAAGATGGAGTTTCGCTCTTGTTGCCCAGGTGGAGTGCAATGGCGTGATCTTGGCTCACTGCAACCTCCGCCTCCTGGGTTCAAGGGGTTCTCCTGCCTCAGCTTCTCGAGTAGCTGGGATTACAGGCATGTGCTACCATGCCCAGCTAATTTTGTATTTTTAGTAGAGACATGGTATCTCCATGTTGGTCAGGCTGGTCTCAAACTCCTGACCTCAGGGGATCCACCCGCCTCGACCTCCCAAAGTGCTGGGATTACAGGCGTGAGCCACCGTGCCTGGCCCCTGGGGACAGTTTTTTCAGAGGCCAGA
Organism: Homo sapiens; assembly: GCF_000001405.40. NCBI lineage: Eukaryota > Metazoa > Chordata > Mammalia > Primates > Hominidae > Homo > Homo sapiens. The sequence continues at coordinate 26,218,901 of NC_000001.11, forward strand.
TGTCAACTTCCATCTCTGCATGCCTCAGTTTACCCATCATTGCATCTCAGCACAGAGCCCCATCATGTAGGGTTACTTTGGGTTATTCTGCCCCTGTGAGAAGAAACTATTGGCAGCAAAGCCATACTGCCCTCTGCCACCTCTCCCCAGCGCAGGCCAGCCACGCCTCTGCCATGCAGTCAACCGTTGGCTTTGTGGGTGGCCTGGAGCCAGGCCAGCACCCCTGCCAAGCCAGTGCCTTCACGGGCGCTGATTTCTGCCGTGATGATATTCTGCTTGGCACAAGCAATGATGTCTGGAAGCCTGATTAATAACTTCATCTCCTCCGTGGACATGTAACAGGGTAGGTCGCTGGAGTCAAAGAAGTGCCGCATCAGAGTAGTGGCTGCCACACACCTGCCCCGGATCCCCAGCCACACCACCTCCCTACCAAGCCATGCTCCTAGCTGTACTCCCAGGGATCCCCCGCCCCTGCTGTGCTCCCTCTCAGCTCAGAGACACATACATTTTATTGAAAAGTAGTATCAGCACCAATGCTTCTGCAAATTGTTCTGAAGAAAGGAGACCTAAGAGCTGCACACAGGATGCAGAGAGCTGGGTGGGGTCAGAGGCGTCCATCATGAACTGGGGAAAAAGAAAAAGATGGCAGCAACGCCCTGCTGCCAAACTTCCTCCCCTGGGCCTCACTGACCTGGCACTGGGAGAGCAAAACTGCATTTTTTTTTTTGAGGCGGAGTCTCACTCCAAGTGCAGCGGCACAATCTCGGCTCACTGCAACCTCCGCCTCCCGGGTTCAAGTGATCCTCCTGCCTCAGCCTCCCGAGTAAGTGGGACTACAGATGCCCACCACCACGCCCGGCTAATTTTTTGTGCTTTTAGTAGAGACGGGGTTTCACCATGTTAGCCAGGATGGTCTCCATCTCCTGACCTCGTGATTCGCCCACCTCGGCCTCCCAAAGTGTTGGGATTACAGGAGTAAGCCACCACACCCAGCCCAAAACAGCTTTAAACAAAGCTTTGGGAACAGGCAGAAGCAGAGGGAATCGAGTTTTATGAGGACGACCCGGTGTCACTCGTCTCTGTCCTCATGTGGCCATCAGTTCTCCATACTGGAATCTGGGGCACAGGTCTTGTCAAGATGGGACCAACCAGAGGCACGTGTAAATCCAACATAAACACAGACGTACCAGGGAGCAACACAGAGAGCTAAGTCTGTTCTCTGCGGAGCAGCAGCCCTGCCCTCAGCAAGCCCTGTGTGAGCTCCTACCGTGGGCCTGGGAGCGCAAGCACCAGAAACCAGATGGGGTGCCCAGCAGGAAGCAACACTAGCGTAGGACCTGTTTCCATGACTAGTATAGTCACTAAATAACCAAAATGCCGTTCTACACACAGCAAGGTTGGGGACTGGACATTACAGAAATGTAGACACACTTCCCTAAAGGAAGCCCATATAGGATTACAACCTACCAGGAGAGAATGACAGTTTCCATAGTAACTGGACCAGATGGGGCCCATGCACCACCCCCGCCAGCTCCCGGATGGTGATCTTTCTGTGTGCCACGATGTCAGTAAGATTTCCACCTATAGGAAAAACCACGATGCAAGGAGAACAATACAAGCTCTGTCCCGTTGTGAACTCCTGAAGAGCACCGTGCCCACACCTTACACGGTGGCCTGAACCCCGCAGAGCCATTCTCCAAGGGCTCAGTCCCTAAGGCAGGAATGGCGAGCAGGGACCGACGCCCATCAGTAGTTAGACTTGCTGTGGGGGCGACCAGCCACAGGAACCCGTTGCGAGGGGAGAGGAAATGCCTGTGGAGGGCGGCAGGCCCCCACATCCCACGCCAGGTATCCTCAGCTCAGGCTGTCCCTGGCTCCTGAAGGCTGGCCTTAAGTCAAGACCTGACCCTCTGCGCCTCGACGTGAACTTAGAGGAGCCCGAGCTCTTCGCCAAGCGCAGAGCTGGCCCTACTCAACTCCACCTGCGGGGCGGACGCCTACTGTGGGCCATTTTGATTCTTAAAACAAACAAATAAACAAACAAAAAACCTAGATAAGCTGGGAATGATGGTGCACACCTGTAATCCCAGCTACCCTGTAAGCTGAGGCAGGAGGATAGCTTGAGGCCAGGAGTTCAAATCTAGCCTAGGCTGCATAGGGAGACCCTGTCTCTAAGAACAAACAAACGAACAAACAAAAACCTATATAAACAAAATCTGAAAAGATATTCAAATCTTGGGATAGAGACCAGGACTTGGCATTTTAATAAGCACTCCAGTGATTCTTTTATTTTTCCCAAGGGATTCTAAAATGCACATTGAAACTTGAGAACCACTGGCCCAGAGGTTAAGAACATGAACCTTGGAATCAGAGGCCTGGTGTGGTGGCTCATGCCGGTAATCCCAGCACTTTGGGAGGCCAAAGTAGGCTGATCTCTTGAGGTCAGGAGTTTGAGACCAGCCTTGCCAGCATGACAAAACCCCATCTCTACTAAAAATACTAACATTACCAGGGCATGGTGGCGTGCCCCTGTAATCCCAGCTACTCAGGAGGCTGAGGCACAAGAATCACTTGAACTCTGGAGGTGAAGGTTGTAGTGAGCCAAGATCACATCACTGCACTCCAGCTTGGGCGACAGAGCGAGAACTTGTCTCAAAAAAACAAAACAAAAACAAAACAAAACAAAACAAACCACAAACATACAAGCCCTGGAAACAGAGAATTCTGGCTCCAGAACTTGCTTTGGATAAGACTTTTTTTTTTTTTTTGATAATGGAGTTTCGCTCTTGTTGCCCAGGCTGAAGTGCAATGGCGTGATCTCTGCTCACCGCAACCTCCACCTCCCAGGTTCAAGCGATCCTCCTGCCTCAACCTCCCAAGTAGCTGGGATAACAGGCATGCACCACCAAGCCCAGGTAATTTTGTATTTTCAGTAGAGACGGGGTTTCTCCATGTTGGTCAGTCTGGTGTCTAACTCCTGACCTCAGGTGATCCACCCTCCTCGGCATCCCAAAGTGCTGGGATTACAGGCGTGAGCCACAGTGCCCAGCCCGGATAAGACTTTTAACCTTTCTAAGCCTGTTTGATCTTCTGTAAAATGGGATAACTCCCCTCAGAGAATTGTGGTTAAGCCACAGTGCCTGGAATACAGCCCATGCTCAGTAAACTTCAGCTACCACTTTTTTTTTTCTTTTTTCTTTTTTTTGAGACAGAGTCTTGCTCAGTCACCCAGGCTGGAGTGCAGTGGCACGATCTCTGCTCACTCCAACCCCTGCCTCCCAGGTTGAAGTGATCCTCCTGCCTCAGCCTCCCGAATAGCTGGGATTATAGGTGCCTGCCACCATGACCAGCTAATTTTTTGTATTTTTAGTAGAGACGGGGTTTCATCATATTGGCCAGACTGGTCTGGAACTCCTGATCTCAAGCAATCCACATGCCTCGGCCTCCCAAAGTGCTGGGATTACAGCCACCACGCCCAGCAATCACTTTTATTTAAATAAACAACTTGCAGCCGGGAATCACTTGAACCGGGGAGGCGGAGGTTGCAGTGAGCCGAGATCGTGCCACTGCACTCCAGCCTGGGCAACACAGCAAGACTGTCTTAAAAAAATAAATAAAATAAAATAAGTAAACAATTTGCAGCAAATGAGGGTGGGAGAAGGCATCTTCTCTGGAGATCTGAGAGTAATGGCAGTCTTCTTGTCCTCTCTAGACCAACAGCAGCCACGCCCTGTACTCTCTGGAGGTGCAGCTTCTGCAGGTTCTCCCTGGCTTCATCAGCAATGACTCCACAATGCTCAGCTTCAGCTGCACGTATACCCTGGTGGTGAATGTCAGCCAGACCCACCCCTACCAGGTATTCTCCTTCCCGTAAGTTCTGCCTCATCAGCTTCCACTCTGGTTGGGCCGTGGGAGCCTACTGAGTTCTCTACCTCTCTACCTCTAATCCAAGCACAAGAGTTAGCACCCTCAGGATGTTGCTCCCCTATGCTCAAACAGAGGCACCTCTTAGATGGAAATTCAAAGCATTAGTGGAAGAAAAGAGATGCTTCAGGCTGGGCTTGATGGTGTGTGCTTATAGTCTCAGCTACTTGGGAGGCTGAGGTGGAGGGATTGTTTGAGCCTGGGGGGTGGAGGCTGCAGTGAGCCATAATCATGCCACTGCCCTCCAGGACAGGCAACAGAGTGAGACCCTGTCTCAATTAAAAAAAAAAAAAAGATGCTTCTATGAAGGAATACATACAAGTTGTTTATGTAAATTACTGTGGATAGCTTCAAGGGTCCTAGGTCTGGGGATCTATGAGGTGGCACCTCACTTTTTAGGCAGACCAGGAAGAAGGTAAGCAGGTTTGTTCCGTCCGCCCTTTATTCTCTATGGTTACCAGTGCTCAGTGACCTTGCGGATGCAGAAGGTGTGGGTGAATGTCTCTCCCTCTGGGATTTCATGATGAGGGTTTCACTCCTGTCCCTCTCCAGATATAGCACCATCCATGTTCTGGGCACTGGGGACACCATCATCATCTTGGGCATCTTCACAGACCTTCAGCTCTTAACTCTGCTTGAAAACAGAACTGTTCCTCTTGGCATGCCCTTCTACGTAGTCCTCAAGACAATAAGCAGTGATTTGCCCTGGTGGTCAGTGAGGTCTTTGCCAGCACCAACATCTCCAGGACAGGTGCTGTTAAGGCCACCTACCACTTTGTGAACAAGAGGCAAGGGTCAGTCAGGCCTGGTAACCTCCTGTGAGTGCCAGACCAGCCCCTGGATTTGGCTTGTGCTGTGTGCTTTTATACCCTCGAGCACAGATTCTGTCACTCTTCTTGGTATCCCTGGCATGCAAACACTGGAAGAAAGTAAGTGCTGGGTGAATGTTTCTTGAATAATGCTCTCATTCCCATTTTGAAGATAAGTAAATTAAGGCTCAGAGATTAAAGCCTGCCCAAGATCTTGCAGCCAACAAATAACATGCATTTCTTTTATTCTTTGCTCAATTACTGAGGGCCTACAATGATAAAACTAAAAAACAAAGACACAACATTTCAGAGTGCTATATATATGCTATATATTGGACATTCATTATATTTAGTAGCTAATAATATCTAATACTGACATAGCATTGACTCTATGCCAGACACAGTTTGAATCACTTCACATATATTAACTCATTTAAGCCTCACAACACACTCTATGAGATAGTTATATTTTCTTTTCTTCTTTTTTTTGAGATGGAGTCTCGCTCTGTCACCCAGGCTGGAGTGAAGTGGCACGATCTCGGCTCACTGCCACCTCTGCCTCCCAGGTTCAAGCAATTCTCCTGTCTCAGCCTCCGGAGTAGCTGGGACTACAGGCACCGGCCATCACACCTGGCTAATTTTTGTATTTTTAGTAGATATGGGGTTTCACCATATTGGCCAGGCTGGTCTCAAACTTTTGACCTCAGGTGATCCACCCGCCTCAGCCTCCCAAAGTGCTGGGATTACAGGCGTGAGCCACCGCGCCCGGCCGAGATAGTTATATTTTCATTCCCACTTTATAGAGAAACTGAGGCTCAGTTCACACAATAAGTTGCAGATCTTGCTAAGTGTTGGGAACACAGAGACAGTAAATTCAAGTTCGTCCTCAACGTTCTTGGGAAGGAGTTGGGTCTCCTGACTTCTAGGTCATATTTTAGTAACAAGGCTTCACAGAGCACAGGGAATCATTTATTACCTTATTTATTCCTCCAAACAACCCTATGAAGTATTATTTCCCCCACTGTACAGCTGACAGAACAAGAGAAGACTCTGAGTTTAGGGGACTTCAACCAGGACACACCATCAGTCTCCAGAGTCCAGGCTCTGAAACACACCACGGCCAAACCTGTCCTCGCCTGTCATTCCTCCCTTGTCAGGAGGATATAGAACCCAGTGATTAAGGGTGTGGGCGGGCGCTGGGGCCAGGCTGCTCCCTGCAGAACCTTGGGCAACGCTCTTTGAACCTCAGTTTGAGCCTCAGTTTCCTCATCTTTAAAAAAGGGGTGGTGGGGGGCAAAAGTATTGTCTTCTTCACGGGTTCGGTGAGGATGAAATGAAACAATCCATGTAAAGTTCTCAGCATGAAACCAGCATCTGCACCTATACAAGCAAACGTAAAAAGTGGGCAACGGTGCTCGGTGTTCATCCATCGGCACCGCGGGCCCCTGACGCTGCCTCTCCCCACAGCTGCCCCGTCAGCAACCGGCTGCTCCAGGGCCTGCGGGCCAACGGGGCCTCTCTGGAGGTGACCTTGGCCTTCAACCTGATCCGCTTCTCGACCAGCGATACACTGTACCTGCACGGCCGAGTGACCCTGTGTGACACGCGGGCAAGACGCCCATGCCAACCAGTGAGTGGGCAGCCCCGGGACCTCCTGCGCAGCCGCCGCAGCCTTGCCTGCAAAGCAGTTCCTGCCGGGCAGGCTGGGTAGCCGGACTCCCAGCTGCGCCGTCTTCACGGAAGCGGTGCTGATGCGGGACCTGGGGGACTGCGGTGCTGGGGACTGGCCAGTCCTACCGGGGGCGGGGCTTGTGGAAGACTGGGCGGGATTTTGAAGACCTAGGTCTTGTGGATGGTGAACTCACTTGGGGCGGGGAGGGAGGTGGGGCTACCCTGGGGTCTTGGGCAAAGTCCTCGCCTGGCCGGCTTCGCTACCCTTGTGCTTGCGTTGCCCACAAGCTTGTAGTCAGAAGAACTCGCCTGGGAGGGATCGCTCCTGGGAGATCCGAACGCGGGAGGGCCTGGAGCGCGGCGGCAGCTGGATAGCATTCGGGCCCATCCGAATAAGCGGTAAATGGATCATTTCTGGGGCCTCCCTGACTCCTCTTCCAGAGCCTCCTACCGACCTGCTCTGTCCCCTCCTTCCTTCATGCCCTCCACTCTTCCCTAAATGCAAGTCTCCTCCCCAAGCCCATGTCCTCCTCGGCTTCCCCTCTGCTCTCCTCACCGGTCTCACTCAGTCAACTTCAAGTCTGAGCCTTCTCTGCCTGTCTCCTTCCATTCTCACCTTTCCTGTCACACCAGATCACTCTTCTCCCAGGCTGTCCCTCGTGCCAAACTTTTTTGGTAAATCTTCCTTAATGATCTAGAAACAGTCTCTCCCTTCTTTCTATTCCATAATGGTCCTTCAAAACCCCAACCCTCGCCGGGCGCGGTGGCTCACGCCTGTAATCCCAGCACTTTGGAAGGCCGAGGTGGGCGGATCATAAGGTCAGGAGATCGAGACCATCCTGGCTAACAAGGTGAAACACTATCTCTACTAAAAATACAGGAAAAAAAAAAAATTAGCCGGGCGTGGGGGCGGGCCCCTGTAGTCCCAGGTACTCGGGAGGCTGAGGCAGGAGAATGGCGTGAACCCGGGAGGCGGAGCTTGCAATGAGCCAAGATCTTGCCACTGCACTCCAGCCTGGGCGACAGAGCAAGACTCCGTCTCAAAAAGCAAAAACAAACAAAACAAAACAAAACAAAAACTCCAACCCTCTTGGGAAAGCCCATCTTCTACTAAGTCCATTCTTATTAGAGGCAGGAGGTCCATCATCACACCCTTCTGAATCTCAGTTTCAAAGAGACCAAGCCCTTTGCCCAGTCTTGATAAAATAATGGGAGAATGCTAGCCTTGTCCTGCCAGAATGGCACCTTAAGCTTGATCTCTCTTTCTATGTGGTTTCATAGTCCAATGCCTCCAGCAGCAGAAGCTCGGCAGGTTGGTACAAAGATATTGCTGTGATGAAGTTCTGATGGTTGCACCAGGGTCTGAGGATACACGCTGCTGGGTCTTGGCAGGTGCTGGTTTTGGATTTTGTTTCTGCTCCACTCTATACGAGCTGAGAGAAGTCAGTTAACCTTTTTTTTTTTCTTTCTTTTTTTTTTTTTTTTTTTTGAGACAGAGTCTCACTCTGATGCCCAGGCTGGAGTGCAGTGGCGTGATCTCAGCTCACTGCAACCTCTGCCCCCCGGGTTCAAGCCATTCTCCTGCCTCAGCCTCCCGAGTATCTGGGATTACAGGCACGCACCACCATGCCCAGCTAATTTTTGTACTTTAGTAGAGGGAGGGTTTCACCATGTTGGCCTGGCTGGTCTCGAACTCCTGACCCCAGACGATCTGCCTGCCTCAGCCTCCCAAAATGCTGGGATTATAGGTGTGAGCCATCATGCCCGGCAGTTAACTTATTTGAGTCTCAGCTTCTTGGGTCTCAACAGTACATGGCACTTGTCATTGTGGGGCTGGTGGTTTATCCTTCATCAGAACCTGAGTCTATCCAGAAATGATTGAAAATTCAAGATACAGGGGCAAGCAGGTAGGAGGTGAAAATTCAAGATACAGGCCAGGCAGTGGCTCACACTTGTAATCCCAGCATTTTGCGAGACCAAAGTGGGAGGAGTGGTTGGGGCCAGGAGTTTGACACCAGCCTGGACAACACAGCAAGATGCTGTCTCTATAAAAAATTTAAAAATTAGCTGGGCATCATGGCACATGCTTGTAATCCTAGCTACTTGAGAGGCTGAGGCAGAAGGATCGCTTGAGACCAGGAGTTTGAGGGTGCAGTGAACTATGATGGCGCCACCACACTCCAGCCTGGGAGACAGAGTGAGACCCTGTCTCTAAAAGAAAAAAGAAAATTCAAGATACAGAGCCAGACAGGTAACAAGGACAGGTGAAGGTGGCTGAGTAGGGTCCACACTGAACTAGACAGTGCCTTTCATCCCCATCCTCCCCACCCCCAATTTAACTTACACACAGTCAGTCCCAAGAAAGCTTGTTGAATGAATGAATGGATTTCTAAATAATTCCCTAAAGGGGAATATCTAAGCCTAAAAACTTTCCCCTGCTCTCAATGCCACTTAATTCTGTTTTATAATCATTTCTTTCTTTCCTGCAGGAGCCTGGATGGCCATCTTTCTTCTGATAGCAATAAGCTGGATGCTGGGATAGAAGCCTGATACCTCCTCCAACCCTAGTCCTTGGCCTCTAGTTTACTCGCCTGAGGCAAGGGTAGAGTGGAGGAAGATTTAGGGAAAGCAAGTAGTCCGTTTTATTGTTACGGACCAGAGAGGTTGGGGGTGCAGATGAAACCAACATCTGGTAAGGAGTGTGGCTGATCAGCCTTGGGCTCTGCTTCCTCATCCCACCTTTGCTTCCTATCTCTGGAACTCTTCTAGGGGGAGATTGAGTTACTTAGTATGGTATGGGGAGGTGCAGAGGGTATGGCTAATAAACAGCCGGGAATTCTACTTTGTCTGACTCCTTTCTGTGTAATCCAGATCTTATATTGAGGGGGTTGGGGATGGCAGGGAGAAGTCACTTTATCCTCTATCTCTCCATATGTAAAATGAGAGTTTGAACTGATGATCTCTGCTTCAACATGGAGACTCTATGACTCTCATTCCAGGGAAAGTTCCTGGGCCTTGGCCAGCTGGCCCTAAGTCTCCTTTCTTTTTTTCTGCAAAATGGGCACGAACTATTCAATTTCAGAATGAGGATAAATGTATACACACACTATTATCCAAGCCTCCTTCTCCTGCCCCTTAATTATTTCTGACCTCATTAGCTCCCCCTTCCTAGTAGAGGGTGGATATGGCAGCAGTGTTTGTGTGAATATCATTCCTTTATTCAAAAACAGGTTGGAATCTGCTATGCACTTGTTAACTGTATTAGGCCTGGGGGATTCAACAGTACAAAAGACAGAGTCTTTGACCTTACAGAGAAAACAGTTGAGTTTGGGGAGTAGGTAGTGAGGACCAGGAAGCAAGACAGGGTTTATAAGTTGGCAGAGGTGGGACCTACCCATAAGGTAGAATTTCACAAAAACACAGGAAGGCCCTGTGCCTTCTTTTGATGTTTCATTTTTGAAATACAATTTTTTGTTAATATCCATGATTATTTTAGAAATTAATTTCCTGGGGGAAAACATGAGTACAAGCAACACAATAAAAGTTAAATTTGGGCTGGGCACAGTGGCTCATGCCTGTAATCCCAGTACTTTGGGAGGCCAAGGTGGGTGAATCACGAGGTCAGGAGTTCAAGACCAGCCTGGCCAGCATGGTGAAACCCCGTCTCTACTAAAAATACAAAAATTAGCCAGCCAGGCATGGTGGCACGGGCCTGTAATCCCAGCTACGCGGGAGGCTGAGGCAAGAGGATTGCTTGAACCGGGAGGCAGAGGTTGCAGTGAGCCGAGATCATGCTACTGCACTCCAGCTTGGGTGACAGGGCGAGACTCTGTCTCAAAAAAAAAAAAGTTAAATTTGGCCAGGCACAGTGGCTCACACCTGTAATCCCAACACTTTGGGAGGCCAAGGTGTGCCAGATAGCTTGAGCCCCAGAGTTTGAGAGCAGTCTGGGCAACATAGTGAGACCTTCTTGAGACCTTCTTCTCTACAAAAAATTTAAAAATTAGCCAGGAACCTGTAGTTCCAGCTACTCGGGAGGCTGAGGTGGGAGAATCACCTGAGCCCAGGAGGTCAAGGCTGCAGTGAGCTGTGTTCCTGCCACTGTACTCCAGCCTGGGTGACAGTAAGACCTTGTAAAAAAAAAAAAAAAAAGCTAAATTTAATTTAAATTTAACAGTCTTAATATTTCATTTGCAGGTTGGCCGGGCACGGTGGCTCACACCTGTAATCCCAGCACTTTGGGAGGCCGAGGCGGGCGGATCATGAAGTCAGGAGATCGAGACCATCCTAGCTAACACGGTGAAACCCCGTCTCTACTAAAAACACAAAAAATTTGCCGGGCGTGGTGGCGGGAGCCTGTAGTCTCAGTTACTCAGGAGGCTGAGACAGGAGAATGGCATGAACCCGGGAGGCAGAGGTTGCAGTGAGCCGAGATCGCGCCACTGCACTCCAGCCTGGGTGACAGAGCGAGACTCCATCTCAAAAAAAATAAATAAATAAAAATAAAAAAAATAAAAAATAAAAAATTCATTTGCAGGAACATTTTGTTGTCTTTAATGCCTTAACAGCTCCTGAAAAAAATCATGTCAAATGATCAATCCATGTTATTTTTTCATGCACATCAAAGTCACACATTTATTAAATCAGCAATAAATTACATTTCATTGTGAATTCATATTGACTTTATACGTCTGTAGTAGACTTTAAACAGTCCTGCTATCAAAGGCATTAGCCCTTGCCGTTATTTAAAATGTATCCTGGCCAGGCACTGTGGCTCACGCTTGTAATCCCCACATTTTGGGATGTTGGGGTGGGCGGATCACCTGAGGTTAGGCATGCAAGCCCAGCCTGGCCATAATAGTGAAATCCTGTCTCTACTAAAAATACAAAAATTAGCTGGGTGTGGTGGCAGGTGCCTGTAATCCCAGCTACTCGGGAGGATGAGGCAGGAGAATTGCTTGAACCCAAGAGGTGGAAGTTTGCAGTAAGCCGAGATTGTGCCATTGCACTCCCGCCTGGGTGGCAGAGCAAGACTCTGTCTCAAAAATAAATAGATAAAATATATCCTGAGGGAAGAAGGGAAGTAGAAAAAATATATACATATATATCTTGAAGGATAAGGACAAAATATTGACTCCGCTTAAATATCTCAAAAAGAAAATAAATGAAATAAAATTAAGTAAACAAGGAAGCTATTGCATTTAAACTAAATTAGTTGACCATGTTAAAGAAGCCTCAGTGCTGTGTAACAATAGATGCTTATAAAATAATCCACCAGACCACACAGTGCATATGAAAGTGATAACTCTAATTATATGATTGTAACTAAGTTGCAATTTTTTTTTTATACTGAGGTGGGTCACATCTGGACTAACCCTGTCCCTTTTCAGTCATTAAGTCAGTGTACTTGATATATTTTATTAAAATATTCAGTGATATGATTTCGCTGTGTCCCTACCCAAATCTCATCTTGTTCCCATAATCTCCATGTGTCATAGGAGGGAACTGAAGGGAGGTAATTTAATCATGGGGGCGGTTGCCCTCATGCTGGTCTCATGAAAGTGACTTCTCACAAGATCTGATGGTTTTATAAAGGGCTTTTCCCCTTTTTGCTGGGCACTTCTCCTTGCTGTCACCATGTGAAGAAGGATGTGTTTGCTTCCCCTTCTGCCATGATTGTAAGTTTCCTGAGGCCTCCCCAGCCCTGTGGAACTGTGAGTCAATTAAACCTCTTCCCTTTATAAATTACCTAGTCTCAGGTATGTCTTACCCAGTGAACATTAGTCTGTTCTCACCGTGAGAACAGACTAATACATCCAGCTAGTCTTTTAAAAATAATAATGTAACTGACAATTTAAGAATATCTTATATTGGCCAGGCGCTCACACCGGTAATCCCAACACTTTGGGAGGCCAAGGTGGGTGGATCACAAGGTCAGGAATTTGAGACCAGACTGGCCAACATGGTGAAACCCCGTCTCTATTAAAAATACAAAAATTAGTCAGGCATGGTGGCGTGCGCCTGTAGTCCCAGCTAATCAGGAGGCTGAGGCAGAAGAATCGCTTGAACCCGGGAGGCAGAGGTTGCAGTGAGCCGAGATCGCTCCACTGCACTCCAGCCTGGGCGACAAAGCAAGACTCCATCTCAGAAAAAAACAAAGAATATATCTAAAGAGGTTGGTCATGAATATTCTCTGAAACTAGGACCAAAAGTCTCTGTTAAAATATAAATGAGCTGAGAGTGGTGGCACATGCTGGTAGTCCCAGCTACTCTGGAGGTTGAACGGGAGGATAGCTTGAGCCCAGGAGTTTGAGCCCAGCCTGGGCAACATAAAGAGACTCCTTCTCAAATGCATGTGTGTCTGTGTGTGTGTGTGTGTGTGTGTGTGTGTGTTCCTCCTTTGAAACAATTTTCCAGTCTGATTCTTCAAGCTCATATTAACGCAAATGGACTTAATGGTTCCTTTTCCTGGGGACTAAGTTTGGGGAGGAAGGCAGGACTGATTCCTTACCCTTCAAACTAAACCCTGGTCACAGGCTGACCAGTGCCTCCAACCCAGACCAAGCCCTGACCCTAGCCTCAGACTGTGCAATAACCCTGACTAGCATATATGTATATATATACATATGACAAGTCATTCACATTTGAAAATTGGCAGTAGGGCCGGCCACGGTGGCTCACGCCTGTAATCCCAGGATTTTGGGAGGCCAAGGCGGGCAGATCACCTGAGGTCAGGAGTTCGAGACCAGCCTGGCCAACATGGTGCAACCCCGTCTCTACTAAAAATACAAAAATTAGCCGGGTGTAGTGGTGGGTGCCTATAGTCCCAGCTACTCAGGAGGCTGAGACAGGAGAATTGCTTGAACCTGGGAGGCAGAGGTTGCAGTGAGCTGAGATCGTGCCACTGCACTCCAGCCTGGGTGACAGAGCAAGACTCTGTCTCAAAACAAAACAAAAAAGAAAATTGACAGTAGATAATGGAATTACTTTTAAACTATAGATATCTATTACAAAGAACTGTACAAATGTACTGTTTGCTATTTGTAAATTTAAATCTCAACACTTCCACTATGTTTCCAGTCGGATTTCTCTTCTATCCTCTGTATCAGCAATTCACATCTTCCTAATTCTTCTCAGTCCTCTAGATGCCCCTGTTCCCTCCCTCCTCACATATGCCTTTCACAAAAGAAATGGAAGCCTTTCAATGTTTTCTGACTCTTCTTTCTCTTTCTTTCTTTCTTTTTCTTTCTTTCCTTCTTTCCTTCCGTCTTTCCTTCTTTCCTTCTTTCTTTCAGAACCTCGCTCTGTTGCCCAGGCTGGAGTGCAGTGATCTTGGCTCACTGCAACCTCTCCTCCTGAGTTCAAGTGATTCTCTTGCCCCAGCTTCCCCAGTAGCTGGGATTACAGGTGCCCACCACCACACCTGGCTAATTTTGTATTTTTAGTAGGGTTTTATCATGTTGGCCACAGGCTGGTCTCAAACTCCCGACCTCAAGTGATCCACCTGCCTGGGCCTCCCAAAGTGCTGGGATTACAGGCGTGAGCCACCGTGCCCGGCCAGGACTAACACTTTCTAGCTTTCTACCCTTCAGTCCATAAATTTATTCATTTAGACACCCTGTCTTAACATTTTTTTTTTTAGCCTTTACGTTAACAGAGGCTTCTGGTCCTAATTTCATATCATACCCAGGTTCATTTTCATTATCCATTAAATCTGCTATTTTATGTCTTCTATATTCTTATCTTAAAATACTAAAAGAGAGGACAAAGGATACAACCTTGGGGCACATCCCTAGGGTCTTTCCTCTAGAGTGACTTTTATTCAGTAATGAACTCACTTTGTCTGGCTCTTAAAGCTAAGAAATTATACAACTTTTTTTTTCCATACAACTTTTTTTTGGAGTGCAGGGGCACGATCTCGGCTCACTGCAACCTCCGGCTCCCTGGTTCAGGCGATTCTGCTGCCTCAGCCTCCCGAGTAGCTGGGATTACAGGTATGCGCCACCACACCCAGCTAATTTTTGTATTTTTAGTAGAGACGGGGTTTCACCATATTGGCCAGGATGGTCTCGATCTCCTGACCTCGTGATCCGCCCTCCTCTGTCTCCCAAAGTGCTGGGATTACAGGCATGAGCCACCGCGCCCGGCCTCCTATACAATTTTTTAGTATCTCTCCCTGCCAAGTCAGGTTTCTAGATACCCAGAATTTCACTATCTGAGATTCATTCCTTTGGCTGATGGTTCTGTTCTCCTTTCAAACAATTTTCCTGTCTGACTCTTCAAGCGCATATTAATGCAAATGGACTTAACAGTTCCTTTTCCTGTGGACCAAGTTTGGGGAGGGAGGCAGGACTGATCCTTTACCCTTCAACCTGAACCTTGGTCACAGGCTGACCACTGCGTCCAACCCAGACCAAGCCTTGACCCTGACTAGTCAGTGACCCAGGCCACACCCTAACTCCTGGTCACAACCTGAACCCCTGCTTCAGGTGTGAGAACTGATAGACCGGCGTTGGAATGGAAGGAGGGTGAGGCAAGCTGAGTGGGATTCTCGTGTCCCCAGCCCCGCCCGCGGGCCGCCAGCTTCCCAACCTGCACAGGCCCAGCAGGGCCCCTCCAGGTCTAGGTGAGCAGAGCTCCACCTACAGGTAAAACGCGGCAAGGGGCAGAGAAGGAGCCAAGTGGCGACGTGGTCATGCGCAGAAAGATCCGTCCGGCTCTCTGAGCAGAGGGTAGCGTGTGGGGGCGGGATACCGACGCGGCTCGGCTGCCGATTGGTCAGAAGAGGATAGAAAGGGGCGGGAAGCCGGCGCGGCTCGACTCCCGATTGGCCAGAGGCGGCAGAACGGGGTGGGGCCAAACGACGCGCGTTCTGTGGCGCGCGGCCTGGCGGGCGTGCAACGGCCGTTAGAGGAGCTGAGGGAGGGAACCACCGCTCACCGCAGACGTGGTGGCTGCAGTCAGTCTTCCCGAGTGAGGGATTTCGCCGCCCGCTTTCAGGCCCGTGTAAGTTTTCCTCCTTCGGGAGCCTCAGTCCTAGTGGCCGACCTTGCCTCTCCTCCCATAGCTCCGGCGAAGCCTCAGACGCTCGCGACCTGCCACCGTGAGGGGCCGGGGAGAGCGAAGCGCATGCGCCTCGGCTCCGAAGCCAGTGCCCCGGCATACGCCCTCTCGCGTCCCATTCCCCTCGCTTCCCCCGTTGCCTTGCTTTGCCGTCCGTGGTTCACCCCACGGCAGTCACTTTACCTGCGTGCCAGGCCCTGTGCCGATAGCCAGGGACACAGCGAGCGGCGCATTCCTTGCCCTTGCGGAGCGCACAGCCCTGGGAGTCGACGTTAAGCGGGGTAATCCCTCGGCGCGCAGTGAGGGTAGAGTGGAGAAATCTTACAAAGAGCGCAAAACAGAAGGCGCGGATCTAGTCGGAGAGGTCAGGGAGCCCTCCCCGAGGAGGAGAAGTTTGAGCCGAGATTGGAAGGCTGTGTAGAGAATTAAGGTTGTGGGACGGAAAGCACTTGGCGGGGCCTTACCCCGGTACTTCTCGGCCGGGGCGATTTTGCTTCCCTGGGGACATTGGTCGATGTCTGGAAACACTTTTGATAGTCACAGCTCCAGGGCTTGCTACTGGCATCTAGTGCGAAGAAGCCAGGGATGCTGTTACACAGCCTACTGTGTGTAGGACGCCCCCAACAACAAAGAAAAATCCCCCAAAATGTCAGTAGGGCGGAAGGTGAGGAAGCTTCCTTCAGCGAGAAGGAGCTGGTGCTTTGGTTGAACTGAAAGTTAGTGTGTTCAGGTTTATTTGTTCAACAGTATATTCAACGCTTACTTCACCTCAGTTAATGAGAGCGATCCTTTACACCAGTACATTCCCAACACGTGGCTCAGAGCCAGGCGCATAGTAGGCACGCAGTAAATTTCGGTTGATGAATTGAACACT
Organism: Homo sapiens; assembly: GCF_000001405.40. NCBI lineage: Eukaryota > Metazoa > Chordata > Mammalia > Primates > Hominidae > Homo > Homo sapiens. Next base: position 26,235,242 of record NC_000001.11, read on the forward strand.
GGGATAAGTAGGGGGCGGTGGTGATACAAGGACGATGAAGCTAGCCAGGCCTCATTTATTTGCCCTCAAACCTTGTCTGCTTTATAGTGATCTGGTGGTTTTGTATGTCTCACGACTTTTCTTTGTAAAGGCAACTTCTTGTCAAGGATTTGGCTTCTCTTTCACAAGGTTTAATGAATGATCAAGGCGGTGAAAATAGTGTAATGGTGTGAGATCCTTCGTGTGTCTGTGTCAGCTGTCTGTGTATCCCTTCAAATCCTCTCTTGTCTTGATGTGGTTCTCTTAACAGCTGCCAAGCATGATGTTCCACACTTAGATTGTAATTCTTTTTTTTTTTTTTTTTTTTGTGAGACGGAGTTTTGCTCTTGTTGCCCAGGCTGGAGTGCCGTGGCGCGATGTCGGCTCACCGCAACCTCCGCCTCCCAGGTTCAAGCGATTCTCCTGCCTCAGCCTCCCGAGTAGCTGGGATTACAGGCATGCGCCACCATGCACGGATAATTTTGTATTTTTAGTAGAGACGGCGTTTCTCCATGTTGGTCAGGCTGGTCTCAAACTCCCGACCTCAGGTGATCCGCCCGCCTCGGCCTCCCAAAATGCTGGGATTACAGGCGTGAGCCACCACGCCCGGCCACACTTAGATTGTAATTCTTATAGGGGAAAAATACTTACGGCAGTCAAAATCTAATTCTTGGGTAGCAACTTGAGAAATAAAGCCTAGGTGATGACCAAGGACAAAGTGAAGAAATTTTATGAGCTTTTACTGCTCATATAATTGAGGCTTGCAGCTCTAGCTGTCTGAGGCAGAAACTCCAACTTGTGGTGCCATGCTTGATCTCTTTTTTTGTGTTTTGTCACATGTAGAATGCTGACTAGACTACTGTAGCGTTAGAGTACAGTCCTGGCTTTGAAGCCTCTTCCTAGCCATATGACCTTCACTACTGTAAACCTTTATTTTCTCATCCATAAAATGAGGATAATAGTAACTGCCTCATAGGGTTGATGTGAACATGAAACATGAGACATGATACTTAAAAAGTGTTGAGCACAGTGTTTGATAGGTAGTAAGTGCAGAATGCATGTTAAATTTGTTGAATGAGTGACTGTTTCTGTAGTTTAAAGGGCTTTGAAGATGGAAACCAATCCTGTTGGGTGCTTTTTTTTTTTTTCCCCTCTGTCTGCCTCCATTCACTCCCTTTCTAAGCTTTATAACTGGTGTGTTACTTCTTGTACATTCACTTCTCTCATTTTTATCCCAGGAAATTTCTGTCTCCTTCAGTTGTCCCAAAAATTTCCACCAGTAGCTCATCTAATTCTTAAGTCAAGAATGATTTATTTTGTATTGTTTTACTCCTTACGGGGTTTCTTTCTTTCTGTTTTTCTTTTTTGAGATATTTGTTGTCAATGAGGGTCAGACTCTGAAATATTTGAAGGGATTTATTCTGAGCCAAATATGGGTGACCAGTGGCCCCTGACACAGCCCTCAGGTGATCCTGATAACGTGTGCCCTGGTTTTAAACATTTTAGGTAGACATGAGACATCAGTCAAATACATGTAAGATTTACATTGATCTGGAAGGGTAAGACAACTCTTAGTGGGTGGGGGCTTCCAGGTCATAGGTAGATTTCAAAATTTTCTGATTGGCAGTTGGTTGAAAGTTGTTATCAATAGAAAGGAATGTCTGGGTTAAGGTATCCTGGGGATCAACATTTTATTGTACAGATGAAGCCTCCAAATAGTAGGCTTTAGAGAGAATAGATTATAAATGTTTCTTACAGACATCTGTGTTAATGTTAATGCTTTTCCTAAATTCCAGAAGGGAGGAGGGTATAATGAGGGGTGTAGGACTCCACCACCACTACCACCATCATGGCCTTAACAGGTTTTTCAGCTTAACTTTGGAATGCCATTGGCCAAGGGGAGGGATCCATTCAGGTGGTTGGGGATGTCTTAGAATTTTTTTTTTGGCTTATATCACATAACATAAAATTTAATTTTATGTGTGTGCAATTCAGAGGTTTTTAATATATTGGCAAGGTTGTGCAGTCAGTCACCACTATCTAATCTCAGAACATTTTGATCACCCTGAAAAGAAACCCGGTATCCATTAGCAGTCCCTTCCTATTCTCCTACCCTCCCTCCTCTCAGTCCTTTGCAATCACTAATCTGTGTCTCTATGGATTTGCCTATTCTGACATTTCATATAAATAGGATCAAGCCTTTTGTTTGGCTTCTTTGACTTTGCATGTCTTCAGTGTTCATCCATGTTGTCACATGTATCAGTACTTCCTTTTATTGCTGAATAATACTCTGTTTTTTGGATATACCACATTTTATGTATCCATTCATTAGCTCATGGACGTTTGTGTTGTTTCCACTTTTTGGCTATTGTAAATAATGCTGCTACGAACATTCTTATTGAAGCTTTTGTGTAAACCTGTGTTTTCATTTCTCTTGGGTGTATACTTCAGTGTGGAATTGCTGAGTCATAGGGTAACTCGGAGTTCTCCTTCTGTCACCGTATTTTCAACTTGTCTGAATTTAGAAACACCTTAGAATCCAGTGCGCCTACCATTTTGTTATCCTTTAAAGAAAGGAGTGAAGAAAAGGATTTTGATATTGACAAGAAAGGAAATCACTAGTAAGGAGGTAATCTAATCATTCTATGTCATCATTTAACTCACTGAATCATACTTGCCATAAACTAAAGCTTTTATTACTGAACAAAGCTTCCCTCACCCAGTATGTGAAGAACTGGAATTGTGGAGGATGATACCCTTTCTATTGTAGATGCAGTGAATTAATAAGGGTTTGGGTTGTTATGTACTTTAGTGACCTCTATAGTATTCTCTTAGTAACAAGAGAATACTATAGAGGTCACTAAAGTACATTAGAGAAATAGTACCATATAGTCTTTTTTCTCCAGAGTGATAGAATTATGTTCTGTGAATTGTCCCAAACTCTTTTTTTTTTTTTTTTGAGACGGAGTCTTGCTCTGTCGCCCAGGCTGGAGTGCAATGGCGCGATCTTGGCTCACTGCAGCCTCCGCCTCCATGGTCCAAGCGATTCTCCTGCCTCAGCCTCCCAAGTAGCTGGGATTACAGGCGCCTGCCACCATGCCTGGCTAATTTTTGTATTTTTAGTAGAGACGGGGTTTCACCATGTTGGCTGGTCTCGAACTCCTGACCTCAGGTGATCCGCCTGCCTCGGCCTCCCAAAGTGCTGGGATTACAGGCGTGAGCCACTGAGCCCGGCCGAATTGTCCCAAACTCTTTTGGGGCTTTTATAAATTTAGAGTTTCTGAGTTGATACTCCTTGATCTTCCATGGGCTGTACAGTGCTACTTTTGTTGATGTAAATTGCCAAGTAATAACAGCACTTAGTATGTGTCAGGAACTGTTGTAAGTTAATTATAAGTGAATTAACATGAATTAGGTTGTGTTGTTATCCTCATTTTTATATGAAGAAAATGAGGAACAGAGATACTAAGAAATTTGCCCAAGGTTACACAGCTAATAAATTGATAACTTAATGTTTAGTGGGTTCAAGTGTATTTGTTTAGACTTCAAATCCACTTCTGCTGAATTCTCAGCACCTACCCCTAGTGTACTGTAAATATAAATATTTTAAGGAGTGAGAACATGGGACGAGAACTTCACGTTCCTAGCTCAGGATTGGAGTTCTACTTATGAGCAAGAATTCTTTCCCATCTTTTTACATCGTATGACTGACTTTAATTACTGGAAGAATTGAGGAATTTGTTTTGTGTTAATCATAATTGATGCTGTAATACTTCACTGTTGGTTTAGTTCTTTAGTTCTTTATCCACCTCGTCCTGTCATCAGGTCCCCATGGCTAAGAAGATTCATGGTAAAGTTTGTTAATTAAAAGTAATATTTTTAAATTTTATAAAAATCAGAAGGGTTCTAGGACCGTATGGAATCTGTATTGGTAATCTCTGGTTCTAGGTTTTCTATACTGGATTTGGGAAGAGAAGTAGAGTGGAGTATTGGGATTTACTTTGTCTTAAAAATATCCTTAGAAGTAAAACATGTAAAAACATATTTACTCCTAAATATCCTTAGGAATATAACATTTAGAATACTGGAATATTCTTTTTTATTTTTTTTGAGATGGAGTCTTGCTCAGTTGCCCAGGCTGGAGTGCAGTGGTGTGATCTTGGCTCACTGAAACCTCTGCCTCCCGGGTTCAAGCAATCCTTGTGCCTCAGCCTCCCAAGTAGCTGGGACTACAGATGTGTGCCACCATGCCCGGCCAATTTTTGTGTTTTTAGTAGAAATGGGGTTTCCCCATGTTGGTCAGGCTGGTCTCGAACTCCTGACCTCAGTTGATCTGCCCGCCTTGGCCTCCCAAAGTGCTGGGATTACAGGTGTGAGCCACTGTGCCTGGCCAAATACTTGAATATTCTATATGGTTTTGACAGTTTCAGTTGAATGGGAACTGAGTTGCGGGGAATTAAAGATACTTCAGAGAACTGACTGGTTATTCCTTCATTCTACAGTTGGCTTAAATAACTGTGATTGATGGCCATGCAGGAGAAATATCCAACTGAGGGGATCTCTCACGTCACTTCACCGAGTGAGTAGTCAGAAGTTTTCTGGGTTAAATTCTGACCTTTGTTCTGTTTTTTCATATTCCTTAAGGTAAATATTGAACAAACAAGCATTCACTGAAATGCTGGTGCTAAAAGAATAAAAATAACATGGGGCTTCATTGAATATAAAAACAGGTCTCTGAGGGAACAAGTATTTATCTCTTGTGCTATGTGGCTTTCAACAGGACCACGTGGTTGGGAGAGGACGACATATAAAGGATTGGAACAGAATGACTTTGGAACATAGTTCCATTTGAAATCAGAAAAACACAGCATAAATTACTGTGTTCTATGTTGTCTTTGTCCTCTGGGTGGGTCAGTCATCTGCTAGCCCACAAAAATAGGAATTCTGCTTGGATGCCAACAGATTCCGTTGCATTGTTACTAGAAACTCAGGAATTTATCTTCAGAATGGATTAACAAGATTTTGAAACTTCAGTAGATATATTAAATATATACAGTCCTTAAGTGTCCATGGCGGACTGGTTCCAAGACCTCCTGCAGATAGCAAAATCCACAGATACTCAAGTCCCTGATATAAAATGGTGTGGTATTTGCATATAACCTGTGTATATCCTAATGTTTACCTTAAATCGTCTCTAGATTACTTGTAATACCCAATGCAATGTAAATGCTATGTAAATAGTTATACTGTATTGTTTGGGGAATAAGAAGAAAAACAAGTCTTATGCACATTCAGTAAGATACCATTAAAAAAAAAAATTGGTTGAATTCACAAACGTAGAAACCACGGATATGGCCAGGCGCTGTGGCTCATGCCTGTAATCCCAGCACTTTGGGAGCCCAAGGCGGGTGGATCACCTGAGGTCAGGAGTTTGAGACCAGCCTGGCCAACATGGTAAAACTCCATGTCTACTAAAAATACAAAAATTAGCCGGGTGCAGTGGCATGTGCCTATAATAATCCCAGCTACTTGGGAGGCTGAGGCAGGAGAATCACTTGAACACGGGAAGCAGAGGTTGAGGTGAGCTGAGATGACGCCACTGCACTCCAGCCTGGGCAACAGAGTGAGACTGTGTCTCAAAAAAAAAAAGGGGAAAAAAAAGAAACCATGGATATGGAGAGCTGACTGTATATTAAACACATAAATATATGTATGCACTGTGCAGGCATATTAAGTAGATAATATATATTTCAAATAAGTAATATTTTAGAAAAATGACTTGTTGAATTCTGGGGTATTGGTAAAGAAGAGGGCACGTTTAATTCAACTCAGGGTATGTTTTATTTAACTTTAAAATCTCACAGTGCCTTACTCAGCGTAGATATTTGGTAAATGTTTGGTGTATTCTCTTAGGCATGCTGCCTTGCATAGAGTAGGCACCATTATAAGCTTTGGTTGAATCAATTCAAGATTCATTCAGCAGAATTTTTTTTTTTTTTTTGAAATGGAGTCTCGCTCTGTCACCCAGGCTAGAGTGCAGTGGCGTGATCTCGGCTCACTACAAGCTCCGCTTCCCGGGTTCATGCCATTCTCCTGCCTCAGCCTCCCAAGTAGCTGGGACTACAGGTGCCCGCCACCATGCCCAGCTAATTTTTTTGCATTTTTTAATAGAGACGGGGTTTCACCATGTTAGCCAGGATGGTCTCAATCTCCTGACCTTGTGATCTGCCCGCCTGGGCCTCGCAAAGTGCTGGGATTACAGGCGTGAGCCACTGCACCCGGCCTCAGGAAATATTTTTTAAACATCTGCTATGTGCTGCACATTCTCTTAGGTTTGTACAGTTTCTATGACAATTATGTATATAATGCAAGTTTTTGGAACAATGCCTTTCCTATGGCTTTTTTCTCTCTTCAATAGTATCTCATTCAGATTAATAATGGTCTTAATAATTGATAAGGATGCTACTGATAGGACATGCACTATAACACAAAAAATTTCAGCTTTTCTTTTTTTTTTTTGGAGACGGAGTCTTGTTCTGTGGCCCAGGCTGGAGTGCAGTGGCACAATCTCAGCTCACTGCAACTTCTGTCTCCTGGGTTTAAGTGATTCTTGTGCCTCAGCCTCCCAAGTAGCTGGGATTACAGGCATGCACCACCACACCTGGCTAATTTTTTTGTATTTTTAGTAGAGACGGGTTTCGCCATATGCCCAGGCTGGTCTCCAACTCCTGAGCTCAGGTAATCTGCCCACCCCCGCCTCCCAAAGTGCTAGGATTACAGGCATGAGCCACTGCACCCGGCCAACTTCAGCATTTAAACTTCAATTTTGAAATAAGTGTAAACCTCTATAAATATACCAAAATATATTTTTAACAAATAACTCTTTGGAATTAGGGTATGGAGTAGGTGGATGGAAAAATGGTAGCGATGAAGAGTGGAAGATTAGTAGTAGTAACAGGGAAGCGGTTTCCAGTAGGAAGTCAGGAAGATGGTAATAGAGGCCCTCAATCTTAACTGTTTCAAAAGGCCTGGCAAATTTTACACTGACTAGAGAGAAAAAGCTGTGTAGACTCACCAGAAGGTGGGATTTCTTTGCTTTGGGCTAGAATTACACCAACTTAGTATAGTAGCATTGGCTAATCTCATGCCGCTCAGAAACTCGGATTGTTGCCTGTGTCTTCTATAACAATTACAGATTACTGAGTGTATAAAGATTCTTTCAAATCAGGCAGTCACTGTGATCCAAAGAATAGAAGAAGTATTTGGGGAAAGTCAGGTTGCCTTCAGTAGAAAGCCAAAGTAAGGGTAGCAAAAAATGAGCAAAAGTAGAAGAAAATAGATTAAAAAGATGAGAGAAGCACTAAACTTGGAAGAAAGGAATAAAGTAATTTGTGTCCAAATTACTTTGGGCGTAATCATTTAGTGGGAGCAATCATTTGCCTCCCACTAGATCAGCGAGTCTGTAGAACCGTATTTTCTGAAATCGGCTTTCACACTTTAAGTTAAATGGAGGATAAGTAGCTGCCATTAGTTTTTTTGTTTGTTTGTTTATTTGTTTACATGGATCACCAGATACACCTTAGGAAAATTATAGTGGTTTTTAGAAAATAAATTTAAGTCTTTGCTAGAATGTTAGTGAATCAAGTATTTATTGAACACTTCCTACCTACCTCCCCCCAAACAGCATATTTTAAATCAAATAAATCTCATCAGTCTTTTTGTCTTAACCTTCTCAGCAGTTTTAGTGATATCTTCACGTTGCTCTCAAGATAAAGCCCTAGGCTCTTCAGATTGACTTTCAAAACTCACCTTGATCTCAATAGGATTCACCTATTGAGGGTACCCTGGTTCAGTGAAGCAGTGATTTTCTTTTTTTTTTTTTTTTTTTCTGAGATGGGGTTTCGCTCTTGTTGCCTAGGCTGGAGTGCAGTGGCGCAATCTTTGCTCACTGCAACCTCGAAGCAATGATTTTCAACTGGGGACTGGACTGCTTGTTGCCCTAGGAATCATTTGGAACTATATGGTTATTTTCTGGTTTCACAGTGATGGTGGTCTTGGTTGAGGGTTGCTGCTGGCATTCAGTGAGTGGGAACCAGGGATGCTAAACCATTCTGTAATGTATAGACTACACATTGAAGAATGGTCATCCCCAGAATGCCAAAAGCACCATTGAGAAACTGTAAGAAAGAGGAAAGAATGTGGGTTTTGGAATCAGAAAGAACTGGATTCAAATATCAGCCCTCCCCTCTGTAAAATAGGGGTGGTAATACTTTTCAGTAAGTAGGTAGGCAAGATTATGTTTGTAAGGTCCTGTGGCTTTACAGGTTTCAATAAATGGCCACTGCTATTAAATATGATTGTTTTCTGTTCCAGTACTCCTGGATTCTTCATGGGTCTTATTAACATCTTTGAATATTCTCACTTCTCATACTATTTCCACTTAAAATTAACTAGCTCAGGCTTGGCGCAGTGGCTCACACCTGTAATCCCAGCACTTTGGGAGGCCAAGGCGGGTGGATTATGAGATCAGGAGTTCAAGACCAGCCTGGCCAAGATGGTGAAACCGCGTCTCTACTAAAAATATAAAAATTAACTGGGCGTGGTGGTGGGCGCCTGTAATCCCAGCTACTCGGGAGGCTAAGGCAGAGAATTGCTTGAACCCAGGAGGTGGAGGCTGCAGTGAGCTGCGCGCCACTGCACTCAAGCCTGGGTGACAGAGCAGACTCCGTCTCAAAAAAAAAAAAAAAAAAAAAAAAAACTAGATCGGAGCAGCTGAAATAGGCACAGGAGAGAGAAAGGGGTGGGTTGCTGCTATTCTCTTAGGTTTATGTGATTTTTTAAAAAAAGATCTGATGGGGTTACATCAGCTGGTTCACAGTAAAGGTGGGAAATGCCTCTTGTTTCAGGTTCCGATGTGATTCAGAAGGGCAGTTCCCTGGGGACTGAATGGCAGACCCCAGTTATCTCGGAGCCCTTTCGGAGCCGCTTCAGCCGCTGTTCAAGTGTAGCCGACAGTGGGGACACAGCCATTGGTACATCATGCTCAGATATTGCGGAGGGTAAGTTTGTATTAATGATTTGATTACCAATATGTGTTCTCATTTTCAGATTGCATTTTGGGTATATTGGCATTTCCAGATTGTGTTATTTCCAGAATGTTCATAACGTCATTCCATTTCATTCAAGGAGTCTCTCATTCTTCTTACCCTGTGCTTCTCACATCTGGTCCCTTTATCTAAATTTCTACTTTTTATCTTATCTGAAACAACTTTGTTGGGGGGTGGGGAGACAGGGTCTCACTCTGTCACTCAGGTTGGAGTGCACTGGCATGATCATAGCTCGCTGCAGCCTCCCATGCTGAGGTAATCCTCCCACCTCAGCCTCCTAGGTAGCTGAGACTGCAGGTATGCACCACCGTGGCTGGCTAATTTTTTGTGTGTTTTTATAGAGATGGCGTTTTGCCATGTTGCCCAGGCTGGTCTGGACTCCCAGACTCAAGAGAACCACCTGCCTCGGCCTCCCAAAGTGCTGAGATTACAGGAATGAGCCCCTGTGCCTAGCCTTTGAAACAACTTTCTGATAGGTTAATTGGCCTCAAGTCTTTCCCTCTGCTGCCAGATTATTTTTGCTAAAAGCCTAATTTCATAGTTTCCTATAAATCTTCAATAACTCCTATTGCTTGGGCGATGAAGTTCAGAGTCTTCCGTTCTGTGATCGTCCCTATCCCACCCACTCAAACATATTTCCTGCTGTCACCAAGTCTGAACGTAAAGTCCTGTTTTTTGTTTTGTTTCTATTAATTTTTTGAGATGGTCTCACTCTGTCACCCAGGCTGGAGTGCAGTAGTGCCATCATGCTCACTGCAGCCGTAAACTCCTAGGCTCCTGAGTAGCAGGGACTACTAGCATGGTGCCACCACACCCAGCTATTTTTTTTTTTTTTCATTTTTTGTAGAATTGAGATCTTGCTATATAGCCCAGGCTGGTCTCAAACTCTTTGCCTGAAACGATCCTATTGCCTCAGCCTCCCAAAGTGCTGAGTGCTGGGATTACAGGCTGGAACCACCATACCCAGCTGGTTTTTGGTTTCTGATACTGGGGCTCTTTTTTTCCTTCTTTAATCTGGGCCCATGTATGCGATGCCTGCCTCCTCTTGCCTTTCCTAGCTATGCTGATGTTACTATTCAAGATCCAGCAAATGTCCCGCAGGCTTTTCCCATCCCTTACGCTCATTAGTCATATCATTCTCCTTGCATTCTTGTATCTTTATTATCTCTGCCACTTGTTTTCACACTTAAGTATTGACAGGCAATACTTTATAAGGGCATTTTGTTTTTCCGTTTAGATTGGTGAGTTCTAGAAGGCAGAGAACCTAATTGATAATAATTAACTACTGTTGATTGTATGCTTTGTGATAGATACTATAAATTTTTTCTGTATTATTTCACTAAAGCCCTTAAGAAGCCTATAATATGTCTTCTTATTTCCATTTTACGGATGAAAAGGCTGAATTTCAAAGTGATTGAATGAGTTTCTTAAAGTCACAAAACTTGTCACTTTGATAATCATATGTTGTAATTTTAAAACATCTACTCCACAGCCACTTGGATGGCTATATTCCAGAAGATAACAATCCTAGCTACTTGGGAGGCTGAGGCAGGAGGATCACTTGAGCCCAGGAGTTTGAGACTAGCCTGGGCAGCATAGTGAGACCCTGTCTCAAAAAAAAAAAGTAAGTTCAATCACTTTGTTACACAGGTTGCGTGTGTGACTCCGTTTTTTATTCCTCTAGGGAAATACATATGTATTTCCCTTCTGTGCACTCTTTTTAAATTGTAGCAGCCTTTTTGGTGAGAATGTAGAGAAATGGAAACTTTTGTGCATTGCTGGTAGGAATGTAAAGTATTGCAGCTGCTTTGGAAAACAGGCAGTTCCTCAAAAGGTTAAACATAGAGTTATTCCTGACCCGATAGTTCTACTCTTAGATATATACCCAGGAGAAATGAATACACAAGTTTTTGTGTGGACTTGTACATAAATGTTGGTAGCAGCATTATTCATGATAGTCAAAAGTAGAAACAATCCAAAACCCACAACTGATGAATGAATGAATATCCATATAATACAGTAGAATATTATTCAGCAATAAAAAGAAATGAAATACTGGTACATGCTACCTTAAAAACATATACTGGCCAGATGTAGGGGCTGATGTCTATAATCCTAGCGCTTTGGGAGGCCAAGGCGGGTGGATTGCCTGAGCTCAGGAGTTCGAGACCAGCCTGGGCAACACGGTGAAAGCCCATCTTTACTAAAATACAAAAAATTAGCTGGGCGTGGTGATGTATGCCTGTAATCTACTCGGGAGGCTGAGACAAGAGAATTGCTTGAACCCGGGAGGCAGAGGTTGCAGTGAGGTGAGATCGTGCCATTGCACTCCAGCTTGGGCAACAGAGTGAGACTCCGTCTTTAAAAAAAAAAAAAAATTATATACTAAGACTGTATTTTCAGGGATCGTTTCTGTAGTATGTTACTAGAGAAGTTTTTCTGAATGTGTAGAGCACCGTTAAGAAAAAGAAAATAAAATGAAATAACCATTATATATGAAGTTAAAAAAAAGCCAGACACAAAAGGCTGTATATTGCATGATTCCCTTTATATCAGGGGTCTCCAACCCCTGGGCCAAGGACCGGTACCAGTCTGGCCTGTTAGGAACCACACAGCAGGAGGTGAGCAGCAGGTCGAGCGTTACCGCCTGAGCTCCATCTCCTGTCAGATCAGTGGCGGGATTAAATTCTCACAGGAGCAGGAACCCTATTGTGAAATGTGCATTTGAGGGATCTAGGTTGTGTGCTCTTTATGAGGATCAAACTAATGCCTAAAGTCCAGAATAGGTGAATGTACAGAAACACAAAGTAGATTAATGGTTTTCTAGGGCTTCGGAAGCTGGTGGAAACAGCATGACTGCCAAAGGGTAAGAGGTTTTCTTTTTGGAGTGATGAAAATGTTGTAAAATTGATTGTAGTGATTATGCAACTCCATTAATATACTAAAACCCATTGAATTGTACACCTCAAGTGAGCAAATTGTATAATATGTGAATTGTATTTCAATAAAGGTTTTTGTTTTTTGTTTTTCTTAAATAGGTATGAGCTGAGAGGAGTAAATTTAAAAATGAAAAGAAAAAAAAAAAGCCAGGGACAGTGGTCTGTACCTATAGTCCCAGCTGCTCCCAAGGCTGAGGTGGGAAAATCACTTGAGCCCACGAGTTTGAGTACAGTCTGGGCAACATAGTGAGATCTTGTCTCCAAAAAAAAAAGAGGGTAGTGGGGACCACATCTACTATTACTGGTTCCTAGACATCTAGCATTAATTTTAGTTTTTGTTTGTTTGTTTTATAAAGATAGGGTCTCTTTTTGTCACCCAGGCTTGAGTGCAATGGCGTGATCACAAGCTCATTGCAGCCTTGAACTCCTGGGCTCAACCTATCTTTCCACCTAAGCCTTCCAAGTAGCTGGGACTACAGGCGTGTACCATCACACTCAGCCAGTTTGTTTTGTTTTGTTTTGTTTTGTTTTGCGTGTGGAGTCAGGTTCTCACCATCTTGCCCAGGATGGTTCTTGAACTTCTGGGCTCAAGCAGTCCTCCTGCCCTGACTTTCCAAAGTGCTGGGATTACAGGTGTGAGCCACTGCACCCAGCCCCTAGAGTTAATTTTGATAGTTTGACAACTATGTGTATAATGGGGACTGTGCTCAGTAACTATTGAGTAGAATTGAATCATAGATTTTGAGGTACACAGGACTTCAAAAATTGCCTCTGCTCGTTTTGATTGGTGAATAACAAAAATTCCCCAAGGAGTTAAGTAACTTGCCTAACATCATACAGCTGGTTATCAGATTCTGGTCTCCTGACTGTGTAATATTCTATCAATTGTGTAATCAAAAATCTTACTGTTAATTTAATTTTCACTTGTTAAGGTTTTGTCTACATGTGCAGTCATAGGACCTTTTTATTTTGATTAAATAATAGATATTTTTAAAATCAATCAGTGGTCTAGATTTTTCCCCCATTGAAATGACCAGCTGTATTTAATTCAGTTACATTGCTACACAGATTGTGTGTGTGACTCTCTTTTTTATTCTTTTGGGAAAATAACTTACATTCTAGTGCATTTTTTAAAAGTTGTAATAGTCTTCTCGAGATAGGGGTCAAAGATATTGGTCTAGAAGTTTTTTTTACTTCTTCTTATTTTTTCGAGACAGAGTCGCTCTGTCGCCCAGGCTGGAGTGCAGTGGCCCAATCTCGGCTCACTGTAACCTCCACCTCCTGGGTTCAAGCGATTCTCCTCTTTCAGCCTCCCGAGTAACTGGGATTACAGGCGTGTACCACCATGCCTGGCTAATTTTTGTATTTTTAGTAGAGATGGGGTTTCACCATGTTGGCCAGTCTGGGTCTTGAACTCTTTTTTTTTTTTTTTTTTTTTTGAGACCGAGTCTCGCTCTGTTGCCCAGGCTGGAGTGCAGTGGGGCAATCTCGGCTCACTGCAAGCTCCGCCTTCCGGGTTAATGCCATTCTCCTGCCTCAGCCTCCCAAGTAGCTGGTACTACAGGCACCCGCCACTACGCCCGGCTAATTTTTTGTATTTTTAGTAGAGACGGGGTTTCACCGTGTTAGCCAGAATGGTCTCGATCTCCTGACCTCACGATCTGCCCACCTCGGCTTCTCAAAGTGCTGGGATTACAGGCGTGAGCCACCACGCCCAGGCCTAGACATTTTTTAAACTGCTATGTTTGTTACATACCATGATCCTAATCTTAACTCTTTTTGTGTGTTTGTTTTGAGACGGAGTCTCACTCTGTCACCCAGGCTGGAGTGCAGTGGCATGATCTTGGCTCACTGCAACCTCCGCCTCCCGGGTTCAAGCGATTCTTCTGCCTCAGCCTTCTGAGTAGTTGGGATTACAGGCGTGTGCCACCACACCCAGCTAATTTTTGTATTTTTAGTAAAGACGGGGTTTCACCTTGTTGGCCAGACTGGTCTCGAAGTCCTGACCTCAGCTGATCCACTCACCTTGGCCTCTCAAAGTGTTGGGATTATAGGCGTGAGCCACTGCTCCTGGCCTCTAATCTTAACTCTTACACATTTTGTTCATGAATCTAGCTTGCGGTCTAGTTGACAAGAACCCCTGTGACTGGTATACAGTATAGTTCATTGTTGCATCTTTAAATTTAATAGGCATGCTTTTGATTCCACCCTTCTTCACTAAGGTGTTTTACCTTGAAAGATTCTCGAGGGACAGAGTAGAGGTGGGTACTGAAGAGTTCAGAATGCTTTCAGCTCTTTGCAAAAGACTGAAATAGTCACTGGTGTAATTCAGGCTACTGAATCACTTCAGGTGTAGACTGAAGTGACTGAGATTTGGTAATAGCTGAATCTACCCTTACTGTGAAAGGAAGTTTGCTCAAAAATGAGTTGTTTTTTAGGGTGGGGAGGGGTCATAAAATGTGGTTAAGTAGGGGAGAGATTTAGAACTATATTCTTAAAATGGCAAAACCCCAAAGTTTTTGGGAACTGTAGATTTCTGTAAATAAAAATCACATATCCCATGCATTGTATTTTTTAAAGAGATGGATCTCACTGTGTTGCCTACACTGGAGTGCAATGACTGTTCACACAGGTACCATCATAGTGTACTATAGCCATGAACTCGGTGGGGCTCAAGTAATCCTCCTGAGTTAGACTACTGAGTAGCTGGGCCTACAGAGATGCACCACCTGCCTGGTTCCCATACACTAAATTTTGAATGCCTTTGAAAATTGTAGAAGATAGAGGTCCCTTTGAAAATGAGTGTTGCTATTTCATTTCAAAATATTCTAAACCACAGACCAGACTTACGGTGTAACTCAGAGGTCCCCAACTCCTGGCCCGTGGACCAGTACCAGTCCATGGCATATTAGGAACCAGGCCACACAGCTGGAGGTGAGCAGCAGGCGAGCAAGCATTACTGCCTGAGCTTGCGCCTTCTGTCAGATCAGTGGTGACATTAGATTCTCATAGGAGCACGAACCCTATTGTGAACTGTGCATGTGAGGGATCTAGGTTGCTCAGTCCTTACGAGAATCTAATGCCTGATGATCTGAGGTGGAACAGTTTCATCCTGAAACCATCCCCCCAACCATCGTCTGTGGAAAAATTGTGTTCCACAAAACGATTCCCTGGTAACAAAAAGGTTGGGAACCGCTGGTGTAACTTTACATTTCATAGCACAGTTAGTCTGAATCAGGCAGTTTACTTAATATAAATAGATAAACCCAATAGATAAGTTAAAAATGTGGACAAAGACCTCACCTTAATTTTCTAATATGTCCATTTATCATCTATAAAAAATTAGAAAAGCCATATTCTTCTGGGTCAGTTGGTACTTTTCTTCTTGGCTTTGGTTTTGGCATTATTTTGGGGTTATCTTAGTGTATTTTCTGTTACTGTAAGAGAATACCTGAGACAGTGTAACTTATACAGAAAAGATGTTTATTTTGCCCAGGGTTCTGGAGAGTGAGAAGTCCAAAGGCATAGTGGCAGCATCTGGCGAAGGCTTTTGTGCTGTATCATAACATGGTGGAAAAGCAGAGACCACTAGAGTGAGCCAAGCTTGCCTTTTTTTTTTCTTTTTTCTTTTTTTTTTTTTTTTTTTTTTTTTTGAGACAGAGTCTTATTTCTGTCACTCAGGCTGGAGTGCAGTGGTGGGATCTTGGCTCACTGCAGCTTCCGCCTCCCATGTTCAAGTGATTTCTCCTGCCTCAGCCTCCCGAGTAGCTGGGATTACAGGCACCCGCCATCATGCCCAGCTAATTTTTGTATTTTTAGTAGAGATGGGGTTTCACCATGTTAGCCAGGCTGGCCTTGAACTCCTGACCTCAAATGATCCGCTTGCCTCTGCCTCCCAAAGTGCTAGGATTACAGGCATAAACCACCGTGCCCAACCCAAGCTTGGTTTTTTTTTTTTTTTTTGAGGTGGAGTTTAGCTCTTGTTGCCCAGGCTGGAGTGCAATGGTGCAATCTCGGCTCACTGCAACGTCTGCCTCCCGGTTTCAGGCGATTCTCCTGCCTCAGCCTCCTGAGAAGCTGGGACTACAGGCATGCGTCACCACGCCCAGCTAATCTTGTATTTTTAGTGGAGACAGGGTTTCTCCACGTTGATCAGGCTGGTCTCAAACTCCGGACCTCAGGTGATCCGCCCACCTCAGCCTCCCAAAGTGCTGGGATTACAGGCATGAGCCACCATGCCCGGCCCCAAGCTTGCTTTTATAACAACCCACTGCTTTGAGAACTAACTCACTTCTGCTAATCTATTATGAGGCTTCTACCCTCATGACCCAGTCACCTCTTAGAGGCCCCCACCTCTTAATACTGTTACATTGGCAATTAAGTTTCCAACACATGAACTTTTGGGGGACAGACACTTTCAAACCACAGCAGGGGGTGTGGGCTCAAAACTGAATTTGGTGAATCTAGAGAGAGTGGTGCTATGGATGGAGACTGGAAGGAGGTATTGCAAAGTTCATGGTAGCAACCCCTCATGTGCTACAACCTCACAGTCTTCTGTTTTGTAATTACACCGTGGGAGCAGTGACCCTTGGTAAGAACTGATAACTATGGTGCTGTTATGGAGGATTTAAAACATATTGCTTATGGTTAAGCACGGTGGCTCATCCCTGTAATCCCAGCACTTTGGGAGGCCGAGACAGGTGAATCACTTGAGGTTAGGAATTCAAGACCAGCCTGGCCAACATGGTGAAACCCCGTCTACTAAAAATACAAAAATTAGCCAGGCATGGTGGCGGGCTCCTGTAATCCCAGCTACTCGAGAGGCTGAGGCAGAAGAGTCGCTTGAACCCAGGAGGCAGAGGTTGCGGTGAGCCAAGATCGTGCCACTGCACTCCAGCCTGGACAACAGAGTGAGTGAGACCCCATCTCAAAAAAGAAAAAATTGGGCCGGGGGCAGTGGCTCACACCTGTAATCCCAGCACTTTGGGAGGCCGAGGCGGGCGGATCACCTGAGGTTGGGAGTTCAAGACCAGCCTGACCAGCATGGAGAAGCCCTGTCTCTACTAAAAATACAAAATTAGCCGGGCGTGGTGGAGCATGCCTTTAATCCCAGCTACTTGGGAGGCTGAGGCAGGAGAATCGCTTGAACCCAGGAGGAGGAGGTTGTGGTGAGCCAAGATCGCGCCATTGCACTCCAGCCTGGGCAACAAGAGTGAAATTCCGGCTCCAAAAAATAAAACAAAAAATTGTATTGCTTACTAGTCTTTGAAGTCTTTATCACTAGCAGTCTGCCTTAACCTTGTGTACTAGTCCTATATTTAAGTTGTGAGACATCAGAAACTGGGTCCTTTAACTGAGAAATTTCTTTCTTGGTCCTGAGAGACTAATGCATGTTATCAGAACTTATTCAGGTTTTTGTTTTGTTACGTGTGTGTGTGTTTTTTTAGTGTGGCCTTTTATATATCCCCAAGATCATCTTCAGTATAGCAAATTAGATACTATGCATGTAATATAAGGCTTGCACGTCTTTTTTTAAAGTATTTATTCCTCCTGTCTAACCGAAATGTTTTACCCTTTGATCAGCATCTCTCGATTCCCCCTGCTCCCAGCTTCTGGTAACCACAATTATTCTCTCTGTTTCTATGTGTCGAGGTTTTTTTTAGCTTCCACATATAAGTAAGAACGTGC
The DNA here is from genome assembly GCF_000001405.40 of Homo sapiens. Taxonomy (NCBI): domain Eukaryota; kingdom Metazoa; phylum Chordata; class Mammalia; order Primates; family Hominidae; genus Homo; species Homo sapiens. The sequence goes on from NC_000001.11 coordinate 26,252,994, forward strand.
AGTATTTGTCATTTTGTGCCTGGCTTATTTCTCTTAGTGTCCTCCAGTTTCATCCATGTTGTTGCAAGTGACACAATTGACATCTTTTATAAGGCTGGTATTCCGTTGTGTAATATACTGCATTTTCCTTATCTGTTCGTCTGTTGATTCTATAACTTGGCTATTGTGAATAATTACTCAGTAAACATGGGATTGTAGATATCTCTTGGACATACATATTTCATATCGTTTGGATATATACCCAGAAGTGGATTGCTGGATCATATGGTAACTATTTTTAGTTTTTTGAGGAGCTACATACTCCATTGTTTTCCACAGTGGCTGTGTTACATTCCCCCCAACTGTGTACTAGAGTTCCCTTTTCTCTGCATCCTCTCCAAACTTGTTATCTTTCATCTTTTTTTTTTTTTTTTTGAGATGGAGTCTCACTCTGTCGCCCAGGCTGGAGTGCAGTAGTGCGATCCTGGCTCATTGCAACCTCCACCTCCTGGGTTCAAGCGATCCTCCTGCCTCAGCCTCCCGAATAGCTGGGACTACAGGCGCGTGCCACCATACCTGGCTAATATTTTGTATTTTTAGTAGAGACAGGGTTTCACCGTGTTAGCCAGGATGGTTTCGATCTCCTGACCTCATGATCCCCCCTCCTCAGCCTCCCAAAGTGCTGGGGATTACAGGCATGAGCCACTGCGCCCGGCCTCATCTTTTTCATCATAGCCATTCTGACAGGTGTGAGGTGGCTTGCCCATATTTTTAAAGAGTTGCTTAAGGCCGGGCATGGTGGCTCACACCTGTAATCCTAGCACTTTGGGAGGCTGAGGCAGGTGGATCACTTGAGCCCATGAGTTCGAGACCAGTCTGGGCAACATGGCGAAACCCCATCTCTCCTAAAAATACAAAAACTGAGGTGGGAAGATCACCTGAGCCTGGGGAGGTCGAGGCTGCAGTGAACTGTGATCACGCCACTGTGCTCCAGCCTGGGTGACAGAGTGAGACCCCATTTCAAAAAAAAAAGTTGTTTAATGAGAAGGTCGTAGCTGATCTATACTTACATAATTCTGGGAACAATTATAGTATTTGTTGTTGTTATCTGAGTGTTCTCTGTGTTGGTTGCTGGGGAGAAAAAGAAACAAGTTGGTAGTCGCTCTTCTCCGTGGTAGATATGCTTGATTTGGGAACGAGTACTGAATATAGTTGAAAAGAGAAGAAATTGGTATTCCTTATTTCCTTATTCAGTTTTCTGCCTGCTGAAAGCAATAAGTATGTTACCTCACATTCCTCCCTTATTGTTTGCTTGCAGTAGTCCCCCTCAGAGTAGTACTTGAAAGTTGGAAATAGGTAGAAATGTGAACCTTGTATAGTAGGGCTAATCAAGGGTTGTCTCCCAAGACCAGGCAGGAGCCAAAGGAAACACAAATTCAGTCTGAAGGAAAAGTTAAAAAAAAAAAAACACAGTTGGGTACACACAAGGGGGCAAGTGAAAGGCAAAATATAAAATAGAGGATTTCAGTGTGTACCCAATTGAGAGTGCTCACTGTGCTAGAGTGAAACCTGAGAGTTACTAAGAATAACTTCACATATCCAGGCAGTCAGGTTTGGGGTATGGGAGAGAGAACAGAATCCTGCCTCAGATGCCATACTCCCTGTCCTGCATACTGAGCAAGACTGTCTAGTTCGCTTCATTCTTCAGATAGTTTGGACTCGTTGCTCACCTTCCTGGGGGAGCTTTTGGAGGTCGCAGAAGATTCTGGTGACTCTTGGAAAGGATATTTTTATTAGATTTGATTATAGCTGAGAGTTGTCCAGCTTCCAGAAGAGTAGGACCTAACTCATTTTCCTTAAGTAAGTAATTTGTTTTAAAGTTTAAATTTTTTAAAAAACTTTTTAAAAGTTTTTCAGCTTTGTCTGTTGACTGACAAGATTTTTTTTATTCCAGTACAAAGGACTAAGTTAAAAGTGAAGTCATTATTGCCTTTTGTTAGTTTACCTTGTGAATGGCATTTGAGATCCTGGAACATACATCTCCCAGTTTGGTTGCCGTTTCTTTCTGCCTGATACTTTTGATGATGGTGCTCTCTCTGCTTGGTCTCAGGACAGGCCGAGAGCTTCTGGCATAGCATTCAAACTCAAGAAAGCTTGCTACTTCAATTTTTACTTATGGAAGACTATTCTCTCCCCAGATTTTTGCAGCTCAAGTGGCAGTCCTCCTTTCCAGCCCATCAAAAGCCACGTAACCATTCCAACAGCCCATGTGATGCCTTCTACTTTAGGGACCTCTCCTGCCAAGCCAAATTCTACACCTGTTGGACCCTCTTCCTCTAAACTCCCTTTGTCAGGGTTGGCTGAAAGTGTGGGAATGACAAGAAATGGAGACCTCGGTGCAATGAAACATTCTCCAGGCCTATCTAGAGATCTCATGTATTTCTCTGGTGCTACTGGAGAAAATGGAATTGAGCAGTCCTGGTTTCCAGCAGTGGGCCATGAAAGACAAGAAGAGGCGAGGAAGTTTGATATTCCTAGCATGGAATCTACCCTCAATCAGTCGGCAATGATGGAGACACTTTATTCAGATCCTCACCACCGAGTCCGCTTCCACAACCCAAGAACCAGCACAAGTAAGGAGTTGTACAGAGTGTTGCCTGAGGCCAAGAAGGCACCGGGCAGCGGGGCAGTGTTTGAGCGGAATGGACCACATTCTAATAGCAGTGGGGTCCTCCCTTTGGGACTCCAGCCTGCTCCCGGGCTCTCCAAGCCTCTGCCCTCTCAGGTGTGGCAGCCGAGTCCTGACACTTGGCATCCCCGAGAGCAATCTTGTGAACTCAGCACTTGTCGGCAGCAGCTGGAATTGATTCGTTTACAGATGGAGCAAATGCAGGTAGAGGTCTATCTTTCCTTGGATTTTCTAGGTTCTGTACAGTTCTTAGAATTGTAATAGCTTTTGTCCTTTGAATTTTGGCTTAAAGAAAATAGCTGTAAAAAGAAGGAAGATGTTTGTAGACAGGAAATACAGGCTTGTGAGCTGTTGGCCATTGAATCTGTTTGGTAGTCAAATTAAGCACCAGATAGGGTCTCCAAAATAGCAAAAGGTTACAAAGGAAAACCTAAAAACGTATTTATACGTCACTAGGCTAAGTACTTTCACATACAGCATTTTATTTAATCTTCATAGTGTACTAACGAGGTAGATGTAGAAACTTACCAGGTTCTTAGACTACATAATCTGTACGGGGTCATAGAGTTGGTAATTGGCAGAGCTGGGGTTTAAAAACCATCTTTGAGGCCAGGTGGCTCACGCCTATAATCCCAGCATTTTGGGAGGCCGAGGCGGGCAGGAGTTCGAGACCAGCCTGGCCAGCAGAGTGAAACCCTGCCTCTACTAAAAATATAAAAATTAGCCAGGTGTGGTGGCATGCGCCTGTAGTCCCAACTACTCAGGAGGCTGTGGCAGGAGAATTGCTTGAACCTGGGAGGCGGAGGTTGCAGTGAGCCGAGACTGCGCCATTGCACTCCAGTCTGGATGACAGAGCGAGGCTCTGTCTCAAAAAATAAATAAATAAATGTGAAAACCTTCTTTGAGCCCCTGTGTTCTCTCTACCACTTTTGTATTTTCTTTTTTTTTTTTTTTTGAGATGGAGTCTTGCTCTGTTGCCCAGGCTGGAGTGCAGTGGCGTGTTCTCGGCTCACTGCAACCTCTACCTCCCAAGGTCAAGTGATTCTCCTGCCTTAACCTCCCGAGTAGCTGGGACTACAGGTGCGTGCCAACACGCCCAGCTCTTTTTTGTATTATTAGTAGAAACAGGGTTTCACCATGCTGGCCCGCCTAGTCTCGAACTCCTGACCTTGTGATCCGCCCGCCTCAGCCTCCGAAAGTGCTGGGATTACAGGGGTGAGTTACTGTGCCTGCCTGTATTTTCCTTTTTTTGTTTTGTTTTGTTTTGGTGTGTGTGTGTGTGTGTGTGTGTGTGTTTTGGAGACAGAGTCTTGCTCTGTCGCCCAGTGGCATGATCTTGGCTCACTGCAACCTCCACCTCTCAGGTTCAAGCAATTTTCCTGCCTCAGCCTCCTGAGTAGCTAGGACCACAGGCGCATGCCACCACGCCTGGCTAATTTTTTGTATTTTTTATTAGAGACGGGTTTTCACCCTGTTGCCCATGCTGGTTTAGAACTCCTGAGCTTGGGCAATCTGCCCACCTTGGCCTTCCAAAGTGCTGGGATTACAGGCGTGAGCCACCGCACCCAGCATATTTTCTTTTAAAAAATCCTTGTGCTGCTGAAGAGTGGGAAGGAAGGGAGCAGACATATTCCCCTTCCTTGGTTGGTGAGGACATCCTAGCTCCTGGTTTGCCTCTGTTGCTAGATAATAAAAGATAACTGACCTTTTCTTAGAAACTAGAGCCTTTTTGAACAGGGAGTGTTCAGTTGGCAGAAGCCTTCCTGGCAGGTTCTTTCCAGTCATGCCTCAGAGCTAAAATTATTTCATAAACATTGGGCCTCATCAGGCTGAGCCAAGTTGGGCTTTGACTACAGACCCAGCTGATTACTGCTCAGGTGTTTTCAGGCGTGTATGGGTCAAGATCAAGCTCATCTGGGCCTACTTGCCTTTCAGCTTCAGAATGGAGCCATCTGCCACCATCCTGCTGCTTTTGGTCCTTCACTGCCCATCTTAGAGCCAGCACAGTGGATCAGCATCTTGAACAGTAATGAACACCTTCTGAAGGAAAAAGAGCTTCTCATTGACAAGTAAGAGGGCAAGGGGTACCACAGAGCCAGACTACTCTCCCAGGCCCCATTGAAGACACCTAATGGAGTCTTCCCAAGGGCAAAGCATTCCTCCTCTGTTTAGGTCCATGTCTTGCCTCATGGTGGAGGTAGTTTGATAAGCAGCCTAGTCGTGTATATATAACTAATATAATAGACCAGTTATGTATTTCTTTAGGGGCTCTAGGGAGTGCCTAAGGGGGTAGCCAGTTCATTGCTTCTGATCTTTTCCTCATTTCCCCAGTTATCTTTCTCATTTGTTCTTCTTCCTTCAGAAAATAGTGATATCCAGAATCTAAGATCTTGCTTACGTAATAGGGATTGTACTTAGTAGGGGCTCATATTGTGAGGGGTTAGCATCAGGACCCTGACCTGATTCTACCGGCTTGTGCAGGCAGAGGAAACACATCTCTCAGCTGGAGCAGAAAGTGCGAGAGAGCGAACTGCAAGTCCACAGTGCCCTCTTGGGCCGCCCTGCCCCCTTTGGTGATGTCTGCTTGCTGAGGCTACAGGTAAGTATTGGCCATCAGGATGGCATTCTGTTTGTCATAACTCGGTGTCTTCCCTATGCTTGACACCATTAGGTATCCAGGAGATAGAAAAGAGCTCAAGTGATGTAAGTGTCCCTGCCCTCAAAGAGGGCATACTAATTATAAAGCACCCTTTATCATGCCCTTGTGGGAGCAGAAAAGGCTAAGAACCAGGTGAAAGTCCAGATGCCTGGGTGTGAAGACATACTTGGAAGAAAGGTAGATAGTAAGGTCCTAGAGTTGGGTGATGTTATGAGAAGTCTTAATTTTCTAGCCCTAGCCAAAGGAGAGAGAGGCAAAGGTAATGCAGGATTTAGAGCTATTCTCTCTCTTTTTTTTTTTTTCCCCTGCTCTGTCACCCAGGCTGGAGTGCAGTGGCACAATCTCGGCTCACTGCAACCTCCGCCTCCCGGGTTCAAGCAATTCTCCTGCCTCAGCCTCCCAAGTAGCTAGGATTACAGGTGCCTGCCACCATGCCTGGCTAATTTTTATATTTTTAGTAGAGACGGGGTTTCATCATGTTGGCCAGGCTGGTCTCGAACTCCTGACCTCGTGATCCGCCTACCTCGGCTTCCCAAAGTGCTGGGATTACAGGCGGGAGTCACTGCACCCGGGCATTCTCATTTTTATCCTCCATATCTAGGAGCAGCTGAAGAAGATAATATTCTCACTGAGATCAATGGTTGTGGGGCTTTAGAGTTTGAAAAGAAGCCTGCTTTGTTGACCAAGCTTCTGCAATTTGGGCATTTGAATGTTGGATATTTGACAGGTTATAGCACTGGCTTTGCTACCTAATTAAGGCAGTATCCTGTCTCATAGAATCAGAATGTTAAGAGTGGGAAGTGCCTTAAATAAAACTAGTTAATTCTTCGAATTTACTGATTAAAGAATTGAAACCTGAGAAAGAGGAAGACCTTGCCTGAGATCATATAGAGAATGAGTGGAGGGAAGCCAGGCTTTGAGCCCAGGTCTTCTGATGTCTTGTCCTAGGTTCCTTCCAGTATACAATGGCTTAGGTATTGCTTTAAGGCAGTGGTTCTCAAATGTGAGTGTGCATCAGAATCCCTGGAGCGCTTGTTAAAATACAGATTATTGGGACCCATCCCTACAGTTTCTGGTTTGGTGGGCCTAGGAGTTAGGCTTAAGACATTGCATTGCTAACAAATTACATCATCAGGTAATGCTGATGCTGTTAACCCTAAGACCTAGTTGAGAACCACTTCTTAAAGAGATTCTTGGAGAAAAATGATATTTGACCGTGAAGTATGCTGGGAATAAGTAAAGTACATGAGACTATAAGGGTAGAGAACAGTTACATATTGAGAATCTTTCTGGCAGGAATTGCAGCGAGAAAACACTTTCTTACGTGCACAGTTTGCACAGAAGACAGAAGCCTTGAGCAGAGAAAAGATTGACCTTGAAAAGAAACTCTCTGCTTCTGAAGTTGAAGTCCAGCTCATCAGAGAGTCGCTCAAAGTGGCGTTGCAGAAGCATTCTGAGGAAGTGAAGAAACAGGAAGAAAGGGTGAGCTGAGTAGCTGATAGCCCTAGTTCACAAAGGAGTTGGCAGTCAGCTGTCTACTCTAAAGCCTAAGCTGTTTCTGGCCTGGAACTAAGAGGAGACAATTGGGTGAGATCCTCCACTGGCTTCTCACACAGAATCGTCACAGATCTCCTTTTTGCTAGAAATGGAACTCTCCTCCCTCCCTCATTTTTGCTTCATCTCCACAAAACCACAACAGTCAGAGAAAGTTGTATGATCCCTCACTGTCCCAGGTTGTGCTGTGCAATGTACCACCAGCTGGTCTGGGTAGAAAACCAACCTGAGTACTCATACCAGGTGGCACTGTTGCAAAATACACCTGTGGTATATTTGTATCATTCAGTCTGGTTTCTCACCCTTCCTAAAAAGTAGAGAAAAATTCCATGTGCATCAGGCATGGTGGCTCACGCCTGTAATCCCAGCACTTTGGGAGGCTGAAACGGGTGGATCACCTGAGGTCCAGAGTTCGAGACCAGCCTGGCCAACATGGTGAAACCCCGTCTCTACTAAAAATGCAAAAATTAGCTGGGTGTGGTGGCTGGCGCCTGTAATCTCAGCTACTTGGGAGGCTGAAGCAGGAGAATAGCTTGAACCCGGGAGACAGAGGTTGCAGTGAACCAGGATCACGCCATCATGCCATTGCACTCCAGCCTAGGTGATAGAGCAAGACTCCGTCTCAGGAAAAAAAAAAAAAATTCCATGTGCACAGCTAGTTTGGGTGTGTATATTTGCCAGTACTCTTAGAATTGCCTTAGGTTTAAAGTTATTTGGTTTTGTTGGTATCTCCCAATTCACGGCTTGCTCTAAAGCATGTGTTTTTGGGGAACCAGTTTAGTAATGTTAAAGTTCTAGACCACTTAAAACAACTAGAGCAATACTTCTCAAACTTCATTGTTTCAGAATCACTTGGGGATCTTGTTAAAAATGTACATCAGATTCATAGTTCTAGGAGGAAGCCTGAGATCCTGCCTTTCTTTTTTTTTTTTTTGAGATGGAATTTCGCTCTGGCATCTGGGCTGGAGTGCAGTGGTGCAATCTCAGCTCACTGCAACCTCAGCCTCCTGGGTTCAAGCGATTCTCCTGCTTCAGCCTCCCAAGTAGTTGGGATTACAGGCGCCTGCTACCACACCCAGCTAATTTTTGTAATTTTAGTGGAGATGGGGTTTCACCATGTTGGCCAGGCTGGTCTCGAACTCCTGACCTCAGGTGATCCACCCACCTCAGCCTCCCAAAGTGCTGGGATTACAGATGTGACCCACTGCACCCAGCTGGATTCTGCATTTCTGACAAGCTCCCAGGTGATGCTGATGTTGTTGGTACTGGAAGGACTTAAGAGGGTTTGTTAAAAAAGAAAATTTAAAGTTGAGTTAGGCTGGGCGCCGTGGCTCATGCTTGTAATCCCTGCACTTTGGGAGGCTGAGGTGGGCAGATCACCTGAGGTCAGGGGTTCGAGACCAGCCTGACCAACATGGAGAAACCCTGTCTCTACTAAAAATACAAAATTAGCTGGGCGTGGTGGCACATGCCTATAATCCCAGCTACTCAGGAGGCTGAAGCAGGAGAATCACTTTAACCCAGGAGGCGGAAGTTGCAATGAGGCAAGATCGCTCCATTGCACCCCAGCCTAGGCAACAAGAGCGAAACTCCATCTCAAAAAAATAAAAGAAAGTTGGGTTAGTGAGTTTAAAAAAATAATAATTTATATATCTGTTAGGTAATTAAATACCAATAGATTTATAATAAAACTAGTAGTTCTAAAAACAAATGAAAAAATAAAAAATTTAGTAGTTCTGGCCAGACTCAGTGGCTCATACCTATAATTCCAGCACTTTGGGAGACTGTGGCAAGAGAATTGCTTGAGCTCAGGAGTTTAAGACAAGCCTGAACAACATAGTGAGACTCTCTTAAAAAAAAAAAAAAATTTTTTTTTTCCCTAAAATCAAGTTTATTACTCAGAGCAAAAGTTGCCCATATAATACGTTGCTCTTCAATTTTTATTTCTGCATGGTTATACAGTCTGAATGACTAGTTTACAATCCCAGGTGGTATTATAAGTTTTGCTTTTACTGGCCAGGCATGGTGGCTCACACCTGTAATCCCAGCATATGGGGAGGCCAAGGCAGGCGAATCACTTGAGGTCAGGAGTTCGAGACCAGTCTGGCCAACATGGTGAAACCCTCTCTGTACTAAAAAAAATACAAAAATGGCCAGGCACGATGGCTTACACCTGTAATCCCAACACTTTGGGAGGCTGAGGAGGGCAGATCACAAGGTCAGGAGATCAAGAACATCCTGGCCAACATGGTGAAACCCCATCTCTACTAAAAATACAAAAAATTAGCTGGGGGTGGTGGCGCACGCCTATAGTCCCAGCTACTTGGGAGGCTGAGGCAGGAGAATCACTTGAACACAGGAGGCGGAGGTTGCAGTGAGCCAAGATCACACCACTGCACTTCCAGCCTGGCAACAGAGCAAGACTCTGTCTCAAAAAAAAACAAAATGCAAAAATTAGCGGGGTATGGTGGTGGGCTCCTGTAACCTCAGCTACTTAAGAGGCTGGGGCAAGAGAGTTGCTTGAACCCAGGAGGTAGATGTTGCAGTGAGCCGAGATAGCACCACTGCTCTCTAATCTGGGCAACAGAGTGAGTGAGAGTCTGTCTCAAAAAAAACAAAACAAAACAAAAAAAGGCGGGGGGCGGGGGATGTGACTGTTGGAAGGGGAAAAGTCCTCGCTGACAAAGAAATGACACTAATGAAAATAAAATCAAGAATGATCCACTGGTACCACAGATGATAGAGAAGCTTGTCAGTGAGCAGTTCCCTACTTCTTGCAGCAAAGGGGAGCATGGGCTAAAAATATTTTAGAAAAATCAAACGGCACCTGCAACACACTCTTAAATAAAGGCCAAGCTTGCAAACTATTCCTCCTCATCCATGTTGCTCAAATGTGAAGGAATTCTATATAAGGCTAAAATCTAGTGAATCTTCTCACTTCAATTTCCACCTCTCTGGCTCAAGTCATTCTTGTGACTTAGCCTCCCAAGTAGCTGGGATGATAGGCACATGCCACCACACTGGGCTAAATTTTGTACTTTTATTAGAGATGGGGTTTCACCATGTTGGCCAGGCTGGTCTTAAACTCCTGGCCTCAGGTGATTCACCCACCTTGGCCTCCCAAAGTGCTGGGATTACAGACATGAGCCACTGCGCCTGGCCCTCACTGCTGCTGCTTTGTGGAATACAGTTTTTCTTCAAGTGAGACTAGGACAATCTCTTCATATTCTTTTAGTTCCTGGGATGTTTTACAGTACTCTGTCCAATCACATCTACATCTCTAGACAAGTGCTCCATCATGCTTTCAACAGTTGTGGTTGGTGCATAAAAATTCACCAAGAAATACCCACCTCTGCTGTGCTGTTGACGAAGATCTTATAAGGAAGTGCTCATTTGCCCAGGTTTTGCAAGTCCCTCACTATTGCTCCTCTGTTCATCAGGGCTTGTATCATACTTTTCAAAGCAGCAGTAGTCTCTGGCTGCGGCATGGCTGTCAAGATTAAAGCCAGCTTATAGCCAGGCATTCCCAAGGGCTTGGTGGGCGGCTCAGAACTGGGATGGTTCCCGGGAAGCAAAGGAGCAGGATGGCAGGGACCTGGAAGTGGCTGGGCTGAATGGCTGCCGGATGGCAAAAGCTACAAAAAATTTTTAAAAATTAGCCAGGCATGGTGGTCCCTCCTGTAGTCCCAGCTACTCAGGAAGCTGAAGTGGGAGAATCACTCACTGGAGCCCAAAAGGTCAAGGCTGCAGTAAGCCATGATCTCACAGTTACACTCCAGTCTGGGTGACAGCAAGACATTGTCTCAAAAAAAAAAAGGAAAAAGATCAGTAGTTCTGTGCCCCAGCACAACCCCACAATTGTGTATCTATCTTGAGCTCTTCTCTTTCACCTGATATATATATATAGTTGACCTTGGAACAATACATTTAAACTGCACAGTTCCACTTGTACGTGTATTTTTTTCAACCAAACACAGATCAAAAATCATGTATTCAAGAGATGCAAAACCAGAGTATATGGAGGGCCGACATATATGTGGTTTCTTCAGGACCAGCTGTGGGACTCGAGTATGAGCAGATTTGGATATACAAAGGTGGTCTTGGAACCAGTCCCCCGTGTACACCAAGGGACGACTGTATTTCTGAATAGTATGCTTTTCCTGCGCTTTTTTTCTTCAGTGAATTTTATACATCTGTTTTTGTTTCATGGGTACAGTATCTCTCTGACAGTATTGATTGTAATTGTTTTGGGTGTTTACATCTGTTTATAGTATTTCTTGTTTTCTTAAGGTCCTTTTTTTCTGTTTTTGGTGTCTTTCATGTTAGAGGCCTGGTGATCATTGAATGGATGGGCATTCATATTTAAGAAGGTAGCAGGCTGGGCGCGGTGGCTCACGCCTGTGATCCCAGCACTTTGGGAGGCTGAGGCAAGTGGATCACCTGAGGTCGGGAGTTCAAGACCAGCCTGGCCAACATGGTGAAATCCTGTCTCAACTAAAAATACAAAAATTAGCTGGGCATGGTGGTGGGTGCCTGTAATCCCAGCTACTCGGGAGGCTGAGGCAGGAGAATCGCTTGAACCTGGGAGGTGGAGGTTGCAGTGAGCTGAGATCACGCCACTGCATTCCAGCCTTGGCAATGAGAGTGAGACTCCTTCAAAAAAATAAAATAAAAAGGAAGCATTTAAAAGCTGGATGAAAGCTCTGGATTCATGGTGGTTACCTGTTGGACTTCACTGTAGTATCAGACTTAGACTACCCTTTTCACTTGGGAATGCTCAAATGTCAATCTCTGGATGTCTTCTCTCACTCTCTCTAGGGAAGAATCTTCAACCTGCTGCCTGGTGGAGAGGCTAGAGGCAGGAATGCTTTTTAGCCTTTGGATTCTTGATGTTGAGGAGATTGGGCTTAGAGTCCCCACAGTTCTATACATAGTTTTTTTTGTTTGTTTTTGAGACACAGTCTCGCTGGAGACTCTGGAGTTGCTGGAGTGCAGTGTCACGATTTAGGCTCACTGCAGCCTCCACCTCCCAGATTCAAACTATTCTCTCTCATGCCTCAGCTACCTGAGTAGCTGGGATTACAGGCATGTACCACCACACCCGGCTTTTTTTTTTTTTTTTTTTTTTTAGATAGAGTCTCGCTTTGTTGCCTGGGCTGGAGTGCAGTGGCGTGATCTTGGCCACTGCAGCCTCCATCTCCCGGGTTCAAGCGATTCTCCTGCCTCAGCCTCCCGAGTAGCTGGGATTACAGGCACCCACCACCATGCCCGGCTAATTTTTGTATTTTTAGTAGAGACAGGATTTTGCCATGTTGACCAGGCGGGTCTCAAACTCCTGACCTCATGTGATCTGCCCGCCTCGACTTCCCAAAGTGCTAGGATTACAGGCTTGAGCCACTGCACTGGCCTAATTTTTGTATTTTTTATAGAGATAGAGTTTTACCATTTTGGTCAGGCTGGTCTTGAACTCCTGGCCTCAATTAATCTGCCCACCTCAGCCTCCCAAAGTACTGGGATTACAGGTGTGAGCCACCACACCCGGCCATATACATAGATTTTTACTTATACTTGTTTTCAACCCAATACTTCACCCTCTCTGCTGTGACTGGGTATTCTTGAGTTGGGAATCTCTCTGATTGATTTCTCCAGAGAATAGTCTCCTGATGGGGAAGCCCAGGGTGAGGCTGATATCTAGCTAATTTGTATATAGATTTCTAGGGAATTCCCCTATTTTTCAGCTCTGTGGTTGATACTTGCCTCCATAGTGAGCTGATACTTCAGTTCAGAGGCTCTTGAGAATTGGGAGGAGCAGATTTTCTTCCCTGTTGTCTGTAACTCCCACTGCAGATTATAACTTTTCTGCCCCAAGTCATTTATCTCCCCTGTTCACTTTCATCTTTTAAAAACATTAAAATCTTTCATAGGCTGGGCATGGTGGCTCACTCCTCTTAATCCTGGTACTTTGGGAGGCCAAGGCAGGAGAATTGCTTGAGCCCAGTTCAAGAACAGCCTGGGCAACATGACGAGACTCCATCTCTATAAAAAATTTTAAGCCAGGCTCGGTGGCTCACGCCTGTAATCCCAGCACTTTGGGAGGCCGAGGTGGGTGGATCACCTAAGGTCAGGAGTTCAAGATCAGCGTGGCCAACATGGTGAAACACTGTCTCTACCAATAATACAAAAAATTAGCTGGGCGTGGTGGTGGACACCTGTAACCCCAGCTCCTCGGGAGGCTGAGGCAGGAGAATCGCTTGAACCCGGGAGGTGGAGGTTCCAGTGAGCTGAGATCACACCACTGCACTCCAGCCTGGGCAACAAGAATGAAACTCCATCTAAAAAAAAAAAATTGTTTTTTCTTTAAATATTAGCTGGGCATGGTGGTACACGCTTGTAGTCTAAGCTACTGAGAGGCTGAGGTGGGAGCATCACTTGAGCCCAGGAGGTCAAGGCTGCAGTGGGCTGTGTCCGTGTCACTGCACTTCAGCATGGGTGACAGAGCAAGACCCTGTCTCAAAAAAATAATAAATCTTTCCTAGACTTTTGTTTCCTCCCCTGTTGTTTCTCAGTTAATACTTTATTTCTTTTCTGTCATTTTAAAGATGTTTTTGGAAGGGAGAAGAGATAAACATTTATGGTCAGTTTACCATTTTCAGTAAGCTTCCCAGGTGATTCTGATACATACTGAAATGTGAAAATCACTGGTTCAGAAATTTAAGAGTACAGATTGGACCTAGGATAAGCTTTTGGCTGATTTTCAGGGATCTTTCTTTGTACTGTTATATCTTTGGATTAAATTAGGCCTTTGCCGCCTCTTTGACATTTAGTAGATCTGCATCACTTTTTCTGTTTTCTCTTGCTTTCCTCACCTTCCTTGTTCATAAGCAAACAAAATAAAACAAAGCACCATAATGGTGAAGAAAAAGCCTCTGTTCAAATCTTTATTGAATACCTGCTCTGTGCCAGGCCTTCTGCCGTGTGTTTAGTATATGATTATTAGCAAACAGACATAGCTCTTTCTCTCAAGTCTCATTAGCCTTTCCAGTTGATTGCATGGCTTTATATCATGTGTGGTATTTAGGGAAGAATATATTACCTTTCTGACCAAACTGGTTATATGTCTTATCAGAAAGTTATGTATACTTCTGCAGTCCAATTCAGATGCACACCATCTGGAGTTAGTGTCAGACTCCACAGGTTTAAGGGCACAGTTCTCAGCAAAACTGTGTTTACTTCAGATGCCAACAGCAAATTTTGGGGTCTTCAGGCCACCCGTATTTCTGACCAACTGGCTGCAGATCTGTAGGCTTCTATGACCCCTTCAGGTTTAATAATTCCCAGAATTACTCACAGAACTTAGGAAAGTGCTATACTTATTATTACAGTTTTATTATAAGGGATACAATTCAGGGCTGGGTGCAGTGGCTCATGCCTGTAATCCCAGCACTTTGGGAGGCCGAGGCAGGTGGATCACCTGAAGTCAGGGGTTCGAGACCAGCCTGGCCAACATGGTGAAATCCCATCTGTACTAAAAATAGAAAAATTAGCTGGGCATGGTGGCGGGTGCCTGTAATCCCAGCTACTCGGGAAACTGAGGCAGGAGACTCTCTTGAACCCAGGAGGCGAAGGTCGCAGTGAGCCAAGATTGCACCATTGCATTCCAGCCTGGGCAACAAGAGCGAAACTGTCTCAAAAAAAGGGGGGTGGGATACAATTCAGGACCAGCCAAATGACATAGGGTGAGGTCCAGGAGCATCCTGAGAGCAGAGCTTCCATGCCCTCTCCTTGTGGAATAAGAGCATGTAAACACAGCACATTTATGTGTTTACCTACCAGGAAGCTCCAGTGAGCTGCTGTGTCCAGAGTTTTTAGTTGGAGTTTTATCTATGTAGGCATGATTGAACTCAATCACCCGTCCCTCTGCCTTCCCCATAGTAGATTAGGCTTAAAGCAGTTGATTTTTCTGGTGATCTGCATCCATTCTGAGTCATAGTATTGGCATAAATTTACTCATGATGGGATCTGGCCCACTCCTGTCCAATTCAGGAAATTCCAAGGGCTTAGAGGTTACAGGCCTCCCAGGAACCAGGTACAGAGACCAGACAAATTCTGTATTTTACAACAGAAATGCTGCCAGTTTTTAAAAACTGCCCTAGAAGACTTTCTCCGTCCTTGATTTGAAAGTTCATTAATTCTTTAGTTTTATACTCAAATCCTAAATGGCAAAATTTGTTTAGCTTCCTACCTTCATTGCAGTAGAACAACATTCACAGCCTCAAGGGTTGCTTCAAAAAAAGTTGATGTGGCTGGGTGTGGTGGCCCATGCCTGTAATCCCAGCAGTTTGGGAGGCCAAGGTGGGCGGATGGCTTGAGGCCAGGAATTGGAGACCAGCCTGAAAAACATGGCGAAACTCTGTCTCTACAAAACATAGAAAAATTAGCCTGCCGTGGTAGTGTGTGCCTGCAGTCCCAGCTACTCCAGGGGCTGAGGTAGGAGGATCACTTGAGCCTGGGAGGTGGAGGCTGCAGTCAGCTGAGATCACAGCACTGCACTCCAGCAGGGTCATAGTGGAGTGAATGGTGGAGACAGACTTGACATTTATTTTCCTAGGTCAAAGGTCGTGATAAACATATCAATAATTTGAAAAAGAAATGCCAGAAGGAATCAGAGCAGAACCGGGAGAAGCAGCAGCGTATTGAGACCTTGGAGCGCTACCTGGCTGACCTGCCCACACTGGAAGACCATCAGAAGCAGAGCCAGCAGGTAGCAGCAATGTCTTGGCATGCCTGGGGTGATCAGGGAGTGGCCAGGCAGGGGAACTTTTTCATCATCTGCTGTATGCAGTTATCCTGTGACTTGCTGAAAGGAGAATCCCAAAGCAGTCATGTCCAGATTCATAATTGTCAGATTTGTAACCAGACTGCAAATTTTTTGAGGTACCCAGACAGAGTCTTCCTTATGTTAAAGTGAACCCCAAGTTTCTCTTCAAAGAATCAGTAAGTTCAGGTCTCTTACTCTTTGATTCACTATTTTAAAGTTTAACTTCCTGGTTCTCTTCGCCCTCTTGCTTCTAGTTTCAGTAAACAACCTTTTCCACCAGTTTTAATCAGTAGTTCACATCTGTTCCCCCGGTCACCTACTCCGTCCTGACTCATCCCGGTCACCTGCTTTGACCTGAGTCACCCTGGTCACCTGCTCTGACCTAAGTCACCTTTAATTACCTGTTCCTAACTGTCCTTCCCACCAAACTACTCACCCCACCACTCTGGCTCATAAACCTGTTCCCTTTAAAATAGCCAATCAGAATTAGCTTAGACTGTGTGGTTCAACCCTAGCCAATAGGGGAACGACATAGCAGTAGGGACTACCTGCGTCAGAAATAAGAACTCCTTCCCCTCCCCTGTCCAGTTGTGTTCTCACCATTGTTCCATCTGCGAGGAGCACCCTTTCTGCAGAAAGTAAAAATTGCCTTGCTGAGGAAATTAAATATAGGTTTGAGTGCTATTTCTTTGTGACACCGAGGAACAAGCATTTTGCATTTATAACACTTGGCTTATTTGACCTAAACATGGGATCCTGTCTCTCAGCTTAAGGATTCTGAGTTGAAGAGCACAGAGCTGCAGGAGAAAGTGACTGAGCTGGAGAGTTTGCTGGAGGAGACCCAGGCAATCTGCAGAGAGAAGGAGATTCAACTGGAAAGCCTGAGGCAGAGAGAAGCAGAATTCTCCTCCGCTGGACATAGGTAAATAACCCTGTGGGACTGAGAGGAGTGGAGAGTTAAGTTTTTTGTCATAGCCATCCTGCTCACTTACCTGTGTGACTTTGGGTGATTTGGGAAAATCATTTTACTTATCTGAGCTTTGTTTTCTTTGGACTGTGAATAATAGGAAAGCTGCTTATGGGAAGCGGCTTTTTTTTTTTTTTTTTTTTTTGAGACGGAGTCTTGCTCTGTCGCCCAGGCTGGAGTGCAGTGGTGCAATCTTGGCTCACTGCAAGCTCCGCCTCCCAGGTTCACACCATTCTCCTGCCTCAGCCTCCTGAGTAGCTGGGACTACAGGCGCCCGCCACTGCGCCTGGCTAATCTTTTTTGTATTTTTAGTAGAGACGGGGTTTCACCGTGGTCTCGATCTCCTGACCTCGTGATCCACCCTCCTTGGCCTCCCAAAGTGCTGGGATTACAGGTGTGAGCCACCGCGCCCGGCCAGGAAGCGGCTTTTATATCTTTGGCATGGAGTATGGATGCAGTGGGGGCTTATCTTCATAGCCTTTGTAAGGATCTAACCCAGTGCCTGGCACATAATTCTTAGTATGTATGTGTTGAATAAATGAAAGCACTTTGTAAACTGGGAAATGAGGTGTCTGTATACTTTCAAAAGTGGGTACTGGTGATAAGAACTGAGAGTTATCCACAGTTCGAGCTGTGTAGGCTAAAGGCTACCAGGAGCCTTTCTCCTCAGCCCTAGGGATTGTTCTCCATTGCCATGACAGGTTCTGAGAACAAAACAAGATGCCATAATGTACTCTCAGGATGTCTTGGGAGCCTTCTCCATATTAATAGCAGTTTCTGAAAATAATGGTGTGTTTCAACAGCCTCTTGGACCAAATCCAGTTTCTAATGGGATAGATTGGATTTCTCATCCCATATTTAACCACAGTGTCCCTGTTGTTTATCTCAGCAGATGGGCTTTGCTATAAGTAATTGTAGGGACCCACTGGAGGAAACCATTGGTTAGAGTCAGAAGTGGGGTTAGAGGACAAAGTTGGCTTTGCCCCAGACTGTGTGTGCCAAGAAAACAGCTTTTGTATTTTCCAAACTTTCTACAATGTACATGTATGACTTACAATCTAAATACATGTGATAAATATGTATTTTTTAAATATCAAAACAAAATACACAAGAGCCTTGGGCAGGTAGAGAATTGGTGTCACATTGTATAGATTCTGGCCCTTAGGGAAGAGAATTAACATACACTGAGCAGCTTTTGTGTGGCACCCCATATATTACAGCAGACCCAAGTATTATCCCCAGCTACTGCTTGGACTAAGTGTCTTGCCTCAAAATGTGCAATAAGTAGCAGAACCAAGAATCAAAGCCACTTGTGTCTAACTTCAGAGTTCTTGAAGAGGCCACTGTCTTTCAGCCTGCAAGATAAACAGTCTGTGGAGGAGACCAGTGGAGAAGGTCCAGAAGTGGAAATGGAGTCCTGGCAGAAGCGATACGATTCGCTCCAAAAGGTGACTGAGGGTGTCCAGGCTGTAACGGAGGGTAGGCTGGGAGGAAAGAGAAGATTGTGTATTAGGAGGGATACGTGAATTCTTGGCTTTGGGCTATCTAGGATTTGTTACCAAGAGCTTTTCTTTCTTTTCGGAGAAGTCACCCTGCATAGTAATTTGTATTTAGATAGTCATCCTTGTAACAGGCAAACTTCACTCATTTAGAATATAGGCAAAAGTAAGAGGAGGGGTGATATGCCTCTGAATATCTAGATTAGATGACCCAAAATGGTGCAGTAAAGTTTGGTGCACTTTATTCATGGCTCAGGCCCATACAGAAACCCTTGAATTGAACAGAGTTCTAACCAGTGAGGTGCCCTGGTTTCTTAATTCAGCAAAGACGAGAGAGCCAGGGGCCGGCTGGTGAAACTGACTGCAGGTTAGTAAAAAAAAAAGAAGACCCATAAATGATTCAAAGAAACCAGGCCTATTTAGGGTCCCTTCTTGGATAATCAGTACGACCAGAGCTGTAAATAACAACAACCATCATAGTGCTAGAAATGGCAAGCTTCATTAGACTGAATTTTTAGCCATGTCCTTGTACCAAAGAACAAGAGTTTGCACTGGCTGTTTATAAAATTGATTCCACTGGCCTGCAGTTATTAGGGTGAGAGTTCCCTTTCCCCCAGTAGTGGTTATGTGTTCACACTACATTCCTGTATAAACCTTTGTGATTGGAGCACAACTGTGAAGCTAGTTAGCCAGGATTAGGAGTCTGGTTTATATTCCTATAGGTAGAGTTCACTAATCTTTATCCTGGTCTTACTCTTAATGGTCTAATAGCCAGACCACATGTCCTAGTGCAGCCCCCTTGCCCTCTGTCCTCACCGTCAGCCTTGTGCTCGCAGCCTTCCTTGATAACTTTGCCTTTCAGATTGTGGAGAAGCAGCAGCAGAAGATGGATCAGTTGCGCTCACAAGTACAGGTGAGCAGGAATCCTTGGGACATGGTGGGCAGAACTTAATGATGGAATCTCTAGAATTTAGCCAATATTTATTTTGTTCTCTGCCATGCAGGTTGCTCAGTGTTAGGGATACAAAAAGAATGAGACCCAGTCAGTGCTTTTGAGCCTTGCTGAGAGGACACAAATATAGTAGGGAGTTTCAGCACAGTACTGTGAGAGCAGTCCCCACAGTATCCTGGGGGAGTGCAGGAGAGTCAGTGGGAGGAAGGGAGGTAAAAGAGAGGTTTCTGGAGATCCTGAACCTACAAGGATGAGGAGTTAGCCAGGCAAACAAGAGGAGCTGGATAGGATGTGTTGGATTCCAGATAGGAGGAACAGCATGAGTGGGAACATGGAGACATGAAACAGCATAGTTTGAATGTGGTGCTGCAAGCAGTTTGATACTGCTGACGTATCCACTTTAAGATGGTAAATGGAGACCTGGGCATTCCAGGCTATGGAAGGGCCTTATCTATCAACTAAGTTAGCTTTTATTCTTTATGTAGGTGGTGGGCATCTATTACAGCATTTTTTTTTTTTTTTTTTTTTTTTTTTGGAGACAGAGTCTCGCTCTTGTCGCCCAGGCTGGAGTGCAATGGCGCAATCTCGGCTCACTGTAACCTCTGCCTCCCAGGTTCAAGCAATTCTCCTGCCTCAGCCTCCCGAGTAGCTGGTATTACGGGTGCCCACCATCACGCCCGGCTAATTTTTGTATTTTTTGTAGAGACGGGGTTTCACCACGTTGGCCAGACTGGTCTCGAACTCCTGACCTCAGGTGATCTGCCCGCCTCGGCCTCCCAAAGTGCTGGGATTACAGGCGTGAGCCATCATGCCCAGCCTATTACAGCATGTAATTGGGATGTGATGTGGTCAGGTTTGCAACTCAGGCTCAAGTGTGGAAGATTGGCATCCTGGAGAGAAGAAAGGTCCAGGGGGACTGTTGGAGAAATTCTCGTGAGAGGTGATGAGGGAACCTGGCATAAGGCAGCATAGCAGCGAGGAGATGTGAGGGGACAGATTTAAGTGACTTTAGGAGGTAACATCAAGCGGAATCAGTGACTGACAAGATGTAGGGGTTGAAGAATAGGGAAGAATCAAATATGACTCCAGGTTTCTATTTTGGGCCAGAGTGGGAGTGTCTTTAACTGGGTTCTCCAAGAAATTCTGGGTAAAGCAGGTTCACTCAGCGTCTCTTTGGACTCTAAAAGTTTTCACACCAAAACACCCGAAATGCACTCGTTTTGAGGGAATAAGTGGAGGCTGCAGTCTTGCCTTTGCCATTATGTGGATTGGGCTACGTCTATCTGGTTCACCTCTTTCAAGTCCTGTAAGGAGGTAGTCAAGCCTGGCAAGCATTTTAATACATACCCATTTAAAATCCCAGGTTTTTAGTAGAGTTTTTAATGGATCTCAAAATAGGTTTCCTAGAACCCTTGGGGTTCTGCAAAGTTTGGAAAAGCCTGACATTTTAAATGGCACATTTACCTATGATAAGACTACTTAGGCAAATTAAAATATCAGGTGAGGCCGGACACGGTGGCTCACGCCTGTAATCCCAGCACTTTGGGAGGCCGAGGTGGGCAGATCACAAGGTCAGGAGATTGAGACCATCCTGGCTAACAAGGTGAAACCCTGTCTCTACTAAGAATACAAAAAGATTAGCTGGGCGTGGTGTCATGCACCTGTAGTCCCAGCTACTTGGGAGGCTGAGGCAGGAGAATTGTTTGAACCTGGGAGGTGGAGGTTGCAGTGAGCCGAGATCACGCCACTGCACTCCAGCCAGTCTGGGCGACAGAGTGAAACCCCATCTCAAAATAAATAAATAAATAAATAAATAAATAAAATATATATATATATGTGAATTTGTTGGAATTAGATGGATTCATCATAGTCACTTTGGCTATTTCATGATCATGAGGTGTTTTCCTTAGCAGTTTTTTTTTTTATTAATACCAAATGAGAAATATAAAAAAATTTTCACACTTCATTCAAATCAGTTTCAAAATTTGAGGAAAAATTGAATGAAGAGAATGAGAGGCAGAAGTTTAAAAGCTTAAATATCTCCCTTCCCCTGACCGCTCCTACACACACAAACACAGACACACTTACACACAACTCACTAGATTAGGTACCTGTGAGTATGCTCTTCTACCCCTTTCCATGTCTCTGAACAGCATTTAGTAGACAGTATTGTCAAGAGCACTTGACTGTTAACTCCTAAAAGACAGGAACTGTTTGGTGTTCTTCTCAATGCTGGTCACAGTAAGTGCTCGGTAAATAGTGAACTCAGCTGAATAGCACATTCCCTGCCCTCAAGAAAGTTATGTTTGAGTGGAGCGAAGGATCATGTGCATAGCCAACTAGAATATTAAGCAGATGTACTCGTAAGCCATGATGGATATGATAGCAAGGTAGGATTAGGATTAATTAGATCTGATTTGCAGATTGAAGACAGCTCAGGTGTGCCTTGGAGGTTTCCTGGAGGTAACAGCAGAAGAGCAGCTTGAAGAAAGGAAAAGAGAAGTGAGCAGAAGCATTGACACTGCAGCCTTCAGGGATGAGGGCCAGTCATTCATCGTGACGGTGTAGAGGCTGGCCATGTGGAGGGTGGAAAGAGATATGACTAGAAAAGTAGGTAGGAGCTACAGTGGCCTTGAATGCCCTGCTAAGAAGCTGACCTCTATTTGGTATGTGGTCAAGGGCTATAGGAGGGTTTAAATGGGAGGTCACAAATCAGGACTGTTCTAAAATGATTTCTTATGAGGGTGTAGGTAGGGTGAGTCGTCACTATATAGTCCAAGCCAGCGGTGATATTGTCTGAACCAGACTTGTTACCCCTACTGTGTTCCCTCAACATCTTGCTGTGTGATTCAGAGCCTAGAGCAGGAAGTGGCTCAAGAAGAAGGAACAAGCCAGGCCCTGAGAGAGGAGGCCCAGCGAAGGGATTCAGCCCTGCAGCAGCTGCGCACAGCCGTGAAGGAGGTGAGCAACATTAGTCAGACCTCTTGGTTTTGCCTCCACAAACCCGATTTCTTTGTTTGCCCTCCCCATCTCTACCCCAATAAGAGCCCCAGTGTTTGAAAGGGAAAGGTCCCTACTGAGCTCTGGGGGCAGAGGAAAGGTGCATTGCATCATTCTTTATATTACAGACCCTAAGCCTGTTTTAGCATGTCCATAATTATTACCTAGGAAGGTTTTTTTTTTTTTTTTAAGACAGAGTCTTGCTCTGTCGCCAGGCTAGAGTGCAGTGGCGCAATCTCGGCTCACTGCAACCTCCGCCTCCCAGGTTCAAGCGATTCCCCTGCCTCAGCCTCCTGTGTAGCTGGGACTACAGGCACGCGCCACCACGCCCGGCTAATTTTTTGTATTTTAGTTGAGGTGGGGTTTCACCATGTTGGCCAGAATGGTCTTCATCTCCTGACCTTGTGATCCGCCCACTTTGGCCTCCCAAAGTGCTGGGATTACAGTCGTGAGCCACTGCGCTGGGCCCAGGAATGCTTTTTGATGGGGAAAGTCATTCTCTCTTCCTTTGTCTTGAAGCCACAGGTTTCTGGGGTTGGGGAGTGGAGAGTTCAAGAAGACTGAGGATTTGGTGGCCTTCATGCACTAAACAGAGCTGTCAGCAGGGGGCAACCAAGTTCACTGACTGGCCTAGTGCCTAGGAAGGAACCTCCTTGAGTTAGGATTGTCACATGGCCCAGTGTGGGTGGAGGGCCTGGGACTGAAGGACGGACTCTATTCAGACTCTATAAAAATACAATCAAGGTAGGAAGGGAAGGAAAGTGGATTAAGCTGTCAGGAAGAGAGGGAAACAGACAGACATACATGAATAGATGGTTTTTGTAATAAAGTCTGACTCCACTGAGGTGAGAGTTTGAAAAGGCAGGACTTGTTCCAGGGCTGGATCCTCCAGGTTCCAGCTTCTCCAGCCCCCCACCTAGTGGCTACTAGCTGTCATATTGTCTTTCTTACTCTCTTTATTCCTCTGACACACTGTGATCAGGCTGGCTGGTGGCCACTTTTGTCAGGGTGGCAGGGAGAGATTGAAACCAGTGTCTCCTCAGATTTCACGGTTCACATTAAGCCTTCTCTAATAGCCTGGCTAACAGAGTTGGCTGAGGGACTGGCTTGAGATAGAGTTCCTAGGGGCGGGAGCATCTTCTCTGGTTCTTGAACAGAAACTTGGATGCTGATGATTCAGAACCAGTTGAGGGTTGGCTTCCTCTCCAGTGCTAGAGCCCTGTGGGCCCAACCTACCCACAGGAAGAACCAGGCCTGATACTGATAGTGGGAGAAGTGCTAAAAGCCTGTTGGCAGGGGTAGGGTTGGGGAAGGAGGGACACTGCCTATGACTCACCCATCCCTTCCACACCCACACACTCATGCACAGATACTCTTCCTCTCCCTGGGCCTGAGTTAATGTGCTTACCCATCTGTCTGCTCAGCTTTCAGTGCAAAACCAGGACTTGATTGAGAAGAATCTGACACTCCAGGAACACCTGCGCCAGGCCCAACCAGGGTCTCCACCTTCACCAGACACGGCCCAGCTGGCACTTGAGCTGCACCAGGAGTTGGCCAGTTGCCTTCAAGATCTGCAGGCTGTCTGTAGCATTGTGACCCAGAGGGCCCAGGGCCATGACCCCAATCTCTCCCTGCTCCTGGGCATTCACTGTGAGTCCTCAGACCAGTCTGGGGCCCAGGAAGGAGGGTCCTTCTTTCTCTTCTCTCCCCCATCCTGCTTTCCCATATTCTTGTGGTAATATGTAGACAGAGTACATAGTCCTGGCCACTGCCCTCTGGACATTTATTTGTTTCACAAAGTAGGTGTTCACAAATCTGTTTTTGGAAACAAGCTATGGGGTACTTGCATGCAGGACAAACTAAAAGTGGACCTTCAGCAGCAAATTAACCCACTGTCCCCAGATGCTTTTTTTAAAGTGCATGTCCCAAGACTGTGGGTTCAAGATACTGCCTATCCATACTGCACCCTCCACATGAAAATGTCTCATAACTAACATTCTCTTGAAATGCTCTTCTCCCCAGCAGCACAGCACCCAGAGACTCAGCTAGATTTGCAGAAGCCAGATGTGATCAAGAGGAAACTAGAAGAGGTTCAACAGCTGCGTCGTGACATTGAGGACTTAAGGACCACCATGTCAGACAGATATGCCCAGGACATGGGAGAAAACTGTGTCACACAGTGAGGAATTCTGGGGGATTCCCCCAGGGAGGAGCTGGGCTGCTGAGAGCCTAGTCCAGCAGGTTTCTGCCCTGACATTCTCTTGTCTGCTATTCCCAGAGAGGTCTCAGAGGGGAGGGGAGAGCCTGCATCTGGGGGCCAAGGGCTGATTAGGGAACTGTGTCCTACCCACACTGGCATGTTGGATTACGTTTGTCCTGTTAATTCACTCTAGACGGTGAGTTACTAATTAACTTTTGGCAGGTACAACAGATAAGTCCTCACAAACTGTTCCCAGCCCTAGGCTGACATGAGAGACGAACAGGCTGTCCACCTTTCTTCTCCATCCAATGGGATGGATCCATGTTCATTCCCACTTCACACCTTGGTCCTGCTGATTAGAGAGCTCATCAGAGGGGCCTGGAAAGGCTGAGCAAGTACCAGTGACAATGGCCATTTAAGAATTCTCAGGCCCCATGTGCCAGCCTTCTTGGGAACTGAGCTGGCTTTCTGGGTTTTCTCATGCCTGGTCTTACTGCTTCTTCCTCAGGGCTCTTGTTCTCCCAGAAGCCTCAGGGTAATGTGTTGGTTAGCACGTAACTACTAGGATTGGGGCCCTAGGGATTATAGCCAGGACTCTAATCTGCCTACCATGCCATTTAACAAGAGATCCCACTCTCCAGCTGCCTTGTGTCCCTAGGGTCCTGGCCATGTGTTTAGTGTGCTAAACTTTCTCCTTTGTTCTCAGGCCTTCCAGGTAGTCCCCTTCCTGGACTTAAGAGTGCAAACTCTTCTCTGTGGTTCTAGCCTTGGGCAGAATTATATCCCAGAGACCACAGAGCAACTGTCAAGCTGCTTACCCCCTCACCCAGGGCTACAGCCTGTGCCCAGCCCTCTAATTTGTGCCTCTCTTGTGTTGGGGGTGGTGGGGGTTATTCCTTTCCCTTTCCTGCTCTGGCCTCCTTGAAAGTTCAGAGTACCCAGTACAAGTCAGCTTTAAAGTACAGCTTTTAGTGTTTCCTGGGTTGTTTCTCTGGGGCTTTAGTGAGGGACCTTTGCCCTCTGGTTTTTCTTGCCTCCTGGTTTAGGGAGCATCTCACACTTGTTAGTATCTGGTTGTTGGGCCAGCCGTGCCTCCTCTAGATCTGGAGCCAGGCCAGGCAGGGGCCACGTGTGGGCCAGTCAGCCACTACAAGATTTTTGCTAAGCTTTGGGCTGTTGGCAGCATCTTGGACCTCATGCCTGGGCCTGAATGAGGCTCTTTCTTAAGTGTTTTTACAAGTTTGTGTTTTATTTATGGAGTGACTTATCCCTTCCATTCAGAGCAGCCCCACCCAGCCAGCCCTTCAGCCTCTGGGCTCCTGCTGCTTAAAGGCAGAGCCGCCTGGTTGGTCTCCACCCTGTGCATTGGGAGCCCAGCCACCATGCTGACGGGTATTTTTCCTCATAAAGTTTATAACCAGTTATTTATATGAATCTTTGTTATGTCCATTTGTTTGTATTGCGTATTTTGATTATAAAATAAAGTATCTTAACAGACTCCTCAGTTTTCCATACCCTTCCATCACCACCACCACGCTATTCTACCCCTCACTTTGGCTTGTTAGAGCCAAACACCTGGGTGTTCAGCCAGGTCCCCCAGGCAGCAGCGTGGAGGAACCTTTGGCAGGTCCAGCCAGCCTCATGTCCCTATCTATCTCTGCCACCTCTGCTCCTCTGTCGTTCTATAGAACCAGATCTCTTCCCACTCACTTTCTCTTGGGCAAACCTTCCCTGAGTCATAACAGAAGTTTGTCACTGGAAAGTTTCAGCAGTCCTCTCAGGAAGTTGGCAGCCTCTGGGTTGCTGTGAGGAAGTGGCTTTACCAGAGCAAGGGTTGTCTTTCTGGGCTGTTAACCTGCCTGAGCCCTGGACCAGGGGGACATCTGAGAAGCATGATGTTGAGTGCCAGACAGCTAGGTCTCCAAAGTTGGGCTCGTTGCTGGAGTCTGCCCCCTCAACCGCTGAATTCTTGCTGGGAGTAGTAGCAGTTTGGGAATGCCATCTGCAGCATGGAGCTGGGGTTGAGCTTGGACCACCCCAAGACCTGGGGTGGATCTTAAGGGTCAGCTTGAGCCTAGGCTCTCGAGTCCTGACATCATCCTCTACCGCCACGCTTTCCAGCTGTCAGCCTTGGTCTCCATCTGGTTCCTTGAGGGTGTGGCCTCTGCGTCCTGCTATCACCCTTCCTTGTCTAAACCTTCCCACCTGAGTGGAGAGGAACTTGGGGGAAAATCTCTAAGCATGGGCTCTTCCTGCTGTCCTATGCTTCCTATCCCCTAGGGTTAGTGGTGCGTGTTGGGTGGTGGAGCGAGGGATCCCTTGGAGCAAGGTTCTTAGAGAACTTTGGGTCTGAAAGCAGCTCAAACCTTCCAAAGCCCCAAGCTTCCCTGTGCTATTAGAGCACCTCCTCCTGGAGAGAGCGGCTCTCGTGGCTGGGGAGTTGGATGCACCAAACCTGTGTGCGGCTGGAGAGGGAGGCTTCTGCCAGACCCTCTCCCGGGCCTGTCCTGCCACCCAGGCCCCTCCCCAGTCTCACACTGAGCTCCAGATCAGGGAAGGGCCGAAAAGGACGATCAGGGCAGCCGCAGAAGGGGCGCCCTGCGTGGGACGGGTCCGTTGCGCGCCTGGTAACCGAGGGGGAAGGGAAGGGGCCTCTGGCGTGCGGGGCGGTGTCGCGCAGGTCCCACCCCGCCTGCCCGCGCCGCCCATTGGTCCCGAGCGCGATGACTTGGCGGGCGGAGCAGGAAGGAAACCGCTCCCGAGCACGGCGGCGGCGTCGTCTCCCGGCAGTGCAGCTGCCGCTACCGCCGCCCTCTGCCCGCCGGCCCGTCTGTCTACCCCCAGCATGAGCGGCCTGCGCGTCTACAGCACGTCGGTCACCGGCTCCCGCGAAGTAAGTGCGCGCCCGGACTGGCGCTGGGGGAAAGCGCAGGGCTGTATCCCGGTGCTTTGGACCCTAGCGCCCGGGACCCACCCCCAGGACGGGGGCGGGGTGGGGGGAGTGCGTCGGCGAGGTGCTGGGCACGGTCTCCCGGACCCGGTCCCGAGGCCCCATCCTGAATGTCTTCATCGGGCATCCTGGGTCCTTTGCAGCCGCGGCATGAACTTCCCGTGCCCATCCCCCATCAACCCCACACCCATTCTCTGCACTCCCACTACCGGGCTGACCCTGACCACGACCGCAGCCTGCCCTCCCCTCCCCTCCCCACCCTGAGCCTGATCCCACTTCCCTTCACTCTGACCCCCTCCCCCGTGGCTGATAATCCCTCTCTTCATCCTGCACCACCTCAAGCCTGACTCATCCTCCCAACTCCTAGAGGCCAGAACCCTCCCCTAGTGTGGAGGGGAATGGGGGGACAAAAGCTCCTGGTCACAGCCTCTCTCACCCTGCCCAGCATTTCCCCCATAAATCCTCCAGCCTATCCACTAACCCCTACCCACCCTCTGTCCCCAGATCAAGTCCCAGCAGAGCGAGGTGACCCGAATCCTGGATGGGAAGCGCATCCAATACCAGCTAGTGGACATCTCCCAGGACAACGCCCTGAGGGATGAGATGCGAGCCTTGGCAGGCAACCCCAAGGCCACCCCACCCCAGATTGTCAACGGGGACCAGTACTGTGGGGTATGGGCTGGGGGACGGGGGGGTGGGGGGAGTGTTGGAAGAGGACTCTAGCCAGGGTCATATCTGCCACAAAGCACTTGGGCCCCCTGCATTCAGGTGACCACCCCTCGCCTCCCCTTCTCCAGGACTATGAGCTCTTCGTGGAGGCTGTGGAACAAAACACGCTGCAGGAGTTCCTGAAGCTGGCTTGAGTCAAGCCTGTCCAGAGTTCCCCTGCTGGACTCCATCACCACACTCCCCCCAGCCTTCACCTGGCCATGAAGGACCTTTTGACCAACTCCCTGTCATTCCTAACCTAACCTTAGAGTCCCTCCCCCAATGCAGGCCACTTCTCCTCCCTCCTCTCTAAATGTAGTCCCCTCTCCTCCATCTAAAGGCAACATTCCTTACCCATTAGTCTCAGAAATTGTCTTAAGCAACAGCCCCAAATGCTGGCTGCCCCCAGCCAAGCATTGGGGCCGCCATCCTGCCTGGCACTGGCTGATGGGCACCTCTGTTGGTTCCATCAGCCAGAGCTCTGCCAAAGGCCCCGCAGTCCCTCTCCCAGGAGGACCCTAGAGGCAATTAAATGATGTCCTGTTCCATTGGCACTGTGTCTGGTTGGTTGTGGCCTGGGCCTCCTGGGTCCCTGCCCTGGGCAAGGTTGGTAGTTGTGACTGTGCTGAGACTGCTCTGTGGGAAGGGTGGCTGAGCTGTTCTCTTGTGACTGTCACCTCTGTGTTTGTTAGTGCATGTGTTTGGATATGTCTGACACACAAATACCTGTATGGACCAGTGGTTTCTGGAGATGTCTGGGTGGGCCACCCTCCAGTTCACATGCATGTGTCCATATCATGCTTGTGCCTTGGTGTGTAGTGCACATCTCCATGCCTGTCAGTGAGTGTGGCCATCCCATGCGCCTGTGTTGGAGCACAATGGCTAAGAATGAGTGTATCATGGGAGGTGGGTACCCAGCTGCAGTTCTGCTAATTTGGGGGCATGGGTCTAGTGGCAAAATGGCTTTGTGCGGTGTTGAAGTGTCCCCACGAGTTGGTGGGTCTGTGCCTGTGCACAGGTATCTGCTGGCTGCACACATACACAGTGAGGCTCTGCTGTCCCAGCTGAGAATGTAAACCCAGCTGGGGCCAGCTCCTTCCCCCCACTGCATCCCTCCCTTCACAGGATCCACTTAGCCCTTCTTGGGAGAAAGAGGAACCTAGAAGACAAAGACCCAGCAGCCAGGCCCGCCAGCCGGGGCTCGAGTTACCAAGGGGCGGGTCGGCACCGCCCCCTCCCTGGCCCAGCTGGTCCCAGGCCTTTCCTACGTGCCTGGCGAGATGGCCCACCCAAGAGCCTGGCGGAGCAGCGGGTTGAGGGGGCGGGTGCTTTATTGGGGGCTGGGACTGGGTCCAGGACAGGGACTGGGGCCGGGACCGGGACCGGGACTGGGGCCGGGACCGGGACCGGGACTGGGGCCGGGACCGGGACCGGGACAGGGACCAGGACTGAATTTCAGGCTGGACTTCGGGGCTCGGCGTGCCCGCAGCAGCAGTGCTGCTTTGGGCACAAGGCCTGCAGCCTGCAGCGTGAGTGTATCGTCCTGGTAGAGGGTGGGCGGGAATGTGCTGAAGATCTCAAAGGCAGAGGCATCCATGACCCTGGGGACCAGGCAGAGCAGATCAGGCTGGGCAGTGGGACCAGAGCCCCTCTGTGGCCCTGGCCCTGCCCTGCACCCACCTGGCCTGCGCTAGCAGAGCTCGCACGTCCCCAATGGTGTTGTCAGGCTGCATCATCAGTAGGAAGGCCTGTTCCCCATTCTCAGACTTGATGCGCAGCATGGAGAGCGGGGGTGCCGGCGTGTTGGGTGACTCCTGGCTCCTGCACAGCCCAGAGGCCATCAGCACGCGGTGACCCAACGCCCCCAGGCCCTCACCTCCTCATCCCGCCCTCACCTCTCTCGCTCAGCGGCCAAGGTGGGCGTCTCCACCACAATCTCCTGGATCCGGGCAGGCAATGGGCAGCAGTTCTGGAAGGTATCAGTGGAGGGTGGACAGAGCCCTAGGCCCCATTTGAGTCATCCCCACAAACCTTAGAGGGACACTTCCTTGACCAGGGACAGATGAGACCAGTGAGCAAAGCGGGAGGGGGTGTTCTGTATAAACCAAGGCCAGAGGAGAGGCAATGGAAGGGGAAGAAGGTTCTGGGAGGCAGCCCCATGGTTCCCCCCAGGTAACCCCCCGTTTCAGTCTAATGGAGACAGAACCCCACACAGACGATGATCAGGCTGGAAGCCCACCCCAGCCTGGGGTCAGGGAAGGCTTCCCTCGGAAAATGACAACTGAGCTGTGACTGAAGGATGAATGGGAGTCCTTAGAAATGGAATGGATGCAGGGATATTCCAGACAGCATCAACAAAGATCCTGGGTTCAGGGAAAGCTTCCTAGAGGTGGCGACACATTTGGGCAACTGCCAGCATTATGTGTGGCTGAAGCTGGGGCTCAATTGGACTGGAAGGAAAAGGTTGGTGTGAGGAGGGGCCTGGCAATATAGGACGGGCCTTGAGTGCCAGCATAAGGAACCTGGCTTTATCTCAAGAACCACTGGAACATTTCAACAGGGAAGGCAGCCTGGAGGATGGTCAGCAGGGGCAGGAGTGGCAGTGGGAGGCAGCTGTCTGGGAGAGACACTCTGAACCCTAGACTAGGGTGGTGGGTGGTGGGAATGTGGAGAAGGGATGCATCTGGGAGAAGTTCTGGGGGTGGACAGACCAGACAGGACTTAGCAATGTGTGGGTGAGGGAGGCAGAGGAGGCCTGAGAAACTAAGGTTTGGTGCCTTTCACAGGTGGACACCTAGGAGGAGAAGCAGAATAGGGAGCGAGGAGACAGAATGATGAGGGCCAAGGAGAGTCTGAGGCAACCACGAAGGGAGTACCCAGTACTGAGTTGGATATTTTGGCCTAGACCTTGATGGGGTGGCCTGGGCCTTGGGCTCACCCCTGGCCTGGACTCTGACTTTAGCCCTCTTACAGCTAACCCACCTGCTTTCCGGGGCCCAGCCCGTGCCCTCACCAGCCTCACAGTTTCCAGGAGACAGTGGAGCAACAGCTCTGAGGGACTCATCAGGTGCCTCAAGCTTGAGCCTTCTGACAAGACACTGTTCTGGCAGGCTGGACCAGGGCTGGTGCTAAAGTTCCCCCAGGAGGGCTGGGGGAGTTAGCATTGGCCTCACCTGCAAGGTGTCCCTGATGGGGCCCCGGATGTCAATCACCTCGCCTTGCCGGATCACAAACTTGGGGAGCCTGTTCAGAAATTTCTCAGCAGTCATCCTGGAGCCTACAGGCAGAGTTGGGAACCGGGGCCCAGGAAGGACTATGAGTGGTGGTGGAGCCCCCCTGGAGTTTGTTCTGCAGTCCCCCAGCCCCCTGGCTCAGCCTGGAGGCCAAACTCACCTGGGTGCTCCTCCACCCTGTCCAAGGCCTTGTGCATCAGCTGCCTGCCCACCACACGGCCCTCGCCTGGGAAGGGGTCCAGTCCATCCTCCAGGTAGACCTGATTGCGCAAGTCACTCACCTGGCAAGAAAGAAGGGCAACGACGGCAGCGGACCCAGCTCTTCAGCCCTTGGCCCCACTTTCATCCCTATTTGCCTAAACACAGGCCAAGGGTATGGTCTAATGCAACCCCCATTTTACAT
Organism: Homo sapiens; assembly: GCF_000001405.40. Classification (NCBI taxonomy): domain Eukaryota; kingdom Metazoa; phylum Chordata; class Mammalia; order Primates; family Hominidae; genus Homo; species Homo sapiens. Next base: position 26,284,605 of record NC_000001.11, read on the forward strand.
ATGAGGAAACCCAGGCCTCAGGAGAGCCACGGTTCGTACTGCTGTCATCTCCCTCAGCCCTGCTGCTCCTGTAAGCACCCCATCCACGCCAGCTGAAGCTGCAGTACTGACACCCTCCTTGGAGACCCCCCTCTCAGGAGCCTACCGTGAAGGCAGAGTGTGAGGGGGTCAGGAGAGGACAAAGCCCCTGCTTTTTTCCAGTCTGCAGCACAAACCGCATCATCGTACATGTAACCTCACTTGCCTTATCAAGGCATAGCTCCGAGGTCCCCGCTGTGGCACGAATGCCTTAAACACCCCCGCGTCATGACTCATGCTGTTTCCTGAGCCCTGGTGACACATGCTCCCTCCCGGACACGCCCTCAGTGCGGCACTAACCCACCACCTTCTAGAACACGAAGCCTCATGGGCTCTGGTGGTGGCACCTACCCATGGGGCCAGCTCTACCTCATGTCTTTGAGTCCCAACATCTGTCCCCTCTGCTTTGCATTTGTGGCTCACAGCACTGCCTCCCACCCTACCCAGATAGCTTCAGGAGACTTGGGGGACAGCCGGGCCACTTCTGCAGGGACCCCAGGTTGTCAAGGTGTCCTGAAAGCTGGGGAGGACTAGAAGGCAGGGGCCCCGCAGCCGAGGCTGTCTCCAGGGTGCCAGCAGAGGGCGCTGCCTGCTGCTCTGTTTCGGGCCTCTCCGCTCCCTTCCCAGCCCGGCTTCAGACTTATCCTCCTGGAGGGCATCAGACTGGGGTCCCCCAGGGAGTGCAGCGGCTTCCCCTCAGAATGGGAGGTGTCTGGGGAGGCTGTGTATCCCCACTCCCTTCAAAATCCCCAAAGGTGTGGTTTGAGGAGCAGCTTATCACCTTAAAGGGGACCCCATTGGGGTACAGTCGCTGGAGCTCTGAGGGAAAGAAGCCATCCAATATGTCTCGGAGGCAGCGCTGCAAGGGAAGAGGAAAAGTGAGGGGGTGGCCTGGGCCTTGGGCCCACCCTGCCCTGCCACTGGTCTGGATGGCAGGCCCTAGATCCAGGGTCACCCAGTGCCGCACTCTGGAAACATTCAGAGTCCCAGGCCTTGGGAGAGGGGCCTCTGCAAGTCGTGTGTGGGCCTGGGTGCCCCGTGGAGGGCAGGCTGGGCCTGGGGTGAGCTGGCTTCATCATCCCCAACTAACAGTGGGCAGCAGGGGCACTAGAGCACCACCCCCCCCAACACCGCTCCTACCTGTGTGGAGGGATCGTAGAAGGGCTGGAAGGGCCCGTCGAACATCATGATGCCATTCCGGTAGAGCTTCAGCGGGATGGGCTCGAGGGTACGCAGCCGTGCCCCGCCGGGCACTGGTGTCACTTGGGTGTCACCCTCTACCACCAGCTCACTAAGATCCTGCAGGCTGGCCAGCAGCCTGTCAAAGTCCACCTCAGGGGGCGCCAATGAGTCCCCTGGCAAAGAGGACAGACACCTGTGAGCCGCCTTTTGGCTGTCATGTCCCTAGCAGCCCTAGCCTCTGTGGCTCCCTCCCAAGCTGGGCAGTGGTCTTAATGTCTCCTTAACTGACTGCCTGGGGAAAAGGACAACGCTAGATAATAACAGCAGCTGTCTTTTATTGAGCACTTATTTTGTGCTAGGGGTTTACTATCCATATTCCATTCCCACTTCTTATCAAGCCTATCTATAAAGGCTATAATCACCTCCATTTTTTCAGATGAGGAAACTGAGGGTTAGAGAAAGTTACATGGCTTGTGAGAAACACAGTAGTAAGCAGCAGAAGCAGGATCTGATCCCAGATCTGTGTCAGGCACTGGGTTGGCAGCTGAAAAGTACAGGGCAGAGCTCCCAGCTCTGGATCGAGGCCTTCTGGGTTCAAATCCCAGTTCCTCCCTTCTATCTGTGTGACCTTAGGTCATTTAATGCTTGTGCTGCAGCATTCTCTTCTAGAATGGATGACAGTAGTATCTGCCTCCTAGGATGGCTGTAAGGCTCCAAGAAGTAACCATGTTAAGAGCCAGCTTGGAACACGCACCCTGTCCATGTTTGCTACTGTGCCCAACTCCACCTTGCACACATGGTCCTTACGCCAACCCTGAGGCTTAAGGCAGGGGTAATTATTTTTATTTATTTGAGATGGAGTTTCACTCTTGTTGTCCAGGCTGGAGTGCAATGGTACAATCTTGGATCACCGCAACCTTGCCTCCTGGGTTCAAGCGATTCTCCTATCTCAGCCTCCTGAGTAGCTGGGATTACAGGCATGAGCCACCACACCCGGCTAATTTTTGTATTTTTAGTAGAGATGGGGTTTCATCATATTGGTCAGGCTGGTCTCGAACTCCTGACCTCAGGTGATCCGCCCGCCTTGGCATCCCAAAGTGCTGGGATTACAGGTGTGAGCCACCACGCCAGGCTGAGGCAGGGGTTATTTAGTTCCATTTTACACATGAGGAAACAGGCCCACAGAGATGAAAAATGACTCGTCCCAAGCCACTTGGTGAGAGGAGGAACTGGGAAGGGAGCCGGGGCTGACTCTCAAGTCTGTTTCCCCCACCCATCTGCACCATCAGGAGAGGGAGGTCAGAAGAGGGACAGATGGCTCTCAGGGAGGATGTAGGGACAGCTGCTGGCCAGAACAGATATGGGACAGACCTTAGGTTGTGCAACTATTTCTGGGTCACAGACCCCTTTGAGAAGCTGACAAAGCTCTGGCCTCCTCTTCTGAAACACGTGTGGCGCATACAGCTGTGTTCTGGCTTCAGGGGAGAATACGGAGCGGTGGGGACAGCCGTGACAGACAACAGAGCAGAAAGGTGGAGGGCAGGTAGATGCTGGCTGGGTACAGACCAGGGGCCTGTTCTGTCATCTTTGATGGGACCTGGCCCCCAAGTAAGTCATCTGTTTGGGTGTGCCCTACAACACACCAATAACTTTTGGGGCCTCAGAGAGGCTGTTTTTCAACAGGACAAGCAGGCTGCGGCAGGATGTGGGTCAGGGCTCTGGGGACCTAATTCCTTTCCTCTCAGTGGTGCAGTGGCTGTACCAGGGAGGTGCAGATGTGTTTCCTGTTGCTTTTGCAGCAGGTGAAATGGTAGGCCCCAGCTGGCCTTCTCCTCTCCCCTATATTTCCTACCATTGAAGGGGCTATACCTGCCCCCAGCCCCTCCGGGGGCTCCCCACATAGTCCCTGAGATTCCCAGGAAAAACTCGCCTAACAGAATGATACCAAGACACTTTTCTTTTAACAACTACCTTAAGGACAAATAGGCAAACCTAAAAACAATAGCAGAATAGATCATCTCATACAATGCCTGCCTCAACCCTTTTTTTTTTTTTTCCGAGAAAGGGTCTCCCTCTGTCACCCAAGCTGGAGTATAGCGGCACAGTCATGATACTGCAACCGTGACCTCCCGGGTTCAACTTATCCTCCCACCTCAGCCTCCCAAGTAGCTTGGACCACAGGCAGGCATCACCACACCCTGCTAATTAATTTAAAAAAAAATTGTAGAGATGGGGTCTCGCTGTGTTACCAGGGCTCTGTCTTCTTTATAGATGGGGAAAGTGAGGCCCAGAAAGGTCAGATGACATGGCCTGATCAGACCAGACAGAGCCAGGAAGAGCACCAAATACACCAACTCCTAATTCAATGCTCCTGCCGCCTCCCAGGGCCGGGGGTTTTTCAGGCTGATGAACATGGGTGGTTGACATGGGATGGGGTGAGACCAGGGAGGATGCCAAGAAACGACGAAGGGGAAGAGAGAAGCTTGCCAAGAAAATGGCCCTGGCTTAAAGAAGTAAAAGCAGGTGGCCCAGGCAGATGCTGGATATGATAGAGTGGAGATGAGACCAGGGGCCAGGAAGAAGGAACCACAGCTCTGGGCAAACCAGCACTGAGAGAATGAGGTGGGAAGAGCTACCACAGCAGGGCCTTGTGAAGCCAGTGAGCCCCCACCACCCCACCAGGGTTCAACTGAGGCCTGACCCGTGGATGGAGAGAGGTGCAGCTGGGGAGTCACACAGCAGGAGTAAGGTCAGAGGGCAAGTCCTAGGTCTGCCCTGAGCTAGCAGCAGAACTCAAATGGAAAGGCACTTCCTCTTTGAGCCACAGCCATCCTTTCTGTGCAATGGGGAGATGGTAAGAACCCTGTACTGCCTGCAAGATCCAGCTGGTGAACCTGTCTGTAAATGACAGCCCTGTGCCAAGCGCCAGGAGGCAGGCATCACCATTTCTGTTTTACAGATAAGGAAATTGGGCCTTATGAGCTGTCACGCCCCAGATCATGCAGCTTGCAGGGCCCAAGTGACTCAGCCTCAGTGCTCAGTGATCACATAGGCTGCCTCTCAATATTGGTTCTTGAGAGGCTGCTTACTGGGGTCCCTTTTCCAGGGAGAGTGGCAATGCTGGGAGATCACCTCTGAGGCCTCATCCAACTTTGAGAGCCCACGAGTGTATTAAAATGAGAAGGGAGCTCAAGTCCAAGCTCTTTGTCCCAACTCCCAAGACCCTTACTTAGCACCCAGCCAACCCTCAACATGCCCCTCGCCTTGCGCTCTGGTGGGCACTGGAGGGCACTTCCGAGCTCTGTAACCCTGGGCCTCTATGGGCCTCAGCTTCCTCTTCTGTACAATGAGGACGATAAAAGTTTCCACACTTCACAGGGCTGCTGTGAGGCTTGGAGGAAGCGTTTGGCAGATGGTGGCTGTTGTTGTCCCTAGCACCGCCTACTCATCGCTGGGCTCAAGCTGTGCCCACTCACCCCTACCTCCTCCAAGAAGCCTTGCTAGGAGCCACCCCCAACCTGCCTTGAGGCTGCATGCCTGGAGCCCTTGCACCTACTCCCTTGGCCCTCGTCACAGGCCGCTGCTTTCTGCTTGCTTGTTTGCCTTCCAGCCATGCTGGGCACCCCTTGAGCTCAGGAGCATTGAGCCCTGGGCCTGGCCCAGAGTGGCTGGGCCACTAAAAGCAGGGTTGGATCCTGCTTTCCAGAAATGTCTGAGCACCCGTGCTCTGCTAGGCCCTGCCCATCATGGCGATGCCCACGCCCAGGGTCCTGCCATCCTCAGGCTCAGACTCAAGTGAAGAAGACGGGGCGGCAAATGGCGACAATGGCATGTGTAAGTATCACTGTGGGGGCTGTGGAGCCCAGAAGAGGGCCAGACCCTACCATGCTCAGTGGAGAGGTGGCAGCCCCTCACTGCACAAGTGCCCAGGGCACCCCGGCAGCTCACGCGGTGCCGCCCTCCATGTGCCTGCCCTTGACCCTCAGGCAAAGACGGCTGCAACAGGAAGTGGAACCACTATTACCACACACCTGCAAGCCAGGCCCCGCTCTGGGGACTTTACTGCAGTCACTCTGCTCTTCAGAGGAGCCAGTGCAGGAAAGGAGGCCCTGCAGGTCTGGTCCCCGCCAGAACACTCAACCAGCCTGTGGACTGGCAGGATCTGAACTCAGGCCTGCCGGGTCCCACCTGCAGCTCTCTCTGGCCCCTGCCATTGAGCTACGCACCACCCTGTCCCCACCTCATCATGTGCAGATGACTGTTCCAATGTGCTCTGATCATCCAAGCCTGGGCACACGGGCATCACAGCCAATCACATGCAGCTACACACACCCTTGCCCATGTGCCAAGCACTGGGACATGCATGACAACAGCTAGGTGACAGTGGCTGTCACAGTTTATTACCACATCCATTCAGTGGCCCTAGGAGCCCGTCAGCACGACTGAGGAGGAAATGAACTCAGAGGGGGTCAGCGATCTGCTGATCTGGGGTCTGACCCGACCTGAACCCTGCCTCAGCCAGAGCTTTTAGCCCCTTCCCTCAAGCAGAGCCCTCCCCACAGAGCAGCACAGCCCACACAGGGCAGTCAGAGTTTGCTGGCGGAGGTTGGATTTGCCCTGAGCTTCAGAGGGGAGGGAAGCGGGCAAGGCGCTCTGTGGGGACAGAGCAGGAGCAAAGGCTGGAGGCAGAAGTGCAGGTGGGGAGGGGTCAAGCCAGGTGGCTCTGGGATTGAAGGGCAAGCCCAGGGGCAAGTCACGCAGGCTGCGGAGTCAGGGGGCCTCCAACCCAGACTCAGGAGTGTGGGGCTTGAGAGGAAGGAGGGAGGCGTGTGGGGTGCTGGCAGGGAGAGGTGGAGCCATGGAGGGAGGCAGGGACTGACTTGGGTAGGGGAAGTGGGGATTTCAGAGGGGGATGAGAGGGTGAGGATTCTCAGGGGAACAGGGAAGTAGTGAGGAGTGAGGAGCTCAGAGATGCAGAGGGTGGGGGGGAAGGGAGAACTTCAGAGCTGACCAGAGCTCTCAGCCCCGAGGCCCAACACCTGGCCCCAGTGGCGTGTGACCAGAGCAGGACTGTCCCTTTCATGTCTCCACAGACCCTGAAGCACCTGGCACAGCATGCTCTGTGACGCTGGCAGAGAGAGGGGGAGAGTGAGCGATCCAGCCTGAGGCCAAGCCCCTTCATGGCCCCACCGGCCCTCCTCCCTAGGAGTCCCAGGCTCCAGGAAGTTTGATCACCCCACTGGCTCGGCACAGACGGCCCTGGCTCACCCTCCACAGGCCTCCACCCCAGCGCCTGTGGGAGCCTCTCCAACAGAGGGAGAGCAGAGCAATCAGCCGAGTGTCAGGCAGGCCAGCGGGGGCCAGGCTGTGAGCCTGAGGCCCCTGGGCGGAGCAGGGTGGCACCTGGGGAGAGAGGAACGGGGACGCCGGAGAGATGTCCCAGGAACAGAAGCTGCTAGCGACGAAAAACGTCATTCATCTGGCAGAAAGAGCCGAATCAAGGCCCCCCGCCCATGCTGAAAAAATCAAAGAACAAAAGAAGGAAGAGAACGCACGGAGGGACCACAGATATGGCCAGGGCCTCCAAGATGGAGGGCAGGGTTTTTCACAAGTTACTTTGACTTGAGGCACTCAGAGCACAAACAACCAAACAGGGCAGAGTAGGAATCCACAGAGCCAGGTCCAGAAACCAGCCACCTGGCAAGGAGCAAGGAGGTCCCCCCTGGCCAGGAGGAAGGCTGCCCTGCAACAAGATGGCAGGCCTACCTGAAGCCTGAGCCCAGCCCGCCACAGCAGGGCCCAGGGTGCGGCACTTGTGGGCCTCTGGCCTAGATCCAGGATAGACATTCTCAGAGCACCTGCAGCCACCCAATAGGGCCTCACCTCTCACTCATGCCAGGGGTCCCTTGAGAACTCTCCCCACGACACCCACCCTGGGTTCAGTTAGAGCTTTGGAGTTGGCATGCCTGGGCCTACAGTGCCCTGGGCAGCAGGGACACGCTCCCCTTCCTAGCATCATAGGGACTGCACAGCCCCCAGCTTTGCTGTGTCCCAAGTGTACTCAGCATCTTTCCCGCAGCTGTGCTCCCTCGGGTTATCCCTGACTCCTCTGGTCCTCTCCCTCATGTAAAGACACCAAGGCCACGGATTCTACTTAAATCTCTCTGCCCATCCCTTCTCACCATCCCCACCCTCAAGCTGGGCATCATCTCATCTTCTGCCTCAGTGACCAACTGCCTTACAGTGGGCTGTCAGCCTTAAGTCTTGCCCCTCTTCCCTCAATAATGAGTCCACAGACTCCTTAAGTGCCTCCCTTTACCCATCTGTGAAATGGAGTAACTCCTGGCCCCTGTCAAGGCTATGAAGATGCTGGCAGGGCACAGTGGCTCACAACTGTAATCCCAGCACTTTGGGAGGCTGAGGCAGCAGGATCACTGGCATCCAGGAGTTCAAGACCAGCCTTGGCAACGTAGCGAGACCTCGTCTCTACAAAAAATAAAGAAAATCAGCTGGGTGTGGTGGCACGTGCCTGCAGTCCCAGCTACTCAGACAGCTGAGGTGGGAGGATCACTTCAGCCCAGGAGGTTGAGGCTGCAGTGAGCCATGACTGTGCCACTGCACTCAGCCCAGGCAAAAGTGAGACCCTGCCTCAAAAAATAAAAAGAAAAATAAAGAAAAGAAAAAAGAAAATGCTTTGAAAGCTGCAAATGGCTGGGCGCGGTGGCTCACACCTGTAATCCCAGCACTTTGGGATGCCGAGGCGGGAAGATCACGAGGTTAGGAGTTTGAGACCAGCCTGACCAACATGGCGAAACGCTGTCTCTACTAAAAATACAAAAATCAGCCGGGCATGGTGGTGGGCGCCTGTAATCCCAGCTACTCAGGAGGCTGAGGCAGGAGAATCGCTTGAACCCAGGAGGCAGAGGTTGCAGTGAGCCGAGATTGTGCCATTGCACTCTAGCCTGGGCAACAAGAGCAAGACTCCATCTCAAAAAAAAAAAGAAAGCTGCAAATGGCACAAAAATGGGAAGTGATGTTTTGAGAACAAGCAGTGAGGGCGTTAGACCCTGAGATCTGGGGGGATCCAGCCAGAGCCCAGGCCTAAACAGGAGGCAGGATTCTCATGTTTGGAATCTGGGTTTTTACCTAGCAGGAAACCAAGAAGGTGTCGTCATCTTCCAAATGGGCCCCTTGGAAGCTGTGCTCCTATTCCCGTGGGACCCCTGCCCTCAGACTTTGGAAACAACAATGGCTGCAAGGCCAGAGCTAGGCGCTCTGCGTTTAACTCATTTGCTCCTTGTAACTCCCAGGGAAGAACACTCCTGTTTTGTTGATGAAGTGAATAGAGGTCATCTGCCCAAGTCACACTTGGGATAGGAGGTAGAGTCGAGTTGAGGGCCCAGGTGTGCCTGACTCTAGAGCCTGGAGAAGCATCTTTTGGGTGACAATCTCCATTCTTTGAAGAGAATGGGCCTGGTTTTCAGAAATGGCCAGTTTTATGGACCCAAATCTGTGGGTCTATAGGAGGGGACTGTGGGAGGAATCCCTCTAGATATTAGAAGTTAAAAATAAGACATGGTAGGCCAGGCGTGGTGGCTCACACCTGTAATCCCAGCACTTTGGGAGGCCAAGGTGGGCAGATCACGAGGTCAGGAGTTCAAGACCAGCCTGGCCAACATGGTAAAACCCCGTCTTTACTAAAAATACAAAAATTAGCTGGGTGTGTTGGCACACACTTGTAATCCTAGCTACTCAGGAGGCTGAGGCAGGAGAATTGCTTGAACCTGGGAGGCAGAGGTTGCAATGAGCCAAATCGTGCCACTGCACTCCAGCCTGGGTGACAGAGCAAGACTCCGTCTCAAAAAAAAAAAAAAAAAAAAAAAAAAAAGACATGGTAGGGGCCCACAGAACCAGGTGGATTCCAAGGGCCATAAGCAAACCTGGAGAGGGAGGCCAAACCTGGGAATTTGGCAGCAGCTTCTAGAACAGAAGGATTGCCTTTTTTTAAAACGGCAACATCTTCCAGATTGGTGGCGTTTTGTAGACTATGTGACCTGAGGCAAATAAGGCCTTGCTACCTCTTGTATCTCTGGGTCTCTGACAGATGAGCAAGAGAGAGCAGAGGTAGGACCGTGGAGAAGTGGGCCAGCAGGTTAAGTGGTCAGTGATGGAGGCCAAGGCTGCTCCCACATTGTCTCAGGGGCAAGTTGTGGGCTCTCAGGGCGTCTTGGGTCAGGGACCCGGGCACGAATGAGATAGGCCTCTGGGGAGCTGCCGGCCAACAGCAAACTGTTGGAGAATTCCTTTTGAAGAGGGCCTGGGGCAGACGCCCTGCTCTACCTGGCTTCCAGAACTTCTTGGCTGTCATCCAGTCCCTCTCGCCATGCTCTGAGACTGTCTTGCTCTCTGAGTCCTCCTGGTCCATGGGCTCGCCCACCCACTGCAGGCCATAGTCACTGAGGAACCGCTGTGGGAAAGAAGGGGGAGATGCGGGGCACCGTCAGCTCAGCCCCTTCCCAGGGAAAGGCAGTGTCAGCCCAAAGCCCAGCCTCAGTCTGCAGGCAATGGGGCCCCCAGAGCTGACCAGACAAAGGGATGAGTAGGGGGATCTTGCCATTTCCTGGCTGTGACCTTGGAAAGCCACCTCAGTCCCTAGAGCCTCAGACGACTCCTCTAATAAAATGGAGTGACAGTTCCTGCCACATAAGCTTGTGAGGAGGGCTCAGTAAGATCACTCAGGTCAGCGCCCAGCCCATGCGAGGGCTCGGTAAGGTCAGCCTCCTTGGCTGCAGAAATCACGTGGCCTGGCCCAAGTGTGAGAAGGAGGCAGGGCTGAGGGATGTGAACCATGTGCCAGCCTCCCTAGGGCTTGGCCGCATGTCCCCTCTGCCACAGGAAACTTCTGGACTGTCTACATGTCCACACCCCGACTTCTTTTCTCAAGCCACTCTAACCTGGCTCCATCGCCATACCTCTCTGAAACTGCTCAAGGTGCTGCAACCACCAACCTACCCGCTGCCAAGCGCATGGGCACATTTCTGTCTATCTTTCACCATCTGCTAGTTTTCCTCCCATCTCCTGGGCTGTTCCTTTCCAATTTCCTTCACCGTTTCCCCTTCCTATCCAACACCAACTCATGGGGGCCCAGCTCCATCCACACGCTCTCCCAAATATATACGACAGAACCCAAGTTTGTATTTATGCAGATTTCACCCGAGCTCCAGACTCACATTTCCAACCGTCCACACTTGGATGTCTAATGGCTGTGGCTCTTGTCCCCCTGTCAAACCTCCCCCGTGCCAGGTTTTCCTGTCTCCAGAAATGGCACCCCCTCCACCTGAGAATCCTCTGTCGCCCATTCCTCCAGGATGACCCACAAGGCCTGTGGTGCCCCCTCCAATGCAGCCTGGAACCCATCCACTGGGCTCCATCTGCTGCCACCACCCTAGTTCAAGCCACCGTCATCTTTCTCCTGGACAATCCAGGGGCGGCGCCTGCTTCCCCCGTCCTCTCCTCACCCACACCACCCAACCCCACAAAGCAGGGTGGTCTTTTTGTCATGCCACCTCTCAAACAGAAGCCTTCCAATGGCTTCCCATTTTTTCGGGACAGGATCCAGCCAGAACCACGGGCGGCTCCAATGTGATAAGGCCCCCACGACCTCTTCTCTTTTCCCGTTCTTCTCCTTCCTCCACACAGCCACCGACCGCAAGCCAAGTTATGTGGCGGGAAGTGGCACCTTCCCTGTCTAAGGCCTGGATCCTCTCACCCCATTCCCCTCCTCACTCACCAGACATCATGCCCAATGTCACCCCCGCAGGTGGTCCCCCAACTTGCCTCTGTGGTGTCACCCATTTCATCAAGTCACAGCACTCTCTGTACTTGTGTACCTGTGTACTCGTTTGTTCCCCTCCCCACAGACTGGCAGCCTCATGCAGGCGGGGGACTATGTCTGTCTTGGTCATGCTCTGCCCCAGGCCTGCCCCAAGCAGATCCTCCAGATGAGGCTGTTAAATGAATGAAGTGATAACTGTGTGGCGGAGACGCATGCAAGGGCAGTCATGCCCCTGCCCCGAGGCTCTGGTGCAGCCCTCACCGCCTGTGGCCACTGCTCGGGGACAACCCCAGGTATGAACAGCTTGGAGTGGGAAGGGCTCTCAGCTGCAATTGGAGGTTTGCTGCCAAGGTTTTAAATTAGATTGGGACTTTGGAAACCAATTCTGCGTGGAGAGGGAGAGAGGCTGAATCCCAGGAAGAACTTCTGGCAGGGCCCATGCGTGCCTGGGACCCTTCTCTGTGCCTGGTGTCCCTCTAGTTCCCTTGCTGTTTGAATGGGTCTGTGAGCGGGGGAAAGAAAGGTGACTGGGGTCACTGAGTCCCCAGTGAGCAGAAGTCACAGCCAGAGGCAGCAAATTGCTTAACCAATTCAGTGCTAGGTCCTGGGTGCACAGTGACATACAGGAGGAAACTGCTCCCTCCGTCGTGGAGTTCAGAGTCCCACAAGGGAAGAGAGATGAGGCACTGAGAAAGCTCGGGATGGAAAACCTGCCTAGGAGGCCCGGGGGATATGACTGAGGACAGTGGAACTGACCTGGGGGAGGTGGGGAAACATTTCAGCAGAGGGAACAGCAACAGCACGGCCCAAGGCCCTGAGGTGGGAAGCAGCTCCATGAGGTCAAAGACCCAGAGGAAGGGCCTCATGGCTGGAGGGGAGAGTGGTTCAAGCTAAGATGAAGAGGCATGCAGGGGCCAGCCCGCAGGGGCCACAGCGAGGACTGTAGAATTCAGTTCAGTGGGAGCCATGAGGTCTGCTAAGCAGGGGAGAGGCATGTTCAGAGGGCCCAAAAGCAGGGGTGTGCCCCAGCCCCAGACACCTCCCTGGCTCTTTAAAGTCTGGGCCAGTCCTGGGTAGGGAAATGCAGGGCAGGGTCCCTGGGTGGGATGTGACGAGGAGAGGCCCAGAGAGGTGGGCTCGGACCCAGCTCCTGAGGAACATGCCGTGAAGAGCTGGGGACTGCTGGCTGCCCGCATCCCCCGGGGCCCAGCTCTCTCACCTCCATCTCCCTGACCTGCCGCTGCAGCTGCACACACATCGTCTCCAGTTCCTCCTGCCGCTGCAGGGTTGCCTCGGCTTCAGGGAAAGACAGGGACAGGCTTCAGCTGCCCCAGCAAGACACTGCCAGGTCACCTCTGCCCTGAGGGTCATCTGGAGAAGCTGTTCTGGGGATCCCCCAAGAACTGCCTCTTGGCCCCCCACCTCTCTGGCCTCTCCTCTGACCCCGTGGCGGTGCCTTGATGGGCCCTAGGAGGCTGCCACTCCCCTCAGAGCCTCCTCTCCTCCACACTTCAGATGGGACTCGGTCCCATGTAGGAGGGCATGGAGTGACTCCAGCACTGTCCTGGATATGCTGCAGCCCCTCTGTGGGCTCAGCTGTCCAGACCCCACCAAGTAGTCAGCTTGATGCTCTTGATGCCAGAAGCCATTGTGAAGCTTCCAGGAGCCCTGGGCCCAGGGGAGGTGCCTGACTGGGGGCGCAGGTCAGCCCTCCAAGAGCCCCCTACCTGGGTGTGGCCGGAGGGTCTGCACCAGGTCCTCTAGGGCCGCTATCTTCTGATCCTGTAGCATAAGACACAGGGTGAGCACAGGGCCTGTGGTTCCCAGAGCCCTGCCCAGACAGGAAGCTCCAGAGCTTTGCCTATGTTGGATGCTGGGGAGCAGCAAGCCCCTGCCACCCTTTGGCACAGCCACTTCTCCCGGACCTCAGATAACCCTCGCAGTTCCTCTGAGGTAGGGAGAGGTGCGGCCCACACCTGAGGACCCCCACATCTGAGGGTGCCGCGCTCTGCTCAGCAGTCCACTGTGCCACCCAGTCCAGGGTCTACTGGGTCCTGCTCAGCTGAGGGGAAGACCCCCCAGCCTCTCGGCTCAGGTCACAGGACCTAGATCAGGCCCAGGCCACACCTGGTCCTCGAACTGGGCAGGTCAGTGTGGTAGACGGTTCTAGAATCACCCACCCTAGTCCAACTCCTGGCCTCCCCAGCCCAGTCCCTCCACCTCTCAGACCGGCCCCTGGCCCTCTCCCACCTGGAGCCCCACCTTGGACAGTATCTCATCAGTCTGGGCCTTCACCTGCTGCTCCAGGTCCCACAACTTCCTCGTCATGAAGGCCATCAGCTCCGAGTCATGGGATGCAGGGACTGCCAAGCACACAAAGTCTTTAGAGCCCAGACCTAGAGCCGAGGCTGAGTTGTGGGGGGGAGGGAGGAGGATAGGGGTCCCAGGAATGGAAATGAAGGTACTGAGAGCAGCTCCCACTGGCATCATAGGAACTGTTCTAAACACTTCATGTAGATCAACCCCCTGTAATCCTTGAAACACACCCAGGAGGTAAATGAACTGTTTTAGGAAACTGAGACACAAAGGGATCAAGTAATTTGTCCAACATATACAAGGAAGTGGTGTAACATATGGGTGACATCACCCTGAAGCATTGCCAAGAATTTCACCCTCGATCTAATCAAACCTCCAAATCTAGTGTCCAGTTGGTACGCAAAACAGCAGATAGAGGAGTGAGGCAAATACCCCACGGGCAAACTGCCAGACAAAGCCAGAATGCGGGGTGCTGTAGAAAACAGTAGCCAGGGCCGGGCATGCGGTGGCTCATGCCTGTAATCCCAGCACTTTGGGAGGCCAAGGCAGGTGGATCACTTGAGGCCAGGAGTCCAAAACCAGCCTGGCCAACATGGTGAAACCCTGCCTCTACTAAAAATACAAAAATCAGCCGGGCGTGGTGGCAGGTGCCTGTAATCCCAGCTACTCGAGAATCGCTTGAACCCAGGAGGCGGAGGTTGCAGTGAGCCAAGATCGCACCACTGCACTCCAGCCTGGGTAACAGAGTGAGGGACTCTGTCTCAGAAAAAAAAAAAAAAAAAAAAAAGTATGAAAATGGAAAAGAAGAGAAACCTACAGGAAGAAGCAGGCCTTTTCCTTTTCTTCCCCTAGACAGTGTCCTTTCTATGTATGAAGCAGGAACCGCGGCCATCATCCTACAACCACATGAGGCTGACATGTCAAGGCAGGTTCAGTGGAAAGATGGAGAAACCTGAGCCCCTGATGATGTCTTGGAGTCACTGAATTAACACCCCTGGAGCTGCCTCTTTAGGATTTCTTTGCATGTGGGATAACAAAACTTCCTTAATGTTCTTGTTGGCTGAGGAAGGGTTTTCTTTGACTTATAGTTAAATGCATCTTAATTGACAAACATTTGGGAACTGTCTACACATGGAGTGCAGGTGAGCTCACTGGGGCACAGTGGACACAGAGGAGAATCCAGGCCAGAGGAACATCACATTGAAAAGCTGAGGGCCTGGGTGCAGTGGCTCGCACCTGTAATCCCAGCACTTTGGGAGGCCGAGGCGGGCAGATCACTTGAGACCAGGAGTTCGAGACCAGCCTGAGCAACATAGAGAAACCCTGTCTCTACTAAAAATACAAAAATTAGCCAGGCATGGTGGTGTGTGTCTGTAGTCCCAGCTACTTGAGAGGCTGAAGTGGGAGGACTGCTTGAGCCTGACAGGTCGAGGCTGCAGTAAGTAGTGATTTGCACCGCTGCACTCCAGGCTGGGCAACAGAGCAAGGCAGTCTCCAAAAAAAAAAAAAACAAAAAAAAAACCTGAGAGAAAAAAGGAGGTGGTGATGACAGCTAAGAGACAGAGCCTAGAAGCAGAGGGTAATGGGAGGGCAGCAGCTTGGTGCCTAAGAGCTTGGTGGAGGTCCTGAGAAGGAAGGAGCAGTGGACAGTATAGGACACTGCTGGCAGAGAAGTAAAATAAGATAGGCAAGTCCTCATCTGTTACCTTGGTAGGGACAGATATTGGCTGGGAGTGGGAGAGGAGGGGATGACAGGGGAAAGCAGGGAGAGGACACCTGGAGCTCTTTCAAAGAGAGAACCTGGTTGCCATGGTTACTACTGAAAGTGACCTGGCTGGGTATGGTGGCTCATGCCTGTAATCCCAGCACTTTGGGAGGCTGAGGCAGGAGGACTGATTGTGCCTGGGAGGCTGAGGTTGCAGTGAGCCATGATCGCACCACTGCACTCCAGCCTGGATGACAGAGCAAAACCCTGTCTCAAAAAAAATAAAATAAAAAAGAAAGTTGACCCCAGCCAGGGTATAGGAGATCTTGGCTTTGTGGTGAAATGGCCGCAGAACCTTAGGCCAGGCTCTTCCTGTCTCTTTTTCCACCTCAATTCCCTCCTCCGGTAAAATGGAAGGGGCCTGAGGGAGAATCATCAGGCCCTTCCCTATGGCTGGCCTCCTGATGGGCAGCCACCACACTGAGCACCTCGCGTGACAGGCGCTGGCCAGGGGCCCTCCACCGAGGAGCATCTCATTGAATCCTCCCAACACGCTGCCCTCGCTGTTCCCATGCCCACTTCACAGAGGAGGCCTCAGAGACAGAGAGATGCGAAGTTGCTTGCTCAAGATACCACAGCTAGTGAGCTAGTGGAAAGTTCTAACCTTATCCCCAGCATCCCCAGATCCCGCCCAGCACTCTGCAGGGCTCATCCCTGCCTGCCCATGTCTCCCCTTTTCTCAGACCTGCTAAATCCCCACTCTGGGAAGCCACCCTGATTAGCCCCATCCCACTTTAGGTGCCTCCATGAGCTCAGCATTGCCACAGCCCTCTGCCAAGCTAAGCAGACTGTCTAGGCGACTTTGGGCCTTGCCAGAGCCCTGCAGAAGCAGGAAGCTGAGCTCTACCCTCAGACTTCATCCCTCTCTGACCCTGAATCCTGAGCCCACTGATATCACACCTGGTAACTATAGCCACAGCCTGGCCTGGGGCTGGGGCTGGGGCTGGGCCTCGGCCTCCTGAGCTAAGGGTGGGGCTTGTGTGGCTTTATGCCAAGCCAGGTCCCTGCCACAATCAGCCAGGAGTGGAAGCAGCTGCCTCAGACCAAACAGGCGAGAGGAAGGGCCATGCCTCCCTAGGCCTTGCCCCGTCTCTGGGGCCCCCTCCTGCAGCCAGGACCCAGACCCTTCAGGCCTCTGCTCTCACCTTGCCGACTCACAGGGGCACCTATGCCGCCATAGCAGGAAGGGACTGAGATCTTTTCTTCTGAGCCACACCCATCACTCAACATGTCCACCTCATCTTCTGCAGACAGGGATGCCTAGGTCACCGCTCTGGGGCGGAGACCCAGAGGAAACTCAGGCCCTGGGCCCTCGCCAGTGTGACGCGGCCTATGCACTGTGCCCCAGGGAGTTTGAGGAGAGAGAATTCACAAGGCTGGGGAGCAAGGATCCAACCAGAATGGGGCTGTTTTGGAGTTCTTCCAGTCCTGCTCCCAGGGGGACTGGCATGGCCAATGCCAATGCCATGGTGGAGAGTTGGGGGGCAGGGATCCAAAGGCCTGAGCTACAAGAGTCAGGGTGGCAATGTGTGGACAGGCCTCCCGGGAGAAAGGCTGTCACACTGGAGGAGGCTGGAGGGGGAAGGGGGGCTGGGATCCAAACCCCTGGGCTGGGTAATCTCTTGGCCCTCACTTGGTTTCTAGGCACACACTGGCCAGTCCCACAGTGGGTCAAGGGGTTCAAATGTGAGTGGCAACATCTGTGCCAAGGGTATGGGGCCTCCTAATCTGAGAGCTTCCAGGAGGGAAGCCCAGCCCTCAGGGAGGACAGCATGGGAGCTGCACAGAACACGGTGGAGGCCGCTGCTCCAGCTGACAAGGGCCTTTCTCGTGTGATTTCTCTCCATCGGTCCAACTGTAGGAGGTGCAAGCACATGAGAGGCGAAGAGGGCACGAGGGCGGGGCACACTTACCATCTCCATAGATGCGGATTCCTCGCCTCCTGGGAACCCAGGCAGGAAGAAGGAAGAAATATAAGTTAGGGCCCCTGGAATGATACCAGGGATAAGGCTCTGGGCACCGGACTTCAGCCAAAGCTCAAAGAGATGGAAGCAGGGCCTCTAACTCCTGAGGACTTCCAGCCCCAAATCCCAGCCCCAGCCTGGGGTGAGACAAGGGACAGGCTTCGAGGTGTCTGACTTCACCCAGTGGAGAAGGATGGGGAAGGGGTGAAGAGCAGAGTCTTAGGTGGGAAGACTACAAGGCTTGCAAAGCCCATGAGCTCAGCCCCAGCTCTGCTCTGCAAAGGCTGTGAGGCCTGTTGCTTAACCTCTCTGAATCTTCTAGGCCTTAGAATGACTCAAAGTGGGGCCAGGCGCGGTGGCTGGTAATTCCAGCACTTTGGGAGGCCGAGGTGGGCAGATCACGAGGTCAGGAGATCGAGACCATCCTGGGTAACACAGTGAAACCCGTCTCTACTAAAAATACAAAAAATTAGCCAGGTGTTATAGCATGCGCCTGTAGTCCCAGCTACTGAGGCTGAGGCAGGAGAATCGCTTGAACTCAGGAGGCACAGGTTGCAGTGAGCCAAGATCGTGCCACTGCAATCCACAGCCTGGGCGACAGAGCGAGACTTGGTCTTTAAAAAAAAAAAAAAAAAAAAAAAAAAAAAGACTCAAAGTGGTATTCCAGAGAGCAAGAAGGAAGAGAGGTAAAAAATGTTTTGAAAACATGAAAGTGCTAGACAGATGTAAAAGATTCCCTTTACTGAACCCCACACAGGGCCTGGCCCAGGATAGGTCCGTAGACCATCTGTGTTTGCAGAATTAATCAATGAACAGTGAATGAACAGATGGGATGCCAAGCCACTCCTACAGGGCCCATACCTTACTAAAAGCACAACCCAGTTTATGCTCAGATCCAAAGTTGGGTGCCCCAGAAGAAGGTATAAAGAAAAAGACAGTGGTCAGGGAAGGCTATGTGGCCCTTCTTTGTATTCCCCAAGACACTAGGAGTCACTGTCCTCTGGCCATGGAAGGATAGAAGAGGATACAGAGGCGGGGACAGAAAGACCCCTGAGGCTGGCTCCTTACCCAGGATTCATAGGCTCCGAGGGCAGGGGCACTTTTCGGGTCTTGCTAAGGGAGGCCAAAGGTGAGCTCATAGTTCTACTTCTAGAATCCAGCTGTCAGGAACTCCCTAGAGGAATGCAGGAAGTCAGCCCCTGGGGACAGACTCAGGGCTCCAAGCCCAGGGGGTAGCCTGAAGTTTCCACTTCCCTGGCTACTCTTCCTAATGGGAAGCGCTGTCTAGGCAGCAGTACCTTTTGCCTCTTCCACTGTCTCCACAGAGGTTTCTGGAAGTTTCTGTTATCTGCCTGCTCCTCTGGGTATACGGCTTTCTGCTCTGAACTGAGAGACCTTTGGCCTGGTGGTGCTTGGGAAAGTACTGTGAGGGTGGGATGGGATGCAGAAATGAGTCAGAAGCCTGGAACTTTCCCAAACTTAGAGCCTGAAAATGCTACTACCCAGGAGGCTGTCCGTCCATCAGCCAGCTGGGTGACACAAAGCCCAAGTATCTCCTTCCCTCCCACCAGAAACCAGGTGCCACTCCCAACATCTCAGAGCCAGAGAGGCCAACCCACAGGCAGGATTCAATCAAGACACAGGCCGAGGTGGGTGGATCGCCTGAGGTCAGTGGTTCGAGATCAGCTGTCCGACATGGTGAAACCCTGTCTCTACTAAAAACACAAAAATTAGCTGGGCGTGGTGGCGTGCTCCTGTAGTCCCAGCTACTTGGGAGTCTGAGGCACGAGAATCGCTTGAACCCAGGAGGTGGGGAGGATGCAATGAGATGAGACTGCACCATTGCACTCCAACCAACCTGGGCAACAAGAGCGAAACTCCATCTCAAAAAAAAAAAAAAAAAAAAAGACACAGTCCATGTGACACCAAGGTTAAGATGCCAGGTTTTGCCACTCACTGGAGTAACCCACCCTCAGTTTCTTTTAGTATAAAATGGGGGTCGTAATAGTACTGGCACAGGCAGGGTTCTGAGCAGATTCAGAGATAACAGAGAAGGTCTAGCCCAGCGCCAAGCTCAAAGGAAGCACTGAAAAATGTGAGTTGGGGCTGCTGTTGTTTTTGCTGTTGCTGCCACATAGGAAGCACTCGTAAATGTTAGTTTCCTTTCCTTTCCTCTTCCTTCTGGAAAAAGGAGTGCACCTGAAGGACATAATCGAAGGCTACTACTCTATTCAGTAAATGACCTCAGGTGATCCGCCCCCCTCGACCTCCCAAAGTGCTGGGATTACAGGCATGAGCCACTGCACCCAGCCTGGACCAAATTTTTTAGGACAAATCCAAGAAGTTCCACTTTGAAGATGTCTGGTTCTGGCCTCAACCCTACTTCTGAAGTCAGTCAGCAAGGGAATCTATGCTGCCTGGAGGCAGCCTCCAATGCCTTCACTGCAGAGTTTGAGAATCATGCCCTGCCCCTTCCTTGGAAGGAGCCCTCCTCAAGGATCAGGCCCAGAGTTTCTTCACCCCCAGCATCCAGCCTCCCAAATCTGTCCCCACCCTGCCCCAGCCCCTGCCCTGTCTGGGCAGCCTCACGGGTTGTATGGCCAAGGCTCCCTTCATTAGTTCCCATGTGCTACCAGAGAGATCTTAAAACATAAAGCAGGCCGGGAGCGGTGGCTCATGCCTATAATCCCAGCACTTCTCACCCACAGAAAAAAATTCAAAATTCTGGCCAGGCACGGTGGCTTACACCTATAATCCCAACACTTTGGGAGGCCGAGGAGGGTGGATCACCTAAGGTCAGGAGTTCAAGACCAGCCTGACCAACGTGGCAAAACCCCATCTCTACTAAAAATACAAAAATTAGCCGGGCTTGGTGGCAGGCACCTGTAATCCCAGCTACTTGGGAGGCCGAGGCAGAAGAATTGCTTGAACCCAGGAGGCGGAGGTTGCAGTGAGCAGAGATTGCGCCATTGCACTCCAGCCTGGGTGACAGAGCAAGACTCCATCTCAAAAAAAAATTCATAATTCCTTGATATAGGTGACCTGGTCCCTGCTTATGTCTCCTGACCTCATCTCCCATCTTGCCGCCTCCCACACTTGAGCCACCTCAACTTCTAGCAATGCCTCAAATGCATGTGTATCCCCCCTGCCTCAACCTCAATCCCCCCACTCCCAGAACGGTCTCCCCACTCCTACCTGCACCCTTCCCTTGGCCAGCTAACTCTTTTTTTTCCCCTTCAGTTTGTTTTTCACTTATATTTTAGCTTTTTATTTGAAAATTATTATAGATTCACAGGAAATTAGGAAAATAGTACAGAAAGATCCTTTGTATCCTTCACCCAGCTCCCCTCAATACTTTTTTTGTTTTGTTTTTTGAGATGGAGTCTCGCTCTGTCGCCCAGGCTGGAGAGCAATGGCGCAATCTCGGCTCACTGCAACCTCCGCCTCCCAGGTTCAAGCAATTCTCCTGCCTCAGCCTCCCAAAGTGCTAGGATTACCGGCGTGAGCCACCCCACCTGGCCCATCTCTATAATTTTCTTACTTCAAAAAAGTTACACAAATGGAATTATACAGTATGCAACCTTTTTCATAAAACAGCTTTGAGATATAATTCACATATTTCACCTTCTTACAGTGTAATTTTCTTTTTAGTATATTCACAGAGCTGTACTACCATCACAATTTTAGAACATTTTCGTCAGCCTAAACAAACCCTGTACCCTTTGGCAGTCACCCCCAATTTACCCTCCAGCCCCCACCCCTTTTCCAAGGCAGCCTTAGGCAACCACAAATCTACTTTCTGTTCTATAGACTTGCCCACACTGCACATTTCATATAAATGGAATATATACTAAAATATACTAAAAATTGAAATTTACACTTTAAAGGAGTGAAGTATGTAATACGTGAATTATATCTCAATAAAGCTGTCATGGGAAAAAAAAACAAAACTCCTAAACCAAATCCAACATTTTCGTCAAACTCACTTCCTCCCACTTCCCCCTTCTTAATGGGACCCCATCACCCAACCACATTTTTTCTCTCCTTCCTTCCCTCTTACGCCATCTTGCCTCTTACATCAAACCCTGCAGGCTAAACTCTCTCACATATAGCTGCCCCTTTCCATGGCCACCGTCGGCCGTCCTAGTGGGACTCTCACTGCCCATTCTGGGGGCTGTCACATGGCTCCCAACTGACTTCCCTACTTCCAGTGTCACTCCAGTCCAGTCCGACACATTGTCTCCAGGTTAATCTTCTCCCAGATTACAAGGGCCCCTGAAGGCAAAGGCTGCATTTCCCTGTCCGTTTGGGGGGACTCCTGAGGGCAGGGGCATATCTCTTTCTCCTTCAGATTAGGGAGCCCTGAGGACAGTCGCCTAACTCCTTCACTTTGGGGCTTCCAAGGGCAGGACTGTGACTACCCCTCAGGCCAAAAGGTCCTTAAGGCAGAGTTGTCACCCACTTCAGACCTGGCTCTGAGAGCAAATCTCTGCACCATGCCTCTACATCTTTGGAACCAAACTCAGTGCTGTGCTTGACTCACAACATTCTTCTTCACACCTCCTCGGCCTCTCCGTCATCCCCAGAGCCCAGAGCTCTGGCGGGGACACGGTCCGGCCCGCTGCCAGGACTCCCTAATGCCCCCAGGACGCGCTCAGGGAGCGACGTCTATCACGATCTAACCCAGCCCTGGAGGCCGTGTCGCCTCCTTCCGCCTCCACGCGTAGTCATGGTAAGCAGGGTCTTGAACCTCTCCTGTGGGAGCCGCGGAGCTCGCAGGCCCTCGGGGCTCGGGCTCCAGCCTGCGTGGGGACTCCAGGGGCAGAAAGGTCTTAAGCCAGACTCACCACGCAGGGCCGCTAGCCGTCCCGCAGCGCCGCCATCTTGTTGTCACGCGGTTTCCTAGGCGACCAGGACCCGTGCACTTCTCATTGGCTAGTTTGAGGGAGGCCTGAGCAACCTGCAGACAGCGAAGGTGGATACAGTCGCCTGTGCTCGGATTCTATTGGCCCACAGAGTCGGTATTCTTCGCGGGCGAATCCCAGAATGCACCGCTCTGAGAGGGCTCCAGGTCCGGGGCGGGGTGGGGGGGGGGGGTGGTTCGTTCCTACCCTCAGGTGCGGGAGGAAGGAGCCTGGGATTAGGTTAATGAAACTGCTGGCAGCCTCACATTCAGGACCTGAATGTGTGATCCCGACAGTGCCGCTATTTTGCTAAATTGATCTTGGGAGGAATTATCCCTCTTAGCTTATTTCCCCATATGATCAGTATTGTAACACGAAGTACTGTAATACTTCACGGAGGCTGCTTTGAGGATGGATTGCAATGATGCAAGTACTTAATAAATGTTTCCTAAATCTGAGTTTCTGTGACAAATCCTTGACCAGATTGGCGCCCGGAAGGGCGGCCCAAATTCTAGTTCCCTTGTGTTAAGAGTTGGGTAAGACAATTTCCCCTCCCAGAGCCTCATCTGTAAAATTGTGTTGGATTAGACTCAGTCACCAAAACAGCTAAAGGCAGTTAAGACCACGAACTTTGGAATTAGGAGTCCTGGCTCCTTACTGTGTGTTCTTGGGCACTTTATACACCTTAGTTTTTATATCTGTAAAACAGTGATAATACCTACCCCCACTGGGTTGCCGTGAGGATTAAATAAGGTAATGCAAAGTACACGATTTTAAAGGGGAAAGCCGAAACAGAAACACCTGTAGAGAGCACTTTTTCAAAAACGTTTCCTGCTGTTAATCATCATCATCATCTCTTCACCCTTTCAGCTGTGATGGTCTGGGAGTTTATGATTTCTGATCTCAGGCACTCACTTCTTTGTGCCCAGGTTCAAAAGCCCTTTCTCTGCACAACCCAAGAGTGTTTTTCTGTTGCTTTTTTTTTTTTTTTTTTTTAATTTTCCGTTTGACTTTCTAGCCTACCACATTCAGGGAAGGGTAGGCTCTGCTCACTGCAACATCCGCCTCCCAGGCTCAAGCTATCCTCCCATCACAGCCACCAGTGTAGCTGGGACTACAGGTGTGCACAACAACGCCCAGCTAGTTTTTGTATTTTCTTGTAGAGACGGGGTCTTGCCATGTTGCCCAGCCTGGTCTCAAACTCCTGAGCTCAAGCCATCCGCCCATCTCTGCCTCCCAAAGTGGACAGCATTCTTTATATGCAAATTGGAAGCTAAAGAGAGCTACTACTACTGAGTGCCAAGTACCAGATGGTAACATGAAATTTACAGATGAGGGCCGGGCGTGGTGGTTCACGCCTGTAATCCCAGCATTTTGGGAGGCTGAGGCAGGCGGATCATCTGAAGTCGGGAGTTCGAGACCAGCCTGACCAACATGGAGAAACCCCGTCTCTACTAAAAATACAAAATCAGCCGGGCATGATGGCGCATGCCTGTAATCCCAGCTACTCAGGAAGGCTGAGGCAGGAGAATCGCTTGAACCTGGGAGGCGGAGGTTGCGGTGAGCTGAGATCGCACCATTGCACTCCAGCCTGGGCAACAAGAGTGAAACTCTGTCAAAAAAAAAAAAAAGAAAAGAAAAGAAAAAAGAAAAAAACAGATGAGAAAACAAGCTCAGGGTAGTACAGCGGCTTGCATAAGATTATAAAGGCAGGAAGCAGAAGTGGATTCAAACCCAGAACGGTCAGCCTCAAGAGTCCACGCTCTTCCTAGAAACTTTCACTCTGGTAAACAAGGCAGGCATAGATAAGCCAAGGAAGAAGGTGGTACAGACCTACTGCCAAGGGAGGAGTCTGGGCGGAAAGTGTGACTGGAGAGTGGACATAGGAAGAGCTCTCTTGTTGCTGAGCTGCTCCCAGAAAGTTTTCTGAGGTTTTAGGTATATGAAGATGAGAAAGACTGAGATCATGTCGGGGCCAAGTGTTTTTTGAGGTTGGACCCATGGTCAGGGTGAGTAGCAACTTCATACTGTCACCTTGCTCATGGAGATAAGCAAGCGTGGGAAGCAGGAGCTCTGGTCTCATGAGCCCTGCTGTGGTCTGCCCTCTGATTCCTGCCTCAGCAAGAACCAGATCGTGAGTGGCATTTACCCAGGCACCAGGATTTACCCCATCCCTTCTTCCCACCCAGGGCCTGGCTGTAGATTCCGCAGCAGGCAGACACTCAGTAAACATCTATTTCCTGGGAGGAAAATGGGAGCCCTCTAACCTGGCAGGCCAGTCGTTTGATTTTTTTTTTTTTTTTTTTTTTGAGTCTTGCTCTGTCACCAGGCTGGAGTGCAGTGGCACGATCGTGGCTCGCCACAACCTCCACCTCCCAGATTCAAGCGATTCTCCAGCCTCAGCCTCCCAAGTAGCTGGGACTACAGGCACACGCCACCATGCCCAGCTAATTTTTTTGTATTTTTAGTAGAGACGGGGTTTCACGATGTTGGCCAGTGTGGTCTCCGTCTCCTGACCTTGTGATCCGCCCACCTCAGCCTCCCAAAGTGCTGGGATTACAGGCGTGAGCCACTGCGCCCTGTCCCGAGTCAATTGATTTTTTTTTTTTTTGAGACAGAGTCTCACTCTGTCGCCAGGCTGGAGTGCAGTGGTGTGATCTCAGCTCACTGCAATCTCCAACTCTCTGGTTCGAGCAATTCTCCTGCCTCAGCCTCTGAGTAGCTGGGATTACAGGCAAGTGCCACCACCCCCAGCTAATTTTTGTATTTTTAGTAGAGATGGGGTTTCACCATGCTGGCCAGGATGGTCTCTATCTCCTGACCTCATGATCTACCCGCCTCAGCCTCCCAAAGTGCTGGGATTACAGGTGTGAGCCACCGTGCCCTTCTGGTTTGATTTTTTTTAAAAAAATAACATTTATTGGGAAAGTCAGAGCCTTATTATAAAAATATACAATTTCACTGGAGAAACTTGGAAAATAATAAGAGCCATCATTTGTTGGGGATACATTGTACTGTGGACCAGCATAACTTAACAACTCTATGAGGCTGGGCTCTGTCGTTTAATAGCTGGCTGTTCCTGCTCAAGATACTTCACTTGTCAGAGTCTCAGTGTCTACAAATGTAAAGTAGAGATACTAATAGAATCTACCTCCTAGGATTATTGTACAAATTAAATTTTCCATAATGAGGCACCGGCCCCAGCATGAGTGGGGACAACAGCTGAAAAAAATATATACACTATTTTAAAAATTCCTATAATGTTGTTGCATTATTGCTCCTGAAAAGGTGTTCTTCTTTTCTTTCTTTGCTCATTTATTTATTTTTAGAGACAGACTCTGTCTATGTTGCCCAGGTTGGATTTGAACTCCTGAGCTCAAGGGATCCTCCAGTCTCGGCCTCTCAGCCTACCAAGTAGCAGAGACTATACCCTCTTGCCACTGTGCCCGGCCCAAAAAGGAGGAGTTTTTGGCTGGGCACAGTGGTTCACACCTGTAATCCCAACATTTTGGGAGGCCGAGGTGGGTGAATCACCTGAGATCAGGAGTTCGAGACCAGCCTGGCCAACATGACGAAACCCTGTCTCTACTAAAAAATACAAAAACTAGGCCAGGAGCAGTGGCTCATGCCTGTAATCCCAGCACTTTGGGAGGCTGAGGTGGGTGGATCACCTAAGGTCAGGAGTTTGAGACCAGCCTGGCCAACATGGTGAAACCCCATCTCTACTAAAAATACAAAAATCAGCCAGGTGTGGTGGCATGCGCCTATAATCCCAGCTACTTTGGAGGCTAAAGCAGGAGAATCACTTGAACCCAGCAGTCGGAGGTTACAGTGAGCCAAGGTCGCATCACTGCACTCCAGCCTGGGCAACAAGAGCAAGACTCCATCTCAAAAAAAAAAAGAAAGAAAGAAAAGAAAGAAATACAAAAATTAGCAGGGCATGGTGGCGGTCGCCTGTAATCCCAGCTACTCGGGAGGCTAAGGCAGGAGAATTGCTTGAACCTGGGAGGCTGAGGTTGCAGTGAGCCAAGATTGCGCCACTGCACTCCAGCCTGGGCGACAGTGCCAGACTCTGTCTTAAAAAAAAAAAAAAAAAAAAAGGTGTTTTTTCAAAAACAAAATTATAAAAGAAACCAAGAGTCTAAGCTCATCTGATTTTTTTTTTTTAACCTATATTTCTCTTCCCACATCTTAGAAGGTCTGGAAATCTCTGAGGTCTCCAGGCTCACAAGACTTGAGTGTTGTGAGGGCCTTGGAGACCCATCCGACCACTTCCAAGCTGGAAGGATTCCCTCTGGACTTCTGAGATGGGGTCGCCCAGCCTCATCTTGATCGCATCCAGTGGTGGATATTCAGTCTGATGATGGTGCAAAGGCCCTGGCCTGGGAGGAGGGAGGTCTTGAACAAGGCTCTTTCTGGACCTGTTTCCCACCTGCAGGGTGAGGAAGTAGACCCCAGCTCTGGGGCTAGATGGTTCTGGAAGTCTCTATTCTTTTTTTTTTTTTTTTTGAGACAGAATCTCACTCTGTTTTCCAGGCTGGAGTGCAGTGACGTGATCTCAGCTCACTGCAAACTCCAGCTCCCAGGTTCAAGCGATTCTCTGCCTCAGCCTCCCGAGTAGCTGCGATTACAGGTGCCCACCACCATGCCCAGCTAATGTTTTTGTATTTTTTAGTAAAGACAGGGTTTCACCATGTTGGCCAGGCTGGTCTTGAACTCCTGACCTCATGATCCACCCGCCTCAGCCTCCCAAAGTGCTGGGATTACAGGCATGAGCCACCATGCCCGGTGGAAGTCTCTATTCTTTTTTTGAGATGGAGTCTCACACTCGTTGCCAAGGTTGGAGTGCAGTGGCGCGATCTTGGCTCACTGCAGACTCTGCCTCCCGGGTTCAAGTGACTCTTCTGCCTCAGCCTCCCGAGTAGCTAAGATTACAGGCACGTGCCACCATGCCCAGCTAATTTTTGTATTTTTAGTAGAGACAGAGTTTCACCATGTTGGTCAGGCTGGTCTGAAACTCCTGACCTCGTGATCCGCCCGCCTCGGCCTCCCAGAGTGTTGGGATTACAGGCATGACCCACCGCACCCAGCCACAAGTCTATTCTTGAGAGTGGACAGAGTCTGCTTTGCTTTTAGGTCATTTCCTGAAAGAGCCTTACAGTTATGACCCCTCTGAGGTTAAAGAGTTTATTGAGTTCTACCAGCTCAGGAAGTAAAAGGTAAATAATAAAGGAGTTCCTCCAAGTCTCTTTAGCAGAATACAAATCTAGCTATCTCTTCCACCTTCTCCCTTCTCCACCCACATCACCACCACCTTAGACGAAGCCCTCATCATCTACAGCTTAGCCTGATATTTAGAGCCCTCCTATTTTGGGTTCCGCCTTTCTCACGTTCCAGAAACCGTCATGTTCTCCCCTACGTTCTGGCCTCTCCTTCCAATGAGAACATCCTCTCTTGCCTTTTCCATTTGGGAAAATTCCCACTCGATCCTTCAACAAGTTCAAATGTCCCCTCCCCCATGAAATCATCTCTGGTTCATCCCCACTCCCCTGCAAGCAGAACCACACTCTAAAATCCACTGTCTAAAAGCCCTGCTGCCATTATAGCATTTCTTTTTTTTTGAGACAAAATCTCTTTCTGTCACCCAGGCTGGAGTGCAATGGCAGGATCTCAGTTCACTGCAATCTCCACCTCTGGGTTCAAGCGATTCTCCTGCCTCAGCGTCCTGAGTAGCTGAGATTACAGGTGCATGCCACCACGCCCAGCTAATTTTTTGTATTTTCAGTAGAGACAGGGTTTCTCCATGTTGGCCAGGCTGGTTTCAAACTCCCGACCTCAGGTGATCTGCCCGCCTCGGCCTCTCAAAGTGCTGGGATTACAGGCATGAACCACCACGCCTGGCCCATTATAGCATTTCTTCTTCAGTTTTGTGATTTTCGTATGGGTCTCCCTGCTGGACTATAAATTCCTCAGGGGAAAGGACCCTCACTCATTCACCTTGCCTGACACACAGTAGGTGTCAATAAATTAATTAAAAGAGTGAATGAGGCTGGACACAGTGGCTCACGACTGTAATCCCAGCACTTTGGGAGGCCGAGGTGGGCAGATCACCTGAGGTTAGGAGTTTGAGACCAGCCTGGCCAACATGGAGAAACCCTGTCTCTACTAAAAATACAAAAAATTAGCTGGGCGTGTTGGCATGCACCTGTAATCCCAGCTACTCAGGATGCTGAGGCAGGAGAATCGCTTGAACCTAGGAGGTGGAGGTTGCAGTGAACTGAGATCCCGCCATTGCACTCCAGACTGGGCAACAAGAGCAAAACTCTGTCTCAAAAAAAAAAAAAAAAAAAAAAAAAGAGTGAATGAGCAAAAGACTGAATGGATAGGTGGGTGCGTGGATAGGTGAATGAATGGGTGGATGAAGATTCACCTTGGATGCTGTATGATGCTACTGAATCCCAGCCCTGTCTCAGTGAGGATGAAAAATTCAAGGCGGATCACACTGTGACGTGTGCTATAACTCTCTTCTCCTTCCTCCCTCCCTGCTGTATTCCATTCTATCATTGACCAAGGACATTTGGAGAACCTGGCCTATGTGAGACTGTGCTAGGCCCCAGGGACAGTCATCAAAAGACACTGTGGAACTGGGATGGAATTGTGATCTAAGGTGCTTTGCATGCCTGGTCTTCTCTTGTTCTGCAGGTCTCAGCACACACATTTCCTCTGAGTGGTCTTTCCTGACCACTGACCTAGAATATATCCTCCCCACATTTCACTTCTTCTTCTTCTCACATTACCCCCTTGATTTCCTGATGCCATTTGTGAACATCTGAAATTACCATTGTTTTTTATTAGTCTTCCCCCACTCAAATATCAGCTCCATAATAGCAGGGACCATGTCTTTATGTCACTGTTGTATTCCCAGTGCCTAGTTCAGTACCTGGTACACAGCAGGCACCCAATAAACACATTCTGCTCTAATAATACTTTCTTACGATCTTTACTTCACTTCACTAATTTTCTCTTCAGTTGTGCCCAATCTGATGTTAAACCTATCCACTGAGTTCCTAATTTTTATTACCATATTTCTCAGTTCTAGAATTTCCATTTGGTTCTTTACTATAATTTTTTTTCTTTTTTTTTTTTTTTTGAGACTTAGTCTTGCTCCATCGCCCAGGCTGGAGTGCAGTGGCACGATCTCGGCTCACCACAAGCTCTGCCTTCCAGGTTCATGCCATTCTCCTACCTCAGCCTCCCGAGTAGCTGGGACTACAGGTGCCCGCCACCATGCCTGGCTAAGTTTTTGTATTTTTAGTAGAGATGGGGTTTCACTTTGTTAGCCAGGATGGTCTCGATCTCCTGACCTTGTGATCGACTCGCCTCGGCCTCTCAAAGTTCTGGGATTACAGGTGTTAGCCACCGCGCCCGGCCGGTTCTTTACTATAATTTCTAGTTCTCAATCTTGTCCTGCTGCTCAGAGGGCAGAAGAGGAAAATGTCTTTAAGTAAGCATAGTTATTTGAAAATTTGATTGATTATTCCATTATCTGGATCTTTTGTATAACTTTCTATTATCTGTTTCTGCTTTTTGGTCATGTTGTCTTCAATTTCTTTGAGGGTTGGGCTGTTGTTTCCTGTTTACTCTCACTCCCCGTGGTCCAACCCAAAGCCTAGGTGGGGGGAGTTTGTCAGGGCTCCCCTTTCTTAGAGAATCTAGAACTATAGTTTTTCTCCCATACATTTGTAAGTATGTGAAGATGAGAAAGCTCAGCTCAGTTTCTCAGCTGTCCCCTCTGCAAGTGGCATACTTTTAGGAGGAAAGCAGCTCCATATAAAGGGCTTGCTTCTCTCAGTCCCTTATTTCTTTTCTGCATTGGTAACTTTTCAGTACTGACTTTACTGTTGCCCCATAGTAAATATTTACTGGATGAATAAATGCAGGACTACTAGGCTCGGAGGTGGGAATAGATCTAGATGAATACACGCACTCATTCTTCCGGCAGTCCCTGACACCTACACTGTGCCATGTTCTGTGCTTCGCTGAGTAAGAGAAGTGACAAAATCTAGTCCCAACCCACAAGGGACAGACCATATTCTTGGTAGACACAATCTTTAGAACAGAGGTCAACAGAAAGGGCCCTTCGAACATTTAGGAACTTTGAGTTTCCTAGGGAAAGTGGAAAGTTTCCCTGGGGAAGGGGCTTCTAAGCTAAATCTTGAAGAATAAAGAAGAGTTTGCAGTCTGGGCAACATAGCAAAACTCCACCCTCCACCACCCCAAAAATTAGCTGGGCATGGTGGCATGCACCTGTAGTCCCAGGTACTTAGGAGGATGAGGCGGGAGGATTGCTTGAGCCCAGGAGTTCGAGGTTACAGTGAGCTATGATTGCACCACTTGTACTCCAGCCTGGGTGACAACGGCAAGAACCTGACTCGAGGGGAAAAAAAAAGAGTTTGCCAGGTAAAATAATTGGAGAAGGGCTTTCCTTGCAGAGGAAATACATGGACTGTAGAAGATACTCCTCAGGGTGTCAGGAGGTGAAAATGAAGCTTCTGAGGTTTGCAAGAAAATGTTTACAAATAAGAGTCTGGCATTTAGTATCCTCGCATGCATCTCCAGCATGGGAAACTATAACACGGCTGGCCCCAGGCTCGTCCTGTCTGGCTGCCTCTTTGTAAGAGGGGAGAAGATTGCACAGTGTGATGGAGCTCATTTTCAGCAGAGTAATCTCAGACTTCAACACGGGTATCCTGTCTTCTGGGCTGGTGCCCTTCTGGCACAGGACACCTCCCTGACTCTCATGAACCCCAGAATCACTCACCCCCACAGGCACACCAAAGACAGCTGAGAACTTGAGTCAAGGGTGAGGAGAGACCTCTGGGTGAAAGGGCAGGGATGGGGAAAGAGGGTGATGGATGGCTGGGGACTCCTCCCTCTTCTCTCCCTCCCCGCCCCTCCCTCTCCACTTCCTGGCTTTCTCTCATCAGCTTTGACTCTCAGTTCTTCTTTTCTTCTCTTCTCTTTTTTTGAAATGGAGTTTTTCTCTTGTCGCTCAGGCTGGAGTGCAATGGCACGATCTCGGCTCACTGCAACCTCCTTCTCCCGGGTTCAAGTGATTCTCCTGCCTCAGCCTCCCGAGTAGCTGGGATTACAGGCATGTGCCAGCACACCTGGCTAATTTCTGTATTTTCAGTAGAGACAGGGTTTCACCATGTTGGCCAGGCTGGTCTAGAACTCCTGACCTCAGGTGATCCACCCACCTCGGCCTCCCAAAATGCTGGGATTACAGGCGTGAGCCACTGTTTCCTGGCCTTTTTTTTTTTTTTTTTGAGACAGGGTCTTGCTCTGTCACCCTGGCTGGAGTGCAGTGCCACAATCATGGCTCATTGCAGCCTGGGCCTCCCAGGTGCAAGCAATCCTCCTGCGTCAGCCCCCAAGTAGCTGAGACTATAGGTTTGTGCCACTATGCCCGGCTAATTTTTTTTTTTTTTTTTTTTTTTTTTGAGAGATGGGGCCTTCCTATGTTGCCCGGGTGGTCTCAAACTCCTGTGCTCAAGTTATCTGCCCGCCTCAGCCTCCCAAACTGCTAGGATTACAGGCGTAGCCCCTATGCCCAGCCTCTGTTTTTTTCTTTGGACTCAGCCTCAGCCAGATCTCCCCTGGGCTTGCAACACAAGGCCCAAAACAATAGAAGAGAAGTGAGGGGAGTTTTCCCTTTACTACCTAGCATGTAAATGAGGCCTAAAGTAGACTAAGGAAGGGAGAGTGTGAAGGGAGAGTGGGCCAGAGCTGGGGTTGTGGTGACCAACTCCTGGGGCCTGGGGGGAGTTTGTGTAGGGGAGGGGGAGGGAGTGGCAGGGAATCAAGACTTAATGGATGAATTCTAGGGCAGCCCCAGAGGTTACATACATGGCTGTGGCTTCAGACAGACCTGGATTCAAGGTCAAATGAGACTGGCTCCACCATTTACGACCTTAGCAAGTCACTTAACATCTAAGCCTCAGTTTTTTCACCAGTCAAATGGGGATAAACATAACACCTGCTGCAGGGCACCACAGAGGGTATCAAGTGAGGGAATGCATAAAGCATGGAGCACTATCCAGGCAGCTGTGGGATTCCTCTCATCCCCCCACCCCTCCCTGGGCCCTCACAGCCACTCTCTCACCCCAGTCCCCTTCCACTGTAGCTTAGTCACCCACTTGTCCCTTCCCTCGCTCCCCTCCCATTCATCCTCAGCTAATACAAACAACCCATCTGCTTGCTACTTTCTCTACCAAAATCACAAAATTCTAGGTCTTGGCTGGGCGCGGTGGCTCATGCCTGTAATCCCAGCACTTTGGGAGGCCGAGGCAGGCGGATCACTTGAGATCAGGCATTCGAGACTAGCCTAGCCAACATGGTGAAACCCAGTCTCCGCTAAAAAAAAAAAAAAAATACAAAAAATTAGCCAGGCATGGTGGCACACACCTGTAGTCCCAGCTATGCGGGAGGCCAAGGCAGGATAATTGCTTGAACCCAGGAGGTGGAGGTTGCAGTAAGCCGAGATCATGCCAGTGCACAGAGCAAAACTCTGTTTAAAAAAAAAAACAAAAAAACCAACAACAACAAAACAAAACACTAGGTTTTAACAAACTTCAGAAATAATCTATTTCAGTCTTCCCAGTTCCTTGAAATGAGGAACTGAGGCCTAGAGAGGGAAAGCCCAACTGAAACCAGGCTTCCCGATTCCTCACCTCCAGCACCTTCACAGAAATCCACCAACCCTTCCACAATCTAAACATTTCCCAAGCTTTCATTCAGAACCTGCAGCCCATCTACAACCTTCCCTTGAAACATAAATCTATCCCAGCCCTTCTCCTTCAGCTCCTATACCCTGCCCCAATCTTCTTTAAACAACAAACTCATTTACGGAATATCTGCTATGTTCTGGCTCTTTTTAAATTGGTTATTATTACATGTAATCCGGCAGTTCTTTTGTTAAAGGGTCAGAGAGGTAGAGTTTCTGGCCCAGGGTCTCAGAGCTGGTCAGTGATTAAACCAGGATTCAGCCTGCAGGATGCATGATTCCAGGCCTTGGGCCCTACTTACTCCCACCGTTGCCTCTGGATTGACCTCTCTCCTATCTTGTACGATCTAGCCTGCTCCCCCAGCCAGGGCCTTAGAACCTAGAGCCTGGTATTATCCACCCCCAGATCTGCAGAAAGGAAGCCACACCCCTCCTCCACCTTGTAAGCCCTCCTTCCTCTCCCTACCTCACCCCGCCTCCTCTGCCTCCTGGTTCAAAAGCAGCTAAACCAAAAGAAGCCTCCAGACAGCCCTGAGATCACCTAAAAAGCTGCTACCAAGACAGCCACGAAGATCCTACCAAAATGAAGCGCTTCCTCTTCCTCCTACTCACCATCAGCCTCCTGGTTATGGTACAGGTAAGAGCAACGCCTGGCACCACTGCCAGGACTCCCCAAAGTTGCTTGGCATGGAGGGAGGGCATACAGGATGTGAGCTCCCAGAGACCCAGCCTTCTCTCCTGAGAGCACAGCAGATGGACTCCAACAGGAAAACTGGGGACACAGCGGGCCTGGCCGCCCAGCCTTCCAGCTCTTCTGGCTGGGGCTGCACTGCTTGCGGGCTGCCCTGAGAGAAACCTGTATCCACAGCTGGGGAGCACTTACAGGGTGCTAGGCGCGTTGGGGCACCCAAGGGGTGTTGTGGAATAATAGAGAACTAAGAGACTTGGGAAGACAACCCTGAGTGAGGAAGGCATCGGCCCACAGGGAGTCTGGGGAGATGGTCCTTTGGGGAGAGGCCAGGAGATGTCCAAGTGGAGCCTGCTGTGGTTATGGAGGTGACAGGGGACACTCTAACCCCCACTCCCCTGCCAGAGAGAAGCCTGGATGTTCAGGAATGCAAAGAAGACAGGACTCTCCCATTTCAGAAACAACTGGAGTCTCAAAAGCGACTGCTATTCCAGGAGGCAGCTTTGGTAGCATCCCAGGTGCCCAGAGGGGAGTCAGTACAGCAGACCGGAGCCATCAAGTTCTTGATCAAGAACAGCTTGATCACCATCAAAACCAGCTTAATCTCCATCAAGAACAGTTCTAGTTGCAGCTCCATCAAGCATTAAGGACAGCTCGATCACCATCTGGCCACTTCCCCACCCCACATCCAGCCACCCACGCTTTGCCAAGTGCTTTCTCACTCAGCCCTGGCTCATGTGACCTTCACAACTGTGATGAACTTCTCCCCACTCAGAAGATGAAACTGAGGCTCAGGGAAGCTAAGCCCTTTGCCAGGCTAGGAAGGTCAAGGGCCAGGGCTCCCCTGTCTCCCTCTATGCCAGAAGGGCTGGTCGCTGGGGAAAGGTGAAAAGAAAGGTTCTGTGACCGGGCACGGTGGCTCACGCCTATAATCCCAGCACTTTGGGAGGCCGAGGCAGGCGGATCACCTGAGGTCAGGAGTTCAAGACCAGCCTGGCCAACATGACAAAATCCCGTCTCTACTAAAAATACAAAAATTAGCTGGGCGAGCCGGGCGCGCTGGCTCGCGTCTGTAATCCCAGCACTTTGGGAGGCTGAGGCGGGTGGATCATGAGGTCAGGAGATCGAGACCATCCTGGCTAACACATTGAAACCTCGTCTCTACCATAAATACAAAAAGAAATTAGCCGGGCGTGGCGTGGTGGCGGGCGCCTGTAGTCCCAGCTACTCGGGAGGCTGAGGCAGGAGAATGGCGTGAACCTGGGGGTGAAGCTTGCAGTGAGCCGAGATCACGCCACTGCACTCCAGCCTGGGCGGGCGACAGAGCAAGACTCTGTCTCGGAAAAAAAAAAAAAATTAGCTGGGCGTGATAGCGGCTGCCTATAATCCCAGCTACTCGGGAGGTTGAGGGGTGGAGGTTGCAGTGACCCGAGATCATGCCACTTCACTCCAGCCTGGGCAAAAGAGCGAAACTCTATCTCAAAAAAACAGAAAGTTTCTGTGAAAGGGGGTGGACAGGGGCAGTGATCACCTCTGTCCCTGCCTGTGTCAAAGCAGGAAGCAGTCAAACATCCTGACAGGACCTTGTGGAAGAAGTAGTGGTCACATGGGGCAGAACTGAGGACTGTTTTATGGAGGTGGGCGGATGGAGGGCGGGGAGGGTAGAAAGGGGACTGCATCTTTAAATAACAAACACGCTATTCAAAAGTCCCCTGAGGGCTGGGTACGATGGCTCACACCTGTAATCCCAGTACTTTGGGAGGCCGAGGCGGGTGGATCACCAGGTCAGGAGTTCGAGACCAGCCTGACCAACATGGTGAAACCCCGTCTCTACTAAAAATAGAAAAATTAGCCGGGCGTGGTGGCACGTGCCTATAGTCCCAGCTACTCAGGAGGCTGAGGCAGGAGAATCACTTGAACCCGGGAGGTGGAGGATGCAGTGAGCCGAGATCGCATCACTGCAGTCCAGCCTGGGTGACAGAGTGAGACTCCACCTCTAAAAAAAAAAAAAAAAGTCCCCTGATCTTATCCCACTTCTCCTCCTACAGATACAAACTGGACTCTCAGGACAAAACGACACCAGCCAAACCAGCAGCCCCTCAGCATCCAGCAACATAAGCGGAGGCATTTTCCTTTTCTTCGTGGCCAATGCCATAATCCACCTCTTCTGCTTCAGTTGAGGTGACACGTCTCAGCCTTAGCCCTGTGCCCCCTGAAACAGCTGCCACCATCACTCGCAAGAGAATCCCCTCCATCTTTGGGAGGGGTTGATGCCAGACATCACCAGGTTGTAGAAGTTGACAGGCAGTGCCATGGGGGCAACAGCCAAAATAGGGGGGTAATGATGTAGGGGCCAAGCAGTGCCCAGCTGGGGGTCAATAAAGTTACCCTTGTACTTGCAGTGGGGTCCTGCTTGTGGTTACTGGACATCCCTACGCCCCAAGAGCCAGCTGTGCAGCAGCACCAGGGAGTTTCCCATGTCCCCATCAGCAGGGAAATTGGCACCAGGGAGCAGCCCCCAGCTTCCCCACCTAAATTCCAATGCTGAGGGCCCTTCCCCTTAGAAGCACATTGCAGGGACAAGGCCCAGAACCTGGCAGCCTCACCAACCCTGCAGTTGCGTTTGCTTCATCCATCCCTGGGTGTTTGGGAATGATGGTACTAGAGATGCCACCACCCTGGACATCCCAGGCTCAGAGAGCCCCTACCCCACTACCTGGGTGTCTTCAGAATGACAGATCCAGGGAAATCCCCAGTCCCAGGGACACCCCTCAACAAGGTATTTAGATCCCCAGCAAACCAGCCCCACAGGCATCTGGGGCTGGAGAAGGATGATGGGTGGCTGTCTACCTCCCACGCTGGCCCAGGGGCTGGGAAGGCAGGAAGGGCAAGCAGCTGCTCTGACCACTCCCACCCTCCTGGGCTTGAGGCATCGGAGGTGGGTGCTGCAGAGATGGAAGGGAGCCCCAGGGCACCCCCCAAGGGCCCCTCCCACCTTGGCTTCTTCCTTGAGGACCTCCAGGGACAGAGGGAGCTCCCTCTCTTCTATGTCCTGCCCTCTCTGAGCTGGGTTAGAGACCTGGATGCCCTGTCCTGGCTTCTCTAAGACCAGAGTTGGGGTGAGTGCAGCAGAGCCCTGGGGGCACAGCCCTTCAGGGTGTGGCTCACACTCATCTCCCATGCCTGGCCCACTGCACCCCCATCACACTAACCTCCACGTTTTCACCCTGGACTTGTATGCATCCCTAGAATATTCTTTCTCTGCCTCCTGGAGCCTGGCTAACTCCCCACCCTAATATCTCAGCTGCAGGTCCCTGACGTGTGCAGAGAGACATGTCAGCCTGCCCTGCACTTGTGGGGGTGATGTTCCTGCTGTGTGAGTCCCTCTACTTCTTTCCTCCCTTCTCATGGATGCATCACCCTACCTGTCAGGATCCTCTGTGGGACTGTGCGTTCCCTAAGGACAGGGACCGAAAGGCTCAGTTTGTGTCTGTGCCCGCACAGCCTAGGGCCCCACCCGGCTCAGAGCCTGCTCTCACAACACTTCATTTGGGTGGCTGCGCGAGACTACACTCCCCAGTTAGTCTGGTCCCAGGGCGCCCTCTGATGGCAGAAGGAGGCCTAACATCTGAACCCGAAAGCTGGGGCCTGGAGGGAAGAAGCCAGCCTGAGCGTCAGGGAAGAAGGCAAGTGAACAAATCCCCACCCCACCCCGAAATATCAAGGTGCACAGAGACAAGGGTACCTGGCAGCATATTAGAAAATAGCTTATGTTACAACAAAAACCCTATAAAAACATTCATCCCAGCAAAAGCCTCCAGGGCTGGAGGGTGAGGGGAAAAGTTTCAAAGCACGTGGATAGTCCAGATCTGGGATGCCCTGTCCTCATCCGGCTCCCATAGCACCACGTGGTCCCGGTCGTAGCCCCGGCCTCCTGGGGGTGGGATGGGGATTAAAAGATAGGGAGATAGTCAGAGAGAGCTGGGACTCCATGGCTCTCAGCCCCCTCAGGAGCCCTCTTCCCCATACATCCCACCTTACCCTTCACGTCCAGGATCTGGCCTTCGAACATCTGGCTGCAGATGTGGCCCGATTCACTGATGCTCCACGTCTGGCGCGGCAGGCGGCTCTCGGCCCACAGCACCACCTTGGAGCCTGGGCTAGGGGGTCCAATCACCTGTAGGCTCATGGTGGGGGCCATCTGAGGCCCCAGGAGGTCATCAGGCATTGTTCCTCCCCACAGGGACTCTACTGTACCCAAGAAACCCTTGACCCATCTGCTCTGAATCCTGGCTCTTAGGGACTGTGGCCCTGGGCAAGTCTCTTAATCCTCCTCAGCTTCAGTTTCCTCTCGGGGATGGGAATCCCCAAATGCTGGCTTTTGTGAGGGTTCAGTGTGAGAAAACATAAAAGGGCTGGAAAAATATTAACTCCTCCAGGAATCCTTCCATGATTGGCTTCCAAAGCATAGGCTTTAGCATCAGACAAATCTCTACACATTTACTAGCTGTGTGACTTTCAGCAAATTACCTAACCTCTCTATGCTCTGGTTTCCTCACCTGTAAAATGGGGAGTATAAAAAGACCTGCCCCACGGTACTCTAGACTAAAGATTATAGGAGGCATTTGTGTGAAGAACTCAATGCAGAGCCTGGCATGTGGTCAGCCATCTCTCTCATTCTAAGTAAAAGACAAAACCTCTCAATGGCCTACAAAGACCTACAGTCCTTATAACCTTTCTGGCCTCATCTCCTGCTACCTCCCCCTTACTCAACTCACTCTAGCCACCCAGCTAGCCTTGCTAGCCCAGAAAAATCCCAGGCATGTTCCTTCCTCAGGGCCTTTGCACTGGCTGTTCCCTCTGCCTGGAACACTCTTCCCTCAGATATCTGCATGGCTGCCTCCCTCAAATGTCATCTTCTTCGGAAAGGCTCCCCTACCATACCTGATACTTTCTATTCTCCTTTTTTTTTTTTTGAGACAGAGTCTCCCTCTGTTGCCCAGGCTGGTGTGCAGTGGTGTGATCATAGCTTACCGCAGCCTCAATCTCCTGGGCTCACGTAATCCTCCCACCTCGGCCTCCTGAGTAGCTGGGACTACAGGTGCATGCCACCACATCCGGCTAGTTTTTTTATTTTTTGTGGAGATGGCATCTCATTATGCTGCCCAGGCTGGTCTTGAATTCCTGAGCTCAAGAGATCCTCCTGCCTCACTCAGCCTCTCAAAGTGCTGTGATTACAGGAGTGAGCCACTGCACCTGGCCTATTCCCCTTTCATGATTTATCTTCCTCTATTGAACTTTCATCCTGTAAGACACTAAGATATTCTGCCCATTTAAGTTATTTCTGTCTATCTCTCCCCACTAGGATGTAAGCTTCAGGACGGCAGGTGTCAATTCTGTCTATAACTGCTGTATCCCCAGCATCTAGAACAGAGCCTGGCACATAGTAGGTGCTCAAGAAATGTCTGTGGAGTAAATCTACCTTTTCTCTTATTTTTATTTTTGTTTTTTTTTGAGACCAGGTCTTGTGCTGTCACCAAGGCTGGAGTGCAGTGGCGCAATCCTCACTCACTGCAGCCTCTAACTCCTGGGCTCAAGCCTCCCACCTCAGCCTCTTGAGTACCTGAGACTACAGGCATGCACCACCACACCCAGTTAATTTTTTGTTTGGCCTCAAACTCCTGTCCTCAAGCAATCCTCCTGCCTCGGCCTTCCAAAGTGTTGGGATTATAGGCATGAGCCACCATGCCTGGCCAAATCTACCATTATTAATAGGGTTCAAGTTCTGTCATGGGCATTAGAGCTGGGAGGTCCCTTAGAAGCACCCAGTTCATTGCTCTTGTTTTTACAGACTGGGGCCCAGAGAAGAGCACGACTTGCCCAGGGGGAACAGTCTGCACTCTCCCTCTCCCCAGGGTCCTGGCTTCTGTGTGCATCCCTCTGTGTTCCTGATTGGGCTGGGACTCCCCAGAGTGGACCTGCAAATGCCTAGGGCCAGGGTGTCCCTGTGCCAGCCCCTGTATCAGTACCTGGTTCTTCAGCAGCCCATCCTCGTAGTACCAGATGCAGCTACCTCCAGCTTGGGGGTCGGCGACCACCACACGGCCTGCTTTCATGTCCTCCACATGGTCCGGCACTGCCAGGAATCCCCCCAGTGCTGCATTCCAGAGGCGGAAATAAACCCGGCGCTGGTGGCAGAAAGAGGCTGAGAGTCAGGGGTGCCGGGGAGGGATGACCTGGGCCCCCAGTACCCTCAACTCTGGACTCTCCAGTATCAGGCTCCCAAGCCCTCCCTCCTGTCCCCAAACCTTCCTTGACTCTATTTCTAAGTCACTGCTTCTTTACACACACATACGGAGAGCACATGTATCTCTCTCTCTCTCACACACACACACACACACACACACACACACAGTTCCATGGTCATAGAGGTACCCACAGATGTGTGCAGAGGGACAAACTGACAGATACACCTCTGGTACACATGATGGCACAGAAGTTCACAGAAGACACAAACACATGGATACATGCAGCCATCCAACTCACATGTTCTAACCATAGATCCATGCAGTCTACTCCATACCAGGCAGTTCTGCTTGCTAAAAGCGTGGATGTGTGTGGGCATACAGATGTGCACACACACTTACAGAAAGAAATGCACACACACCTGTGTTGAAGAGGGTTCCTGACGGGATGGACACTGGACTGTCAGACATCAGACATGGCTCTGCCATAAATCAGCTGGAGCTCTTAGATGGTAGCAAAAGTAATAATAGTAATAACAATAATCACAGCTAACGTTTGTTGAGAGCTGACTCACTCAAGCACTGTTCTAATAATGTTTTACCTACATTATCTTCAGTCCTCAAAACTGACCCATGACACGTGTTATCCTCATTTTAAAGATGAGGAAACGAAGGTCTAAGGAGGTACAGTACTTGCCCAAGATTGCAGAGCAAATCCGTGTCCACTTCTCTGGGCCTTTATTTCCCCATCTGTAAAATGTGAGGGGTGGAGATAATCTCCAAGATTTCTCCCAGCAATGATGTTATGAGTCTTGAATACAAGAACTACACAAATATCCTTATACAAAGATACACACACTGTCAATGGTGTCACAAGTACAAGCATGCGCAGTCATAAATGCAATCCCGGCCGGGCGCGGAGGCTCACGCCTGTAATCCCAGCACTTTGGGAGGCCAAGGCGGGTGGATCACCTGAGGTCAGGAGTTCGAGGTCAGCCTGGCCAACATGGCAAAACCCTGTCTGTACCAAAAATACAAAAAAATTAGCCAGGTGTGGTGGCACACGCCTGTAATCACAGCTACTCGGGAGGCTGAGGCAGGAGAATCGCTTGAACCCGGGAGATGTAGGTTGCAGTGAGCCGAGATCACACCACTGCACTCCAGCCTGGGTGACAGAGTAGGACTCCATCTCAAAAATAAATTAATTAATAAAAATTAAAAAAATGAATGCACTCCCACAGATACACACACACACACACACACACACACACAGGTCATCACCAGAGCACACAGATGCATGGACACAAATAACCTGATGAGCACAGAAATACCCTCAGATGGGAACATGCATGCACACACACATACACACAGAGCCCATGGCCTTACCATTTATCTGCACATGTGCATTAATGATACTGATGTTCAGACATGCAGGCACGGACATACAGAAACACATATGCAGGCAGTGCTTCCCCAAGTGAGGTATGCTTACTACCAGTGGGTGGTCCATGAGATCACTTTCAGTCCTATGTGGCTAAACTATTTTTTTTTTGAGACAGGGTCTCGCTCTGTCACCCACGCTGGAGTACCAGTGGAGCCATCATGGCTCACTGTAGCCTCAAACTCCTGGGCTCAGGTGATCCTCCCGAGTAGCTGGGACTATAGCACAAGCCATCACACCTAGCTCATTTCTTTTGTATTTTTTGTAGAGATGGGGTCTCGCCATGTTGCCCAGGCTGGTCTCGAACTCCTGGGCTCAAGCAACCCTCCCTCCTCGGCCTCCCAAAGTGATGAAATTACAGGAGTGAGCCACCGCACCCAGCCTATAAACTCATTTTTGAAAAATTAATGGCAATGTATTTATTACATCTATTAAGAAAAAAAATCAGGCTGGGCATGGTAGCTCACACCTGTAAACCCAGCACTTTGGGAGGCTGAGACGGGCGGATCATGAGGTCAGGAGATCGAGACCATCCTGGCTAACATGGTGAAACCCCATCTCTACTAAAAATACAAAAAAATTAGCCGGGCATGGTGGCGGGTGCCTGTAGTCCCAGCTACTCAGGAGGCTGAGGCAGGAGAATGGCATGAACCCGGGAGGCAGAGCTTGCAGTGAGCCGAGATCATGCCACTGCACTCCTGCCTGGGCGACAGAGCAAGAAGACTCTGTCTCAAAAAAAAAAAAAAAGAAAGAAAATCATATGTACACATCAAACTCATGACTTTATGGATATTATTCCTTAGGACAAGGATAAAGTTAAAAAAAATGTGATTTTTTTCTTTTTCCTCTTCTGGGGATATTGTCTAGAGGCACTGAGAATGTTCCAGCATTTGACATATTGTCATAGGCTTTCCTACGGTACAGCCTCTAACAAAACTAGGCTGTCCTGAGCCCCTCGTAATAGAATTGTTGACCTCTATACCTACAAAGTTGGGAAAGCACCAAAATCTGCATGTGGCGTGTGCCCAGGCAGACTTCAAGGGGTTCATGTTGTGAGGTCTAAAGTTCTTATGAGATTGTCCAAAACAAAAAACATGTCAGGAGGGCCTATGGTGGTTCCAGGTATGCTAAATGTGTTCGTGGCAGGATCAAGCCTGCTTTCCTTATGCAGCAGCTAAAAATCCTTATGAAAGTGTTGAAGGCACAAGCACAGACTCAGAAAGCTAAATAAAAACTGGGCTGGGGCTGGGCACAGTGGTTCATGCCTGTAATCCCAACACTTTGGGAGGCCAAGGTGGGCAGATCACATGAGGTCAGGAGTTCAAGACCAGCCTGGCCAACATGATGAAACCCCATCTCTACTAAAAATACAAAAATTAGCTAGGCGCAGTGGCTCATGCCTGTAATCCCAGCACTCTGGGAGGCCGAAGTGGGCAGATCACAAGTCAGGCGTTCGAGACCAACCTGGCCAATTACAGTGAAACCTCGTCTCTACTAAAAATACAAAAAATTAGCCGGGTGTGGTGGCAGGCACCTGTAATCCCAGCTACTTGGGAGTCTGACGCAGGAGAATTGCTTGAACCCAGGGGGCAGAGGTTGCAGTGAGCCGAGATCACGCCATTGCACTTCAGCCCAGGTGACAGTGCGAGATTCCGTCTCAAAAAACAAAAAACAAAAAAAAAAACCAAAAATTAGCCAGATGTGGTGGCACATACTTGTAATCCCAGCTACTTCGGAGGATGAGGTAGGAGAATCACTTGAATCTGGGAAGCGGAGGTTGCAGTGAGCCGAGATCGTGCCATTGCACTCCAACCTGGGCAACAAGACCAAAACTCCATCTCAAAAAAAAAAAAAAGGGCTGGGCATGGTGGCTCACGTCTGTAATCCCAGCACTTTGGGAGGCCGAGGCAGGTGGATCACTTGAGGTCAGGAATTGGAGACCAGTCTGGCCAACATGGTGAAACCCTGCCTCTACTAAAAATACAAAAATTAGCTGAGCGTGGTAGCACGTGCCTGTGGTCCCAGTTACTTGGGAGGCTGAGGCACAAGAAGCACTTAAACCCGGGAGGTGGAGGCTGCAGTGAGCCAGGATGTTGCCACTGCGCTCCAGCCTTTGTGGCAGAGCAAGACTCTGTCACACAAAAAAAAAAAAGAAAAAGAAAGAGAAAAAAAAGCTTTTTTTAAGAAATAAAAATTAATTAAAAGACTTTTAAAAAGAGAGTTAATCTAGAGAAAAATATTAAGTAGACAATGGCTCAAGAGGAATGACGATGTGGCAAAAGTTGTGACAAAAGTACACAAATGCTGTGTTTGGGAAACACACAGCTAGACACTCATCCAGAAAGGCCTGCCCAGACACGCTCAGCCCCAGACACGCTCAGCTCCAGCCACGCTACCCACCTGCTTGATGGGGTAGAGGGAGCCCACCCTCTGGGTGCCGCTGTAGGTCAGCCAGTTGGTGATCTCGCAGCTTCCCACCAGCCACTGGCGGCCCCGGAAGTCACTGTGTTCACATAGCACCCAACTGGGCCCAGCAGGTGTCAGGGACACAGAGAAGAGCACAGACACACAGACAGACAGACAGGTGGAGGAGGAGACACAGACGTCAAAACGTTCTCCACCTCCTCTTCTCCCATGGAGGGATTCCTCTGCCTGGAATAGGGTTCCCAGGGCGGAGAGGGAGGCTGGGAAGTAGATTTGGGGTTTTCAGGGTAAAGAAGGATCCTGAGAAGCCCACCAAGCTGGGGTCTAAGCCCTGAGAGCCAGTGACCCTTCTCAGTCCGCACTTCTCCCTCCTTCCTGGCTTGGAGGGGAGTGGGGGAAAAGTGGGGAGGGGAAAGAGGCCAGAGACCCCCAGGATCTCTGTCTTGCCATGACTCATCCCCACCAGCAGCCACCGCACCCATGCCTCCCCTCAGCACTCACATGCCCCCCTTGATCCGCACAGACAGCACATGGTTGTTGAAGCCCTCGGCTTGCAGGCTCCGCACCTCCCTGCTGAGCTCGATCTCCTTCCCCTCGAAGCACTCGAGTCCATACAGGAAAATGGA
Organism: Homo sapiens; assembly: GCF_000001405.40. Lineage (NCBI taxonomy): Eukaryota > Metazoa > Chordata > Mammalia > Primates > Hominidae > Homo > Homo sapiens. Next base: position 26,328,859 of record NC_000001.11, read on the forward strand.
AGGCTCTGAAAAGTGCTGGGGCCCAGGAGACAGAAGAGGGTGAGGCTCTGAGAGCCCAAGTCCCAGACGCAGCCCCACAATCCCAGACACCCTGACTCCCAGATCTGTATGTCAGGCCTTCTTCCCTCCTGAGCTCAGTTCTGCAGGGCCACTGATTCTTGGACGCTGCCAGCCGAGTGCTCCTGATTCTCAGAGGCAGTAAGCGCTAGGCTGGGTCCCCAGTTTCCCCCTCAAACCTCCTCTCCAGTAAATAGCACTTCTCAGAACTAACCTGGCACTCTGAGCCAGGATGGAAACCTGGGGCTTATTCTAGGCTTTTTTTTTTTTTTTTTTTTGAGACAGAGTCTCACTCTTGTCACCCAGGCTGCAGTACAGTGGCGCGATATTGGCTCACTGCAACCTCTGCCTCCCGGGTTCAAACAATTCTTCTGCCTCAGCCTCCTGAGTAGCTGGGATTACAGGCACGCACCACCATCCCCGGCTAATTTTTGTACTTTTAGTAGAGACAGGCTTTCGCCATGTTAGTCTGGCTGGTCTCAAACTCCTGACCTCAGGCGATCTGCCTCCTTGGCCTGCCAAAGTGCTGGGATTACAGGGGTGAGCCACCATGCGCAGCTTAGATTTTTTTTTTTTTTTTTTGAGATAGGGTCTCGCTCTGTTGCCCAGGCTGGAGTGCAGTGGTGCAATCACGGCTCACTGTAGCCTCAACTTCCTGGGCTAAAGCAATCCTCCCACCTCAGCCTCCTGAGTAGCTGAGACTACAGGCACATGCTACCATGCCCAGCTAATTTTTTGTAGAGACAGGGTCTCACCATGTTGCCCAGGCAGGTCTCAAACTCCTAGGCTCAAGTGATCCTCCTGCCTTAGCCTGCTGAAGTGCTATAATTTATTTACTTTATTTTTTTGAGATGGAGTCTCACTCTGTCACCCAGGCTGGAGTGCAGTGGCGCAATCTCAGCTCACTGTAACCTCCACTTTTTAAGTTCAAGCAATTCTCCTGCTTCAGCCTCCCAAGTAGCTGGGATTACAGGCATGTGCCATCATGCCCGGCTAATTTTTGTAGAGACGGGGTTTCATCATGTTGGCCAGGCTAGTCTCAAACTCCTGACCTCATGATCTGCCCGCCTTGGCTTCCCAAAGTGCTGGAACTACAGGCGTGAGCCAACACGCCCGGCCCAAAGTGCTAGAATTATAGGTACAAGCCACTGCACTTGGCTTCATTCTAGATTTCTCCTTTTCATCTTCATGATAACAATAACAACAATAATAATACTGATAATAATAGCAGCTCACATTCATCAGGGTTTACTACAGGCCATGTTATGCTAAGTGCTTTACCTGATCTCATTATAACTCTTCAACAACCCTATAAGGTAGAAGCTATTATTATCCCCCACTTAATAGGGAGGAAACAGGCTGGAGAGGGTAAATCGCTTGCTCAGGGCCCTAAAGCTGGGCTTCAGAACCAGGTTTATTTGTCGTCAGAGCCCAGCGTGTCATTGCAAGGGACTTGGACCCCAGAACCAGCTGCCTGGGGGAGAGCCTGGCTTTGCCTGTTACCAACTATGTGACCTGGAGCCTGTGGCTTAGTTTCCACATCTGGAAAAGGGAGATAATAATGGTAACACACCTCTTAGCATTGTGGAGAAGATTAAAAGGCTTTAGTATATGTGGCAAGCCTTTTTTTTTTTTTTTTTTGAGATGGAGTCTTGTTCTGTCACCCAGGCTGGAGTACGGTGGCGTTATCAGGGCTAACTGCAACCTCTGCCTCCTGGGTTCAAGCAAATCTCCTGTCTCAGCTTCCCAAGCAGCTGGGATTACAGACGTGCACCACCACACCTGGCTAATTTTTGTATTTTTAGTAGAGATAGGGTTTCACCATGTTGGCCAAGCTGGTCTCGAACTCCTCACCTCAGGTGATCCACCCACCTCGGCCTCTCAAAGTGCTGGGATTACAGGCATGAGCCACCACACCTGGCTGGTGGAAAGCCTTTTAAACACCACCTGGCACATACTATGCACTCAGTAAGCATCACCTGTTCTGACTGGGTACTGCCCCCACTGGCCACACAGTCACCAAGTCCTACAGATGCTAGCCCCTTATTGTGGCCCCGTCACTTCCATCCATCTCTTCCTAGGTGGAGGACATCACAATTCATTCTGGGTCATTGTAGCAGCAACCCCACTGCCTTGCCCCTTCTCACTGGTCTGTGGCTGGCAGGGCCATCTTTCTAGCTGGTCCTGTCACTCCTCCCTGCATGGAACATCACCTTGGCAGCACTGGCCCCTGCCCCACCCAAGCCCTGAGTGTTAGTCCCACCATCCCCGCACCACTCCTGTATCTGGATGCACCACTCTGCATGTAATCTTTATGTCTATGGGATCATGGGTTCCTTACAGGCAGGGCTGTGTCTGATTTCTTTCCATGTCCCCAGGTCCTCTCTCAGTGGGTGCTCAATGAAGAGCTAGCAAACTAAACTGGCTTTACAGCCCCAGAGTCAAGGGGACCTGGGGCAGTTCTAAAAACACTGGAATCAACCCCTGCACCAGCACACAGGTTCTGTGTCCAGAAGTCCCACAGCAGCAACTTCTGCTTCCGGGATTGCCTGGAACCAGACATGGAAACTCACCAGGGATACCTTCTGGAGAGAGCCCAGGACTGTGGAGGCGAGGCAGCCCATGGCCGTGAGAGTGGGGAACTCGCCCTCAGAGAGAATGTGCTGGTCACCCTCGAAGTTCGTCTCATCAAACAGGATCCAGCTAGGGAAGGGGAAGAAATGGAGGGTATCTGAGCCTACCTGTCCTTGGCCTGCCCAGGTTCCCCTGAGATACAGAAGAGGGAATGCAGACTTGATCATGATCCCCTGTCCCAGGGGAGGTGGGATGAACAGGCACTACAGCAGCAGGGAATGAGGTCAGACCTAAGAAAAGACTGAATGAAATCATACTGCCCCTATGGAGGGGAATTTGGCAATATTAGGCAAAACTCCATGAGTAATTACTCAGCAATCTCATACCTAGGAATCCATCCCAAGGACACCATTTGAAAACATGAAATAACACATGCAGGGGGCTATTCATTATGGCACTTCTGCAATAGAAAAGGGGGGAAGCAGCCCAGATGTCCATCAATAGGGGATTGGAGCTGAATAAATTAAGAAAAAGTGGGCTGGGCGCGGTGGCTCACGCCTGTAATCCCAGCACTTTGGGAGGCTGAGGCGGGCAGATCACGAGGTCAGGAGATCGAGACCATCCTGGCTAACACAGTGAAACCCCGTCTCTATTAAAAATACAAAAGATTAGCCAGGCGTGGTGGCGGGCACCTGTAGTCCCAGCTACTCAGGAGGCTGAGGCAGGAGAATGGCATGAACCCAGGAGGCGGAGCTTACAGTGAGCTGAGATCACGCCACTACACTCCAGCCTGGGCAACAGAGCGAGACTCCGTGTCAAAAAAAAAAAAAAAAAAGAAAGAAAAAGTGGAGTATAATGCAGCAGTTAAGTGGAATGAAAAAGAGCTCTTAAAGGGATATAAAGTGATCTCCAAACAGATGAAAAAAGCAGGTGCATAACAGTGCTTATAGCAAACTTCCTTTAAAAAACTGAGATATAATTCACATGCCATAAAATTCACACTTTTTGTTGTTGTTATTGTTGTTGTTGTTGTTGAGATGGAGTTTCCCTATTGTTGCCCAGGCTGGAGTGCAATGGCGCGATCTCAGCTCACTGTAACCTCCGCCTCCTGGGTTTAAGCAATTCTCCTGCATCAGCCTCCTGAGTAGCTGGGACTACAGGCATGCGCCACCACACCCAGCTAATTTTGTATTTTTAGTAGAGATGGGGTTTCACCGTGTTGGCCAGGCTGGTCTCAAGCTCCTAACCTCAAGTGATCCACCCACCTCGGCCTCCCAGAGTGCTGGGATTACAGGCATGAGCCACTGCACCTGGCCAAAATTCACACTTTTAAGGTGTACAATTTAGTGTTTTTTTTATTATATTAACCCAGTTATAGTATGTTCCCTTTTATGTAATAAAATGGAGGAGAAGGAAAACAAAATATAAATATTTGGCTTCTATAGTTATATGGAAATGTATGAGTGTATATTTGCTTATATCTTAACAACAACAAAAAAGCCAGTGGATGAACACACCAAACCCCAAAAAAAAAAAAAAAAAAAAAAAAAAAAAAAAGATTTCTAACAGCGGGAGAGAGGGAGGGAAAAAGTTGGCAGGGACAGAGATGAAAGCTGTTGGCTTTGGAACTGTTATAGGCTGAATGTCTGTGTCCTCCCAAAATCATATGCTAAAGCCATAACCCTCAATGTAATGTTATTCAGAGGTGGGGCCTTTAGGAGGTAATTCGGTTTAGAGGGGGTCATGAGGGTGAGACCCCATGATGGGATTAGTGTCCTTAAAAGAAGAGGAAGAGGCCGGGTGCCGTGGCTCACGCCTATAATCCCAACACTTTGGGAGGGCGAGGTGGGCGGATCACCTGAGGTCGGGAGTTCGAGGCCAGCCTGACCAACATGAAGAAACCCCATCTCTGCTAAAAATACAAAAATTAGCCGGGTGTGGTGGTTCATGCCTATAATCCCAGGTACTCAAGAGGCTGAGGCAGGAGAGTTGCTTGAACCCGGGAGGCAGAGGTTTCAGTGAGCCGAGATTGCGCCATTGCACTCCAGCCTAGGCAACAAGAGTGAAACTCCACCTCAAAAAAAAAAAAAGAAGAGGAAGAGACAGGAGCTCATATTCTCTCTCTTCACTACATGAGAACACAGCAAGAAGGTGGCCTTCTGCAAGCCAGGAAGAAAGGCCTCACTCTGGAAGTGAAGTGGCCAGCACCTTGATCTTGAATTTCCTAGTCTCCAGAACTGTGAGAGAATAAATTTCTCTTATTTAAACCACACAGACTATGGTATTTTGTGATAGCAGCCTGAGCTAAGGCACCATGTAAATATTTCATGTAATAATTATTATTTTAGAGATAAAATCTCACTCTGTTGCCCAGGCTGGAGTGCAGTAGTGTGATCATAGTTTACTGCAGCCTCCAACTCCTGGGCTCAAACAATCCTCCCATCTCAGCCTCCTGAGTAGGTAGTACTATAGGTGCATGACACCACATCCACCTAATTAAAAATTTTTTTGTCAAGACAGGGTCTCCTTATGTTGCCCAGGTGATTCTTGAACTCCTGGACTCCTGCCTCAGCCTCCCAAAGTGCTGGGATTACAGGCATGAGCCACTGTGCCCAGCTTCATGGTAATTATTCATAGGAAAACAGAACTAGGGCCAGGTGCAGTGGCTCACACCTGTAATCCCAACACTTTGGGAGACCAAGAAGGGAGGATTGCTTGAGCCCAGAAGTTTGAAACCAGCCTAAGTAACAAAGTGAGACCCCCATCTCTACAAAAAAGTTAAAAAATTAGCCGGGCGCGGTGGCGTGCACCTATGGTCCCAGGTCTCAGGAGGCTGAAGTAGGAGAATCCCTTGAGCCCAGGAGGTCAAGGCTGCACTGAGCTGTGTTCACACCACTGCACTCCAGCCTGAATAAGAAAGTGAGACCCTGTCTCAAACAAAAACAAAAACAAATCCAGAAATAGATAAAAATGAAAAATATTCCTTAAAACTGAAAATAAATTAAATTAATGAACCTAATTGTATATTAGGTTGGTGACATAACCACACACACAAAAGTATTATTTCAAATGTGTTTAAGACACGGTAATTTGAACGAATATATAACAAATAGGTTATAGGTGAATATCTTGAGGACAAAAAGAACCACAAGAAGCCAGGCACGGTGGCTCATGCCTGTAATCCCAGCACTTTGGGAGGCCGAGGGGGGCGGATCATGAGGTCAAGAGTTTGAGACCAGCCTGACCAACATCATGAAACCCCATCTCTACTAAAAATACAAAAATTAGCTGGGCGTGGTGGCGGGTGCCTGTAATCCCAGCTACTCAGGCGGCTGAAGCAGGAGAATTGCTTGAACCGGGAGGCAGAGGCTGCAGTGAGCTGAGACAGTGCCACTGCACTCCAGTCTGGGCGACAGAGCGAGACTCCATCTCAAAAAAACAAACAAACAAAACAAACAAACAAACAAACAAAAAACAGGAAACTCCCAACAGCATTCAGTGGTTTTTACTATTAGTTGTAATAAGGGCATTATAACTTTGAAACACCTAGCATGCAGATTTTGGTCTCTACCATTTGCCACTAAAAAGAACCAGGGTTCCTTGGCAAATAGCCAATTCTAGATTTGGAGCAAAAAAAAAAAAAAATGTACAAAATGATCCTGGAGCATCTTATTATATCAAGAAAGTTATCAAAACTACTGGGGTCGCCGGGCGCAGTGGCTCACGCCTGTAATCCCAGCACTTTGGGAGGCCGAGGTGGGCGGATCACCTGATGTTGGGAATTCAACACCAGCCTAATCCACATGGAGAAACCCCATCTCTACTAAAAATACAAAATTAGCCGGGCTTGGTGGCCCATGCCTATAATCCCAGCTACTTGGGAAGGCTGAGGCAGGAGAATCGCTTGAACCTGGGAGGCGGAGGTTGCGGTGAGCTGAGATCGCGCCACTGCACTCCAGCCTGGGCAACAGAGCAAAACTCTGTCTCAAAACAAAACAAAACAATACAAAAAAAACTACTGGGGTCGGCCAGGCACGGTGGCTCATGCCTGTAATCCCAGCACTTTGGAAGGCCGAGGTGGCGGATAGCTTGAGCCCAGGAGTTTGAGATCAGCCTGGCCAACATGAGGAAACCTGGCCCAAGGACCTTATTTGGATGCTGAGAAAAACAAGTTAATTTCACAAAGGCATTTTTGAGACAATGGGAGAAATCTGAACACGGACTGGGTATTGGGTAATATGAATAAATTGTTATTAATTTTATTAGATGTGATAATGACTTGTAGCTACGTGGGGAAAATGTTCTTTCATATTAGAGACACACGTTGAAGTGTGTACCCATGAAATTTTACGTTGGGTCAGGGATTTAAAATACTCCACCGAAAATTTAAAAGAGCACACGGATAGAGGAAACAAGATTTATCTTTATATTATACAATCTACAGTTTTACATTTTCCATTAAAACCTTATTTTGTTTTAAAATTGCGCAAGACAGAACAGTTCATCGCAAGGTAGCCAAAGGAAGGAAATCATTTGAAAGACTCTCCTCCTGCAGCCCCGCCTCTGCCCCAGCGCCCCCAGCCCTCCGCCCCTCCACGTTCTCACCTGCCGCCGTGGACCCGGCAGGACTGAGGTCGGAAGGAGGCGGGCAGAGCGGCCTGGTCATCTTCGAAAGAGAAGTGGTCGCCCAGAAAGTCGGGGCGGGAGAAAAGCTGAATCTGGAGGCAGAGAGGGGAGATGAGGGGAAGGAGGACGATGGAGTGGGGCCGAGAACAGCGGGGAGGGGAAAGGTCCGAAATGAGGGGAGAGACGTGAGCCCAGCGGCTCCCTGCGGAGTCCCTGCCTTACCTTTGAGACGAAGTGCAGATCGTGCTCCCCGACCTGAAGGTAGGGACCGAATCGAGAATTAGGGAGGGTGCCGGCCCCTAGCCTTGTCTTCTCTAGGTTTCAGTACCGTCCACCCCGCGGCCGCGCCCTCGGCCCCGCCCCCTTCTAAGGCCCCGCCCCAAGCGCCCAGGCAGGTCCTCCAGCCCGCTACCTCTGCGTGGGGGCGGGGCGCACCCGAACTCCAGGTCCCGCCACCGGGGAGGCCCCGCCCCCCGCGGCCGGCACGCACCTGTAGGACCGGCTGCAGCGAGGCGAGGGTGCTGTTGCCAGCGCCCCAGTCCTCGCAGTTACGATACACGCCCTTCTCCAGCACGTACTGTTCCCCGGAGAAGCCCACCTCCTGGTAGGCCACCCACCTGCAGGAAGGGCGGGGCGCGAGTCAGCTGGGACGGAGCCTGCACCTCTCCTGGAACCGCCCCCGGCTCGCCCGGGCCCGCCCCGCTCCCGGAGCCCGGGTCACTTACACGCCGCTGAGCACGTGGATGGCCTGTGTGCTGGGGCCGTGTTGCACCAGCTCCACATCCGGCAATGCCTTGCTCACCTCCACGCCGTGCCCCTCGAAGTCCATGGCCTCAAATAGCACGACGGCCGGGTCCCCGAAGTCCTGGGTCCCCAGGGACAGTCAGGTCTCTCCCGCCCACAAACCGAAACCCCTGGGAGTGCCCAGACCCCAGGGTCACAGCCCACCCGGGGAATTAGGGGTGAGGCTGTCAGTACGACCTGGAGAAGAGCAGCAGGGGAAGAGAGGCTAGACCTCTGGGAACACTTACAGGGAGAACACGGAGAGGGGGTACAAATTCTTCCCTCCACAAACTGTACTGGGGGAGGTCTGGCTGTGGCCAGAGGCAGAGGGATGGGCCAATTGCCTTTGCTTACCGTCCGGATGACCCGGAGGGAGGTCAGCAACTCGTCATAGCCTCCCCAGTGTGACCAGTCTGGGTATTCCCCCTCCTCCAGCAGATACTGGTGGCCCCGGAAGCCCTCCTTCTCGTAGCCCACCCAGCTGGGAAAAGCAGGAGGACAGACAGGCAGGTTCAGTCATAGGAGGCCCATGGATGAATGAGACAGCTGTCCCCACCCCTACGCAGCCCAGGTCACTCCCCACTCCCAAGGGTAAAGGCCAGAGGTGATGAAATAGAAGGAAGGGTCCTGAGTTCTCACCAGCCTCCGAGAACTCTCAGGGACCCCACAGAGGCCAGGTGGGGGCTCTGGCTGTCCTCTGGCTGCTGAAGGTTGTAGATGTCTCGGCTCACTTCCCAGCTGCGGCCCTGAAAGCCTGGGGCCTCATACACCACAGCCTGGGGGAAAGGGGCTGTCAGGAGTCATCTGGACCCAAACACACCCAGCCAGCTCAGGAATGGCTCTGCCCAGCATCAGGCCAATGTGGCACCCCCCAGCCCTCCCACCTCCTTGCTGAACTCCATCCCCTTACCCAATTCCTATCTCTACTCTGACCTCTGACCTTCTTACACATCAAAAGCCAGTTCCCAGTGAGCCCATCAGGTCCCATCCCCCCAGACCGTGCTTCTGGCCCCCAGTGCCCTCCTCTCTGGATTTCCTGTCCAGACCACGATAACCAAACACCTGCACCCCGCCACCAAAGGCCCTCTTTGGCTCTTAAGCCCAGACTCTTACCCTGGGCTCCCCTGGCTTCTCCACACTTGGGCAGCCCTGCAGAGGAGACAGAGCTGAGACACCAGCCCAGAGATGGGAAAGACAGATGGGGCTGCGGATCTAGGATTTTCCTGATCCTGAGAACCCCAACCCCATGTCTTCCCTTTTCCCCTACCTCTTAGGTTAATCCCTACCTCTCCTCCCACTCCCATTCCCAATAGAAGCTCCCAGGAAGCAGTCTCCAAGGGGTGCTGTTTTACACTTCATCCCCCATCCCTTCCCACAGACTGCAGGACCAGCTACTTGGGACCAGGGGCAGAGCCTAGACCTCCTGGCCTGTGGGTGTGCCCTGTTCTTTACCAATCTCATGGGCTTCAGGGAGCCCACGCTGGGGTCCGATGTGCCCCAGGCCTCTGAGGTGGGGTACTCTCCAGGTTCCAGGATGTAGGGAGTGTCTTCGAATAATGGTTTGGGGTACAGTAGCCACCTAGGGGAAACAGAGAGGCTGCTGCACCCTAGCAGAGAGACTTCAAGGGACACAGATTGGTGGGCGGGAGGGAAGGTTTAGAGTGGAAAAGGAGGTTTTCTGGGGAGGTTCCCATCAGTCTCGTATAATCTCTTGCAGTAGCCACATTGGTCTCCCTTCCTCTGGCTTTGCCTTCTCTAATTTCACACAGCAGCTGGAGCATTTTTCTCTAGCATGCATGGAAAACTGCTTCAATAACCCCAGTAGTTCCCTGTTAGCCTCACAATAAAGCCCGGCTATGCAAAGAGGCTCTGCAATCTGGCCTCTTCCTTCTCCCTGGGCCTCAGTTCTTCCCACTTGTTGCTTATGCTGGCTACACTGAAAATTTGAAGCTTAGCTGTCTCCTCTCTGGGCCTTTGCATGTGCTATTCCCTCTGCCAGATATACTCTTTTCCCCATTTATTCAATTGACAAATATTTAGAAGCATCTGCTCTGTGCCAGACCCTGCTACAGGCATCAGGGATACAGTGGTGAACAAGCATACACAATCTCTGCCCTCATGGAGCTTAGATTCTTGGCCAACTCATCCCAGCATGGTGTCTCCTCCTCCAGGAGGGTTTCTCTGACTTCCACACTCTGCCTCTCATGGTATGGTGTTTTTCTGTGCTCCCTCACCCCAAAACACTGAATTGCTATTGTCTGCTTACTTGCCTGTCCCCACCAGTGGACTGAGCACTCCTGAAGGCAGGAACTGTGTTCTGTCACCTCTGTGTCCCCAGCACCCAGCACAGTGAATGTCAAATGAGGGGATTCTAGAATAGACCAGACTCACAGTCCTGCAGAGACGGTGGCAGATGCCACCTGCAGGGGCTTCTCCAGACCCTGGGAATTCTTCAAGGCCTCTGTTAGCTTCACTTGCTCCCCCTTGAGGCCCTCCTCAGAGAAGAGGCTGATTTCCGGGGTGCTGTAGTCCTGTGGAAGGAGGGGGAAAATTAAATATAGATAAACAGCCAGGCGTGGTGGCTCACGCCTGTAATCCCAGCACTTTGGGAGGCCGAGGCGGGCAGATCACCTGAGGTCAGCAGTTCGAGACCAGCTGACCAACATGGAGAAACCCAGTCTCTACTAAAAATACAAAATTAGCTGGGCATGCCCGTAATCCCAGCTACTCGGGAGCCTGAGGCAGGAGAATTGCTTGAACCTGGGAGGCAGAGGTTGCGGTGAGCCGAGATCATGCCATTGCACTCAAGCCTGGGCAATAAGAGTGAAACTCCGTCTCAAAACAAAAAAAAAAAAGAAAGAAAAGATATATAAATAGCCCCCCTTGGACAACACCCCGCTTCCCCAAGTCCATTTAGCCAAGGCTCCAAATAGCTTCTGAGAAAACCTTTGTAGCCATTCCCCCAGAGACCAGGAAAGTGACTAGGGTGGTCTTTGCAAGGTCAGCCAGCCAAGCCTAAGACCAAAGCCTGTGCTGGTCCTTTGCTGAACCTTTGGGACCTGGGACAGAAGTTCCCGGGAGAACCTGCAAAGTGCCAGGCCCATAGCCTTGCCTCTGGGTAGCCTGACTTCCAGCCTGGTGGGAGGATGGGCAAGATGGACAGCCACTTCCTGAGTTCCAACTTTGACTCCTTCTTTAGGTACGGTTCCTGCCTCTGTCCAGACTGGCTTTGCCTGCACGTCATCCCAGGAAGCAGCAGATCCTCTTTGTATTCTGAGTGTTTCTTCCCCACCAGGACCATTTTCATTCACTCACTCATTCATCAAATATGTACGAAGCATCTACTGCATGCAAGGCACTGTGCTAAGGTCATGTCCTACCCTATCTCATTTAGTCCTCCCAGTGGGCATTATTCATCCAGTCACAGGTAAGGAAAGTGAGGCACGGAGAAGTTAAGCAACCTGCCCAAGGTCACACAGCTTGTAAGTAGCAGAGCAGTATAGTTTTTGTTCACTGTTGCAACCCAGCACCTCCCATGTGCTTGGCATACAACAGGCACCTAATCAATGCTGAATGAATCAAAGGAATCCAGAAACATCTGACTTCAAAGCCTTTACCTCCCACATGAAGACAAATTTATTGTCAGAAGTTCACAATTAATTGTCCACAAACATTTGTGTGTTTCTGGAGAGGCTTTGTTTTTTTTGTTGCTTTTTTTGTTTTTGTTTTTTGAAATGGAGTTTTGCTCTTGTTGCCCAGGCTGGATTGCAGTGGTGTGATCTTGGCTCACCGAAACCTCTGCCTCCCGGGTTCAAGCGATTCTCCTGCCTCAGCCTCCCAAGTAGCTGGGATTACAGGCACCCGCCACCATGCCCGGCTAATTTTTTGTATTTTTTTTAGTAGAGACAGGGTTTCATCAGGTTGGCCAGGCTGGTCTTGAATTCCTGACCTCAGGTGATCCACCTGCCTCAGCCTCCCAAAGTGTTGGGATTACAGGCGTGAGCCACCGCGTCCAGCCTCTGGAGAGGCTTTGTAAACTATCCCCTCCTCCTGGGCCACTGTCCTAGTTAAGCCTAATGAGCGCTCATCATCTCCTACCAGGAAGATTGCAACAGCTCTGGACTCAGTTATTCATTCTTTCATTAGAAACGAAAATCAGGCCGGGCGCAGTGGCTCACGCCTGTAATCCCAGCACTTTGAGAGGCCGAGATGGGTGGATCACGAGGTCAGGAGATCGAGACCATCCTGGCTAACACGGTGAAACCCCGTCTCTGCTAAAAATACAAAAAAAAATTAGCCGGGCATAGTGGCAGGTGCCTGTGGTCCCAGCTACTTGGGAGGCTGAGGCAGGAGAATCGCGTGAACCCAGGAGGCGGAGGCTGCTGTGAGCCGAGATCATACCACTGCACTCCAGCCTGGGCAACAGAGCGAGACTCTGTCTCAAAAAAAAATAAAAAAATCAAACAAACCAAAAGAACCAAAATGCCTGATAGACACTGCTTTTACAGTCATTGCTCTTCCTTCTCGTGTCAAGCTTAATTTCAGTAGTTTATTACTGTGCGGTGAAAACAATGTTGTTGTTTTCACAGCACAGCACATGAAATTATAATTTTTTTTTACTCTTGTTGCCCAGGCTGGAGTGCAATGGCATGATCTCAGCTCACCGCAACTTCCGCCTCCCGAGTTCAAGCGATTTTCCAGCCTCAGCCTCCTGAGTAGCTGGGATTATAGGCGCCCACCATCAAACCTGGCTAATTTTTGTATTTTTAGTAGAGACAGGGTTTCACCACGTTGGCTGGGCTGGTCTTGAACTCCTGACCTCAGGTGATCCCCCAACTTGGCCTCCCAAAGTGCTGGGATTATAAGCGTGAGCCACTGCGCCTGGCCTTTGAAATTATAATGTTAACTTTTCAAACCACACAGCCCTTCCTCAAAAATTAGAGGTGCCCCTGGCTGGAAATCACAGCCCTTCTTGGTCTCCCTGCCTCCAGGATCCCTCTTTTTTCCACCTGGCAGCCAGTGGGATGTTTATAAATCCCTAGTCTGGCTATATGGCGTCCCTGCTCCAAACCCAATCCTCACAGCCTAGCTTGACTGTAAGTCCTGAAGGGCAAAGAGGAGATCTCCCCCCACTGCCTATTGCCTGGCACCGGTGCCTGGCACATATTAGACATGAGTGAGCATCTGTGAGCAAATGAATGAGCAAACATGCCTGGCACCTCGGGTCTGACTGGGGGCCTGCATGCTGGCTCCTGGGGGGCAGGTAACCCCCACGTTCCCTCCCATCTTGTCTCTGCTGCTCTGTCCCCTTCCTGCTTGAGCATCCACTCAAACTTCCCCAGGCTGCTTTCCCAAGCTGAGCTTGGCCTCTGCCTGGGCCCTGACTCCTCAAGCCAGGCTGCCCATTCCCCAGAATCTCTTTCTTCCCCAGTCAGCTCCACGGTCAAGAATCTATGGACCAGTCCACATTAAGCCCCTCTGCCCACTACCCCATAAGATCTCTGCCAGGAATTTCTTTTGAAACGGAGTCTCACTCTGTTGCCCAGATTGGAGTGCAGTGGTGCAATCCAGGCTTACTGCAACCTCTGCCTCCCGGGTTCAAGTAATTCTCCTGCCTCAGCCTCCTGAGAAGCTGGGATTACAGGCGCATGCCAGCACACTCGGCTAATTTTTGTATTTTTAGTAGAGACGGGGTTTCACATGTTGGCCAGGCTGGTCTCCAACTCCTGTCCTCAGCCGATCCACCTGCCTTGGCTTCCCAAAGTGCTGGCATTACAGGCGTGAGTCACTGCTCCTGGCCTCGGGGATTTCAACTCTAGGCACTCGAGGCCGTCTCCCACCTCCAACTCACTCACCCAGACAACCCTCCTTAGGGAGCCGATGCCTTGGGGACTCCACTTTGTCCCTGGGGTTCTGAGTTCCATGTCTCCTTCAGGCAGGACCAGCTTCTGACCCCGGAACTCTGGCTCTTCGTACAGCACCCAGCTGTGGGCACAGAGATTCCAGGATCACAGATGGGGAGGAGGATGTGCCCAGGGCTGCTGGGTAGCTGATGGGGTTTCTCCCAGGCTGGACTGGTCACTCCTCACTCCCCTCTGCATCCCCCCAGGTTCACAGCCAAGTGCCTTGCTGGGCACTCCCCACTCACCAGCCTCGAACTACCCTTATGGAGGCTACGGGGGCCCAGCCTGAGGCATCAACGATGTCTCCCCAGACCTCCCTGCCACTGCCTTGGCAGCCAGACTCTGAGAAGAAGATCACCTGAGAAGGCACAGAAGGGGTCCTCAGGCCCTGACCCCAGGCCCCTGCATCCTGCTGCCCCCACCCACTTGCCCCCACAACCCTACCTTTCCAGGCCTGGTGTTCAGCTTGCCCTGGGTCTTTAAGGCTGGGCTCTGAAACGGAGGCAGGTGATAAAGAAGTCCTGTGGGGTCACCTCTTTTCTGCCTCCCCACAACCCGCCATTCCAAGGATCCCACATCCTCCCTATTAACCTCCACCCGCAAGGAGCTGGCGCATAGAGGATGCTCACACTTGTTCCCAACCCCCAAGGGCCTCATCACCCTGTCCCAGGAGCTTGGTGCTCATCACCCGCCTTCCTCAGCTCCCAGGATCTTGGAGCCCCCACACCCTTTGGAATCCACAGTACAAACCTCCCACAGTAGGGATAGGGATAGGGAGATTGAGGCCCAGAGAGATGTGGCTTGCACAGGTCAACTGAACCAGACTTCAGACAGAAGCCTCTGCCCCCAGACTCTGACTCCCAGCACCACTCTCTTCACACCACTCAAGCCTTGACCCAGGTGAGGCCAGGCACCTCCCTTGCCCACCCGAGGCCTCACTTACCCACCCCTCCAGGGGCAGGGAACAGGCAAGCTTCTCCGTTGGGGATGATCTTTCACTGCAAAGCAGGGGCAACTGTCCTGGCACCTTCCTGAGCCCCGGTGCCCCATGGGGCAGCAGAGCAGATAGTTTTGTGCCCAGCGGTTCCGGGGTGGAGGCCTCCTTGGCGGTAGGCACCAGACTGCCGAACAGAAGGCTGCCTCCAAGACGGGAAGTGGGCCTGCTGCCTCCCTGCAGTTCCAATCCCAGCTCTGAGTGGGGGCCCTTGGTTCCTGCTACATGCTTCTTCATCATCTCCAGAGGAGAGCAGGAGACCTGGGTGGGTCTGGCAGGGTGGAGGTCCCTGGAGGGGCTGGGCCCAGCTTTCTCCTGCCTGCGCTGGAGCTTCTCATCGTCACTCAGATAGGGGTTCTCTGGTTCCTCCTCCTCCTCCTCCTCTTTCTCTTCCAGTGAAGGCACCTCCTGGGGTCCGGGGCCCAGCACCCATGGCCCCAGCTGGTCCTCCTCAATGGCAGGCAGCGTGGCGTACATGGACAGGTAGGAGGAGCGAGGGGCTCGTGGCAGCCGGTGAGTGCGGAGGATCTCAGGGGGCTCCATGCTCCGCAGCGTATCCAGGAATATCTCCAGGTCAGCGGCCAGGGCCACCTCATCCTCCTCCCTTGATGTCTCTGTGCACGTCTTGCCCTCGGTGGGATCAGAGACAAGCTGGGACTCCGTGCTGGCCTCTGCTCCTGTTGGCACTGGGGCAGGGGTGCCTCCTGGGCTGGGGGACACCCTGTCCACTGAGGAAGATGGGGCAGGGAGAGCATCAGGGTCCTGCACAACCTCTTTCTGGGTGAGAGATGAGATGGGGCTCCCTTCAGAGTCCTGGACCCCCTTATCCTGTTTGGGGAGTGAGGTGGCAGGAGCAATTGGGCCTTGAACAGTCTCTTCCTTGGTGAGGGGCGGGGCAAGGCTGCCTGCAATACCCTGGACAGCCTCTTTTTGGATGCTACTGCTGCCTTTTGGGCCCTGGACAACCTCAGTTGACTTGGGGGACAAGGCAGCAGGAGCACCAGACCCCTGCACCACCTCCTTCTGGGTGGGAGATGAGGCAGCAGGAGCACAGGGGCCCTTCACAACCTCTTTCTGGGTGGGCGATGAGGCAGCAGGAGCACCAGGGCCCTTCACAACCTCTTTTGGGGTGGTGGACAAGGCAGCAGGAGCACCAGACCCCTGCACCACCTCCTTCTGGGTGGGGGATGAGGCAGCAGGAGCACCAGGGCCCTTCACAACCTCTTTCCAGGTGGGAAATGAGGCATCAGGAGCACCGGGGCCCTTCACGACCTCTTTCCAGGTGGGGAACAAGGCAGCAGGAGCACTGGACCCCTGCACCACCTCCTTCTGGGTGGGAGATGAGGCAGCAGGAGCACCAGGGCCCTTCACGACCTCTTTCCAGGTGGGGGACGAGGCAGCAGAAGCACTGGACCCCTGCACCACCTCCTTCCGGGTGGGAGATGAGGCAGCAGGAGCACCGGGGCCCTTCACGACCTCCCTCTGGGTAAAGGGGAGGACAGGGACATTTTCAGAGTTCTGAACAAACTTATTCCTTGGGGACGATGGAGCAGAAAGACCTCCTGGGCTGGGGACATCCTTCCTTCTTGTAGTGGATGGAGCAGGAGGTTGTCCAGGGACTGTCACATGCTCGCTCCTCACCATGGGCAGGACGGTGGCAGCAGGGGGGTCCACGGGCCCGTCCTTTTTTTTAGGGGGCAGAACAAGGGGAGTGAGCCGGGCCCCGGGGTGAGTGGGCACCACAGGCTGCTTTGCAGGGTGAGTTAGGCCAGGAGAGGGGACATGGGTCTCGAGTCTGGGAGAGGAGGGGACTGATGCTTGACCCTGAGAAGTCTGGAGAGGGAGCTCAGTGGAACTGGGGGCTCCCAGCACCTGCCAGAGCTCACAGGCCCTGGCATCCGGGGCTCTGCCCTGGTCTCTGTCCGGACAGGCTGCAGGGGCATCCTGATTCTTAGGCAGGTGAGCACTGGCTGGGATGCCTGTAGAGGCCAGGGCAGAGCTGTCTTTAAGCTCTGCTGTCCCGGTCTCAGGCAGCTGCCTCAAGGCTGCCCCCACTGTGCTGCCCAGACCTGTGCTCCTTGGCCCGCCAGCCGTGGGCCTGGGCAGGTGACTGGCAGGGGGGCTGTGCCCAGCAGGCACGAGGTTACTTAGCACTTTCACGGCCTGGCTGCGGCTGGGCGAGCCTGGTGGGGAGCCCACCACCACTGGCGGCACCATGCGGGAGACCTGACGGCCCCGTGGCAGGGCCTCGCCTGAGGACACTGGCCTCACAGTCACAGAGCTGCTCATCCGCCGGTCCACATGACCTCCCACCACTGTGGTGGTCCGCACAGTGCGTGTCACTCGGTATTCCTCGAGGCTCCGGGAGCTACCACTGGTGAGACCTACACCTGGGTGGGGACTTGGCTCTCGGGGCCCAGGCAGGGGAACCAAAAGCTCAGTCCTGGCCATAGCTCCCACACATGGGGGCTCAGTCCTGGGAGCTTGGCGGCTGCCATCACTCTGGTCCACAGCCTCCTTCAGCCTCCCCTCAGGCCTTTTCTCCTTGGGAGGTGGTATGTACTTCTTGGAAAAGATGGGTCCATGGCTCTGGAAGTTCTTGGAGCCAGCTGTATCCCGAGGGCCCTGGCAATTCACAGTCTCTTCTTCCTGTGTTGCAAAGCCATTGACTTCCACTTCCTCTCGACGGCTGAACTCAAACATCTCCTTCTGCGGGGCTTCCATCTGGGCCCCTGACACCAGGGACACCTTGTGAAAACCATGTTTGATCTCTTCCTGGGTGGGGGGCCGCTGCCGCCATGTCAATGTGGCACTTACCACTCGGGCCTTGGCCCGGGCCATGGGCCCACCTGCCTCCTCCATGTGGGGCCCTGGCAACCTGTCTGGAGGTGTCCTTGTCCCACTGTGGTCCAGCTCCCTGCAGAGGAATAAGAAAGATGAGGGTCAGAGGGTGGTGAGAGTGGCTTCCTAAAGTGCAGAATAACCACCCCTACCCAAGTCAGGCTGGGAACCTCAGGCAAATCGCTTGGCCTTTTTGGGCCATTGCTTTCTCATCTGTGAAATGGGCATGGTAGTCTCAGCTCTGATTTGGTTGATCAGAGCCCCTCATCCATCCCTCTCCCTGACTTTCAGGTGATCTCCTAGGTCAGGGTCCTTCAAAGGTGAAGCTGAGGCCTGAGCCCAGAAGGAGAGAAAAGGAAGAAGGCAGAAGGGAAGATGCAGCTGACCCACAGGTCTATAGGGGGGCTGGGACTCTGCCCACAGAGCCCTAGGTCTAGTCCCCCAGGAGCTGAAAACTAGAAAGCCGAAAACTGGGCAAGCGTTGTTCTAACTCTGTTCAGGGAAGATGGGCTTTGGCCTCAAGCAGAGCTGGGTTCCTTAGTTGCTCACTAACTGGCCATTTCTTCTGTTCAAGCATCAGGGTCCTCAGCCACAAAACTGGAGTCTTGCCAGAGTCCAGTAAGAGAAACAATGAAACCTCCCCCTGCGTTTTTTTTTTTTTTTTTTTTTTTTTGTGAGACAGAATCTCACTCTGTTACCCAGGCTGGAGTGCAGTGGTATGATCTTAGCTCACTGCAGCCTTGAACTCCTGGGCTCAAGTGATCCTCCTGCCTCAGCCTCCCAAGTAGCTGGGACTACAGGCACACGCCGCCACACCCAGCTAGTTTTTATTTATTTATTTATTTTTATTTTTATTTATTTATTTTTTTTGAGACAGAGTCTCGCTCTGTCACCTAGGCTGGAGTGCAGTGGCATGATCTCGGCTCACTGCAAGCTCCACATCCCTGGTTCACGCCATTCTCCTGCCTCAGCCTCCCCAAGTAGCTGGGACTACAGGTGCCCTCCACCACGCCCAGATAATTTTTTTGTATTTTTTGTAGAGACGGGGTTTCGCCGTGTTAGCCAGGATGGTCTTGATCTCCTGACCTCATGATCCACCCGTCTTGGCCTCCCAAAGTGCTCGGATTACAAGTGTGAGCCACCGTGCCCAGCCCCAGCTAGTTTTTATTTTGTACTTTGAGGTCTTGTTATGTTGCCCATGCTGGTCTCGAACTCCTGGGCTGAAGTGATCCTCCCACCTTGGCCTTCCAAAATGTTGGGATTATGGATATATGCCACTACTGTGCCTGGCCTAACTTTTTATCTTTTTATTTTAATTTATTTTATAAGACTGAGTCTTGCTCTGTTGCCCAGGTTGAAGTGCAGTAGCTCACTGTAGCCTTGAACTCCTGGGCTGAAGTGATCCTTCTGCGTTAACTCTCCAAGTAATTGGGACTACAGGCACATGCCACCACACCCAAAATGCTCGCCTTATAACCTAAATTGCTGGCTCATCAACTTTCTGCTGTCACCTTGGAGATTTGTGACCAAATGTTAGCTGGTGTGCACACGTGTGTATGGGCATGAGCACCTGCTGATGGTCTCCAGAGCACAGGGGCAGGTCTGTGTGCAAGTGTAGGTCTAAATGGAGCCTCTCAGAGCTGGATGCAGTGGCTCACACCTGTAATCCCAGAACTTTGGGAGGCAGAGGTGGGAGGATTGCTTGAGGCCAGCAGTTCTAGACCAGCCTAGGTGACATAAAAAGACTCTACAAGTCTCTACAAAAAATTAAAAGAATTAGCCAGCATGGTGGTGTGTGCCTGTAGCCCTAGCTACCCTGGAGGCTGAGGTGGGAGGATCACTTGAGCCCAGGCTGCAATGAGCTATGATCGTGTCACTGCACTCCAGCCTGAGTGACAGAGAGATCTTATCGCTAAGAAAAGTTATCATTATTTTTTGAGACAGAGTCTCGCTCTGTCGCCCAGGCTGGAGTGCAGTGGCACGATCTCAGCCTACTGCAACCTCCTCCTCCCAGGTTCAAGCGATTCTCCTGCCTCAGCCTCCCGAGTAGCTGGGATTACAGGCATGTGCCACCATGCCCAGCTAATTTTTGTATTTTTAGTAGAGATGGGGTTTCACTATGTTGCCCAGGCTGGTCTCAAACTCCTGACCTCAAGTGATCCACCCGCCTTGGCCTCCCAAAGTGCTGGGATTATAGACGTGAGCCACTGCGCCCGGCCTAAAAAAAGTTTTTAATAAAAACAAAAATAAGGCTGGGTGCGGTGGCTCACGCCTGTAATCCCAGCACTTTGGGAGGCCGAGGCAGGCCGATCACCTGAGGTCAGGAGTTCGAGACCAGCCTGACTAACGTGATGAAACCTAGTCTCTACTAAAAATAAAAATATTATCCAGGCATGGTGGTGGGCACCTGTAATCCCAGCTACTTGGGAAGCTGAGGTAGGAGAATCGCTTGAACCTGGGGGGCGGAGGTTGCAGTGAGCTGAGATCACGCCTCTGCACTCCAGCCTGGGCAACAGAGCGAGACTCTGTCTCAAAATTAAAATTTTAAAAAAAAAGTAAATAAATGGAGCCCCTTGGCTCCGTTAGGGCACTTGGGCTTTACAAGGCACTCTTCCCTCGATTCTGTCCTCTGTGATTTTTTCCCTACTGAAGGTTAAGAAACCGAGGGTCAGAGAAGACGAGTGACTGGCCCAGGATGACGCGGCTATGAGGTTGTCAAGCAGGGATTTAAATTCCCATCTTCTGATTTCACATCCAGGCATCCTCCCTCCTACCCCCAGGCCACAGCTCTGGGGCATGTCCAGCTGCTCCTGTGATCATCCTCAGCAGAGCATGTCTCACCCTCCGTCCTGGAGGGGTGGGGCCTGGGTCTTGTTTCTTTTCTGACTCTTCCTTGATCTCTCTGGGTCTCCATAGCCTCCCTTACTAAATGTAGGATAATATTAACACCTGCCAAAGAAGACCTTCTAAGCTTCTGCTATGGCTTGAATATTTGTCCCCTCCAAAACTCATGTTGAAACTTAATCCCCAATGTGGTAATATTGAGAGGTGGGGCCTCTAAGCAGTGATTGGGTTATGAGGGCTATGCCTCATGAATGGATTAATATACTCATGGATTAATAGATTAATGGTTTAATGGATTAATGAGTGATCATGGGAGTAGGACTAGAGGCTTTTTTTTTTTTTTTTTTTTTTTGAGACAGGGTTTTGCTCTGTTGCCCAGGCTGGAGTGCAGTGGCACAATCTCAGCTTACTGCAACCTCTGCCTCCTGGGCCCAAACAGTCCTCCCACCTCAGCCCACCGAGTAGCTGGGACTACAAGCCTGCACCGCTATGCCTGGCTAATTTTTGTATTTTTTGTAGAGTTGGGGTTTCACTATGTTGCCCAGTCTGGTCTCAAACTCCTGAGCCTAAGAGATCTGCCCACCTCCGCCTCCCACAGTGCTGGGATTACAGGTGTGAGCCATTGTGCCTGACCGGACCAGTGGTTTTATAGGAAGAGGAAGGGACACCTGAACTAGCACCTCAGCCCCACTGCCATGTGATGCTCTGAGCCCCCTCGGGACTCTGCAGAGAATCACCAACAAGGTTCTTACCAGATGCACCCCCTTGACCTTGGGCTTCCAGGTTCAGGTATTCCATTATAAGCAACAGAAAATAGACTAAGCTCCCTAGGAACTCTCAGGTGAATTTCTCTGTTTTACTAGTTGCAACAACAACAAAAACAGCCATTTGGGGAGGGCTGACTCTGCCAAACACCTTGCTAAGTGCTTTAGATTCATTGTCCCATTGAAGCCTCAGAAGAATCCCAGGAGCTTGAGACCTCATAAAGAATAAATTATTAATAAATTAGATCATACCTTCCCATTTTGCAGATGAGATTTTTTAAATGCTCAGAGAGGTTAAGAAACTTGTCCAAAGTCACAGAGTAACCGAAACAAGACTTGAACCCCAACCCTAAGTGCTCACTCACCATACCAAACTCCCTAATATATGTATCCTATAACTGAGTCTCTGGTTTGGGGGTTTACATTTACAGGGAGCCATGTCAGTCCTGGAGGGCGTCTCCACCCCCACTCCCTGACTTCCAAGCTACACTGACCAGGGCAATCCTATTCTTAGGCCCCACGAACCCCAGAGAGGCCAGCCTGTTCAGCCCGAGTCTTTGGGCCTTCTCCATGAGGTACCCTCCCCTCCCCAAGAGACCTGACTCTGGGCAGGAAATGGACCCACTGCCCCCACTCCCCTCCCCCATTTCCCATTGTCCTCCTTCCTGAGAAGCTGGTGGAATTCAGAACTTTGACCCTTCCCTGTGGCCACAGCAGTGACTCAGGCTTTATGAGGGGCAGAGATGAAAGAGACTGAAGCCCCGGGAAGCCTGACCTGACTCCAGGACTGCTGGTGGCTATGACAGTGTCAGGGACAGGGTCCAAGGGGGACTGGAAGGTGGAGGGGTTAGGTAGAGCCCTGGTCATTTTCCCAGGCCAGGGCTTCCTGAGAGCAGTACACAGCCAGACACCAAAGGCTCTGGATTTTAGCCTCTCACTGAGGCCCCAGCCCACTCCCCTGTCCCCATTAGGGAGCTCCCTTTTTCCTCATGCAACCCCTGCCCTCCTCGCTGGGACTCTGCCCAAATGAAGTTTGACGCCCTCGCTGAGCACCTCCTAAGCCCCTGTCCACCTGCCTTCCACTCTCCGAGCTTCCTTGTCTCTGATGGTGCTTATAGTAAGTGGCAAAGCTTGAGCTCTAACTCATTCATTCATTCATTCAATTACTCACTCATTCAGTGCTAATTGTATCAAGGGATGTGCTAGGCCTTGGCTAGACTCAACCAGAACCAGAGCCAACTTTCTCATGAAAGGTGGCATATTAAGAAGCCAGGGGCCAAGGAATTAGACATAAAAACAGGGACATTTGGAAAGCGCCATAGGCATCAGGAAAGCGACAGGAGAGCAATGTTAAAGGAGGCGGCCGATCATGAGATCAGATATTGTCGATGACCTCCTACCAATCAGAATTTAACGTCTTTCTCAACCAGCCCAACCCCTGGACAACACCCCTGATAGCCAGTCATTCCACAAGCATGTGGTCATTGGCTTCTGCCTGCATACCTCCAGGGACAGGGAGGTCACCACTCGACAGTTCACCTGCCCCGTCCCTGAACAGTCATGAGTGCTAGAATGTCCTTCAGACTCTGCTGGAATGTGCCTGCCTATAGATGCCCCCTTTTGTCCTTGCTCTGAAGACATACCCCAATACAATGACCCAGGATGCCTCTCCTGGGCCAGCAGAAGGGGCCATTCCCAGAGCCCTTTCTTCTGCAGGGCCCCAGACCAGAAGTGGATTTGTTGGCAGCGTGACCTGTGACCTCCAAACAAGGCGTGTGGAGCTGGGAAGGGAGAGGCTGAGGAGGGGGCGGGGGGAGTGTGGGAAAGAGCCTTGTCTAACCCAACAAGTCCTGGATTCTCCCCACTTACCTGTGAGTCACCCCCAAACTAGGCCAAACCAGTCCACAGGCCCACATGCAGGCAAACACATGCTGTGTCACACAGACGCAGGCACAGACACACAGACAGATACCGACACAGACCCACAATCACACAGGCACAAAGATACACCTAGAAGCCTATAAAAACATACACAACCAGGGACACACACACAAATATACACTCACCCAAGAAATACAAACACGCACAGGCACTCAGAGCCACAACAGACACACAAATCACATACAGACAGAAACACAGGCACAGTGACACACACGTGCACACATTCACAATACACACACAGTCAATTCACAGCCCCAAGCTCTCTTCCCCTTGAAATTCACCTACCCCTGAACGTGGACACACACGCTTGGATGCACACGTATCTTACACATTCCCACTGGCAGTCCCAGCTATGTCTCACTTCTTCTCGACTCCCATATTTGCCAATCTTGGCCCAGAGAACCTTCTCCCAGGAAGGGGACATAGAAGGATGATGTTTCTGGAGGTCACCTGCCCCCCACTCTAAGTGAGCCCTAGCCTCCCACCTGAGTCTGTCATTATCCACCTGGGCCCAAAATACCCAGGTAGTGGCAGATAGAAACCACCTCCCCCCAGCTAACCCTACTTCTCTTTCCCGTCCCCCTCTCCAAGGTAGCCTCCTCCACCCCCCTTCCCTCTCTCTGCAGCCCTTGTCCCCCAGCCCCTGACTTCTGGGGCATCCAAGCAGGTCTCAGAGCCAGCCTGGGTCCTACATCTCCCTCTTCCTTGGCACGGAAGCAGTCACATTGACCCCTGCTTGGAGGACCCCAGCATTCCTGATTCTGCCTCTGCTACTACAATGCTGCCCAATCCACCGCCATAGGAGCCTAGAAAACCCTGGAGCCCACACAGCAACCTCACTCAACCCTCCACTCTCTGCACAGGGCCAAAGAGGTTTCTTCCAGGCAGGATGGAGCAGTGGTTAGAGCACAGGCACTGGAGTTATAGAAACCTAAGTTCAGATTCTAGCCCCTTCACTTTCTAGTTGACTTTGAGCAAGTGACTTTCAGAGCCTCCTAGAATTAGGTGACAGGGGTTGGGATCAGTCCCTACTCATGGGATGGTTGGGAAGATTAAATAAAATTATGCTTAGAAAACAAATTGCAAATGACAGCCACCCCATCATCCTTAAGCACCCTTCAAAACCCCACCCCAGGCTCATTTCCTCTTCAGGGTCATCCCTGGGAGGTTCCATGTTCATCCCTCCTTGATGAGCTTTGGGGGACATATCCTTCCACCTCTGCGCCCCCCAGGCAGATTTAGGAGAGTCATTTCAACACAAATAAAACTAGGCTTGGGAAACTCGACACCCACTCCTTTGGCTTCCAGCTCAGAGCCAGGTGGGGTAATTATTGCTGTCACTGAGACGTAATTAATAAGCATCCCTGCTATTTTGGCACCCCCAGTCTCTGGAGTTCAAAGTATATTCCTGTAGCCACCTCCTCCTTCCTCATTTTCAGCTACCAAATCCTCTCAACAACTCAAGGCCCAGAGAGGTTAAGCAACTCGCCTCAGGACACCCAGCACCTAGGCTGGGTGCCAATTCCCAGGCTGAGTCTGTGGCCTCCTGAACAGAACTGGGGAGTGGTGTATGCTGTGAAGAAGGCAACCCCCCTTCCTGCCCATCCTCTCCCTGACAGACTTTCCCCTTTCTCAGATGGACAGTGGGGGTGAGAAGCAGTGGGTTCCAGGAGGTAGCCTGTGGGCAAAGGGAGGGAGAGGAAGGCAGGGTTGGAGCAGGGAGGGAAGGCAGAGTCGGCTCAGGGTCCTGAATGAATGGGCCTAGAGCTGGAGAGGCCCAGGGAATAGGCAAAGTCTCAAGACAGGGCAGCCAGGCCAGTCTCCCCTCCCATCTCCACACACAGACCGACCTCTACTCACAGTCTGCGTGGGGACCCAGGTGTCCAGCCAGCCTGGAGCTCCTGCTGCTGGGCCGTGCTCCCCTGATGCGATTGGGCTCTCAGCTGGGGTTCCTGAGGCGGGGCCGTCCGGCACCCTGTGATGGGGCGTGGCCCCTGGGGAGGCTCCCACCAGCCCTCAGATTCCTCAGGGCCGCAGAGGTGTGGAGCTGGTTGGGCCGGTTCTTCACCCTCCTCCCCTGGTGCTTGCCTGTGCCCCAGCAGGGTGACAGTGATGTAGTAGCGGGTCCTCCTGGAAGAGGGACGCGTGTGTAGGGTCTGGGCAGGCTCTGGCAAGGCAGTCCCTGGGGTGGCGGGCTTGCCCTTTGTCCCCTCTGCCCTGGGGAAGGATGCAGGGTGGAGCAGCAGGGGTGCGTCTTCCAGGTTGCTGGGTGGCTCAGGCCTCAGAGGGACCTCTGAAGCTGTGGGTGGAGACTGCTGACAGGTGCAGCCTGAGGATCCCTGCTCCCCATGTCCAGGAGCAGGCCCTGGGTATTGGGGGAGCCTGGTACGAGCAGACTCTCCTGAGGCCACTTCCAGGGCCAGGCTCTCAGGCCCCAGGGAGGCATGGCTGGCCAGGTCGAAGGCGCTGCCCACCGCTGGCCTCTGTAGGCGCCCCAGGGACTGAGCAGGACCCCCCGAGATTCCTTGTTGCTTCCAAATCCAGAAATCATCATGGTCCCCTACATGGATGTCCCATTCTGAGCAGCTCTGGCCTTGGGCCTGGGTGAAAACAGAGATAGACACTGAGAGAGGCAGGGGCATAGTGACAGCTCCCCCTGCCCTCCAGGCACCCCTGGTACCTGGTATCTTCCCTGTCACAAGGAAGCTGAACAGGGCTCTGACACCAAGGTAAGCTGCCCTAGGGAGAGGCTGCTAAGGCCACCAGAGCTGGACAAAGGGACAGAGCTCTGGGAAGGCCCTTCAGCATTTAACTCACCCCTTCCCATTCTACGTAAGAGGAAAGTGGGGCCCAAAGAAGACGGCGACATGACTGAGATCACACAGCAAGCCAGCGAGGGCTCCCAACGCTCAGGTGCCGCACTCCCTCCCAGGTGACAAGGCACCCAGGGCCTGGCCGGCCATGCCCCCCAAAGGCTGGAGATCTCAGCTTCCTTGCAGTCCTGAGGTGCTTCCCCGCCCTGGGGCTGAGGGCTGGGTGGGAAGGCCTGCCTCAAGTGCCCATGGCCTCTGCCCATTCCAAGCTAACAGAGAGACTGCGGCCACCTCTCTTGTACCCTCCCAGCTTGAGACAGAACACCTGGGAGGATGTACCTGGGATATAAGGGAGCCAGAGAAGAGGGTTCCCCTGAAATGGGACAACACCTGACCTCTTCTGCTGTCTTCCCCTGGGGTCCAGCCTGGCTGTGGGGATAAGAGGAGAGGGCTCAGCACCCCAGACCCAGATGGACACTGCCCCCAAAACGACCCGTTTTAAAAGATGGGCTGTTTCCTTGGCAACAGAGGAGGTCAAAATTCCGCCTAGCAGGGATCCTTGCTGCCAAATGCCTTAATTTACTCATCTATGAAACAGATGCAGCCTCTCATTCCCCAGGGGCTGACCACCTCAAGAGACAAGAGTACAGTGATGAACCTGGAGGCTTGGATCGAGGCAACCTGGGCTTGAATCTCCGCCCTGCTGCTTCCTATAATAGCTGCAGTACCGTTTGTATTTCAGTTTCCTCATGTGGAAAATGGGTGTGATAATAACAGTACCTGCCTCCTGAGAGTGTGGTACAGATGGTACAAGATAGTCCATGCAGAGGGCCCAACACATGACAAGTAGGCAATTAAACACTGGCAATTACTCATGGTATTCAAGACCCAAGAGAGACACATGGCTGCTTGAGCCACCTCCAGAGGAGGCTGCCCTCACTCCTCCAAGGGAAGAACACTTTTTCACTGTTCAATTCAGGGCTCAGGTCCTTACTGCAGATGAGGAAACTGGGGCAGGAGGTTAAGCCACTAGCCCAGCCTCACCCCTGAGGGGCCATGCCAGGAAGTGGGGAAGAGGGACCAAAGATGGAAGGCGGTCAGGCCAAAGAAGAGAATGGAGAGAAGCGAGGCCCCTCTGCCCCTACATCCCTCCCCAGAAGATCCCAGCTTTAGGAAGTCACATTTCCTGAAAGTCCGGGCCCCAACCATGCGGGATGTCCCATATCCATTACTTTATCTCCCACAACAGCCTTGAGAGTGGAGCATTATTGTCCCCATTTTGCAGAAGGGAACACTGAGGTTTCAAGGAGGGGAATGATCTGCCCAGGGTCACATGGTGGATCAGTGGCAGAGGGAGGACTGGAGCTCCGGTTGTCTGACTTGTTGGTCCGGGTTCTCACAACCTGCTCAGCCCTCCCAGAGCTCCTGCCCTCCCCACTCCCCTTTGGATTTTCTCCTACCTTGAGGCTGACATTGCAGGTGGTACCCTGGGCTAGGTCAGAGCAGCTCCGGCCATCCAGAGGCCTGGGAAGGAAGCACACGGGGAAGAGAATGAAGTAGCCTCCTCCTGTGCCAACACCATCACCCCCAGTCTGGACCCGGAAGTCCTCTCCCCCAACCTTTTCTCAGGGCCCACAGCCCAGCAGGATGAACTCCTAACACATTTTGGGGAAGGTCTATGTGGCAGCCTCCTCTCTGTTCCCTCTCCCAGCTGTCCACTTCACCCCCAGAGGCAAAGAAAGAGACAGGAATGGGCTTGATTGCAAAATGGGGGCTGGGCCTGTTATGGGGCTGGAATACAGAGAAAGACAGTGCCCTGATAATGCAAAAGTTGGCCGTTTGCTGAGGCCCTCCTGTGTGCCAGGCTTGGCACTAGGCATTGTACCTACATGATCTCCCCTAAGCCTCACAGTAATCCTAGAAGGTGGATATTAGTGCCCCCTGTTTCTCGGATACAGAAAATGAGGCCCAGAGAGGTGAAATGGCTTGCTTAGACTCCACTCCAAAGGTTGGCTGGACACCACGGCATGAATAGGGGCCAGGTAGGAAAGTGCCTTGGATCCTCCTCTGCGCACTCCATACCCCCAGCAATCAGCAGGGGTCAGAGGCCCCTGCCTCGGTACCGGGTTCCCATTCCCAGGGCGGGTGAGATCGGAGAGCAAGTGTAGCATGGCCAAGAATCATCACTCCAGCCCTGCAGATTGCCTGAGCAACCCCTCCTGGCCCTCCCCACCCCTGACTCATTTGCACCTCCAAGTCCAGAGAGGGAGGGGCAGTGCCGCCTGGGCCTATAGGGCAGGTTTCTGCCAGACAGGGTAAAGGGGGAGGGCGTGTCTTCCAGGCGGGGGCGGGCAGGGCACTGGCAGGGTGTGGACACCCCAGGGCACCCAGGCTTCCAGGCATAGGGTGACTGGACCTTCCTCTCCTCTCTCTTTAGGGTGACAGAGCAGCACAAATCCCTGCCCTCATTTTGCCCCCACCACACCCCCAGTCCCCCTGGCGCAGGCTGAAGACACCTGTGCCATGATAAGATCAGAACAAATTGCCGGGTAACTGGGCAGACACATAAACACCCATGCGTGAGAGCACACCCTATGCTCTTCACGGATGTAGGACCGGGGAGCTGTGGGGCTCTCGGATTCTCAATACTGCCTTCCCTGCCTTTTGACTTGGCCTTCCACAGGATGTTTTTCCTTCTGTTTAAAACATTTTAAAGTTTTAAAAGAGCACAAGGGGCCAGGCGCGGTGGCTCACGCCTGTAATCCCAGCACTTTGGGAGGCCGAGGCGGGCGGATCACTTAAGATCAAGAGTTCGAGATCAGCCTGGTCAATATGGTGAAACCCTGTCTCTACTAAAAATACAAAAATTAGCTGGGCGTGGAGGCACGTGCTTGTAGTCCCAGCTACTCAGGAGGCTGAGGCAGGAGGATCACTTGAACCTGGGAGGCAGAGGTTGCAGTGAGCCGAGATCATGCCACTGCACCCCAGCCTGGGCAACAGAGTGAGACTCCCATCTCAAAAATGAAACAAAACAAAACAAAGCAAAACAAAAAAAGAGCACAAGGGACTGGGTCTGGTAGCTCAAACCCATAATCCCAGCACGATGGGAGGCCAAGCCAAATCAGTAGAGCTCAGGAGTTTGAGACCAGGCTGAGCAACATAGCCAAATTCCAACTCTACAAAAAATAAAAAGATTGGGTGGACATGTTGGCATGTTCCTAGCTACTTGGGAGGCTGAGGCAGGAGGAGTTTGAGGATGCAGTGTCCTATGATAGTGACACTGCATTCCAGCCTGGGTGACAGAGCAAGACCCTGATTCTATTAAAAAAAAATTTAAAAAAATCAAAAGAAAAGAGAGCCAGGTGCAGTGGCTCACACCTGTAATCCTGGCACTTTGGGAGGCTGAGGTGGGCAGACTGCTTGAGTCCAAGAGTTCGAGATCAGCCTGGGGAACATGGTGAAACCTTGTCTCTACAAAAAATCAGCCCGGCGTGGTGGCATGTGCCTGTAATCCCAGCTACTCAGAAGGCTGAGGTGGGAGGATCACCTGAGCCTGGGGAGGTCAAGGCTGCAGTGAGATGCGATAGTGCCACTGCACTCCATCCTGGGCAACAGAGCAAGATTCCATCTTAAAAAACAAATAAGTAAATACATAAAGGATATAAGAGCACAGGGAGCATTCCACATTAACATCCAAAATCGTGGTACATTGATACACATATTTTTATGCTTCAAGATACTCATACACACTTATTTGATCAACCACAACACTCTAACACACACACACACAACCCCTCAGACATCAGCTACCAGTGCACGGGCTCAGAGAGGTGAAGCAATCTGCTCAGGGTCATATAACCAGTGGCACCTACAGCTAGGAGCCGGGTCTTGCAGTCTGGCAGTCCCTGCAGGCAACAAAGCTTCAGAAATGTGGGCTCTGAAGTCAGACTGCCAAAGCCTGTGTCCCAGCTACACCACGCCCCAGCTGTGTGGCTTTGGGCAGGTGACGTCACCTCTCTGAACCTCCATTTCCTTATCTGAATCATGTGGAATACCTGCTTCATAGGGCTGCTGTGAGGATTACGTGAGATAATCCAGGTGAAGTATGAAGCATGTGGCAAATAAAGGCTTATTGTTATTACAATCTAGAGCTATCTCCAGGGGTGGGGACGACAGGGGAAAACCTCTCCGTGGCATCTAAGTGCAAATGCAGTACAGTCTCAGACGGAACCTGTCAGGTTCATGACAAAGGGATATGAAGAAATCAGCTGTGATGCGAGAATCAAAGTCCATAGGGGAGGGAAGAACTACTGCCTTTGCCCTTAAACTGTCTCTGTCGTCTGCAGGCTACCTGCCTGACTTAGGAAACTGTCCACATAAGTTGTAAAGTTTTAAAAGAGCACAGGGACCATTCCACATTCACATCCAAAATCGTGGTACATTCACACACACACACACACACACACGTGTGTGTGTGTGTATACATATATATTTTTTTCTTCTTCTTCTTCTTCTTTTTTTTGGAGACGGTGTCTCGCTCTGTCGCCAGGCTGGAGTGCGGTGGCTCGATCTCGGCTCACTGCAACCTCTGCCTCCCGGGCTCAAGCGGTTCTCCTGCCTCTGCCTCCGGAGTAGCTGGGACTACAGGAGTGCGCCACCACACCCAGCTAATTTTTGTATTTTTAGTAGAGGCGGGGTTTCACCATGTTGTTTGGCCAGGATGGTCTCAATCTCTTGACCTCGTGATCCGCCCGCCTCGGACTCCCAAGACACATATATTTTTATGCTTCGAGAGATACACATACACGCTTATTTGATCACTACTCTCTCTCTCTCTCTCTCTCTCTCTCTCACACACACACACACACACACACACACACACACACACGGTCTAGGGCCCAGAGGCTCCCCACGCGGCCTTTCTCCATCTCTCCTCACCTCTCCCGGGATGTGGCCTCCGAGATCTCTTTCCCTCTGTGCTCCCTCCGGACCCCTAACCCAGCCAAAAGGTGGGCCAGGCAGGCCCCCGGGCCTCCGCACCGCTCGGCCATGGCGAGTGAAAGACCCGGGGCTCCGGCCGTCGGAGCACCTGACCGCCGGGGCTACCCGCATCCGCTGCATTTGCGGAGAAATGCCTCCTCCGGCCCGCCCCCCTAGCAAACAGCGGCCCCACCCGCAGCCCATGCGGGCGGTGACCCGATCCAGATGCTGCCCGTGCCCTGGGGCACTCTCCAGGACCCCCAACCTCATTGTTCTCCTCGGACCGCAGACCCCAGACGTTCGGCAAGAGCCCTTGCCCCCACCCCGGGGGCGTGGTTCTCCGCCCGGTCCGCGCTACATCTTTAAGCCCCTGGAGGCGCCAGGGCCCCCCGCAGCCCCAGGTGAGCTAGCCCGAGAGCAAGACCTGCATGAGGCCGGACAGGGAAAGTGGCCTGGGGCGAACAGAGGCGGGGAGGCGGGGCTGAGCGAGCGAGGGGGATCCCCCAGGAGCAGGAGGAGCTGGGCAAGGGGGGCGGTTGCGGGGAGGGGTGGATGGTTCGGAATGGGCGTGGTCTTGCCGAATGGGAGGGTCTAACGCGAGTGGTTGGCGTCCCGCGCGGGGCCCAAAGTGTGACACGGGTGGGCTTGGAACCGGGACCTTAGCTACTGGTGGGGCTGAAGCCCACCCTGCCATTGTTCTGCCACGGTCAGTGGGGCTTGCTCCTCCCTATGGGAAGCACTTACGGCCGGGAGCGGGAATCCCGTCACCACCGCGGTGGGGAAGCCGCACGGAAATCCACGGGGTGCGGACGGTGCCATCTCCTGGAAGTTGGCCAGAGAACCCCACTCTGTCCGCAAATCGCTCTTATTTAATAACAACTATCATCGATTGTGATCCTAACCTGGGCCTCCTGCCTCCCAGGCAATACCCTTTTCCGCCTGGCGCGGCCTCTCTGACTCGAGTGGGGATGGGGAGCACCTTGTACATTTCAGAGGATCCTCCGGGCCTACAGGGAGAAGGGCCATCAGGCCTCAGCTCCCCAGGGTCTCTGCCAGTTCTTCTCTGCCTGTAGCCCTTATCTGGCTGCAGCCTCCACGCCTTCCCTGAGCCTGGCACCCTGTTAGCCCAGAGTGTTGTGGTAACTAGACCCGGTTGACAGAGGACATCATGCTTCTGGGTCGTGAGTGGACCCTGATATCTCGAGTCTCCTTCTTCAATAGACCCACAATGAGGGGCACCCTCCCCCTCCACCTCGCAACGACCATGCAGGGAGTACCGGCTGAGGTGCAAGTGGCCAATAGGAACGGTGAGACCCAGGCAGTGGGGGCAGCGGGACCCTCTGCACAGGTGTTGGGAACAGGACAATGTGCCCAGGCTGGACAGCACGGTCGGCACCCTGCAGCGCGCTGGAGGGCTGGACTGTCCGTCGGTGAATAGACGAGGAGAGCCTGGTCCTAGACGGGGAGTGGAACTCAAGCCTTGCTGAAGCAGATGGCTGCAGGCAAGCACCGCACACACAGGCAGCACAGGCTCTTCCTGGCTGAGTCCCCTGACCTGCTCCCGGGTGAAGTGTGAGGTCTGGCAAACACAGTGGCTTTCCCCCATTACCCCCACCCCACACCTAAACTGTTGAAGCTCAGGAAGCCTCAAAGCATGACAGAAGAAACATTTTTAATTGTTCTGGTCCTGCCCCATCACCAGGGGAGTCCCGGCACTGCTCAGGCTCACTGCTCTTGCTTTCCCCTGGGATGTCGAGGACACTTTGACCTCATCTATGTCATAGCCCATGTGTTTCTCAGATGCCACCGCCATAAGATCTAGTGCCCCCTGGTGCCATTGGGCAAGGCAGGCCAGAGAGGCCAGGGGCAGCTGGGTGTGCACCAGGCCACAGGGCTGTGGGGCATGCAGCCGATGGTGCAGCTTCAGGTGGATGTGCTGGGTGAAGCGACTCCGGCAGACACTGCACTGGAAGGGCCGGGCCCCGGAGTGCAGGCGCAGGTGGGTCTTGAGGTTACTGGAGCTGCTGAAGCGCTTGTGGCACACCTGACGGGAACGAGCACTGGCATCAGCTTTGTCCTCTGGGCTGGCTCAGGCATTCTACTCCCTCTCCTCATCTTGGAAATACCCATGACCCACCTCTCTTTCCCTCCAGGCCTGGAAGCTTTTCCAGTGATTTCTTCCTGGAACCCACGGTATCTAGCACATTAGAACCAGGCCAACTTGGGTTAGTGTCCTTTACTCCATGTGTGACCTTGTAAAAGTAACTTCTCCTCTCTGAGCCTTCCTCTCCTCATTGGTAACATTGGTTATTAATACCTAGCTTCATAGATATGGTGGACTGAATGAGATAATCACATAGAACTCTTAAGTATGAAGCTGCAGCTTCAGTAGATTGTAATGAACATTTACAGGGGGCTGCCACATGCCTGCAGTTGGTTTCATCTAGTCTTCCCCAGGACCCTAGGGAAGCATGACTAAGTATTAGTACAAGTCCTATATTATAGTAAGAAAGCAGAGTCTCAGAGGAGTGAAGCCACTAGCCAAAGGTCACACAGCAAGTTGAAGGCAGAGCTAGGATTTGAACACAGGTGGCCCGACTATGCAGCCCGGACTCATAATCATGGCACTGCTTTCATTTCTGCCCCTGTAAAATGGGAAAGAACCCCTGCCCTTCTGATTTCCCGAGGGATGTGGCCAGGCTCACAGAAGGAGGGAGCTGACATCAAGCTAATAGTTTTCCTACTTGGATACTCTGGGTACACTATAGCATTAACTCCTCCAATAACTCAGGGAGGTAGATAATGGGTATACATACACTCTCCATGACCTCCAACTTCATTGTTCTCTCCCTCCTGCAGGCCTTTGGAGTGACCTTCAGTATTACCCATTCCAGGCTGAGAGGAGTCATTTTCAATTTTCACTCCCCCTTCCCATCTCCACTTGCTCAGGAGGACTGGGGAATGGAGGCTGCAGGTGCCAGCCCTCCAAGGGCCTAAAACTCCTCTCCAGCCTATAGGAGTACATAGTAGGGGGAGAAGGATCTCACCGAGCACTTGTGGGGCCGCTCCCCAGTGTGCACCAGGTGGTGCTTCTGCAGGTGGGCAAGTTGAGTGAAGCTCTTCTGGCACAAGGCACACTGGAATGGACGCTCTCCACTGTGCACACGCAGGTGGACCTGAGTCAGATGCGGGATAAATGCTGCCAACTGCCCAGCACCCCTAGCAGGGCCTGAGGTCCTCTCCAAATCTCTGCCCACTTCTCTCTCCCTCCCCGTCATCTCCCTCAGGGCCCATCATCCCCAGGATACTCTACTCTTTCTGCTGCCCTGTAGGGGAGATGGCAGTGGTCAGAAGGCCAGGGGTAAGAGGTACCCCAGGTATATTGTGGAACACTGCTATTCAAAATGTGGTTCACAGACCAGCAGTGCTGGTATCACACTTTGGGAGCATGTTAGAAATGCAGGTTCTCAAGTCCGGCCCCAGACCTGCTGAATCAAAAACTCTGGGAGGGCTGGGCACACTCTCGTGGCTGTAATCCCAGCATTTTGGGAGGCCGAGGAGGGAGGATCAATGGAGCCCAGGAGTTCAATACCAGCCTGAGAAACACATTGGGACCCCGTATGCACAAAAAATTTGAAAGTTAACGAGGAGTGGTGGTGTTTACCCTTCGTCCCAGCTACCGGGGAGGATGAAGTGGGAGAATCCCTTAAGCCCAGGAGTTTGAGACCAGCGTGGGCGACAGAATGAGACTCCATATGGAAAAAAAAAAAAAAAAAAAAGATAACTCTGGGGCTGGGAGCTACTCTGGAGGCTGAGGTGGGAGGATCACAAAAACTCTAGGAATCTGCATGTTTACTAGCTCTCCAGGTGGTCTGAGGCTCATGAAAGTTTAAGAACTCCTGCCCTGCAGGATCCAGCAGGGCTTCTCCCCATAACCACAATGTGCCTTCAACTTCAGAACTAGCCAGAGAGCGCACAGTTTCCGCCCTTTGCTAACGCACTGAGATGCGCTCCCTGGGCGCCCCCTGCTGGGCGATGCGGATGGTGAGGCCAATCGCATCGGCGGTCGCGCAGATTTGTGGGATCCCACTTGAAAAAGGTTGGTCATCGGACTGTGGTCTAGACTCACCAAAATCTACCCATTCCCTCATCTGACTGCCCAAAAAAATAAATAAGAAGCTTAACTTGGAGTCCAGAAAGGATGGTTGTCCAGGTAAGGGCTTTCTTTGCCCAGAGCAAATGTTGAGAGACTAAACCTAACACTACCGTTAAATCGGGGTAATCTTAGGCAAACGCTGCCCATTAAAAGCCTCAGTCTCCCCATTTTAACCTAAATGAGACGATCTCATAGGCAGTCCTCTAGGGTGGCGAGGACTTTGGTGGCCGTCTTATCCGATATCTCCACCCAAATGAACCATCCAAGGTCACTTGGCCCTAGAGGTTGCCCAGGAGTGCCTTCTAGCTTTGAGGTCCTTGCTTCTAGAAGCAGACTCGGGTGCATGGGGGGCCCTGAAGGATGTTGAGGGGAGAAGCAGAGCCCAGGAGGCAGATACCTTGAGATTGGAGAGCTGCCCAAAGCTCTTGCCACATATGTTGCACTCGTACAGGATTTTGCCATTCTTCTTTTTCAGCGGGTAAGGCAAGGCTGCGGTGCCTGTCTGGGAACTCAATGGGACCCGCTTTGCTGGAGATGCCATGCCACCACGCTCCAGGCCTGGGGAGTCGGTTGGGGCAGCTCCAGCACCTGGATTTCGGGCCTGGGAAGGCAGAGCTTGGCCAGAGGCTTGGAAGGCCCCTGGGTAGGGAAGCAGGGTCTCCCACCGAGCGCTGGGGTGCCCCAGCTCATTGACCATCATCAGCAGGCTAGGCATAGCCATGGTGGGGTAGGAGGGGTCTTGGGGCAGCATGAGGAGGTGGGGACATTGGTCAGAAGGTAGGGCCCCATAGGTGAACAGGTGGGGTGGAGGCAGGAGAAGTGGGTATCCAGGGTAGAAGGCGTGGAGGAGAAATGGGAGCTCCTTGGAGATGGAGTTGACAGGGGGACAGGGGCAGAAAGCCAAGGGGCTGGGGCTCTTTCTGTTCTGCAGCGGTGGTGGGGAAGAGCTGTTATGAGAGGAGAAGGCTGGGCAGGGGGCCCCCTCGCCAGCTCTTTCTGGCTGTTTTCCCAGCTTGTCCTTGTTCTGTGGGTACTTGACTGTGAATTTCTTGTCATCGGTGGAGCTGGCCTGCAGCCCTGGTGGCTCGTGCTCTAAGCAGGAAAAGGAAGGCGGTCAGATCCCCACAGTCTGGGGTGAAGTTCTGTCCGCCATCAAACCTGCCCTGCTCGGGGCTGAGAAAGACCTCCAGCCTGCGAGCCTGCTAGCATTTCTGTAGTGCTGAACAATTTCAGGGGGAGAAAGCAGTTCAAGGTCCCTATTAGACACCCAGGTTGAGAAGCCAAGTGGGCAGATGGATAAACTGGGTTGGAGTTTAAAGGAGAGGTCTGAACTGGAGACATAAATCCAGGTGCCATGGGCACAGATAAGATCACATAAGGGTGAGGCTAGATCTGCTATGTCCGAAATGGCAGCCACTGGATGCATGACTAGATTTACATTAATTACAATGATTCTAATAAAAAATGAAGTTCTCAGTTGCACCAGTCACATTTACAGTGCTCAGCAGGTATAGTATTGGACAGCACAGGTATAGAATGTTCCCATTATTGCAGGGAGTTCTACCAAACAGTGCTATTCTAGATAAAGAGTACTAAAATAAAAAACCTGTTAAAAAATAAACTGTCAGCCAGGTGCAGTGGCTCATGCCTATAATCCCAGTGCTTTGGGAGGCTGAGGCAGGAGGATTGCTTAAGCCTAGGAATTTGAGACCAGCCTGGGCAACAAAGCAAAATCCCATCTCTACAAAACAATAAGAAAATTAAGGCTGGGCACGGTGGCTCACGCCTGTAATCCCAGCACTTTGGGAGGCCGAGGCGGGAAGATCACCTGAGGTTGGGAGTTCAAGACCAGCCTGACCAACATGGAGAAACCCCGTCTCTACTAAAAAGGCAAAATTAGCTGGGCATGGTGGCACATGCCTGTAATCCCAGCTACTTGGGAGGCTGAGGCAGAAGATTCACTTGAACCCGGGAGGCAGAGATTGCGGTGAGCCGAGATCATGCCATTGCACTCCAGCCTGGGCAACAAAAGCGAAACTCTGTTTCAAAAAAAAGAAAGAAAGAAAGAAAGAAAATTAGCTGGGTGTTTGTGGCATGTGTCTGTAGTAGTCCCAGCTACCCAGGAGGCTGAGGAGAGAGGATTGCTTGAGCCCAGGAGTTGGAGGCTGCAGTGAGCCATGATTGTGTCCCTGCACTCCAGCCTATCTCAAAAAAAAAAAAAAAAAAAAAAAGCAAGTTGTCTTCTGGTTGGATCCTTATTTATTTACTCAATCAATCTCACTGAGCCGTTTCACTCTGTGCTCTGTGCTGGGGTCCTAGAAATAAAGGACACAGCAAGAGAGTCCTTGCCTTCAGGGGGTCATCGTCACATAAGGAAATGGTGTGTTACAACAAACCTAGAACCCAGGCAGAGATGAGATCACACTTTTATGGA
Source organism: Homo sapiens (assembly GCF_000001405.40). Taxonomy (NCBI): domain Eukaryota; kingdom Metazoa; phylum Chordata; class Mammalia; order Primates; family Hominidae; genus Homo; species Homo sapiens. Next base: position 26,366,569 of record NC_000001.11, read on the forward strand.
TGAAGAAACCAGACCTTGGTGTTGTGTCCAAGTCCATAGAAATAGAAAGGGCAGAACCGAGACTCCAACCCCAATTCCCTGACTCCCAGCCCAGTGCTTTTTTTTTGAGATGGAGTCTCGCTCAGTCGCCCAGGCTGAGTGCAGTGGTGCCATCTCGGCTCACTGCAAGCTCCGCCTCCCAGGTTCATGCCATTCTCCTGCCTCAGCCTCCTGAGTCGCTGGGACTACAGGCACCTGCCACCACCCCCCAGCTAATTTTTTGTATTTTTAGTAGAGATGGGGTTTCACCGTGTTAGCCAGGATGGTCTCGATCTCCTGACCTCGTGATGTGCCCGCCTCAGCCTCCCAAAGTGCTGGGATTACAGGCATGAGCCACCGTGCCCGGCCTCCAGTACTTTTATAAGATCCCTCTAGGGCTGGGCACAGTGGCTCACATCTATAATTCCAGCACTTTGGGTCACCGAGGCAGGTGGATCACCTGAGGTCAGGAGTTCGAGACCAGCCTGGCCAACATGGCAAAACCCTGTCTTTACTAAAAATACAAAAATTAGCCGGGGGTGGTGGCGCACACCTGTAATCCCAGCTACTCCGAGAGGCTGAGGCAGGAGAATCGCTTGAACCTGGGAGGCAGAGGTTGCGGTGACTGGAGATCATGCCATTGCACTCCAGCCTGGGCAACAGAACGAGACTCCATCTCAAAAACAAACAAACAAACAAAAAACACCTCTCTAAGCAGACAAAGCACCATCCCCAACCCCCATGACCTTGGCTATACCTACATCAGCTCCCACACACATGCCTGAGAAGCCAGTGCCCAGCTTCTCTGGCTTAGGTATCACCACTCGAAAGCCCCCTGCACCCTCAGGCCAGAACTCCAAGGCCAAAATGTGGAAGTAAAGTGTGCCTAAGCTCTGTCTTCATCAGTGACACTGCGTCCTCTCCACCACCCATCCCCAAACCTAGCAGTGCCCCCCACCCTCCAGCCTCTGCCAGGCGCAGGTGCAGCCCGGTGCCCTGGGCTTACTCATGCTCAAGGCGTCCTCTTGGAGGCCCTGCAGGTCTGTGCCCAGGGGTGCCGGCTGTGGGGTGCACAGGTTCAGGTCCAGGTCCTGTAGGCAGGCCAGCAGTGCAGACCTGCCCGGTGCCAGGGGCAAGGGACACAGCCAGCTGGCACAGGATGGGCCATGAGCATCCACCATGTCTGGAAGTGGTCTGCAGGCTGAGAAGACCTGGAGGGCAGGGGCAAGGGGCTTGGGGGCTGGTGACTGGGACTCCATGGGTCCCTTAGATGGCCCCTACCCCTATTTTGTTTTCCAAAGGGGAGAATAAGCTAAAACAGCCACCACACTCCATATCTGTCACTCAAATGGCATCTCTTCCCTCATCCAAAGATCTCTTTCCCCCAGGATTTTCCCACCCACCACAAGATTGCCCTCCTCCTGTCCCCAGGGCCCTCTCTAGCCCTGTTCTCCCTCCCTGCCCCGAACCCATGTACCTCTGACCACCCTGGTCCCCAGTGTATCTCAGACCATCACTGTAATTTGAATGGCACCAAGTTGAGCACAAAGAAAATCCCCATCAAAGACTATAAACTCCACAAGATGGCCCTGAGCCCCTGCTCACTAAGGCCCAAGGCCATGGTCATAGCAGCCAAGCCTACTGCACGAGGCTTCCGCTTCTTATTCCCCACAGGAGAGTCTGGGCCCCTGAGGCATGGGGAGAGGGTGTCTGGCTCCTCAAAGAAACATCCCTATGATGTGCCTGGGATAGGGGGTGCTCAGACTGGGAAGGAGATCTAGGTCCCTTCAGACGTTCCCCTTTTTCCTCCTAATGTCACCTCCTACTATAAGCAGACTACCCACAAAGGTAAGGCTGGGGTTCTACCTTACCTGGTCACCTCGGAAGAGCTGGAAGTCCAGGCTGGGGGACAGGGAGCCCCCTGTACCTCCCAGGGCCATGGGCCTATGACAACAACCTAATTGTGCAGCTGATTCTTCCTTCATATCCCCATTACCTGCTGGGAAACAGGTGAGTTAGAGGTAAGCTGTGAAGGTCCTCCAAATAGGAGTCTGAGTTCTAGGACTGGCTCTCCCATTAACATGCTGCATGACCACAAGTTATTCATGTCCCTTCCTGGACTCAGTTTCCCTATCCGCAAAATGGGAAGGTTGGTCTAGTTGATGCGTAAGGATTCTCTCAATGTTGACATTTAGAAGCCAGTGATGCTCTCCTGGTGGGTGTGGGAAGATTAAATAGAGATTGGCCAGGTGCCGTGGCTCAAGCCTGTAATCCCAGCACTTTGGGAGGCTGAGAAGGAAGGATCTTTTGAGGCCAGGAGTTCTAGACCAGCCTGGGCAACATAGTGAGACCCCCATCTCTACAAAATAAAAAATATGGTGGGCGGGGTGGCTCAGGCCTGTAATCCCAGCACTTTGGGAGTCCAAGGCGGTTGGATGACCTGATGTCAGGAGTTCAAGACTAACCTCGGCAACATGGTGAAACCCTGTCTCTACTAAAAATACAAAAATTAGCCAGTCACGGTGGTGCATGCCTATAATCCCAGCTACTCAGGAGGCCAAGGCACAAGAATCACTTGAACCTGGGAGGTGGAGGTTGCAGTGAGCCAAGATCGTGCCACTGCATTCAAGCCTGGGCAACAGAATGAGACTCCTTCTAAAAATAAAATAAAATAAATAAAAAAATAAAAAATAAAAGGGAGACCCAGGCAGATGGATCACCTGAGGTCAGGAGTTCGAGACCAGCCTGGCTAACATGGTGAAACCCCCATCTCTACTAAAAATCCAAAAATTAAAATTAGACCAGGTGCGGTGGCTCATGCCTGTAATCCCAGCACTTTGGGAGGCTGAAGCGGGCGGATCACCTGAGGTTGGGAGTTCAAGACCAGCCTGACGAACATGGTGAAACCTCGTCTCTACCAAAACTACATAAATTAGCCGGGTGTGGTGGCGCACGCCTGTAATCCCAGCTACTCAGGAGGCTGAGGCAGGAGAATCGCTTGAACCCGGGAGGCAGAGGTTGCAGTGAGCCAAGATAGCACCACTGCATTCTAGCCTGGGTGACAGAGCAAGACTTTGTCTCCAAAAAAAAAAAATTAGCTGAGTGTGGTGGCTCACACCTGTAGTCCCAGCTACTAGGGAGGCTGAGGCAAGAGAATCGCTTGAACCCAAGAGGCGGAGGTTGCAGTAGCCGAGATCATGTCACTGCACTCCAGTCTGAGCAACAGAGTGAGACTCGGTTCAAAAATAAATAAATAAATTAGCTGGGTGTAGTAGCCTGTGCCTGTGGTCCCAGCTACTTGGGAGGCTGAGGTGGGAAGATTGCTTGAGCCTGGAAGGTTGTGGCTGCAGTGAGCTGAGATCACACCACTACACTCTAGCCTGGGCGAGGATAGAGCAAGACCCTGTCTCAATCAATCAATCAATCAATCAATCAATGGAGATTAGCCAATCAGAAGTGAAGAGCAGAGCTCTCCTGAGAGGAGAGGAAGGCCCTCACGGAGCTTACTTCCAAGTAAGTGCAGAGATCTGAGGGAACATTCCAGATTCCTCAGGGCTACAAAGAAGCCACCCCCTTCTGTGCTGAGAGGGGTCCCTGACTCTACCAACCAGAGGCCCCCCACCAAGGGGAATCCTGCATCCTAGCTCACCCAGATAGCTCTTCTGGACAGCTGAGGACACCTCAGTGTCGTGTCACCCAGGCTGCCCAGCTCAGCGCTCTCACCAGGAATAAAGCCTGAATGAGTGGACCAAGCCCCCGGATGCCCCTGACTGGCCTGACAGAGAGACGCGAGTGCCCAGCTGTCTGCTCATCCAGCACCAGGCTTCTCTGCCATCTTCCACCTGAGGCCACACAGCACAGGGAACACTTCAGCCCAGCAAATGCCCCAAGACCCCTTCCCCGTCACCTCAGGGACCACTCTTTGAATCCCAAATGCCCCTCAGACCCTAAGACCCTCACTCCAGTGTCTCAGCCCTCTAAAACCCCTTCTCCTTTCCCTCTTTCCTCACTCCTCCCAACGCTGCTTCAGGTCTCAAAGCAAATACCATGGACCCCCGAAGGGCTGCTGGCTGTGGGGCTCTCCACTCGGTGCTGCAGCAGTGCTCCTGGCTGGGAAGGAAGGAGGTGGGCAGCCAGGCCACAGCTGCCTGTGGCTGAGGCCCCAGTGGGAGTGAGAGATGGCAGGAAGGTGTTACATTTGAAGTTGCCACAGATAGGAAGTGGGGGCAGGCAGGCTTGGGGGCCCTGCAAGGTCTGACAAGGGGGCACTATCCACTCAGCTTTGCCTACCTGTGGCAACTCTGGAGGACAACCTGCTGATGTGGATTGCAGTGAACTGGGGCTACTGGAATTTCAGGATGTGTGTGTGAGGGGGGCGGGCTGTTATTTCTGTTCTCAAAGTACCCAGATGGCTGGACGGGAGGACAGAGTAGGGCTCAAAGGCTGAACAGGGGAGCCTTCTGTGGAGGGGAGCCAAGCTGAGATGAAGATAGGCATTGATGATGACAGGGAGACAGTGATGGTGACAGGTAGGGACAGGAACAGGCAGAGACAAGAACAGGCAACATAGAAGGATATGGAATGAGACAGAGGACAGAGAAGGCAGCTGATCTCACAGAGATACAGCAAACACGTTTTCCTCCTCCAAGTCCCATCTCAGATCTCCTGACCCTGGAAAGTTCTATCCTCTAATCTAGAGGCCCCAAGAGGCAAAAGATAATTCAAGCACATGGCCAGGTGAAGTGGCTCACATCTGTAATCCCAGCACTTCAGGAGACCAAGGCAGACCCATCTCTTGAGCCCAGGAGTTTGAGATCAGCCTGGGCAACAAAGCAAGACCTCATCTCTACAAAAAATACAAAACTTAGCTGGGCATGGTGACTTGCACCTCTGGTCCCAGCTACTCAGGAGGCTGAGGCAGGAGGATCACTTGAGCCCAGGAATATAAGGCTGCAGTGAACTAGGATATTGCCACTGCACTCTAGCCTGGGTGACAGAGAAAGACCCTGTCTCTTTAAAAAAAAAAAAAATAGACATAGCAAAATGGGTGTAAGGCATGACTAGGCCAGGTGTGGTGGCTCACATCTGTAATCCCAGCACTTTGGGAGGCTGAGGTGGGCCAACTGCTTGAGCCCAGGAGTTCAAGACCAGCATGAGCAACATGGTGAAACACCATCTCTACAAAAAATACAAAAATTAGCCAGGCATGGTAGCGCATGCCTGTTGTTCCAGCTACTCAGGAGGCTGAGGTGGGAGGATCACTTGAGCCAGGGAGGTCGAGACTGCAGTGAGCTGAGATCATGCCACTGCACTCCAGCCTGGGTGACAGAGCGAGACCCTGTCTTAAAAAAAGTTAATAAATAAGGAAAAGACATGTCTAGATACAAAAAGGGAGACCTCATAGGCCAGAAAGTGGCTTTTTAGCCTGAGCAATGTCATTATTCTTGTGAGCATGAGAAGAGGCATCACCCCTGCGGCCTTACACAAATTCTGGTGTGCGTGAGTCTGGCCCAGGGTGCAAAAGCCCCAACCAGCCATCAATCTGCACCCCAGCCACGCCACCCTGGTGTCCCAGAATATACAGGGACATCTCAGGCTGTGCACCATGGGCTGGGGCATGTTCCTGGGGTTTCTCTGCCAGCTCAGCCCCTAGGGCTGTGACTCATCCTCCACATAACTGATCCCAACATGTTTGTGAGCATCTCAAGGACAGGGTCCTCTGTCTACTCATTTTGGTTTTCCATGTAGACATCTGTCAGGTTTTTTTGGACGCCCAGCCTCTGAAACTTTTCCCCTACATGAGTCTTGAGGGAGGCAAAAGGTACCTCCCATTATAAAAGCCGAAATGGCCAAATACTTAATTCCAACCTCCCTCACCAGCACTTCATGCAGGCATACATGGACTAGGTCGATCAGATGTCCCCACCCAGAAGGGGTGACCCGCACACCTTTGGCTTCCATCTGCCAGCTCTGCCCTCTCCTGGCATCACACTCTGCTCCCAACTCTCAGAACACCTTGCACAACTTCTCTGTTAGAAAAAAATAAAAACTACTTCCCCTCTATCCGCACTTCCCAACCTACTCTGGTGATCATGGGCTTTCCTTGGCTTGGGTCTCTGGTCTGGGTCAAGGCATCTGCTCAGGTTCCTCAGTTAGAAGACCATGGTCCTCCCTTTGTGCTACCTCCCCAGGGCATGTGGGACAAAGTGACATCACATTTAGGCCTGTGACATCACAGGGCATGGAGGCTGACAAGACAGATGATCTGGGAGACGAGAGCAAGGAAGGGCTTGGCAGGCAGAGGCTGCTCCATGTGGGAACCTGAGGGAGTCTGTCTTAGCCCACCTCCTGGGACATTTCCTTGCCAAGCCGAGTCTTGTGAGCATGAGAAGAGGCATAACCCCTGTGGCCTCACACAAATTCTGGTGTGCGTGAGTCTGGCCCAGGGTACAAAAGCCCCAAGCAGCCATTAATCTCCACTGCAGCCCAGTAGACTAGCAGATCAGAAGCTAGTGCCACTGGCTGAGCGCAGTGGCTCACGCCTGTAATCCCAGGACTTTGGGAGGCCGAGGCGGGCAGATCACTTGAGGTCAGGAGTTCAAGACCAGCCTGGCCAACATGGTGGGACCCCATCTCTACAAAAATACAAAAATTAGCCAAGTGTGGTGGCACGTGCCTGTATTTCCAGCTACTTGGGAGACTGAGGCAGGAGAATTGCTTGAACCCGGGAGGCGGAGGTTGCAGTGAGCTGAGATGGCTCTGCTACACTCCAGGCTGGGCAACAGAGTGAGGCTCCATCTCAAAATAAAATAAAATACAATAAAAAAAGCCACTGGTCCTGAGGTGGCAGGTCTGTGGAAACTCCTCTCTACAACAAAGGCTGTGGTACCACATCCGGCTTCCAGGGCAGTGAAGGAAAGAAGGGGGTTCAGGGGAGGCTGCAGAATCTGTGCAGGGCTGGTCCTGGGGTGTGATATTTGGCCATGGTCCTGTCTACTTCCAGCCTCCCTTGATCCATCCTATTCTCCAAGCCTTGCTCTCCAGCCTTCTCAGACCTCCTGCGAGCTTTTCTAACATCTTTTAAACAAATTCCTTCTGCTTAACTCCTCCTGAAATGGTTTTTGTAGCTTACAACTGATAATTCTGCATTATACATGCCCAGAATAGAAGATAAAGTAACAGGGTTCCAGCTGGAATTGTCCAAGGAACAGAGTAAATAGCCACCTTTACAAACAGCTTTCTTGCTGTGTCTGGCACTGTGCTAGGGGCTTCATAAACTTTATCTCATTTAGTCTTCACAATAAGCCTGTGTGGTGGATTTTATTATTAGCAGCTCATCCAGAGTCACACAACAAGTAGCCAAGAGCTCTTTAGTGGTAAACCTCAGACTCTGCCATCTCTTGGCCATGTCAGCTTCCCCCACTACGACAGCCACCCCCTCATTTCTTTCTTTCTTGCTCTCTCTTCCCACATGCTGTTCCCAGTCCTTCCCCCAACTCCTCAGTGGCCCCCTCAGTATCCTTCAGCGTAATGGAGGGGCTTAGTTCACCAAAACTCTACTCCCTAAAAGGAAGAGCCCTCTCAGACCCCCAGGCCACAAGCCCGCCTCCCCTGCTGTCTTGCTGGGAATCACAGGGAAGTGAGGGGCACCGAGTGAAGTTTCCTCCCCTCCAAGGCACTTCCCCACACACCTTTGGCTTCCATCTGCCAGCTGTGCTCCCTCCTGGCATCACACTCTGCTCCCAGCTCTCAGAACACTTTGCACAACCTCTCTGTTAGAAAAAAATAAAAAAGGAAATGGCCTTGGAGATTTCCAGGTCTCCAATCCTGAAAGCTCCCTGGCTTGGCTAGGAAATGCCCCAGGAGGTGGGCTGAGGACAGACTCCCTCAGGTTCCCACGTGGAGAAGCCTCTGCCTGCCAAGCCCTTCCTTGCTGTCATCTCCCAGATCATCTGTCTTGTGTCATCCATGCCCTGTGATGTCACAGGCCTAAATGTGATGTCACTTTGTCCCACATGCCCTGGGGAGGTAGCACAGAGGGAGGACCATGGTCTTCTAACTGAGGAACCTGAGCAGATGCCTTGACCCAGACCAGAGACCCAAGCCAAGGAAAGCCCATGATCACCAGAGTGGGTTTGGGAAGTGCGGACAGAGGGGGAGTAGGGAGCTGACTCCAGGTGCAAGGGGCACATTCGGGAGGCCTCTGAAGAGGAGGTGCCTCCACATTAGGGGACAAGAGCTGGAGGGGCTGGGTCCTTGGGCTCCCGGTGCTCACTGCACACTTTCTTCTTCCTTTCGTTAGTTGCAAAATAATACATACTAGTGGTAAACATTTCAAACAACAGAAAATGTAAAAACGAAAAATGGAAGCTCCTCCTCCTTCGCAATTTCCCAGTGGTCAATGTGAATTGTTTAGTGTTTACCCTTCCAGACATTTTTCTATGAACCAACAAACAGGTAAATTGATTTTTTTAATTGCTTTTTTTTTTCCTAAGGAATGAAGTGACTTATTGAAAATGAAAGTACACTCTGCAGTGTGGGAGCAGGCCTGAGCATAGGGGCTCAAAGGCCCCATTACAGAGTTTTTGAGAGTTTAAATACCTTCTGCTTGTGGTACGCCCTATGTAAATGAAGAGAATGAAGTAAAGTTACAATGTCATGTACTCAGGGAGAAGCTATTTCCTGTCAGAGCTGAAGTGTGAATTGGCCTTATGTTTCCTGCCTCCAGCCCCTATTTTCCTGCCTCATCTCCCCGCTAAGAGATGTGATTGTGGTCCCCGTAAATCTTCACGGGAGGCAGAGGGACCGATGGTCTTTTTCCTGGGACTGCTTCATGCTGGCATGGGGCGTAGTCCCTACTTATTGGGGATCATGGAACCCTCACCTTGTTCTGTCTAGTGGAGGCAGGGTAGCTTCTTGATGGCCAGGGGTGGTGTCTTCACCTGGACTGGCTGGAGCCTTTGTTGCATGATCATCTGAAGCTTGATGGCCTCCTTTTGCTGGTATGCCAGGTTTCTGGGCTCTCTTTCCCTGAGCGGCCCTTCCTCCGGGCTGGCTGGCCAAAATATGTCACTGGTGGGGGGTGTCCAGGTTCTTGGCATCTTGAACAAAGAATTGGACAAAAAGCAGAAACAAAGCAACGAAGAAATGAAGGGATTTATTGAAAATAAAGTACACTCCACAGTGTTGGAGTGGGCCTGAGCATAGGGGCTGAAAGGCTAAATTGTGTTTTATACAAACATGGGAATATATTGATGCACATTGCTCTTCCGGGTTTTCTTTTCTTTTCTTTTCTTTTTTTTTTTTTTTGAGACAGAATCTGACTCTGCCTCCCAGGTTGGAGTACAGTGGTGTGATCTTGGCTCACTAGCAACCTCTGCCTCCTGGGTTCAAGCAATTCTCCTGTTCAAGCTGGGACTACAGGCATGCGCCACCAAGCCCAGTTAATTTTTTTGTATTTTTAGTAGAGACGGGGTTTCACCACATTGGCCAGGCTGGTCTCAAACTCCTGACCTCAAGTGATCCACCCACCTTGGCCTCCCAAAGTGCTGGATTACACTTTGGGAGCCACCATGCCCAGTCTCTTCTGGGTTTTCTAATAATCCATTGTGGGCATCATTTCATGCCCTGAACATACCTATCTGCCTCCTGCTTTTTCCTGACTATATAATGTTCCATTGCAGGGTTGTGCTTAATATGTAGCCTTCCCCTGTTGGTGGACATACGGGTGGGATCCAATTTTCCCCTTTCTACACAAGGCTGGAAAAGACCTCCAGACAGAGTCAGTATGCGGAATGGTTAAGAATACGAGCTCTGCTGGATTTAATCCCAACTGGGTAAACTTATGGCAAATCACTTAACCTCTCTGTGCATCTTTCCTCATCTGTCAAATGGAGATAATAATAGCACTTGCCTCATAGAATTATTTCCAGGTTTCCTCAAGATAATCCATGTAAAGCCCTTAGGATGGTGCCTGGCCCAAAGCAAGCACTTGACCAATGTGGATGACTATATTGTACATTACCCTTTACCTAGTTAGGCAAGCATCTGCAAGTCAGCTTCTTAAAAGTGTTAAAATTTTGATGGTTATTCCTGACCCATTTTGGAAGATCGAAATTTGGGCAGCACAATTGGAGAGATTAACTACATTTAGTTTTCTTGCTTTATTTATTGACCCTTCCCTGGTTGGGGATCATTGCTCTCATTCAATGCAGTCTTCTCCTACCCCATCCACACACCACAATAATAATAGCTCTTGGCATGGGAGCCCTCATTATATGCCAGGAACCATGCAAAGCCATTCCACACGCTTTGTCTCACTGGATCAGCAGAGTGACTCTGGGAGATGAATGCCATTATTCCCATTTTAGAGGCAAGAAAACTGACACTCAGATAAGGAAAATGACTCACTTAAGATCAGATGACCTGGCTGGGCGTGGCTCATGCCTGTAATCCCAGCACTTTGGGAGGCCGAGGCGGGTGGATCACCTGAGGTCAGGAGTTCAAGACCAGCCTGGCCAACATGGTGAAACTTTGTCTCTACTAAAAATACGAAAATTAGCCGGGCATGGTGGTGGGTGCCTGTAATCCCAGCTACTTGAGAGGTTGAGGCAGGAGAATCGCTTGAACCTAGGAGGCGGAGGTTGCAGTGAGCTGAGATCGTGCCATTGCACTCCAGCCTGGGAGACAAGAGCAAAACTCAGTCTCAAAAAAAAAAAACCAAAAAACACCACATGACCCCAAAGTGGAAAGCATAGAAACAGAGAGTAGAAAGGTCTTTACCAGGGGCAGGGGCCTGGGGTGTAAGGGAAATGGGAGATGAAGGTCAAAGGGTACAAAGTTGCAGTTACTTAGAATGAATAAGTCTAGAGCTGTAACATACAGCATGAGGATTATAGTTAGTAATATTATATAGTAGACATTTGCTAAAAGTAATTTTAGGTACTTTTACCGCACACACACACAAAAGGTAACTGTGAGGTGATGGATGTGTTAAATTGCTTGACTGTAGTAATCACTTTACTGAGCATATGTGTATCAAAACATCATGTTGTAGATCTTAAATATATACAATTTTAAAAGAAACACATGACCCAAGTTGAGGTTGTAAGTCCCAGAGGTGAGGGAGAGCTTAGGGAAGACTTTCCAGGCATTTGAAGAAGTAAAAAGTGCCACAAATATGTTTGGTAGAAGGGGCTCCCAGAAAAATTAAGACAAACAGAGGCCATCTTGAAACGAGCTGCAGAATTAGCATCTGGTACCCTGCAAGAACGTCATTCATTCACATATTTATTTGCCTTTTCTTTCTTCCTTCCTTTCTTTCTTTCTTTCTTTCTTTCTTTCTTTCTTTCTTTCTTTCTTTCTTTCTTTCTTTCTTGTTGTATTTTGGTAGAGACAGGGTCTGGCTGTGCTGACCAGGCTAGTCTCAAACTCCTGCCCTCAAACAGCCTCCCAAAGTAATTCACATATTTATTAATTACCAGCTATGTGTCAGGCATTGGACTATTTTCTGGGAATACAGCCCATAGAAATATGACTCAGACCTTGGAATTACATTCCGGCTATCAAGAAGCTTGCTGGATGTTGTGAAATGGAAAGTAATGTACATCTGAGCTTATTATTAGGAGGGTAGGGGCTGGAGGAGCAAAGTAGAACTGGGGGTGGGGTTGGCTGACTCATGCACCAAGAAAGGGAGACAACGGAACCACAGCCAGAAGCCCCACTTCCTCCCTGAAAACCTTAAAAACTTCTTCAACCCATATCCATTGCCACCTCCAACCTTGAGGCCAGCCAGCTGACTTCCCAGTCAGCTCAGCACATGGGTCCAGGACCTCTGTCACATGGACACTTTTGAGAGGCACCAGGTAAGGACCCCAGGTCAGGAAGGGATCTGGGACGTCACTGGCTTAGAGGTTAAGCAGCTGTAGGGTGTGCCTCCACAGGCAGAGCTGAGGGTGGGGCTGACAGTGCTCTTGCCTGGCTCTGCTCTGTGGTTGACACCTCCCTCCCTCTGCCTGACACCCACATGCTTATCTCCCCAGACAGCCCAGCTGTCAGTCTGTCAGATGCATTTGAGTTGGCCCTTGGCTTCACACCCCAAGGTGGGGAAGAGATCTTGAGTTAAGGCGTGCCTGCTCTTACATTTGCAGAAGGGGCCTACAGACACTCTTGCGTCTTCCCCTGCACCCATCTGTGACCTTCCAATCCTTCTGTGGGTAAAATTGCAGATGCATCTTCAAATGATATCCAAGGTCATGCCACTTATCCTCAACCATTCCAAGAGAATAGGAGACAAGAGGTCACCTTGCTTGGATTCAAATCCAGCAGAGCTAATGTAATCTGAGCCACTGTGCAAAACTGCCCACCATGTACATGTATGTCCTTTCCAGCCTGGTGTGGAACGGGGCAAAATTAAAGTCCACCTATATGTCTACCATTAGAGGAAAGCTACATATTATGTACATCCATGCATCAGAATACTATGCAGCCAGGAAAAAGCAGGAGGTAAATTTACTCAATGCCTCCTACATGCCAAATCTCTTTATGATCATCTTATTTAATCGTCCTCAAAATTCTCCAAGTTGGCCAGGCATGGCGGCTCACACCTGTAGTCCAAACAATTTGAGAGGCCAAGGTGGGAGGATAGCTTGAGCCCAGGAGTTTGAGACCAGCCCGGGCAACATAGCAAGACCCCCTTCCCTACAAAAAATAACTAGGCATGATGGCATGGGCCTGTAGTTCCAGCTACCTGGGAGGCTGAGGCAGGAGAATTGCTTGAGCCCTGGAGGTCAAGGCTGTAGTGAGCCATGATTGTGCCTGCCACTGCACTCCAGCCTGGGCAACAGAGTGAAACTTTATCTCAAAAAAAAAAAAAAAAAAAAAAAAAAACTCTCCAAGGTAGGAATTTTTAATGTCTCCATTTTATGGATGAGCAGACAAGACTCAGCAAGGGTATACCAGGTAGTATCAACTCAAATGCCTACAGTGGCCATGTAGTTAACATAAAGTGATCCAAGAATAAGTATGATAAAATTGTTTCCTGACACTCAGTCTTGGTTTCAAGCTTCCAACAGGGAAGGGTTGGGACTGAGGCAAACCAGAGAGCATGGTCCATTCTTAAAGATCAGCCACTACTCAGAATAATCAGGGGCCAGTGTTGCCAGTCTTCCAACTTTTCCAGAGAATCTGAAAATCAGGAGTTGTACATGAAATCTCCATATTTTTTAAAAGAATGGCTCCAATGTCTTTTTTTTTTTTTTTTTTTTTTTTTGAGACAGAGTCTTGCTCTGTCACCCAGGCTGGAGTGCAGTGGCATGATCTCCCTATTGGAGATCATGGAACTCTCACCCTGTACTGTCTAGTGGAGACAGGGTAGCTTCTTGATGGCCAGGGGTGGTGTCTTCACCTGGAACTGGCTGGAGCCTTTGTTGCATGATCATCGGAAGCTTGATGGTCTCCGCCTCCCGGGTTCAAGAGATTCTTCTGCCTCAGCCTCCCCAGTAGCTGGGAAGACAGGCACGTGCCACCACGCCCGGCCAATTTTTCTATTTTTAGTAGAGACGGGGTTTTGCCATGTTGGCCAGGCTGGTCTCAAACTCCTGACCTCAGGTGATCCACCCGCCTCGGCTTCCCAAAGTGCTGGGATTACAGGCGTGAGCCACTGCGCCTGGCTCTCCAATGTCTTAAAGTAATGTGTATGCCAATCAGAATAGGTCTGTGTGTCAGATTCAGCAGCCTCTGCCCAAGGTCCCAGAGCCTAAGACCTTTCCACATTTCTAGCTGTCTCCAAAGCCATGGCCTTGACTGTTTTCACTAAACACTTAAATAATGTCAAATCTTCACAAACTCTTCCAAAAAACAGAAGAGGAGAGAACATTTCCCAACTCATCCTATGAGACCAATATTACCCTGATATCAAAAAACAATGACAGGCTTGCTGCAGTGGATCATACCTGTAATCCCAGCACTTTGGGAGGCCGAGGCAGGAAGATTGCTTGAGCCCAGGAGTTCAAGACCAGCCTGGGCAACACGGTGAAACCCATCTCTACAAAAAAAATTTAAAAATTAAAAAAAAAAACAAAGATCATAAGAAAACTACAGACTAATATCTCTTGTGAGCACAAATACAAAAATCCACAACAAAATAGAAGCAAGCAGAACTCAACAACATATAAAAAGGGTTATACATCATGAGTGAGTGAGTTTTATCCCAGAAATGGTTTAACATGCAAAAATCAATTACTATAATATACTATGGCAGTGGAATAAAGGACATGATCATCTCAATAGGTGCAGGAAAACGATTTGACGAAATCCACCACTCCTTTTTGGGATAAAATACACTCACCAGGCCAGGTGCAGTGGCTCACGCCTGTAATCCCAGGACTTTGGGAGGTCAAGGTCGGTAGATCACCTGAGGTCGGGAGTTCAAGACCTGCCTGACCAACATGGAGAAACCCTGTCACTACTAAAAATACAAAATTAGCTGGGCATGGTGGTGCATGCCTGTAATCCCAGCTACTTGGGAGGCTGAGGCAGGAAAATCGTTTGAACCCGGGAGGAGGAGGTTGCGGGGTGAGCTGAGATCGTGCCATTGCACTCCAGCCAGGATAACGAGAGTGAAACTCTATTTCAAAAAAAAAAAAAAAGACGACTCACCAAACTGGGAATAGGGAACTTCCTCACCCTGATAAAAGGCTTCTACAAAAAGCACACAGCTAAGATTGAATTTAGGATGAGAGGTGAGTTGTTTTCCTCTTCAGATCAGGAATGAGACCATATCCACCCTTACCACTTCTATTCAACACTGTCCTAAAGGTTCTAGCCACGGCTACTAGGCAAAAAAAAAAAAAAAAAGAAAGAAAAAAAAAAAAGAAAAAAAAAGGCACCCAGATTAGAAATTAAGAGGTAAAACTGTTTGTATATACAGAGGACATAATCTTGTACATAGAAAATCCTGAGGAGGCCCGGCTCGGTGGCTCATGCCTGTAATCCCAGCACTTTGGGAGGCTGAGGCAGGTGGATCACCTGAGGTCAGGAGTTCAAGACCAGCCTGGCCAACATGGCAATAAAAATACAAATATTTACCGGGCACGGTGGCGGGTGACTGTAATCCCAACTACTTGGGAGGCTGAGGCAGAAGAATTACTTGAACCCAGGAGGCAGAGGTTGCAGTGAGCCGAGATCACGCCATTACACTCCAGCCTGAGCAACAAGAGTGAAACTCCATCTCAAAAAAACATAAAGAAAGAAAGAAAATCCTGAGGAATCCACAGAAACCTATTGAAACTAATGCAAGGTTGCAGGATACAAAACCAACAAATGGTGCTAAGAAAACAGAATACCTACATACAAAAAGAGTTGTATCCCTGGCTGGGTGCAGTGTGGCTCATGCCTATAATTCCAGCACTTTGGGAGGCTGAGGCAGAAGGTTCGCTTGAGCTCAGGAGTTTGAGACCAGCCTGGATAACATGGCAAAACCTCTTCTCTACAAAAAAAAATACAAAAATTAGCCGGGCGTGGTGGTGTGCGTCTGTACTCCCAGCTATTTGGGAAGCTGAGATGGGAGGATCACTTGGGCCTGGGAGGTCAAGGCTGCAGTGAGCTGTGGTTGGGCCACTGCACTCTAGCCTGGGCAACAAAGCAAGACCCTATCACAAAAAAAAAAAAAAAAAAAAAAAAAAAAAAGTTGTGTCGGTTTCTCTTATCATATACAAAACTAAACTCAAAATGCATCGTATACCTAAATGTAAGAGCTAAAACTCCAAAACTCTTAGGAGAAAATATGGGAGCAAACCTTTCAGACCTTGGGTTAGACAAAGCTTTATTAGACACAACACAAAAAGCACAAGCAACAAAAAATAAAGTAGGAAAATTGGATTTCACCAAAATTAAAAGCCTTTGTGCTTCATAAGATTCAATCAAAGGAAGTGTAGGATAGCTGTATATATATTTTTTAAAATAAAAATAAAATAGGCTAGGCATGGTGGCTCACTGAGCGAGACTTTGTCTCAAAAAAAACCAAATAAATAAAATAAATAAATAAATAAAATAAAGGAAAATAAGCATTGTTGGTGGCCGGGTGCGGTGGCTCACCCCTGTAATCCTAGAACTTTGGGAGGCCAAGGCAGGTGGATCACGAGGTCAGGAGTTCGAGACCAGCCTGGCCAACACGGTGAAACCCCGTCTCTGCTAAACATACAAAAAATTAGCTGGGTGTGGTGGCATGCGCCTGTAATACCAGCTACTTGGGAGGCTGAGGCAGGAGAATTGCTTGAACCCAGGAGGCAGAGGTTGCAGTGAGCTGAGATTGCATCACTGCACTGGGCAACAGAGACTCTGTCTTGAAAAAAAAGAAAAAGCAAGTGTTGTTGGCAAGGATGTAGAGAAATTGGAACTCTCATACATTGTTGGTGGAAATGCAAAATGGTCCAAGTGCTATGGCAAAACAGTTTGGTGGTGCCTCAAAGGTAAAGAATTAGCATATTCCACTTCTAGCATATACCCAAAATTGGAAACAGGTACTCAAACAAGCACATATGCATTCGTGTTCATAGCAACATTATTTGAAACAGCCCAAAAGGTAGAAACAGCCCATATGTCCATCAACAGATGAATGGATAAATTGTAGTGCATACATACAGTGGAATATTCATCCATAAACAGGAATAAAGTATTGATACATGCTGCAACGTGGAGAAACTCCAAAACATTATGCTAAAGCAAATAAACCAGACACACAAAAAGTCACAATTGTATGCAATTGTATGATTCTTTTTTTTTTTTTTTTTTTTTGAGATAGAGTTTCATTCTTGTTGCCCAGGCTGGAGTGCAATGGCGCGATCTCGGCTCACAGGAACCTCCGCCTCCTGGGTTCAGCGATTCTCCCGCCTCAGCCTCCCAAGTAGCTGGGATTACAGGCAAGCGCCACCACGCCCAGCTAATTTTGTATTTTTAGTAAAGACAGGGTTTCTGCATGTTGGTCAGGCTGGTCTCGAACTCCTGACCTCAGGTGATCCACCCATCTCAGTCTCCCAAAGTGCTGGGATTATAGGCTTGAGCCACCGTGCCTGGCTAATTTTGTTTTTGTTTTTTTTTTTTTTGAGATGGGGTCTCCCTTTGTCACCCAGGCTGGAGTGCGGTGGCACAATCATGGCTGCCTGCAGCCTCAACCTCCTGGGCTCAAGCAATTCTCCCACCTCAGCCTCCTGAGTAGCTGGGACTGTAGGCATGCACCACCACACCAGGGTAATTTCTTTTTTTATTTTTAGTAGAAACAATGTCTTGCTATGTTACCCAGGCTGATCTTAAACTCCTGAGCTCAAGCAATCCTCCTGCCTTGGTCTCCCAAAGTGCTGGGATTGCAGGCATGAACCACCTTGCCCAGCCCTAAAATGGTTGCTTTTAAGTTATATTAATTTCCCCTAAATAAATTATTTTTTGAAAAAGAATGTGAAAAGACAACCCACAGAATGAGATAAAATATTTTCAAATCATATCTGATAAGAAACTTGTATTCAGAATATAAAAATAACTCTTGCAACTCAATAATAAAAGACAAACAACCAAATTTAAAAATGGGCAAAGGATCTGAACAGACATTTCTCTGAAGAAGATATACAATTGGTCAATAAGTACATAAGAAGATGCTCACCATCACTAACCATCAGGAAAATGCAAGTGGAAACCACAGCGAGATACCATTTCACACCTACTAGATGACTACAATTGCACAAAAGAAACCAAAACAGAAAAAAACACAAATGTTAGCGAGATTACAGAGAAATTGGAACCCTTATACATTGCTGGTAGAAATATAAAATGGTACAGTCACTATGGAAAACAGATGGGCAATTCCTCAAAAAACTAAACAGAGGCCGAGTGCCTGTAATCCCAGCACTTCAGAAGGTCAAGGCAAGAGAATTGCTTGAAGTCAGAAGTTTGAAACCTGCCGAGGCAACAAAGTGAGACTTCATCGCTACCGAAAAATTTTAAAATTAGCAGAGTGCAGTGTCATGTGCCTGTAGTCCCATCTACTCGGGAGACAGAGGTGGGAGGATCACTTAAGCCCCAGGAGTTTGAGGATACAGTGAGTTATGACTGTGCCACTGCACTCCGGCCTGGGTGACAGAGCAAGACCCCGTCTCTGGGGAAAAAAAAAGGTTAAATGGCTGGGAGCCATGGCTTGTAATCCCAGCTACTCGGGAGGCTGAGGCGGGAGAATCGCTTGAACCCAGGAGGCAGAGGTTCCAGTGAGCCGAGATCGCGCCATTGCACTCCAGCCTGGGCAACAAGAGTAAAACTCTTGTCTCAAAAAAAAAAAAAAAAGAATCATACAATTGCATACAATTGTGACTTTTTGTGTCTGGTTTATTTGCTTTAGCATAATGTTTTGGAGTTTCTCCACGTTGCAGCATGTATCAATACTTTATTCCTGTTTATGGATGAATATTCCATTATATGTATGCAATACAATTTATCCATTCATGCCTATGCCGAGGCAGGAGGATTGCTGTGCCCAAGTTTCAGACAAGCCTAGGCAACATAGTGAGACCCTGTCTCTACAAACAAATTTTAAAATTAGCCAAGTGTGGTGGCACACACCTGTAGTCCCAGTTACTTGGGAGGCTGAGGTGGGAGGGTGGCTGGAGCCCGGAAGGTTGAGGCTGCAGTGAGCTATGATCATGCCACTGCACTCCAGCCTGGGCAACAGAGTGAGACCCTGTCTCAAAAAAAAAAAAAAGTATTGATACATGTTACAACATGAATCAACAGTGAAAACCTTTATGTTAAGTGAAAGAAGCCAGACACAAAGGCAACATATTATGTAGTTCTATTTATATGAAATGTACAGAATAGGCCATCCTGGCTAACACGGTGAAACCCCGTCTCTACTAAAAATACAAAAAATTAGCCGGGCATGGTGGCGGGCTCCTGTAGTCCCAGCTGCTAGGGAGGATGAGGCAGGAGAATGGCGTAAACCTGGGAGGCGGAGCTTGCAGTGAGCCGAGATCGCGCCACTGCACTCCAGCCTGGGCGACAGAGGGAGACTCCATCTCAAAAAAAAAAAAAAAAAACAGAAGAAAAAAAGAAAAAGAAAAGAAATGTACGGAATAGGGAAATCCATAGAGACAGAAAGTGGATTAGTGGTTGTTGCCAGAGGATGTGGGTTGGCGGGGGAGGGGAATGGAGACTGCATTATTTAGCATGATGAAGATGTTCTAAAATAAATTGTGGTGATAGTTGCACAACTCTATGACTAGACTAAAATCTATTGAATTGTACACTTTAAATAAATGAATTGTATAATAGGTGTATTATATCTTAATAAAGCCGTTAAAGAAAGGTAGAGAGAGAAAGAGAGAAATAGAGGAATATTCCTGCTCTCCTTACACTTGACTGCCTTCCTAGGGTTCCCCATAAACGCCTCCTGCTCGAATGGGAGCTCTAAGAAATGAGGGAACAGCTGAAGTTTCCACCAAAACCTATATGTCAGCATCCCCCACACAAAAAGCAGACCCTGGGTCAGGTAATTCGATGAAAAGCCACAGGCTCTACAGTGGCAGAAATGGTGGTTTGGCACTCAACATTCCTTCCTCCTCCTAGCGTGGCTTCCCGGACTGCACAGATGGAAAGTGAAAAACTACGTTTCCCAGACTCCCCTTGCAGCTGGGGCTCTGGATGTGAATGTGGATCTGCTAATCTAGATACATTTGGGTGAGATTTGGAAGGTGGAAGAAAAGAGGTTAAAGGCTTCGGATCAAAGCCATTTCTGCAGCAGTGTCAGCAGAAGTCTTAGGGTAAGGATTTGAAGCAACTTTTTTTTTCTTGTTTTTGAGATGGAGTCTCACTCTGTTGCCCAGGCTGGAGTGCAATGGCGTGATCTTGACTCACGGCAACCTCTGCCTCCTGGGTTCGAGCGATTCTCCTGCCTCAGCCTCCCGAGTAGCTGGGATTACAGGCATCCACCACTACGTCCGGCTAATAAAGTTGTTTTTAAAAGTTGCTTCAGCCTGGGTGCAGTGGCTCATGCCTGTAACCCCAGCACTTTGGGAGGCCGAGGCAGGCAGATCACCTGAGGTCAGGAGTTCGAGACTAGCCTGGCCAACATGGCAAAACCCCATCTCTACTAAAAATACAAAAATTAACCGGACGTGGTGGAGGGCACCTGTAATCCCAGTTACTCGGGAGGTTGAGGCAGGAGAATCACTTGAACCCTGGAGGCAGAGGTTGCAGTGAGTAGAGATCGCACCACTGCACTCCAACCTGAGCGACAAGAGCAAGATTCCATCTCAAAAAAACAAAACAAAACTTTAATGGAGTATAATAGATATACAAAAAATTGCTCATATTTAATGTGTACAGCTTGATGGGTATGGACATATGCATATACTTGCAAAACCATCACTACATTCAAGGTAATAAACAAATTCGTCACCTCCAAAGGCTTCCTCGTGCTGTTGTTATTATTGTTGTTGTTTTGTGGTAAGAACACATAACATAAGATCTAGCCTCCTAACAAAAAAAAAATTCTTTTTGAGACAGAATCTCACTCTGTCTCCCAGGCTGGAGTGCAGTGGCACAATTATGGCTCGCTGGTGCCTCGACCTCTTGGGCTCAAGCCATCCTCCCACCTCAGCCTCCCTGGTGTCTGGGACTACAGGCGTGTGTCACTATGCCCAGTGGATTTTTTTTTTTTTTCTTTTTTGAGATGGAATTTCACTCTTGTCACCCAGGCTGGAGTGCAATGGCACGATCTCGGCTCACTGCAACCTCTGCCTCCCGGGTTCAAGCGATTTTCCTGTCTCAGCCTCCCCAGTAGCTGGGATTACAGGCACCTGGCACCACACCCAGCTAATTTTGGTATTTTTAGTAGAGACGGGGTTTCACCATGTTCACCAGGCTGGTCTCAAATTTCTGACCTCAGGTGATTGACCCGCCTCGGCCTCCCAAGTGCTGGGATTATAGGCATGAGTCACTGCAGTGATGCAATCATAACTCACTGTAACCTCGACCTCCTGGACTCAAATCGATCCTCCCACTTCAGCCTCCCACAGTGCTAAGATTACAGGTGTGAGCCACTACGCCAAACAGAGAATGGATTTGAAGCCACATTGGTCTGATTCCAGAGCGTGAGCCCTTGTATCAGTGCTCTGTACTTGGACTTGTTACTTTTAGCCCATGATTCATTTTCCTTTCAGCTTGGGGAAAGAGTTGGCATCCTCCTTTCAATGAGAAAGCATCTCAATGAGCAACCCCCTGGATTGGATGGGCCACCACCCCAGAAAATTGGGGCAATTTGGGTACCACAAGGAGGGATTGGAAGGCAGCAGTTTCTTTGCTAGGATGGGGCCAAGATCTGCCAATCCTGATTGCTCACCCAAGGAGTCAGGAGAGAAAGATCCATTTACTTGACTGACATTGACCAAAAACAAGAGGTGTGGTTGGTGCCACAGGGCTGCAGGAGGAACTGGGCCCAGAGGCTTCTTAAAGAAGCACGTGATCAACAGCTGGGCATGGTGGCTTACGCCTGTAATCCCAGCACTTTGGGAGGCCGAGGCGGGTGGATCACCTGAGGTCAGAAGTTCAAGACGAACCTGGGCAACATGGTGAAACACCGTCTCGACTAAAAACACAAAAAATTAGCCAGCGTGGTGGCACATGCCTGTAATCCCAGCTACTCAGGAGGCTGAGGCAGGAGGATCGCTTGAACCCAGGAGGCGGAGGCTGCAGTGAGCTGAGATTGCACTCCAGCCTGGGCAACAAGAGTGAAACTCTGTCTCAAAGAAAAAAAAAAGAAGCACGTGATCTAGCAAAGAGTCTGGACCATGAATCCACCCTCTCCTGTCCACCTGCCAGCTGCAGAGCACTCCAAGGACGCTCTCCCAGGGCCCCAGGGTTTTCATACCCTTGGAGAGGATCTCCAATCCCCATCTCATCAGTGACCTCATCTTTAAGGTTCACTGGGCAACTTCCTCCCTGTAAAAGCCTCTTAGAGCCCAATTCAGCAAGCTATCCTACCTCTGAGGGTCCCCAGCCCTCAGTACAGACAGACACCTCCTCAGGTCTATTCTACTCTATGTCATGATGACAGTGGGAAGGGTATGAGGCCTGGATGACTTCTAAGCCCCATCAGCCACAGCCTACCTTGGGCAGGCTATTGAGCCTCTATGAACCTCTTTCTGCACCTGTGAAATAGGGTTGCTAATACCCACCTTGTTGGAGAGGTCACCCACATAACGAATTTACTCAGGGCCTAACTACTATTCAACAGATGGCTATTTTCCCCTCCTGTCCCCTCTCCTGCCATTTCCTTCCAGATTATATCGTCTTACAGGGCAGAAAAAGAGCCTGAGCATTTATTTACCCACATCCACACCCCCACACAGTCTCACATACATGGGTGCTGTCTGACAAAACATGTGCAATGAATGAGTCAACAACCAGAAGCTCACAGCCGAAATCACTCCATTCATTTTGTCGATTTGTGTGGTGAACAAATGTGTCCTAAGTCTCAAACAGGGGCCGGACCCCATGCTGGGGGCAAAGGATATAAAGGAGAGGGAAACAGGGTCCCTGCCCTCAAGGGGCCCCTGAGCTGTGATGAAAGAGACAAGTCAGTCATGCATTACAGTCCAGTGCCATGACTGGGCCATGGGTTTGGAAAGTCCTGGATTCCTCGTGAAGGGACCTTTGGGATTGCAGAAAGAAGATACCGGACAGAACTGGGAGATCTGGATTCTAGCCTCATTCTGTCACTAGCTTGCTCTGGAAGTGTCTTCAAGTCACTTCCTTAGTTTCCACATCTTAAAATGAGTGCAAGGAAGAGGGGCACCTGTGTGCTGTTCAATGTCCCCTCAGAGACAGACTCTTGGGCAGAGGATTCTGTGGGCCTGGGGCTGCTTTTGTAACACCAGAGCCTCCTGCTCCTGCACACTTACCTTGTGCCCACTTGGGTTTGCCAAGCAGGGACCTTGTTCCCCACCACCCTCTACCCCTGGCGTTCCCTGAGCAGTTGGGGGGCTCAGCCTCTGGTTTTGCGGTTTCCCTCGAGCTAGCCGTCACAGCAGCTCTGTGTGCCAGTGAGGGGTCAGGCTTTGAGAGGGTGGTGGGTAAGGGGAAGGTATCACCTTCCAAAGTAACCTCTGAGGGGCAGACTGGTGGCTACTTTGAAGCAGACTCTCACCACCACCACTCTGTTTCCAGGAAACCCCCACAGGCTGAGGGAAGGAGGGGCTTTGAAGAAACATAGCCTGGTACAAGGCCTCCTGCACAGAGGAGGACAGCCTCAGGGCCTGAAGGGCCAGCCAGTTTTGGAGGGGCATCTAGGAGCAGAATGAGGAGGAAGGGGCAGGGTTAGTGATTTTTGTTTTGTTTTGTTTTGTTTTGTTTTGTTTTGAGACAGGGTCTTGCTCTGTCATCCAGGTTGGAGTACAGTGATGCAATCACAGCATACTGCAACCTCAACCTCCCAGGCTCAAGCAATCCTCCCACCTCAGCCTCCTGCATAGCTGGGGCTGCAGGTACGTACCACCACTCCCAGCCAAGGTTAGTATTGAGAAGGTCAGGGGATCAGATTCTCAGAGAGCAGGTTCTGTGTCTTTCCCATCTGACCAGGGGTTCCCCTGGTTGAGTCCTGGTCTCACCTTGAGATGAGGAGGCCCCCACAGGGTGGGCTCTGTGCCTTCTATTAATATTAGATTGACCGGGCATGGTGGCTCATGCCTGTAATCCCAGTACTTTGGGAGGCTAATGCAGACGGATCATTTAAGATCAAGAGTTCAAGACCAGCCTGGCCAACATGGTGAAACCCTGTCTCTACTAAAAATACAAAAATTAGCCGGTCGTGGTAGCAGGCACCTATAATCCCAGCTACTTGGGAGGCTGAGGCAGGAGAATCACTTGAACCTGGGGTACGGAGGTTGCAGTGAGCTGAGATTTTGCCACTTCACTCCAGCCTGGGCAGAAGAGCGAAACTCCATATCAAAAAAAAAAAAAAAAAAAAAGGCCGGGTACGGTGGCTCACGCATGTAATCCCAGCACTTTGGGAGGCTGAGGCGGGCAGATTACCAGGTCAGGAGATCGAGACCATCCTGGCTAACATGGTCAAACCCCATCTCTACTAAAAATACAAAAAATCAGCCGGGCATGGTGGTGGGCGCCTATAGTCCCAGCTACTCGGGAGGCCGATGTAGGATAATGGCGTGAACCCGGGAGATGGAGGTTGCAGTGAGCCGAGATCGTGCCACTGCACTCCAGCCTGGATGACAGAGTCAGACTCCACCTCAAAAAAAAAAAAAAATCATTTGCACACATTACTTAACTCCTCCCAAGGAGAAGCCCTGAAGCTTAAGCTAAATCTACCTCTGTTCCACTCATTCCTGGAAGACAGGTTTTGAGTTTGATTACTTTGGAAAGGCCTCAGAGGTCTGCTGGCTCTCTGTCCTTGCCTTCTCTTTAAAAAAAAAAAAGTGATTACCAGGAAAATTGCGCCTTGGGAAATGGAGGCCCCGGCTGTGTGTGTGCACGTGTGTGTGTGTGTCTGTGTGTGTGTCCACATGCATGCATTCTACAATTTAAAGGGTTAAACCTCCAACCAAAGCTGAATCCAGCTGTGCACAGGTTTCTCTGTTCATCCCTCTAAAGGAACCTTGATCTTCTCTGCTTCAAGGTCTGTATAAATTGTTCCCTCTGCCTGAAACACACTCTCAACACATGCACACACATACAAACGCCCCCCCTTTACCTCTTTTTCACATTTTCTTTGGTCAAGATTTAGGCATCTGTTAAGTCTCTGTTTCAAAATCAGTTTCTGAGGAAAGCTTTTTTCTGATCTCCTTTCCCTTAAATTAAATCACTATAACTATTTGTTCACTGTAATCCTGCCCTGCTGGTGCCACAAGGCCTGGAACCTCATTTGTCTGTGTATCTATCTTGTTCATGCCTGTATTTTTCCAGTCTGTGGCATGGTGTCTGGCACATAGTGGCACTCAAACAACGTTTCAATGTATGAATGAATGAATGAACAACGGAACTTAGTGATGGTGGATGAGGAAAGGGGTCATGTGGGGTAAGGGTGTCCCCTGCTGGACATTGAGAGTACCCAGGGCATCCTCTCTGAGCTGGGAAGAATGACTCTCGGTCATAAATTTCCTCCCTGAGGGGCAGAGTTGGGGAACCTCACCTTATGCCCAGACTGCTGATGCATGCCTTCTTCTTACCTCTATCAGCCCCCACACCACTGTCCTCCCAGCCTTCAGAGCATCCGTCCCCACCCCCAGTGGCCTGACCCACCCTCCCCCACGCTGCAGACCACATCAGCAAGGCTGTGGAGCGCCACAGCGATTTCTGCATCCTCTCCACAATGAATATCCACCCCCTCTTAAACCTTTTGCTTTGAATAAGAATAGGCCCAGAGTCCTCCATCGATCCTCTTTCCCCCTCCTCCCAAATCAATCAATCAGTAGTGATTGGCTGGGACACTGGGGTGGAGGTGGACGAGGACTGGTGGGTGAAGAGCAAGGAAAGTTGGTGGGGTGGTGGTGGGGTAGGTGAGTGTGTTTCTGAAACAGGATCCCGCTAAAAGTATGGCAGAACAGTGGATTTCTCTGGAGGAGAATAGTTGGTGAGAAGATACCTGGGATGAGGTATTTAGAAAAAGGTGAATGAGAAATTCCTGACTACTGTCTTTTTTTTTTTTTTTTTTTGAGATGTAGTCTTGCTCTTGTTGCCAAGGCTAGAGTGCAATGGGGCAATCTTGGCTCACTGCCACCTCCACCTCCCGGGCTCAAGTGATTCTCCTGCCTCAGTCTCCCAAATAGCTGGGATTACAGGTGCCTGCCACCAAGCCTGGCAAATTTTTTGTATTTTTAGTAGAGATGGGGTTTCACCATGGTAGCCAGACTGGTCTCGAACTCCTGACCTCTGGTGATCCACCTGCCTCCGCCTCCCAAAGTGCTGGAATTATAGGAGTGAGCCACCGCACCCGGCCTCTGACTACTGTCTTGGCTGACAAAAGGGTAAAATACCTCCAGTTTATATAAAGTGTGAGCACAATGGGAGGAGGGGGTTCATAAAAGATTGGACTAAGAGGAACATGGTGAGGAGCACGGGGGTTCTGTGAGGGGAGTCAGGGCTCAGTGCTAAGGACATGGAGGAGTAGAGAGGGCAGGAGGAAGCCTCTTGGCCGAGGGTAAAAAGAAGTGGGTGGGGGTCAAAGAGAGATAGAGGTCACTTCTCTTCCAGTGAGGATGGGAAGAACCAGACCACACCTGTGACTCTCCATATAGTTCCCATCCCTGGCCCCTCCCCCAGCCATGCCCCAAAATGGGGCTGGGGAAGAGTGACAGTTACTTAATGACTCTGAGTCCCACTAGCTCTTCTGGGCAGCCTATGGTCACTGGGGGGCCAAAGGGGACTGAAGCCAAAGTCCAAGTTATTGATCTCTGGCCCCAAAGGTCAGCTTCAGGGGCAGAGGGAGTGGTGTTGCCATGGTGGGAGACTCGAGGGACCCCACAACAGAGGGGCTGTGCTGCAGCCCAGTTTTCACGTCTGCATCCTTAGTGCCCCATGATCCTATACACACACACACACACACACACTCCCACACCCCTCTATCCTGTCTTGCTTGAAATTTCTGCCTGATGGGATGTCTCAGAATAGACTCTTGGGTGTCTAGCCTTTGGGGTGTCTAGGGAGTATAAAAGGAGAGCCTTAGATGGAATTATTTATTTACTACTACCCCCGTCCCCAAGACAAAGCCCTGGGAGTCCATGAACTCTTTGGTGAATCCCATTAAAAAAAACACCAATCTGGTTGTCAGGAAGAAAGGATGGCAACAATTTTTGCTGTGTAGCCTTGACAAAGCATTTACCTTCTATGAGTCTTAGTTCCCTTATCTATAAATGAAGGGATTGAATCAGATGAGCTCTAAGTTCCTTTCCGGATAAGTGACCTAAGATTCTGAGGAATTAGAGGGGACAGGCCTGACAGCAGGGGTTAGGAGTAAGAACTAGGTTAGGTTCGGGAGATGGTAAAAACAAATTCTTGGACTTGGAAATAAAATCTGCATTCTAATTTTGGCCATTATTAACTGTGGAAACTGGGGCAAGTCATGCATTTATTAATTCAACAAACATTTAATAAGCAATTACGTTATCCCAAGCTTTGTGCTGCATACTGACACAATGAACAAAACATAGTCCCTGGCTTATGGGGTTTACATTGTAGTGGTCAGTGGGAAAGAAAGACAAATAAGCAAATATATATAATACAGTGGGACAAATGCTCTGTCACAGATGTGTAGAGCACTATAAAAAATGGGAAAGGGGGCCAGGGGCTGGGACTCACACCTGTAATCCCAGCAATTTTGGGAGGCCGAGGCGGGGGGGGATCACCTGAGGTCAGGAGTTCGAGACCAGCCTGACCAACATGGTGAAACCTCATGTCTACTAAAAATACAAAAATTAGCCAGTCATGGTGGCAGGCGCCTGTAATCCCAGCTACTTGGGAGACTGAGGCAGGAGAATTGCTTGAATCCAGGAGGCAGAGTTTGCAGTGAGCTGGTATCACACCACCACACTCCAGCCTGGGCAACAGAGCTAGACTCCATCTCAAAAAAAACTGAAAAAAAAAAAAAAAAATGGGGAAGGGACTGGGAGCCATGGCTCACACCTATAATCCCAGTGCTTTGGGAGGGAGGAGGATTGGTTGAGGCCAGCAGTTCAAGGCCAACCTGGGCAACATAAGGAGACCTCATCTTTATAAAAATATGTTTTTAATTAAAAAAACAGAGAATAGGGCCAGGCACAGTGGCTCATGCCTGTAATCCCAGCACTTTGGGAGGCCGAGGCAGGCGGATCACAACATCAAGAGTTTGAGACCAGCCTGGCAAACATGGTGAAACCCCATCTCTACTAAAAATACAAAAATTAGCCAGGTGTGGTGGCACATGCCTGTAATCCCAGCTACTTGGGTGGCTGAGGTGGGAGGATTGCTTGAACCCAGGAGGCAGATGCTGCAGTGAGCTGTGATCGCGCCACTGCCCACCAGCCCAGGAGACAGAGCAAGACTCCGTCTCAAAAATAAAAATAAAAGAGAATTAATAGTGATCAGCAAAGTGAAAGTAAGGGAAATGGTGCTTCAGGCAGAGGGGTAATCATGGAGAAACCCTAAGGAGAAAGAGAATCAAGCTATTGGAGGCCCTAGAGCGTGCATTGTGACAGAAGTGAGAAGGGGAAGGACAAGGAGTACAGTTGGCAGTAAGACTGGTACTGGGGGCAGAGATCTGCCTCCTCTGCAAAAATGCGATAACAATGTGCCCACCTAATCTCCCTCTTTTTCTGGCCGCCTTGTTTTCCAGGGTCTAGTGATATAATGAATGGGAAAATACTTTGTGGTCTGAAAAGCACTGTACAAAGTAGTACACAGACACTAGAAAAGAGCTGTGGATCACTGAGGATCAAGCTGGGTAAATCTGGCTTTGGGCTAACTTCCAGAAAAACAGTGGAAAATTAACCAAGATTGAGACATTGAGCCTTTAAAAACCTTAGGTCACAAAACTAGAGAAGATGAGGACTGGAGTTTGAACATAAAACATGACCCCAGAGTCTTTGCAAAAGAGGAAGGGGACTTGTTCTAAGGACCCCAGTGGATAGAAGCTATAGAGACTAGGTTGAATTCAATGGAAGAAATAACTTCTTATTTTTATTTATTTATTTTTTGAGGTGGAGTCTCGCTCTGTTGCCCAGGCTGGAGGGCAGTGGCACGATCTTGGCTCACTGCAACCTCCGCCTCCCAGGTTCAAGCAATTCTCCTTCCTCGGCCTCCCCAGTAGCTGGGATTACAGGCATGAGCCACCACGTTTGGCTAATTTTATTTTTATTTTTATTTATTTTTATTTTTATTTATTTATTTATTTATTTATTTATTTATTTGTATTTTTAGTAGAGATGGGGTTTCACCATGTTGCCCAGGCTGGTCTCGAATTCCTGACCTCAGGCGATCCTCCTGCCACGGCCTCTCAAAGTGCTGGGATTACAGGTGTGAACCACTGCACACAGGCAGAAGAAAGAACTTTCTAACAATCCCAACTATCTGTGGATGGGCAAGGCATTCACAGCAGTAAGTTCCCTGTTGCTGGAAGTTTGCAAGCTGATCTGGACAATGGCTGGTGTCAAGCTTGGAGTATGGGAGAGGGTCAGCTGATCTGCAAGGTCTATTTGACTTTGAGAGTCTTGGAATCAAGGATCTTGGAATGTCCATTCCCTTTGTTCCATTCCCTCTCCTTTAATAGAACAGGAGTGGAGGCTCTTTTCAGAACCTCACGATGCTGCTTGCATTCAGGAGAGGCTGGAACGGAAAATGGACAGCTCCATGCATCTGTCTTTCTGTCATCCTTCCTCGATGGCTGAACCACAGGGACCCAGTGATAAGGAGAGGGAAGGGACAGACTCCTATCATTTGGAGGCCTTGAGTCCGGCATGGCTTCTTCTTTTTTTTTTTTTTTTTTTTAGACACAGTCTCGCTCTGTGGCCCAAGCTGGAGTGCAGTGGCGCGATCTCGGCTCACTGCCACCTCCACCTCCCGGGTTCACACCATTCTCCTGCCTCAGCCTCCCGAGTAGCTGGGACTACAGGCTCCCGCCACCACGCCTGGCTAATTTTTTGTATTTTTAGTAGAGACGGAGTTTCACCGTGTTAGCCAGGATGGTCTTGATCTCCTGACCTCGTGATCCGCCCGCCTTGGCCTCCCAAAGTGCTGGGATTACAGGCGTGAGCCACCGCGCCCAGCCAAGTCCGGCATGGTTTATGTAGAGTTTGGTGTCATCTCAGATGCCATTGCTGAAATGCAGTGTGCCCTAGTGGTTAGGAGCATGAACTGCAGCATGGGACTGACCTGGATGGGTCACTTCCTGTCAGTTACCATGAGCAAATTGTTTAATCTCTGAGACTCTGCTTTCTCATTTTAAAAATGGAGACAATAGGCCGGGCGCGGTGGCTCACGCCTGTAATCCCAGCACTTTGGGAAGCCGAGGCGGGCAGATCACGAGGTCAGGAGATCCAGACCATCCTGGCTAACACGGTGAAACCCCGTCTCCACTAAAAAATACAAAAAAAATTACCCTTGCGAGGTGGCGGGAACCTGCAGTCCTAGCTACTCGGGAGGCTGAGGCAGGAGAACGGCGTGAACCTGGGAGGCGGAGCTTGCAGTGAGCTGAGATCGCGCCACTGCACTCCAGCCTGGGCAACAGAGCAAGACTCCGTCTCAAAAAAAAAAAAAAAAAAAAAAAAAAAAGGAGACAATAGGCCGGGCGGGGTAGCTCACGCCTGTAATCCCAACACTTTGGGAGGCTGAGGCAGGCGGATCACCTGAGGTTGGGAGTTTGAGGCCAGCCTGACCAACATGGAGAAACCTTGTCTCTACTAAAAATACAAAATTAGCTGGGTGTGGTGGTGCATGCCTGTAATCCTAGCTACTCGGGAGGCTGAGAGAGGAGAATCGCTTGAACCCAGGAGGCAGAGGTTGCGGTGAGCTGAGATCATGCCATTGCACTCCAGCCTGGGCAACAAGAGTGAAACTCCATCTCAAAATAAGATAAAATAAAATAAAATAAAAATGGAGACAATAATTCCCGCATCAGGAAGTTTTGCGGGGGGATTACATGAGCTAAGGTAGGGCCTAGGTTCAATGTCTGTCACATAGTAGGCACTCATACATTTTAGCTATTAACATGCTGAAAACATTTACATTAGTCTACAGTTGGGCAAAATCATCTAACACAGAGCCCATTTTATTTATTTATTTATTTTTTTGACACAGGGTCTTGCTCTGTCACCCAGGCTGGAGTGCAGTGGTGGGATCTCCGTTCACTGCAAGCTCCGCCTTCCAGGTTCACGCCATTCTCCTGCCTCAGCCTCCCGAGTAGCTGGGACTACAGTCGCCCGCCACTACGCCTGGCTAATTTTTTGTATTTTTAGTAGAGACAGGGTTTCACCGTGTTAGCCAGGATGGTCTCGATCTCCCGACCTCATGATCTGCCCACCTCGGCCTCCCAAAGTGCTGGGATTACAAGCGTGAGCCACCGCGCCCGGCCATTCACAGAGCCCATTTTATAATAAATTGACTATCTCACTTAACTTACTGAATACTGGACTGAAAGTGAAAAACAGAATGACTGCATGGGTACTCAAAGTACAGTTTCTACTGAATAGGTATCATTTTTGCTCCATCATAAAGTCAAAAAATGGTAGATTAAACCATTGTAAGTCAGGGACTATCTATATTTTATTGTTGTCACTTGCTGGGGAAATTTGAAGAAGTTATTCAAACACTCTGAACTTCAGTTTTCTCTCCTGTTAAATGGGGAGAGTAACACCTAACTCACAAGATAGTTGGAGGAAGCTGTGTCCAACACATAGCAGAAGTTGGCAGATGTTATTTTCTATACTATTTATTTATTTGAGACAGGGTCTCTCTTTGTCACCCAGGCTGGAGTGCAGTGGCGCCATCTCAGCTCACTGCAACCTTTACCCCCCTGGGCTCAAGAGATCCTCCCACCTCAGCCTCCCGAGTAGCAGGGACTATAGGCATGTGCCACCACACCTGGCTGATTTTTTAATTTTTTGTAAAGACAAGGTTTCACCATCTTGCCCAGGCTGGTCTCAAACTCCTGGGCTCAAGTGATCTGCCTGCCTGGGCCTCCCAAAGTGTTGGGATTTCAGGCATGAGCCACTGTAGCCAGCCCACAAATGTTATTTTCTCTTTTTTTTCTTTTCTTTTTTTTTTTTTTTTGAGACAGAGTCTCGCTCTGTGGCCCAGGCTGGAGTGCAGTGGCGCAATCTCAGCTCACTTCAAGCTCCGCCTCCTGGGTTCACGCCATTCTCCTGCCTCAGCCTCCCAAGTAGCTGAGATTACAGGTGCCTGCCACCACACCCGGCTAAGTTTTTTTGTGTCTATTTTAAGTAGAGACGAGGTTTCACCGTGTTAGTCAGGATGGTCCTGATCTGACCTCATGATCTGCCCTTCTTGGCCTCCCAAAGTGCCGGGATTACAGGTGTGAGCCACCGTGCCCAGCCACAAATGTTATTTTCAATCCTTACTCTAAAAGAAGAAAGTATGGGGGTGTGGGGGGCAGGGGGAGGGATAGCATTAAGAGAAATACCTAATGTAAATGACGAGTTGATGGGTGCAGCAAACCAACATGGCACATGTATACCTATGTAACAAATCTGCACGTTGTGCACATGTACCCTAGAACTTAAAGTATAATAAAAAATTTAAAAAAAGAAGAAAGGATGGGAATCAGGGGTACTTCTACACCTTTTGTCCTATTCTCCATCTGTAAACGTCGCAAACGCAGTGAGCACCAAGAGAGTGTAGAGATCATATATCCATTCTTCCGTTTGACAGATGGGAAACTGACACCCAGAGAGGAAGAGATTTGCTCAAGGCCCCACACAGTGAGTTAGTGACAAAGCTGGGATTGGAAACCAGAACTTTCTTACCATACCATACCATTCTATCTCTATTATTGACAAAATGTTGAATGAATGTATCATTGAAGATTGAATGAATGAAGGTCTCTATATATGTTCCCAGGGACGTGGAGGATTTGCTGATGTGAGAACCAAACTTTGCAGCAGTTGTTCCTCAGGCAAGCTGTTCCAGTGCAATCACTACTCACTGTATCCTCGACCTCCCAGACTCAGGTGACCCTCCCACCTTAGCCTCCTGAGTAGCTGGGACTACAAGCACATGCCACCATGCCCAGATAATTTTTGTATTTTTTGTAGGGATGGGATTTCGCCATGTTGCCCAGGCTGATCTGGAACTCCTGGGCTCAAGTGATCCACCTGCCTCAGCCTCCCAAATTGCTAGGATTGCAGGTGTGAGCCACCAAGCCTGGCCACAAGCTGTTCTTTTTCTTTTTTTTTTTTTTTTGAGATAGCGTCTTGCTCTGTCACCCAGGCTGGAGTGCAATGGCGTGATCTCGGCTAACGGCAACCTCCACCTCCCGGGTTCAAGCGATTCTCCTGCCTCAGCCTCCCGAGTAGCTGGAACTACAGGCGTCTGCCACCACTCCCAGCTAATTTATATATATAATATATATAATATATAATTATATTATATATTATATATTAATATATAATTATATTATATATTATATATTAATATATAATGTATTATACATATATAATTATATAAATTATGTATGTATTATATAATTATATATAATATAATTATATATAATTGTATATATTAATATATAATTGTATATATAATTATATATATATTAATATATAATTGTATATATAATTATATATATTAATATATAATTGTATATATAATTATATATATAATATATACATATATATTTTTTCGAGAAAGAGTCTTTCTCTGTCACCCACGCTGGAGTGCAGTGGCACAATCTCGGCTCACTGCAAGCTCCACCTCCCAGGTTCATGCCATTCTCCTGCCTCAGCCTCCTGAGTAGCTGAGACTACAGGCGCACACCACCACGCCTGGCTAATTTTTGTTGTATTTTTTAGTAGAGACAGGGTTTCACCATGTTAGCCAGGATGATCTCCATCTCCTGACCTCGTGATCCACCCACCTTGGCCTCCCAAAGTGCTGGGATTACAGGCGTAAACCACCGCGCCCGGCCCACAAGCTGTTCTTTTAAGCCTCCCTGCTTTTGTTTCAACTGTTCCTTTATTCTGGAATGCCCTGCCCACTCTGGCTTTCAAAATCGTATACAAGGTCTAACCCAATGCCACCTCATCTATAAAGCCTCCCATAACATCCCATATGTTAGCTTTCACTGATTCCATTGTATGCTGTTATGTCCCAGCCACAGTCTGATGCATTTGTCTAGTTATATGTCTGTCTTCTCCACTAGTTTTCTCCCCACCAAACAGACAGGGGAGAGATGTGAATTTTTTAATTTTTAATTTTATTATTATTATTTTATAGAGACAAGGTCTCCCTGTGTTGCCTAGGCTGGTCTTGGACTCCTAGGCTCAAGGGATCCTCCTGCCTCATCCTCCCAAAGTGCTAGGATTACAGGCGTGAGCCACCACGCCCCACCAGAAATGTCAGTTTGAACCTATATACTCTGATTGAAAGGAGTATACAAGGAGGCCAGAAACCTAGTTATTGTTATTTACTAGCTATGGGAACTTGAACAAGTTACTTGGATTTTAGATCTTGTTTTCACATTTACAAAATGGAATGGATGAAAGACAATGTCTGAAAATAGTAACTCCTAAGCCTCTTTTTCGTTTCTTTTTTTTTTTTTTTTTTGAGACAGAATCTCGCTCTGTCGCCCAGGCTGGACAGGCTGGAGTGCAGTGGCGCAATCCCGGCTCACTGCAAGCTCTACCTCCCAGGTTCACCCCATTCTCCTGCCTCAGCCTCCCGAGTAGCTGGGACTGCAGGCGCCTGCCACCACACCCAGCTGATTTTTTGTATTTTTAGTACAGACAGGGTTTCACCGTGTTAGCCAGGATGGTCTTGATCTCCTGACCTCGTGATCCGCCTGCCTTGGCCTCCCAAAGTGCTGGGATTACAGGCGTGAGCCACCGCACCCGGCCACCTCTTTTTCTTTCTCTCTCTCTTTTTTTTTAAACAGACAAGGTCTCACTCTGTTGCCTAGGCTAGAATGCATCACACCTCACTGTAACCTCAAACTCCTGGCCTCAAGGGATCCTCCCACTCCCACCTTGACCCCCAAAGTGCTGTGATTACAGGCATGAATCACCCACTCAGCCTACCTAAGCCTCTTTTTTTTTTTTTTTTTTGAGACAAGGTCTCACTCTGTTGCCCAGGCTGGGGTGCAGGGGTGCAATCTCTGCTCACTGCAACCTCTGCCTCCCAAGTTAAAGCGATTCTCCTGCCTCAGCTTCCTGAGTAGCTGGGACTACAGGTGTGTACCACTACGCCCAGCTAATTTTTGTATTTGTAGTAGAGACAGGGTTTCATCATGTTGGACAGGCTGGTCTCAAACTCGTGACCTCAGGTGATCCACCCGCCTTGGCCTCCCAAAGTGCTGGGATTACAGGCGTGAGCCGCCGCGCCTGACCACCTAAACCTCTTTTAATGGAAGTGTAGATTATTGACTCTGAATGCTCATTCTAGAGTCAACCTACCAGACTTTGAATCCTGACTGTCACTTACTCTGTGAGTTTGAGTAAGCTACTTAACCCCTCTGTGCCTGTAAAATGAGAATAATAACCATGCCTGTCTCATAAGAGTTGTCAGGATTCGAACAGATAATTTATATATAAAGCACTTAGCACAGTACCTGGTGCACATGGTGAGCCTTTGAAAAGAGTAAGCTACCATTATTTTTTATTATTTTTATTCTACTAACTCTGGGTTCACAGCTCCAACTTTAATGTCCTCAAAGCAATGTGAGAGTCTGTCTTCATTCTAGGAGGGGCCTGCAGAGCAGAGTGATAAAGAGCATGGATCTGAAACCAGCCAAAAGTAGGAGCAAAATAACAACATGCTCAGACATGTGGGATCCAGGAAATTGCACTCCCATTCACCCTTTCCTGGGCAGTTACTTGAAGATGTGCTTCTCAAGTGTGAAAAAAAGAAGTATGTTGACATGAGATCCAGAAAACACCGTCCCCAACCTGGAGACGGAAAGCAGTGAGAAGGAACCCCTAAGGTGACCGCTGGAAGCAGGCCAGAATGGAGGGGGCTCTGGGAAAAAGGACTTAATGTAAAAGATAATATGATGGAGGCTTTGAAAACAACTAAGGGAGGCCAGGCATGGTGGCTCATACCTGTAATCTCAGCATTTGGGAGGCTGAGGCAGGTGGATCACCTGAGGTCAGGAGTTCAAGATCAGCCTGGCCAACATGGTGAAACCCTGTCTTTACCAAAAATACAAAGATTAGCCAGGCATGGTGGCGGGTGCCTGTATTCCCAGCTACTTGGGAGGCTGAGGCAGTAAAATTGCTTGAACCCGGGAGGCAGATGTTGCAGTGAGCTGAGATTGCGCCATTGCACTCCAGCCTGTGTGACAAGAGCAAAAACTCTATCTCGAAAAAAAAAAAGAAAGAAAACAACTGAGGATGTTTTAATGACAAACAAGACAGTAAACGGAGAAAGGCAGTTAGAGAGTCCAGGGAAAATAAAAAGTGGTAGAAGAAAGGAAATTTTCCTGTAGTCCCAGCTACTTGGGAGGCCAAGGTGGGAGGATTGCTTGAGCTCAGGGGTTGGAGTCCAGCATGGAAAACATAGCCAGACCTCATCTCTAAAAACAAAAGAAATAAAAAAAGAAAATTTTCACCTAGTATACTACTTGGCAATGCAATGAACATTTCCATAATCGTGACAGCATAAACATTGGTTATCAATTTAGTTGAAAGTGGTTATTTAACTACATTGGGAGGAAGGGGACAGGAGAGATGGGCCCTGTAAGAGAGGTAAGTCCTCATCTACCATAACAGGAAATCAATAGATAATATCTAAAATCAATAAATGAAGGAACAGACATGCATGCATATTATTTAGAGGTATAGAAATGTTCTCCAGAAGAAATGGCTGAAAGAGTGGTTGCTTCATGGGAGTGGAGGAGGTGGAGTGGCCAAAGGACTTCATTATAATTCTTTCAATATTAATTGAACCATATGCATTCATTACTTTACAGTGTTTTTTAATTTTTAATTTTTGTGGGTACATAGTAGGTGTACATATTTATGAGGAACTACAGTATTTCTTAAAAAGTGAAGAAGAATATTGGAGTGAGTTCCACCTGGGATCCACCCCTTATGTTCCGTAAGTTGAGACAAGTCACTTAACTTCAGTAAGTCTCGGTTTCCTCTCCAGTAAAGTGGGGACCATATTAGGATGTTTGAGGACTGAAAGGGACAATACACACAAAGCATTTGATGTATGCCTGGTGTAAATTCATCACACAATAAACAGTAACTGCAGAATCAGGGAAGAATAGGTTCAAGGTTCAGACTAAAGTAGCATTGAGAAATGAAAGCTTTTGGATACACCTGCCTCCTGCCTCCATGGCATATGACAATCATTGGATACAAACAAACGGGCACCAGGTGAATGACAGTTGTGTGGGTTGTGACCCACAAACCAGACTTGGGGATTGCTGGAAGGATCAGCAGCCATGAGGAAATCACAGTTGGGTGTCATGAGTTCCACTGCAAGAGGACGCCTGGAGAGTTACAGTTCCTGGACAGTGAGCTATAGCAGGATCATCATTTTCTCTTCCTGCCTATGCCTTGTGGGGGATGTGTCAAAAGAAAAAGATTTAGAGGCTGTCAGGGTGAGGGTCGGAGGTCAGCTGGGGTCAGGAAGTCTATTTCACTGAGGTCACTCTCGTCTCCTTTCAATCTAATGAAGCCATTATTGGTGAAAGCAAGTGCCTGGCATCCTGCTCTGTGAAGCAGGGCCAGCACGGGGAGCACACTGAAAGAAGGGTGGGACCCCCTTGGCTTGTTCTCCTGCCACTGCCAACTCAATAGGCCTGAGAAGGAAGAGGCACACGATCCTGCTCGATGCAGGAAGCCCTAGTCCCTGAGTGGGATGAGGATGACAGCATGGGGCAAAAACAGATTGTTTCTCTGTGTAATAGGAATGGGGGAATGGGAGATCTCTCTCTCTCTCTCTCTCTCTCACAGACACGCACACACACACACACACTCTGTCTCTCTCACACACACTTATACAGATCATATCATCTAAAAATGTCAATGTCAGAACTGGAAGAAACATTTGTCTAACAACAAATCTAACTCTCATTTTACCCTCAAAGGTACAACTGGGCGCTTTTCTTGAGATCACAGAGCAAATTAGGAGGCTGGGGCCGGGTGTGGTGGCTCACACCTGTTATCTCAGCACTTTGGGAGGCCAAGACAGAAGGATTGCTTGAGCCGAGGAGTTCAAGATCAGCTTGGGCAACATAGACCTTCTTTCTACAAAGTTTTAAAATTTTTTTAAAATTTAGCTAGGCATGGTGGTGCACACCTGCAGCCCCAGCTACTCAAGAGGCTGAGGCAGGAGGATTGCTTGAGACTGGGAGATCAAGGTTGCAGTGAGCATGATCGTGACACTACACTCCAACCTGGGCAACAGAGCCAGACTCTATCTCAAAAACAAACAGAAATAATTAGGCTGGAACACAAACAAAAATCAGGCTGAACTAGATGCATAGACACATTTTACTTAACTATTTGTTTATTGTCTGTCTCTCTCTTCTAGAATGTTAGTACTATGAGTCAGAAATTTCATCTGTATTGTTCACTAATGTATTTACTGTGCTTCAGATGGTGCTGCCTGATACACAATATTTGTTTAATAAATACTTGTTAGGTATGTGAGTGAATGAATAGATGAATAAATAGAAATAGATGCTGTATTGCCTTCATGGTGAATTACAGAGTATACTGCCATGCTTTGAAAAGCTCTGTCCCAGCCGGGCGCGGTGGCTCATACCTGTAATCCCAGCACTTTGGGAGGCTGAGGCGGGTGGATCACGAGGTCAGGAGATTGAGACCATCCTGGCTAACACGATGAAACCCCATCTCTACTAAAAATAAAAAAATTAGCCCGGCGTGGTGGTGGGCGCCTATAGTCCCAGCTACTCGTGAGGCTGAGGCAGGAGAATGGCGTGAACCCGGGAGGTGGAGGTGGCAGTGAGCCGAGATAGCGCCACTGCACTCCAGCCTGGGCGACAAAGTGAGACTCCATCTCAAAAAAAAAAAAAAGAAAGAAAGAAAACCTCTGCATAGGAAACATAGTTAACATACCTTTCCAAATGATGTCACTCTATAAATGTTTTGAAACTGATAATACGTATTATTCATCCCATGGAATTACTATCTGGAGGGACACACTATGGGAAATATTTCTCTCAAATGCATACCATCATTCATGTTAGAAGATGGTCAGGATATTACACTCCGAACACCACTCTCGACTGTACCACAGAATTCTCAGAGTACTTCAGAAATGGGAGCTGAGTGTGGATGATTACCCAGAAGAGGACTTGCTTTGGCTCTGGCCAGCTCTTTGACTTAGAAAGCCAAGGAGCTATAGGAAGAATGATCAGTAGAAATGACAGGCTAGGCCAGGTGTGGTGGCTCATGCCTGTAATCCAAGCACTTTGGGAGGCCGGGGCGGGCGGGTCATCTGAGGTGAAGCATTCAAAACCAGCTGGCAAACATGGTGAAATGCTGTCTCTACTTAAAAAAAAAAAAAAAAAAAATTAGCCAGGGATGGTGGTAGGCACCTGTAATCCCAGCTACTTGGTAGTCTGAGGAAGGAGAATTGCTTGAACCCAGGAGGCAGAGGTTGCAGTGAGCCGAGATCATGCCATTGCACTCCGACCTGGGCAACTAGAGTGAGACTCTGTCTTAAAAAAAAAAAAAAAAAAAAAAAAAAAAAAAAAGGACAGGCTAGAGCTGTGGCCCATGGAAAAGAAATCACAAACTTGGGTCCTATATTTATCAACTAGGTGGAATATATAGTCTCCTTCCAGTCTTTTTGTCTGCCTGTATATTTTTTCACTATTGGTAAAATGGTGATGGCACTAGTCATGATAACAACATACTAGAACTGTGGGAATAATATGGGCTTTGCAGTCAAAGATGTGTGAGTTCAAATCTGCCTCTGCCATGTATTAGTTGAGCAACATTAGGCAAGCTATTAATATACTGATTCGATTAAGCTTTAGTTTCCTCTCCTGTAAAGTAAAAATTTAATACTTATTCTTCAGCATTATTGAGAGTCTTGAATGAGATTTTAAAAAGGTGCCTGTATTCCTGATAAATGCTGGCTGTCGTTATTATTATCTAGCAGAATGCTCATTCCACAGAGGCAGGAATTTTTGTTTGTATTGCACTTTGATGTATTCTCAACAATTAGAACAATGTCTGCCACGGAAGAAGTGCTCAGCAAATATTTGTCAATTATTGGATGGATTGTTATTATTATTAAGACCTCTTGCAGCTCTTTTATGAAGCTATAAACCTGCGCAAAAGGAACTTAGCAAAATGCCTTAAGGAAAGGGATGTTCTTTGTGTTGATACCGGACACCCTTGTCTTCTCTAAAGAGTACATTTACCCTCCTTTTACCTAGATATTATTACTCTCAGAAACCAGTACACAAGAAACCTACAATGCTTAGCTATTTCAGTCTTGTCTTCCTAAGTAGACTATAACTTCTTGGAAGGCAGGGAATATTTTTTCTTTCCTTTTTTACTTTTGTATATCCTCATGCTACTTAGTGTGTACTACTTTTTACATGTCAGCTGGGCACGGTGGCTCACACCTGTAATCCCAGCACTTTGGGAGGCCGAGGTGGGTGGATCACGAGGTCAGAAGTTCGAGACCAGCCTGGCCAATATGGTGAAACCTTGTCTCTACTAAAAATACAAAAATTAGCCGGGCATGGTGGCAGGCACCTGTAATCCCAGATACTTGGGAGGCTGAGGCAGGAGAATGGCTTGAACCTGGGAGGCAGAGGTTGCAGTGAGCTGAGATCATGCCATTGCACACTAGCCCGGGTGACAGAGTAAGACTCCGTCTCAAAAAAAAAAAAAAAAAAAAGAAGAAGAAGAAGAAGAAGAACTAACTACATGACAGGAACTGTTTCAAAAGCTTTGCCTACATGATCTAACTTCATCCTCACAATATCTCTGAGGCCTCAGTATTCTCATTATTCCTATAGGACAGAGGAAGAAACAGAGGAATATAGAGGTTAAGGAAGAGCTGTAAATAGTAGAGCTGACATTCGAACATGGGTAATCTGACTCTAATGCCTTGTACTCCTTTAAAAAGTGGTAATAATTAAGAAAATAAGGCCGGGAGTGGTGACTCACGCCTGTAATCCCAACACTTTGGGAGGCCGAGGTGGGCGGATCACCTGAGGTCAGGAGTTCGATATCAGCCTGGCTAACATGGTAAAACCCTGTCTCTACTAAAAATACAAAAATTAGCCAGGCATGGTGGTGGGCACCTGTAATCCCAGCTACTCAGGAGGCTGAGACAGGAGAATCACTTGAACCCAGGAGGCAGAGGTTGCAGCGAGCCAAGATCGCACCACTGCACTCCAGCCTGGGCAGTAGAGTGAGAATCTATCTCAAAAAAAAAAAAAAAAAAAAAAAAAGAAAAGAAAAGAAAAAGAAAAGAAAATTAAAAACAGAGATTAGTTTTTCTTCTACTTTGGTCTTCTTTGACTCAAAAAATATTATCTCTTCTTTCCTAACCCTTTACAGCCATATTATGGGAAGTAGGTTTCCCATTTTTCTGAAGAGGAGTTTGAGATACCTGCATCTCTCTCACAAAATCATATACTACTGGGAATCTCTCTCTCTCTCTCTTTGAGACAAGGCCTGGGTGAGTCTGTCACCCACGCTGGAGTGCAATGGCACTATCTCCTCACTGCAACCTCGGCCTCCTGGGCTCAAGTGATCCTCCCACCTCAGCCTCTCAAGTAGCTGGCATGCGCCACCACATCCGGTTAATTTTTGTATTTTTTTTAGAGATGGGGTTTCGTCATGTTGCCCAGGCTGGTCTCAAACTCCTGTCCTCAAGCAATCCTCCCACCTTGACCCCCCAAAATGCTGGGATTACAGGCGTGAGCCACCACGCCCGGTCGAAAGTGCCATTTCTTTAGCATTCAAAAAAAGTATCTTAGGCCGGGTGCGGTGACTCACACCTATAATCCCAGCACTTTGGGAGGCCCAGGCGGGCGGATCACTTGAGGTCAGGAGTTCAAGACCAGCCTGGCCAACATGGTAAACCCCGTCTCTATAAAAATACAAAAATTGGACGGGCGTGGTAGCATGTGCCTGTAATCCCAGCTACTCGGGAGGCTGAGGCACGAGAATTGCTTGAACCCAGGAGGCAGACGTTGCAGTGAGCAGATATCGTGCCACTGCACTCCAGCCTGGGTAACACAGCAAGACTCCGTCCCCCAAAAAAAGTGTCTTCATTCATCTGAAATGTGTCAGTGTTACCACAGCGGGAACCGGCATTGAGGAAAATCAGGTTTTCTGGGAAAGACTTGGAGGTGGGAACTCAAGAAGTTATTCTCAAAACTGTGAGCTGGGAATCAAGACAGCGTGACTCAATTCAGCACCGTGGACAGAGCTGCTGGAGCCCTCAGGACCCTGGACAGAGAAGCAGGCCGCGCATTCCCGGGGAACCGAATTCGCATCACTTGAGAACCCACCTAGAGAAGCCAGAGCGTTCAACTCCCCTTTCCCTCCCTTTTCTTCAGCCAGACCTCAGCCACTTGCTCCTGAGTCTTAGGAACAGAGGTACACGGAGCGAATATATTTTAAGGGCGCCACTAACAGCGGGAGATAAGACTTTTGGGAGAGGAGAATTATGTAAATAAAAATGGCTTTGGCTGATGTACTAGGAGAACTCTTGATAATTCTAAATTAGAGTCCTCAGATGGGAGTGGGGCACTGCTAATAATATTTGTTAACGATATGTATTTTTTAGGCGGAGCAGCAAAGGGCCACTCTTGTCCTTTTTACCCCACGAAGTCCCACCTCCCATTCCTTACGCTCAAGTTTTCATTTCTTGGAGAGCACCCCGTACGAGAGAAAGGGAAATAACTTCTGCAGTCTCTTGCTTTCCTCCCCATCTTCCCCTTCCCTACCCCCACTCATCCGGTCTCTCTGAAATACACATGTGCCCACATCCGCACGTGCACACACACACACACACAAACACACACACAGAGCCACAGCGTGAGAATTCCAAAAGGTTCTGCACACTCGGTGGAGAAGATTGAATTCAGAGCAAGCGGATGCCCCCGAAAGCAGGCTCTGTCCCTTTAAATGGGTTGTAGTGGTGGGGGAGGGGAACTGGCCGGAGCTGGCATTGTCCAGTTTGAACTGAACACCGGAAGTGAAGGGGCAGGGCCAGGGCCGTGCACTGAGCCCCGGGCCATTGTCCATCTCCGACCAGGGCAGTAGCCACCCCCACTAGCCAGCCGTCTTTATCTCCTAGAAGGGGAGGTTACCTCTTCAAATGAGGAGGCCCCCCAGTCCTGTTCCTCCACCAGCCCCACTACGGAATGGGAGCGCATTTTAGGGTGGTTACTCTGAAACAAGGAGGGCCTAGGAATCTAAGAGTGTGAAGAGTAGAGAGGAAGTACCTCTACCCACCAGCCCACCCAGTCCCTCTCTCAGCAGTGGATGGGGATGGGGTGGGGGTAGGACGAGAAGGCAGCTGGTGGAGAAACAGCTTCAAGACTCTTTGGGTTCCTCCTGCTCTCCAGGGAGCTTACCTGGGGCTAACTTTAGACACACAGGTTTGGAGGGAGGAAAGAAGGAAGAATTCTTTACAACGAATCAATTAAGAGCACTTTCTCTTTTCTAACTGGGGGAGGCCCAGAAAAACTCTGAGTCAGAAACTCTGGGAGGCAGACATTCAGATGTAGTCAGAGGCAGACAGACTTTGGAAGGCAGCGCTTTGGTCAGGACAGATCAGCCCTGTGTGTCCCCAGCCTCTCCCCTGCTCCCCCATCCCGGGCTTCCCAGTGTCCAGAACTCCAGGTCTATCTAAGCACACGGGGGTGGGGGGTGAGAGCGGGTCAGCTCCAAGCAGCCGGGTCAGCTCAGAGGCCTGAGGGGGAAGAGAGGGGGAGGGGAGCTCAAGGGCTGGGGGAGGGGGAGGGCCCATTCATTTCTCCCTTGACAGGTGGTTTGTGTTTCTGATTGGCCAGCGCCGCCAGGCTCACACCTCCCTCCCCCAACTCTCTGGAATGTATAATTATCTGCCCGGGGGGTGGGGGTGGTGTGTGTGTGTGTGTGTGTGTGTGTGTGTGTGTGTGTGCAGTCACGTGGTTTTAAAACTACCCCCCCCACCAGGTCCCCCACCTGTATCTGCTTTGGGGACCCCTACTGAGTCCAAAGTGCAGGATCTCAAATTCCGGGGTACTCAAGTCTTCTAGGGCAGACAGACCCATCTCCAGTTGTGCGTGTGGGGAGGGGGTGTCAAACCTCAAGGTTCTGAGAAGGGACACCCCAGAGGT
Source organism: Homo sapiens (assembly GCF_000001405.40). Taxonomy (NCBI): domain Eukaryota; kingdom Metazoa; phylum Chordata; class Mammalia; order Primates; family Hominidae; genus Homo; species Homo sapiens. The sequence goes on from NC_000001.11 coordinate 26,410,616, forward strand.
GTCAGAGACCGGAGTTGTGGGGGAGGGCCGGAGCTGGAGCCGGAGGGAAAGGGAGGGGAAAGGAGAGGGAGGGGAGGGGAGGGGGCTGCCCGCGGGGGGTTGGGTCATTGTCTTTTAGAATTTGGGAGCCTTTGAAAAGCCGTGGGCCCTCCCACCGCTATTGTGCGGGGGAAGATGTAGCAGCTTCTTCTCCGAACCAACCCTTTGCCTTCGGACTTCTCCGGGGCCAGCAGCCGCCCGACCAGGGGCCCGGGGCCACGGGCTCAGCCGACGACCATGGGCTCCGTGTCCAACCAGCAGTTTGCAGGTTCGAGCTCGGGACTTAGCGGGGACACTTTAGGATTCAGGGGCGGCCAGGAGCCACGTAGAAGGGAGGTGGGGAACTGAGTCCTAGGCTGCCCAAAGGACCCCAAGACGGTGCGGCCTTCTGCTTCATAGGGCCGTCTCTGGGGCCAGGAACCTTGGTGTCCCAGTGGCGTGCGCGCCAGACTACGTGGGTGGATGGAGAGGAGAGGCTTGTCCCGCCGTGAGTCTCTGGGAAACGCGTTGTGGGAAGAGGAGCAAAACTTTCGGGGCACTACTGTCCCGGTGTACGCTAGGGGAACGCGGGAGGCGACCGGGATAGGTTTCTTCTCTTCTGTTGCTTGGTAGCTGCCCCCTCCTGGCTGTCCACTTGTGGGGCTGGATACTCGGGTCTCCCTGCCTGGGGCCCGAGACGGCCCTCCGATTCCGTGCCCCCCAGCTAAGTGCCCGGCCCTCCCTCTCTCCAGGTGGCTGCGCCAAGGCGGCAGAAGAGGCGCCCGAGGAGGCGCCGGAGGACGCGGCCCGGGCGGCGGACGAGCCTCAGCTGCTGCACGGTGCGGGCATCTGTAAGTGGTTCAACGTGCGCATGGGGTTCGGCTTCCTGTCCATGACCGCCCGCGCCGGGGTCGCGCTCGACCCCCCAGTGGATGTCTTTGTGCACCAGGTGAGACTGATTCCGGTAACTTTGCCCAGGGAAGGGCGTCTAGGCGCCCATATCCACGGGTGGGCTCCGGGCTCGCAGTTGAATTGAGGGCCATCGGGAGCCCTCATTATGCATCCCTGTCTTTGCTTCGGCACCCCAATTCTGAGTCCCTGTTAACTATCTCGTGGGGGAGTAGTGGGAGGCAGCACCAATTATCAGCACCCCCGCCCCCTTCCGGGAACCCCTCCGGCTTACCACGTGTCTATTACCTCTTTCCCCTGGGAAGGGGCAGGGGGCAGGGAGGTGACCCCATGTGGCAGAAACTAAGGTTGTATTGTGCTTGCCGGTGGGGGGAGGGCGAGCAGGCCGGCCAGGGAAGCACATGCCGGGCCTAAGCCGGGAGCCCAGCTCCTCCAACGTCTGAATGGAGCTCAGAAGGCGGGAGAGAGTGAGGGCAACTGGCTACTGGACCCAAGGGGCGTAAAGCCGAGAAGTCAGCCTCATCCCCTTTTTAATGCAGACCTCACCTGGCTGGTCACTAAAAACTGGGTTTGGCAGATCCCTGAAGGATCCCTGTGGGGGCTTGAAAGCTCAGGACTGGGGTCTTTGCTGTCCAGTTCCCGTGAGGAAGGAAAACCCAAAGAGCCCAGGCCTTCCTTACATTCCTGGGCCAGGCTGGGAGGGAAGTCGGTAGGTCGCAACCCCAAGTTCTCAGTTAAAGCAGGGCAGCACAGTAGGGGGTGAAATTCAGTGTCGCAGGGCAGGGGGTGAAGGGAGGCTGGCCTCTGGTCCTATTCTCCGCTTGGCATTTATGGCCCCAGACAGCCATTGATTGCTGTCTTAACATTCCTGGCCTCAAACAAGGAGCCAGAGACTTCAGGTCTCCCTCCTCCCAGGCTTCCCCTTCCTGAATATCCTAGAGGCATTCCGGTGGTCCTGGGCCACCAGCTACCCATAAAGACCATGGAAAGGAAGTTGCTTGCTGCCTATGGCCCTTCCATCTTTGGAGGTTTGGGACTGGATCTGGAAAGAAGAAATTGCTAATCCCAGATCGTGTAGGTTGACACCCAGGCCGGGCAGGGAGGGGTTACTTAAGGGAGGTTGGCTTTAGGAGGTGTGGGGGAGGGGAAAGGAGGATGTGGGGATTAAGGGTTGGAGCCTGAAGGGATGGCATTCTTTGGGGGAGGGGTAGAGAAGGGAGATGCTGGATGGACTAGTTGGAGGCAGCAGGGACGTCTTTGAGCACAGCCTTCAGTGAGGAACAAACAAGGGAAATAGACGCAGGGAGATGGGGAGCCACCACTTACTGTTGGGGCCATGGGGTCAGTGGGCTACTTGAACATCTGCCAAGAGGACCTGCAGCAGGATACTGAGCTGCCCCTTTGCAGCACCCTTATTCCCCCAACCCCCCATTAGACAGCTAGTTTCCCACTAGTGGCTTTTCTCCCTTCTCTGTCTCATTTACATATGTGAATGATAACCCACAGGAAGTAATTGTGGGAGAAAGAAGGGAATTGGCCTTTTTAGATCTATTAAATCACTTTATTACAGGAACCAGCTTTGAATGGCCCTCCTCAGCAGGGTAGCAAGCCTCCCCCACTCTCCCATTTATCTGATCACAAAGAGATTAAAATCTTTCCTGGTCTGGGGACTGGACAGCTCCCCCAACTTTGGGAGGCTGGAATAAAAGAGTCAGACCCAACGTTTTCTCATCTCCCATCCAAAGGCTGCCAGATAGGGAGGGGCTGAGGGGAATGTATCCCCTCATCTTCTGGGTTCCTTGGTGATATACATACCCCAAGGAAGGTGTTTTCTTGTTTTGTTTGTTTGTTTGTTTGAGCAAATGGGGACTTGGGCCTCAGCAGGCTTCACCTTAGGATCTAGAGCAATTGGGAAACTATTGGATGGCATAGAGCAGGCATTGAGTCTACACCATGCTGGGTCAGATGTGCTGGCTTGGAAATACTCTGGATTTTAGGCTCTTGGAACATCCAGGAACCCATAGTTGAGTAAGTTGTCAATAGGGAGCTGAGCTGGAAGAGAATTAAGAATTTGTCTCTCTAATCCCCAGCTCTTCCCATTCTACTCACAAAGCACAATGATGGGTGGAAATTCCCTGAGCCTTTACCTGGTAGCTCTGATAATGGTAGCATGCCAGAAAGGCTTGGGTCAGGGGTCCTCCAACCCCACCTTAACCGTAAGTTAGATTAGTGATTCCAGTCTTTGCACTTGTTTTTTTGTTTGTTTGTTTGTTTGTTTGTTGCTTTTTTTTTTTTTTTTTTTGAGATGGTGTTTGGCTCTTGTTGGCCAGGCTGGAGTGCAATGGCATGATCTCCACTCACCGCAACCTCCGCCTCCCAGGTTCAAGCGATTCTCCTGCCTCAGCTTCCTGAGTAGCTGGGATTACAGGCATGTGCCACCACGCTCGGCTAATTTTTTGTATTTTTAGTAAAGACGGGGTTTCTGCACGTTGGTCAGGCTGGTCTTGAACTCCTGACCTCAGATGATCCGCCCGCCTTGGCCTCCCAAAGTGCTGGGATTACAGGCATGAGCCACCACTCTTCTGCATTTGTGAAATTAGAAATGACTCTCTGGAAATCTTATGGTAAAGGAATTTAGTAAACACAGGATAAATTGTTTACTGGGGGAGGAGGAAAGTGTTCCCGAAGCAGAGGGTAAGAAATCTTTAACAAAACTTCCCATTCTTTGGCTGCTGGGGTTGGGCACCCTGGGGTTGGGGTGGGCTGGTGAGAAGGTAATTGTCCTAAGATAGCATCTACCAGAGGGAGGGGGTCAGGGAGCCCCTTTGCAAATAAAGAGGAAGGGGGAAAGGCAATTTAAAAACATTTTCTTTTCCTTTCCAAAGTTGGGGTTATTAGGATCCCAATGCCCTGTTAACTAATGTTCTTATGCTCTCTCCCAAATGCTGTAATATCCTCTTCAAGAGTAGATGAGTGGGGGGAAAAGCCCACCCCCAGCCAAAAACTAAGCAAAACGACAACAAAACAAAAAGCAAAGAGATTTCTATAACAACTCTTTTCCTTAGGTACACATCTTTAGATCTAGAAATCTGCCTGTCTCTAGAGTTAGGGAAATAGATAGCAAGCCCTTAAATTAGAGTTTCTCGACTTCAGCACTATTGACATGTTTTGAGCAGGATAATTTGTTCTGGGGAGTCTGTCCTATGTATTATAGGATGTACAGCAGTATTCCTGGTCTCTACCCACTAGAAGCCAGTTGCATCTTAGGTATGACAACCAAAAACATCTCCATACATTGTCAAATGTCCCCTTGGAGTCAAAAATCTCATCCCTGCTTGAGAAACACAGTTATATAGGAAAGCTGGAACAAGAAAGCTAAACTGTCAACTATTTTCCTGAGATTCATCAAGAATTCAAAAATCCTCATTTTGGGCCATTTTAAGAGTTTTGGCTTAACTCATGTTTCCTGTGGCTCAATTTGCAAACTCTCAAGATTTATAGAAATTTGGAAATAAGAAAAGTTCCCTGCTTTCCCATAGCTCCTCAGGACCCAGATATGTTTCAATCTCAAATATGTTTAAATTGGCTTTCTGGCTAAAATGCTATATTAGAAGACTTGGAGTCAAAAGCCCAGATTTGACCAAGGGACCAAGTTGGGTTAGGAGAAAAGGTTTTCAATACCTAGACAACTGCTGAAATTGCCCTGTAGCCAGGTGGCCTTCTTTTTCTAAAAGCCATGAGTGAGGAGGTGGTAAGAGCAACTTTATTCAGGGTCTAGGTTAGGACTGCTGGGTTTGGTGTTAGGGTTGCGGGGGCGGGTGGGGAAATATACGGAATCTTTCCTCCTGGTTTGTAACACTGCACCTCTGATTACTCACCTCATGTCTAGTTATTGAGGTACTGGTCTTATACCCTTCTCTATGTAACCCATAAGCTCTTTGAAGGGAGGAACTTAGCTGCCTGGTTAATTTTCTAGTATGCATTTGGTGGGCTGAGGAATGAATAAGAAAAGGGGCATCTTGAGGACCTTGGTGAATCAGAAGTACACTTAGCAGTCTGGGGTCCATGTTGGCAGAGATCTTTGTTCAGAGAAAAAGACTAGAGATACTGAGGGGTGTCAATTGTAGCTGCTCGCTTTCTGGGCTGGGCACAACATAGAATATGGCCTGGGCACAACATAGCACTATGAAAGTTTGTGGAGTGAATATGGGTAGATCACCACTCGGAGCCCAGAGAGGTTCCTCTCGTTTTTGTTGACAGAGTGGAAGCCACGGATTTAGTGGTCATCCATGAGTTATTTCTGTCTTAATAAGAAAAGGCAGCTTAAAAATAAATTGACTCGATTTTTCAGAAAGTTGGTAGAGAGGTAGGAAGGTTCATGAAGACATTGTGGAATCTTCTGGGGTCCTCTTCTTTCTGAGACATGCTTCTAGACAATGTCTTTTTTTTATTTTTATTTTTATTTTTTGAGATAGAGTCTTGCTCTGTCGCCCAGGCTGGAGTGCAGTGGCACGAACTCGGCTCACTGCAACTTCTGACTTTTGGGTTCAAGCAATTCTCCTGCCTCAGCCTCCCAAGTAGCTGGGATTACAGATGTACACCACCACACCCAGCTAATTTTAGTATTTTTAGTAGAGAAGGGTTTTCGTCATGTTGTCCAGGCTGGTCTCAAACTCCTGACCTCAAGTGATCCACCTGCCTGGGACTCCCAAAGTGCTGGGATTACAGGCATGAGCCATGATGCCCGGCGACAGTGTAAAGTAAAGGCTGTGACACCATCCTGAACAAAGCTTCAAATATGGGATGTTTCTACCCTCTGGTTGTTGACACTGCTGCCTGCCTTACAAGTGGTTTTCAGTAACATTCACCAGGGCCATTTAGTTTTTTGAACATTGCTAATCACACTCTACTGGAATTCTTGTTTTTTGGAGTAACTGCCCTAGGTAAAACTATGCCTCCTGTCTTCCTGCAGGCATGAATAGCAACCACTGGCCACATAGTCAGAGTGGGAGGTCAAAGGAGTTGGGGGAGAATACACAGTTGATACAGACTTATTTAACATGATCTCACCATCGAGGTTTTTTATTTTTTTTGAGACGGAATCTCTCTCTGTTGCCCAGGCTGGAGTGCAGTGGCGCCGTCTTAGCTCACTGCAACCTCCACCTCCCAGGTTTGAGCGATTTTCCTGCCTCAGCCACCCGAGTAGCTGGGATTAGAGGCACCTGCCACCATGCCCGGCTAATGTTTTGTATTTTTAGTAGAGATGGGGTTTCACCATGTTAGCCAGGCTGGTCTCGAACTCCTGACCTCGTGGTGATCCGCCTGCCTCGGCCTCCCAAAGTGCTGGATTTACAGGCATGAGCCACCATGACTGGCCCAGCGTGGTGTTATTTAATTTAGACAGGACTTGGCTTTTCTAAGCAGTAGAATATAAGAACTGAGTTTCTGGCCTAAAAGTCTAGGAACCTTTCATTCTTATCCCTGATCAAGCCGGTGGTTGGGTGGGGGCAGGGTGGGACGGGGAGGACAAGATGACTGCCCTAAGGAGCTGTGGAGATAAATCTACCCGAACACTTGAGTTCACAGCTCAGACCAGGTAGCGGGCCACTCAGTACCTCCTGGTATAGGCGCCCTCGGGCTTACCTTTGGGCAGACAGGCTGAGCAGCGCCATCTGGTGGAGAACTCCAGGCAGGAGCTACAGGGCCTGGCTGTGGCTGAGCAGAGGGGATCAGAGGGATTGGCTGCCTGCAGCCTTCTGTTCCAGACACCCCTTTCACCAACCTCCTTGACACACACCCTCCTTGACACACACACCATCGAATAACTGCTTCTGGGAGAACCGGTTGGTTCTCCCTTACCAAATCTTACCTCCAGGAATGAAGCTAAGTTAGGGATGTGACACCACAGGACTGAATCATTAAAATTACTTTCATCAGCTGCTTTTTTAAACGTAGCTACTAGAAAGTTTTCAATTATATATGTGACTTGCATCATAATGAATTGCACTGGGGAGAGTTAGGCCAGCTGCACTCAGCTCAGCTCTTGCCTCTTATTGCGACTTTAACCAAGGTGCTTATTAACCCCTCTGCCTCCATGTCCTCAAGCTGTAAAATGAGGGTCTTCATATCACCCCACTGCACCAGTTTGATATGAGGGTTAAATGAGTTACAACACGTAAAGTGGTTAGAATGCCACTTAGCCTACAGTAAGAATCAATTAGTAACAGTTATTTTGCATAGTACTTAGACATTCAACAAATGCTTGTGCAAGCTAAGAACCTAGAATTGAGGTAGAGACCTGCACTACAGAATCTTCCGGCTGGAATGGCCCTGGAAGAAGATCTGGAATAGCCTCTTGCGGAAGAGCCAAGAACCCCAGCTTTAATCTGCACAACTGTAGCAAGTACCCTGAAATTCTGTTGCCACTTCTGGAGAAAGGACACTTAGGTTCCTTTGTGTTGTTTTTTTTTTTTCTCTTCATACTTTTTTCTTTTATAATGTTTTCTTTTGTTTTTAACTCCACATTTCCTAAGTGACCCCTAAGGCTCATTCTATCTCTAAGCTTGCAAAGGCATAAATTGAAGCTGGGATGAGGTACTTGGTGTGGGTTGGATAGGGTAAGGCAGGCAATTACTGAGGTATTAAGAAGGGATCAGAAGGCCTAAGTACTTTAACTGGAGAGATTCCTTCCCTGTTATCAAAAAAAGAAAAAGAAATGCTTGGGGTGGGCGCGGTGGCTCACGCCTGTAATCCCAGCACTTTGGGAGGCCGAGGCGGGTAGATCATGAGGTCAGGAGATCGAGACCATCCTGGCTAACGCGGTGAAACCCCGTCTCTACTAAAAATACAAAAAATTAGCCAGGAATGGTGGCAGGAGCCTGTAGTCCCAGCTACTCGGCAGGCTGAGGCAGGAGAATGGCGTGAACCCGGGAGGCGGAGCTTGCAGTGAGCCGAGATTGTGCCACTGCACTCCGGCCTGGGCAACAGAGCCAGACTTTTTAAAAAAAAAAAAAAGAAAAAGAAATGCTGTCTGTTGTCTGATGCCACATTCCCCAACACAGTAGGCCCATGTAGGCTCCCCACAGTCCTAACTTGAAGAAATTGGGAAAGGATGATATGGGTCATGCCTTCTCTCCCCCTCCCCTTTAAAATAATTTATCTGAATCAATAATTCAGGATTGGACTGAAGAGACCCAAGGGGAGGGGGTCCTGTTTGGTTCTATCCATGAAGTGGGCAGTGCGCAAGCCAGAGAAGGGAGATGGCTGCTGATGGTGACTTTGGCAAGACTGCCTGGGGAAGGAAGAATTTTCTATATCTAGTTCTCTCCCGTGACCATAACCCCAACATAGAGAGGAAGGAAGAAACAGTTGAATGTGGGGAGGAGGGAGAGGGAGATGCAAGAGGGATCTGCTCCTTGGAACTCCAGGAATCTGACCACCAGAACCAGCCAGTGTCAACTCTTTGTTTCCTGGGGCTGGGCTCTACTGGGGGAGCTCAGGCCATGCCCCTCCCCCTAAGGTCTTTTCTTTTTGGAGGGGATGGGGAAGGGGGCGGGGCCCTGCTTTGTGTGTGGTTGGGGGTGGAATGGGGGTGGTACAAGAATTTCAGGCGCTTTTCAGATGCAGGCCCTGGGAGGCTGGCTCTGTGGGGCTGCACGCTGATTACCTATCTGATAAGAGAGGAATTCAAACTATGTGTTTTAGAAAGGGGCGGGGGAGGAGGGCAGGGAGCCACCCCTGGAGACCACCAGTTTAAATCTCTTGATTACACTGAGGTACCTGCAGGGGTGGGGGTTTACTCTGTAAAAGTCTTAGACCTCAGATCCTCCAGTGATGCAGTGAGTGACCTGAGAGGACTAGTCAATTTCTTGTTGCATGTCCCCATTTATATGATCCTCTTAAAATAAACCTATGAGGTGTCCATAGAGGAAGGTGTTACTCTCCAGTCAACTGGGGCTTAGAGAGGGGATATTCTTCTAAGTTTCTATAGCTAGTTAGGATAAAACCAGATGCTTGGCACTTAGTTCTCTCTGTTAACCCACGCCACCCAGTGTGAAGAGGTTGATAATTGCCACTCCCTGAGGATTTATGTGTAGCAGGCGAAGTGCTAACTACTTTTCATGTGTAAAACCTCACAGCACTACCATAAAATTAGTATTTACTCCATTTTATAGATGATTAAAGAAAGGAGGGAACAGGCCATCAGACTCAATCAACCCTTGTTCTTAACTATTTACCTGCTGAATCACAGCTAGAACTAGGAGTGTCCCAGCCTAAGACAAGCTGGGCAAGCAAATGAAGCTGGAATTGCTTGGGTCCAGAAGGCTCTTGGTCTGGCTCCTCTAGGACCTCCCAACTCACCCACTAATTGCATCTCTTGTCCCACCCCGCTCAATAAAAAATAAGTCAAATCTAATATAATCTTTATTTTTTGAGATGGGTTCTTGCTCTCTCACCCAGGCAGGAGTGCAGTGGCGCGATCTCAGCTCACTGCAAGCTCTGCCTCCCAGATTCAAGCGATCCTTCTACCTCAGCCTCCCAAGTAGCTGGTACCACAGGCACATGCCACCATGCTGAGCTAATTTTTGTATTATTTTGTAGAGAACAGGGTTTCGCCCTGTTGCCCAGGCTGGTCTCCAACTCCTGAGCCTCAAGCTCAGAATCCACCTGCCTCAGTCACCCAAATTGCTGGGATTACAGTTGTGAGCCACCATGCCCGACCTTACAAATCTAACTTTAAACTCAGGGTGGTTACTGTGAAACAGCGAGAGAGGTATTGCACCCGGCCTGCAATATCATCTTAAAACAAAAATTTGGCCGGGCATGGTGTGTAATCCCAGCACTTTAGGAGGCATGAGGTCAGGAGTTTGAGACCAGCCTGGCCAATAAGGTGAAACCCTGTCTCTACTAGAAATACAAAAATTAGCTGGGTGTGGTGGCGTGCGCCTGTAGTCCTAGCTTAAACCCAGAAGAATCGCTTAAACCCAGGAGGCGGAGGTTGCAGTGAGCTGAGATCGTGTCACTGCACTTCAGCATGGGCGACAGAGCAAGACTTTCTCAAAAAAAAAAAAAAAAAATTAAGTGATAAGGAATCTGTGGTTCCTTCATCTTGATGAAGAGCATGTTTCATTTAAGTTCCAGTTTGGAATATTACCCCCCAGCCACCAGCATAAAATACGAATGCTACTTACTCATGTTCCCTTGAGCCAGGACTAGGTAAGTGCACAGTGATCCCTTTTGCTTCTCCATTTTCTATGACGACTACTCCTTGTTGACATATTTGACACTGTTGTTTTACTATAATAGATGAAGCTGTAATGAAGTCTATTCTGGGTAGGGTCTGAGATGCTGTCACCTCCGCTAATGTCAAGTTGGTGGTGCAGTAAGTGGCATGATAGAATGAGCTCTGAGCTTTAAATCAGGAACTCTGGGTTCATCTGACCCTGGCTTTGCTACAGAACTAGCTGTATCAACAACTACTTTTTTTTTTTTTCTTGATGGCTGCTGGCTGTTTGCTAACTGCTTTATAAATATCAGTGTCCTTAAATTTTGGTACAAACGTGCAGTGTTCTAATAGGATTATTCCATACATATTGTTCTAAATCTTGCTTTTTGTTTTTTCTTTTAACAATATTATTTGGTGATCTTTCTCAGCTGAATGATTAAAAATCTGCCTCCTGTTTCATTAATTCATTCAAAAATGTGCTAGGCATTATTTCAGGTACCAAAATGTGGCTGTGAACAAACCAAAGACTTTACGTTGTTCTTAATGGCTGCGTGGTATTCATTATTATAGATGTACCATATTTATTCAACCATTCCCCTTCAAATACACCAGTAGGTTATTTCCAATTTTTTTAAAGCAACAATGAGATACTGAGTATATGTGTCGTGCTAAGACTTCCTACTGATAATCTACTTATATTATGTTGTGTAATTCTTTTTTCTTAGTGATTTATGGTATATTTTTGTAGTTTTACCAGTCTGATTATCTGTCTTAACTTTTCAGTATTTTTCTTAACAATGAGGTGTTTAAATCCTCTGAAATGTATTTTGCATATGTATCATACAAAGTCTGTAGGAATATGACTTCCTTTCCCAATGGATTATTAATTTTTATAGCAGCATTTATTGAATTATTTTTCTTACCTATTGATTTCTCCATATATTCTCAGATCTCTGTGATTTTCCATTTTAATCCTCTGATCCATCTGCTTGGGTTATACTGTCTTTCGGTAACATTATTTTGATATAATTTCAAACTTTAAAAAGGCTGCAAGAACAATACCCAACACTCCCACATAACCTCTACCCAGATTCATTGACTCTTAACATTTTGCCCCATTTGCTTTATCATTCTCTATCTTGCTACAGATAGTTTTTTTTTTGAAACCATAAGTTGGAGACAGTAAGCACTTTTATCTCTAAATATTTCAGTGCGTATTTCCCAAGAATGGGAATATTTATCTTTTTTTTTTTTTTCTGAGACAGGGTCTCACTCTGTCACCCAGCCTGGAGCACAGTTGTGTGATCTCTGCTCACTGCAACCTCTGCCTCCTGGGCTCAAGGGATCCTCCCACCTCAGCCTCCCCAGTAGTTGGGACTACAGGTGTGTACCACTGTGCCTGGCTCATTTTTGTATTATTTTGTAGAGATGGGTTTTTGCCATATTGCCCAAGCTGGTCTCGAATTCCTGGGCTCAAGCAATCCGCCCATCTTGGCCTCCCAAAGTGCTGGGGATTATAGGCATCAGCCACTGTGCCTGGCTGGGAATATCAATCTTACATCGTTTCAGTACACTAATCATAATCAGGAAATTAAACACTGGTACATTTATCTATATACCATATGCAAATTTTGTCAATTGTCCTATTTTTTTTTTTTTTTTCCTGTTTCAAGATCCAATCTGGAATCTTGGATTTCATTGAACTGTTCAGTTCTTCAGGCTTTGTCTTTTTATGACCTTGACATTTTTGAAGTCCTGTTTTATAGGAATGTCCCTCAGTTTGGGTTTGTCTGATGTTCCCTCAAGGTTAGATTCAGGATGTGCATTTTTAAAGTCATAAGTCCTTAGTGCATCATATTAGAAGATATGTGTGTCCCATTGTAGGCAAAGCTAAACTCAAAGAACTTGACTAGGGTATTATCTGCCAGTTTTCTCCACTGTAAACTTGCTGTTTTTCCCTTTGTAGTTGCTACACTGCTGATTATATCCAATTTAAATTGTAATATCTGGTATTCTTGGCAATTTATATTTTCCCATAGCCTTTAGAATCACTCAATCTTCCAATCCAAGATCGTGGTATGTTTTTGCATTTTTTCCTTTAATATATTTGAGTTTTTTCTTCATATAGGCTTTTTACCTTGTTAAATGTATTCTGAGGGTTTTGGTGTTTTTGTTTGTTTCTGAGAGAGGGTCTTACTCTGTCGCCCAGGCTGGAATGCAGTGGCATAATCTTGGCTCACTACAACCTCCGCCTCATGGGCTCAAGTGATGCTCCCACCTCTGCTGGGATTACAGGGGTGAGCCAGACAGAGTCTCGCTCCATCACCCAGGCTGGAGTACAGTGGTGCCATCTCTGCAACCTCTGCCTCCCGGGTTCAAACAATTGCCTCAGCCTCTCGAGTAGCTGAGATTACAGGTCTGCGCACCATACCCAGCTAATTTTTGTGTTTTTTGTAGAAATGGCATTTCGTCACGTAGGCCAGGCTGGTGTTGAACTCCTGGATTCATGTGATCTGCCCACCTCAGCCTCCCCAAAGTGCTGGGATTACAGACAGGCATGAGCCACTGTGCCTGGCCTATTCTGTTTGTTTGGTTTTTTAACATGTTTTGCAGCCATTATTATGATTTCCTTTTTTTTCTTTTTCTTTTTTTTTTTTTTTTTTTTTTTGTTGTTGTTGTTGCCCAGGCTAGAGTAGAATGGCGCAATCTTGGCTCACCGCAACCTCCGCCTCCCGGGTTCAAGTGATTCTCCTACCTCAGCCTCCCAAGTAGCTGGGATTATAGATGCCCACCACCACGCCTGGCTAATTTTGTATTTTTAGTAGTAGAGACAGGGTTTCTCCATGTTGGTCAGGCTGGTCTCAAACTCCTGACCTCAGGTGATATGCCCGCCTCGGCTTCCCAAAGTGCTGGGATTACAGGCATGAGCCATTGCGCACGGCCCATTAGTATTATTTCTTAAATCATTGAGCATCTTGAGTTTGTTTTTTTGTTTGTTGGTTTGTTTGTTTTGCGACGGAGTCTTGCTCTGTCACCCAGGCTGGAGTACAGTGGCGCGATCTCAGCTCACTGCAAGCTCTGCCTCCCAGGTTCATGCCATTCTCCTGCCTCAGCCTCCGGAGTAGCTGGGACTACAGGCACCCGCCACCACGCCTGGCTAATTTTTTGTATTTTTAGTAGAGACGGGGTTTCACCGTGTTAGCCAGGATGGTCTCGATCTCCTGACCTCGTGATCCCCTGCCTTTGCCTCCCAAAGTGCTGGGATTACAGGCGTGAGGCAGCGCACCCGGCCTTTTTTTTTTTCTTTTTTAAATAAGGCATATCATATTGCTTTGATTATAAAAATACCACTTGATTTTGTATTTTTTCCAGTATTCTACTTATTTGGTCTTTTGATGATGGTATAAATACTAAGTGAGGCATTATGTGAAAAATGAATATTTCAGTGCTTCATAGCGTGACATTTTATTTTTATTTTATTTATTTATTTCTTTGAGATGGAGTCTTGCTCTGTCAACCAGGCTAGAGTACAGTGGCATGATGGCTCACTGAAACCTCTGCCTCCGGGGTTCAAGCAACTCTCCTGCCCCAACTGCCCAAGTAGCTGGGATTACAGGCGCCCACCACCACACCCGGCTAATTTTTGTATTTTTAGTAGAGACAGGGTTTCACCATGTTGGCCAGGCTGGTCTCGAACTCTGGACCTCGTGATCCACCTGCTTCAGCCTCCCAAAGTGCTGGGGTTAAAGGCGTAAGCCACCGTGTGTGGCTGAGCCACCATGCCCAGCTATTTTTACTTTTATTTTATTTATTTATTTTTGAGACGAAGTCTTGCTGTGTTGCCCAGGCTGGAGTGCAAAGGCGCCATCTTGGCTCACTGCAACCTCTATAGTGTGACACTTTAAATTTCGTAATTTTATATTTGTTGATTTCTTCCAAATGCTTGTATTTACAAATTTTTCTGTTTGTTGTTGTTTGTTTGTTTGTTTTTGAGACAAAGTCTCACTCTGTCGCCCAGGCTGGAGTGCAATAGTGTGATCTCAGCTCACTGCAACCTTTGCTTCCTGGGTTCAAGCAATTCTCCTGCCTCAGTCTCCCAAGTAGCTGGGATTACAGGTGCCCGCCACCACGCCCAGCTAATTTTTTTTATTTTTAGTAGAGACAGAGTTTCACCATGTTGGCCAAGCTGGTCTCGAACTCCTGACTTCAGGTGATCCTCCCGCCTCAGCCTCTCAAAGTGCTAGGATTATAGGTGTGAGCCACCGTACCCGGCCCTCTGTTCTATTTTATTAAGAACTTTAAACCTGAATAGCTACAAAAATGTCATGGCATCTGCTTATATAATTACGATTTTTGTTAATGTACTGGTAGACTTTGTTGTTCTTAATCGTAGTGACTCTTTGAGTCAGTTTCCTTACCAGTAAAATAGGAGTACCATCACATTTGATTCCTACCCTACAGGAATAAGAGTTCCTTGTCTTTTGGTATAATAATGGAAATTAATGTTAAAATTTACTGCATTTCCCTTCACCAGAGTAAGCTGCACATGGAAGGGTTCCGGAGCTTGAAGGAGGGTGAGGCAGTGGAGTTCACCTTTAAGAAGTCAGCCAAGGGTCTGGAATCCATCCGTGTCACCGGACCTGGTGGAGTATTCTGTATTGGGAGTGAGAGGCGGCCAAAAGGAAAGAGCATGCAGAAGCGCAGATCAAAAGGAGACAGGTATGGATTGGAAGGCAGCTTATATAGGTTGCTAAGGGCATCCCCAGTCTCCCAATCCTGTCACTTTTTGGGTCACACTGCAAAAGACAAAGGGAAGCCTGTGGTCCCTGGCAGCATCTGGAAGGCTGAGCGCCTGCAATAGGTGTGGGCAAGGGCAGTAGGTGAGGAGGCCACTGGGGGTGACTTAGTGCTACTTGGGACAAGTAAGTTTGCTCTGTGGTCTCTAAGCCTCAATTGTTAAGTGAGGCAGTGATACTAACATCCTAGGATGGTTTTAGAATTAAAGGAGATCATAGATTTGCAAATGGTGGGACAAGACAGTATTATCTATATCTGTTGCTGCTTTACCAGGTCTGCAAATGGCTGGTTTCCTTAATCTTGCTTGGGCTTAAAGCCCCTTAGCTCTGAACAGATACTATAATTTGGCTTCTTTAATTTCTCCTATATTAAGGGTATGGAAGAATCTCTCCTATCCCCCAAGTTGCAGTTCCTAGTTGGGGTCAGTAACTTATATTTCTGGTATCTTGGTATTTTCAAGTTGACATGAATCTGAAGAGATCACCTAGACAATTAGATGTGGAAAGGACTTAGAGATCATTTAGTAATAGTCCTCCTTTTGCAAGTGGGAAGTTTGGTCTCTGGGAAGGGAAGTAAGTGACAAACCTGTACCAGAGCCCAGGTGTCCTCATTCGTGGGAGGCATCTGGCCTCTTCTTGCTCCTTTCTCTTACTTTTACGATCTTGCTTTGTACTAGGTGCTACAACTGTGGAGGTCTAGATCATCATGCCAAGGAATGCAAGCTGCCACCCCAGCCCAAGAAGTGCCACTTCTGCCAGAGCATCAGCCATATGGTAGCCTCATGTCCGCTGAAGGCCCAGCAGGGCCCTAGTGCACAGGGAAAGCCAACCTACTTTCGAGAGGAAGAAGAAGAAATCCACAGCCCTACCCTGCTCCCGGAGGCACAGAATTGAGCCACAATGGGTGGGGGCTATTCTTTTGCTATCAGGAAGTTTTGAGGAGCAGGCAGAGTGGAGAAAGTGGGAATAGGGTGCATTGGGGCTAGTTGGCACTGCCATGTATCTCAGGCTTGGGTTCACACCATCACCCTTTCTTCCCTCTAGGTGGGGGGAAAGGGTGAGTCAAAGGAACTCCAACCATGCTCTGTCCAAATGCAAGTGAGGGTTCTGGGGGCAACCAGGAGGGGGGAATCACCCTACAACCTGCATACTTTGAGTCTCCATCCCCAGAATTTCCAGCTTTTGAAAGTGGCCTGGATAGGGAAGTTGTTTTCCTTTTAAAGAAGGATATATAATAATTCCCATGCCAGAGTGAAATGATTAAGTATAAGACCAGATTCATGGAGCCAAGCCACTACATTCTGTGGAAGGAGATCTCTCAGGAGTAAGCATTGTTTTTTTTTCACATCTTGTATCCTCATACCCACTTTTGGGATAGGGTGCTGGCAGCTGTCCCAAGCAATGGGTAATGATGATGGCAAAAAGGGTGTTTGGGGGAACAGCTGCAGACCTGCTGCTCTATGCTCACCCCCGCCCCATTCTGGGCCAATGTGATTTTATTTATTTGCTCCCTTGGATACTGCACCTTGGGTCCCACTTTCTCCAGGATGCCAACTGCACTAGCTGTGTGCGAATGACGTATCTTGTGCATTTTAACTTTTTTTCCTTAATATAAATATTCTGGTTTTGTATTTTTGTATATTTTAATCTAAGGCCCTCATTTCCTGCACTGTGTTCTCAGGTACATGAGCAATCTCAGGGATAGCCAGCAGCAGCTCCAGGTCTGCGCAGCAGGAATTACTTTTTGTTGTTTTTGCCACCGTGGAGAGCAACTATTTGGAGTGCACAGCCTATTGAACTACCTCATTTTTGCCAATAAGAGCTGGCTTTTCTGCCATAGTGTCCTCTTGAAACCCCCTCTGCCTTGAAAATGTTTTATGGGAGACTAGGTTTTAACTGGGTGGCCCCATGACTTGATTGCCTTCTACTGGAAGATTGGGAATTAGTCTAAACAGGAAATGGTGGTACACAGAGGCTAGGAGAGGCTGGGCCCGGTGAAAAGGCCAGAGAGCAAGCCAAGATTAGGTGAGGGTTGTCTAATCCTATGGCACAGGACGTGCTTTACATCTCCAGATCTGTTCTTCACCAGATTAGGTTAGGCCTACCATGTGCCACAGGGTGTGTGTGTGTTTGTAAAACTAGAGTTGCTAAGGATAAGTTTAAAGACCAATACCCCTGTACTTAATCCTGTGCTGTCGAGGGATGGATATATGAAGTAAGGTGAGATCCTTAACCTTTCAAAATTTTCGGGTTCCAGGGAGACACACAAGCGAGGGTTTTGTGGTGCCTGGAGCCTGTGTCCTGCCCTGCTACAGTAGTGATTAATAGTGTCATGGTAGCTAAAGGAGAAAAAGGGGGTTTCGTTTACACGCTGTGAGATCACCGCAAACCTACCTTACTGTGTTGAAACGGGACAAATGCAATAGAACGCATTGGGTGGTGTGTGTCTGATCCTGGGTTCTTGTCTCCCCTAAATGCTGCCCCCCAAGTTACTGTATTTGTCTGGGCTTTGTAGGACTTCACTACGTTGATTGCTAGGTGGCCTAGTTTGTGTAAATATAATGTATTGGTCTTTCTCCGTGTTCTTTGGGGGTTTTGTTTACAAACTTCTTTTTGTATTGAGAGAAAAATAGCCAAAGCATCTTTGACAGAAGGTTCTGCACCAGGCAAAAAGATCTGAAACATTAGTTTGGGGGGCCCTCTTCTTAAAGTGGGGATCTTGAACCATCCTTTCTTTTGTATTCCCCTTCCCCTATTACCTATTAGACCAGATCTTCTGTCCTAAAAACTTGTCTTCTACCCTGCCCTCTTTTCTGTTCACCCCCAAAAGAAAACTTACACACCCACACACATACACATTTCATGCTTGGAGTGTCTCCACAACTCTTAAATGATGTATGCAAAAATACTGAAGCTAGGAAAACCCTCCATCCCTTGTTCCCAACCTCCTAAGTCAAGACCATTACCATTTCTTTCTTTCTTTTTTTTTTTTTTTTAAAATGGAGTCTCACTGTGTCACCCAGGCTGGAGTGCAGTGGCATGATCGGCTCACTGCAGCCTCTGCCTCTTGGGTTCAAGTGATTCTCCTGCCTCAGCCTCCTGAGTAGCTGGGATTTCAGGCACCCGCCACACTCAGCTAATTTTTGTATTTTTAGTAGAGACGGGGTTTCACCATGTTGTCCAGGCTGGTCTGGAACTCCTGACCTCAGGTGATCTGCCCACCTTGGCTTCCCAAAGTGCTGGGATTACAGGCATGAGCCACCATGCTGGGCCAACCATTTCTTGGTGTATTCATGCCAAACACTTAAGACACTGCTGTAGCCCAGGCGCGGTGGCTCACACCTGTAATCCCAGCACTTTGGAAGGCTGAGGCGGGCGGATCACAAGGTCACGAGTTCAAAACTATCCTGGCCAACACAGTGAAACCCCGTCTCTACTAAAATACAAAAAAATTAGCCGGGTGTGGTGGTGCATGCCTTTAGTCCTAGCTATTCAGGAGGCTGAGGCAGGGGAATCGCTTGAACCCGAGAGGCAGAGGTTGCAGTGAGCTGAGATCGCACCACTGCACTCCAGCCTGGTTACAGAGCAAGACTCTGTCTCAAACAAAACAAAACAAAACAAAAACACACTACTGTATTTTGGATGGATCAAACCTCCTTAATTTTAATTTCTAATCCTAAAGTAAAGAGATGCAATTGGGGGCCTTCCATGTAGAAAGTGGGGTCAGGAGGCCAAGAAAGGGAATATGAATGTATATCCAAGTCACTCAGGAACTTTTATGCAGGTGCTAGAAACTTTATGTCAAAGTGGCCACAAGATTGTTTAATAGGAGACGAACGAATGTAACTCCATGTTTACTGCTAAAAACCAAAGCTTTGTGTAAAATCTTGAATTTATGGGGCGGGAGGGTAGGAAAGCCTGTACCTGTCTGTTTTTTTCCTGATCCTTTTCCCTCATTCCTGAACTGCAGGAGACTGAGCCCCTTTGGGCTTTGGTGACCCCATCACTGGGGTGTGTTTATTTGATGGTTGATTTTGCTGTACTGGGTACTTCCTTTCCCATTTTCTAATCATTTTTTAACACAAGCTGACTCTTCCCTTCCCTTCTCCTTTCCCTGGGAAAATACAATGAATAAATAAAGACTTATTGGTACGCAAACTGTCATCCCCTTGTCAGATGTTTTTGCCCTTCCGATAACTCCCACTTTCTTGGATTGGGACTCAGAAGTTTTTCTGTTCAGCCAGTTTGTTAGGAATGAATCTTGAAAGTTCAGTCCTCTTAGCACCTCATTACAGTGGATTTTTGTTTCTAGTTAAGGCCTCTTGTCCTTTCCTTGGAAGCTTCCACATTCAAGAGGGGATTAGGGGCTTGGCATGCATAAGAATGGGGTTGCCTGTGCCACTGGCTGGGATGAAAGGATGGGGCCATGGCTTGGGGCATGAGACCCTAATAATACTTTGTCCCCTACTCCTCAAAGCCTTTTACAAATCTTAATTAATTAACCGCTTGCAGCACCCCAAGGAGAGAAATGTGTTGTGGAACTGGGGAAATTGAGGCCAGAGGAGATTCACTGACTAGCTATAAATGCAACATTTTCTTTGAGCCAAAGTTTGCTAGCTTTTTAATGAACATCGAGTTTTTTTATATACATCACAAGTCATCAAGCAAGAACACTGAATTTTAAACATCTATTCCCACTAAGGGAAGGAGGATTTTAAAAAGGAAAAAAAAAAAACTTGATTGGAGGCAAACCAAGTATATTAACACCGTGCAAGGAAACAGGGAAACTGGTTTAAATCCTCAAGCCTGACATTATAAGAGTAAGGGTAAGAAGTTTCATAATCTACTCCAGGGACTTTGTGGCTCCTTAATTGTACCAAAAGTCAAAGCTGACAGTAGAACCTCATGAAGCAGCAAACTACTAGTGGACTTCATTAAATTGTCTTGCTGCAAAATGAAGTAACTTGGACTGAAATTTACTCCCCAGGCTGCAAAGCAGGAAGGATGGAAAAGCTCAACACTATTCATTTCTACTCATCTCTAGGGCTTTCTTTCATCATGTTGCTGTGTTAAAATAACCCCTTTCATTAGAAAGAGTGGAAGACATAATCAATTAGAAAGTGCCAATAAAACATCTCTTCCTTGCCTCATTTCTTTAATAATATTGTAAAATGAAATGCGACAAAAAGGTTCTTTGACAATTGTGAATTTTTATTCCACTCAAAACATAATACTACATAAAGTTGTATTATGCTTTGCAAGAAATACTGGTTGTGGCCGGGCGCGGTGGCTCACGCCTGTAATTCCAGCACTTTGGAAGGTCTAGGCAGGCAGATAACGAGGTCAAGAGATCAAAACCATCCTGGCCAAAATGGTGAAACCCTGTCTCTACTAAAAATACAAAAATTAGCCAGGCTTGGTGGCACGCGCCTGTAGTCCCAGCTACTCAGGAGGATGAAGCAGGAGAAACGCTTGAACCCGGGAGGCGGAGGCTGCAGTGAGCCGAGATCGCGCCACTGCACTCCAGCCTGGGCGACATAGCCAGACTCCGTCTCTAAATAAATAAATAAATAAATAAATAAATAAAAATAATACTGGTTGTATAAGAATCTGTAAAGAATTTTTTCCTCCTCTTTCAATTTTGAGAAAATTGAACTACAAATTTGTTTTGTGAGCCTAGAATTCTTGCAACCCTTTTTTTCGTAAAGGTTCAGTAGAGCTAATGCCCTTAACTTTTCTACCAGGGTTAATTTCTGTTATTTTCATTTATGTACTGCCAAAGCGAGCACCTTTCTGTTATTTTAGAAGTCATGCTTTTTTTTTTTTTCTTTTTTCAGACAGAGTTTCGCTCCTGTTGCCCAGGCTGGAGTGCAGTGGCCTGATCTTGGCTCACCGCAACCTCCGCCTCCCGGGTTCAAGCGATTCTCTTGCCTCACCCTCCCGAGTAACTGGGATAACAGGCGCCCGCCACCACGCCCGGCTCATTTTCTGTATTTTTAGTACAGACGGGGTTTCACGATGTTGGTCAGGCTGGTCTCAAACTCCTGACCTCAGGTGATCCGTTCGCCTCGGCCTCCCAAAGTGCTGGGATTACAGGCGTGAGCCACCGCGCCTGGCCTAGAAGTCATTCTTATGGCAGAAATCTTTCTGGCCTTACCCCTTCTCTTGAGTTCGTTGGGATAGGTCTTGGGAATCCACAAATCCTAAAATATGCGTGCCTTAAGTCGGCACAAAATAGATTAATATTCTGCGCGTCTGTAAGATTGGCTGCGGCTAGAAACTCCTTCCCAGACGATTAAATCCACTAAATAAAATACGAAACGGTAACGAGATAATTTTTAAGAGTATGCACCAGTGCTCTAATGAAGCCCGGTTCTGCGGCATTCCAAGGTAAGGACGCTGCCTTACCCAGTCTCTCAGCAGTCCTAAGCTGCCTTCGACGGCCGAGAAGCGCCTCGATTCTTGCCCCTGGCTCATTTCCCTGGCGCGTTTTCCAGACGCCTCCGCTCCCAACGCTGGGCTCAACCCTGTCTTCCCCAGCTGGTCTCCCAGCACGTGGCCTGGAGCCCAGCCTCCCGCCCCGCTCGGTCACGTGAGCCTGGCTCTCACCCGCGCCGGCTTCCACACCCCGCGGGACTGAGAACCGCCCTCCCACTAGCTCGCAGGCGCAGGCGCAGGGCAGGGTCCCCTCAGTTTGGGTGACGGAAGGGGCGTGTCGCAGCGCCCAAAGATGACGTGTTCTGCCAGCGCCACGTCATGAGGAAGTGCCGGCCCACTGAAGCCGTGGGGACGCGCCCAGCGGAGCTAATCAGGTGCCACTGAACTGAAGGGGTGAACTAGAGGAGAAGAGGGTGACTGGGCGGGGAGCAGCTGCGGGAGAAGCAAAGGGACGACTGAGGGAATAATCAGGAGACCACTGAGGCGTGAAGTACTAGGCGTGCGATAACTGAAGGAGTTAGTAACTGGGAGCACAGAGTTGGAAACAGCTTAGGGGAAGATGGAGAAGGAAGAAACGGGGAATGATCAAGATGTGGGCACCATGATGTGGCAGGAAACCGACTTAGATGTTCAGAAGAAGTCAGTGCAGATACGGAGGAAATGGGAATGGGAAGAAGTCTGCAAAGCCAGGAGAACCGAGGAAAGGCTTTTGCCTCCAGAGGTCACATTGCGTTATAAAACTCTGGGTGGTAAAAGATTATAGGCTTAGACCAGTGTCTTTGGATTCTAATGCTGGCTGCTCTCCATAGTCCATCTGATTCCCCAGAAGTCAGTTATAGCTCTTCGCAAACCTTGGTGACTTCTTATTTTCTTTCTTGTTTATCCAAGATTACCTGGCTGGTGTTTGCTTGTTCTGGAGTGATCTTCTGACTGGAAAAGAACTATGTCATGGATCAAGGAAGGAGAGCTGTCACTTTGGGAGCGGTTCTGTGCCAACATCATAAAGGTGAGCAATGGCCCAGAGCACCGGTTGGCCTTCTGGTCAGTTGGATAATCTTATATAAAAACCTGTTATTAAAGTTGATGATGTTAAGTGCAATTCATGATGTTAAGTGGAATTTAGCAAGGAAACCAAAGAGTCTTAGAATGGTAACTTCCAGGTCTACATTTCTGGTAGACTTTTGTCCTAACTCTGATATTTTCTGGAAGCCCAGGCCTCTTAATGTCACTGGGCAGCCTAGACTGCTAAGTATTCTTTATAGAGAACTGAAATTTGTTTCCCTGGAACATTGATCCATTGTTCCATGTACTGTCTTCTTGATTTAAATAGGTTAATCTTTGATATATTCTTTGATCTGTCAGTAGAGCTGGGCCCGGTCACTCACGCCTGTAATCCCAGCAATTTGGGAGGCTGAGGTGGGCAGATTGTTTGAGCTCAGGAGTTGAGACCAGCCTGGGCAACATGGCAAAACCCCGATTCTCCAAAAAATTAAAAAAATAGCAGGGCTTGGTGGTGTGCACCTGTAGTCCCAGCTACTCGGAAGGCTGAAGTGGGAGAATTTCTTGAGCCCAGGTCAAAGCTGCAGTGAGTCATGATTGTGCCACCACACTCCAGCCTGGGTGACAGAACGGGACTGTCTCAAAAAAAAGAGTTCAGAACAAGACTCTGTCTCAAAAAAAAAAAAAAAAAAAGAGTTTGGGCTCTAGACGCAGACAAACATGGGTGAAATTCCTGTTCTTTTTTTTATTTTGAGATGGAGTCTCGCTCTGTCGCCCAGGCTGGAGTGCAATGGCGCAATCTTGGCTTACTGCAACCTTCATCTGCCAAGTTCAAGCAATTCTCTTGCCTTAGCCTCCCAAGTAGCTGGGGTTACAGGCATATGCTACCACACATGGCTAATTTTTATATTTTTAGTAGAGATGGGATTCTCATATTGGCCAGGCTGGTCTCGAACTCCTGACCTCAGGTGATCCACCTATCTCAGCCTCCCAAAGTGCTGGGATTATAGGACTGAGCCACTGCACCTGGCCTGAAAGTCCAGTTCTATCATTTAGTAATCATGTGACTTTAACAACTGTAGAATTATCATGAGAATTTATGAGACATTAATATAAAGCAGTTAGCATAATGTCTAGCAGTTCTTAATTATTATTAGGATTGTCTTTCAGACATTTGAAGACTATTATCTCCTATCTTCCCCAAATCTTCCCTCAGCTTTTTCTCTAGGAATCACAGCAATATTATATCTGCCTAAGACAGGTTTGAGATTGGGGCCAGTCAGCTTGGTTTTGTTTTTCAACCACAGGCTGTCAAGCAGCAGGTAGTAATGAATTTATGAGTCAGTAACCTTTATACAAGCCCCACACATGCTCACAAACAAATGCCAAGTGATCTCAAGCAGTCCAGGAAATGGGAAGTATCTCCTTGGGGAACCACTGCAGTGGTATGTTTGGAAGAACAAGCTGCATAACTTGAATGGATTTTGGGGGCTGGAAAGGCTGTATGTGAGACAGAAGTAGAAAAAGGAGAAGTGTTGATGAGGAAGCAGTCAGGGAAGAGCCCTCCCAGGTGAGGAAAAATAGGCTAAGGAGTCCATTTGTGTTATGGGAGACAACTCAAAGCTGCTCCAAGCCAAATAAGGGTTTTGTTTTTTGTGGTTTCTTTTTTGAGATGCAGTCTTACTCTGTTGCCCAGGCTAGAGTGCAGTGGTGCAGTCTTGGCTTACTGCAACCTCTGTCTCCTGGGTTCAAGCGATTCTCCCACCTCAGCCTCCCCAAGTAGCTGGGATTATAGGCACCGGCCACCATGCCTGGCTAATTTTTTTTTTTTTTTTTTTTAGTAGAGTTGGGGTTTCACCATGTTGGCCAGGCTGGTCTCGAACTCCTGGCCTCAAGTGATCTGCCCACCTCAGCCTCCTAAAGTACTGGGATTACAGGCTTGAGCCACCACGTCCGGCCCCAAGTAAGTTTTGTTTGGCTCAAAAAAAGTCTTTTTTGTTTGCTTTGAAAAACAATTTTTTTTTTTCAGACAGAGTCTCACTCTGTCGCCCAGGCTGGAGTGCAGTGGCACAATCTCAGCTCACTGTACCCTCTGCCTCCCCGGTTCAAACAATTCTCCTGCCTCAGCCTCCCGAGTAGCTGGGATTACAGGCGCTCGCCACCACGCCCGGCTAATTTTTCTTTATTTTTAGTAGAGACAGGGTTTCACCATTTTGGCCAGGCTGGTCTTAAACTCCTGACCTCGTGATCCACCCGCCTCGGCCTCCCAAAGTGCTGGGATTACAGGCATGAGCCACTGCGCCCGGCTGAAAAGCAAAATTTTAATAAAAATCCTGATGTTTGGTTTTCTTGCAAGATCACCAGATCCAGCAATGTTGTGCCCCAGTTCCTGTGTGTCAGCAGTTGGCTAGAGGTCAGGAATTAGTGCCTTTTTTTTTTTTTTTTTTTTTTTTTGAGACAGAGTCTTACTCTGTCACCCAGGCTGGAGTGCAGTGGTGCTATCTCGGCTCACTGCAACCTCTGCCTCCCGGGTTCAAGCCATTCTCCTGCTTCAGCCTCCTAAGTAGCTGGGATTACAGGCTCCCACCACCACACCTGGCTAATTTTTGTTTTTGTTTTTTTCTTTTTTCCGAGATGGAGTCTTGCTCTGTCGCCCAGGCTGCAGTGTGGTGGCGTGATCTTGGCTCACTGCAACCTCTGCCTCCCGGGTTCAAGCAGTTCTCCTGCCTCAGCCTCCCAAGTAGCTGGTGTTACAGGCATCTGCCACCACACCTGGCTAATTTTTGTATTTTTAGTAGAGACGGGGTTTCACCATACTGGCCAGCCTGGTCTTGAATTCCTGACCTCGTGATCTGCCCGCCTTCGCCTCCCAAAGTGCTGAGATTACAGGCATGAGCCACTGTGCCCAGCCCTAATTTTCACATTTTTAGTAGAGATGGGGTTTCAACATGTTGGCCAGGCTGGTCTTGAACTCCTGACCTCAAGTGATCCACCCACCTTGGCCTCCCAAAGTGCTGGGATTACAGACGTGAGCCACTGCACCTGGCCCTATGAGTTCCTTTTTTCTGTGGAAGGTACCATCTTCATTTGACTATGCCCATCAAAATTTTTCCTGGCCAGACACGATGGTTCAAACCTGTAATCCCAGCACTTTGGGAGGCCAAATCGAGTAGATCTCTTGATCCCAGGAGTTCGAGAGCAGCCTGGCCAACATGGTGAGACCCCCGTCTCTACAAAATATAAAAAAATTAGCTGGGTGTGGTGGTGTATTCCTGTAGTCCCAGCTACTTGGGGAATTGAAGTGGGAGGACCTTTCTCCTCCCGAAAGGTGGAGGTTGCAAATGACCTGAGATAACACCACCACACTCCATCCACCTTGGGTAATAGAGTAAGACTCTGTTTTGTTTGTTTGTTTGTTTGTTTGTTTGTTTGTTTGTTTTGAGACAGAGTCCCGCTCTGTCATCCAGGCTGGAGTGCAGTGGCGCCATCTCGGCTTACTGCAAGCTCCGCCTCCCGGGTTCATGCCATTCTGCTGCCTCAGCCTGCCAAATAGCTGGGACTACAGGCGCCCACCACCACGCCCGGCTAACTTTTTGTATTTTTAGTAGAGACGGGGTTTCACCGTGTTAGCCAGGATGGGCTCGATCTCCTGACCTCGTGATCTACCCGCCTCGGCCTCCCAAAGTGCTGGGATTACAGGTATGAGCCACTGTGCCTGGCCTGAGTAAGACCCTGTTTCAAAGAAAAAAAATTTTTTCCTTTTGCTTTCTAGTTGGAGACCAACTAAACCAAGCCTGTATTTAAGAGCATATGGTTGAAAGATTAACTCTGGAAGCAGATGGACATCAGTTTGAATCCCTATTTGCCTCTTCTTAACCGCGTGACTGGGCCGGGCGTGCTGGCTCACGCCTGTAATCCCAGCACTCTGGGAGGCTGAGGCAGGCAGATCACAAGGTCAGGAGATCGCCACCATCCTGGCTAACACGGTGAAACCCCGTCTCTACTAAAAATATAAAAAATTAGCTGGGCATGGTGGCAGGTGCCTGTAGTCACAGCTACTCGGGAGGCTGAGGCAGGAGAATGGCGTGAACCCAGGAGGCAGAGGTTGCAATGAGCCGAGATCGTGCCACTGCACTCCAGCCTGGGCGACAGAGCGAGACTCCTTCTCAAAAAAAAAACAGAACAAAACTGTGTGGCTTATGCAAGTCACTAGAACTCTCTGAGCTTGTTTTTCCACCTGTAAAATGAAGATAATACTATTTACTTTACAGACTTGTATGATAAGATGAAGTATAAGAAGCCCAGCATAGTATTTGGCATGTAGTACGTGCTCAGTAAACACGTAAATAAAAATAAGTAGGCCAGCTATGGTGGCTCATGCCTTTTTTAATCCCAGCACTTCGGGAGGCTGATGAAGGAGGATTGCTTGAGCCCAGGAGTTCGAGACCTGGTTAACATAGGGAAACACACCATCTTTTTTTTTTTTTGAGACAGAGTCTCGCTGTGTCACCCAGGCTGGAGTGCAGTGGCACGATCTCAACTGACTGCAACCTCCACCTCCTGGGTTCAAGCGATTCTCCTGCCTCAGCCTCCCGAGTAGAGTAGCTGGGACTACAGGCATGTGCCATCATACCCGGCTAATTTTTGTATTTTTAGTAGAGACTGGGTTTCGCCATGTTGGCCAGGCTGGTCTCGAATGCCTGACCTCAAGTGATCTGCCCACCTCAGCCTCCCAAAGTGCTGGGATTACAGGCGTGAGCCACCATGCCCGGCCGACCCCATCTCTTAAAAAAAGAAAAAAAAAAAAAGAAAAGAAAAGAAAAAAGGATAGGTAGGTGTGGTGGCATGTGCTGGTAGCCCTGGCTACTCAGCGGGAGGCAGAGGTGGGAGGATCACTTGAGCCCAGGAGGCCAAGGCTACAGTCAGCTGTGATCATACCATTGCATTCCCACCTGGGTGACTAAGTGAGATCCTGCCTCAAAATAAAGTAAGTAACTAAGTAAGTAAACTTTAATGTCTTTTTACTGAGTTAAAAGCACAAAGTACCCAATTCCCTTCGTCAGGGTTTTCATCACATAGCCCAAACATATCACCTTGGGGTGTAGTGTCTTCCTTTATCCCTGAAGAATATGAGACCTGTTCATCATTTGTCTTCCTATTCCACAGGCAGGCCCAATGCCGAAACACATTGCATTCATAATGGACGGGAACCGTCGCTATGCCAAGAAGTGCCAGGTGGAGCGGCAGGAAGGCCACTCACAGGGCTTCAACAAGCTAGCTGAGGTGGGTGTGTATGGCAGAGCCCAAAGTGAACAGTCTGTGGAGAGGTAGATTATAGCTAGAAAACCAGGCTCTGAGTTTGCTGTGGTTGGAGAGTGTTTTTTGTATCTGTCTCTGTGTTTTATTGTTTGCTTGCTAGCTATAGATCTCATCTTGACATTGGCCAGACGTGGTTGCTTTTGCCTCTAATCCCACACTTTGGGAGGCCAAGGCAGGAGGATTGCTTGAGCCCAGGGGTTCAGGACTAGCCCGGGTAACATAGTCAGACCCTGTCTCTACAAAAAAATTTAAAAATTAGCCAGACTTGATGGTGCACACCTGTGCCCCCAGCTACTCAGGAGGCTGAGGTGGGAGGACTATCTGAGCCCAGGAAGCTTGAGGCTGCAGTGAATAGAGATTGTGCCCCTGTACTCTAGCCTGGGTGACAGAGTGACACCATCTCAAGAAAAAAAAAATGACATTAACAAAGAAGTAATCATCCAGTGAATGACCATAAAATACTGGAAATAAGAACAAAATTGCCTCTTCTTATTTTAATAAATCAATAGTTTATATTTTATGCCTCATCCAATCCTTATTGTATGCTCTACGTGACTTAACATTAATAAAATTGCATCTGTAGCTTCAGTAACCTTATTTTCACTTAACATTTTGGTTTTGTTTATTTGTTTGAGACAGTCTCACTCTGTTGCCCAGGCCAGAGTACAGTGCATGATCTCTGCTCACGGCAACCTCCGCCTCCCGGGTTCAAGTGATTTTCTGCCTCAGCCTCCTGAGTAGTTGAGATTGAACACCCGTCACCATGTCCAACTAATTTTTTTGTATTTTTAGTAGAGATGGGGTTTCACCATGTTGGCCAGGCTGGTCTCGAACTCCTGACCTCAGGTGATCCACCCCCTTCAGCCTCCCAAAGTGCTGGGATTACAGGCATGAGCCACTGCACCCGGCCAACATTTGGGGAGGCATTTTTTAAGGTGTATATATAAGCTTTCTATCTGTATCTTTCAATGACTGTAGAACATTTTATCAAGAGGATCTGATATAATTTAACTGCTCCACTATTACTTGACATTACAATAAACATTATAAATAGTACTGTTTCAGCCTGGGCAACATGGTGAGATCCTGTCTCTACAAAACAAAAAAAAAAATTAGCCAAGCATGATGGTGCATGCCTGTGGTCCCAGCTACTTACGAGACTGAGGTGGAAGGATGACTTGAACCCTGGAGGTTGAGGCTGCAGTGAGCTGTGTTCACGTCACCGCAATCCAACCTGGTGACAGAGCAAGACCTTGTCTAAAAAAAAAAAGTACTCTTTTTGGATAAATTCTTAGAAGTGACATTTCTGGACGAACATTGAGTGACTACTCATTCTGCTTTGCCAAGGCTGAGGGGTTTCTCAGGACACAGGTCTTTCAGTGCTAAAACTGGTGAAAGTCCCCGGCAAACCAGGACATCACTCTACACAGAGGTCATGAACATTTTATGGTATAATGCATGTTATAAATTGGAAGACATTAAGTTTAACAAAAGAATGGAATATGACAATCTTGGTGAAATTTTTAAGAAGAATGGAGGGCCGGGCGCGGTGGCTTACGCCTGTAATCCCAGCACTTTGGGAGGCTGAGGTGCGCGGATCATGAGGTCAGGAGATCAAGACCATCGTGGCTAACACGGTGAAACCCCATCTCTATTAAAAATACAAAAAGTTAGCCGGGCGTGGTGGCGGGCACCTGTAGTCCCAGCTACTCGGGAGGCTGAGGCAGGAGAATGGCATGAACCCAGGAGGCGGAGCTTACAGTGAGCCAAGATTGTGCCACTGCACTCCGCCTGGGCAACAGAGTGAGACTCCGTCTCAAAAAAAATAAATAAATAAAAGAATGGAAATATGGTCTGTAGTTCACAGGTCCCAGTGTCCTAGCACAGGGACACAGTTTGATGCCAGGGCCGTGATATTTTTTTCCTTGAGTGAATGGCAGTGAGGTTCTCACCAGAACCTTGTAGAAGTCTTTACGTTTGTTGACTCCAGCTTCTCTTTTGTAACTGAGAGGCAGTTTTGCCTAATGCTTAGGAGCTTGAGCTCTGGAGTCACTCAGAATTCATTGGCACCCCTGCTTTGTCACTGTCTGGCTTTGTGACCTGCAGCGAGTTATGTAGCTTCCCTTTGCCTCAGTTTCTTCATCTATAAAATGGGGTTAGCAATCTCTATCTCAGTAGATTATTTGAAGATAAATAAGATGGCACAATGAAAAGCATGTAGCACAGGCCCTGACCTAAAGGAAGTACTCAAAAAATTGAAACTTGTTATTAGCAACTGTATTGACTGATGTCAGTGGTGGGTTCCAACCCAGATGTGCCATCCACAGTGGCTGCCTTGCAAGGTCTTTAGGGCCTGAGGCTATTCAAGTGTCAGGTTCTCACTGGCAATTTTCCTAAGATGACAGTAGATTTGTTTGCTTGTATGTTTGTTAAGGGGTTAGAGAGGCAGCTCTTCAGCTTGTTTCTTCTGTTCTGTTTGAATGTCTTCTGTTGTCTACGTTTAACCTCCCGCTCTCCATCTCTCAACATTGTCCTCCACCTCTCAACATTGTTCTCCACCTTTAGTGGTACAGGATTAGAGCAGCCCCAAAGGACTAAGTTTTCTTCTTTTTTTTTTTTTTTGAGACGGAGTGTTGCTCTGTCACCCAGGCTGGGGTGCAGTGGCGCGATCTCAGTTCACTGCAACCTCCGCCTCCCAGGTTCAAGCGATTCTCCTGCCTCAGCCTCCTGAGTAACTGGGATTACAGGCCTGCGCCACCACACCCGGCTAATTTTTGCATTTTTAGTAGAGACGGGGTTTCACCACGTTGGTCAGGCTGGTCTTGAACTCCTGACCTCGTGATCCGCCTGCCTTGGCCTCCCAAAGTGCTGGGATTATAGGTGTGAGCCACCACGCCCGGCCTGTTTTTTTTTGAGTTGAAGTCTCACTCTGTAGTCTAGGCTGGAGTGCAGTGGTGAGATCTCCACTCACTGGTTCAAGCGATTCTCCTGCCTCAGCCTCCCAAGTAGCTGGGAATACAGGTGTGCGCCACCGCACCCAGCTAAGTTTCTGTATTTTTAGTAGAAATGGGGTTTCACCATGTTGGCCAGGCTGGGCTTGAACTCCCAACCTCAGGTAATCTGCCCACCTTGGCCTCCCAAAGTGCTAGGGTTATAGGAGAGACCCACCACACCCAGCCAGTTTCATTTCTTTTTGAGTTATAATTTCATATGGTGAACTGCACAGATTTTAGGTTTTGACAATTGCATTTATTTATCTAACCCATACCCCTGTCAAGATATAGGACATTTCCTGCCGGGCTCAGTAGCTCATGCCTGTAATCCCAGCACTTCGGGAGGCCAAGGCAGGCAATCACCTGAGGTCAGGAGTTCGAGACCAGCCTGGTCAGCATGGCGAAACCCCATCTCTACTAAAAATACAAAAAGTTAGCCAGATGTGGTGGCACATGCCTGTAGGCCCAGCTACTCGGGAGGCTGAGGCAGGAGAATCACTTGAACGTAGGAGGTGGAGGTTGTAGTGAGCCAAGATTGCACCACTGCACTCCAGCCTGGGTGACAGAGCAAGACTCCAGCTTAAAAAAAAAAAAAAAAAAAGATGTAGGACATTTCCATCTCTCCAAAAAAATTCCCTGGTGCCCCTTCTCAATCAACTTCTGTTCTACCTCCTCCTTTTCCTCTCTAGGCAACTACCGTTCTGATTTCTGTAACTATAAATTTGTTTTTCCCATTCTAGAACTCCATATAATGGAATCAGACAGTTGAGGATTTTTGACATATTCTTCAACTCTGAGCCTGTTTTATCATTTGTAAAGTAGGCATGAAAACAGTAGTGTCATTTTAAAGTGGTTGTTCAAAGAATCAAATGAAATTATGTGAAAACCCTTTGCAGGCTATTAAATGCTACACAGCTGTCCAGTTGTTGCTTTTTTTCTTTTAACTCAGCCTCTCAACCTACCAGAATAATGAAGTTATGCTGTGAGTAATAACACCTTGTGTTTTTATATTGTTCGTTAGCCACCTTGTAAGGGATGGATTGTGATCCCATATTACAGGTAAGGAGACTTCAACCTAGAGAAATTAAATGATTTGATTCCAGTCACATAAGTGCATGCTGGAGTCAGGGACTAGAGCCTATGTCTTTACACTCTCAGTGCAGAGTTCTTTCTTGTAGTGCACAATGCCATCAGCATTCACTAAGATCACATTTTTCAGTTTCTTCAATGGTGGTTTTCTGCTTATTTGATGCATTAATTCTGACATAAACACTGATGTTATCCTAGCTTCACCCAGCTTTGGGGAGGAGAAAAGTCTGTCTCCTATCTCCAACTCTGAGTCAGGACCAAAAAGTATCTCTTATTTCCCCTTCCCACTCTTCCTTGTATCCTAGCTCCTTGCCTTCTCCCCTCTCAGACTCTGCGGTGGTGTTTGAACCTGGGCATCCTAGAGGTGACAGTCTACGCATTCAGCATTGAGAACTTCAAACGCTCCAAGAGTGAGGTAGACGGGCTTATGGATCTGGCCCGGCAGAAGTTCAGCCGCTTGATGGAAGAAAAGTAAGATGCTATCAGAGGGGAGAGCATGTTCTTCCACCACCCCCAGCCTTATCCTAACCCTTGAAATTCTGTTATCTGAGGCTTACTTAAGGGACTTGCAACTCTTTTTAATGTTAGTTAGATATCTTGGGTGGCAAATATCAGAAATACAAGATAGTCTTTCATTCTTTATTTCTAACTTTTTAATAAAAAAGGGGGCATTTATTTGAGGATATTGAGGGGTGTCACATGATTTAAGAACAAGTACAGCCAGCCTCAAGCAAAACTGAAACCAGGAATTAAACCCACTAGGTAGAACCTCTGTATTCATTTATTTCCACCTCTCTCTGCAGACCAGTTTTCTCTTGCTTCAAAAGAGCAGCCTGGAATCAATAAAATCCCTTAATTGGGATCCCTAAATTCTATCAGATTTCTACCCCAGAGCCAATAAACTATGGCCAAGGAAGTGGAGTTAAAGAAAACATTGAGGAAGTCATTTTCTGCTGCACAGTGAACCCTAAAAAGTTACTGTACTCCCCCTGCATAGTCTTTTGGGAGGGATAGGATGATGCATAAGAGACATTTATGGGGAAGCATCAGTACCATTCTTAGCTGTCAGTAAGTTTAGGCTTAACTTAGGGAATAAAGCCAGAGAGGGGCAAAGACAAATTTCAGTGGAGACTGCTTGCTTCAAAGTATGGAGCCCTTACCAGCCAGAATTGCCCGAAAGTCTTAGTTACAACTGTTGTGTGCCCAGCTCCTACCTGTACCAGGAAGATGAGAGAACAGTGAGCCTAGAACTCCAGTGAAGATGAGCCTAGAACAATGGGTGGTAGGGAGGGTAGCCAGGCTTCCTTCTGTCTATATTAGGATGGTGAGACTCTGGGCTACAGACATTGCTCCCCGGTCCCCAGCAGAGCCTGTGTGGCTCAGAGTTTACACCTAAGGAGCCGGGGATGGAGGCATGGGGGGCATATCCCACTAATCTTACCTTTTTAAAGTGTTTACTATATGCCAGGCTTTGAGCCTAAAATATATTCTTACTCATCCTGTAATCACATTATACCATGACAAAGATATTATTAGCCAATTTTTAGAGAGAAGGAAAGTAGTTAACCAAAGAAGTTAAGGCATATATCCTGGGTCACACAGCTATCAGACAGGCAGAGCCAAGGTGCACACCTGGATCTTTTTGACTCCAGAGCTGAGCTATCATCTACTACACTGTGCTCTGAGAGACAGACCATATTACAATTCCTGCAAGATCAAAACGCATGGCAGAAGAGATGCTAATGAGATTGCGCTGATCAGTTAGTAGTAGAGAAAATGGTCTTCGTTTATCATGAAGTCCTGGCAAAAGCAAGAAGAAACTCAGAGGTGCTTTTCCATTAATGTGCCACAGAACCCCAAGGTCTGAGGAGGTGTAGAAAGAACCTAGTGGGAATGGGGTAGGGGGTGCTGAGTTGCATTTACCTATTTTATGTGTTGGGCTTCTGTGTAGAATTTGATTTGAAGAAAGGGTTCTTTGGCTAAAAGAAGGTGGGAAAACCACTGGCCTGATTCTGTTTCATCAGTTGGGAAACTAAACCCTAGTAAAGAGAAGAGGTTGAGCAAGGTGGCTCATGCCTGTAATCTCAGCACTTTGGGAAGCCAAGGAGGGTACATTGCTTGAGTCCAGGAATTTGCTTGATTCCAGCCTAGGCAACATGGCAAAACCCCATCTCTACAAAAAAATACAAAAAAATTAACTGGGGATGGTGGCACATGCCTATAATCCCAGCTATGTGGGAGGCTGAAGTGGGGGGATCACTGTGATGAGCCTGGGGAGTCTGAGGCTGCAATGAGCTGTGATCGATCCACTATGCTCCATCCTGTGCAACAGATCGAGACCCTGTCTCAGAAAAAATAATTAAAAATAAGTAAATTAAAATTTTAAAAAACAGAAGACAAGAGCTTACACATGGTCACACATCAAACTAGTGGCAGAACTATACCACAAGCTAGCAGGAGGAGCTGAATCAAGGTCTTCTAGTATACTGCCTTCAATTAATCTCCCATTTTCCAAATGTGAAGCATTCGGTTTCTTCATAGCATTTCCAGATGAGAGAAGCTGGCTGAATTCATTCTCACTGTATGCAGAGTTTGGGAGTTATTGTATGGAAGCAATATAATGTCATAATTAAGAAGACAAGCTCTGGAGGCTGACTCCCTACGTGCAAATCCTGGTTCTCCATCAGCTGTCCAAACAAATTACCTAACGTCCCTGTGCCTCAGTTTCCTCATCTGTAAAAGGGGAATAATAAGGGTATATAACTCAGAGGTTGGTGTAAGGATGGAATGTGTTGGTACATGTAAAGCACTTAGACCAATATCTGGCATTTAGTAAACATAGAATGTTAGCTGTCACCATTATCATAATATTTCACTAGAACATAACAAAAGTACCCCATAATACAGCTCCTTCCCTTGAGGAGTTTACTCACTTCTCAAATGGGACAAACTTCACAGATACATAAAATGCAACTGCCCAAAAAGGACACATGAGGTCGTGTAATGTATAGTAAAGAGTTTGGGTTCTTGCTGGACATGGTGGCTCACACCTGTAATCCTAGCACTTTGGGAGGCTCAGGCAGGAGGATCACTTGAGGCCAGGAGTTTGAGACCACCTTGGGCAACATAGTGAGACCTCATCTTTACAAAAAATACAAAAATTAGCCAGGCATGGTGGTGCATGCCTTTAGTCCCAGCTACTTGGGAGGCTGAGGCAGGAGGATCGCTTGAGCCCAGGATTTGGAAGTTAACACTGAACCATGAGTATACCACTGCACTCCAGCCTGGGTGAGAGTAAGACCCTGTCTCCAAAAAAGGGGAAAAAAAAATGTAGTTTGGGGCTGAGCGCAGTGGCTCATGCCTGTAATCTCAGCACTTGGGAGGCCGAGACAGGCAGATCACTTGAGGTCAAGGGTTCGAGACCAGCCTGGCCAACATGGTGAAACCTCATCTCTACTAAAAATATAAAAATTAGCCAGGCCTGGTGGTGGGCACCTGTAATCCCAGCTACTTGGGAGGCTGCGGTGGGAGGATCGCTTAAACCCGGGATGCGGAGGTTGCAGTGAGCTGAGATTGCGCCACTGCACTCCAGCCTGGGTGACAGAGCAAGCCTCCATCTCAAGAAAAAGAATTTGGGTTCTCAAATCAGACAAACTGGGTTTCAATCCTGACAAAGCACTTGATGGCTATATGACCCTGGGCAGTCCCTATCTGACTGTCCTGTCTGAGCCTTGGCACTGAAGTAAGTTTCTTTCAGAGTTGTTGAAGGGATGCAATGAAATAATGCATGTAGAACAGGGTCTGACACACAGGAAAGCACTCAAAAAACTGGTGGTCAGTTATTACCTGAGCACCTTGCTCTCTCCAGCTCAGCAGGGGCCCTATCCCAATGCTGCCTCTTTTCCCTGATCAGGGAGAAACTGCAGAAGCATGGGGTGTGTATCCGGGTCCTGGGCGATCTGCACTTGTTGCCCTTGGATCTCCAGGAGCTGATTGCACAAGCTGTACAGGCCACGAAGAACTACAACAAGTAAGTTCTCAGATTTCCCTATAGGGAGCTGTTTCAATCTTTGATTCCCTGCTGGCTTTAGGGAGACGTCCTGGGCTTTCCTTGGTCTGGATTGGTGCAAGGGGCAATGAGAGAGTAGGTTGAGCAGCTTAGAGACTTTCTCCGTCTGCAGGGCACACCAGACATGATTCTGCAATAACATGTTATATGTGTGTATACTGACACATACACATAGTTTCTCTTTCCTCCTTTCTCTGCCCAGCCCCCACCAAATAAGTGTGTGTGTGTGTGTGTGTGGGTGTGTTTTTACTTGACAGGGAATGGGATCGGAATACAGCAGTTCTTATCCCTGACTTTGAAGACAGATCCTTCAAGAAATTCTTGTTCTGTTCCACTCCTTTAACCTATGGATAGGATGACCTTGGGAGGTCATACAGATGTACAGGGGAATAGAGTTCAATAATCCAAACTCTGTGATGTGTAGCTTTGAAATATAACGTGTATTTTGGCAGTGGACTTGTTTTACATCAAATCTCCTTCCTATTTTCCTTTGTTTGTGCCAATATCACAGTAGAGTCTTCCTCTGAAAGCCGGTGTACAGTAGAAGGGGAGAGGGTTAGGACGGCAATAGGAGCTATTTGGTGGCTGGGCACAGTGGCTCACGCCTGTCATCCTAGGCAGGTGGATCACCTGAAGTCAGGAGTTCAAGACTAGCCTGGCCAACATGGTGAAACCCCATCTCTACTAAAAATACAAAAATTAGCCAGGTGTGGTGGTGTGCACCTGTAATCCCAGCTACTCGGGAGGCTGAGGCAGAAGAATCGCTTGAACCCAGGAGGCAGAGGTTGCAGTGAGTCGAGATCACGCCATTGCACTTCAGCCTGGGCGACAAGAGCAAAACTCTGTCTCAAAAAAAAAAGGAGCCATTTAGTATTTGTCTTATTATAAAACTAGTTACATGTTTATTCCAAGAAAACTTGGAAACCACAAAAAACTCATAATTTCACCTTTCAGAGGTATCCACAATTAACATTTGATGTGTATTTGTTTTTCTAGGGAAAGGCTGGAAGGGCTTCTCTGTAATCAGTGACTTCAATCATCAGTCCCTGTCCCCCTTTGGTAAATTATTCTCTTCTTCCCTCCTCAGGTGTTTCCTGAATGTCTGTTTTGCATACACATCCCGTCATGAGATCAGCAATGCTGTGAGAGAGATGGCCTGGGGGGTGGAGCAAGGCCTGTTGGATCCCAGGTATCCCGAGTTGTTTTGCATGGTAATTGTTAAGGAAAACAGGCCTGGGCCAGCATGGCAGCTCACGCCTGTAATCCTAGCACATTAGGAGGCCGAGGTGGGCAGTCCACTTGAGGCAGGCCAGGAGTTCAAGACCAGCCTGGCCAACATGGCAAAACTCCCTCTTTTCAACAACAACAACAAAAAAGCAGGCCTGTACCAAACCATAAAGCCCCTCTGTGCCATGTACTTGGCCAGAGGTCTAATTAGGGGAGCATGTGGAAAGATTTAAGGGGATCTCCCAAATTTAGAGATTAGGATTGGCTTATTACAACCTGCTTCAGAACTAGAGTTCACCACACACCAAGAAACCCCAGAGAAAGAGCAAAGCAGATGACAAAGCCATGTTATTATTCCTTTACAAATTATACCCTCCTGGCCCTTTGGTAGTGTTTTTCCAAGAATGACTTTTCATGAATGCAGTTTGTTGGGGCTAGAGTTCTTTAGGTCTCTCATGTTCTAGTTCCACACAAGATTCAGGTGTTTTTCTTTTCTTTTTTTTTTTTTTTTTTGGTGAGGCAAAGTCTCACTCTGTTGCCCAGGCTGGAGTTGCAACCTCCACCTCCCAGGTTCAAGCAATTCTTCCGCCTCAGCCTCCCAAGCAGCTGGGACTACAGGTGCATGCCACCATGCCCAGCTAATTTTTGTATTTTCAGTCGAGACAGGTTTCACCATATTGGCCAGGCTAGTCTCGAACTCCTGACGTCGTGATCTGCCTGCCTCAGCCTCCCAAAGTGCTGGGATTACAGGCGTGAGTCACCATG
The DNA here is from genome assembly GCF_000001405.40 of Homo sapiens. NCBI lineage: Eukaryota > Metazoa > Chordata > Mammalia > Primates > Hominidae > Homo > Homo sapiens. The sequence continues at coordinate 26,448,464 of NC_000001.11, forward strand.
CCCAGCCGATTCAGGGATTTTTCAAAAAGAAAATTATTAATTATTGTCAACATAGTGGAATCCTAATTATTAAAGGTGGAGAGACTTTTGAAGCCATTTAAATATTTGGTCCCTCTCATGTTATTATTTATGTAACTTTTAATATATTTGTAAACTAACAGCAATAGTAAAATAATAGTAGCAAAAAATAACCCAGGAGATGTGTTGTGTTCTGTATTTCATTAAGTCATTAACCTTATGTGTGAGAGATTCAAGGCTGTTGTCCATTGTGTAGATGAGAAAACTGAGTTCAGCATTGAAGTGACTTGCCCAGGGTCACTCTACTAGTAAGTGCCAGAGCTGGGACTCATATCTAAAGCTGTTTGATTTTAGGGTTCTTATCCTTTACCTCTATTATGTGGGATCTTGGGAAGCAGGAATTTTTCTGGTTCCCTTCCCGATTCGATTGACCTAGGAAACTAGATTAAAAATCAAAAAGTTACTTGGTGAGAATAGAATTAGATAAAAAGGAGAGGAGACAGTTTTTGAGGCTATTTTATGAATGCCTCTCCTTCCTAACAGCTGGGTGACATTTCTCTGTCACATAGTTCATTCATTCAACAAATATTTTATTTTTATTTATTTATTTTTATTTTTTATTTTATTTATTTTTTTGAGATGGAGTCTCGCTCTGTCTCCAGGCTGGAGTGCAATGGCGAGATCTTGGCTCACTGCAACCTCCGCTTCCCAGGTTCCAGCAATTCTTCCACCTCAGCTTCCCAAGTAGCTGGGATTACAGGCGCCCACCACCGTGCCCAGCTAATTTTTTGTATTTTTTAGTAGAGACGGGGTTTCACCATGTTGGCGAGGCTGGTCTTGAACTCCCAACCTCAAGTGATCTGTCTGCCTCAGCCTCCCAAAGTGCTGAGATTCCAGGCATGAGCCATCACTCCTGGCCCATTTTTATTTTTATTTTGAGACAGGGACTCACTCTATCGCCCAGGCTGGCGTGCAGTGGTGTGATCTCGGCCCACTGTAGTCTGTGCCTCCCGGGCCCAAGCAGTCCTCCCACTTCAGCCTTCCAAGTAGCTGGGACTACAGGTGTGTGCCACCATGCTCAGCTAATTCTTTTTTTGGAGACAGAGTCTCACTCTTGCCCAGGCTGGAATGCAATGGTACAATCTCGGCTCACTGCAACCTCCGCCTCCTGGGCTCAAGCGATTCTTCTGCCTCAGCCTCCTGAGTAGCTGGGATTACAGGGGCATGCCACCATGCCCAGCTAATTTTTGTATTTTTAGTAGAGACGGGGTTTCACTATGTTGGCCAGGCTGGTCTCAAACTCCCCACCTCAGGTAATCCGCCCACCTCGGCCTCCCAAAGTGCTGGGATTACAGGCGTGAGCCACCGCGCCCGGCGGTTTTAGACTTACGTTACAGTGGATAGTGGTGCCCTTCACCATGCTAGGTAACCCTGAGAGAAAATCCAGTTGAAAAGGGTCAGCAGTTTGGTTTTGGATATCCTGTACATGTTGAACAGAGATGTCAGGTCAACAGTTCAGCGAGGGATTGGTATAGTCAGGTCAACAGTCAGACAGAGATGTCAGGTCAACAGTTCAGACAGGGTTTATCTCTGTCGCCAGTATGGAAGCCATCTGTGTATAGGTTAACTTGAGCAAAGAGGGGATGAGAAAGCTAAGGAGAGTCTGTCTGTCTATCTGTGTATTTATCTATTTAGAGATGGTCTCACACTGTCTCCTGGGCTGGAGTGCAGTGGGGCAATCAAAGCTCACTGAAGCTTGGAACTCCTGGTCTCAAAGGAGCCTCTCAAGTACCCAGTACTACAGACGTGCACCACCTACCCAGCTAACTTTTTATATTTATTTTTTGTAAAAACAGGGTCTGACTTTGTTGCCCAGGATGGTCTTGAACTCCTGGCCTCAAGTGGTCTTCTTGCCCTGGCCTCCCAAAATGCTGAGATTACAGGTGTGAGCCACTCAGCCCTGCCTGTTAAGGAGTGTAGAGTGAGAAGAAGAAAGAGCCTAAGATGGCATTTTTGAGGAACTCTACCCTTTACTGGCTGGGTAGAGGAGAATAAGCTTTATAAGCAAAAACACAGAAAAGCAGGAAGAAAACCAGGGCAGCCAGCATTACATAAGCCAAGAAAAGAGGGAGTTTGTTGGTGCAAGTTGGGAAGGGGTAGGGCACCCATGGAAACAATGGTGTCAAATGCTGTAGAGAGGTCAATTAAGATGTAGAGTGAAAATCAGCTGTTGTTAAAACAATTAAGAGACTGGTGGAGTTAGCAGAGGTAGAGAGCAGGCAGGAAGATGAGACAGAAAAGGGGTATAGAAATAGAAGCATGTTTTCAATAAAATTCTTAGTTTGGAGGTACTTTCGTAGTTCATTATATTTTTGTGCTTTATAATGAATATGTTTCAAATATTCTTGTATGTATGAAATAAATATTAAGGCACAAGGGTTGACACTAGAATGAAAGAAAGCCATTTGACAAGCAGATCTAATATGCATTATGCCTAGGACTCTGATCTTGACTCCTAGTCCAGCATGCTTTACCCTCATACCACATTACAGTAACCACTACCTTATCTCCTGCTTCTTGTCCAGCAAGTTTTTCCATATCCTTCTCTGTCCTGCATGGTTTAGTAACTTGCCTCTGTGGGGTTAGTTATGCAGACAGGGTGTGGGTTGGGCAGTATCACCAGGGTCAGGAGGCCAATGTCTCAACCCACCAACTCCTGAAGCTTGGTGTGCTCAGACTGGGCTAATCAGGGCCTGAGGCGTTACACTTTATATTATTCGAATTTAGACAAACCTGCATTTATAACAAAGTCAGTGCGTTAATTACAATTAGGTCCTATGCTTCTAATAGCTGGAATTTTCCTGATTTCTCACTATCACCATCCAACTCCTCATTTTTCTTTCTTCCAGGGTATGTATGTAGATGTGTGTGTGTGTGTGTGTGTGTGTGTGTGTGTGTGTGTGTGTGTGTATTTTTGTTTTTTTGTTTTTCTGAGATGGAGTCTTGCTCTGTTGCCCAGGGTGAAGTGCAGTGGCACGCTCTCAACTCACTGCAACCTCCACCTTATAGGTTCAAGCAGTTTTCGTGCTTCAGCCTCCTGAGTAGCCAGGATTATAGGTGCACACCACCACACCCGGCTATTTTTTTTTCTTTTTTTTTTTTTTTGAGACAGAGTCTCGCTCTGTCGCCCAGGCTGGAGTGCAGTGGCACAATCTCAGCTCACTACAACCTCTGCCTCCCGGGTTCACGCCATTCTCCTGCCTCAGCCTCCTGAGTAACTGGGACTACAGGCGCCTGCCACCCCGCCTGGCTAATTTTTTTATATTTTTAGTAGAGACGGGTTTCACCATGTTAGCCAGGATGGTCTCGATCTCCTGACCTCGTGATCTGCCTGCCTCGGCCTCCCAAAGTGCTGGGATCACACCCGGCTATTTTTTGTATATTTAGTAGAGATGGGATTTCACCATGTTGACCAGGCTGATCTCGAACTCCTGACCTCAAGTGATCTGCCCACCTTGGCCTCCCAAAGTCCTGGGATTATAGGTGTGAGCCATAGCACCTGGCCTGTTTCGTTTTGTTTTTGAGACAGGGTTTCACTCTGTTGCTGAGGCTGAAGTGCAGTGGTATGAACATGGCTCACTGCAGCCTAGACCTCCTGGGCTCAAGAGATCCTTCCACCTCAGCTTCCTGAGTATCTGGGACCACAGATACTGCTACCACATCTGGCTAATTTTTTGACTTTGTAGAGACAGGGTCTTGCCATGTTGTCCAGGCTGGTCTCAAACTCCTGGGCTCAAGTGATCCTCCTGCCTTGGCCTCCCAAAGTGCTGGGATTACAGGTTTGAACCACGGCACCTGACCGAGGTATATATGTATTTTTTTAGCAGTTAAATTAATAGATTGTTTTGTGAGTCTGGAAATTATAGAAGAAGGAAGTAGATTGAGACCAAAGGATAGTTAATAAATTCTATTCCACCGTGTTACCTTGAACGGGCTACTTGATTCCCTGTAGGCCTCTGTCTTTCTTATAAAACAATAGTGTTAATAGTAATTGCTAACACTTACTGAGCATTTACTCTGTTCCAAGCATTAAGTATTCCACATACATTTATCCTTAGACCCTATAAGGTAGATACTGTTTTTATGCCCATTTTAAAGATGAGAATACTGAGACATGGAGAGGAAAAGTAACTTGTGCAAGTTCACATAGTTGGCAAACCTGGGGGCCAAGATTTCAACCTGGCTTCAGAGCCTGTGTTCTCATTCACTGTGGCATATTGACTTCCTCATAGCAAAGCTGAAATGAACAATAAGGCAGTAAAAAAGAAAAAAATTAGATGGACATGGTGACTTATGCCTGTAATCCCAGGACTTTGGGAGGCTGAGGCAGGAAAATCGCTTGAGCCCTGGAGTTTGAGACCAGCCCTGGCAACACGGCAAGACCCTGTCTCTACAAAAATAAAACAGTTAGCTGGGTGTGCTGGCACACACCTGTAGCTACTTGGGAGGCTGAGTGAGGAGGATTACTTGAGCCTAGCAGGTCGAGGCTGCAATGAGCTATGGTTGCGCCATTGCTCTCTAGCCTGAACAACAGAGTGAAACCCTGTCTGAAACACACACACACACACACACACACACACACTCACTTTTGACATAAATATTTATAACACATGAAATCACATAATGAATAGTTTACACTCTGAATCATGCTTTTATCATTCAATGTTACGAGTACTTTTCATGACCCGTGTTTTTAATAATTCTTCATATCATTATTTATAATGGCTGTAAAATATATCTTGTGTTAATTTCTTTAACCAGTCTTCTATTTGTTGGGTATATAGGCAGTTTAATATTTCATTATTACAAATAATGCCACAATTAAATCTTTGACTGAACTTGCCTGCATTTTTTATTGTTTCCTCAGGATCTGAGTTTGAAAGTGCTCATTTCACCTTATTCTTGCCAAGATTTTTTAAATGTAAACTGTTCTGACCAGGTGCAGTGGCTCATACCTGTAATCCAGCACTTTAGGTGGCTGAGGCAGGTTGGATCGCTTGAGCTCATAAGTTCGAGACCAGCCTGGGCAAAATGGTAAAATCTCGTCTCTAAAAGTACAAAAATTACCTGAGTGTGGTGGCATGCACCTATAGTCACAGCTACTTGGGAGGCTGAGGTGGAAGGATGGCTTGAGCCCAGGAGGCTGAGGCTGCAGTGAGCCAAGATCACATCACTGCACTCCAGTCTGGGTAACAGCCAGATCCTGTCTCAAAAAATAAAACAAAAAAATAAACCTATTCTCATAGGTAAAAACTGATATTTTACCGTTATTTAATGTAAATCATTTCCGAAAAGTCTTCACGTAGACAGCTTTAACTCACCATTCCATTTAGTGATGGATTTTTGTTGGCCAAAGTCTACAGATGTTCCATTTTGATTTTGTCAGTTTCATCTTTCCACCCTAGAGTTAACCCCTTTTTTTTTGTTTTTGAGATGGAGTCTTGCTCTGTCACCCAGGCTGGAGTGCAGTGGTGCAATCTCGGCTCACTACAAGCTCCGCCTCCCGGGTTCACGCCATTCTCCTGCCTCAGCCTCCCGAGTAGCTGGGACTACAGGCGCCCACCACCACGCCCGGCTAATTTTTTGTATTTTTAGTAGAGACAGGGTTTCATCGTGTTAGCCAGGATGGTCTCGACCTCCTGACCTCATGATCTGCCCGCCTCGGCCTCCCAAAGTGCTGGGATTACAGGCGTGAGCCACCGCGCCTGGCCAACCCCTTTGTTTTTTTGAGACACAGTCTGCTGTATCACTCAGGCTGGAATGCACTGGCACAATATCAGCTTTTTCCATTAAGAATTCTGCCCACTGCAGAATTCTTACTGCATACCTACTGCCTAAAGTAGGTAGAAGAAACTCTTTGCAGATAAATTGTAAACTCAGAGAGACTGAGTCTCTGAAGTCACACTGCAAGTTGGTGGGACTGAAAATAATTTTTTATTATTATTCTTTATATAGCACTTTATAGTTCCCAAAGTGCACTCAAATCTATTATTTCATTTGATTTGACCCTCATGATAACCTATAAGGTGGATAGGACAAATGGGCCCTGTTTTTTTTTTTCCCTTTTAATTACATTTATTTTAATGCTGAATTTACTCCTGTGCCATAAGTTTTTGTTTCTTCAGTTTCTTTGGGATATCATTTTCTTCTGGGCAACCTCCTCTTCTGGTTTAGGAACAATCTGTTCCTTTTCAGTAAGGATCATCTCAATGTGGCAGGGAGAGCTCATGGATGGGTTAATCCAACCATGAGCTCTGTAGGTCCAGCGGCACATCTTAGGTGCTTTGTTCACTTGGATATGCTCAATGACCAGAGAATCTACATTTAAACCCTTAAGTTCAGCATTACTCTCTGCATTTTTAAGCATGTGCAGCAAAAATTCAGCACTCTTTTTGGGCCACTGACCTTGTGTCCAGCCCCACTGCTTGGCCTGGGCACACCTGCCAGCTCCACCATTGTAACGTCGGAATGGTACGCACTGTTTCTGTAAAGTGACATCTTTCAGGTACTTCATGGCTTTTCGTATATGCATACCCTTGATGGCCTGGGCAGTTTCACGAATATTCTTAAAGTAAACACGAAGATTGGAACCTCTTGATTTGCATGATATCATGAGGTTCTCCGGGTTAAGTGAATAGTGAACCATTTTCACAGATTACCTCAGGCCGCTTAGGGAAAGAGCAAATGGGCCCATTTTAAAGATAAGAGAATGAGAAATTATATGGATTGTACAGAGTCTCACATAACTTGGAGAATTAAGACCATGCTGCCAAGACAAGATTGTCAGATTACCAGAGAAATCTGAACCAGAGCCCTTCTTATTGCTCAATTATAAGTGAATACTGTTTCCTCTGTGATGATGATACGGAAAAGAAAGCTCTCTCTGTGGTTTGCCTTAAAGGACTGAGAGAGATGAGCAACTTGGCTGGGTGCAGTGGCTCACACCTGTAATCCCAGCACTTTGGGAGGCCGAGGCAGGCAGATCACTTGAGCTCAGGAATTCAAGACCAGCCTGGCCAACATGGTAAAACCCCGTCTTTACTCAAAGTACAAAAATTAGCCGGGTGTGGTGGTGGCTGCCTGTAGTCCCAGCTACTTGGGAGGCTGAGGCAAGAGAATCACTTGAACCCGAGAGGTGGAGGTTGCGGGAGCCAAGATTGCGCCACTGCACTCCAGCCTGGGTGACAGCGCAAGACTCCATCTCCAAAAAAAAGATGAATAACTTGCCTAAAGACACACAACTAGTAAGTGTAGAGTCTGGTTTTGAACACTCAGCCCAGATCTTTCTGCTTTCCTGACCATGCGTCCAGAAACATGTTCCCACCAAGAAATTTTTGTCTTCTGGACCCTTTCCAAGATGTAACTCTAACTACCTGGACATTCTGAATTCTGCTTCTGGGTAGTTGGTAGGACAGGTAAACAGCATTCTTGGAGCCAACAGACACCAGCCATGCAAATACCCTCTTTCTGTGGACAGGATAGTTTTACTTAAGATAAATGCTTCCACTCACCAGTTTTCTTCAATTCTATCTCCTTTCTGACCATCTCTGTGCTTGGGAAAGTAGCTCTTATCAAACACAGGAGAACTGATCATATTGCTGTTTATTTAAAATCCGGTGTAATGTGGAATTTTTGCAATGTTTCAGGATCCATATGACTTAAATAAGATTTTAAAAATAAATTAGCTGAGCATGGTGTTGCACACCTGTGGTCCTAGCTACTTGGGAAGCTGAGGTAGGAGGATTGCTTGAGCATGGAAGGTGGAGGTTGCAGTGAGCTGAGATCACACCACTGCACTCCAGTCTGGGCAACAGAGGGAGACCCTGTCTGGAAAAAAAATAAAATATGTTTTCTGTTTTTTTTTGTTTTGAGACAGAGCCTCGCTCTGTCACTCAGGCTGGAGTTCAGTGGCATAATCTGGGCTTACTGTAACCTCCACCTCCTGGGTTCAAGCGATTCTCCTGCTTCAGCCTCCCAAGTAGCTGGGACTACAGGCATGCGGCACCACACCCAGCTAATTTTTGTACTTTTGGTAGAGATGGGGTTTCACCTTGTTGGCCAGGCTGGTCTCAAACTCCTGATCGCAGGTGATCTGCCTGCCTCAGCCTCCCAAAGTACTGGGATTACAGGCATGAGTCACCACGCCTGGCCAAAAAAAGTTATTTACATAAATTCAAACAATAACAGAAGTACATAAAGTAAAAAGAAATAGTCTTTTCTTCCTTACTTCTTATCCAATCCACTGTTAATAGTATGATGTATCTTTTTAGACTTTGTTCTTTATGTATACTTATATGCACGTGTGAATGTTTGAATGTGTGTGTATGTTTTATACTATATATTCTCTGAAACTTGCCTTTTACATTTAACATTAGATTTTGGACATCTTTCCAAATCAGTGCATTTAGATTTATCTTTATTTTTAGAATGCAGTTGCATAGTATTTCATCAAATACTGGGCCATAGGATGTATGTATGTATTTTAAAAAACAAGATGTTTTTAGCAAAAGACAACAGATATTTTTGTGGGTGCATCTGGTTTTAGGCCTGAGGCTAAATGACTTTCAGCAAATTATTCATCTTTGAGCCTCAGTTTCCTTATCTATAAAATGAGGATAGAAATACCTTATGTATCTGCTGAGCATGGTGGCTCATGCCTGTAATCCCAGCACTTTCAGAGGCCGAGGGGGGGGCGGATCACGAGGTCAGGAGATCGAGTCCATCCTGGCTAACATGGTGAAACCCTGTCTCTACTAAAAATACAAAAAAAAAAAAAAACAAATTAGCAGGGTGTGGTGGCGGGCACCTGTAGTCCCAGCTACTCGGGAGGCTGAGGCAGAATGGCATGAACCTGGGAGGCAGAGTTTGCAGTGAGCCGAGATCGTGCCACTGCACTCCAGCCTGGGGAACAGTGTGAGACTCTATCTCAAATAAATAAATAAATAAATAAATACCTTATGTATCAGAACATGTCAAAAAAGGCAAAAAATAAAAAAGAGAAAAGAATTTTACATTGTATTCTCTAAAAAAAAAAAAAAAAAAGAAATACCTTATGTAGTTGTGAAGATTTAAATTCATTCATTAATTTAGCAAACATTTTTTGAGGGCCTTCTGTGTAGTATTGGCTAGTGTATTTGATGGTATTGTATAAACTGAGAAGCCTATATATGGAAGTTCACCATGAGAACACTACAGAAAGAGAATACTACAGGATGTGTGCCTCTCTTTGTCTCTTCTTGCTCATCTTAGTGATATCTCTGAGTCTCTGCTTGATAAGTGCCTCTATACCAACCGCTCTCCTCATCCTGACATCTTGATACGGACTTCTGGAGAAGTGCGGCTGAGTGACTTCTTGCTATGGCAGGTAGGTCATTTCCAAGTACTATTATGTTTGTGTCATGGGGAAACCAACTGTATCCACAGAATGGATCAGAGTGGTCCATCCCCACTCCCAAACAGGCTGGGGCCAGAGTACTTCTGGGGAAAGCTAAAATCTGGAGAAGCATCTCTAGGCTGTGTCTCATAATATTTGATGTCCATTCCTCATCTGTCGCTGGCTTTGCGAATCCAACTATAGTGAAAACTTCATTGTGCCGCTTTTCAAGGAATGGGACTTCTGTCTTGCATCCCTGAGCGTAAGCTCTTGCCTTGGTAACCTGCCAGGGACCCTAGCCCCTCTGGGTTGGAAGCTTGCCTTGCAGTTACTAGTCCCTCCCCTTCAGGATAAAGGGCCATACCTATGCAAGCATGGTAAACAATATGCAAACACTCAAGTCTCTATCCCCTGTTAACTTGGTCCCTGGAGAGCACATAACTAGGGGAAGTCCTTGTTCTGGGAGAGACTCCATTTGGAAGCAGCTCACATGATAAAGCTCCAGAAATTTTAATGGACCACAATCTTAAAAGTGAGCTAACGCAGGGCGTGGTGGCTCACGCCTGTAATCCTAGCACTTTGGGAGGCTGAGGCAGGCAGATCACTTGAGGTCAGGAGTTTGAGACCAGTCCAGCCAACATGGTGAACCCCTGTCTCTACTAAAAATACAGAAATTAGCCTGGCATGGTGGCAGGTGCCTGTAGTCCCAGCTACTTAGGTGAATGAGGTGGGAGAATCACTTGAACCTAGGAGGCAGAGGTTGCAGTGAGGCGAGATCGTGCCACTGCACTCCAGCCTGGGCAACAGAGTGAGACTCTGTCGCAAAAAAAAAAAAAAAAAAAGAAAAGAAATAAGTACAATGTGCACCTATTGGTTCTGTGGCCCACTGTGCTGCTCAGATCACGTTTGGGAAGTTTACTGATGGGCTGAATTTTAAGAGACTACAGAGTCAGTTACTCAGTGTACAGAATTAGTTACATTGACAAACTTGAGGACTTACTGGAAGAGGCCAAACTGGAAAGCAAGGAATCTCATGTCTTACAAAAAATGAGGAAAGGATAGTGGTCTGCAAAAGGGAAATAAGTGACAATGTATTCCCTTGGAAAAAAGTGTTGAGTTCCTTCTTTATGCTGGAAATATGGCAGTGAGTGAGTCAGAAATGATCCCTACTGTCTTGAAACTTATAGTTTGCTAGCAAAGACAAACTCTGAACAAGTCATTACAACTTTGGGAACTGATAACAGGCAGCTCTAATCTAGCCTTGAAATACTTGAAAGAATGTCACTTTGAAGAAGAAACAAACTTGTTCCAGAAAAAATACCTGGGACCTTAGTAGAAGTTGTAGGGAAGGTGACATTGGTTTAGCATAAAAAGCCAAACAGGCTATCGGACAACTAGTTATCCCCCATGAGGTACTGAATTCCTCACCACTAGAGATATCAGGCAGTGGCTGTCAAGAGTGTTCCAAAGGGGATTCTTCATCAGTGATTATTATTAAAGTACACCTGGCTCTTTGCTATGCATATGTTATCTCATTTAATCTAAACAGTACCCTGAAAATTAGGTATTCCTATTATCCAGTTTTACATTTGAGGAATCTCAGGCCAGGTGAAATTACCCCTGCTCAAATAAATGGTAAATGGTTGGAGCCAAAATTCAAAGCCAGGCAGTCTGGCTCCAGAGCTCATGCTCTCAACCACTGTGCCCTGCTGCTGGTACTTAAAAATAACAATGGCAGCTACCATTTGTTCATTGGTGACCTTTATCAGACAGTATGTCTTCCAGATGCCCTCTAAGGGCCAAGAGCCAATAACATAATCCAGATGTTATTTCATAGTCCTAAAATTGGCTCTTAGAAAAATCCTGGTGGAAATGTTGATCTAGTCTCGTTTTAGTTCTGCTTTACCACAGGCAGGTGATCTGGCTGCCTCAAGTGACGCCTCCCCCTACTAGTGAATGAATCAGGGCCAGCAGCAGCTGCAGCTACAGCTCAGGATGCCTGTAACATTGTCATCTCTGGGCTTCTGGGTCCTGCTTAGCCTGCTTTTTCCCTGGAGGACTGACCAGGGATGCGGCCCAGCAACATGTTACTAAATCATACTCTCCTCCCTACCTTTCCCAGACCTCTCACTCCTGCCTGGTGTTCCAACCCGTTCTGTGGCCAGAGTATACATTTTGGAACCTCTTCGAGGCCATCCTGCAGTTCCAGATGAACCATAGCGTGCTTCAGGTAAGAAAGAGTTCAGGGCTGGCCAGATGGGATGGGATGGAAGAAAAGATTAGCATTGATTGACAACCACCTTACTATATACCAGGCACTTCCTAATAAGATGATGATAATGATGATAGTAGCTACCACCTACTGAGTATCTACTACTTGTCAGGCACTGCGAACATTTTACATGCTGCAACTCATTTAATGTTCCCAAGAACCCAATGAGGGAAGTCTTATTAGCCCCTCCCTTATGTAAGTAAGCAAACAGAAATGATTTAGTTAAGGACACATAATCAGTAAGAGGTAGGAATAGGATTTGAGCTACAGGTCTTTTATCTTTTAAAGACTCAGGAGGAAAAGGCTTCTCAGAGAAACTGGCCATTATTCCTTTAAAGTATTACCCTAATAAAAGATCGTAGCAGTAGGGATTAAGAACTAAATAGCATTGTCTTTCCATTGTGTAAACCTATGTTGTGTCAAGACTTGAAGTTTGACTTTCAGTTTTCATCACCAAATCTTGAAACAGGTTTTATTAGCAGTCACCTGTATATGATTAGGTCTCTTTATAATAATGGTAGTGGTAGCTAACATATGAGGATCTACGAGGGCACTTAGGTGATTTCATGTAAGTTTTCTTATTTAACCTAACAACCCAGCAGTTTTGGTGTCCTCATTTTTCATATATGGAACCAGAGGGGCAGAGAGACTTAAGTAACTGTCCCAAGGAACCTGAATTTTATCTTTATTTATTTATTTATTTTGAGATGGGGTTTTGCTCTTGTTGCCCAGGCCGGAGTGCAGTGGTGCGATCTGGGCTCACTGCAACCTCCCCCTCCTGGGTTTGAACGATTCTCCTGTCTCAGCCTCCCAACTAGCTGGGATTACAGGCACACGCCACCATGCCTGGCTAATTTTTGTATTTTCAGTAGAGACAGTGTTTCACCATGTTGGCCAGGCTGGTCTTGAACTCCTGACCTCAGGTGATCCGCCCACCTTGGCCTCCCAAAGTGCTGGGATTACAGGCGTGAAGAGCCTGAATTTTAAAATCAAAGCTGGTGCTGCTTCTTCAGTCTGGAGAGATAATGCCAGGAGGAAATAATGATGTGAGTCAGGGATTCTTAATCTCCTTGGTATTGGGGTCCCTTTGAATAATCTAATGAAAGCCACAGACCATCTCCCTAGAAAAATCGCAGATCACTCAAATGTGGAATTTTGCATAGAATTGTAAACTTATCATGGAAACACATAGAATACTTTTTTTTTTTTTTTTTTTGAGACGGAGTTTCGCTCTTGCGGCCCAGGCTGGAGTGCAATGGCGCAATCTCGGCTCACCGAAACCTCCGCCTCCCGGGTTCAAGTGATTCTCCTGCCTCACCCTCCCGAGTAGCTGGGATTACAGGCATGCGCCACCAATCCCAACTAATTTTGTATTTTTAATAGAGATGGGGTTTCTCCATGTTGGTCAGGCTGGTCTTGAACTCTTTACCTCAGGTGATCCGCCCGCCTTGGCTTCCCAAAGTGATGGGATTACAGGCATGAGCCACCAAGCCCGGCCACACATAGAATACTTTAAGGGGGTTCACATAACTGCTGAAATCTGCCCCTGAATCCCAAGTCCATAACTCCTGCTATAAGTAAATCAAATCACAAAGACTTGATCATGTATTTAATTACTTAGTCTCAGAATATGAGGAAATTAAAAGAAGTTTAGAATTAGTGAAAAGAAAAACAGCAAAGGCACAATTATCCACTGTCAGTGGGGAATGAATATCAGATTTTTCCATATGACCAAAGCTCCCTCTAAAAACTAAAACTTTACCCTTTTTTGATGGAAAAATTTCTAAAATGTATCTTGTACATAATTCATTGAAATCTATATACCAGGCACTTGCTAATAATGATGATGATTAGGATAATCACGTGCTATTTTTTGTTTTTTTTTTTTTTTAGCAGGGTCTCACTCTGTTGCCCAGGCTGGAGTGCAGTTGTGCAACTTTGGCTTACTTCAGCCTCCCAAGTAGCTAGGACTATGGGCACACACCACCATGCCTGGCTGATTTTTGTTATTTTTTGTAGAGATAAGTCCTCACTATGTTGCCCAGGCTGGTCTTGAACTCTTAAGCTCAAGTGATCCTCCTGCTTCGGCCTCCCCAGGTGCTAGGATTATAGACATGAGCCACCATGCCTGGCCGTCATATTCTAATGATTATGATAATAGTAATTATCATCTTTAAACACTTCATTGTACAACAATATCCTTGAGGGGTAGGGCTGTTTGCTCTAAGTTAGATGGTCCCAGAATACCTGGGTTTGAGGTTTCATGTATATTTTTCTGTGTCCTCCCTCTTTCATTTCCTACTGCTGTCAACAGTTAATTTTGACAGTATCTCTCCTCTTCCATAGTATTTACTGTTTTAAATCAGCTATAGACAAGGAAACCAGATAGTCAAGCTTGTTGGAATTATGTATATAAAATGAGAGTGAACTGGCTCTGCATGAAGCCCAAAGGAGCTTGGTGCATGAGTTTTTGTGTTTTTACCTCTAATTGGGCTGCTCAGAAGTCTTTTATAGTAATTTCACGTTTCTCAGATACTTTGCATATGGTTGTCAGAGGAGTTAACTCAAGTTTCATTCATTCCATAAGTATTTATTGAGTAGTATGAATCAGGCACTGTATTAGGCACAGGAGAGTCAACAGGTAGCCAGAGGGACAAGATCTCTACCTTTGTGGAACTTGTATTCTTGAGGAGACAGAAATAAACAAGTAAACAAATATATAAGTTCCGATTGTAATAAGGCAGTGAAGAATACAGAGTGATGTGCTAGAAAGTAATGAAGAGAATGCAAAGAGACTGAGGTTAAAGTTTGGGTCTTGGAAGAACAAAAAAGAGGTCAATGTGCCAAGGGAGAAGGGCAGGAAATGAGGCTAGAGTCAGACCTTGGCTCATATAGAGCCTTGTAGGTCATGGTAACAAAGCTGAAGGACTTTAATCAGGGGATGACGGGATCTGAGTTGCATTTTGTAAAAATCATTCAGAATTTTCAACGGGCTGGAGTTAAAGCCAAGAGACAGAACTCCTGCAGTAGTCCAGGTGAGAGAGGATGCGCCTCGAGGTAGGGTGGTGGCAGTAGGGAAGGGGAGGAGTGAAGACGGGATAAAAACAAATGTTGAAATAGAAACAAGTGAAACTAGCTATATCAAGGTGATAATATAACTCCCCAGAGAAAGGAATTAATTCAGCTTACCTGAACACAGTTCTCTGCTATTCATCTTTAGTGGAATTTCTTTTCAGGATAATACAAACTGCAACACAAAATTAAACATTACTTAAGAGGTTTATTGTTAGTGGCAATGTTGGTAATGTAATTATGAAACTCTTGTTTCTTTTTTTTTGAAATGGAGTTTCGCTCTTGTTGCCCAGGCTGGAGTGCAATGGCGTGATCTCGGCTCACTGCAACCTCCGCCTCCCAGGTTCAAGCGATTCTCCTGCCTCAGCCTCCCAAGTGGCTGGGATTACAGGCATGTGCCACCACATCTGGCTAATTTTATATTTTTAGTAGAGATGGGGTTTCTCCATGTTGGTCAGGCTGGTCTCAAACCCCCGACCTCAGGTGATCTGCCCGCCTCGGCCTCCCAAAGTGCTGGGATTACAGGCGTGAACCACCGCGACCGGCCTGAAACTCTTGTTTCTTGTAGGCTAAAACAAATAAGTACAAATAATAATGTTATTAGGAACCAAGACACTTAGGTTGTGGCCATAGCAATTGGTTGTATAGTTCTGCTGTTTCCTGGGATGGGGTGGAAGGTGTTTGAGGTCAACTATTAAGTGTTCCATTTTTACCTATGGATCATATTTGCAAACTTTTTTTTTTTTTTTTTTTTTTTTGAGACGGAATCTCACTCTGTCGCTGGAGAACAGTGGCATGATCTCGGCTCACTGCAACCTCTGCCTCCCGGATTCAAGCAATTCTCCTGCCTCAGCCTCCCATGTAGCTGGGACTACAGGCACGTGCCACCACGCACAACTAATTTTTGTATTTTTAGTAGAGACAGGGTTTCACCATGTTGGCCAGGCTGGTCTCAAAATCCTGACCTCAGGTGATCCACCCACCTTGGCCTCCGAAAGTGCTAGGATTACAGGCATGAGCCGCTGCGCCCGGCCTATATTTGCAAACTTTTATTGAGTTCTTACCACATGTCAGGCATCCTTCCAGTATTGAGTTCTTACCACATGTCAGGCATCCTTTCAGTAAATTCTGTGAACTGCTTTAAGGCAGATACTATTATTATTGCCTCTGTTTTTAGAGCAAGGAATCCAAAGTTATAATAGAGATACTGATTATCTTGAAGCCTTCTCCAGCAGGAGCCCTTGGAGGTCCTGGCCAGGCTTTCTCTACCCCAGAAGCTTCAAAGCTCTGTTTCTAGAAATCATATCACCTTGGCAGATGCACTAAGGGGAGAATCCAGACTAACAGCATCCTCACCAGTTTGTTCTCAGACCAGAGAGGTCTTTCCAGGCTTTTCTCATGTCTCCCTTTTACAGACCCTGTATCATGGCCAAACTGGACTCTTCCCAGTTACCTGTTCCATGCCCTCCAGTTTCCTACCTGTATGTCTGTGCTCTTGCCCCATCACCCAAATTCCCATTTTAAAATCTGAGCTGCTCTGTCTCTAGGCCCTGCCCAATGTGTCCCTATTCTCTGCAGGAAGCCAGGGCAAGGGGCTAGGCTCTGGACCTAGAGTAGCTTACTGAGAGGAAGGCAGCGGGTGGATCGTAAGGGAAGCAGGGACTTGGCTACAAGTTGTGGGGAGCCAGACCTTGGTATCTGAATGGACCATGACAGTCTCCAGGTGGTCACCTAGCCAGTCTTAAAGGCTGGCAAAGGGAGATCTTGACTATGATGCAGTAGGACTTGTCAGCAAAGAGGCAGGGACAAATAGAGAATCAGGCCAGGGAGGGGGTGTGCGGCAGTGCAGAGCAGCTGATCCTCAATCACAAGTTGCATGGATGGTAGGTCCTTGAGAGGTCACTGATGGAGATGAGTAAAAAGTGTTCACCTCATCTCCAAGGATGATATTAGAGAGGGAAAAGACACATGTTCCCACGAAGCTTCCTGTAGTACATTTGTCACAATTTAAACGGGCTGGATTGAACATTATATTTCTTCTGCTCTTCAGGTTGTCACTATCTTCTCCTCAGGATAAAAGCTTGAGTTATGTATGTATGCATATATGTATGCATGTGGAAATGGGGTCTCGCCATGTTGCCCAGGCTGGTCTTGAGCAGCTGGGCTCAAGCGAGCCTCCCACCTTAGCCTAAAAGCTTGAGTTAATGTCTCAGACATTCATGACTTTGAATATTGGCACTGCCTACATAGCTATATGACTGTACAGTTACTTAACCCCTCAGAGTATCATTTTCCTCACCTGTAAAATGAGAGAAGTAGCGTTTACAGTAATACCTACCTTGCAGGTTTGTGATAGGGATTCAGTAAGCTAACACATGTCAAGTGCTGAGTGCAGTGGCTGGAACAGAGTTCATTTTCCAAGAATGGTGGCCAATATTGTTCCCCACATGTGTGTCTCTTGGCCTCTCCTCAGACTCCTCTCTGGAAAAGCACCCTGCACATCCTGTCCCCAGTACAACTCCCCAGGCAAGGAGACTCTGAGGGTGCTTCAGAACATCATGTTTCTGGTAGGAGGTGCCCTTCTCTGCCTGAGAGCAGCCCTCAGAAATGCATTCCTCATGCTGCTGACCTGGGCTGGCTGGTTGCAGCTTGGGGAAGGACTTTTCATTGGCTAATGTTTTGAAGCCAAGGACCTGCAGCCTCTCTCCAGGTGCCAACAGAGTGGTAGAGGACTTTTAGATTTAAGTACTGGAGGGACTATTACATCTTGTTCTCTGATTCTACCAAGGAGAGAATAAGAGCAGAGAGGGATAATGCCCAGGAGGAATTTAGATTCATAGGTTAGAACCACATTTCTCAAAGTGAGCTTCTTGGAGCCCTTGCACCAAGATTGGATAAGGTCTGTACAAAAAGTCTCTAAGGAAAGAATTAACGCCCTCACTTACCCTGATTGGTCATTATACAAGGATAGTAGACAAATGGTCAGGGAGAGAAAAGTTGACCTCTAGGACTTCTGTTAGCTTGGATTTCCCAAGGGTAAGTACTTGAGAAGAACTGGAAACACCTCTGAGATTGAAAGGGTAGATTCAGACCATGTGGAAGCTGGATAGACAGGTATCCAGATACAGGCCACCAGCTTTTCCACCCCTAGAAAGTAGAGCTTATACACAGGCACGAGATACACTTCACATTGTCCTCTCAAGAAGTTATCTTAGTGGAGAAGCCAAGGGAACTTCAGCCATCTCAGCCTCGCTGTCATTTTCTGTAAAATGACGAGCAGACACCCTCCCAACTCTGCTATCTGAACAATGAACTGCTAATTCCTGGCAGACAGGGGCCAGGCTCTGCCTGGGCTACAGCCCCCATTGCTGGCATGCACTCTGATGCCATCTGGAAGAAGCTTGCGCCTCATGAAGTGGCTTTAGCTAGCTCCATATTTCCTCCCTCTGTTGCTGAGCGTCCCCCATCCTTTCTGTTCTGCCAGAAACTTAGACTACTTAGCCCAGTCCACAAGTGGCGGTGATAGAACAGCTAACAGTTAATAGCCAAGCAGTAGGCTGAAAATTCATTATCTCATTTTTCCTCAAACAACCCAGTGAGGTGGGTACTCTTATCCCGGTTTTGCAGAGTAAGAGAGAGCCTTAGAGAGGTGAGGGAGGCCTTAGGAACTTCTCAAACCCCAGTGCTCCAGGTGGACTTACTCTGGCCTTAACAGGCTCTTCGGTTCCATGCATCTTTGCTCATTACTCCCACTGCCAGAATATTCTCCCTGCCCCCCACACACCTCACCTCTGTTTGAATCCTCCTCATTGGTTAAAGGGCCAGCTCAAATTCTGTCTGTCCATGAAGGTCACTGCTCCGTGATGTTCATCAGCCACACTTGCTTTCTCCTCTGAACTGCATGACCCTTACCACATCCTATTTTGCATCGTGGCACTCTGTGTGCATGGCTGTACAATCAGCCTGTAAGCACCTGGATTGCTGGGATCGTGTCCTGCGCATCTCCATATCCTCAAAAAAAATCCTGTATGTAGCACCCAGGGAGCCTCCTGACCAAGGCCTGGAAGAAGCCCTTCCAGCAAGACGGAGAGCTCTACGGCAACTGTTCAAGCCCGAAGTCCTCATAGCTCCACATGTAATTCATTGTAATAGCAGAAGAGAAGTATTCTTGAATGCCTGGGATTATTCAGGAGCCGGGGGGGACAGTCCAGAATTCTCATTTGTCATCCTTATTCATGCAGTAAACCTTTATTGCTGAGAGACAGCAAATCAGTTCCCTGCTCCATGTCTGTCTCCAGCAGAAAGTACCTCCCTCACAGCTCCATTGTGAGGGTCAAGTGAGGCAACAGATGAAGTGGTTGTGCACATGTAAGATATTCTTTAAACCATGAAGACAGAGCAGTCAAGGTGCTTACAGGCTGATTAGGACAAAAACATGTATACAAGTTTATCGTAATACAAGGTAGAATGTGGGAAGGGTCATCAGGGTATAGGATACCATAGGAAAATAGAGTTTCTCACACATGGAATAGGTTTGGCAGGAGGAGCTCTAGTGCAAAGGCTTTGCAGGTCAGTTAGACTGGCAGGAACAGAGAGGATCAGTGAGGCACAGGAAAGCCTTGGTTCTGCTCCAAAGGGATTTTCCGCTCTTCTGTATCAGGAGCATCCTCACTGCTCTCCTGGGATCACGTGGTCAGTCAGTTGAGTGTTTCACATGTACAGGGCACCCCAAGTGCTGGAGAGGAAGAAGCCCAGTCTCTGCCCTCTAGTACTTGGGATGATAACTGCTGCCAGGGAGTATGATCACCACCTGGTGTCAGAGCTGGTTGCAAGAGGCTTGAAGGCTCTCAAACTTCCAAGGGCTTATTTTCTAACAGAAAGAGTGGATTGTGAACACTAACACTTATTCTACTATGCAGAATGCAATAAGTGGCTTAAGAGAGTTGAACCTGCTTCTCAGAATGTTCATAGGGGGGTCATTTGCTGGAAGGATCAGGCTGGTCTTCATACAGGAGGCAAGTCTGGAGCTCTGAAAAATAGCCTAGGGAGTGGGGAGGATGGTACCCTCAGAGGAAAACCTGGGGAGATCAAAGGAAGTGACCCAAGGGACATGTCCCCGACAAGAATAGGACCTTTCTTGCAGCGGAGAATAGACAATAACAACTTGTAAAATTGCTGTTTCTGTCTAAGAGCCTGCTAATATCCTAGAGAGGATTTTGCATATGTTATCTCTAATCCTTAAAACCACTCTTCAAGGTAGGCACAACCCCCACTTTACAGATGAAGAAATGAGGTTAGGACAGGATTTGCCCAAAGACACAAAGCCAGTTGATGGGGGAATCAGAAGTCAGACCCACATTTGTTTGGTTCCAAGAGCATGAGAAAAACTTTAAGAAGTACAGACGCTTCCACACAAAACAAACCAAGATGGACCCAGAATTGCCACTGCCCTGCCTGTACAACATGAGCACCACCCACTGCATACCTACTCCCAAGCCTTTTCAAATCTGGTACCTACTTTCCACTGTTCCACTTCACTTGGCCCACCCTGTGCCCCACCCCCTACCTCCTCCATCCCAGTTTCACCCACTCCTAAAAATGATCTCCCCACCCCAATCCCCACTTTTCTCTAGCAGAAGGCCCGAGACATGTATGCAGAGGAGCGGAAGAGGCAGCAGCTGGAGAGGGACCAGGCTACAGTGACAGAGCAGCTGCTGCGAGAGGGGCTCCAAGCCAGTGGGGACGCCCAGCTCCGAAGGACACGCTTGCACAAACTCTCGGCCAGACGGGAAGAGCGAGTCCAAGGCTTCCTGCAGGCCTTGGAACTCAAGCGAGCTGACTGGCTGGCCCGTCTGGGCACTGCATCAGCCTGAATGAGGCTGGCCACCTGCCACTTTGCCCTGCCCTCTGCCTCCAGGGCTCCACTCCCCTTCCTTTTCTTGGTGAAAGGCACCTCCTTTCCTGATAATGAATGGTGTTCCCTTTGCTTGGCTGGGGAGCCCCCCAGGCCAGGTTTGCTGGCCATAGATACCTTTGGGCTGCCTGGGACAGGCTCCTGAGGAGGATTGAGGGTGAAAGTCTCCCACGAGTACACTAAACCTAGGTCTGGTCACCAATAGGGTTTGGAGAGCAAAGGGCCACAACTCATCAGCTGCCTGTCTCTTAGATGCACTTTCTTTTTCCACCAGCACATCCTTCAACACACAGAATTTCAGGGAAGAGTTCTCCCCAAAACCCTAGCTCTTTACCCTTCCATTTTAGCCTTCCACCCAGCTTCCACAAAAGATTTGGCTCTACCTTGGATCTGCTAGTAAATAACTAATAGGCAGGCAGTTATTTGGGTAAGGAAAAAAGGGGTGGGAGAGACAGAAAATTTGCCCATCTGCTGCTCCTCCCCCTTGGCTCTCCACCTGGGATTTGCTATTGAATCTCTACCCTCTCCCACCACACAGTACTGATTGCTCACTGAAAGACTCAGCACCCCCAATGGTGCGCGGAAGCCAGGCGGGCGATTACAATCCAATTACCTATTGTCGACTCAGCCCACACAAGCTTTTCTCCTCCTCTTGCAGGGCATGGGGCCAGGCTCCACTCCCAAATGAGACTGGCCCCCTCCATGGTTCAGGGTAACAGAAGGGCCTGTAGGCCCTGGTGAACTGAATCCAGCACAGGCCTCCCCTGTAACACAACAGGACTGAGCAGAACCAAACACTTCTTCCAACTGACTCTGCTCCCTGCCCTCACCATCTCAAACTCTGATTCCCACTCCACTCTTCGAGGTTTCTCTCAGCTTTTTGACCTGGCTCCCTAAGTAGGCCCTAGATGATTTATTCTTGGCATGGCAAAGCTTGTTCTAGGTCCTCTGCTTGTGAGGGTCAAAGCTGTGTCCTTTCCCTTACCTCCCTCTGCCAGGACTTGCTGCAGAGCTGCTGAGAGGATTAGTGCCTTTGAAGAGCTGTCTGCCTGAGCAACTCTATTTCAGGTGCCCCACACCGGCAAGTACCAGCCAGCAACACCAACCAAATGCTACTCTCTTTAAAGTCCATTTTCCTTCTTCTTTTTTTTTTTTTTTTTGGAGACAGCATCTCACCCTGTCCTGGCTGGTCTCGAACTCCTGACCTCAGGTGATCCGCCGGCCTCACCCTCCCAAAGTGCTGGGATTACAGGCATGAGCCACCATGCCAGACTTCCCATTTTACTTTCTGCAAGCTGTTTCCCTAGCAGCTCCCTCTAGGGGAGAGGTGAAATCTTGCAAGTTGTAGCAAGAGCACACAGGAAACCCCTAACTTTCCTATACCCCACCCGCCTCTTCCCCTTTCTGTCCCGGGATACCTGGCGGCAAGAGACTTCTTGGCTATTGTCCATGCTCCCAGAATCAAGCATAAATGCCAGACACGGCGATTGAGAAGCCAATCAGTGAACCCTTTGGCAAAGCCCCCATCCACACCTGGCACTCCCCTCTACCAATCCCTGGCACAGGGTTCCTGGAGAGCAGGTGCTGTACATTTTACAGCTTTACAATGGGGCTGTTGACAGCCATAATTAGGGAGGCATGAATTATGCGGCTATAATGCAGAGCCCTACAATTAAGGCGGGAATGAGGGGCTGGAGGCAGCAAACGGAATCTGCCCTATGAGCGTGGCTGTTGAGTCCTGTCTCCTGGGTCTGACTTTCCGTAATATGATTGGGGTACAGTAGAGGTGATTAATGGGGCTGGCATCTCTCTTTGGCCTGAGGTTCTGTATTCTGGGAAAGGTACACAGGGTGGAGTAGGGAGAAGCTGCCCCAGGAGGCGATGTAGTGGTGGAAAGAAGAGGCAGAGAGGTCGTCGTCGTCGCCCAGCAGCAAGGGCTGCAAAATAGTAGAACTCGTGGTTGCTTTGGACAGGTGTGATTTGTGCAAGCCAGGTTCAACCCTTGCCTCAAGAAATCAGATGGGACCAATTTAGTGTCCTTCCACCTGTGAGCCAAGCCCCCATTTGAGGACATCTATCGTATTCTTGTGTGCTGGGTCTCAAATAGAATTTTTAAAGATTCTTAGATGTAAAACTTGTTTGCTAACTGCAACGGAAGAACACCTTCTTTTGCTGCTGCAATTGCCTACCCTCCCTCAGGTGCACTTGGCTAGCTCCAAGACCCTGGCTTTGGACTAGGGGGCACCGGAAGAGCCCTTTTGCCATCACACCACCTGTTCCTCTACTTGTTTCCTAATCCCCGGGCGCTTTCCTCCACCCTCCTTTCCTCGCGCAAGTGAAAGGCAGCCAGCTTGACAGTGTGGAAGGAGGGATTTCGCCAGCTGCGGCTGCAGTGCCCAGGCTTGGTGGCCGCGTCGGGTTGGGCAGCTGGGCAAAATGTCTCCGAGAGGGGTAGAGTGTAGGGGGAAGTGAGTGCTGGTAGACCTCGACGGCCGCTCTCCACCATACTGTGGCGGGGTCTGGAGGTTTGGGAATACAGGGACCTTAAGGGAGCCACCCGAGAGGAGTTGGGGGTGGGGGCTTCGATAGCATTTGGGGAGGCGGCTGCGCAACGGGTGCTGAAAGGACAGCTCCTACCTGACCCACGGCACCCAAAAGGCACCTCTGCATGGAAAGTCTCCCCCTGAAACCCCTAGCCCACCTCGAGTGGGACCGTCTTTCAGGTGAGGTGCACGAAAGGCTTCTCCGAAGTGGCAGCTCGGAAGGATGCACGTCCGGCTGCGCCAAGCTGGTTTCCCCGCCTTTTTCCCACTTTGGCGTCAGCCTGGGCTCTGGGAACTGCAGCCTGTGCCTCCAGCCGCGCGCTTCCTCCTGCTTCCAGAGGAGCAGGGCAGTGCAGCCAGGCCTCGCAAACCCCTCTTCTGGGGCCCCCAGCGGGAGCAGGAAGGAAAGCCGCTGAGATGCGCCGTGAGTGTCGCACGGCTTGGAGAAGTGGGTTGCTGGGTTGCATAAGGTGGAAGGAACTTGCTAGTTTGCAAAAGACAGCTCTTGGCGGGAGCCGGAACCCGGAGCCCGCCGACTCGCGCACCCCTCCTCATTTACTGCCTTCGACGCGCGCCACCCCGACTGCGCCCCCACCCCCTCGGCGCGCCGCCGTCTCCGCGCACTACCCCCCCCACACACCCCCCTCCTCACTCCCTCCAGAGGAGGTGAGTTTAAACCCCGCCCACGTGACCCCAGCTGGGCCAATGAACGGCGGCGGGAGGTGAAATCCGGTTCTAACCGGTCCGGGGCTCCCAGCGCTATAAAAACTTTATAAACCCCCCGGAGCCCGAGCAGTGTGAAGAAGAGGCGAGAACGACCCCCGGACCGACCAAAGCCCGCGCGCCGCTGCATCCCGCGTCCAGCACCTACGTCCCGCTGCCGTCGCCGCCGCCACCATGCCCAAGAGAAAGGTACGTGGCGCGAGGGCCCCAGGCGCCGGGCCACCACTGCCGCCACCGCCGCCGCCGCCTCCCTGGTGCAGGGAGCGAGAATCGGCGCCGAGCAGGAGCCAGCGCAGCCTCCCCGCGCGGGGGCTGGAGACGGTGTCGGGCAGCTCGGGGCTAACCCTGAGCGGCTCGGCTGCCCGCGGGCGCCAGAGGCCATATTGGAGGAGCGGCGGCCGCGGCGGGAGGAGCCATGTTGGCGGCTGTTTATCCCGCTCTCCTCGGGCTCGCCGCCCCCGCCCCGTGCCCCCTCCCCCATCGCGAGGGCCCCTTCCCTCCCCTCCCTGCGGGCGGGCAATTCAAACCCGAAAGGGCGGGAAGGCGGCGCTCGGGGTTGGCGGGCGGGGGAAAGCGCTGCCGCCAAAAAACCGCCGCCGTGAGGGGCGGGGCTTGTGCGGTATGGCCCCGCCCCCTCGCCCACGTTCCCCGCGCACGAGACGCGCGCTGTCGCCGCCCACGAGTTCCCCGGGCTGCGCGCGCCTCCCTCTCCCGCCCTCGACGGCTGCCATAGCAACGGCGCTGGGCTCCGCCTCCGGAGGGGGTTTGTTTGCGCCATCTGCAGCTGTTGCTCCTGCCTGTCGCGGTGGTGCGGGCTCCGCTGCCCTCCCCGGCTGCGCTCCGGTCCAGCCCTCGCTTCTCGGGGTCGGCGAGCCGGAGCTCCTGCGCGCGCTTCGTTCTTATACGAACGTCGGGCTCACTCATTTATGTCCTAGAAAAGTTGTGTGGACGACTGCTTTAATTTTCATTTTTAGCACTCTAAAGTTTGGGAAGTAATTAAGAACCACCTCAAAATCTGCAGTTTTTTGTTCTTGTTTCTTATAGGCTGAAGGGGATGCTAAGGGAGATAAAGCAAAGGTGAAGGACGAAGTAAGTCATTCTCTCTTCAAGGGTCAAAGCCTTGGACTAGCAGAGGCCACTGGACTCGGTGATTAACCGTAACCTGTGTCCTGAATTTACACTCCTATAATCTAGAGCAAATTGATACCAAACTTTCAAAGCGACTTACCTGTCCTATTTCTAACTTTCTCGTTGTCTTTAATAGCCACAGAGAAGATCCGCGAGGTTGTCTGCTGTAAGTGTATGCTTTTGAATTTTCGTGCTTGTCCCTGAAACTAAAAAACATCAAAAAACAATTCCCTTTGCTTCCATGAATTATGGTTAGTGCCTGGTTTTGAATCATTGCCTCTACTTGGGACTCTTGCCCCTTTGGGTTTTGCTGGTTCTGAAATTCTGATGCCTGTAGCCAAAGTGGGACATTTGAGTGGGCTTCTGGAAATCCAACATTCTAGAAGAAAGCCAACCACAAAAACTTTTGAGGAGGAGGAGAAACTTCTCTACCCTTGGTACTTTTGGTTGGTTGTGGGTGGTTTTCTTCAGTCCATTGTACTGATGTTCACTTTTTCCTCTCTTCCTGCCAAAAAAAGAAACCTGCTCCTCCAAAGCCAGAGCCCAAGCCTAAAAAGGCCCCTGCAAAGGTAAGTGCTAACATTGGAACTGATCATTTTCACAGAATGAGGACTGTCCTTAGTGCCTTAACTTAATTAGCATAATGGTGCCTCCATTAATGGAGGTTATAAACTGTGTGGATAGCTTACCTCGTCCGTGTCATTCATAACGTTGGTTTCCTGATCAAGAATTCTGTTGTTAGTTTATAGGAAAATCTGCATTTAAATATTAAATACCCCAGGGTTTAAACTAATTTATTCTTCTGTTACTTAGGAAATTCTAAGTACTAAAGATTATAGCAAATTACAGATAATTTAGCCTAGTTTTGATCAGTTGTTCTTGTCAAATGGGTGAGGGTTTGTGTTTTATCTTGAGTAAACAATCCTACCTTGTGCAGAACTTTGCAGACCATACCTTGGTAATACGAAATGGGGAGAAACAGTTCTATTTTTTCCCCTTTTTCAGAAGGGAGAGAAGGTACCCAAAGGGAAAAAGGGAAAAGCTGATGCTGGCAAGGAGGGGAATAACCCTGCAGAAAATGGAGATGCCAAAACAGACCAGGTATAACTGCTGTTTCACCCTTTGTTAGATTTGTTCATTCAGTTAGTTGCTGATATCAAAAATTTAATTGCCCTTTTCTTGTATCACTCCAAATGTACCATTTGGTCCAGTGTGCTTGTGGCTTTCCTGTTAACTTAAATCCTGGATTCTTGAAATCTCTACTGTCAGCTGAAGGGCATTGTGTTTTATACTACATGAAGTTTTCAAGCTAGGAGTAACCTCAGGTCTCTTATTCTGGTGTTCTT
Organism: Homo sapiens; assembly: GCF_000001405.40. Taxonomy (NCBI): domain Eukaryota; kingdom Metazoa; phylum Chordata; class Mammalia; order Primates; family Hominidae; genus Homo; species Homo sapiens. The sequence continues at coordinate 26,474,913 of NC_000001.11, forward strand.
CCTACCTCAATTTTACAGTGAGGCCCAGAGGAGAGGTGACTTAGCAAAGTTACCTAGTAAGTCATTCTCAGAAGAAATACTGAGTCTCAGTACCTGAAACCTGAACTTTGGCCTGGGAGCAAAGTGATGCTGTAGGTGGAATGTGAACACAGATAGTTTTGAAATCTACGCATTGCATTAATTTGTCTGTTTTCTTTTAGGCACAGAAAGCTGAAGGTGCTGGAGATGCCAAGTGAAGTGTGTGCATTTTTGATAACTGTGTACTTCTGGTGACTGTACAGTTTGAAATACTATTTTTTATCAAGTTTTATAAAAATGCAGAATTTTGTTTTACTTTTTTTTTTTTTTTAAAAGCTATGTTGTTAGCACACAGAACACTTCATTGTTGTTTTTGGGGGAAGGGGCATATGTCACTAATAGAATGTCTCCAAAGCTGGATTGATGTGGAGAAAACACCTTTCCCTTCTAGTTTTGAGAGACTTCCTCTTGGCTCCCAGGAGGAGGGATTCCCTGACTTTGACACACATGGCCACCTTGGCACAAAAGCCTTGTGGTATAGAAAAACAAATTTGTTTTTATGTCCTCTTCTCCCTTTCCATCGTTCAGCATAGACTTAACTCCCTTAAGCCCAGACATCTGTTGAGACCTGACCCCTAGTCATTGGTTACCAGTGTGTCAGGCAATCTGGACTTTCCAGTGATGCCACTGAGATGGCACCTGTCAAAAGAGCAGTGGTTCCATTTCTAGATTGTGGATCTTCAGATAAATTCTGCCATTTTCATTTCACTTCCTGAAAGTCAGGGTCGGCTTGTGAAAAGTTGTTAAACAACATGCTAAATGTGAAATGTCAACCCTCACTCTAAACTTTCCCTGTTCAGAGCATCAGATGAAGACTTCATTGGGTTTTATAGTGGCTTTCTGATTTTTGGTAGTCCATTGAAGAAGGGAGTTTGAAAGTTGTTGTATACTGTTAACGATTGTCTGCCCATGTCCTGCCTGAAATACCATGATTGTTTATGGAAAGTATCTTTAATAAAGCTGGATACAGTTTGGCTTGGAATGCTGCCTCTGATCTTTTCCCACAAGTGGGGTAACCTGGTTTATCCAAGTCTCTTGGAACAGGGTACGTTCTGCTTTGAGGTACTCCATGTACAGTCTAATGATGATCTTTCACTGATTTATAGTCAGCTTCCAAAACACACAGTGCTAGGTGCAGTTAGGAAGGATTCCAGGAGTAGACTTAGCTGATGGTGAAAGGCTGGGAGTATGGAGTGATTTCTGTACTTGGTTATGCAGCATTCCCTGCAGTGTTTGTTTTTTGCATGACTCCGAATACATGAAGTGTATTAAATGCAGATTTTTGGTAGATCTGCGGTTTTGGCTGGGTAGCTGACAGGAGCCTCTCTACTTCCATCTGCATTTGCAACTTCTATAAAATTAGCAAATTAATAGACTCATGTCAGAGAGTGTCTCTGTGAATGTGTACACAGTTGTCCATTTGTAAGGTAGATGACACTTTGCTCCTAAGTAGACCTGCAAACAAAGACAATGGGGTCTTTCCTGATTCCTTTAGTTTGGAGATGCAGAGAACCCCACGTTTCTCTAAGTGAAATGGCAAGAAGTTATTTGTTAGAATATGGAACTGGTAACAAATTCATGTTTGCACCTTGAATTTGCTTTCACAGACCTGGCTGTATTGTTGGACAGGAATAAAGTAAATTGGAGACTAATTGCTTTGTCCATTCCCTTAGTCAAAAAAGTATCGCTGTTAAGTTCTTGAGGTTTTTTGTGTATTATCTCTCAAGTGTTGAGATGTTTGTGTAATATATGTATCACACTCATGGATGAGGAATCAGGCACAGATGAAACTTGTTGAAGGTTATGTGTACATTTAATGAGCAGCAGAGTCAGGATTCAGACCCTCAACTAGACAAAAGTCATCTCTGACAGACTTTTATTCAGGATAAAATACCATTTGTCCATTTAGCCAGTTACCAGCCATTTACTTTCATTATTGCTGAAGTCATTCATTCTAGGTTGTAGACGGGTAATTTTTATTCTAAAAGCGGTGTCCTCTTCCAGAGGAAACTTAAGAGACATCTTAGAATGGTCAGGGGTAGTGGGCTGGTATTTGAGCAGAGGTTGCAGAATTTGAGAAAGTTACAGCTGAGGTTCTTTGTTAGTGGCAAGTCTGCTAAGCCCTGGGCTATGCTAACAGCTCTGCCTCATGCTCTTTAATCTTTGAGTCAGACCTATGAGATACAGGTGTAGCCCCATTTTGTAGTCGAGAGTGAGGCTCAGATGTGAAGCGACTGGCTGAGGTTAAACTTGATAGTCTGTTTTTACTTATTTTCTGGCCCTCTTCTTGTTGCCATATAATTAGGATGAGTAGGGTAAGCTTGAACTTTTTCGAGTTTTTTTCTTTTTTTCCTTCCTGGAAAATACTGATTTGACTGGCTCTGGACCATGAAAGTAGCTGGGCCTAAAACCAAACCAGACATCAAAACGTGGTAAGGACCATTCACTAAGACAGCCATGGTAGCATGCTCAGTGCCAGCCCTGTCTCCAGGCCCATTCTTAAGATCTCGGGAAAAGTCACCAGATGCTTGGGCTCTAAGTAAAAAAAAAAAAAAAGTAACATAAATGGCACAAACTAGAGGATTCATCTGATACAAGTCCCGAGGTCGGGCAGTTGTGAGGACCCAGGTGGGCTTCCTGTCTTTCTGCTCTGCCGCCCTCAACATGTTCTCCAGCCACCTCACCTTCAAGGCAGTTGCTCCAGACATCGTAATTTGCCATACCAATGGCAAGAGGCTGGAGGACTGCTCCTTTTTTCCCTGCATTTAAGAAGAATGAAATATTTCCTACAAGCACCCCAGCAGCCTGTGTTTCACTGGGCAGATCTGGATTGCCTCTCCACTCCTAAACCAATCATAGCAAGAGGAATGAAACCACAGAATCTGCCTAGACCAGTCAGAATTGTTGGAATTCAATAGAGGAGGGATGATGATAGAGGAAAATGGCTGTTGTGTGGACAGCCTGCTGCACGGTCTCTTCAGGCCTGGCCTGATTCATTGCAGCAGTTAACACTGCTGAGAATTACCCCTCCCCTTCTTTAAATTGAGAAATAATCATATACCATTAAAAGTCACCACTTTGGGGGGAGGGATAGCATTAGGAGATATACGTAATGCTAAATGACGAGTTAATGGGTGCAGCACACCAACATGGCACATGTATACGTATGTAACCTGCACGTTGTGCACATGTACCCTAAAACTTAAAGTATAATAATAATAAAATTTAAAAAATAAATATACTTAACGCTCTTGGGGAAAAAAAAAGTCACCACTATATCATTATTTTAAGAGATGGAGTCTTGTGTTGCCCAGCCTGGTATTCAACTCCTGGGCACAAAGCAGTCCTCCCACCCTGGCCTACCAAAGTGCTGGCCACCACACCCAGCCAAAATTCACAATTTTAAAGCATATACTACAGTGGTTTTAGTACATTCACAACATTGTGCAACTATTGCCACTATCTAATTCTGGAATATATACGTGTGTGTGTGTGTATATATATATATATAAATATATGTGTATATATATATAAATATATGTGTATATATATATAAATATATGTGTATATATATATATATATATATATATATATATATATATATATTTTTTTTTTTTTTGAGATGGGGGTGTCTCACTGTGTCACCCAGGCTGGATTGCAGTGGTATGATCTCAGCTTATTGCTCACCGCAGCATCTACCTCCCAGGCTCAAGCTCCCACCTCAGCCTCCCAAATAGCTAGGACTACAGGCACACACCATGCCTGGCTAATTTTTTGTGTTTTTGGTAGAGACAGGGTTTTGCCATGTTGCCCAGGCTAGAGTCTTGAACTCCTGACCTCAAGTGATCTGCCCACCTTGGCCTCCCAAAGTTCTGGGATTATAGGCATGAACTACCCTGCCCAGCCTCTGAATATTTTCATCACCCCCAAAAAGCTCCATGCCCATTAGCAGTTAACTCCCCATTTCTTCCTCCCCCATCCCTAGACAATCACTAATTACTTTCTGTCTCTCTAGACCTTTTCTGGATATTTCATCTAAATGGAATCAATCTGTGTTTTTTCACGACTGGTTTCTTTCACTTAGCATGTTTTCAAGGTTCATCCGTATCATATGTATTTGATAACTTGTACTGCCAAATAACATTCCATTGTATGGATATATCACATTGGATAAGTCACATTTTATTTACTCATCAGTTGATGTACATTTGGGTGATTTCCACTTTGGGACTATTGTGAATAATGCTGCTACAAATATCATATAGAAGTTTTTGTAGGCATATGTTTTTAGCTCATTTGGGCACATACCTAGGAATGAAATTGCTGGGTCATATGGTAACTCGTACTTTTTTCTTTCTTTCTTTCTTTTTTTGAGACGGAACTTCGCTCTCGTTGCCCAGGCTGGAGTGCAGTCACATGATCTCGGCTCACTGCAACCTCCTCCTCCCAGGTTCAAGCAATTATTCTGCCTCAGCCTCCCAAGTAGCTGGGATTACAGGCATGTGCCACCATGCATGGCTAATTTTTTGTATTTTTAGTAGAGACGGGGTTTCTCCATGTTGGTCAGGCTGGTCTTGAACTCCCGACCTCAGGTGATCACCTGCCTTGGCCTCCCAAAGTACTGGGGTTACAGGTGTGAGCCACCTTGCCCGGCCTTTTCTTTCTTTTTAAGACAGTATTGCTTTTGTCACCCAGGCTGGAGTGCAGTGGCGTGATCTCAGCTCACTGCAGCCTCCCCCTCCTGGGCGATTCTGCTGCCTCAGCCTCCCGAGTAGCTGGGATTACGTGTGCCCACCACCACACCCGGCTAATTGTTTGTATTTTTAGTAGAGACAGGGTTTCATCATGTTGGCCAGACTGGCCTCAAATTCCTGACCTCAGGTGATCTGCCCACCTTGGCCTCCCAAAGTGCTGGGGTTACAAGTGTGAGCCACCATGCCTGGCCTCATTTATTTATTTATTATTTTTTATTTTTTGAGACAGAGTCTTGCTCTGTCTCCCAGGCTGGAGTGCAGTGGTGCAATCTCTGGTCACTGCAACCTCTGCCTCCTGGATTCAAGTGATTCTCCTGCCTCAGCCTCCCGAGTAGCTGGGACTACAGGTGCCCGCCACCACACCTGGCTAATTTTTGTATTTTTAGTAGAGACAGGGTTTCACCATATTGGCCAGGCTGGTCTGGAACTCCTGACCTTGTCGTTGTGATCCGCCTGCCTTGGCCTCCCAAAGTGCTAGGATTACAGGCATGAGTGGGAGCCACCGTACTGGCTTTTTTTTTTTTTTTTTTTTTTTTTGAGACAGTCTTGCTCTCTCGCCCAGGCTGGAGTGCAATGGCGCGATCTCAGCTCACTGCAACCTCCGCCTCCCGGGTTCAAGTGATTCTCCTGCCTCAGCCTCCTGAGTAGCTGGGATTACACGCACCCAACATCATGCCCAGCTAATTTTTGTATTTTTATAGAGAGGGGTTTCACCATGTTGGCCACCAGGCTGGTCTTGAACTCCTGACCTCAGGTGATCTGCCCACCTCAGTATCCCAAAGTGCTGGGATTACAGGTGTGAGCCACTGTGCCCAGCCTGTGCATCTTTTTTTAAAGAAGTGTCTATTCACATCCTTTGCCAAGTTATAATTAGGGAGTGTGTGTGTGTGTTTAACATGCTTCTCAGGAAAGTATTCTTTGTGGGTTGTTTTTATTGTTGAAGTGTAAGAGTTCTTTTCTCTTACTTTTCTTTCTTTTTTTTTTTTTTTTTAGAGTGAGTCTTGCTCTGTCACCCAGGCTGGAGTGCAGTGGCATGATCTCAGCTCACTGCATCCTCTGCCTCCTGGGTTCAAGCAGTTCTCCCTGTCTCAGCCTCCAGAGTAGCCGGGATTACAGATGACCACAACTGTGCCCGGCTAATTTTTTTCTATTTTTAGTAGAGACGGGGATTCACCATATTGGCCAGGCTGGTCTCGAACTCCTGACCTCAGGTGATCCGCCTGCCTCGGCCTTCCAAAATGCTGGGATTACAGGCATGAGCCACCTTTTCTATTCTTTCTTTTCTTTTATTTTCAGACGGTCTCGCTGTGTCCCCCAAGCTAGAGTGCAATGGTGCAATCTCGGCTCACTGCAACCTCTGCCTCTCAGGCTCAAGAGATTCTTATGCCTCAGCCTCCCAAGTAGCTGGGATTACAGGCAATGCACAACCACGCCTGGCTAATTTTTGTATTTTTAGTAGAGACAGGGTTTTGCAATGTTGGCCAGGCTGATCTTGAACTTCTGACCTCAGATGATCCGCCCACCTCAGCCTCCCAAAGTACTGTGATTACAGGCGTGAGCCCCTGCCCCTGGCCTCAGAGTTCTTTATGTATATATATGTGTGTGTGTGTGTAGTTTTTGGTTTTTGATTTTTGAGACAGGATCTAACTGTGTCTCCCAGGCTGGAGTGTAGTTGTGCAAACACAGCTCACTGCAGTGTTGATCTGGGCTCAAACAATCCCCCCTTGTAGCCAGGACTACAGGCGCACACAGCACCATGTCCAGCTAGTTTTTTGTTTGGGCGGGGTTTTTGAGGCAGAATCTCAACTCCGTCCCCCAGGCTGGAGTGCAGTGGTGCAATCTTCATTCATTGCAAACTCCGCCTCCCGGGTTCAAGAGATTCTTATGCCTCAGTCTTCCGAGCAGTTGGGATTACAGGCGTGCGCCACCGTGCCCAGATAATTTTTTTTGAGACCAAGTCTTGCTCTGTCACCAGGCTGGAGTGTAGTAGCGGGATCTCAGCTTACTGCAACCTCCGCCTCCCAGGTTCAAGTGATTCTCCTGTTTCAGCCTTCCAAGTAGCTGGGATTACAGGCGCCTGCCACCATGCCCGGCTAATTTTTGTATTTTTAGTAGAGACCAGGGTTTCACCATGTTGGCCAGGCTGGTCTTGAACTCCTGACCTTAGGTAATCTGCCCACCTCCCAAAGTGCTGGGATTACAGCCTTGAGCTACCGAGCCTTTTTTTGGAGATGGAGTCTCCCCCGTGTCACCCAGGCTGGAGTGCAGTGGTGCGATCTCAGCTCACTGTAACCTCCGCCTCCTGGGTTCAAGCAATTATCCTGCCTCAGCCTCCCGAGTAGCTGGGATTACAGGTGTCTGCCACCACACCCAGCTAATTTTTGTATTTTTTAGTAGAGATGGGGTTTCGCCATGTTGACCAGGCTGGTCTTGAACCCCTGACTTCAGGTGATCCGCCCACCTCGGCCTCCCAAAGTGCTGGGATACAGGCATGAGCCACCAACCCTGGCCTAATTTTTGTATTTTTAGTAGAGACGGGGTTTCACCATGTTGGCCAGGCTGATCTCAAACTCCTGGCCTCAAGTGATCTGCCCTCCTTAGCCTCCCAAAGTGCTGGGGATTAGTGGCATGAGCCACCACACCAAGCCTGAGTTCTTTATATAGTTTCCATATTAGATACTTATAATATCCGTAATCCCTTCATTCTGTGTGTGTGTGTTTTGTTTTGTTTTGTTTTTGAGATAAGAGTCCGGCTCTGTCACCCAGCCTGGAGTTCAGTGGCATGAACACTGCTCACTGCAGCTTCAGTCTCTGAGCTCAGGTGATACTCCCACTTCAGCCTCCTGAATAGCTGGGATTACAGACATGTGTCATGACGCCCAGCTAATTTTTAGATTTTTTGTAGAGACGGAGTCTTAACCATGTCGCCTAGGCTGGTCTTGAACTCAAACAATCCTCCTGCCTCAGCCTCCTTAAGCGCTGGGATTACAGGAGTAGCCACTGCGCCCGGCCCTTCTTCACTTTCTTAATACTGTCCTTTGACAAACCAAGTTTTTAATTGTGATGCAGTCCTGTTTACTTATTTTTGGTTACTTGTGCTTTTAGTGTTATATCTAAGAAACCATTGCCTAGTCCACAGTCATGAAGATTTACACCCATGTTCTCCAAGAGTTTTAAATAGTTTTAGCTCTTCACTTTAGGTCTTTGATCTATTTTGAGTTAATTTTTGTATAGTGTGTGAGGTAGGAGTCCAAGCATTTCCTTTTAAAAACTTTTCTAGCCCTCTTCCTGGGCTAGAACTTCTAGTTTCTGAGACGGCATTCCTCCAGCCCCTTTGCAATCCCCTCCTCTTCAGTTTTTCCTCATGATGTCATCAAGCGACTCACATTTGCATCCCTCCCAATCTCTCTTGAGGTCAGTATTTCCATCATCCTCCTGTGTAGTCCCATCCAGATGTACCACAGGCACCCCAAACTCAACATGACCAAAATTCAACTCTCCTTGCTCTTCACAAACCACCTCCTCTAGTTCCCCTCAATCTTTTACAAGTATTACAGGAAAGAGGTCTTGATCCAGACCCCAAGAGAGGGTTCTTGGATCTCGAGCAAGAAAGAATTCAAGGCGAATCCACAGTGCAAAGCAAAAGCAAGTTTATTAAGAAAGTAAAGGAGGCTGGGTGCAGTGACTCACACCTGTAATCCCAACACTTTGGGAGGTCAAGGTGGGTGGATCACCTGAGATCAGGAGTTCAAGACTGGCCTGACCAGTATGGTGAAACCCCATTTCTACTAAAAAATACTAAAATTAGCTAGGCGTGGTGGTGGGTGCCTGTAGTCCCAGCTACTGTGGGGCTGAGACAGGAGAATTGCTTGAACCCAGGTGGCAGAGATTGCAGTGAGCCGAGATCGGTCCACTGCACTCCAGCCCGGGCAACAGAGCGAGACTGTCTCGAAAAAATAAACATTAAAAATAAAAGAAAGGAATAAAAGAATGGCTACTCCATAGACAAAGCAGCCCTAAGGTCTGCTGGTTGCCCATTTTTTTGGTTATTTTTTTGATGATATGCTAAACAAGGGGTGGGTTATTCATGCCTCCCCTTTTGAGACCTCATAGGGTAACTTCCTGACATTGCCATGGCATTTGTAAACTGTCGTGACACTGGTGGTGAGGATGACCAGAGGTCACTCTCGTTGCCATCTTGGTTTGGGTGGGATTTAGCCAGCTTCTTTACTGCAACCTGTTTTATCAGCAAGGTCTTCATGACCTGTATCTTATGCTGTCCTCCTATCTCATTCTGTGACTTAGAATGCCTTAACCATCTGGGAATGAAGTCCAGCAGGTCTCAGCCTCATTTTCCCTAGTTCCTATTTAAGATGCAGTTGCTCTGGTTCACATGCCCGTAACAAAAGCACCACCACCCATTCCACCCCTCAAGCTAGAAACCTGAAAGTTATCCCAGATTCATCTCTCACTCCCCATCATCGCATATTTTCAGTGAGTGTGTTAAGTCATGGTGACTTGACTTTGAAAAAAATGTCTATTTTTGGTCATGGAAAAATTTCAAATATGTGCAAAAGTAGGATAATACAATGAGTCCCATACTCCCACCACACAACTTCAACACTTAGTAACTTGTCGCAGTTCTTGTTTATACCACTGTCCACATTAATTTCTTAATATTATGAAATACCCAAATTTTAAAATTTCTAACTGTCCAAGTATCTTCTTTTAAAAATGCACTCATTTGCCGGGCGCAGTGGCTCACGCCTATAATCCCACCACTTTGGGAGGCCGAGGCGGGTGGATCACGAGGTCAGGAGATCGAGACCATCCTGGCTAACATGGTGAAACCCCGTCTCTACTAAAAATACAAAAAAAAATTAGCCGGGCGTGGTGGTGGGCGCCTGTAGTCCCAGCTACTCAGGAGGCTGGGGCAGAAGAATGGCATGAACCCAGGAGTTGGAGCTTGCAGTGAGCCAAGATCACGCCACTGCACTCCACCCTGGGCAACTGAGCAAGACTCCATCATCCTCTTGCCTTGGCCTCCTGAAGCCCAAGGATTACAGGCGTGAGCCACCACACCCAGCCCATTAACCTAACTCACCTTTTCTCCACCAGTCCCCTCCTGTCTTCACATACCTTCTTTGTCAGCCTAGATTCTATGGTCCAGCACGAAGAGAGTTAGACACTGAACTCCCTTCTCTATCACACTTAACCCAGCACTTAGCTGGCACCTGTACCCAAACAGCTGGACGTTGCATAAGAGTACTACACCATCGTGCTAACTAGACGCACCTTATAGTTACAACCGCAGATTTCAAATGGGCCCTCAACACTGCCAAACTCTCCAATTACTTTCCCTAATATAGGCACCTTTCCTGTCTTGGATAAACTATTTGACACCTTCACCTTATCTCCCATCGCTAACCTGCTTTCTTCACCCACATCAGCAATTTCCCTTCATACTTCATGGTGATAGAAGATGTGGTGAGAAAAGAGCTACCTCGTCTTCCCACCACCTCCTCTACTACCTACCTGCAGCACAGTGTACAGGCCGCTTGGGTCCCCTACTATTATGGGGGTAATCTCTAAAGCCAAACTTTCAACTTGTGATCGGGACCTATCCCTCTGCTCCTCTGAGGCTAAGCCCACACAGGTACCTCCTTGCTTGCCTTATCCATTTCTTCTATTGGATCATTCTTGCATCTCCCAAATAAAGTGTCAGCTTTAATTTTTTTTTTTTTTTTTTTTTTGAGACAGAGTTTCACTCTGTCGCCCAGGCTGGAGTGCAGTGGCGCGATCTCGGCTCACTGCAAGCTCCGCCTCCCGGGTTCACGCCATTCTCCTGCCTCAGCCTCCCAAGTAGCTGGGACTACAGGCGCCCACCACCACGCCCGGCTAATATTTTTGTATTTTTAGTAGAGACGGGGTTTCACCGTGTTCGTCAGGATAGTCTCGATCTCCTGACCTCGTGATCCGCCCACCTTGACCTCCCAAAGTGCTGGGATTACAGGCATGAGCCACTGGGCCCGGCCTAAATTTTTAAAACATATTTTTAGGGGGCATACATGAAGTTGCATTACATGGATACTTTGGGTAGTGTTGAAGTCTGGGCTTTTAGTGCAACCATCACCTGAAGAGTGTGCACGTGTGCACTGTATTCATCAGGTAATTTCTCTTTTTTTTTTTTTTTTTTTTTTTCTGAGACGGAGTTTCACTCCTGTTGCCCAGGCTAGAGTGCCCAGGCACAATCTCGGCTCACTGCAACCTCTGCCTCCCAGGTTCAAGCGATTCTCCTGCCTCAGCCTCCCGAGTAGCTGGGATTACAGGCATGCACCACCACACCTGGCTAATTTTGTAATTTTAGTAGAGACGGGGTTTCTCCATGTTGCTCAGGCTGGTCTCAAACTCCCGACATCAGGTGATCCACGCACCTCAGCCTCTCAAAGTGCTGGGATTAGAGGCGTGAGCCACTACGCCCACCCTCCATCAGGTAATTTCTCATCCCTCACCACCCTCCCACCTTTCCAAGTCTAGTATCAGCATTTTATCCTTTCCTCAGCCACCTCTTTCTGAAGGGCTAAGGGTAACACCAGGATGAGACACAACCTAGTCCACGCCACCATTATCTCTTGGGGACCAGTGCATCAGCATACCTGTGAACTTAGCAATGGAGTTCTTGGGCCCTGCTTCAGACTCACAGAGTCAGAATCCCTGAAGATGGGGCCTAGGACCATGGCTTTAAAAACTGTTTAGGGCCGGGCACGGTGGCTCACGCCTGTAATCCTAGCACTTTGGAGGCTGAGGCAGGTGGATCACGAGGTCAGGAGTTTGAGCCCAGCCAGTTCGAGACCAGCCTGGCCAACATTGTGAAACCCCATCTCTACTAAAAATACAAAAACTAGCTGGGCATGGTGGCACACGCCTGTAATCCCAGCTACTTGGGAGGCTGAGGCAGGAGAATTGCTTGAACCCAGGAGCAGATGTTGCAGTGAGCCAAGATTGCACTACTGCACTCCAGCTTGGGCGACAGAGTGAGACTCTATCTCAGAAAAACAAAAAACAAACAAAAACTGTTTAGGTGGCTGGTCATGGTGGCTCATGCCTGTAATCCCAGCTCTTTGGGAGGCTAAGGCAGGAGGATCACTTGAGCTCAGGAGTTTGAGACCAGCCTGGGCAACATAATGGGACCTTGTCTCTACAAAATTTTTAAAAATTAGCTGCCCGTGGTGGCATGCACCTGTAATCCCAGCTACTTGGGAGACTTAGGTGAGTGGATTGATTGAGCCCAGGAGGTGGAGGCTGCAGTGAGCCATGATCACACCACTGCACTCCAGCCTAGGCAACAGAGTGAGACCCTATCTCAAAAAAAAAAAAAAAAACTGTTTAGGTGATTGAGGTGATTGTTGTGCCCGCTGAAGTATGAGAAAGATTTTCTTGGGGGGGAAAAGTTTCTAGAGGAAAAGGATTTATTGCTGCCTCCCTGCTTGCTTCCTCCTTGAGATATTTATGAGGATCTGAAGCTTGGAGCTGCAACAACCACCTTGTGACCCTGAGGCCAAATGCCAACACACTGAGGATGGCAGAGCAGAGGAAAGCCTGAGACAGCACGGAGCTGTCAAGCCAACTTCAGAGCTCCCACCCTCCAGATACTCAGTGAAGTCAAATGCCTTTCTTTTTGTCAGGTACAGTAGTCCCCCCTAATCTGCTGTTTGCCTTTCCATGGTTTCAGTTGCCCAAGGTCTGAAAATTTTAATTGGAAAGTTCCAGAAATAATAATTTTAAATTATGTGCCATTCTGAGTAGCATGATGAAATCTTGCACCATCTCTGTCCCTCTTGCCTAAGACATTAATCATTCCTTTGTCCAGCATGTCCATACTGTCTGTGCTTCCTGCCCGTTGGTCACTTCAGAGCCATCTCGGTTATCAGATCGCTGGTTGAGGTACTGCGGTGCTTGTGTTCAGGTAGCCCTTATTTTAATAATGGCCTCAGGCTGGTCACGGGGGCTCACGCCTGGAATCCCAGCACTCTGGGAGGCCGAGGCGGGCGGATCACGAGGTCAGGAGATCGAGACCATCCTGGCTAACACGGTGAAACCCCGTCTCTACTAAAAATACAAAAAATTAGCTGGGTGTGGTGGCAGGTGCCTGTAGTCCCAGCTACTCAGGAGGCTGAGGCAGGAGAATGGCGTGAACCCTGGAGGCGGAGCTTGCAGTGAGCCGAGATTGTGCCACTGCACTCCAGTGTGGGGGACAGAGCAAGACTCCATCTTAAAAAAAAAAAAAAGAAAAAAGAAAAAAATGGCCTCAAAGCACAGGAGGAGTGATACTCATAATGTGGATATGCCAAAGAGAAGCCGCCGCAAAGTGCTTTCTTTAAGTGAAAAGGCGGAAAGTTCTCTACTTCAGGAAAAAAAAAAAAAATCAGGCCCGGCACGGTGGCTCAAACCTGTAATTCCAGCACTTTGGGAGACCGAGGAGGGTGGATCACAAGGTTGGGAGATCAAGACCAGTCTGGCCAACATGGTGAAACCCTGTATCTACTAAAAAGAATACAAAAATTAGCAGATGCGTACTTGTAATCCCAGCTACTTGGGAGGCTGAGGCAGGAGAATGGCTTGAATCCGGGAGGCAGAGGTTGCAGTGAGCTGAGATTGTGCCATTACACTCCAGCCTGGGTGACAGAGTGAGACTCGGTCTAAAAAGAAAAAAAATATATATATATATATAATATATATAATATATGTATTATATATAACATATATATAATATATATAATATATGTATTATATATAACATATATATAATATATATTATAATATCTATAATATATTATAGATAATACATATATTATATATAATACATATATAATATATATTATATATAATACATATATAATATATATTTTATATATATATATATACACTGAGGGTTGCTAAGATTACAGTAAGAATGATTCTTTTTTTTTTTTTTTTTTTTGAGAGGGAGTTTCGCTTTTGTTGCCCAGGCTGGCGTGCAGTGGCACGATCTAGGTTCACCACAACCTTCACCTCCCGGGTTCAAGCGATTCTCCTGCCTCAGCCTCCCAAGTAGCTGGGATTACAGGCATGTGTCACCAAGCCTGGCTAATTTTGTATTTTTAGTAGAGACAGAGTTTCTCCATGTTGGTCAGGCTGGTCTCGAACTCCCGACCTCAGGTGATCCCCCCACCTCAGCCTCCCAAAGTGCTGGGATTACAGGCGTGAGCCACCGTGCCTGGCCAATTTCCCATTTCTTTTTAGTTTCACATGGCTACTAGAAATCTGAAGACTGCATGTGTGCTTGCATTATATTTCTATTTGACAGTGCTGCTTTATGTGCATTGCTACTTCACACACTTGTAACATTTATTGAATAGCTTATCTGTGCCAGGCACTAGGCTAGGCATGGGGGATGCACCAGTGAACAAAATCCTTGCCCTTATAGAGCTTCCATTCTAAGTAATTTAATTTTTTAGCAACAACCTTACCAGGTAAAAACTATTGTTATCCCATTTAATTTAATTTAATTAATTTTTTTTGAGACAGGGCCTCAGTCTGCCACCCAGGCTGGAGTGCAATGGTGGGATCATAGCTCACTGCAAGTTGACCTGGGCTCAAGCAATCCCCCCACCTCTGCCTCCTGACTACAGATGAGCACCATCACATCCAGCTAATTAAAATTTTTTTTTTTTTGTAGAGACGGGGTCTTCCTATGTTGCTCAGGCTAGTCTCCAACTCCTGGGCTCAAGCAGTCCTCCAACTTCGGTCTCACAAAGTGCTAGGATTACAGGTGTGAGCCACCATGCCCAACCCCATTTTATTTTATTTTTATATTTTAATTATTTTCTTGAGACAGAGTCTTGGCTGGGCATGGTGGTTCACGCCTGTAATCCCAGCACTTAGGGAGGATTGAGGCAGGAGGATCACTTGAGCCCAGGAGTTCAAGAGCAGCCTGGCCAAGATGATGAGACCCCATCTCTAAAAAAATAAAAATAAAAAAAATAAAAAAACTTTTTTTAATTAAAAAAAAATGTTTAAAGAGACAGAGCCTTGCTCTGTCACCCAGACTGGATCATAGCTCACTGCAGCCTCCAACTCCTGGACTCAAGTGATCCTCCACCTCAGCCTCCCGAGTAGCTAGGACCACAGGCATGCACCACTATGCCTGGCTAGTTTTATTATTTCTTATAGAGACTGGGTCTTGCTATGTTGCCCAGGCTGTTTGTTATTCCCTTTTATAAATGAGGAAACCGAAATGCAGAAAAGTTAAATAATTTCCCCAAAGTCACAGAGCCAACGAGTGGTCGAGCTGGGACTTGAATTCGGGCATCTTGAGTTCATCAATTAAGTTATTAACTGCTGTGTGCCATGGATACCCATAATATGCAGTATTATAATTTGTCAAACCAGGCCTTGACTATTGGATGCTATACAGGAACCAAACAATGTTATGAGACCAAGTCACCTGTGATTGAGGGCAAATACAAGAGGCTGAAAAGAGACAAGCTTCAAGTCTGAGGTCATAAGCAGGGCCACAGGTGGGACAATGAGGGACATAAGCTGGGGGTGGGGCTTGGCTGGAAAGCATTGAAGAGACCCTAAGTAGGGGGAAGGGGAGGGCTGGTTTGTCACAGCAGCAGCGCCTGGTCGTGGTAGCCCAACAGGCTGAAGGACCTATGTGGGATAGGACTGAGGCTTGGAGAGGAGACTGCATTAAAGGTGCAGCACATGGTAGGGCCAGGCACCAAGGAGAAGCACAGCAAGAACCCCCGCGAGCCAGGCCTTGTGCTAACAAACCTCTAACATGCATTTGATCAGCCAGCCAGTCACTCAATAAATATGGACTGGGTGTCTATGGGCCACCAATCTCAAGTCAACAACCTCAGAAGAGCTCTAAGAAGAGGGTTTTTCCCCAACCATTTTACAGCTGAATAACATGGGGCTCAGGGAGGTGAAGTGACTTAGCCAAGGTAAATTAGTAAGGTAGTGGAGAGCTGAATGCAAACCTGAAGCCACCTGGTTCCAGGACCCTTACCACCCCGGGCCTGCCTTTGTGCCCCAACTTCCCCTCTCTGACCATCCCGAGTACACTGGAGACTGGGGTGGAGGTTGGGGTCTATAACTAGCTCCTAAGCCGCAGTTGCAGGTGGGCTCTGGCCCAGCACAGGAGATGGGAGGAGAGGGGGTGACCCTCATTCCTGGATTTCTGTTTTGTTTGTTTGTTTGTCTGTTTTGAGACACAGTCTCATTCTGTTGCCCAGGCTGGAGTGCAGTGGCATGATCTCAGCTCACTGCAACCTCTGCCTCCCAGGTTCAAGCAATTCTCTTGCCTCAGTCTCCCAAGTAGCTGGGATTACAAGCACCCGCCACCACACCCAGTTAATTTTTATACTTTTAGTAGAGACAGGGTTTTACCACGTTAGCCAGGTTAGCCAGGCTGGTCTCAAACTCCTGACCTCAGGTGATCCAGCCGCTTTGGCCTCCCAAAATGTTGAGATTACAGGCGTGAGCCACTGCGCCCATCTGCTTGTTCGTTTTGAGACGGGGTCTCTTTCTGTCGCCCAGGCCGGAGTGCAGTGTTGTGATCTTGGCCCACTGCAACCTCCATCTCCCTGGTTCAAGCGATTCTCCTGCTTCAGCCTCTCCAGTAGCTGGGATTAGAGGCATGCGCCACCATGCCTGGCTAATTTTTGTATTTTTAGTAGAGATAGGGTTTCACCATGTTGGCCAGGCTGGTCTCAAACTCCTGATCTCAAATGATCTGCCCACCTCGGCCTCCCAAAGTTCTGGGATTACAGGCATGAGCCGGATGCCCAGCCTCATTCTGCAGTTTCTAAGGGAGTTAGTTGTGTGCATGTCTTAGATCTGGAAGAAGAGCATTGTGGATCTCCTGGTGAAGGAAATTTTCTCAACCTGTCCACAAAGGGGTCGACAGCAACTGGGAGGCACAGTGGGAAGACCCTAGGCTCAGGGTCTGAGTAGGCTTAGGTTCTAATCCTGGCTCTGTCCCTGACTGTGTGACCTTGGGCAAGTCACTTCTCCTCTCTGAGGCCTGGCTTCCTCATCTATTGAATGAATATCATAGGAAATTATATTTCCTCTTGTCTTCAGTCCCAGGCCAGACCAAAGAAGACCCTCTACTCCTTTGTGCCCACCACTGACCACAGTCAGAGAAACAGTGGACCAGGACTGAGCAGAGAGGCTTCAGGAAGGGAAGAAATAGCACTCATATAGTGGTCTCCACATGCTCATTTAATCCCCACAATGACCCTCTCTCAGAGCTTCTGCTCCTCTTGTGCCCGGACTGTGCCTCTCCCTCCCAGGTGCGACCATGCCTCCTCTGTGGTCTCCCCTCAGCCTCTTTCCTGTCCCACCACTTTTGCAAGATGACACTTTAGTTCATTCAACAACTATTTATTGCGCCCTCTTCTGTGTGTCAGGTCCAGTCCTAGGTGCTGGGGACACAATGACAAGCAAAACAGGCAGGTTCCTTCGCTCATGAAGCCTACATTCTATGAGGGAGTCTGACATTCAGCACAGAACCCCAACAACTGCAGACTGAGGTCAGAGTTCTGCAGAAGACCAGGCGTGGCGGCTCACACCTGTAACCCCAGCATTTTGGGAGGTTGAGGCGGGCAGATCACCTTAGGTCAGGAGTTCCAGACCAGCCTGACCAACATGGAGAAACCCCATCTTTACTAAAAATACAAAATTAGCTGGGCGTGGTGGCACATGCCTGCAATCCCAGCTACTGGGGAGGCTGAGGCAGAAGAATCGCTTGAACCTGGGAGGCTGAGGTTGCCGTGAGCTGAGATAGTGCCATTGCACTCCAGCCTGGGCAACAAGAACGAAACTCTGTCTCAAAAAAAAAAAAAAAAAGAGTTCTGCAGAAAAAGAACGGGTATCAGAATTTGACTGAGGCCTCCTGAGGTCAGGACGGACAGTGGAGTGGCCAGGTTGAAAGAGTGGGGCTAGGGAAAGGGAATGTTAGGCAGAGGGAAGTGCTTGAGTGAGGAGGCCAGACTGGGGGGTGTGGTGGGAGACAGGCCAGGAAGTGGAGGGGCCCAATGACGCAGGTAAGACTCTCACCTGGTCATTCCCCTGCTCCCACACCACCTGTGGCTCCCTTTGGCTACACACTCATAGCCCTCAGAGGACCTGAAGGTCATCCTGGACTCGTCTCTCTTCCTCATCTACCATGTCCATTCCATAAGTATTTTATACAATGTCTGTGATGGCCAGGGACCATGTTAGGCTCTGGGTATGTAAACATCAGGGAATAAAATGGACATGGTGCCTGTCCTCCTGGAGGTCACAGTCTCTCTGAATCCTAAATGGCTCCTTCTAGCTTTATAGCCATGACCTTTCCAATCAACCCCATCCCTCACCTTGATCTCAGTGGCTTCCTCACTGTCTCCCACACTCCCTGCTTGTTCCTGGACAATCTCTTCTCTGCACAGCAGCAAGACGCATATTTTATTTTTATTTTTATTTTTTTGAGACAGGGTCTGGCTCTGTCGCCCAGACGGGAGTGCAGTAAGACACATATTTAAAGATGCAAATCTGCATTTTTCAAGCCTAAGTATTCCTGCCTGTTCTCATCTTGGCCCCTTATTTGTTTCCTTTGTAGCTCTCACAGTCTGTAATTATTAATCTGTGTATTGGTTTAGGCGAGAATAGAGGCTCTGCAAATTGAACATACACATCCAATTTCACTTCCTCCCAAAACTTCACTGAAACTACAGTAAAGAGATTCTTTTTAAGGCATAAACCCACTAAGATGGGGAGAATGAGGGAGGAGACAAATGCACAGCATTTGGAGGCTGGGAAGCAGATGGTCAGGTGGTCACTACACAGCAAACCCATGAAAACTGTACCCTAAACTGGATGTGGGGAAAGAGGAGAACCCACCCAGTCCAGATCACAGACTCCCCCAAAGGCTCAGGCACCTGTTTATGGGGGCGAGGAGGAATAAAATAAGGAGGAGTTGGACCCTGCTGTTTAAGGATGAAAATTATTAGGTCCCTGGGTGGCTTCCCTAATCCTGGCGGAACACTGGAGGTTTACTCTCCGAGAGGAGAAAACAGGATCACTGGAATGAGAGATCACAGGCATGGTTGAGGGCGGGGGTATCCTCCCCAAATCAGGAGACGAAGTGAACACACACACTGTGAATGCTGAGACCCCACACCAACCCTGTTTCCCAAATTGGCTCCCAGAAAGCTGGCCGCCATGGCTTTGCTCCCTAGGCAAGAGAGCAGGAAAAGTGTTGTCTAAAGGAAATCTGACCAAGCCAAGAAGAAAGACCTACTGTTAACATCTTCAGAGAGAGAAGAGAAGAGATTACATCTATGATGCAAGAAGAGGATGTTATTTTATTTATTTACTTTTTTGGGAGACAGAATCTTGCTCTGTCACCCAGGCTGGAGTACACTGGTGTGATCTTGGCTCACTGCAACATCCGCCTCCTGGGTTCAAGCAATTGTTCTGTCCCAGCCTCCCAAGTAGCTGGGATTACAGGTGCACACCACAATGCCCGGCTAATTTTTGTATTTTTTGATACAAAAATACACCGTGCCCAGCTGAAGAGGATGTTATTTTAAAAAGAAACAGTCAAGGCCGGGCACGGTGACTCACGCCTGTAATCCCCGTACTTTGGGAGGCTGAGGCAGGCAGATCACAAGGTCAGGAGTTCAAGACCAGCCTGGCCAAGATGGTGAAACCCCGTCTCTACTAAAAATACAAAAATCAGCCGGGCATGGTGGTGCACACCTGTAATCCCAGCTACTCGGGAGACTGAGAGGAGAATCACTTGAACTGGGGAGGCGAAGGTTGCAGTGAGCCAAAATCGCGCCACTGCACTCCAGCCTGGGTGACAGAGCAAGACTCTGTCTCAAAAACAAACAAACAAACAAACAAAAGAAACAGTCAACCACCACCACCAACAAAAAGTCCTTGGGATCTAAAAATTCAATGAAAGGGCTGGAAGATAAATTTGGAGAAATCTTCCAGATAGTAGAACAAAGAGAAAAAGGGATAAAAAAGGGGAAGGAAAAAGATAATTAGGGGCCTGGTCCAGGACACCCAACATTTGAATTAAAGAAATTACAGAAAGAGAAAGCATAGAAAAGAGAGGGGACTAGGGCTGGGCGTAGTGGCTCACACCTGTAATCCCAGCACTTTGGGAGGCTGAGGCTGGCGGATGGCTTGAACCCAGGAGTCCAAGAGCAGCTTGGACAACATGGTGAAACCCCATCTCTAGAAAAAAATACAAAAATTAGCCGGGAGTGGTGGCTCGAGCCTGTAGTCCCAGCTACTCAGAAGGCTGAGGTGGGAGGATGGCTTGATCCTCCTGGAGGCAGAGGCTGCAACAAGGAGATAGACCCATGGCACTCTAGCCTGAGAAAGAAAGAGACAACAGAGGGGAGGAATCAATTAAAAACTGAAAGGCCAGGCGCAGTGGCTCATGACTGTAATCCCAGCACTTTGGGAGGCCAAGGCGGGCAGATGGATTGCTTGAGCTCAGGAGTTCGAAACCAGCCTGAGCAACATGGTGAAACCTTGTCTCTACAAAAAATACAAAAATTGCCGGGCACAGTGGCTCACGCCTGTAATCCCAGCACTTTGGGAAGCTGAGGCGGGCGGATCACAAGGTCAGGAAATTGAGACCATCCTGGCTAACACGGTGAAACCCCGTCTCTACTAAAAATACAAAAAATTAGCCGGGTGTGGTGGCGCGCGCCTGTCTGTAGTCCCAGCTACTCGGGAGGCTGAGGCAGGAGAATCGTTTGAACCCAGGAGGCAGAGGTTGCAGTGAGCCGAGATCACGCCACCACACTCCAGCCTGGGTGACAGAGTGAAACTCCGTCTCAAAAAAAAAAAGAAAAAGAAAAAACACAAAAATTAGCCCAGCACTATGGTATGCATCTTTATCTCAGCTACTCAGAAGGCTGAGGAGAGCACATCAATTGAGCCCAGGAGGTCCAGGTTTCAGTGAGCAGAGATGGTGCCACTGCACTCCAGCCTGGGCGACAGAGCAAGACCCTGTCTCAATAAAAAATAATAGGCCGGGCACGGTGGCTCACACCTGTAATCCCAGCACTTCGGGAGGTCGAGGTGGGCGGATCACCTGAAGTAGAGAGTTCAAGACCAGCCTGGCCAACATGGTGAAACCCCATCTTTACTAAAAATGCAAAATACTAGCTGGGCATGGTAGTAAGCACCTGTGGTCCCAGCTACTACTAAGGAGGCTGAGGTGGGAGGATTGCTTGAGCTCAGGAGTTTGAGGCTGCAGTGAGCAGAGATCACACCACTGAGACTCGGGAGGCTGAGGCAGAAGAATCGCTTGAACCCTGGAGGCGGAGGCTGCAGTGAGCAGAGATCGTGCCACTGTACTCCAGCCTGGGTGACAGACTGAGACTCCGTCTCAAAAAAACAAAAACAAAAACAAAAAAAAGGCCAGCAGTGGCTCATGCCTGTAATCCCAGCACTTTGGGAGGCTGAGGCAGGTGGATCACCTGAGGCCTGGAGTTAGAGACCAGCCTGGCCAACATGGTGAAACCCTGTCTCTACTAAAAATATAAAAGAATTAGCCAGGCGTGGTGGCACACGCCTGTAATCCCAACTACTCGGGAGGCTGAGGCACAAGAATCGTTTGAACCCTGGAGGTGGAGGTTGCAGTGAGCCAAGATGGCGCCACTGCACTCCAGCCTGGATGACAGAGCCAGACTGTCTCTAAATAAATAAAAGGACTCAGAATGTATAAGCTTTTTTTTTTTTTTTTTTGAGACAAGGCCTCACTCTTTTGCCCAGGCTGGAATACAGTGGCGCAAACACGCCTCAATGCAGCCTTGATCTCCTGGGCTCAAGCAATCCTCCTGCCTCAACTTCCACCACACCCAGATAATTTTGGACTGAATGACTGATGGTAGAAAGTGGGGCTTGTTACGTTGCCCAGGCTGGTCTTGAACTCCTGGCCTAGATTCTCTCACTTTGGCCTCCCAAAATTCTGAGCCACCACACCATGCCTGCATAAGTTTTAGACCCTAAACAATCTGGATCTTTCCCTGCCCAGAGTGATACCTGCTCACCAGGTATAAAGGGCAAACACTCCAGACTGGAGCAGAACAGAGGACTCCAAGAAAACTTCTTCAAGAACATGAAAGTGATAGAAGATTGATGTGGTAGTCATGGAGATGAGCCTCCCAACACCCCCCACCCCGCCCGCTGTTCAAGGAAGGGCCTGCTGCCCAGCTGCAGGGAGTTTGGACAGCAGACAGCCTCCAGCTGTCAGCTCCAGGGCTGGCCTCAGATGCAGACAGCCTCCTCGCCCAAGATCACATCCTTCCACATCCTTCCTCATCCTTCCCCAGGGCGGCCCCCATCAGGTGACTGAGCCAGGCAGTGGTATAAAGGCCTGGCCATTCCAGCCAGGCTTGGCACACTCTGATGGGCAAAACTCACTCCAGAGCTCCTTGCCAGGTTGGCCTAGGCTTTGCCAGGCCTGCACTGTAGTTTGACTTCTGCCCAATCCTGCTTCCTCCCACTTCCTTTCATAGGTGTTGATCCCTAACAAACCTCTTCTTCTGTGTACCTTCCAGAGAGACCAACCTGAGGTATCTGATTTGTCTGAATATCTTTTTTTTTTTTTTTTGAGACAGAGTCTTGCTCTGTCTCCCAGGCTGGAGTGCAGTGGCGCAATCTCGGCTCAGTGCAAGCTCCGTCTCCAGGGTTCACGCCATTCTCCTGCCTCAGCCTCCCGAGTAGCTGGGACTACAGGCGCCCACCACCACGCCCAGCTAATTTTTTATATTTTTTAGTAGAGAGGGGGTTTCACCGTGTTAACCAGAATGGTCTCAATCTCCTGACCCTC
Source organism: Homo sapiens (assembly GCF_000001405.40). Classification (NCBI taxonomy): domain Eukaryota; kingdom Metazoa; phylum Chordata; class Mammalia; order Primates; family Hominidae; genus Homo; species Homo sapiens. The sequence continues at coordinate 26,497,638 of NC_000001.11, forward strand.
TGATCCACCTGCCTCGGCCTCCCAGAGTGCTGGGATTACAGGCGTGAGCCACCACGCCCAGCCTGTCTGAACATCTTGAGAGGAGATTTAGATACCTGGTAGGGAGTGGAATACACTAAGCAAGTGGTAAAACAGGACAATTAAGAGCTGCAGGAAAACAAAAAGTTGTAGAGGAAAGGAATCATAGCGCCGTCGAATAATGTAAACAATGAGAATTGAACAAAACAAAATTATGATGGCAGTTTAGAGAGATGGGGATTATCCGTATGGCTGGTGATGGGAAGTGTTAAAACTATCGTCCTCCAGCCTGGGCAACAAAAGTGAGACCCCATCTCTACAAAAAACAGAAAAAAATATTAGCCTGGCATGGTGGTGCGCACCTATTGTCCCAGCTACTCAAGAGGCTGAGCTGAGGATCACTTGAACCAGGAAGGTCGAGGCTGCAGTGAGCCATGGATGGCACCACTGCACTCCAGCCTGGGTGACAGAGTGAGACCCTGTCTCACAAAAACCCAAAAAATAAAACTATTTTCCATGGTAGAAAAACAAGAGATAGTGCCTATAACTGAAATATCAAGAAAGAGCAAAACAAGCACATTTATTTCGAGATATGGAGATAAATATAAAATATAGTCAGTTAAAGGAGTTGAAAATGGGTGCCTCTGCTTCAGTGGAATGGGCGATGTCTTTTTGTTTTCTTAGTAGAGATGGAGGTCTCACTATGTTGCCCAGGCTGGTCTTGAACTCCTGGGCTCAAGCAATCCTCCCACCTTGGCCTCCCAAAGTGCTGGGATTATAGGTGTGATAATCATGCCCAGCCTGCTGTTTTTATAAAAACTTATCTGTTTAAACTTTGTGCATATATAACTTTGATTAGGAAAAGAAAAGAGTATAAGCTTCCCAATGACAGAGATTGCAAGAGTCTGGTTACTATAAAATCCCCAGCATTCTACATGTAGTAGGTGCTCAAGAAGTATTTGTTGTTCACGTCATTGAATAAAAGTCACCCCCCAGCTTGGAACTCTGAATGGCTTCTGACAGCACAGTATTAAGATCACAGTCTAAGCCTGGGCAACACAGGGAAACCCTGGCTCTACAAAAAATACAAAAATTAGCCAGGCATAGTGGCACACACCTGTAGTCCCAGCTGCTAGGGAGGCTGAGGTGGAAGGATTGCTTGAGCCTAGGAGGTCGATGCTGCAGTAAGCCATGGATGGCACAACTGCACTCCAGCCTGGGTGACAGAGCAAGACTGTCTCAAAAAAAAAAAAAAAAAATCACAGTCTGTGATGCGCCAGGCACTCAGGATCTGGCCTCTGCAGATTCCTCCGGTTTCTTCTTCAGGCCTCTTTCAGGTGGTCACATGCACAAGGTTTCCTCCTGTCTCAGGAACTGTTTACACGCTGTTCCTTCTCCCTAGAAAGCGCTTCACCACCATCACCTGGTTCTCGCACATAAATTGGTGAGATTTCAGCTCAAATGTCACTTCCTCCAGGAAGTCCTCCCTGTTTCTTGGTTCTCCTATCTCATTCCCTCATTCACCAGCCCAGTGGAGCCATGGTGGACCTATCTCAAGATCCCAAAGGGCCTTGCGGGCCATGTTAAGACATTTGCTCTTTGTCTGGAAGAGAACTGGGAGTCACCGAAGTGTTGCCAGCAGGGAAGGTTAAGATCAGATATGCTGATAGATCTGGGGCTCAGAAAGAATTATGAAAAGCAGCAAGCCTCCTTACTTGATACACAGACAACCTTGCTCAACCAACAGTGGCTTCATCCTACCTCCCCAGGGTACTTCCAGTAATTCCCTATGGTAGTGTTTTCCAGAATGGGACATGACTACAGCTGGGGGCCCTAGGTATTTTTTTTTTTTTTTTTTTGAGACAGTCTTGCTCTGTCGCCCAGACTGGAGTGCAGTGGCATGATATGGACTCACTGCAACCTCTGCCTCCCGGATTCAAGCAATTCTCCTGCCTCAGCCTCCCGAGTAACTGAGACTACAGGTGCGCACCACCACGCCTGGCTAATTGTTGTATTTTTAGTAGAGATGGGGTTTCACCATGTTGGCCAGGCTGGTCTTGAACTCCTGACCTCGTGATCCACCTGCCTTGGCCTCGCCTTGGCAAAACCCCGTCTCTACTAAAAATACAAAAATTAGCCAGGCGTGGTGTCTCGTGCCTGTAGTCCCAGCTACTTGGGAGGCTGAGGCAGGAGAACGGCTTGAACCTTGGAGGCGGAAGTTGCAGCGAGCCGAGATCATACTGCTTAACTCCAGCAAAAAGAAAAAAAAGAAAGCTGGGGCTGCGCGCGGGGGCTTATGCCTGTAACCCCAGCACTTTGGGAGGACAGCCTGGCCAACAGAGCGAGACCCTATCTCTATTTTTTTTTAAAAAAATAACAAAACAAAAAAAGCTGGTTGGTTGTTGGGAGGCCTGGCTGCTTTTGGGAAGGATAATCCTCGTCCACACCAAGGTGATTCAGTGAGCAGGGTGAGGGCAGATGCTGGGTGTCCACGCCCCGGCCCCACAGCAGCCAGAGGAAGATACCAGCCCGCGCACCCGTCGCCATGGCAACCTCAACCCCACTCCTGGACCCTAGCTCGGAAGGGGGCAGGGTATCGAAAGCCGATCGCCAGAGGCTCCTCGGTGCCTCGTGCGAGTCCCCGCCGTCAGCCCCGAGGAGCCTCCTGGCACCAAGCAGGCGCTGCCCCCTTCGGCCACACGGTGGCGGCGCAGAGCCGAGCTCCGCGCCCCACCTGGGAGGCGGCGCCCGCGGGATGGGGCTCCTCGGCCCAGCTCCCCAGCCTCGACAAGGATACGGCCCGACATCCAGGCCAGGAGCGTCGCTGGGGCTTAACCGCCGTTCCCCAAGGCGCCCCTCCACTCCTCCAGCGGGCTCCCGCATCCCCCATTATCCGGCGGACCCCAACCCCTGCTCACGTGACTCGCCCGCCACCCTCGAAGAACTCTCGTGGGGCCGCCCCGCCCTGCCGCAGGTCACGCGCTGCGCACCTGGAGGGCATCTGGCCAGCCGCCAGCTAGAGCCTGCCCCTGCTCAGGCTCGGCTCAACCCGGGCCCGCGCCTGCTCCGAGCCCAGGAAGAGCGTCCTGTCCAGCTCCCAAGTGCGCCGGCCCGTGGGGAAGGAGGCGGGAGTGGGCTCCAGCGGTGCGGCCCTCGCTCCTCCGACCCGGGGCCCTCTCCACCTCGGGGGAAGAAAGAGGCCTCTGCCTCCGCCTCCTTCCCTGAGCGCTGCCACCCTCACTCCGGCCCTCTGACCGCGGGTCCCGGACATTGCGCTTAGGGGTCGCCTTGCAGGGCCAGAGAAGCTGGCAGACCACGCGCGCGCACGTGCCGGGGCGGGGCGTCACCGGGGGCGGGGCCTGGAAGGGCGGGGTCGGCGGGCTCGGGTTCCCGCGGGGCGCGCGCGGGGTGACGGGAGCCGGGACTACGCGGAAGTGGGGGTAGGGGCCGCGGGACGGGGAGGGGCGTCCCCAGTACCCGCGAGTGGCTTCAGGGAGCGCAAGGCCAGCTGAGTCTGGGCGCTGGATGGGCGGCCTTGGCATTAGGTCCAGATTTGGGTCCTAAGTACTGTGCCCAACCGGCCCGAGGGGAAGGGGGAGGAGACAGGAACCGCGCCCATTTTCCGGATCAGGTTCTTGGAACCAGCCCGGAAATCCTGGGACTCAATCTGGGGGCCAGATCTGGAGGCGATGGTTTTTCTAGAGACGGGCTGATGCAGCCCCAGTATGCCGTCGCACTCATTTCCCACATTCCAGGAACGGTCCAGGTCTGCCCTTCAGCGGTTTGGGAACTCCGCGACGACTCCCTCTCTCCACAACTGCAGGGTGGGCCGCGCTCTGAAAACCTGGCAAAGCGATGGGGGTCCCTCAGAGCCCCTCCTTCATATTCAGTTTCAAAAGGATTTGGCATTGGGGAAACCTTGGGACCTCAAGCCACATGGAGAAAGAGCTCCAGGTCACAAGGGCTTGGACCTGAGGGCACCTCGGCTGGCTCCTTTCTCGTGCAGTCTTTGCAAAAGAGGACCAGGTGGTGGCCAGAAGGGCACTTTGAGGGCTGAAGAGCTCAAACTGCACAGGGATAGGACCGAGGTGCAGAGTCCTTGGGGCCCTTTTTTTTTCTGTCATATCTTGTTTTGCCATTCGGCCTGGAAATACCTGGAAATTCTTCCTGCCTGTTTTTCCCTCAGAAAAGTTTTTTTTATGTAAAAGTGGCCAGGCACAACTGTAATCCCAGCACTTTGGGAGGCCGAGGTGGGCGGATTGCTTGAGGCCAGGGGTTCGAGACCAGCCTGGGCAACATAGCAAGACCCCGTCTCTGCCAAAAATACAACAAATTAGCCAGGCGTGGAAACGCGCGCCTGTAATCCTAACTGCTGGGGAGGCTGAGGCAGGAGACTCGCTTGAACCTGGGAGGCAGAGGTTACAGTGAGCCACCAAGATCAAGATCGTGCCACTGCACTCCAGCCTGGGCGACAGAGAAAACAGAAAAGGAAAAAAAAAAAAAAGAAAGGACATCTCTGCCGGGCTCTGTGTGTGGCTCATGCCTGCAATAGCAACATTTTGGGAGCCTGAGGCAGAGGGATTGCTTGAGGCCAGGAGTTTGAGTCCAGTCTGGGCAACACTGAGAGACCCTGTCTCTACAAAATATAAACAAAATTTGCCAGGTGCTGTCATCCGCCTGTAGTCCCAGCTACTCCGGAGGCTGGGGTGGGAGGATCACTTGAGCCCAGGAGGTCGAGGCTGCAGTGAGCAGCCACTCTATCCTGGGTGACAGAGACCCTGTCTCTAAGAAATGAATGAATGAACATCTTGCTGTGAGATGTGCTGTGTAACCCCTTTGCAATGTCCTCCCGAGAACTTTGGTAAAGGCTTTTGCTTTTTTGCAGTGCTTTTTGGAGTTGGATTGGGGGTGTGTGTGTGTGTGCACGCGCGTGCAAGTAGGGAGAAAGGGATTGGTTTTATACATTTTGTTTATTTTTCCTTTTATGAGAATAGAATAGCCTCCCTAGCCTTGCTCATTCTGTGCCCTCTACCCCGAATGCACTGCGTTTCCTCCTCCCTATCCTGTAAGGGCTACCTTTCTCCATCTCATTCTCCTGTTGCCACCAGCTCTTTTCCAGTCCCTCATTATAGTCATATAAGAACAGGTGACTGGCCTTTCTACTAGTGAACTGGTAGGCCATAATGAATGGGAATTTTGCTACCACCAGAATACTTTTTTTTTTTTTTTTTTTTTTTTGAGACAGAGTCTCGCTCTTGTTGCCCAGGCTGGAGTGCCCAGGCGCAATCTTGGCTCACCCCAATCTCCGCCTCCCGGGTTCAAGCGATTCTTCTGCCTCAGCCTCCCGAGTAGCTGGAACTACAGGCATGCACCACCACACCCGGCTAATTTTTGCATTTGTAGTAGAGACAGGGTTTCACCATGTTGGCCAGGCTAGTCTCCAACTCCCGACCTCAGGTGATGCACCCACCTTGGCCTCCCAAAGTGCTGGGATTACAGGCGTGAGCCACCGCACCAGGCCCCAGAATCCTTATGATTACAAGAAACTGCTGGTTTGTTGGTTTTATAAACCTCTTGGTTAGCATGATTCTTGTTTCCCTCTTTGTTTTGGTTGGTAAGAAGCTCAGAACTTTTCTATATCTTTATTATTTTTTGTCCCAATTTTCTTTCTTTCTTTTTTTTTTTGAGATGGAGTCTTGCTCTGTCACCCAGGCTGGAGTGCAGTGGTGCAATCTGGGCTCACTGCAACCTCCACCTCCCAGGTTCAAGCAATTCTCTGGCCTTAGCCTTCTGAGTAGCTGGGGTTACAGGTGCATGCTGCCATGCCCGGCTAAATTTTATATTTTTAGTAGAAACAGGGTTTCACCATTTTGGCCAGGCTGGTCTCGAACTCCTGACCTCAAGTGATCCACCTGCCTTGGCCTCCCAAAGTGTTGGGATTACAGGCGTGAGCCACCATGCCTGGCCCCAATTCTCTTATTTACTTTTTTTTTTTTTTTTAACAGAGGAGGTCTTGCTTTGTTGCCCAGGCTAGACTCAGACTCCTGGACTCAAGCAGTACTCCCAACTCAAGCTCCCAAGTAGCTGAGACTATAGATACACACCTGGCTTGGTATAATAAAAATATTTTTTAAGGCTAAAAGTAAAGAATAAGCTCAATGCAGTGGTGCATGCCAGGAGTCCGATTATATCCTAGGAAACATAGCAAGACACTGTGTCTCAAAAGATAAAAATTTTAAAAAAAACTTTTTATTTTGGAAATTTTCAAGCATACATAAAAGTAGAGAGAATATAATAAATTACCAGGCTGGGCACGGTGGCTCATGCCTGTAATCCCAGGACTTTGGGAGGCCAAGGTGGGCAGATCATGAGGTCAGGAGTTCAAGACCAGCCTGGCCAAAATAGTGAAACCCTGTCTCTACTAAAAATACAAGAATTAGCTGGGCATGGTGGCACGTGCCTGTAGTCCCAGCTACTTGAAAGGCTGAGGCAGGAGAATCGCTTGAACCCAGGAGGTAGAGGTTGCAGTGAGCCGAGATCTCGCCACTGCACTCCAGCTTGGGTAACAGAGTGAGACTTCGTCTCAAAAAATAATAATAATAAATTATTATGTACCTACCACACACCTTCAGTAATTATCAACATTTTGCCAATCTTGTTTCATCAACCTCCCCACTTTTTCCTCTCTCTAAAGTATTATAAAGCAAATTCCAGACATCATATCAATTCACCTGAATTATTTCATTATCAATCTCAAATAAGATTTTTTCATGGGAGGCTGAGGCAGGAGAATGGCGTGAACCTGGGAGGCAGAGGTTGCAATGAGCCAAGATCTTGCCACTACACTCCAGCCTGGGCAACAGAGCGAGACTGTCTCAAAAAAAAAAAAAAAAAAAAAAAAAGATTTTTTCAAACAACTCCAATGCTACTGTCACACCTAATTGACAAAATTTATGCAAATTCCTTAAAATTATTTAATACCTAGTCCATGTTCAAATTTCTTTTTTCTTTTTCTTTTTTTTTTTTTTGAGACAGAGTCTCACTCTGTCACCCAGGCTGGAGTGCAGTGGTACGATCTCAGCTCACTGCAACCTCCGCCTCCTGGGTTCAAGCAATTCTCCTACCTCAGCCTCCCTAGTAGCTGAGATTACAGGTACCTGCCACCACACCAGGCTAATTTTTTGTATTTTTAGTAGAGACGGGGTTTCACTGTGTTGGCCAGGCTGGTCTTGAACTCCTGACCTCGTGATCCGCCCATCTAGGCCTCCCAAAGTGCTGGGATTACAGGCATGAGCCACCGCGCCCGGCCTCAAATTTCTTCAATAGTTGGTTTGTTCCAATCAGGATTCAACAAGATCCACACACTTCACTTGGTTGATGTGTCTCTTAAGTAACTTTTGATCAGTTCCACTTTTCTTTCCATTTTTTTTAATGCTATTGAGTTGTAGAAGAAACCAGAATATTTGTCCTGTAAAAGTTCCTACATTCCAGATTTGGCTGATTGCTTTCCAGTAGTGTATTTTTTTCTTTTTTGAGACAGAGTCTTGCTCTGTCGCCCAGGCTAGAGTACAGTGGTGCAATCTCGGCTCACTGCAACCTCTGCCTCCCGGCTTCAAGCAATTCTCCTGCCTCAGCCTCATGAGTAGTTGGGATTACAGGCACCCGCCACCATGCCCGGCTAATTTTTCTATTTTTTTTAGTAGAGACGGGATTTCACCATCTTGGCCAGGCTGGTCTCGAACTCCTGACCTCATGATCCACCTGCCTCAGCCTCCCAAAGTGCTGGGATTACAGGCGTGAGCCACTGTGCCTGGCCCCAGTAGTGTATTTGTTTCTAACTTTCTAATTCTCTCATTCTTTTGGCATTCATTAGCTCAGTATAAAGAACTTTTTGAGAATTTTTTTTTTGAGACAGAGTCTTGCTCTGTTGCCCAGGCTGGAGTGCAGTGGCACGATCTTGGCTCACTGCAACCTCCGCCTCCAGGTTCAAGCAATTCTCTTGCCTCAGCCTTCCGAGTAACTGGGATTACAGCCACCTGCCACTACGCCTGAGTAATTTTAGTGGAGATGTGGTTTCACCATGTTGGCCAGGCTAGTCTCAAACTCCTGACCTCAAGTGATGTACCTGCCTTGGCCTCCCAAAGTACTGGGATTACAGGTGTGAGCCACCGCACCCAGACTCAGTAGTGTATTTTACCTTGTTTTTCTGCCCCTTGTGTTTCCAGCAAACTGAAAGTTAGATCCAGAAGCTTGATTACATTTAAGAATGCCTGAATGTTTCTTTTTATTTATTTCTTTTTTTTTTTTTTTTGAAACAAGGTCTCACTCTGTCGCCCAGGCTGGAGTGCAGTGGCACAATCATGGCTCACTACAGCCTTGACCTCCTGCCTCAGCCTCCCAAGTAGCTGTGACTACAGGCACGCCATCACACCTGGCTACTTTTTTTTTGAGATGGAGTCTCACTCTGTCGCCCAGGTTGGAGTGCAGTGGCGTGATCTTGGCTCATTGCAAACTCCGCCTCCCAGGTTCAAGCAATTCTTCTGCCTTAGCCTCCCGAGTAGCTGGGACTACAGGCACCCGCCACCAAGCCTGGCTAATTTTTGTATTTTTAGTAGAGATGGGGTTTCACCATATTGGCCAGGCTGGTCTCGAAGGCCTGACTTCGTGATCCACCCACATTGGCCTCCCAAAGTGCTGGGATTACAGGCATGAGCCACCGCGCCCAGCCACACCTGGCTACTTTTTAATATTTTTGTAGAAATGAGGTCTCACTGTGGCCCAGGCTGGTCTTGAACTCCTGAGCTTGAGTGATCCTCCCACCTTGGCCTCCCAAAGTACTGATATTACAGGTGTGAGCCACTACACCTGGCCCCCTGAGTGTTTAAAGAATACCTTATTGGTAACAGTGCTGTGTACTTATTATTACATCACATCTGGAGACACATATGTCTAGTTGACGTTTTTACTGATTGATCAGTGGGTTTAATGCCCTCTTCAGTATAAAATTTCCCATCAACCTTTCACCTATTGGTTTTATTATCCACTAATGATTCAATTTTATTAGCTATTGCAAAATAATTTTCTAATTCTCTCATTCTTTTTGCATTCATTAGCTCAATGTAAAGAACATTTTCTCATTCATTATTTGATTCTTTTGAAATATAGTTTATACAAGACAGACAATATAAATGCTTAATTTTTCTTACGTATTTTTATGACTTGCCTGAACTCCTTTGTGGAACAGTGTGTTAAAAACAAAAAGGCAGGCCTAGCAGTGGAATTGAGAGAGTACAGGCCTTGGAGTCATACTTACTAGCTGTCTGACCTTGGGCAATCCTTGTGAGCCTGTTTCCTTAACTGCAAAATGGAGTTACTGACCCCAGCATCTCCCTATCTTCCAGAGAATCATATCCAGGCCTAGAACAAACAATTCCTTGTGCAAGATGTAAAAAGTGTTAATTGTGGAAAATTTAGAGAAGGCAGATAGAACAAAGAAGATGATATAAGTCTTGTGAAAAAAGTCTAGCACATGCCTAGCATATAGGAAATATTTTTTACAATCCTCTGTTGGCTTTCATGCTGCCCTACCTCAGCATCCACCTGGAAGAGAGGAAATTTAGCCAGGAATTTCTTGGGATGACTCCAGCCCCATCCCAAGAAAATCCAAGCAGGAGTGAGAGGGGGTGTCCCAGGAAGAGAGCAGGCGGTGGATTCCTCTAGTCTTATGTTAAGAGCTAGTGATTTGAACTTAGACCTGCCACAAACTTGCTGTGAGATCCTGGGAAAGTCCCATAACTCCCTGAACCAGAGTTACTCACCTGAGAGATAGAGGTTGTCCATGCTGATCTGTCGGGGTTGTTGGAGGACCACATGGGGTGTGAATGTGTATGTGCCCACCACAGTGCTGGCTATTGGGAGGTGCTCAGAAAATAGGGGTTAGCTCGGTTCTGAGTTGGGGACCTCCCTTTCTGAGCTCCCACCACATTCAAGTTCACTCATAATAGTCTATGAGGGGCCGGGCATGGTGGCTCACGTCTATAATCCCAGCACTTTGAGAGGCTGAAATGGGCAGATCACCTGAGGTCAGGAGTTTGAGACCAGCCTGGCCAACATGGCGAAACCCCATCTCTACTAAAAATACAAAAATTAGGCCGGGCACGGTGGCTCATGCCTGTAATCCCAGCACTTTGGGAGGCTGAGGCGGGTGGATCACGAGGTCAGGAGATCGAGACCATCCTGGCTAACATGGTGAAACCCTGTCTCTACTAAAAAAAATACAAAAAATTAGCTGGGCATGGTGGTGGGCGCCTGTAGTCCCAGCTACTCGAGAGGCTGAGGCAGGAGAATGGCGTGAACCTAGGAGGCGGAGCTTGCAGTGAGCCGAGATCGCGCCACTGCACTCCAGCCTGGGCGACAGAGCGAGACTCCATTTCAAAAAAAAAAAAAAAAATTAGCCAGGTGTGGTGGCATGTGCCTGTAATCCCAGCTACTTGGGAGGCTGAGGCAGGAGAATCTCGAATCCGGAAGGCGGAGGTTGCAGCGAGCTCCACTGCACTCCAGCCTGGGCGACAGACTTCATCTCAAAAAAAAAAAAAAAAAGTCGGCTGGGTGCAGTGGCTCACGCCTGTAATCCCAGCACTTTGGGAGGCCGAGGCGGGCGGATCACAAGGTCAGGAGATCGAGACCATCCTGGCTAACACAGTGAAACCCCGTCTGTACTAAAAATATAAAAAATTAGCCAGGCTTGGTGGAGGGCGCCTGTAGTCCCAGCTACTCAGGAGGCTGAGGCAGGAAAACGGCGTGAACTCGGGAGGCGGAGCTTGCAGTGAGCCGAGATCACGCCACTGCACTCCAGCCTGGGTGACAGAGCGAGACTTCGTCTCAAAAAAGAAAAAAAAAGAGTCTATGAGGACTGTGTGAGGTGAGGTTTGGAACCCAGCTTCTCACAAAACTGCTGTGTCAATTGGGAAGCCTCTCCTTCTCTGGGGCATGGATCCCTCCATTTGTGAAACGGTGAAATTAGAGGTCCAAATTCAAATGCCCATAGGAGCAGGTGGGTAACATAAGGAAGTTAAATGAGTAAGGAGTTCAGACAATGGGGACTATGGCAGTGTGACAAACTAGCCTCATCTGAAAGAGGTGGCTACTCCATTCCTGCTGATGGTTATAAAGCAGGAATGTGGGTCCGGATGCCCGTATTTTTAAAGAAGCTAGAAAGTTGTATTTTTTTTTTTTTTTTTTTTTTTTTTTTGAGACGGAGTCTCGCTCTGTCGCCCAGGCCGGACTGCGGACTGCAGTGGCGCAATCTCGGCTCACTGCAAGCTCCGCTTCCCGGGTTCACGCCATTCTCCTGCCTCAGCCTCCCGAGTAGCTGGGACTACAGGCGCCCGCCACCGCGCCCGGCTAATTTTTTGTATTTTTAGTAGAGACAGGGTTTCACCTTGTTAACCAGGATGGTCTCGATCTCCTGACCTCATGATCCACCCGCCTCGGCCTCCCAAAGTGCTGGGATTACAGGCGTGAGCCACCGCGCCCGGCCGAAAGTTGTATTTTTAAAATCTTATTTATTTATTTTGTTGTTAATTTAATTTTAAATTGGAATGATGGCAAGTAATTTGAGATATTTAACAACCTGTGCACAGCACACGAGTGTAGGCATACCTCATTTTATTGCACTTTACTTGTGCTTCATCAAATTTTTTTTTTAGATGGGGTCTTGCTCTGTCACCCAGGCAAGTGCAGTGGCATGATCACCGCTCACTGCAGCCCCAATTGCCCAGGCTCAAGTGATCCTCTAACCTCAGGCTCCTCGGTAACTACGATCACAGGTGCGAGGCACCAGGCCCAGCTGATTTTATTTTTTATTTTATTTAATTAATTTATTATTATTATTATTATTATTATTTGAGATGGAGGTTTGCTGTTATTGCCCAGGCTGGAGTGCAATGGCACAACCTCGGCTCACCGCAACATCCGCTTCCTGGGTTCAAGCGATTCTCGTGCCTCAGGCTCCGGAGTAGCTGGGATTACAGGCATGCACCACCACGCCCAGCTAATTTTGTATTTTTAGTAGAGATGAGGTTTCTCCATTTTGTCAGGCTGGTCTCAAACTCCTGACCTCAGGTGATCCGCCCACTTGGGCCTCCCAAAGTGTTAGGATTACAGGCATGAGCCACTGCACCCAGCCTATTTTTTATTTTTTATGTAGAGATGAGGTCTCCGTATGTTGCCCAGGCTGATCTTGAACTCCTGCACTCAAGCAGTCCTCCCATCTTGGCCTCCCAAAGTGCTGGGATTCTGGGCGTGAACCACCACACCCAATCGATATTTTGTTTTTAACAAATTGAAGGTTTGTGGCAACCCCGTGTGGAGCAACTACAGGCACCATTTTTCCTACAGCATGTGTTCATTTCGTGCCTGTGTCATATTTTGGTAATTCTCACAATATTTCAGATTGTTTCATTGTTATGGTATCTGTGATGGTGATCTGTGATCAGTGAGTTTTGATGTTACTATTGTGATTGTTTTGGGGCACCACAAACTGTGCCCATATAAGATGGCAAACTTAAGCTGGGCGCAGTGGCTCATGCCTGTAACCCCAGCACTTTGGGAGGCCAAGGCGGGTGGATCACAAGGTCTAGGAGTTTGAGACCAGCCTGTCCAATATGGTGACACCCTGTCTCTACTAAAAATACAAAAATTAGCCAAGCGTGGTGGCTCGCACCTGTAGTGCCAGCTACTTGGGAGGTTGAGGCAGAAGAATCGCTTGAACCCAGGAGGCAGAGGTTGCAGTGAGCTGAGATCGCACCACTGCACTCCAGCCTGGGTGACAGAGCGAGACTCCGTCTCAGTGGTGTGTGTTTTCTGACTGTTCCACCCACCGGTGCCCTTCCCTCATCTCTCTCCCTCCCCTCTGGCCTCCCTATTCCCTGAGATAAAACAATATTGAAATTAGGCCAATAAAAACCCTACAGTGCCCCAGAACTTAAAGTATAATAAAAATAATAATAAAAATAAAATCCTACAGTGGCCTCTAAGTGTTCAAGTGAAAGGAAGACTCGAATGTCTCTCATTTTTAATCAAAAGCTAGAATTAATTAAACTTAGTGAGGAAGGCCAAAAGCTAGGTCTCTTGTGTCAGCCAAGTTGTGAATGCAAAAGAAAAGTTCTTAAAGGAAATTAAAAGTGCTACTCCAGTGAACACATGAATGACAAGAATGTGGAACAGGCTGGGCACTGTGGCTCATGCCTGTAATCCCAGCTCTCTGGGAGGCCAAGGCAGGCGGATCACTTGAGTCCAGGAGTTGGAAGTCAGCTTGGGCAACATAGTGAGACCCTGTCTCTACAAAAATAAAAAGTTAGCCAGGGCTGGGTGCAGTGGCTCACACCTGTAATCCCAGAACTTTGGGAGGCTGAGGCAGGCAGATCACTTGAGGTCAGGAATGTGAGACCAGCCTGACTGACATGGTGAAACCCTGTATCTACTAAAATACAAAAAAAATTAGCTGAGTGTGGTGGTGCATGCTTGTAATCCCAGCTACTTGGGAGGCTGAGGCAGGAGAATTGCTTGAACTCACAATGTGGAGGTTGCAGTGAGCAGAGATCATGCCATTGCACTCCAGCCTGGGCGGCAGACCGAAAATTCATCTAAAAAAAAAAGTGCAAGGTGAAGCAGCAAGTGCTAATGGAGAAGCTTTAGCAAATAATCCAGAAATTTTTTTTTTTTTTTTTTTTTTTTTTTGGAGACAGAGTCTCCTTCTGTCACCCAGGCTGCAGTGTAGTGGCACGATCTTGCACTGCAACCTCCGCCTCCCGAGTTCAAGTGATTCTCTGCCTCAGCCTCCCACGTTGCCGGGAATACAGGCACCCACCACAACGCCTGGCTAATTTTTTTTTTTTTTTTTTGAGACGGAGTTTCGCTCTTGTTACCCAGGTTGGAGTGCAATGGCTTGATCTTGGCTCACTGCAACCTCCGCCTCCCGGGTTCAAGCGATTCTCCTGCCTCAGCCTCCCGAGTAGCTGGGATTACAGGCACGTGCCACCACACCAGGCTAGTTTTGTATTTTTAGTAGAGACGGGGTTTCACTATGTTGACCAGGCTGGTTTTGAACTCCTGACCTCAGGTGATCCACCCTCATCGGCCTCCCAAAGTGCTGGGATTACAGGCATTAGCCACCACGCCCAGCCTAATTTTTGTATTTTTAATAGAGATGAGGTTTCACCATGTTGGCCAGGTTGGTCTCAAACTCCTGCCCTCAAGTGATCTACCTGCCTCAGCCTCTCAAAGTGCTGGGATTACAGGAGTGAGCCACCATGCCCACCCAACATATTTTCAGTGTAGATGAAACAGACTTCAGTCCGAGCACAGTGGTTCATGCCTGTAATCCCAGCACTTTGGGAGGCTGAGGCGGGTGGATCACTTGACGTCAGGAGTTCAAGACCAGCCTAGCCAATATAGTGAAACCCTATCTCTACTAAAAATACAAAAATTGGCTGAGCATGGTGGCAAGCACCTGTAATCCCAGCTACTCGGGAGGGTGAGGCCGGAGAATCACTTGAACCCAGGAGGCAGAGGTTGGAGCTGAGCCTTAGAGGGAGCTGAGATTGCACCATTGCACTCCAGCCTGGGTAACAAGAACGAAACTCTGTCTCTCTCTCTCTCTCTCTCTCTCTCTCTCTCTCTCTCTCTCTCTCTCTCTCATACACACACACACACACAAACACACACACACACACACACACACACAAAAGAGCCTTCTATAGGAAGAAGATGCCATCTAGAACTTTCATAGCTAGAGAGAAGTCAATGCCTGGCTTCAGTGCTTCAAAGGACAGGCCGACTCTCTTGTTAGGGGCTAATGCAGTTGGCAACTTGAATTTGAAGCCAGTGCTCATTGACCATTCTGGGGAAAATCTCAAGGACTTTAAAACTTATGCCGAATCCACTCTTGCTGTCCTCTATAAATGGGAAAACACAGCCTGGATGACAACACATCTGTTTACAGCATGGTTTATGGAATACTTTAGGCCCACTGTTGAGACCTACTTCTTAGGAAAAAGATTTCTTTTAAAATATTACTGCTCATTGACAATGCACATGATCACCCAAGAGCTCTGATGGAGATGTACAAGATTAATATGATTTTCATGCCTGCTAACACAACATCCATTCTGCAGCCCATGGATCAGGGAGTAATTTTGACTTTCAAGTCTTATTATTTTAAGAAATACATTTTAGGCTGGGTGCAGTGGCTCACACCTGTAATCCAAGCACTTTGGGAGGCTGAGGCAGGTGGATCACCTGAGGTTGGGAGTTCAAGACCAGTCTGACCAACATGGAGAAACCCCATCTCTACTAAAAGTACAAAATTAGCTGGGCGTGGTGGCACGTGCCTGTAATCCCAGCTACTTGGGAGGCTGAGGCAGGAGACTCGCTTGAACCTGGGAGGTGGAGGTTGCAGTGAGCCGAGATCATGCCATTGCACTCCAGACTGGGCAAGAAGAGTGAAACTCCATCTCAAAAAAAAAAAAAAGAAAGAGATACATTTTAAGGCCGGGTGCAGCGGCTCACACCTGTAATCCCAGCACTTTGAAAGGCCGAGGCAGGTGGATTACCTGAGGTCAGGAGTTCGAGACCAGCCTGACCAATATGATGAAACCCTGTCTCAAAACAAAACAAAAAACAAAGTGTATGTCCTTGGCCAAATCACTTGGCCTCTCTGTGCCTTACTTTTCTTTTTCTTTTTTCTGAGACAGAGTCTCGCTCTGTTGCCCAGGCTGGAGTGCAGTGGCCCGATCTCGGCTCACCGCAGCCTCCACCTCCCGGGTTCAAGCAGTTCTCCTATCTCAGCCTCCCAAGTAGCTGGGACTACAGGTGCGTGCCACCACACCCGGCAATTTTTTTTTTAATTTTTAGTAGAGATGGGGTTTCACCATGTTAGCCAGGATGGTCTCGATCTCCTGACCTTGTGATCTGCCCACCTCGGCCTCCCAAAGTGCTGGGATTACCGGTGTGAGCCACCGTGCCCAGCCTGTGCTTCACGTTTCTTATCTGTAACACAGGGGTAATTATAGCACTTACTTTACAGGATTGTCGCGAGGGCTAAATAAGCAAGGTCAGGACTAGGGGGAGGTTAATGAGGTACAAAACCTCTTAAAGTACAAAATTTAAGGAGGCATCAAAAATCTCAATAATCAAGACAATAACTTTTTTTTTCATGTTTTTAAGAAAGAGGCTAGGCATGGTGGCTCACGCTTACCTGGGCACTTTGGGAGGCTGAGGAGGGCAGACAACTTGAGCCCAGGAGTTTGAGACCAGCTTGGGCAACATGGCAAACTCTGTCTCTACAAAAAATACAAAAATTACCCGGACATGGTGGTGCGTGCCTGTAGTCCCAGCTACTAGGGAGGCTGAGGTGGGAGGATTGCTTGAGCCTGGGAAGTCGAAGCTCCAGTGAGCCATGAGCATGCTACTGCACTCTAGCATGGGAGACAGAGTAACCGTGTCTCAAAAAAAAAAAAAAAAAACTCCTTGAGCCCAGGAGTTTGACACCAGCCTGGGCAACATAGCAAGACCCTGTCTCTACAAAAATAAAAATTAAGGCCAGGCATGGTGGCTCACACCTGTAATCCCAGCACTTTGGGAGGCCGAGGCGGGCAGATCACGAGATCTAGTTGTTCGAGACCAGCCTGGCCAACATGGCAAAACCCCGTCTCTACTAAAAATACAAAAAATTAGCTGAGCTGGGTGTGGTGGCACGCCCTTGTAGTCCCAGTTACTCAGGAGGCTGAGGCAGGAGAATTGCTTGAACCTGGGAGGCAGAGGTTGCAGTGAGCCGAGATCGTACCACTGCACTCTAGCCTGGGCGACAGAGTGAGACTCTGTCTCAAAAAACAAAAAGTAGTCAGATGTGGTGGTAAATGCCTGTAGTACTAGCTCCTTGGTAGGCTGAGATGGGAGAATCACTTGGGCCCAGGAGTTTGAGGCTGCAGTGAGCTCCACTGCACTTTAGCCTGGGTGACAGCGCAAGACCTGTGTCCAAAATAAATAAATAAATAAAATGATGATTATGATGGATAACATAATGATGTAAGCCACTGTGGGTCCTCTTCTGTCTTCAGGTCCATGGTGCACCTAGTATATTTGACACACAAAGAGAATCATATTTTAACCTCCATATGTCAGAATTTTTATCAATAACAATTATGAAATAAAACAAATAATCATGGTCAGAAAGTAAACACAGTGAAAATTTTATTTTTTATTTTATTTTATTTTTTTGAGACGGAATCTCGCTCTGTTGCCTGGGCTGGAGTGCACTGGTGTGATCTTGGCTCACTGCAAGCTCCACCTCCCAGGTTCATGCCATTCTCCTGCCTCAACCTCCCGAGTAGCTGGGACTACACGCACCCGCCACCACGCCCGGCTAATTTTTTGTATTTTTAGTAGAGATGGGGTTTCACCGTGTTAGTCAGGATGGTCTCGATCTCCCGGCCTCGTGATCCACCCGCCTCAGCCTCCCAAAGTGCTAGGATTACAGGCATGAGCCACCGTGCCCAGCTTTTCCCTTGTTTTTATAGTTACTGTGCTATCACTGTTGATTTCAAATTTGTTGTTTAAATGCAAGGATGTGGAGACATGAACTACTCCCAAAGTGAGCTCCCATGATTTCGACCCACTGGGAACTCTCAAACTAAAGGTGTGTAGCTGACTCCCTGTGTGCTGGGGGCCAAGCGTATAACTCAGGAGTTATCCAAATTAGCTTCCATGTAGAATATATTATTTATTAAAGTTTAGGTAATAAAAATATATGAATCTGCAGCTTACATATATTCCTAAAACTTATAGCAGTCCCAGTGCTTTGGGAGGCCGAGGTGGGAGGATCCCTTGAGCCCAGGAATTCGAGGCTGCAGTGAGCTGTGATTGTGCCATTGCCCTTCAGCCTGGCTGACAGAGGGAAACTCTGTCTCTTAAAAAAAAAAAAAACAAAAAAAGAACAAAAAACAAAAACCTCACAGCAATCACAACAATTAGTACTTTGACCAACAGAGGGATCTCTTTGGGAAGGATGATTTTATCACTGACATTATTTAGAATTGCCAAGCCATGGTGATAGTAAAAAGCAGACCTACCCAGTTTCATTGATGTTTTTATTTTATCATTTTTTTTACTTTTTTTGTAGAGGTGAGGTTTCACCATGTTGCCCAGGCTGGTCTTGAACTCCTGGGCTCAAGCAATCCACCTGTCTCAGCCTCCCAAAGTGCTGGGAGTACAGGCGTGAGCCATGGCAACTGGCCTCACTAATGTTTTTAAATTCTCTACAGACAAAGCATGCCTTATTTCTTGCACATGGCAGACTCACTACCACCCTTACCTGATTCACCTCTGCCTCAGGCTACCAGTTTCCCATCTTTGGCCAAGACAAAGGCCCCTTCCAAAGCTGACAACATTCCACTATTTTTTTTTTTTTTTGAGATGGAGTCTCGCCCTGTCACCTAGGCTGGAGTGCAATGGCGCAATCTCAGCTCACTGCAACCTCTACCTCCTGGGTTCAAGCCATTTTCCTGCCCCAGCCTCCCGAGTAGCTGGGATTGCAGGCGCGTGCCACCACGCCCCGCAAATTTTTTGTATCTTTAGTAGAGACAGGGTTTCACCATGTTGGCCAGGCTGGTCTCGAACTCCTGACCTTGTGATCCGCCCACCTCGGCCTCCCAAAGTGCTGGGATTACAGGCGTGAGCCACTGCGCCCAGCCCTTCTTCTTCTTTTTTTTTTTGAGATGGAGTGTTGCTCTGTCACTCAGGCTGGAGTGCAGTGGCGTGAATTTTTGTCTCCCGGTTTCAAGCGATTCTCCTGCCTCAGCCTCCTGAGTAGCTGGGATTATAGGCATGCACCATGACGCCCAGCTAATTTTTGGTGGGAGTTTTAGTGGAGACAGGGTTTCACCATGTTGGCCAGGCTGGTCTCAAACTCCTGACCTCAAGTGATCCATCTGCCTCGGTCTTCCAAAGTGCTGGGATTACAGGCATGAGCCACTGCGCCTGGCCAACTTTCTTTTATTAATTCTTTCTTTTTTTAAAAAGAGACAAAGACTGCCTCTAAATCCACTCTTTCTAATTTTGGCTCCACAAGCTATTTCCAGCCAATGACCCTGGGTAAGTCAGTTCATCTTTTTAAGTCTGTTTTCTCATCTGGAAATGGAAGTAACAATCCCTACCCATACCTTACCCCTGTGAGGGTTCCATGAAGCAGTGGGGGAGAAGAGTGTTTAGAAAGAGGAGGGCACCACCCAGGTGGCAGGTGTACACAGATGGCAGGCCTTGACAACAAAGGTGATTATGTTCTTCTGAGCTCACAAGCTGTTCCTGGATCCAGGATCTGAGAGAGGGGAAGGGGATCTGGTGGGTGCTAGACTGCAATCACTGAGAGATTTTTTTCCTTCCAGGAAAAGGCTAGATCCTCTTGGCCAGGAGGCAGGGAACTGATCACCATGACCTAGGCTGCTCTGCTGCTGTATCAGAGCCTGGCTGGATAGAGAACTTCTCTTCCAGGGGAAGGCGGCCAAGGAGCAGGGTACAAAGAAACACTGAAACCCGCTGGTTCTTGTCCTGGGAAGCACCCGGAAAAGAGCTCACCTACTTGTTTAACTGTCTTCCCCAAAGAAAATGTAACTTTTTTTCTTTCTTTTCTTTTCTTTTTCTTTTCTTTTTTTTCTTTCTTTTTTTTTTTTTTTTTTTTTTGAGACAGGGCCTCATTTTGTCTCCCAGGCTGGAGTACAGTGCCATAATCATTGCTCAGTGCAGCCTTAACATCTCAGATTCAAGCTATCCTCCTGCCTCAGCCTCCTGATTAGCCGGTACTACAGGCACAAGGCACCAGGCATTTTTGTATTGTTTGTAGAGATGGGGTCTCACTGTGTTGCCCAGGCTGGTCTCAAACTCCTGGGCTCAAGCAAGCCTGCTTCAATCTCCCAAATTGCTGGAATTACAGGCATTAGCCACTGTGTCTAGCCAGATAGAGCAGGAGTCAACAAACTTTTTGTGGGGGGAGGGGCTCAAACAGCAGAAATTGATTTCTGACAGTTCTGGAGGTTGGGAAATCCAAAATCAAGGTGCTGCCAAGGTTGATTTCATTCTGAGGACTCTTCCCTTGACTTGTCATCAGCCACCATCTTGCTGTGTGCTCACATGACCACATGACCTCTTCTTTGTGAGCTTGAGAGAGAGGGAGTAAGCTATCTGGTGTCTCTTCTTATTAGGGCACTGTCTTAGTCCATCTAGGCTACTACAGCAAAATACTTTACAGTGGGCAATTTATCAAAGACAGAAATCTCTCCGAGTTCTGGAGGCTAGGAAGTCCAGGATCAAAGCTCCAGGAGATTTGGTGTCTAGTGATGGCCAGTTCCTCATACAGAGCACTTTCTATGTGTCCTCACATGGCAGAAAGGCAAGGCAGCTCTCTGGTGCCTCTTTTTTTTTTTTTTTTTTTTTTTAAGACAGAGTTTCCCTCTTTTTGCCCAGGTGATCCGCCTGCCTTAGCCTCCCAAAGTGCTAGGATTACAGGCGTGAGCCACCGCTCTGGTGCCTCTTTTTTTTTTTAATTTTTTTTAAAATTATACTTTAAATTCTGTGCTACATGTGCAGAACATGCAGTTTTGTTACATAGGTATACACATGCCATGGTGGTTTGCTGCGCCCATCAACCTGTCATCTACATTAGGTATTTCTCCTAATGCTGTCCCTCTCCTAACCCCTCACCCCCTGAACAAACTTTTTTCGAAAGAGCCAGCTAGTAAATATTTTAGGCTTTTCAGGCCATATGGTCTCTGTTGCAACTACTCAACTCTGCTGTTGTGGTGAGAAAGCAGCCATAGACGATACGTAAACGGAGCGTGGCTGTGTTCCAATAAAACTTTATTTATGGATGCTACAATATGAATTTCATATAACTTTCACATGTCATGAAATATTCTTCTTTTGACTTTTAAAATGATTTAAAAATCTAAAACCCATTCTTAGCTTGCAAGCATACAAACACAGTAGGCCAGATTTATCATGTGGGCCAGTTTGTGCGCCTCTATCCTAGAGGGCAGAGACTGTCTTCTCCTCTGCTGTATTCCTAGTGCCTAGAACAGTGCCTGGCATGTAGCTGGTGCTCAGTAACTATTTGTTGGTGATCAGCTGCTCCCTCTTCTGCCCCTTTTAACTCCAATTCCCTTCCCAACTCTTCCTGCTACTGTGTCACCTCTGCTGTCGCCTCCTGTCCTCTCTAATGTCAGCAACCAAAGTTGGCCTCACCCCCAGGCTCCAGGTCAGAGGTACCGCTCTGTGGAGGAGCTCACTGCCTAATTCTCTGCCTTGCTCTCCTTGACCCTCTGCAGTCCTGGACCATCCCACCTGCATGCTTCTGTTCCTCCTCTTCCTCTCTGACCACTCCCTCTCTCTTTTTTTTTTTTTTTTTTTTTGCCGATTGCTGTGACTTTATTTTAAAGGGTTTTCAGACTTACAGAAAGGGGCTTTTCAGATGGGGCTGTGTCACTATCAACCATCTTCACTGTGGAGTCCTAGTCACTATGATTTTTGTTTTGTATATCACAAAGATTCATTCAAATTGTCTCCTCTTCTATTCCTTCATAATAGGTTTACATGGTCCGAAAGTACATCCCTCCTTCTCTAGTACATTTCATTCAAACAGATGGCTGCTACTTCTCTATTGTCATTAATCTTTTCATCATCTTCTTATTCTTCTTAGCACAGTTGGGGCATAACATATTATCTTCTGTGCCTGGGGATGGGAAAATGCAGGCAGGTAACAAGAAGAGAGAAATCATCCTCCTGTGAGTGGTAGGCACTCAAGCCTGACCTGCATGAAACTGCAGGCGTACTCAACCCTTTGTGTCTGCCGAGAGAAGTCTGCCATGGACCACACACCACCTGACACCAGCGGCTTGCATCAAAAAGGCCTCAAGAGAAACAGGAATGGAACTTGAATTCACAGCCTCAGGCTCAACAGCTCTTGCAGCAATTCTTGCCCTTGATGCCAACATGGCTCCCTGCGCTGAAGTTATCACTTCGACTGTATTCGTCTCTTCTGCTCTCTCATTCATCTCATAAGTTTTCTGAAGCCTTGCTCTCTTGGTCACTGCCTTGTGTTTCCTTGAACACCGCTGTAATCTGGTCTCTTGTGACATTTCAGGCATATCTTGCTGTTGTTCAGGGTAAGCAGGCCTATGGACCCTCAGATAAACTTCGATTTTCTTGCCATTAGTACTCAAACTGAGTTGTTGGCACCAGTCCCGCAAAGTGTCCCAACACACCTTATTAATGGGAGGCAAAATGGTCGGCAAGGGAAGAGCTGGTATTTTGCATCTAGCTTTTTGTGGAGCTGTAAATTGTTAATTTGTTTGAAGTAGATGACCTTGATTGTATTTCATAGGTTTCTCCAGTTTGACATCAGAAGTTGAAGAAACACTTGGTTCTGTTTGTTCCATATTTGGGTCATCTTTAACTGGCAGCAATGTCAAAATCACACTTTCCTCATCAGCTACTTCCCCCTCAAAGAAATTCTTCTTGCTGCTATCCAAATTTGAGTCTGACATTTTCAGCAACACCCCTGTCTTGTCCATTCGGTGATACATTTTTTTTAAAATTAGGCCTGGCATGATGGCTCATGCCTGTAATCCCAGCGCTCTGGGAGGCTCAGGCAGGCAGATCACTTGAGTCCAGGAGTTCGAGATCAGCCTGGGAAACATGGTGAGACCCCAGTCTCTGGGACTACAGGCGTGCACCACCACACCTGGCTAATTTTGTATTTTTAGTAGAGACGGGTTTCACCAGGCTTGACCACTCCCTCTTTGGCTTCGTTCTCATTCATCCCCTGACCACAGTCAGGGGAGTCCCTCCAGGCTGAGGCCTCATGTCTTCGCTGCACACAAGTGCAGAACCCACTCAGTGAACCCCAGGCCCCAATCTCTGGCTCTCTCCCTTCTTTGCAGGGGGAAGAATTTGGAGGGAAGGAAGGAAGTCTGTGATTGTCACCTACCATTTATTTTCTTCTTTTTTTTTTTTTTTTTTTTTGAGACAGAGTCTCACTCTGTTGCCCAGGCTGGAGTGCAGTGGTGCAATCTCGGCTGACTGCAAGCTCCACCTCCTGGGTTCACACCATTCTCCTGCCTCAGCCTCCTGAGTAGCTGGGACTACAGGAGCCCGCCACCACGCCCGGCTAATTTTTTGTATTTTTAGTAGAGACAGGGTTTCACCGTGTTAGCCAGGATGGTCTCGATCTCCTGACCTCGTGATCTGTCTGCCTTGGCTTCCCAAAGTGCTGGGATTACAGGCGTGAGCCACCACACCCGGCTGTCACCTACCATTTCTATGGAGCACCTATCGTGTGCCAGGTGCCACACAGGTATTTTATTGCCTGATCTCACTTAATACTCATAGCCACCTCTAGTTTTCTAAGGCACAAACTGAGGCTCAGAGGGGTTAACCGAAATACTCAAAGTCACACAGCTAGGAGGTAGCCAGACCAGGATTAGAGCCCAGGTTGGTGTGGCTCCATTCACAAGTACATTTTGAGGGCCTACAATATATCAAATGTATCCAGAGAAACAGCAGTAAACAGACAAGTCCTGCCTCATGGAGCTTTGTTCTAGTGGGAGAAACAAACAGGTAAATAAACAACAGGATTGCTAGTAAAGAGCATGCCATGAAAAATAAAAAGATAACGTAGGTTATATAGCTGATGGAGAGCTTTTTTTTTCTTTTTCTTCAGACAGTCTCGCTCTGTCACCCAGGCTGGAGTGCAATGTCGCAATCTTGGCTCATTGCAACCTCCGCCTCCTGGGTTCAAGTGATTCTCCTACCTCTGCCTCCCAGGAAGCTGGGATAACAGGCATGCGCGCCACCATGCCTGGCTGATTTTTGTAGTTTTAGTAGAGACAGGGATTCACCATGTTGGCCAGGCTGGTCTCAAACTCCTGATCTCAAGTGATCCGCCCGCCTCAGGCTCCCAAAGTGCTGGGATTATAGGCGTGAGCCACCGCGCCCGGCCAAGGGGAACTATTTTAGGTAAGATAAGAAAAGGAAAGTCCTCTCCGGGAGGTGACATTTGAGCAGAGGTGTGAATGAAGTAAGAGAGTGAACCCTGAGAAATGGAGAAAGAATGTTCCAGGTGGAGGGCATAGCAGGAGCAGAGCCTGACAGGAGCATACCAGGCATGTCCAGTGATCCGCAAAGATACCCGGTGGCAGGAGAGCGGCGAACGAGGGACAGAGTGGTAGGAGAGAGTGCCCGACGGAGTGGGCCGGGGCCTGGGGGGTTCACAGACTTGGCCAAGACTTTGGATTTGTTTGAAGTGTGATGGGGGAGGCGCAGGAGGATTTCAAGCAGAAGGATGACACCATTCCCATTCCTCAGATGAGGGATGAGACAGACAAGAGACTCTGCCCCCTCCATCACTCCATCACTGCTCCATCACTGTCACCCACTGTGTGCACACTGAGCTCTCCTGGACCCCTTTCTGAACTTAGCATAGTGAAGTGATCAAGAGCACTGGCTTTCAGGTCTGAGAGAAGTGGGTTCCCAGCCCAGCTGCAATACTTACTGGCTGTCTGACCATGGGCAATCCTGTCCCTCTCTAAGCCTCAGTTTTCTCATCTGGAAAATGGGACAATAATTTTTGTCTCATGGCATTGTATCATTGGGGTGATTTGATGAGTTCTTACTTGTAAAACACTCAGCTCCAGGCAGGCTACATAGGGCTCTCTCAATAAGCACTCATAGTTTGTTACTATTATTTTTTAATTTTTTTTGAGACAGGAGCTTGCTCTTTTGCCCAGGCTGGAGGGCAATGGCTCAATCATAGCTCACTGCAACCTCAAACTCCTGGGCTCAAGCTATGCTCTGGCCTCAGCCTCCAAGTAGCTAGGTCTATGAATGCGCGCCACCATGCCTGGCTAATGTTTTTATTTTTAGTAGAAATGGTATCTTGCTATGTTGCCCAGGCTGGCCTCAAACTCCTGGGCTCAGGCAATCCTCTTGGCTCAGCCTCCCAAAGTGCTGAGATTACAGGCATGAGCCACCGCACCCCACTTGTGATTATTATTATTTAAAGTTTCAGCTCTGTTCTGGCACTTTGTAATCGCTCATTAAAGGTAACTATCATTGTGATTATTCTCCTCATCCTGTTCCACCTGTTAAAGACACATTAGCCAGGAATACCCTTTACTGAGAGGCCAAGAAAGAATAATGATGACAGACCCTCTCCCCAGGACAGGTCCTTTCCAGAACCTCTGCTCTTGAACATCATAGAAAAACCTCGGCCGGGCGCGGTGGCTCACACCTGTAATCCCAGCACTTTGGGAGGCTGAAGCGGGCAGATCACGAGGTCAGGAGATCGAGACCATCCTGGCTAACATGGTGAAACCCTGTCTCTACTAAAAATACAAAAAATTAGCCGGGTGTGGTGGCAGGTGCCTGTATTCCCAGCTACTTGGGAGGCTGAGGCAGGAGAATAGCTTGAACCTGGGAGGCGGAGGTTGCAGTGAGCCAAGATCGCGCCACTGCCCTCCAGCCTGGTGACAGGGAGAGACTCCGTCTCAAACAAAGAAAAAAAAAAGAAAAAGAAAAACCTCCCAGGCTTCAGAAGAGGGACCCAAAACCCGGCCCTCAGCCCCTGTCAGTTCAGCCCCCTGCTCCTTGCCAGAACTGCCTCTTTGACAGGGCGCAGAGTGGTAGCCTCACTTGTGTCTAGCAAAGCCCTTTCACACTCACAAGTCACTCATTTAACAAACATCTCAAGGCCAGGCGAAACCCCGTCTCTACAAAAATCTTTTAAAAATAAAAAAAAAAAAAAATAGCTGAGTAGTGGTGCATGCCTATAGTCCCAGCTACTTGGGAGGCTGAGGTGGGAGAATTGCTGGAGCCCAGGATGTTGAGGCTGCAGTGAGCCATGATTGCACCACTGGACTCTAGCTTGGGCAACAAAACAAGATCCTGTCTCAAAAAAAAAAAAAAAAAAAGCTAGAATTTATCCATCACTCAGAGTGTAGCATTTCAGAGCATGAGATTAGATTGCCTGGGTCTGAGTTGCAAATTTACCATTGCATAGCTGGGTGATGTTGGACATATCATTCATTTAGTCTTTTTGAGTACCTGTGTGCCAGGCAGTGTGTCAGGTGTCAGGAAGACAATGAAGAGCCAACAAGACCCAACAGCTGCCCTCTCACAGTTTACAGTCTAATTTAAAAGCCAGATGTAGGCCGGGGGCAGTGGCTCACGTCTGTAATCCCAGCACTTTGGGAGGCTGCGGTGGGCAAATCACCTGAGGTCAGGAGTTCGAGACCAGCCTGACCAACATGGAGAGACCCAGTCTCTACTAAAAATACAAAAAATTAGCTGGTGTGTGGTGGGCGCCTGTAATCCCAGCTACTCGGGAGGCTGAGGCAGGAGAATCGCTTGAACCCAGGAGGCAGAGGTTGCAGTGAGCCAAGATTGTGCCATTGCACTCCAGTCTGGGCAACGAGGGTGAAACTCTGTCTCAAAAAAAAAAAAAAGCCAGATGTTAATCAAATAGTCACATAAACAAATGTAAAAAAGTACAACTTTGAGAAGCACTGTCAAGTATTGATTGCTATGGGTATGAGTACTACGGAGGTGAGGGAAAATGTCCTGGAGGAAGTGATGT
Organism: Homo sapiens; assembly: GCF_000001405.40. NCBI lineage: Eukaryota > Metazoa > Chordata > Mammalia > Primates > Hominidae > Homo > Homo sapiens. The sequence goes on from NC_000001.11 coordinate 26,524,339, forward strand.
AGAGCTGAGCTGGCTTGAAGAACAAAGAAGACTGTTTCAAGTACAAGGAGTGGCATGTGCGAAAGCCCTGCGGCAGAACTGAAGGAAAGCCAGTGTGGCTGGAGCCACGAGAGAGGTGGAGCACACTTTTGTGCACTGAAACTTTAGCAGCATCTGTACCTGTGGGCTACAGTTTGTTCTGCACAGCTCTCTGATGAGTGACTGCTATGCCTACTCCAGAGATGGGCAAGCTGACCCCTAGAGAAGCTCTCCAGGTAGAGCCCAGATGTCCTCTGGGCTCCCCTCTTACCAGCATGACCCACTCATGGGAGAGGGGACACAGGAAGTGAAGCTTATTCATAAAAGGTTGAAAGCACAACCAATCAATCAGTCCTTAAGTGAGAGGATGCTCTTGATAGGGAGATTACTTTGAGAGGGAGAAGAAAGAGGGTCAGGGACCCAGGAAGGGAGAAAGCTGAAGGTAGAACCACTCCTGCTTTCCCTCACCTCCTCTACTCCTGCCATCCACCCCACCTCTCTGGCCCATCCCCTGACCCTCATCCTGTGGGTCTCAGTGTCTCTCTTCCTAACTTAAATGTGGCTGACTCCAAGCCAGGTATCTGGCAGCTACGTGCGATCTGTTCCAATTCCTGAGTACAATTACTAGATCTAGCAAACCAAAATACATGATACCCAATTTGAATTTCAGATAAACAACACATACACTTTTAGTCAAAATATGTTCAAGTATAACAGCTCAAACTGGGAGCAGCAAGAGCTGGGGCATCACAACCTGCTTCCAGGTAACTGAACTGGACGATCCCCACACTGATGTGAATAATGGCTGCCAACTCTGGTCCAGGCTGCCGTCTGTTTTGTCCTCACCTTTTCTCATCAGGGAGGTGGAGACTATGTGAACAAAAGAACACACTCTGCGCTGGGCGCAGTGGCTCACACCTGTAATCCTAGCACTTTGGGAGGTCGATGGTGGCAGATCACCTGAGGTCAGAAGTTCAAGACCAGCCTGGTCAACATGGTGAAACCCCGTCTCTACTGAAAATACAAAAAATTAGCTGGACATGGTGGTGGGCACCTGTAATCTCAGCTACTCGAGAGGCTGAGGCAGAAGGAGAATGGCTTGAACCTGGGAGGTAGAGGTTCCAGTGGGCTGAGATGGTACCATTGCACTCCAGCCTGGGCAACAAGAGTGAAACTCTGTCTAAAAAATAAATTAATAACACACTCTGGAGCCAGACTGTCAGGTTGTCTCTCAGCTCTGCCATTTTTCAGTCCTGTGGCTTTTTTTTTTTTTTTGAGTTGGAGTTTCCCTCTTGTTGCCCAGGCTGGAGTGCAATGGCACAGTCTCAGCTCACTAAAACCTCCACCTCCCAGGTTCAAGTGATTCTCCTGCATCAGCCTCCCGAGTTGCTGAGATTACAGACACCCGCCACCACGCCCAGCTACTTTTTTTTTCTTTTTTTTTCTTTTTTTTGTATTTTTAGGGGAGACGGGATTTCACCATGTTGGCCAGGCTGGTCTTGAACTCCTGACCTCAGGTGATCCACCCGCCTTGGCCTCCCAAAGTGCTGGGATTACAGGCGTGAGCCACCGCGCCTGGCTGCAGTCCTGTGGCCTTGGAGGGACCCAAGTAATGGGATGCTTACTTTCTCTGCCCTCAGTTTCCCCATCTGTACACTGGAGAGAATAATAGCACATAACACATAAGATTACAAGGACTACCTTAGTTTATGCAGGTAAAAAATGCATAGAACAGTGCCTGGTCCATAGTAAGTGCTATGTTAGTGTTAGCTGTCATTATTTATTTAGTTACACCACAATGAATGTAAACTCCGTAAAGGCAAATACTTTATTTATTATGTATTTTATTATTTATTTTTTAGCAATGGGGTCTCACTCTGTCGCCCAAGCTGGAATGCAATAGTGTGATCATAGCTCACTAGAGTCTCAAATTCCTGAGCTCAATGGATCATTCTACCTCAGCCTCCTGAGTAGCTAGGATTACAGGTACCCAGCTAAGGACTTTAATTTATTCATTGCTATATTCTCAGCATCTAGTAGAAAGCCTGAGCCACATCCCCTGGTGTGCTGAGGCAAGAGGATTGCTTGAGGGCAGGAGTTCAAGGCTGTAGTGTGCTATGGTTGCGTCTATGAATAGCCACTGCACTCCAGCCTGGGCAACATAGCGAGACCCCATCTTTACAAATAATAATAATAATAGGCCAGGCGCAGTGGCTTATGCCTGTAATCCCAGCACTTTAGGAGGCCAAGACGAGCAGATCATGTGGTTAGGAGATTGAGAGCATACTGGCCAACATGGTGAAACCTCGTCTCTACTAAAAATATATATATATAAAATTAGCCAGGTGTGGTGGCACACGCCTATACAAAAATTAGCCAGGTGGGCCGGGCGCGGTGGCTCACGCCTGTAATCCCAGCACTTTGGGAGGCCGAGGCGGGCGGATCACGAGGTCAGGAGATCGAGACCATCCTGGCTAACACGGTGAAACCCCGTCTCTACTAAAAATACAAAAAATTAGCCGGGCGTGGTAGCGGGCGCCTGTAGTCCCAGCTACTCGGGAGGCTGAGGCAGGAGAATGGCGTGAACCCGGGAGGCGGAGCTTGCAGTGAGCCGAGATCGCACCACTGCACTCCAGCCTGGGTGACAGAGCGAGACTCCGTCAAAAAAAAAAAAAAAATTAGCCAGGTGTGGTGGCACATGCCTATAGTCCCAGCTACTTGGGAGGCTGAGCAGGAGAATCATTTGAACCCGGGAGGCGGAGGTTGCAGTGAGCCGAGATCAGGCTACTGAACTGCACTCCAGCCTGGGCGACAGAGTGAGACTCCATCTCAAAATAATAATAATAATAATAAAAAGAAGGCTTGGCTTACAATACATGCTCAGAAAGAGGGTCTAGTGTGTAATATATAGCCATAAATAAGCCAGGTGTGGTGGCTGTAATTCCAGCATTTTGGGAGGCTGGAGGATCGCTTGAGGCCAGGAGTTTAAGACCAGCCTGGGCAAGATAGTGAAACCCCATCTCTACAAAAACAAAACATATAAAAAATTAGCTGGGGACCTGGCACAGTGGCTCACGCCTATAATCCCAGCACTTTGGGAGGCCAAGATGGGCAGACCATGAGGTCAGGAGATTGAGACCATCCCAGCTAATACAGTGAAACCCCGTCTCTACTGAAAATACACAACGTTAACCAAGCGTGGTGGCACGCACCTGTAGTCCCAGCTACTCAGGAGGCTGAGGCAGGAGAATTGCTTGAACCTGGGAGGTGGAGGTTGCAGTGAGCTGAGATTGAGCCACTGCACTCCAGCCTGTTGACAGAGCAAGACTCTGTCTCAAAAGAAAAGAAAAAAAATTAGCTGGGCATGGTGGCACACACCTGAAGTGCCAGCTACTTGTGGGAGGTGGGAGGATCGCCTGAGCCCAGAAGTTCAAGGCTGCAGTGAACTACGATTTTACCACTGCACTGCAGCCTAGGCAACAGAGCGAGACTCCGTCTCTAAAAAACAAATAAAAAATATATAGCTGTAAATTTATTGAATTAAAATGAATCTTGTCCTATATACCTGAAAGATTGAGATTATAATTCCCATTTTACAGATGGAGAAATTGAGGTTTAGAGGCATAAAATGAGTTTCCCTGTGTTAAGAAGGTAGCAGAGCTGGAATTCAAACCCAGAATTGTTGGGTTCCAAAGTCCTTTCACTCAAAATTCAGTTCAACAGCTGAGGTCCTACCCTGGGAAAGCCATGGAAAAGGGGGAGCACGTGGATTCTGGAGAAATCCTTATCCACTTTGATTTTTTTTTTTTTGAGATGGAGTCTCTGTCGCCCAGGCTGGAGTGCAGTGGGGGCTATCTCCGCTTACTGCAAGCTCCGCCTCCCGGGTTCACACCATTCTCCTGCCTAAGCCTCCCGAGTAGCTGGGACTACAGGTGCCTGCCACCACGCCCTACTAATTTTTTGTATTTTTAGTAGAGACAGGGTTTCATCATGTTAGCCAGGATGGTTTCAATCTCCTGACCTCGTGATCCGCCCGCCTCGGCCTCCCAGTGCTGGGATTACAGGTGTGACACTTTGATTTTTTTAAGCCCTAGTCTGTTCTCAACCTCTTGTGTGACCTTGGGTAAGTCACTTCATCTTTCCGAGCTTGTTTCAGGATTTGTAAACTAGGTGGTGGTAATCATTCAAGGAAATCACATGGCTCGCAGGAAGCTTTTGATAAACATTCCTTCCCATTCCCCTGCCTTAGAACAGCTTTGCAAATAACTGACCAGTCTTCCTGCGAAACCAGCAAGCTTGTCCCTCCAGCAAGCTCACTCCTCACATGTGAATACATCTCAGCACACCCGGACCCCTAAGGCTCTTTAGGTGGAGGCTGAATCTCTCTGGGGCAACCAGTCTCCCTGGCCTTTCACTCCAAGTCCCACCAAGCCTCGGTTCATCCTGGGAGCCTGGTCCCTCCTCAGAGAGTCGCAAACCCAAACTAGTCCAGAGCTGGGGCTGCAGGTGACTCCAGGGAGACCTGACCTGAAAGGACCCCCTTCAAGTGATAGGGCAGAGCACAGATTGCAAAAACGCATATTAAGAAATCACTCTTGGCCGGGCGCGGTGGCTCATGCCTGTAATCCCAGCACTTTGGGAGGCCGAGGCAGGAGGATCACTTGAGCCGGGGAGTCAGAGACCAGCCTAGGTAACAAAGCGAAACTTCGTGTCTCTCTCTCTCTCACTATATACACACATACATACATATATGTGCATATATATAATATTTATTTATACATATTTATTTATATATGTAATATTTATATACATTATGTAAAATCAATCGATCAATCAATCACTCTGTGGTGGCACTATGGGTCCTGATGGTGGTAACAACTGCTGATGCCCATCTTGGCCTGGGGCACTGAGATCGCCCGGAGATCACAGTGTTAGCTTCAGGGCGGGGTAGAAATTAGAGGATAGGGGATCTCTAGGGCCTGGTGAGTTGAGGGCCTAAGGGGAGTGGGTCTCAGGCTCCTTCCAAGCCTCAGCCTAGATCAGGCCCAGGAACCCAGTGTGAATGTGTGTGCTGGGGTCGGGGATAAGGTGCTTCTCTCCCGTTGGAAGGAGAAGGAACATCTGGGCTGGGATTCCAAAAGAGCTGAGCGGGGGAGAACGGTGGCCCTGGTGTGGTGTGTCCAGGGGTACACCACTGGAAGGGAAGGAGCCAGCAGGGCCTCTCCGGCGGAGCCGAGCGCGGGCCGGGGGCTCGCGGCAGGGGCGGGGCCGGCCCTCGGGGCGCGGCGGGGGCGGGGGTCCGCGCTGGGAATGCCGCGCCGCGGGGGCTGGGGCGGGGCTTCTCCGGCTCCGCCCCCGCGCAGGTAGCCAATGGGCGCGGCGGCGCCGGGTGACGGAGGGAGCCGAAGTGCTAGTGCCGCGGCGGCGGCGGCGGACGGCCCAGCCGGAGCGCGAGGGGCTCGGGGGGGCGCGGCGGTTCGGGTCGCAGAGCCAGGGACCCCAGGACCCGGGAGGCGGCGCAGCCGGGGCCGCCGGAGGAGCGCGGGTGACCTGGCGGCGGCGAGATGCCGCTCGCCCAGCTCAAGGAGCCCTGGCCGCTCATGGAGCTAGTGCCTCTGGACCCGGAGGTGAGTGAGCGGGGCGGGGGACGGGCGCCCGCGGCCGGCGAGCCCGGATCCTCACAGGGGCGGGGCGGCCCGAAGCGCCGCTGCAGTCCGGCGGGCGCCCGCGAGGGCGCGAGTGCCCTCCGATCTCTTGCCCACTGTCCGGCTCCACCCCCCTATGCCCGGGTGTGCGTGTGCGAGGGACAGTTCCGCCAAGCGCCGACTACCTCCCCGCCATAGCCAGGAGAGGGGATCCTATGGGGCGCTGAGATCTGGTCGCCTTCACCCCACACCTAGGACCCGTCCCGGCATCTGTCCAGAGCTGTCGGAGCTTCCTCCATTAATGCAGACGGGGAGATCTTCAGTGCCAGATGTCTGGGATTCTACCAGAGACAGGGGTTATGGGACCCCCACTTCTCCCAGGGCCCTCCGCCAAGAGCTCCCTGCTTCTGGCTTCACCGCTGCTGAGCCTAGAAGGATTGCTCCTCTTGACCCCTGGCGGATGCGGAGTGTGGGATGGCACCACCCGTCTGGGGCTGGAACTCCTGGTTTTCTTTGCCCTGAGGCTAGGGCCAGAGGACACCTGTGTGCCCTACCCCAGGCTGTGGAGACGAGAGTGGGGAAGAGCCCTTAGACCTTGTGAAGATGATTCCTGGCAGGGCGTGGGGGGACCTTGGTGCCTGCCTCCCTTCTTATGCCCCTTCCGGTAGGAAGGGCTGGGCCCTTGGGGAGTTTGGCTTCTGCCAGCCCAGACTCCCCAGACAACCCAGCTCCTTCTCTCTCAGAAGCAGCTCCTGACCTCCCTTGAGGGCTCTGTGGCTCCAGTCCCTAAGCGTGCAGAAGGCCACCTCTTCCTGTGCCTTTTGACCCCAGGGTCAAGGTCAAGCCCCTGAATGAGCTGGTGGAAAACTTCCTCCTTAACCTCTTGCTGGGAAGGAAGCAGGTGATATTCTCCTTCCCAGGTGGTTGTTGGGGGTATGCAGGGAGGGAATGGAGACCTCATTTGAGCCCAGGAGCTGAGATGACTTTCTCCCAGCTTGGGCCTGGAGCCCCTGTCTCAGTCCCCTCCTCTGCCCTCTCTTACCTAGGGCAGCCACCAAGTGTCCTGCCTCTCAGGACCACAGGCTTAGATCAGGGTGAGCACCCAGGGTCCCCAGCCCCCAGGGTGTGCTGCCCCTTTAAAGGGATGGCCGACACTGGCTATTGGAGGGTGGGCGCGGCAGGATTAGGTAACCAACCTGAAGGAGCAATTTGGAGTAAATTGCTCTGGGATTCCTGCCATGGGGATTTTACAGGCACTGCTAGGCTGCTCAGAGGTTCTCTCGCTGACTCACCCTCTGAGGTGAGGAACACTGCCCTCTGCAGCCCCTGTACTGCCACCCCGCTACTAGGACCGGGGCGCAAGGTCCTGGGGGTGGTGCTCAGAGGTGGATTCCTTTGCCCAGGCACGCCCCTGGGACCAGGCCTCCAAAGGAGAAGGTAGGGCTGGGAGAGGCTGGGGAGTGACTTTATGCTGATAGGGAGGGTGGACACCCAGGAGCTCGATCCTGGGGCACCACTTCCTGCTTCTCTTTAGGGAATCCTGAGGCAGGGGCCAGCTTCACCAGGGAGCCAGGTTTAACTGGGAAACTCATCTCAGTTTTGAGTTCTGTAACATCTCAGGTCTGTGAGAGGGGAAGACCAGCGGACTTCCTGGGATTGGTGGGGCAGGGGGACGCAATTTCCTCAGGAGCTTCGCTCCAGAAACGATGTGTGATCCTCAGTCAGTCCTCAGCCTGTCTGGGCCTCTGCTTCTCCAGTGGCAAGTGCTAGGTTCTAGCCTCCACTTCCTGGGCCTGAGAGGGTGCAGAGCGCTGGGTACTGTTGTCTGGTCCCCCCTCCCCCACTCCTGGAGGTGCCAGGCGACTGGGTGTTATTGTTTGGGTAACAGGAGCCACAGGGCAGCCACGGCGCAGGTTGGGCTGTTCTCACTGGAGAACAGGGCCTCGCTGTTCTTAGCCCAGGTGACATGTAAGCGATACAGCCGCCTGACCTGCACGTACAGGCACCACCACTGCTGGCAGCTCCTAGCCAGGAAGGAGGCAGGTGAGGGGCTGGTGGGGGACTTTTCACAGGGACCTAGGATCTGGACTGCCCTGCCCTCCCTTAATGCTGCTGAAAATGGGCCGCTGGGAGGCAGGGCCTGGCCCAGGGTGCAGCCCAGGTGGAGTAATCTATGGGAAGCGTGGGTGAGGATTCTGCCTGGGCCTCGCTTAGCCCTGTTGAAAGCAGTAGCCTTGTCCCCAGGCCCAGTTCTGCCACGTACAGAGCTTTACTATGTGCCACCCACTCTGCCTTACGAATGTCACCCCACTTTAATTCTCACAACAGCTTCTCAAGATAGGGATTATTACCCCTGTTTTCAGATGGGACAACTGAAAACTCAGGCTTATGTGTTAATATCAGAGCCAGGATTGGAACCAAGATCTCTCTCTTCCACCAAGTGGGAGAGAGGCTCAGGGATGGGGAAGGGCTGGAGCCACACTAGCCCAGGTGGAAGGTGCTCCAAGAGAGGCTCCGGATGTTGGCGGACTCTCCTTATCCTGCAAGGCCCTCGTCCAGTCTTTGCCGAGGGCTGGCAGTGCCAGCCAGCCCTGGCACCTGGCCCCCAGCCTCCAGCAGTGAGCAGGGCTGCCAATGCTGGGCTCAGAACCCAGCTCCTGGGGCTGCTTCCTGCCTGTGGGGCACGTGCTGTCCTTCTCCATCTGCTGCCCAGCTTCTCCAGACGCTGCCCTGGGCCCCTCTTTCTAAGACAGAGTTGCTTGGGTGGGAAGGAATGATGCCAGTTGGAACCCATTTCTGACATCTCAGAACTGGGGGCAGTGGTCTGGGGCCCTGGGCATCTGTCCTCATGAGCAGTGCTCTCTGAGGAAGAGGGAGGAGTGTGGGTCTTCAACCTCTAAGAGGCCAAAGGACTCCTAAGACAAAGTCCTTCATTCAGTACTCTGCAAGGTCAGCACCATTGTCCCCATTCAGTCATTTATTTAGCACTTAGGTGATAAGTACTATTTCAGACAACAAAGTGCAGATGTCAGCAAGACACACCTGCCCTCGTGATACAGATGAGGAAACTGAGACTTTATTACTATTATTATTTTTTGAGACATAGTCTTGCTCTGTCACCAGGCTGGAGTGCAGTGGCGTGATCTCGGCTCACTGCAACCTCCACCTCCCGGGTTCAAGTGATTCTCCTGCTTCAGCCTCCTGAGTAGCTGGGACTACAGGCCCGTGTCACCATGCCCAGCTAATTTTTGTATTTTTAGTAGAGTCAGGTTTTCACCATGTTGACCAGGATGGTCTCGATCTCTTGACCTCGTGATCCTCGTGATCTGTGAGGCCTCTTGGCCTCAGCCTCCCAAAGTGCTGGGATTACAGACATGAGCCACTGCGCCTGGCCGAAACTGAGACTTCAAAAAGTGATATGAGGCCACGCGTGGTGGCTCATGACTGTAATCCTAGCACTTTGGGAGCCTGAGGCGGGTGGATCACCTGAGGTCAGGAGTTTGAGACCAGCTGGGCCAACATGGCGAAACCCCGCCTCTACTAAAAATACAAAAATTAGCCAGGTGTGGTGGTGCGGCCTATATTCCCAGCTACTTGGGAGGCTGAGGCAGAAGAATTGCTTGAACCCAGCGGGGCAGAGGTTGCAGTGAGCTGAGATTGCGCCGCTGCACTCCAGCCTGGGCAAAAGAGTGAAACTGTCTCAAAAAATAAATAAAAATAAAAATAAAAAGTGATATGACAGACCCAAGGGCAGAATAAGTGGCTGGCAGAGCTAGGATTAGTGGCTGTATCTTTGTGGCTGCACAGCTGTGTTCTTTCAAGGATTGCTATGCAGCAGTCAGGCCAGAGGGGCAGATGACCCCGGACCCAGGACCCAGGCTCTGAGTGGGAAGCCAGCACCCCACAACCCCCCTGACCCCCCTACCAGTCTGTTCTCCAGGGCTGCCTGTTCCCTTACTCTTACAGGTTTGGCGTTCCATAAGAATGACACCCAAGCCAGAGATCCAGGGAGTAGAGGCAGCCAGACTGCCTTAGAGCGGGGGGTCCCTAAGTCATCCAGGCCACTGCTCAAGAAACCCACACCTCTAGGTACACCTACCCCTTCCTCCCCACCCTCAGTAGGCTTGCAGCCACGTGACTTTGGGTTATGGTCACATGTCTGCCACCTGCCTGCTGAGGGACCTCGGTGAGTCCCTTAACTCTCCTGAGCCTCATCTGAAAAATAGGAGTAATAGAACCTGCTCTGGCCTCCTTGCTGTCTTTGCTGGGTTGAACTTTCACTGGATAAACCACATGCTGGACTCTGGCTGGGTGCCAAGATGTTGATGATGGACAAGCCATGGCCCCTTCCCGAGTTAACCTGCAGCATGCTTAGGTTATGGGGGTAGAGAGGAGGGAGGAAAGAACATGAGGCTGTGTGGACAGGGGTGACATTTGAATTCAGTCCTGATAAAAGATCAGGAGTTTGCCAAAGTGACAAGGCAGGAAAGGCTTTCTTGGTAGAGGGAGCCACCATACAAATGCTGGGGATATAAAATAGACTGTTTTCAGGGTCTGTGGTTGTTCAGTTTAGCTCAAAAATAGGGCCCAATGATAAGAATGGCTATTGTTTGTAGGCCAGTTACATGTCAGGTGTATATATTTATAGGCATTATTTCATTTGCTTCTTGCCGCCACCATTGAGGTATGTTACTTTGATCCGCATTTCACAGATGAGGAAACTGAAGCCCCAGTAAATGAACTAACCTTCTAGGGGTCACGCAGGTGGTAGAAGCCAGAATTTGAACCCACAAGGTCAGGTTGCAAAACCTACATTCCTAGTTATTGTGCTGGGCAGTTGAAGATGATGGCCTTGATTTCTATGCTAAGGAGCTGGGACTTGATTCTACAGGCAGTGGAAGCCACAGAGGGGTTTGGGGCCTGGTACATAGAAGGTTCTCAGCAAATGTTGACTGAGTGAGTTGAGTGCAGCAGTTGCACTTGATTTTAGGAATGATGAGGGTTTGGAGTGGGGAAGGCTGTGGGGCAGGGAGCTGGTGGGTAGGCTGTTCTGATCATCTGCAGGAATTATGTCAAGAGTCTAGAATGCTGGGTGAAGTGGAGCTCAGTCTACAAAAGCATCCCTACCACAGCCCAGCCCCTGGGCCCTGACCAACCCATCCCTTCTCCCCAGGCTGCTGAGAGATGACAGTGTGTGTATGGATGTGTGCATGGAGGGGCCTGTAGAACATTTGGCCCCTGGGGAGAGATTAGGGGCATTAAAGGGGCTCAGGGGGCAGGATGTCCTGGGAGTGGCAATGGGGAGCTGTTCCAGGGGCAGGGAGATTATGTAATGGGTAGAGCACAGCTGTGCCTACCCAGCTGTAGCCAAGCAGGGCTACAGCTGCCCCATGGACCCAGCTCCTGGCTCCAAAGTCCAGATCCAGACCTGTTCTAGAGCAGGCCTTCCTAGCTGTTGGGAACCTCCTGTCTGCCTCACCACACTCTCCCTGTTCTAGGAGGGGTGGGGCAATTTCTTTCAGCTTCCAAACGCCCAGATAGGGTAGGTTACTTGCCTCACATCACACAGGAAACAGATGGGCTGGGTTTGACACACCCCAGCATATTTAATAACCACCTGAGAGTGAAGTCTGGGGGCTGGAAAAGGCAAGACTGACCAGAGGGGGGCTCTGGGCTCTGGGCTGTTTCTCAGCTGACCTGTTTGGAGCACCTCCTGGATTTGGGACCAGATTTTGAATCCCCACTCACCAGTTGTGTGACCATAGGCATCATCACTAGGTCCCCTCAGAGCCTCAGTTTCCTTCTCTGCCACATGGGGCCAGGGCCTACCTCCCAGGGCTGTCATGAGGATTAAATGGTGCCACAGGGGCCAGGCGCAGTGGCTCACACCTGTAATCCCAGCACTTTGGGAGGCCGAGGCGGGCGGATCACCTGAGGTCAGGAGTTTGAGACCAGCCTGGCCAACGTGGTGAAACCCCGTGTCTACTAAAAAAAATACAAAAATTAGCCGGGCATGGTGGCGTACGCCTGTAATCCCAGCTACTTGGGAGGCTGAGGCAGGAGAATCGCTTGAACCTGGGAGGCGGAGGTTGCAGTGAGCTGCGATTGCACTACTGCACTCCAGCCTCAGCAACAGAGCAAAACTCTGTCTAAAAAAAAAAAAAAAAAAAAAAAAAGTGGTGCCACAGGTGCGAGGCACTGAGCCCAGTGCCTGCCATGTGGCAGAGGCTTGGAAGAGAGCAGCTGTTAGCCCCAAGCCCTCGTCTCTGCCCTCGTGGGACTCCCCATTTATTAGGAAGGGCAGGCCTGTGTGTAAATAGTCCCTGCAGTGGGACAAGTGCTACAATGAAGGCTGAAGTGGAGGCAGCAGTCATTCTGCCTGGCAAGGTCAGGGGAGGGGTCCCAGAGTGGGGCAGGGCAAGGATAGCCACCATCTCTGGGTTGCATGCTTTCCCAGACTTTGTCTCCTTCCACCCTTGCAGCAACTCTGGGAAGTCAGTGTAACTACCCCACCCCATGTTACAGATGGGGAAACTGAGTCCTCTCACAGTTGACTAGTTTGTACAAGGTTTGTATCTGGTAGAGCTGGAAGCCACACATGACCCTTCCCTTCTCCCTGGGAGGAGGTGACATTTGAACTAAGTCTTCAGAGATGAAGTGTTTGCCAGGCAGACAGCATGAGGGTCAGAATGCTGGTCCCTGGGAATATTCTGCCTGAGTCATGAGGCGCCATTGCCAGAATACTTGGTCCCTGTGCCTACACCATGAAAGTGGAGGTGGAGGGACCCACCCAGGACTCCTGCCCTACCACCATGGCCTCCATGGCTATTGGGAGCACCTAAGGGTGGGGGTGCCCCACAGAGTCTTTCTCCCAAGCGTGTAAGTTCTGACAGTGCTCCCCCAATCTCCTTTCTCTTTTCCAGAATGGACAGACCTCAGGGGAAGAAGCTGGACTTCAGCCGTCCAAGGTGAGGACCATGGCCAGCACCCTGAGCGAGGGGCTGTGGGGGATCCTGTTTGCATGGCTTTGGAGGAGGTTGAGGGCTCCAGCCTCTAGCCCCTTTGCCCAACTCAGCCGTCCTTCTCAGGGCCCACCGAATCCTTGTGGCAACCCTGGGCATAGAAATCACTTGTTCCAACCTTCCTATTTTGTAGGTGAGGCGACTGTGGCCCAGAAAGGGTCAGGAGCAGAATCCAGGTCAGGGCTCTGGTTACCTGTCACCCAGGCCAGGATGCCCCTGCAGTTTATTTACTCATGGAATTTGGGCTGGCTCTAAGGAGTGATGGGAGGGGCTCAGGCCAGCTGTCCTGCTCCTTTTGGTAGAGCTGCGCTTGCCAAGAGCCTGGAAGTGAGCATCTGGGCACGTGAGCTGGAAAGGGGGTGCTGGTGGCCGCTCAAGGCTAACCAGGCCCATTGCCTGGCATGTGGCACTCATGGCATTTCTTAGGGCTTCCACTTCCCAGTGTGAGGGTCATTCCCTCACCCCTGCTATCTCTGCTTCCCCTGGGCCCCTTCCTGTAGCCCCCTAGCCCCTGTTGCTGGTTTTGTGTTTTGCCAGAAGCACCAGGACTAGGTGACAGTGGTGTGACCTTGGGGAGGTTCCTTGTACACTCTGGGCCTTGGCTTTCTCATCTGTATATTGGAAAAGACCACATCCCCTTCACAGGGTGGCTGTGAGGTCACAGGAGATGCTGGCTATGGAGGGTCTTTGGAAGCTGCTTAGGCAGGGACAGAGCATGGTGTTAGAGCAAATCCGGGTTCCAGTCCTGGCTCCATCCCCACCATTTAACCAGAAGCTCTTCTCCCTTCTGAGTCTCAGTTTCCTGAGCTGTAAGTTGGGGAAACAGTGTCTGTCTCACAGGAGCAATGTGAAGGACGATGAGATAGTAACTGCCTGGCACATGGCAGCTTCGGTGCCAGCACCGAAAATGTCCTAGTATATTGCTCAGCTCAGCTTCCTGCCAGTGACCCCACCTTCCAGACCTAGGTTGGCTTGAACACCAGACCTGCCATAAGCTTGACCTTTGAGATGGATGCAGGATTAGTCCTGATGTTTACCTTGACTCAGCTTCCTAAGATGAGGTGACTGAGCTGGGTAGGATAGGGCAGGTGAGGGAAGTATTCTCGCACCACTTCTCTGTGGGTTGCTGTGGCAACCTTGGACCAGCAGAGGCCAGTAAATAGTGTGGACTGGGCCCCTTGGTTTAGCTCAGCCCATGTCTGCAGAATCTCCTCCCACAAAGTAGCTACCTCTTGTTGCCTAGTAACAAAATGAAGAACTGTAGGTTCCCAGTGAAGAAACACGGTGTTCAGATCTCAGGGCTGAGGTTCTGGGGGTTGCAGAGGAGCTTGCAGCATTTAGGGACCTGTGCTGAGTACAGCTTCTCACCTCAAGAACTGGAGGAGCTTACTGGGAGATGGCAGGAGCTTGCCGAGGCAGGTAACCTTTTGCTCCCAAGCCTATGACTCTTGCTCTAGAGCAGAAGATCCTGGGGTAGGAAGAGAGACAGGGCTGGAGATGGATGGGACATGGAGTCTCGAATGCCACTTAAGGAAGAGAAAGAGCTTAACCTATGCCTAGCATCATACCAGGTGCTTTGCATTTAGTTCTAACTACATCCTTGGAGGTAGATTGTTACTGTCCCCATTTTACAGATGAGAAAATTGAGGTTCAACATCACATAGCTGGTGGGCAATGAAGACAAGTCTTGTTTGGCTTCAAGGTCATTCCTCATAGTCCAGAGAACCCTGAGTGCTGAAGAGGAGGAGCACTGGCTTTCTGTGATTCCAAGTGGGACCAGTCCTGGGCACCTGCTCATCCATCTGTTGTCCCAGCCACCAGTGTCCCTAATGCCCACTTCTGGGCTTAATACACCAGGGGGCGCTCAACCTGTGGTCCGGACCTCATCACTTTGTGCAGTGGAATGAGCTGGCAATGGGCCACTTTATCCTAATCAGACATTCGGTGCACCCTGTTGTTCACAGGAGGGCCTAAAATGAAGTCAATATCCCCCACCTTCGAGAAGCTTCCAATCTTTGGGCAGAGGGTAGAGACAGGAAAGCCATGTGGTAGGCGCTATGATGGGGCAAGAGCACAGCTGTGGGCACATAGAACCTCTGCTCTGTGCTAGGCCCATGTTGGGCAGAGACGTATACCACCACCTTCCAGGTGCCCACATTTCTCTCCGTAGCATGACGAGATGAGCACGTCCCCGGGAACCCAGCTGATGGCATCTGAGTTCAGGGCTGAGTGTGGACCAGAGACATGGTCATTGCCGTGCATGGCCGAGGAAGAAGAGTTGGGGTGGGCTCTAGGGCACAGGCCATGTTCCCTGCGGAACTGGCATTTGGCTGGGACTCAAAAGGCAGGATTTGGGCAGCTGGAGAAAGAATTGGGCCTTCCAGGTGGCAAAGAGGCAGGGAAGAGAGTCAGGGATTCTGAGTTCAGAATCCTGCACCTATTTTTTATTTGCCTTGTAACCTTGGGCAAGTCATTTGCCTTGCTGAGGCTCGGGTTCTTTCCTGAAAAATGAAAGGAGAATAAAGCCTATTTCTCAGGGCTACCTGGAAAAGAGAATGTGGTACATATAAATTAAAGTATCTAACAGGGCTTGTGGCACAATGTTGCTGTTTAATGCTTGTTTATTTTATTCATTTCAGGCAGAAAGCGGGATTTGGGATTTGGGATTTGGCTTTTAGCAGCAATAGTGTGGATAGCCATCCAGGGTGAGAACTCTCTGGATCCCCTCAGCACCTAGGTGCACGTGGTACCCTAAGGCACACCGGGGCTCCATTTGCCCTCCCTCCCTTCTGGGAGTGGACTGGGCATCCCAGGCCCCCTCCCCCAGCTATCTCCGGAGCTGGACCCCTTTGAAGCGCCTGCAGGTCTATTTTGAGAGCTGAGCGTCTCCCCTCCCCTCCTCTCTTCCTGTTTATGAAACCCTGATCCCTCCCGGATCCCTCATGCTCCCCTGGCCAGAGCTTAGGCAGGATGTGACTGTGGACTTCAGGGAGCCTTGGGCAGCCTCAGGTGTTGGGAGGAACTTCCCTTGGCCTGGTCAGAGAAGGCCAGCCACCCTCCTAGTACCTGGGGCCCTGTGGCTGGGCTCTGTCCCTTCAGCCTGCCCAGGGGAGACCCCACAGCAGTAAGACTAAGTAAACCTGGGAGAAGTTCTGTTTCCAACATCCCCTTGTCTCTGTGGCCCATTTTGCTTCTAGAAACAATCTGAGAGTGGAGCATATTGTTCTAACCTTCATTTTA
The DNA here is from genome assembly GCF_000001405.40 of Homo sapiens. Lineage (NCBI taxonomy): Eukaryota > Metazoa > Chordata > Mammalia > Primates > Hominidae > Homo > Homo sapiens. The sequence continues at coordinate 26,540,264 of NC_000001.11, forward strand.
CAGAGGAGGAAACCGAGGTTCAGACAGGGAAACAGATTTGCCCGGGAGCACCCAGCTAGTGAGTGGCCAGCTCTTCCTGACTTCCCACTCTACCCTCCTGGCCTTAAGCCCCTTGGTCACACAGGTCTTTCTCTACCTGGAGTGTCTTTTTTTCCTCCTTTCTGCCTGGCCAACATTTGTTCATCCTCAGGACCCAGCTGGGCTGCCCCTCTCTGGAAGGTCTTTCTTGACTTCATGCACTGGCAAATAGTCACCACCTCTGGGCACCCACAACACCTTGATTATGGCTGTCTCAGGATAGTTGTGGTTTTTTGGTTTTGTTTTTGTTTTGAGGCAGGGCCTCCCTCTGTTGCCCAGGCTGGAGTGCAGTGGTACAACCACAGCTCACTGTAGCCTTGACCTCCTAGGCTCAAGTGATCCTCCTACCTCAGCTACCGGAGTAGCTGGGACTACAGGCGCACGCCACTATGCCCAGCCAGGAGTTCAACACAAGCCTGGGCAACACAGGGAGACCCATCCTCTACAAAAAACAAAATTTTTTTTTGAGATGGAGTTTCACTTTTGTTGCCCAGGCTGGAGTGCAATGGCACGATCTTGGCTCACCACAACCTCCGCCTCCTAGGTTCAAGCGATTCTCCTGCCTCAGCCTCCGTAGTAGCTGGGATTGCAGGCATATGCCACTATGCCCGGCTAATTTCATATTTTTAGTAGAGACGGGGTTTCTCCATGTTGGTCAGGCTGGTCTCGAACTCCCGACCTCAGGTGATCCGCCCACCTCGGTCTCCCAAAGTGCTGGGATTACAGGCATGAGCCACCGCGCCCGGCCCTCTACAAAAAATTTTTTAAAAATTAGCCAGATGTGGTGGTACGCACTTGTCCTCCCAGCTTACTCCATAGGCTGAGGTGGGAGGATCGCTTGAGCCCAAGAGGCTGCAGTGAACCATGATTATGCCACTGCACTCCAGCCTGGGCAACAGAGTGAGACTCTGTCTCAAAAAAAAAAAAAAAATGCCGGACACAGTGCCTCACACCTGTAATCCCAGCACTTTGGGAGGCCGAGGCGGGCAGATCGCCTGAGCTCAGGAGTTTGAGACCACCCTGGGCAACATGATGAAACCCTGTCGCTACTAAAATACAAAAAATTAGCCAGGCATTGTGGAGTGTGCCTGTAGTCCCAGCTACTCGGGAGGCTGAGGTACGAGAATCACTTAAGCCCAGGAGACGGAGGTTGCAGTGAGCTGAGATCTCACCACTGCACTCCAGCCTGGGCAGCAGAGTGAGACTCCCTCTCAAAGAAAAAAAAGGCTGTGTGCGTGCAGCAACTGCTCAATCAGTAGGAGGCACACTTACCATCATCTCTCCATGCCAGTCCTGACCTAGTGTTGGAGGCCAGCTCCCCCTCAAGGCTGCCAGGGAGCTGTGGACCCCTCCTCACCTGCCTGGAGGCACGCTGGGAGATGTGTCTGAGGACATCTGTCCCACTGAGGGAGGGGGTAGCGCCTGGAAGGGCCCTGCAAATGCTGCCAGCTGGGGAAGGGGCTTTTGGTGTCCGTTAGGGCCAGGATTGGCAGGTGGGCTTGGCTACAGCTGGCAGGGTGGGAACCCTAGAGACCACGGATCAGGCCTGGGGGCTCTGGGCTTCTCTTCCAGCTGCCCTGTAGGAGGAAGTAAATAAAGAGGAAGTCCCTATGCGGGGGATGGGGCAGGGACCAAGGGATGTGGGCTGGTGGCTGTCCTCCCCCCGCCCGCCACCAGAGGCCTCAGGGCCCACACAGCCTTCAGCAAAGGCAGTTCTGAGACTGTTTCCTTCCTGTTGCCCCTTCTGGTACCCTGCTGGCCACAGAGGCTCGTGTGGACTAGGCCCCTTGGTTTATCTCAGCCCGTATCTGGAGAGTCTCCTCCCACAAAGTAGCTACCTCTCTACCTTCTTTGCATCTGAGGGACCAGGGGTTGGTAGGGAGGGTGAGCTTTGGGGCTTCCGAGAGCTGCCCCAGCCTCCAAACCCCTGTCTGAGGAAGCTGGAGAGCAATGAGAGGCTTGGCTGAGGGAGGCATCTTTCACAATCTCCCGGCAGCCATCCACCCGCAGAGACTCTGCAAGGACAGGGAAGGGGAAGTCCGTGTGTGCGTGGGGGCATGTGTTTCTGCATAGGGGTTGTCTGCGGACAGGGTTTCCGATCATCGGCCTGAGTGTGTGTGTGTGCATGTCAGTGCCTGTGCTGTGCTGGTATGAGTGATGAAATGAGGCCACGTAGAAAGGGGCTGGGCCTGGTCAACCCCTGCCCCATAGCTGCCTGCTCCTCCTCTCAGACCTCTGTGAGGTCCTTGGTCAGGCTTTCTGCCCGCCTTACCCATCCTGGGGCTTGGGACTGGCAGCCTTCTTCGGGGCAGCTGAGCAGGGCAGGACCGGAGGGGGGCCACTGGTGCCTGCTTTCTGGGCTGCCATTGTGGGTGGGCATAGCCATGGGAAGGATGCTATGGAGGGGTGGGACACAGTATCTAAGCTCTGGACTGGACAGTCGGACAGTGGCCTTTGCTGACTTTTGCCCCACATTCTCTCAGGTCCTCCCCTCACGTGGATGTTTGCGGGTGCTGATATGCCCACTGTGACACTGCGTTATCGCCTTGTGACTTTTGTCTCTGCTCTTGTCTCTCCTCCTTAGAGTCAGAGGACATAGGGAGAGGTGTGCCCCTGGGCCTTCCCTGGGGTCATGGGCTTGGGGTCTGCAGTGTCCCCTCCTCTATAGAGGAGCCTGACCCATCATCTGCCCCTCCTCCCTGCAGAGGGGGAAGTGAGAAGGAGGGGGGCCAGAGACCCTGCCTTCTGGGCCAGGAAGGCTAAAAAAAGCAGAAGTAGGAAGAGTAACGGGGCCCTCTGGTCACCGGCTTGAGCCCCACCATGCAGACCCCAGCAGATTTCCCCAGGGTTGAGAGAGACTTGGTTCCCTGTCCCAGAAAGGTGAGCAGAAGAGTCGCCTGCCTCCAGCGGTGTCTGTCACCATGACTGGGCAAGGAATGGGTTTGGGGGTGGCTCTGTCCCTTGGGATTTCTGGGTGGTTTCCTGTCTCTGTCCCCAGGGAGTGCTCTCAGTCAGAGGCAGACAGGTGAGGTGGAGGTTCAGATCTCAGGGTGGGGTGTGCAGGTATTGCCATGTGGGCTTGGCCCCCTCTTAGTCCCTCTTTGAGCCAGGCTTTCTGCCTGTCCCGCCAGGAGGTTACACTCAGGGGTCTGATTTGACTGCAGTTTTGTGGTGTTTTTGTGGGGCTGTTCCACCCACTCCTCCATCTGTCAGGAAGGGTTAGGTATCTTCCCCTGAAGATAAGATTGTGTCTCCGAGGGCCAGGACCTACAGTGGGAGGTCACAGACGGACCCTAGTACTGAAGGAGAAGGGGTTTTAGGCAGATGTGGGTGGGCAGGACGTGGCTCTGGCTGATTGACCTGCCCACACTTTCCTGGCATTTGATGCCTGCTGACCCCAGGCCAGGCAGTAAGCAGGGAGGCGCCTGGGTCCAAGCTACCTCTGCCACTGTTTGCTTTGAGCCTTGGTGAGTCACTGTCTTCTGGGCCTCAGTTTCCTATTCCTGGAATGAGGATAACAGTTTTTAGGATATGATCAGAGTCAAAGACATCAGATTGCACTCAGGAGATAGTCCTCTCAGCTACTGTCTGGGTCCCCCTCAGGTCTTGGCATAGGAGGAAAATCCTAGGGAAATGGGAGATCTCAGAGGTGGGTCTGCAAGAAATACGAGAGTCCTCTCCTGAGTGGTGGGAGTTTGCAGATTGTCTCCCCTCATCTCTTTCCCCACCCCAGGTACAGCAGCAAGAACCCACAGCTCTGCCCTTAACCCCTTCCTGGGGATCCCTGCCCTGCTGCCTGCCCGTGTGTCTGCCAGGTGTCAGACCTATCTGCCCTAGGTATTGTCAGTCTGCTTGGGGCTCGCTGACTCTCCCGCTGTCTCTCTTTGCTGCCTACCTCTGTCTGTGGTTGGGTTCCAATCTCTGTCTCCACTTGATAAGTGCCTGACTTCACCTTTTGGGTACATGTCACATGTTAGGTGCCTGTTGTTCATGTCCCCTTCTGTCTCTGCCTGTTGGGTTTATGTCTTCATCTGTCTCTGCCTGTTGGATACCTGTCCCCTTCTGTCTTTGCCTGTTGGGTTTGTGTCACCATCTGTCTCTGCCTTTTGGATACATGTCCCCTTCTGTCATTGCCTGTTGGTTTTTTTTTTGAAACGGAGTCTCACTTTGTCGCCCAGGCTGGAGTGCGGTGGTGCGATCTTGGCTCACTGCAGCCTCCCCCTCCCAGGTTCAAGCCATTCTCCTGCCTCAGCTTCCCAAGTATCTGGGATTACAGGTGCCCACCACCACGCCCAGCTAATTTTTTGTATTTTTAGTAGAGACGGGGTTTCACCGTGTTAGCCAGGATGGTCTCGATCTCCTAACCTCGTGATCCACCTGCCTCGGCCTCCCAAAGTGCTGGGATTACAGGCGTGAGCCACCACGCCCAGCCTGCCTGTTGGGTTTATGTCCCCTTCTGTCATTGCCTGTTGGGTTGGTATTCTCTTCTGTCTCTGCCTATTGGAGATGTGTTCCTCCTGCCTTTGCCTGTTGGGTACATGTCCCCATCTGTCTTTACCTATTGGGTATATGTCCCCATCTGTCTCTGGCTGTTGGGCTTGTGTCCCTATCTGCCTACACACATTGGGGATGAGTCTCTGTCCACCTCTGTCTGTTAGATATGAGTCCCCTCCTGCTTCCCCTTGTCAGGTACGTGTCTCCATCTGTTTTCTATTGGATATGAATTCCTCCTGCCTCTGCCTGTTGGGTGCGTGTCCTTATCCTCCATCCCTGCCTGTTGGGTATGTGTTCTCTCCTGCCCCTGCCTGTTGGATGCCATTCTTTCTTTTTCTTTTTCTTTTTTTTTGAGATGGAGTCTTGCTCTGCCACCCAGGCTGGAGTGCAGTGGCGCTATCTCGGCTCACTGCAAGCTCCGCCTTCCAGGTTCATGCCATTCTCCTGCCTCAGCTCCCGAATAGCTGGGACTACAGGAGCTGACCACCACGCCTGGCCAATTTTTTTTTTTTTTGTATTTTTAGTAGAGACAGGGTTTCATCATGTTAACCAGGATCGTCTCGATCTCCTGACCTCATGATCCGCCCGCCTCAGCCTCCCAAAGTGCTGGGATTACAGGCATGATGGATGCCATTCTTACCTGTTTCCACCTGTTGGGTGCCTGCTTCTGCCTGTTGGGTGTCTCTCTTCGTCTGCCTCCACATATCAGGCACCTGTCTTTGTCTGTTGGGTACCTGTTTGCTATTGGGTACCTCTCTGCTGTTGGGTACCAGTCTGCTCAGCAGCTGCATTGGCAGGGGACTTTCCCTTTGTAGGCCCACAGGGAGGATGGGGGAACGGCCAGAGGGCAGCCCTCAGGCTCTGAGGAGAGGGGGAGAGAGAGGAAGGGAACGTGGTGAGGGTGTAGGCCTGGTGCTGGGAAACCACAGGCCCTGAGTGATTGGCTGCCCTGGGCCAGGCCCAGCCCCCGCCCTTACCCTGCACATCCGCCTTGGTCCCGGCCACCACTGCGGCAGCCCCGGACTCTGCCTGCTCCTGCCATGGTGCCGTGGCCCTGCTGGGCGGATGGAGCAGGATCCCAAGCCGCCCCGTCTGCGGCTCTGGGCCCTGATCCCCTGGCTTCCCAGGAAGCAGCGGCCCAGGATCAGCCAGACCTCTCTGCCTGTCCCTGGCCCTGGCTCTGGCCCCCAGCGGGACTCGGTGAGTGTGCCCGAATGTCTGGTCCTGACCTGGCTGTGTCCCTTGCAGCAGGTGCCTGGGAAGCCAGCTTAACATAAGCTGGCTTTGGGCTGTCCTGGCCCAGGCCTGGCCCTGCAGGGTGACTGGACCCTGCCCAGACTTGCTTCCTGGGGAAGTGAGGAGGCACTTCAGGGCTTCAAGGCAATGGCAGCAGATTGGAGGGAGGGTAGAGTCCTGGAAAGGCTAGGACCTGGCAAGGGGCTTCCAGTAGGTTTGTATGAGGGAAGTTTGGGAAGTTGAGCCATGCAGTCTTTGGCCTTAACTCTGACCTGCCCCAGGCCAGCACTTACCTAGTTGATGGGGGAGTTTGGGTGACTCTTGGGTCTTTGTGCACGTCAGCCCTGTCCTGCTGACCAGAGGGATCCCCTCATCCCATCCTGACCAGGAACGAAGGCCCAGCTCTACCTCCCCATATGAGAACAAGCCTACTTCCTATTGTGGCAACACTAAAACAACAGGGGGAGGGAAGCCCCACGGGCGGACCTGGGGCAGGTCTCTGGGTCTCAGCCAGAGCCTGGGGTTGACTCAGCCTGGCCATGCCTGGGCATCCCTTTGGGCCTAACCAGGCCAGAGCATCGTGAGCAATAGGAGCGGTGCCTGTTCTGGTTTGACCTCCCCAGACTTTGAGGCTCTTTTGAAATCGATGACCCTGGAGGCTAGCCCTTCAGGGAAGTCGTCTATTGGGCCTTTAGGTTCCATCTGCTGTGGTCTGGTGGGAATGGACTTGGGCAGGGGAGCCTCCTGCTGCCTGGATGGGGCCCACCATGCCCACCAGCTCTGTCCCTCCATCAGGATGAGGGCGTCCTCAAGGAGATCTCCATCACGCACCACGTCAAGGCTGGCTCTGAGAAGGCTGATCCATCCCATTTCGAGCTCCTCAAGGTTCTGGGCCAGGGATCCTTTGGCAAAGTGAGTCATGAGCCCATAGCTGTGAAGGCAACACTCGTCATGTTAGAGGTGGGGGTCAAGGGTCACCTAGGGGCCCAAAGGATCAGAGGTCACCTTGGTACCCAGGGAGAGCAAAAAGGTCAGCTTGGGGCTCAGAGAAGATAGAGGTCAGCCTGGACTCAGACCTCTCCCATCTTCTGCCCTGCTTCCTGCTCTGCCTTCTCAGGTCTTCCTGGTGCGGAAAGTCACCCGGCCTGACAGTGGGCACCTGTATGCTATGAAGGTGCTGAAGAAGGCAACGCTGAAAGGTGAGTGGGGACACCTCCCTGTGCAGAACCCAGGCTTGGCTGAGGGAGGCAGCCCAGACTTCAAGGGCCTTGGGTCTGGCAAGGGAGACAGCTCTGTCTTCAGGAGCACCTAGTTCAAAGGTGGAGAAACAGGCCTATTTCTCAGCTATCCCTCGCCAGCCAATCCTCCTCCCCCTAAGCCAAGTGCTAGTGACTGGCTGTGAAGGTCTGGAAGGTGGTAATAGGGTAAATGCAATGTGTTTGTCAGGGGGCGGGGCCCTCAACTACCAAGCTGGTCAAGCAGAGGCATTCTGACTGTTGATGCTAGAAGAGTCTGGGGGAGACCTCTGTGGCCCCTAACTCAGGGGCCTGAGAGAAGGGCGTGAGTGAAGAGGCAGGGAGCCCAGGGAGGCAGCTGGGCTAGGCAAGAGAGGGTGAGTCCAGGCAGGGCCACAGAGCTGGATGGCAGAGAGGTTCAGAAGGGAGCCCCGAGCCAAGGTTAGAGTTCTGGGGACTTACAAAGGGTGTGAAGATGGTTGGTAGTGGGCTTTGGGTTGGATACTGACCACTTGGCCTGGGAACCAGTGTGACCACTGACCCGGCAGAGTCATAGCCAAGTCTCTCTTTAAATAAGTCAAGGCCGGGCGCGGTGGCTCACACCTGTAATCCCAGCACTTTGGGAGGCTGAGGTGGGCGGGTCATTTGAGGTCAGGAGTTCAAGACCTGACCAACATGTTGAAACCCCGTCTCTACTAAAAATACAAAGAAATGAGCTGGGTGTGGTGGTGTGCACCTCTGATCCCAGTCAGAGCCAAATCCTAGCTGGGGAGGTAGTGGGGGCAGTAGGAGGCGTCAGCCTTAAGGACGTTATGGGTGGCTTTGGTATCCTAAGGCCAGCCTGGTGGGTGTGGAAGTCATCCCCCAGGAGGTATGGTGGCAGCTTCAGAGGGAGGAGAAAGATGAAAAGCCTGGGTCCCTGCTGTGAAGGGCTCACAGGCTGGGCAGGAGAGGCTAAGCATACCCGACAGTGTGGTGCAGCCGGTGCTGTGACTGGTGTGCGTGGATATCCGACGCGCTGGGGAGCTGGGAGTGGTGGTGTAGTCTTGTAGAGGGTGGGCCCAGAGGCCAAGGGGACACCTAAGGAGCGGGAAGCCTTGGAGGATGAGTGGATTTCTCTAGACCAAAAATGTTTGAGGAAGGGGACCCTGGGAAGGAGAAACTGTTTGCCTGAACTAAAGTGTAGAGGTGGTTTGAAAATGTAAGGTAAGCTGGGTGCTGTGGCTCATACCTGTAATCCTAGCACTTTGGAAAGCTGAGGCGAGTGGATCACTTGAGGTCAAGAGTTCGAGACCAGCCTGGCCAACATGGGAAAACCCCATCTCTACTAAAATACAAAAATTATCTGGGTATGCTGGTATGCACACCTATAGTCCCAGCTACTCAGGAGGTTGAGGCACAAGAATTGCTTGAACCCAGGAGGTGGAGATTGCAGTGAGCCGAGATCGCGCCACCATACTCCAGCCTGGGCGATGAGAGCGAAACTCCATCTCAGAAAAAAAAAAAAAGAAAAAAGAAAATGTAAGGTGACCAAAATAGTTAACTCCGGTGTGGTCCTTGTCATGTCTAATGAGGAAAACACAAAAATTAAAACAGAAGAAGGGGACCAGCTCCTGCAGCCCTGTGTGCTGACATAGAAGGTGTGTTGGAAGGCAGCTGCAGCTTCTACTTGTAGCAAGGGCCAAGGATTGTGTCCTGAACAAGACTCCGGAAAGACATGCAGGAGGAGTACATTGGCCAGATCTCCTAAGATAAGCAGCTGTGAGCATCAATTCTGGAATGGCAGTGACGAATGAATAGAATTCATACTAGATGGATGGACTAGTGAAGGCTTTGGGACTATGAGGCTGGAGAGGAAACTGCCAATCCAGTACATGGACCAAAAAAGCCTTTAGTTTTGCATTGTGTGTATTGCTCAGACATTTTGTCTGGTCTTAGTAAGCACTCCCTAGCCTTCCACCTCTCCTTTTAATAAAAGTCAAGGCTGGGTGCGGTGGCTCATGCCTGTAATCCCAGCACTTTGGGAGGCCAAGGTGGGTGGATCATTTGAGGTCAGGAGCTCAAGACCAGCCTGGCCAACATGGTGAAACCCTGTCTCTACTAAAAATACAAAAAAAATGAGCCAGGTTTGGTGTGTCTGTAATCCCAGCTACTCAGGAGGCTGAGGCACTAGAATCGCTTGAACCTGGGAGGCAAAGGTTGCAGTGAGCCAAGATCACACCACTGCACTCCAGCTTGGGTGACAGAGTGAGACCCTGTCCCATTAAAAAAAAGTCAAAGGACACATGAGAGGTCTCAGTCAAGGGGTAATCAATATTGTGATAAACTTAGTTGAAACACACTGCCCAAAATGAACCTAGGCAGCCATGTCCAAAAGCCTGTTCTTTTTTTTTTTTTTTTTTTTTTCTTTCCCGAGATGGAGTCTCACTCTATCGCTCAGACTGGAGGGCAGTGGTGTGATCTCGGCTCACTGCAACCTCCGCTCCGCAGGTTCAGGCAATTCTCCTGCCTCAGCCTCCTGAGTAGCTGGGATTACAGGCACATGCCACCACGCCTGGCTAATTTTTGTATATATATTTTTTTCTTTTTTGAGACGGAGTTTCACTCTCGTTGCCCAGACTGGAGTGCAATGGTGCAATCTCGGCTCATCACAACCTCTGCCTCCCGGGTTCAAGTGATTCTCCTGCCTCGGCCTCACGAGTAACTGGGATTACAGGCCCACGCCACCACGCCTAGCTAATTTTGTATTTTTAGTAGAGACAGGGTTTCTCCATGTTGGTCAGGCTGGTCTCAAACTCCTGACTTCAGGTGATCCGCCTTCCTCAGCCTCCCAAAGTGCTAGTATTACAGGCATGAGCCACCACGCCTGGCCAATTTTTTTTTTTTTTTTTTTTTGAGGCAGAGTCTCACTCTGTCACCAGGCTGGAGTGCAGTGGCGTGATCTCGGCTCACTGCAACCTCCGCCTCCTGGGTTCAAGCGATTCCCCTGCCTCAGCCTCCTGAGTAGCTGGGATTACAGGCACGTGCCACCAGGCTGGCTAATTTTTTGTATTTTTTACTAGAGACAGGGTTTCACCATGTTGGCCAGGATGGTCTCGATCTCCTGACCTCATGATCTGCCTGCCTCGGCCTCCCAAAGTGCTGGGATTAGAGGTGTGAGCCACCACGCCTGGTCCCAATTTTTGTATTTTTAATAGAGACAGGGTTTCACCATGTTGGCCAGGCTAGTCTCGAACTCCTGACCTCAAGTGATCCTCCTGCCTCAGCCTCCCAAAGTGCTGGGATTACAGGCATGAGCCACTGTGCCCGGCCCAAAAGCCTGTTCTAATCAGACTAGTGAAATCAATAAAACATGATACTTGGTGGGCTTCAATAAATTTAGAAGGCAACCTGAAAAAGAGAAAAGTGCTCCAAAGGAGAAGCACAAGCACTGTAGGAATCCAGAAGGCCCTAACCCAGCTTGGCAAATTAAGGAGCGCTTCCTGGAGAAGGTGAGGCCTAAGCTGAGTCAAAGAACCTGCTGAGAATCAGAACTGCCCAATAACTTGTATTATTTAAAAAAATAAATAAATAATATGAAGGGTGCCCACCCAGACCCATAGATCGGGATTTTAGGCCCAGGGATCCAGCTCACCAGGTAGCCGTTCTTACCAGCCCCGAGACCAGAATTTGGGAATTTTTATGCCAGATGGAAAGCAGAGCTGGTGAAGGCATGCCAGGGGGAGGTGCAGAGGCAAAGTCTGAGGATCTGACAAAGCAGAGAACCCTGGGGGAGCAGGTTGCTCAGACTGGCTGATTAACAGGTCTTGATGGGGTCTGGTGGGAAAAGGGACCAGAGAGATGGGCAGGGTGCCAAGGCCCCAGCTGTGGGCACTGCTGTGAGGGGTGGGGACAAGGAGCCAGCCAAGGAGCCAGAAACAGACTGGCAAGGAGGAAACCTGAGGATTGAGTGTCCCCAAAGCCCTGGGTGAGGGGGCTTTGGGAGCTCAGGCCTGGAGGAACAAGTGGAAAAGAGATCCCTTAGCGGGGGCTTGGGAGTGGCTGTGTTGAGTGTCTAGGCTACTGGTGACTTCCTTTCTCGTCTGGCCAGTACGTGACCGCGTCCGGACCAAGATGGAGAGAGACATCCTGGCTGATGTAAATCACCCATTCGTGGTGAAGCTGCACTATGGTAAAGCTTCTGGCCCTGCCTGAGCTCCTACCCCACCCATCCTTCGCCCTTGCCTGTGGTCTGTACACTGTCCCACCGCCTGCCTGGCAGGCCAAGGGAGCCAGGGCCGGAGAAGCAGATCATAAGGCCGCGCCGACTCTACCATTGCCTTTCTCCCTCTTCCCAGCCTTCCAGACCGAGGGCAAGCTCTATCTCATTCTGGACTTCCTGCGTGGTGGGGACCTCTTCACCCGGCTCTCAAAAGAGGTGAGCTGACATCTACTGCCAGAGGGCCCCGGGATGGAGCTGAGGGACGACAAGTCCTCCCATCCCAGGGCCCTGTACAGAATGTGTTTGGTATGGCTTGAACCTGGAACCACCCAGGCCTGCCTAGCAGCCCCTGGCCCAGGAAATACCACGCACCCTGGAATGGAGGCCATACGCTGGCAAGGTCTCTGAGAGTTTCTCCCAAGGAAACTCCAGGGAGCTAAGGGTTCCTCTCACCTCTGCACCTGCCTTCTTCCAGGGCTGCTCTGGGCAGAGGTGTGAAGATAGGGGAGAAGCCCAAAGTCACCCAGAGAGCCAGAGACTTTAGCAGTCATCTTGCGTATGTCATCCAAAAGGATTTTGAACCAATATAAAAGGATTTGAGGCTGGGCGCAGCGGCTCACGCCTGTTATCCCAGCACTTTGGGAGGCCGAGGTGGGCAGATCAGGAGGTCAGGAGATCAAGACCATCCTGCCCAACATGGTGAAACCCCGTCTCTACTAAAAATACAAAAATTAGCTGGGTATGGTGGAGTGTGCCTGTAATCCCAGCTACTCAGGAAGCGGAGGCACAAGAATCGCTTGAACCCAGGAGGCAGAGGTTGCAGTGAGCCAAGATCGCGCCACTGCACTCCAGCTTGGCAACAGAGCGAGACTCTGTCTCAAAAAAAAAAAAAAAAAAAAAAAGGATTTGAGCTAGAAAATGGGACCATTCGTACAATTCAAACTTTAAAGAGAATCTAGCTTTTTTTTTTTTTAATTGTAATTTTTTTTTTTTTTTCAGATGGAGTTTTGCTCTTGTCACCCAGGCTGGAGTGCACTGGTGGGGTCTCAGCTCACTGCAACCTCCGCCTCCCGGGTTCAAGCAATTCTCCTGCCTCAGCCTCCCGAGTAGCTGGGATGACAGGTGCACGCCACCACGCCTGGTTAATTTTTGTATTTTTGGTAGAGACAGGGTTTCTCCATGTTGGCCAGGCTGGTCTCGAACTCCTGACCTCGGGTGATCCGCCTGCCTCAGCCTCCCAAACTGCTGGCTGGGATTATAGGTGTGAGCCACCGTGCCCGGCTTAAATTGTGATTTTAATGTTTGAATAGGTAATATACATGATTCAAAAGAAAAATATTCATGAAGAAGTCTTCCTCCCACCCCAGCCCCCTCTATTCCCATCTATAGGTAAACATTTTTATTGGTTTCTTGTTTAACTTTCCCATGTTTCTTTTGCAAACAAATCCGATATATGTTCATTCCTACCCCCATTTCCTTATGTAAAAAGTACTATTCTGTATACACTGTTCTGTACCTTGCTTTTTTCAAGATAGTATATCTTGGAGCTCACTCCATGTCAGAACACGGAGAAACTCCTTGTTCCAGTTCATGGCTGCAAAGCACTCCATTATGCAGGGGAGAGGGCTGATTCCAGCCTTCTACTCTTGGACCCTAGGCCTGTTTCCCACCCCTTCTATTTCTGAATGGTGCCACAATGAGTGGCTTGCGTATTAGTCATTTCATACTTCAAATCCTTTGTATGATGAGAAGGCTATATGGCCTGGGGTTTCCAAGGGTCCTCCCAGGGTGGCTCTTCAGGACCAGGAAGCTGCTGACTGCCCAGTGCCCCAGCTCTTAAGGAAGAGGAGGTCCCTGCTGAAGGCCCCTCCTGTCTTTTGCAGGTGATGTTCACGGAGGAGGATGTGAAGTTTTACCTGGCTGAGCTGGCTCTGGGCCTGGATCACCTGCACAGCCTGGGTATCATTTACAGAGACCTCAAGCCTGAGAAGTGAGTGAAGCCTCCAGCCCCACCCCAGCCTCCCCAGGGGAGGCCTCTTCTAGGACAGGGCCATCCTGAGGTGGGTGGGCATGGCTTTCTCCAGAAACGTCTCCCTCTCTTGGGCAATCTGAGGGATGGGTGAGTGGGGTGGGTGGTAGTGCCAGCTGCCCAGTCACTAATGCTACCATTACCAAGGGCCAGGTACTTTGCATGCAGGTAATGTTGCCCGTCTTTTTTTGCTAATCTAGTGTGACATTTGAGATGCCACCTTTAGAGGTCTTTCCTTGATAAAGCCCTATAGAATTTTCCCTAATATCTAACTACCCTCAAATGATAACTAAGGAGCCAGGGGCAGGTGGTGAGTTGGAATAAGATCTGGCTTTAGTGTTAGGCAGCCCTGTATTCAAATCCTGTCTCCACCTACTAGCTAGACTTACTAGCTCAATGACTGTAGAGCTACTTAACTGCCCTGAGCCTTAGTTTTCCCATTAGCAAAACGGGGCCCTAATAGTACTTGCCTCACACAGTTGCTTCAAGGATTAGCAAAAAAGATAGGCAACACCCCTGCGTGGTACTGCTACCACCCTGCAACACCCGCCCAGTCATCAGAGAGAATTGGGTGGAGCACCTCCTCTGGGCTGAACCCAACTCCCACAGCCCTGTGGTAACACCATCACCCACACGGCCACAGCTGAGGGGCCCTGACCACTATTTCTCTATTACAGCATCCTTCTGGATGAGGAGGGCCACATCAAACTCACTGGTGAGTGGAGGGCGCCTGCCCCCTCGGGACCCAGGGGAGGACAGGACAAGGTCATGATAGGTCTCGGCTGAGTGCTGGGGGCTCATTCTTCCCGAGAAGCCGTGCCAGTTACTTGGAAGTGGTCAAAAACTCAGGCCTCAGACTTGGAACACCCTCAGCTGGAATCCCAGCCCCTCATTGTGTAACGTTGAGCAAGTCACCTGACCTCTCTGGGCCTTAGCTTCCTCCTGAGTGTCATGGGGGTGATGCCTTCTGGCCTCTGGGCACGGGGGTTGGGTGTGCAAAGGGTGGCAGCAAGGAAGGCAGGGGTCCTAAGGTGTGTCCTCCTGCCCTCCTTGCTGTAGACTTTGGCCTGAGCAAAGAGGCCATTGACCACGAGAAGAAGGCCTATTCTTTCTGCGGGACAGTGGAGTACATGGCCCCTGAGGTCGTCAACCGCCAGGGCCACTCCCATAGTGCGGACTGGTGGTCCTATGGGGTGTTGATGGTGAGTGCCCAGACAGGGGTAAAGGATCCAGCCCAAGCCTCTGGCCTCAGTCTCCCTATCTGTACAGTGAGGGGGTTGATCATTTCTAGGGCTCTCCCCGTCTCCTCTCACAGCCAAGCTGGCCTCACCCTATATGCACCTGCAGTTTTCTTCCTTGGAAGGATCCCAGGCTTGACCCCACCTGGGACGCGCCTAACCCAGTGCTGGCCTTCTCCCCAGCCTCGCGCCCCCACCGCTGCTCCTGGTGGTCTGGTTGGCAGAGGCAAGAGGGACGGGCATAATTCTTGCTCCAGGCTGACTTGGATGTATCAGCAAGAATCCTGGGACTGGGGCAGAGGGGTCTGACTGGGAGGAGGCGGGAGGTGTGTCGGAGACAGGGATCAGAGCCTGAATAGATCCTTGTCCTCTGCAGTTTGAGATGCTGACGGGCTCCCTGCCCTTCCAGGGGAAGGACCGGAAGGAGACCATGACACTGATTCTGAAGTAAGCCCCAGCCCTGCCCTGATAACAATGGACTCCTCCAAGCCCCAGCCCCAGTTTGGGGGTCAGAATATTATTACCCTGTCCCTGCCTCAGCTACCCTCTCTAATGAGACTCTCCTCTGGGTTAAACATTATACCTTCCAGAGCCCCTCTTTCATCCCTGGGGGCCTGTGGGTAGGATCCCTGAAGCCTTTGGGAAGTGAATTAGTGGATGGCTTGTCTAGACTGAGCTGGGAACTAGATCTGGACAGGGGCCGGGGGAGATGGGGCCTCTGGGGCAGGGCTCAGCCTTGATGAGTCCCGGGGGCTGTTTCAGGGCGAAGCTAGGCATGCCCCAGTTTCTGAGCACTGAAGCCCAGAGCCTCTTGCGGGCCCTGTTCAAGCGGAATCCTGCCAACCGGCTCGGTAAGCAGCCCCAGCTCAGGGGAGGGGATGTGGCGATGGGGAGCCGGGTACAGCTGCAGCCTAGGCCACAGGGCCACATCTGGGCTGAAAGGGGCCGTTGTCCTTTGTGTGGGCAGACAATGCCGCGGGCCACCCTGCTTTCTGGCTCCATGTGTGGTGTTGTGGAGGGGGGAGTTGACCTGTGTGTAGGGGGAAGGCAGGAACTGAGTCATCCCTACTCCCTCTGGGGACAAGGACAGAGGCCCCCACACAGCTTCTCCGCCAAGGCTGCTGGCACAAGAGAAATAGCATGAGCTCAGGAGTCAGAAGGCATAGGTCCCAATCCCGGCTCTGTGTCAGGTCCCCACTGCCTGGCACAAAACAGTCCCTCTATAAATATTTGTTAAACGAATGAGGCCACTTATGAACTAAGTGACCCCAGGCAGGTGACTTCACCTCTCTGCACCGCAGGTTCCTCGTCTCAATGGGAGATGATGATCCCAAGCTTGCTTCAGGGCTCTGTTGATGAAATGAGGTTGTGTGAACATGCCGGCATGTAGTAGGTGTCCAGTGTGTGCTGGCTTCCCTGGCTCCTGGGTTCATCTGGTCCATGACCAGCTGTGTAAGGTCCAGTCAAGGCCCCTGGGGTCGAATGGAGTAACAGCCTGTCCTATGGTTGAAAAGGTCAATGGGATAAGAGGAACAGAGATGAGGCTTGCCTTGGAATGAGGTGGGGCTCTCTGTAGGTCTCAGAACAAGCTCAGCTTCTGTTCTAACTGTGTGGCCTTGGAGAAGTTGCCTAAAGTCTCTGGGCCTTCCTCCTCCCACTGGTACATTGGAATTTCTTCATCAGAAGCTCCAGAAAGTGGAAAATGCTGAGTAGGTGACAGGCCTTAGGGTGATGGCTGGGTAGATTTGAGGCTGAGTGAGCCCATTTTCCCCTCTGCTCCAGCAGCTGGTCCCAGAGCCCTGTGAGGCTGCTTGGTGGGCAGGGTAATATCTGGGACTTGTGCCAGCCAGGGACAGACCCTTCATTTGGGCTCTTTCAGGCTCCGGCCCTGATGGGGCAGAGGAAATCAAGCGGCATGTCTTCTACTCCACCATTGACTGGAATGTGAGTGTGTCCACCCACACCAGGGCTCTGGCCAGGGCTCAGCCATCTTGGCCACAGGAAGGGTGGTGGGAGGGGAGCCTCTGCCAGCGAGGGCCCCAGACGCAGGAGCAGAGGGTCACAGCCTGCCCTTGAAGACAAGGGCTGGCCTCCTGAGGGCAAGCAATTCCGAGAGCTGGGCAATATGGCCTATGTTCCAAGCCCAGCACCTCCTCCTGCATGGGGCTCCTGGTGGGCTGTTGAGGATGCCATGGTGACCAGAGTGCCCACCCCACTGTGCAGAAGCTATACCGTCGTGAGATCAAGCCACCCTTCAAGCCAGCAGTGGCTCAGCCTGATGACACCTTCTACTTTGACACCGAGTTCACGTCCCGCACACCCAAGGGTGCGTCCCTTATCTGTTTTGTCTGTCTTGGGCTGGTACAGGAGGGAAGCCGGGAGTCGGTGGCAGCTTGGGGGGCAGAGATAGTCAGGGACACTGACAGGCCGAGGTATGCGGGTGGGCAGGCGGGTGAGTTTCTGGCTCCGTGGGACTGACTTTGTCCCTGTCTCACTCCGCCCGACTCTCTCACTATGGGGCTCTGTGGGTCTCTTTGTGTCTGGTGAGAGAGTGGGAGTGGGGATGTGTGGGTGGTGAAGGCCACAGTAGAAAAGCCAGGACCCCTGCCCGGGGCACCTTCCAGCCCACTGGGAAGACCAAACACATCAGGCTTACCATCACGTCAGGGAGAAAGAATCTGACCCAGCCACACTGTGTGGTGGCTGAGCAGAGGTGACAGTGCCCATAGGTCAGGGACAGGCATGGGAATCAGCTTTGGCTGCCCTGACTGCCCGGCCTCCGTGTACTTATCTGGAACAAGGGCACAGCCACAAACCCACTCATTCCCTGGGGTTGCTACAAGAAGCCAGTGAGGGAGCTTCTGGGAAGGAACCTGGTGAATCCTAACTTTTTGGCCAGATATTGACAGTGGGTGTGGGGTGGAATGTTCTGGGAAACCTCCTATAAGGGCATGTTTTAGGAGAGGGTGTGCTTTTCTTCTCTCCTCTCCTCCCCTCCCCTCTCCTCCCCTCCCCTCCCCTCCCCTCCCCTCCCCTTCCCTCTCCTTCCCTTCCCTCTCCTCTCCTCTTTTCAAGATGGAGTCTCGCTCTGTTGCCCAGGCTGGAATGCAATGGCGTGATCTCAGCTTACTGCAACCTCCACCTCCTGGGTTCAAGAGATTCTCCTGCCTCAGCCTCCCGAGTAGCTGGGATTACAGGCATGTGTCAGCACGCCTGGCTAATTTTTGTATTTTTAGTAGAGACGGGGTTTCACCATGTTGGCCAGGCTGGTCTCGAACTCCTGACCTCAGGTGATCCACAAGGGGGTGCTTTTCTCACTGCACTTGCACGCCTCTGATGACAGAGACAGCACTTCTCCAAGCAGTCCGCTGGGCAACGTGACAAGTGCAGCTTCGTAGGAGTCAGGGGCCGGAGGAGCAGCATCAGGCAAGGCTTCTCAGAGGAGGGAGCGTGCGAGTTGAGTCTTGAAGGATAGGCAAGGAGTGGATTATCTAGTTAAAGGGAACAGTGTGTGCAAGGGCTCAGAGACCCCTCTAAGGATCTGAGAAGTCCAACATGGCTCAGCTGTGGTATGGAGAGAGAGGAGGTGAGGATCACAGGGCCCTCAATTGCCAGACTCAGGAGCTGGACTTACTCCTGAAGGCAGACGGGAACCTTTGAAAGGTGTGGGCAGGGTGGCAGATTTGTGGTTGGAACCTTCCCTCTGGCTGCTGTGCAGAGATGGACCTGAAGGGGCTGACGTAAGATGGGGAAGCTGGGGAGGAAGCATCCAGGAAGGGATGAACTGTCTTGGCCTGGGATGGAGGTGGATGTGAGAGTCTTTTTTGTTCCTCATGCGACAGGACTGGGCTGGTCTAATAAACACATATGAGCAGTTGGGCCAAGGCCTGTGATGGACAGGCCCTCTGCAGGCTCCCGCCACGGCCAGCCCCTGAGGCAGGTCTGGAGGCCCTGTGCTCCCCCTTTGCTGGGCTGCCTCAGGGTCGAGGGGACCTCCTCAGGTACCCTCACATTCTCCTTCCATCCGTACAGATTCCCCAGGCATCCCCCCCAGCGCTGGGGCCCATCAGCTGTTCCGGGGCTTCAGCTTCGTGGCCACCGGCCTGATGGAAGACGACGGCAAGCCTCGTGCCCCGCAGGCACCCCTGCACTCGGTGGTACAGGTGAGGGGGGCAGGGGGCTGCTGCTCCATTATCCTTTTCTAAAGAATGGCTGAGTACACAGGCTCTGAGTTGGACAGAACCAGGTTCATACCCTCATGCCACTGTGGGACCAGTAGGGCCTCCAACATAAAACAGGGACAGTAAGGCCCACCTCACACAGTGGCCCTGATAATTGGATGATGATATGGGTGTACATTTCCCAGCACAGAGCCAGGGTCTGGGTACATGTCAGGAGGTGCCCAGGGTGGTGGTGCCGAGTGACTGTCGTGTCTCCGGCATAAGTGTAGCGAAGGACTTGGATCTCATCACACTTGTTCCCCATTTGTACACTTCTACTGCTAATGAAAGTTTCAGGTTGAGAGGCAAGAATGTAGACTGTGGAGCTCATTGCATGGGTTCCAGATTCACAAGATAATGGACTTTGGGGTTTTTTGTTTGTTTGTTTTTGAGACGTAGTCTTGCTCTGTTGCCCAGGCTGGAGTGCAGTGGCACAATCTCAGCTCACTACAGCCTCCACCTCCCAGGTTCAAAAAATTCTCCTGCCTCAGTCTCCCGAATAGCTGGGACTACAGATATACACCACCACACCCAGCTAATTTTTTTTTTTTTTTTTTGTATTTTTAGTAGAGACGGGGTTTTACCATGTTGGCTAGGCTGGTGTCAAACTCCTGACCTCAAGTGATCCGCCCACCTCAGCCTCCCAAGGTGCTGAGATTACAGACATGAGCACCTGACCAGATAATGGACTTTGGATGAGATACTCCCTTCCTCGTGCCTCAGTTTCCTCATCTGTAAATGGGGGAAATGATAGAAGCTTCCTCCATAGAGCTGTTATGAGGATTATTAGAGTTAATACATGTAAAGTTCATGTGGGCTGGGCACGGTGGCTCATGCCTGTAATCCCAGCACTTTGGGAGGCCAAGAAGGGTGGATTGCTTGAGGCCAGGAATTTAAACAGACCCATCTGGCCAACATGGCGAAACCCCGTCTCTAAAAATACAAAAATCAGCTGGGCGTGTTGGCGCGTGCCTATAGTCCCAGCTACTTGGGAGGCAGAGGTTGCAGTGAGCTGAGAACGTACCACTGCACTCCAGCCTGGGCAACAGCGTAAGACTCTGTCTCAAAAAATAAATAAATAAAATAAAAAATAAAGTTAAGGTGACTATGTAATTTATTTTCCAAACTGGGACATCTTAGTCCAGGACAAATATTAAATCAGACTGGATGCAAGGACCGCATGCGCAAGCCAGGGCTGGCCGTGGGGCATGCAGTCACCTGATGAAAGTGCTTAGAATAGTGCCTGGCACACAGCACACACTAAGCACCATTCAGCATTGCTACGGCTAATGTCCCAGAACCTTGAGACACCCCATGAGTTGAGCTGTGACACCCCAGAAAGGGAGGCAGGCCACTCAAAGCCGTACTTAGTGGCACAGCTGGAACTCAGCTCAGGGCTCCTGCGTCCCTCCCAGGCCTGCCCAGACTTTTCAGAACTAAAGTCCTCTCCATGTGTGTTGTGACCCTGTTTCCCACTCCCTACACTGCCCTCTGACCACAGGCTGCAGTCCAGGCAGGCTGGGAGCCAGTGAGTATGCCCATTATATAGAGTAGAAAACTGAGGCCCAGAGAGGGGCAGGCTGTCACCTGCGGTCACATGGCCAACACTCTACCCCAAGTCTCCTGGCCCTTCCCTGGTGCTGTCTCTACTGAGCCAAGACCTTAGGTCCTGGGGGATGACCCCTAGCACTCTAGAGCCAGGGGTCAGCCACAATTTTTGGTCTCCTACAGCAACTCCATGGGAAGAACCTGGTTTTTAGTGACGGCTACGTGGTAAAGGAGACAATTGGTGTGGGCTCCTACTCTGAGTGCAAGCGCTGTGTCCACAAGGCCACCAACATGGAGTATGCTGTCAAGGTGGGCCTCCTGACCACGTCTCGGCCAAGGCTGCTGGGTTGGGGGCAGGTCCCCGTCTGGTGGGGAGGGATGGTGCCTGAGCTCTGCAGATGTATGAAAGGTGTGTGGCCGAGACCTCCTGGCCTGCTCCATGGCCAGAAAGGACCCTGGACCCTGTCACCCTGACACTGCCACATGCACCCCCTTTCTTCAGGTCATTGATAAGAGCAAGCGGGATCCTTCAGAAGAGATTGAGATTCTTCTGCGGTATGGCCAGCACCCCAACATCATCACTCTGAAAGA
Source organism: Homo sapiens (assembly GCF_000001405.40). Classification (NCBI taxonomy): domain Eukaryota; kingdom Metazoa; phylum Chordata; class Mammalia; order Primates; family Hominidae; genus Homo; species Homo sapiens. The sequence goes on from NC_000001.11 coordinate 26,561,134, forward strand.
TGTGAGTGGGGGTCCTTAAGACTGGGGTGGGGACCAGGAACTCAACTCTCAGGATTTGTCTCAGGATTGCCATTCCTTTGACTTCTCATCCTCTTTCCAGTGGTCATGTGGAGGGGAAGGAGGTCCCTTGGTCCCTTCAGTCTGCCCATACCCCAAGGGCCCTCCTTCAGACTCAGACATTTTCTGAGGACCTTCTTGCGTATCAGGAGACCAGTGTCAGCATCCTCCTTTTGGGGAAGGCAGGACCACTGAAGAGCAAGCAGAACACCTGCCCAAGGCTCATGTCATTCTTCCCTGCTCTGGGGCGCTGCTGACCAGGGGGCTCAGGCCTGACACTGGGGAGAAGAGCCTGATGGTGAGGTCTTCGGCAGGTGTATGATGATGGCAAACACGTGTACCTGGTGACAGAGCTGATGCGGGGTGGGGAGCTGCTGGACAAGATCCTGCGGCAGAAGTTCTTCTCAGAGCGGGAGGCCAGCTTTGTCCTGCACACCATTGGCAAAACTGTGGAGTATCTGCACTCACAGGGGGTGAGTCTGGATTCGGGGAGGCAGTAGGGGGATGCCAAGGGTCATATCATCAGCAGAGAACATGAACCACCTGCTGGCCCAGGAATGGCAGCCTCCAGCTAGCCAAACTGAGGGGACACTAGGGCTGGGTGGGTGGATGCGTGCAAAGGAAGGAGGGAGAGATGTGGCCAATTGTGAAAGGGAAGGTATGGAAAGTTATTCAGTATCTACTGTGTGCCAGGCACCATGGTAAGGTTTAGCATAAGATGAAGTTTCCAGACCAGGCATGGTAGCTCACGCCTGTAATCCCAGCAACTTGGGAGGGCAACGCAGGTGGATCACTTGAGGTCAGGAGTTTGACACCAGCCTGGCCAACATGGTGAAACCCCATCTCTACTAAAATACAAAAAAATTAGCCGGGTGTGGTGGGGGGCATCTGTAATCTCAGCTACTTGGGAGGCTGAGGCAGAAGAGTGGCTTGAACCCGGGAGGCGGAGGTTGCAGTGAGCCAAGATCACACCATTGCACTACAGCCTGGGCAACAGAGCGAAACTCCATCTAATAAATAAATACATAAATAAGATTTACATTATCTCAATTGATTTTCACAACAACTCTGAGATAGATGCTGTTACTGGCCCCACTTCACAGGTAAGAAGACCGGAGCTCAGAGATGAAAGTTCATTTGCTAAATATCACATAGCCCGGGAAGAATGGAAGAATTTCAGACTGAAGAATTTAGGTGGGGAGTGGCTTTTGAGTTAGGAAGTGGCAGGGTCACCGTGGGGGAGCTGCAAGGCTTCAGGGAGGTGAATTTGACTGGGTTCAGTTGCTAAGGCAGAGGAAATGGATGCAGGAGGAAATTCTGCTGGAAACGTAGCAGGGACTGCAGAAGAGGTATAGGTCCAAATGGCAGGGTCTGGCCTTTATTACTGCACAAGGCAGGTGAGCACTAGATGACGGTGAGGTAGGAAAGTTCATTACAGTGGATTAAAGCCCAAAACAGTAGCATTAGCTTCTCTCTGCATGAGATAATGTTTTAGGGTGCATCTGATCAGACAACATGGGGGTTAAGAATGCAGGCTATGAATCCACCTGGCTGAGTCCAGGTCTTGGTGTATGAGGTTGTTAACTTGTTTTCACATAGTACCCAGTCCATAGACACATTTTTCTCCTATTGTCCTTTTTTTTTTTTTTTTTTTTTTTTTTTGGAGATAGAGTCTTGCTCCTGTCGCCCAGGCTGGAGTGCAGTGGCACGATCTTGGCTCACTGCAACCTCTGCCTCCCGGGTTCAAGTGACTCTCCTGCCTCAGCCTCCCAAGTAGCTGGGATTAGAGGCGCCTGTCACCATGCCTGGCTAATTTTTTTGTATTTTTAGTAGAGATGGGGTTTCACCATGTTGGCCAGGCTGGTCTCAAACTCCTGACCTCAGGTGATCTGCCCGCCTCGGCCTCCCAAAGTGCTGGGATTACAGGTGTGAGCCACCACACCCGGCCCCCATTGTCCTTTCAAAAATGTCTTTTTTGACTGGTTTATTGAAATTAGAATACCTGTAAGTTCCACACATTTCATTCAGTTGGTAAATCTCTCCCCCTTTTTTTTGAGACAGGGTCTCACTCTGTTGCCCAGGCTGGAATGCAGTGACACAATTGCAGTTCACTGCAGCCTTGACCTCCTTGCGCTCAAATGATCCTCCCACTTCAGCCTCCCAAATAGCGGGGACCACAGGCACGCACCACCACACCTGGCTAATTTTGTATTTTTTGTAGAGATGGGGTTTTGGCTTGTTGCCCAGGCTGGTCTTGAACTCTTGAGCTCAAGTGATTTGCCCACCTTGGCCTCCCAAAGTGCTGGGATTACAGGCGTAAGCCACCTTACCCAGCCTCTTTTCTTCTTTTTTAAAACTGGAGGAAAATTTGCATACAGTAGATTTCAAGGGTACATTCTGATGAATTTTGTTAAATGTGTACACCCATGTCGCCTCCACAATTAGACCTCCCTTTTTTATGCCACCGACATATTGTATATGAGTTCTGTGGAATGTCTCACATTCTGAATTTGTCTGTCGGCTGCCTCCTGGATCATTTACATTATTTCTCCATTGTCTATATTTCCTGTAAACTGCAAGTTGCTCTAACATCATTATTAGCTTCAGTTTTTTGGGGGGGATGGGAATGAGGTTCAGATGGCTAAGGTTGGGCTGAGCATGGTGGCTTATGCCTGTAATCCCAGCACTTTGGGAAGCCAAGATGGGCAGATCACTTGAGGCCAGGAGTTCAAGACCAGCTTGGCCAATATGATGAAACCCCATCTCTACCAAAAATACAAAAATTAGCTGGGCATGGTGGCCCATGCCTGTAATCCCAGCTACTCTGGTGGCTGAGGCACAAGAATCACTTGAACCTGGGAGGCAGAGGTTGCAATGAGCTGAAATCACACCACTGCACTCCAGTCTGGATGACAGAGCAAAACCCTGTCTCAAATAAAAAATAAAAATAAAAAAAAGAAGGCCAACGTCATCCAATCTATGGAGGTACACTTCACAGTGCATTACATCCACGAGTGCACAGTGTCATGCTGCCTACCTTTTTAAATTTAATTTTATTTAATTAATTAATTTACTTATTTATTTTTGAGACGGAGTCTCTCTCTGTCGCCCAGGCTGGAGTGCAGTGGCACGATCTCAGCTCACTGCAAGCTCCGCCTCCCAGGTTCACGCCATTCTCCTGCCTCAGCCTCCCGAGTAGCTGGGACTACAGGCGCACACCGCCACACCCAGCTAATTTTTTGTATTTTTAGTAGAGACGGGGTTTCACCGTGTTAGCCAGGATGGTTTCGATCACCTGACCTTGTGATCTGCCCGCCTCGGCCTCCCAAAGAGCTGAGATACCAAGTATGAGCCACCGCGCCCGGCCACGCTGCCCACCTTTAACCATGGCAGGTGGTAACCGTCCGATCTCCTTATTATAAAGATCCTCATCTAATGGTTTCATCCTTTCAGAATCTTGCATGAGTCGAGTATTTCATTAGGGTTGTGAAAGTGGCGATGCCTGATTATGTCTAATTTTTTAGGGGAAATTCTGTAAAAAAGAACTTTACCTCTTAACCAAAGCTCCAGTTTGGTTACCCCCTGTGCTTTTAATTGTCATGTTTGAAGTGGCTTTGGTTTTTGAAATGCCAGTGCAATAGACTAATATTTAAACATGTCAGGTCAGAGAGTAAATGTTTTTCCTTTTTTCTGTTTTGTTCTTAAGTGAGTACTCGTTAAACTTAAAATGGTTTAGAAGACAGGCAAGCCAGTGTACCCGTGGGTCACCTGAAGCTAAAAGTAAGGAGGAACTTTCTGAAGAGGGGAGCTGCCTCCAGAGGCAGTGAGCTCCTTCCACTAGGGATGTGCAAAGCTCCAAGTATAGATAACCACTTGGTGAGGATGTTGTTGGAGGAAGTCGTCTCCTTCCTGAAGCTAGGAGTGTATGTGTCTCCAAAGTTTCTGGCTGTTTGCTAATACCGGGGCAGATGATGAGGAATGGGAAGCTCTTCTTATTGAGATATTTGGAGTGGATCCTCTGGGTTGGTTTGTCAGCAGCAGTAGCTGTGGTCTGTAAGCTGGGAATCCCACAGGAGCTGAGGGATGGGAAGGGGATGACCAGGGAGCAGGGTCCACTGGGACCCCTGTTTGTTTGAATATTATGTTTGTATTGAAGCATTGCATGAACACCGAGAAGTGTACAAATCACAACGGACAAGTCAATAAATTTTCAAAAAGTGAATACACCTGTGTAACCAGTACCCAGCTCAATAAACAAAGCATTTCCAGTTCTCCTGGAGCCCCCGCAACCTGAGGATAACCATCCTAAGCTAAATTCTAGTAGGTTTATTTTGCCCGTTTTTGAATTTATTTTTTTCTTTTCTTTTCTTTTCTTTTCTTTTTTTTTGAGATGGAGTTTTGCTCTTCTCGCCCAGGCTGGAGTGCAATGGCATGGTCTTTGGCTCACTGCAACCTCTGCCTCCCAGGTTCAAGCAATTCTCCTGCCTCAGCCTCCCAAGTAGCTGGGATTACAGGCACCTGCCACCACATCCAGCTAATTTTTGTATTTTTAGTAGAGGCGGGATTTCACCATGTTGGCCAGGCTGGTCTCGACCTCCTGACCTCAAGTGATCCACCGGTCTCGGCCTCCCAAAGTGCTGGGATTACAGGCGCGGCCCCGTTTTGGAATTTCATACAAACTTTCTCTTTTGTATCTGGCTTCTGCCATTCAATGTTGTCTTTGAGATCCATCCACATTGTTTTGTGGCTGCTGTTCATTCATTTCATTGCTGTGTACAACTCTACTGTATGTATAATTGTCCATTCTCCTGTTAATAGACACCAGATGGTTACTAGATTGTTGACTGTTACAAATAATGCTGTTGTGACATTCTATCTGTTGATTGTATACCTAGCAATGGAATTGCTGGGTCAGAGTGTTTGTGTGTTCGTCTTTAGCAGATATTGCCAAACAGTTTTCCAGAGTGCTTTTGCTAATTTACACTCCCAACAGAAGTGTGTGAGAGTTCTGGTACTTGCCAATGTTGGTATTTTTAATCTCTTCAATCATTGCCATTCTGGTGGGTGTGGAGTGGTATCTCATTGTAGCTTTTTTTTTTTTTTTTTTTTTTGAGACAGAGTCTCGCTCTGTTGCCCAGGCTGGAGTGCAGTGGTGCGATCTCGGCTCACTGCAACCTCTACCTCCTGGGTTCAAGTGATTCTCCTACCTCAGCCTCCTGAGGAGCTGGGATTACAGGCGTGTACCCACCACACCCAGCTAATTTTTTTGTATTTTTAGTAGAGACAGGGTTTCACCATGTTGGCCAAACTGTTCTCGAACTCCTGACCCCAGGTGATCCGCCCACCTCAGCCTTCCAAAGTGCTGGGATTACAGGCATGAACCACTGTGCCCGGCTCATTGTAGTTTTAATTTGCATTTTTCTGATGTTTAATGAAGTTGAGGACCTCTTCATATGTTTATTGCCATTTGGACAGCCTCTTTTATGAAATGCCTCTTCAAGTCTTTTGTCCATTTTTAAAAATTGGTTGTCTTTCCTTTGCATCCTACGTGGCAGGAGTTCATGATTTAATATGTGGAGTCTTCTTAAGTCGCCAGGCTCCCTCTGTGTTGTTTCTATAAGGTTATGGACTCTATAATAGAGGGCTTCTCCCTTTAACCAGGTGATTCACTTAGAACAACTTCGCCTCTTTTTTGGCTGGTCACAGGTGCCTAAATGCACATCCTCTCACGCTGCTCCTGAAGATGCTGCTGCCACTGCTGCTAATGGCAGCTAATGCCATATGCCACTTTCCACAGGCCAGGCGGGGTTCTGTGCACTTTACATATTAACTTTTTTTTTTTTTGAGACAGGGTCTCACTCTGTCACCCCAGCTGGAGCACAGTGGCATGATCATGGCTCACTGCAGCCTTGACCTCCCAGGCTCAAGTGATCCTTCCTCCTCGGCAACCTGCACCCCACACAGCTAGGACTACAGGCGTGCCACCACACCTGGCTAATTTTAAAATTTTTTTTTTGTAGAGACAGGGTCTTACCATGTTGCCCAGGCTGGCCTCAAACTCCTGGGCTCAAGCGATTCTCCCACCTCAGCCTCCCAAACTGCTGAGATTTACAGGTGTGAGCCACTGCACCCAGCCCAGAGCCTGTGCTGCTTTGGACAGCATCTGGTCTCTAGGGTTTTTTGTTGTTGTTGTTTGTTTGTTTGTTTTGAGACGGAGTCTAGCTCTGTCACCCAGGCTGGAGTACAATGGCGCAGTCTCGGCTCACTGCAACCTCCGCCTCCCAGGTTTAGGAGATTCTCCTGCCTCAGCCTCCCGAGTAGCTGGGACTACAGATGCATGCCACCACGCCCGGCTAACTTTTGTATTTTTAGTAGAGACGGGGTTTCTCCATGTTGGTAAGGCTGGTCTTGAACTCCCAACCTTGTGATCTGCCCGCCTTGGCCTTCCAAAGTGCTGGGATTACAGGCATGAGCCACCATGCCTGGCCTGGTCTCTAGTGCTTCTTCCCAAGCAGTCACTGTGTCTTAACATCCAGCATGATAGAGGGGTTCAGTCCAAGGCAGTTCTGGGGTTACTGTGATGTCCATCATTTCCCAAGCCCTTTGCTAAATATTCCTGTCCTTCTCTATAAGCCTGGGGTTGAATACTATTATCAGCCCCATTTTACAAGTGAGGAAACTGAGGGCTACAGATGTTAAATGTCGTGCCCAAAACCACACAGCTGTGAGTGGATAGTAAAGCCAGGATTCACACCCTGGCCTGCCCGACTCCTTCCTGTGACTGGAATCCCAACTCTCCTGGAGGTCACGGCCTATTGCTCCAGTGCCTGCATTTGGCCTACACATATATTTTGTTTGGCCTGCAAGATAAGGGGTGTTTTTTGATTTGAGGTATGGTTTAGTAAGGTTTGGTAATTTGGCTGCTTTTAAAAACACTGGGTCCGAGTTGCTATGTAGTGACTGTCAGCTGGAGCCAGGTAGCTGCTGTCCTCTGTGGACTGCTTGGAGGTTCCCACTCTGCCTGGCTTCACTCATTACTTGCCCAGCCTGTTGTGATTTTCCATGCGGTGAGATGTGAGACTATACTTTTCCTCCCCCAACATACACTCCTGAGGGTCAGGTATCAGAATCACCTGTGGGGCTTTTTAAAGCTGTACTTCCCCTCCCCCACTCACCATCCCTACTATTCTGCCACTGGCAGTGGTGAGACAGTTTCCTATAGGAATTTGTAGTTTCTCTATGTTGTATTAGGGTAGGAAAAAAGATCAACAACTTGAGCCGGGCGTGGTGGCTCACGCCTGTAATCCCAGCACTTTGGGAGGCTGAGGCAGGTGGATTGCCTGAGGTCAGCAGTTCGAGACCAGCCTGGCCAACATGATGAAACCCCATCTCTATTAAAAATACAAAGAATTAGCTGGGCATGGTAGCAGATGCCTGTAATACCAGCTCCTTGGGAGGCTGAGGCAGGAGAATTGCTTGAGCCTGGGAGGCAGAGGTTGCACTGAGCCGAGATCACGCCATTGCACTCCAGCCTGGGCAACAAAAGCAAAACTCCATCTCAGAAAAATAAATTAATTTAAAAAAAAGGTCAACTTCCATATCCCTGTGTCCCAGTAGTGTCATGTGTGCCACACTAAACTGGAAAGACTATGGAATTCAGGTCAGAACTGGGTTCTGGTCTTGCCTCTGCCTCTAACCTACATGCAAGTGAGTTGTCCTCTCAGGCTGGGCGTAGTGGCTCACACCTGTAATCCCAGCACTTTGGGAGGCCAAGGTGGGAAGATCACTTGAGGCCAGAGTTTAAAACCAGCCTAGCCAACAGGGTGAAACCCTGTTTCTATAATACAAAAATTAGCCAGGCATGGTGGTGCACACCTGTAATTCCAGCTAACTGGGAAGCTGAGATATGAGAATTGCTTGAACCTGGGAGACGGAGGTTGCAGTGATCCAAGATTGTGCTGCTGGCGAGACTCCATCTCAAAAAAAAAAAAAAGAAAATTGTCCTCTCAGAGCTTTGGTTTTCTCCTCTGTAAAATGGAGCTAATAATTCCTGTCCACCCGCCGAGGTGCAGTGGATGGCTCCAGTGAGATCACGACTGGTAACATTCTTTGTAAACTGGAAGTTCACTTGTGCAGGGTAGTTGGTGTCCTCAGCCAAGCTGAGCATCCCTGACCTCTAGGTAGAGTCCACATTCCTGGGGGCCTGGCCTTGTGCTGTGGGCATACGATTGTGTTTGAAGGAGGGAGCCCACGGGACTTTCTCCAAGGCTTGGATACAGTGTGTTGCTGGGGCTACCCTAACAGTGTGGCCCTTTCCCCCTCATCTACCTGGCACTCTTCTCCCTATGGAGGTGGACTGTGCTGGGCCATGTCTACCTACTCCACGGGCTCCACGGGCATTGCTGGAGGGCTTGGAGATCAACTGAGACTATGAAAAGACTATCTGAATAAAACCAACTAACCTGCAAAACTCTACTAATCTAACCTGCAAGGTATCTGTCTCTGTGTTTCAGAGGTGTGATTTGTTCATTCATTGCACAAAGTTCACTTAGCATTTGCTCTGTGCTAGGCCCTGCACTGGGTGCTGAAGGTGAACGGGCATTCCACAGACATAGGGTTATGATCGTTACCGAAGGAGCCCCTGGTGGCCTGAGCTCAGGGCACCTGAGGGATGCAATGGACAGTGAGGCTGGAACAGATGATGGCTGTGCCTCCCATGTTAGGGTAGGGACTTTGGGCTTTATCTTGCAGGTAGGGAGCCTTTGAAGGTTTTTTGACAATGCCCAGGGAGGTTCCATTAGCTTAGGGGAGGAGGAGCAGGAAGATGAGAACATGAGGAGTTTAGTGTGGGATGTGTTGAGTTTGAGGCTCTGTGGAACATCCAGTGGTTGCCTTGTGGTAGGCAGTTGGATTTATGAGCCAAGACTCAGGAAAAGTTCTGGACTAGGGTTAGAGATCTGAGAGGTATTGGTAGTTGATAGTTAGAGGATTGACTATGAATGGAACTGTACAGGCCAGGCACAGTTACTCACACCTTTAATCCCAGCACTTTGAGAGGCCCAGGCAGGAGGATCACTTGAGCCCAGGGGTTCAAGAGCAGCCTGGGCAACATAGCGAGACCCTGTCTCTGCAAAAAATGTTTTAAAAATTAGCTGGGTATGGTGGCACATGCCTCTAGTCCCAGCTGCTTGCGAGGTCGAGGTGGGAGGATCACTTGAGCTCAGAGATTGAGGCTGCAGTGAGCCATGAATCATGCTGCTGTACTCCAGCCTGGGCAACACAGACCCTGTCTCAAAACAAAACAAAACAAAAAAGCCTTACAGAGTGTGGGGAGGAGAAGAATGAAATGTGGGGTGGTTCAGCCCCCTCAAGTTACAGATGAGCAAACAGGGCCCAGAGGAAAGCCGTTTGCTTATGGCCTCAGCAGTAAGTGTCATTCATCCATTCATTCAACAGATATTTATTGAATACCTGCCATGTACTAGGAGCTAGTTTAAGTGCTGGGATACAGCAGTGAGCAAAACACTCAGGGAGCTTACATGCCGGTGGGCAGACTCAGAAAACAAATTAAATATTATGTTAAGTAGTGGGAAGTGCTACAGATAAAAGTAAAGCAGTGTATTCTTTGATTTTAAAGATAAGGAAAATAGGGCCAGGCGTGGTGGCTCACGCCTGTAATCCCAGCACTTTGGGAGGCCGAGGCAGGCAGATCACTTGAGGTCAGGAGTTTGAGACCAGCCTGACCAACATGGTGAAACCCCATCTCTACTAAAAATACAAAAATCAGCCAGCCATGGCGGCGGGTGCCTGTAATCCCAGCTACTTGGGAGCTGAGGCAGGAGAATTGCTTGAACCCGGGAGGCGGAGGCTGCAGTGATCTGAGGTCGTGCCACTGCACTCCAGCCTGGGTGACAGAGGAAGACTCCATCTCAAAAAAAAAAGACTTTTAAGATTTTGACCTAAGTAACAGGAAGGATGGAGTTGCCACAAGGTAAGATTATGTGATGAGTAGGTTTTAGGGGAGAATTGAGAGTTCAGTTTTGACAGGTTAACTTAGAGCTACCTGTAGACACCTACACAGAGTCAGTAGCAGCAGCAATAAGACCATCATTTCAGCCCCTTCCCCTTCTCTCGGATGCCAAGTCCATGCACCCGTCCCTCTGCACCCTGTCTGTGTAGCTTTCTAATCTCTGGCCGCTGACCTGGGCCACTAGCCACCTCCCCACACTGAGAACTGACCCCAGCCCCCTGCCCCTAGGTTGTGCACAGGGACCTGAAGCCCAGCAACATCCTGTATGTGGACGAGTCCGGGAATCCCGAGTGCCTGCGCATCTGTGACTTTGGTTTTGCCAAACAGCTGCGGGCTGAGAATGGGCTCCTCATGACACCTTGCTACACAGCCAACTTTGTGGCGCCTGAGGTGAGTGGCCCAGCCTCCTCAGCTGTAAGAGTGAGGGGGAATTGGAGGCCTTGTGCCCCCTCCCAGAGGCCCCACATTAGCCGGGACTCCAGTCTCTGTGACCTTGGCCCAGCTGGCAAGGGAAGATCTAGCCTGTGCCTGGGACCCTTGTCCTGCCCTTGAGGGGAGTAGCAGGAAACATCTGTGGCGACTTTCTACTGCCCCCCCAGACTGACCACCTCCCCTGCCCTGTTGCCAGGTGCTGAAGCGCCAGGGCTACGATGAAGGCTGCGACATCTGGAGCCTGGGCATTCTGCTGTACACCATGCTGGCAGGGTGAGTGCCCCTGGCCTGGACCCTTCCCCACTCCTGCAGCCCTAGCACTTGGGCTGAGTGGTGCTTGTCTGATAGGAATGGCTCAGCCAGCCCCGCCCCAGGATGGTCTGGAAATAGGGACATGCTCCTGCCTCCAGGAGCTCTACCTTGGGAGTACCCCATCTGAGGGGGAGACACAGTCTCCCACCGCAGCCCCAGCCCCAGTATGGAGGCCAGAGTCTGTACCCAGACCGTGCGGGCTTTTCTGCAGATATACTCCATTTGCCAACGGTCCCAGTGACACACCAGAGGAAATCCTAACCCGGATCGGCAGTGGGAAGTTTACCCTCAGTGGGGGAAATTGGAACACAGTTTCAGAGACAGCCAAGGTGAGTCTGTACGGCCTGCGTGGGCTTATTTGGAGGAGGGAGGCAGGGTCCCATCCTAGGGCTTTTCAGCAGTTCATGAACAGCCTCATTTCTCCAAGCGGATGTTCCACAAATCCCTGTTGCTGTATTTCTCCAAGCGGAAGATTCCCAGGCAGACCACCACCACCTCCGTACCTTGTTGGGGTAACCTGGTGATCATTCATTGGCCCTTCTCATTCTGGACCCTGTGGGGCACTGAGGGCTGCATCATCACAGTCCCGGCTTTGTGGAAACGTAGTGTAGTGAGGGATACAGGTTTGCACACAAGGGGCAGAGATGCCTGGAGGCACAGATAGGCGGACGCTCTTGGCCAGGGGTGTGGACCGTGGAGACACAGAGCAGAGCAACTGGCCATGCCAAGCAGAGCCTCCTCGGAGGAAGTAGCATGTGAGCTTTCAGTATTAGCAACAGTTTTTGGTCATTGGGAACCTGTATGCCAGACAGAGTTGAACCCTCTATGTACGGCCGGCCACCTCACATCAACCTGTGAGGCAGGGAGTGGTTATTCCTATTTCTCAGCAGGGAAACTGAGGCTCAGAGAGTTGAAGGAACTTGCCCAGGGCACTCATTTGATGAGTGCAGAAGGCAAGTTTTGAACCTGAATCTGTCTGAGCCCAAACCTGAGGCTTTTCCCACCTTCCCACATGGCTTTTTGAAGGCAAAGGAGAAATGGAAGGGTGTTCCAGGACGAAGGGCCTAGAGCAGCAAAGGCCCAGCGACAGGAACCTTGGCTGTGTGCGGGGAGCCCTGGAGCAGAGTGGAGAATGGATCCCAGGGGCTGCCGCAAGGGTTCAGGCGGGAGCTAGCAGGAGATGGTTGCCCTCCTGTGCCCCATCAGGGGCCTGCTCCCCTGCAGCCCTCCCCCAACCCCCTTGCCCACTGTGTCCCCAGGACCTGGTGTCCAAGATGCTACACGTGGATCCCCACCAGCGCCTCACAGCTAAGCAGGTTCTGCAGCATCCATGGGTCACCCAGAAAGACAAGCTTCCCCAAAGCCAGCTGTCCCACCAGGACCTACAGCTTGTGAAGGTATGGCCACCCTTGGGCTGCTGGGCATCTGGGGGGTCAGCCCAAGGTGGCATGGTCAGGGACTTGTGGAAGAGCCAGGCAATGCCATGTCTGTACCAAGCACCATGAGGTGGAACATAGGAGAAGAAGACACAGCCCTGCCGTCAGGGAGCCTAACATGCTACAGTGTCACGGTGCACTCACAGCCCCCAATCCTCTGGAAGGCACAGCTGCTGACCTCTGAACCCTCCAGTCTGATGGGGGAGGCAGGACCCATGACCATAAAGGACCACTGAGGCTGGATTAACAGTGGGCTAGGCTGGGCGCGGTGGCTCACACCTGTAATCCCAGCACTTTGGGAGGCTGAGGTGGGTGGATCACGAGGTCAGGAGTTCAAGACCAGCCTGACCAAGATGGTGAAACCCCATCTCTACTAAAAATACAAAAATTAGCCAGGTGTGGTGGCAAGCGCCTGTAATCCCAGCCATTTGGGAGGCTGAGACAGGAGAATCGCTTGAACCCTGGGGGCAGAGGTTGCAGTGAGCCAAGATTGTGCCATTGCGTTCCAGCCTGGGTGACAGAGTGAGACTGTATCTCAAAAAAAAAAAAACAACAAAAACAAAACCAAAAAAAGTGGGCTGTGGAACACTGAGAGGGGCTGGCCTACCCTTGGGGCATGGATCCCCTCCCCGCTACATCTCCCACCATTGTGACCTGACCTCCCCACTTCTCTTTCAGGGAGCCATGGCTGCCACGTACTCCGCACTCAACAGCTCCAAGCCCACCCCCCAGCTGAAGCCCATCGAGTCATCCATCCTGGCCCAGCGGCGAGTGAGGAAGTTGCCATCCACCACCCTGTGAGGCACCAGGGCATTCGGGCCACAGGGCGGTGCTAGCTTGACACAGTCAGCATGCTTCCCAGAGGGAGCAGGCCGGAACCACAGGGCCAGAGGGAGCTGGAACCCGAGGGGCCGGGGAAGCTGCCAGCCCAGAACACCCCTAATGAGGGTGTGAGAAGTGCCTTCTCCTTCCCCAGGATGGACTCTTCTCGGCTCAGGCTCTGCTGGTGGAAAGCGATTCACTGTATAAACTTTTTTTTATGAAAAAAATGGCATCAACCACCATGGATTTTTACAAGATCCATTTGCCTTTCTGGGAGCAGAAACAGCCATTGCGGCCCCAGGAGGGGAACTGAGTCACGCTGGGGCTCTCTGAGACTCTTTAGAGCAGCTTTGGGATCCCACCCTGGGGACCCCCACGATTGGCCACCTGTAGCCATCTGCACACACCTCCGAGACAGTCCAGTGTCACCTCTCTCAGAGCATCTGGCTGTTTAGCAGAACTCATTCTATCCCCAATCAGCTCCTTTTCCGTTCTGTTCTGCTGGGAGTTCTAGAACCACTTCCTGCTACAGGAGGGGTCTCATGTCCTGCTGGCTTCCAGCTTCAGGCACCAGCATCCACCTTGGCTCTGCCAGTGGATCCCCTGCGGTCAGGCTGGGCAGCCCCAGAGAGAGGATGTGGAAAGCACTTTTTGGCTGACTTCATCTGGGGTTGGCAACAGGACAGAGTTCACAGGAGGCCAGTGGGCGGGCCATGAGGGACAGGGTCTTTTTTCATTTCTTCCTCAGCTGGTTACTCAGGGTTCATCTGTCCATGGCCTTTCTAATAAACTGTTGAGTTGAAGCACGCTCTCCTGCACTCTTCATCCCTGAATTTACCCTCTCTCTGCTATCGGATGTTGAAGACATTGGCAGTGACAGAAAATGGGCCAGGGCCAGTTAGCCCAGCTGCTTGGAACCAGGTCATCTGGGGAGTGTGTGGGAATCCCGCTGGCCTGGCCCACGTGTTCCTGCCAGGGGATTCCATTATGGTATTGATAACAGTATTATTAGCCAATGGTGACCAAGTGCCAGGCACTATGCCTGGGCCTCACATGAATATCTCATTTAATCTTAACCCTGTGAGGTAGATGCTCTGTATTATCCCTGTTTTATAGATGGGGAAACAGGCTCAAGTTGGGGAATGACATTTTCTCATGCAGTATTTTCTGAGCACTCATTCTGGCCCTGTTCTGGATGCTGGTGAACCAGGTAAAGAACAAGGTCATTGTGTCCAGGGGTCTTACTTCCCAGTAGGGGAAACGGACACTTAACAAGCCATGGTCAGCTACTGATAAGACACATACAGAATTAAACTGGGGTGAGATATTGGGTAATCAGGGAAGGCCATTCTGGGGAGGTAACCCAGGAGCTGAGATCTGAATGGTGAGAAGGGGTCAGCCAAGACTGGTAGGCAGAGGGCAGTCAGGACAAAGGCCATGAGGGGGAAACAGGCTCGGTGTGCTCAGGGATGAGAGGAGGCTGATGTAGCTGTGACCCCAGAGCCAGGCGTTTGCCCAAGATGAGGCTGGAAAGGAGGCAGAGGCCAGTTATGCTAGGCACTGTAAGCCAGGATTAGGCGTGCATTTAATTCTGAGTGAGGCGCAAGCTCCTAAAATAATTTGAGCAGGAAAGTGACATGATTTGATCATGATTTGATTCACATTTTTAAGAGATCACTCTGGGCCAGGTGCAGTGGTTCACGCCTGTTATCCCACCACTTTGGGAGGCCGAGGCAGGCAGATCACTTGAGGTCAGGAGTTCAAGACCAGCCTGGCCAACATGGCGAAACTCTCTCTACTAGAAATACAAAAATTAGCTGGGTGTGGTGGCGCATGCTCCCACCCATCAGCTCGCAAGGCTGAGGCATGAGAATTGCTTGAATCTGGGAGACAGAGGTTGCAGTGAGCCGCGATCGCACCACTGCACTCCAGCCCAGGCGACAGAGCGAGACTGTCTCAAAAAAATAAAAGATCACTCCGATTGCTCTGTAGAGAATTTGGACAGTGAGGTGGGGAGGCAGGAGGGAAGCAAGGTGACCAGGTTGGTGGCTACTGCAGTAGCCCAGGCAAGAGATGAGGTGGCTTGGACTAGGGTGGTGGGATGGAGATTGGGATGGAGTAGATGGGGTCAGGATATGCTTTGGAGGTAAAGTAGACAGCACTTGCTGGCAGTTTGCATGCAGAGGATAAGGGAAACAGAAGATTCAAGGATATCTTCTAGATTTTTGGGGAAAGAGTTTTGGGGGAAGCATTGGAGAGAAATAGGTTTGAGGAAAATTTTTAGAGCTCTGTGGGAGGTAACTTTTAAGTATCCAAATGGCTGGGCATGGTGGCTCACGCCTGTAATCCCAGCACTTTGGGAGGCCGAGGCAGGTGGATCACCTGAGGTTGAGAGTTCGAAACCAGCCTGACCAACATGGAGAAACCCCGTCTCTACTAAAAATAATAGAAAATTATGCCGGGCGCAGTGGCTCATGCCTGTAATCCCAGCACTTTGGGAGGCCGAGGCGGGCGGATCAGGAGGTCAGGAGATCGAGACAATCCTGGCTAACATGGTGAAACCCTGTCTCTACTAAAAATACAAAAAATTAGCCGGGCCTAGTGGCGGGCACCTGTAGTCCCAGCTACTCAGGAGGCTGAGGCAGGAGAATGGCATGAACCCAGAAAATGGAGCTCACAGTGAGCCGAGATCGTGCCACTGCACTCCAGCCTGGGTGAGAGAGCGAGACTCCATCTCAAAAAATAAATAAATAAATATAAATAAAAATATCCAAATGGAGATGTCAAATAAGAGTTGTAATTAGAAGTTGAAGTTCTAGGGAGAGATCTGAACTGGAAAGATAAATTTGGAAGTCATTAGCTTGGAGAAAGTTTGCAAAGCCAAGAGACGGGGCTTCTGAGAGTGTGGTCCACATACCAGTAGCATCAGCATCATCTGGGAGCTGGGTAGAAGTGCTGAATCTCAGGCCTGTCCCCAGACCTGGTTAATAGGAATCTATCTTATAACAAGGTCTACATGTGATTTCTGTGCATATTAAAGTTTGAGAAGTGCTGTTCTAGGGCCTGAGCAAAGATGAGGGGGTGGGGGGATGCCTGTGCTGAGCCCTGGAGCACCAGCAAGGGACACTCAGGGATGACAGCCAGAGGACCCCCCCACCCCCAGTCTGGCAAGATTCCAAGCCTTATGAACCAGGCCTTGGTTTCCATTATGTCTCGGCCGCCCCACTTTACAGATTTTAGAAAGCTAGGGCCTTAGAAGTGAATAAGTCCTGTTATGATGGAAGGAGATTCTGATAACAGCAGCTAAGTTTTGGGGCTGGCCTAAGTGTACGGATTCTAAGCCCGGCAGCCTCCCCACAGGAGCAAGGAGGGTGCTGTTGGGGCCCCATGGGCTAGGAAGCCCTCCTTTGCAACCAGTGACACTTATGTGGTACTTAGCCCCAACCCATGTCCTGTGTGTTTCACTTCTTGGAGACTTGGTTTCCCCATCTTGGAACCAACATTTCCTGTCCCACCCATCATCCAGGGTTGTCTCCCCTGGACCCCATCACCCAGCTGGAATCCTGAGCATCACCCTGCCTCCTTCCCCCCACTTCTGCATCCTGCCACCATCAATTCTGTTTCCTAAATATTTGGAGGATCCATCCCCTCCTCTCCATCCTCCCTGCCCTTCTCATATTTTTGTTCTTCCAGTAGCCTACTAAATCTCTCCAGACTTTTGTGTCCCCAACATCCTCCATTTACAATCACAAATCTGACCCAGCATCTGCCCTGAAGTGACTCGTCACTGTCTACAAGATATTGCTGAGGCATCCTCGCTTGAATTCAGTGTCCTGTGTGATCTGGCCCCCACCAAGATCCCAGTGTCAACTCTGTAACTTGTCCCCAAACTGCTCACAAGACCCAAACCTGCCGTGCTTCTGCCTCCACTGGATTCTGCTGCCACGTGTGCCCTGCTAATTTCCCATCCTTTAGGAAAATTCAAATGACACCTCCAGGAAGCCAACTAGGACACCACAAACTGTTTGGTGACCTTCCTTTGGGGTCCTCAGACCCCGCTCTGTGCCCCATTTCTGCGTATACCACACTTTTGGAAACAGCTGATGATGTGTTTTCTCCCCACTAGTCTGTGAACCTGAGGGTGTGGGCTGTGCTTTGTTCATTCCATATCCTGTGCACCTGGCACACAGTTTTTTGGTCCTCAGCTAGTGTTTGTTGAATGGGTGAGTGAACGAGAGAGCAGACTTGATGGTGCTGGGGGAAGCATAGAGCTGGAGCCTGGAAAGGCATCTGGGGTGGAAGGGAAGCTGGTGCTCTGAGGCATTGAGCTGTTAGTGTCTTGCCCCAGGCACCAGAAGGAAGATCCAAGAACCAGGAAATGGTGGATGGGTGGGTGGGGTGGGAGTCCATAGGTTTCTCAGCAGCCAAACCCCAAAACCCTAATACTTCACCTCTGTGGGCTTCAGTTTCCGCACTTGCTAAATGGGGATAATTCTTGCCCACCTCACAGCATCACCTGAAGATCAAATGAGTGTGTGAATATGAATGTGTTTAGGAAGGTAAAAAGCTTTGCAATTAGGCTCATTATAGTTTTCACAGGTCGGGACAGCCCCCCAGGGACTCACTGGACTCCAGAAACGCAGTTCCCAGCCACCAGCACCTCCAGTAGGAACTTTCCTCTCTGAGTGCTGACTGCCTGGACAAAACCCATTAATAGGCTGGGCATGGTGGATCACGCTTATAGTCCCAGCACTTTGGGAGGCCAAAGCAGGAGGGTCGTTTGAGGCCAGGAGTTTGTGACCATCCTGGGCAATGTAGTGAGACCCAAGACCCGTTTCTATTTAAAGAAAAAAAAAGTAAAAATGTTTTTAAACCCACTAATGAGAGTGTATATTCAAGGCAACTTGAATCTATGCTCCCAGGAAATATTTTAAATAAGTGAAAAAAAAAAAACACGAATAGCAATAACCCAGCTTGGGACAACAAATGATCAATCCTCATGTCCCCAAGTTCCACAGTCACTCTTCCTTTTTTCTGAGAGTCTTGTTCTGTCACCCAAGCTTGCTGCAACCTCTGCTTTACAAGGCTCAAGTGATCCTCCCACCTCAGCCTAACAAGCTGGGACTACAGGTGTGCACCACCATAGCTGGCTAATTTATTTTATTTTATTTTGTAGAAACGGGTTCTCGCTATGTTGCCCAGGCTGGCCACTCTTCCCTTTAATGCCCAAATAACAACCCCTGAGCACTCACCCTGCAGAATGTCCCCTCCCATAAAATAGTGGCTCCCATCTATCAATCAAATGCTCGTGATGGGAGTGCTGGGCACCAAGTGCTTCCCTTACTTTATTTCATTTGATCCTCATTATGAGGGAGATGTGATAATTTCACACACAAGAAAATTGAGGATTGGAAATTAAATGACTTGCCCGAGGACCCAGCTAAGAGGCAGAGCAGGACTCAAATTGAGATCTCTATGTTTCTGAAACTCACACTTCACCAGTGTGCTGTCCAGCCTCTCTGCTTCTGAAAATGCCCAAGACCTAGTCACACGTGCCACAGATCTGTCTGGTGACCACCCTTCCCCTCAGCCAGCCAGGTGATCATAAAGGTCCCATAACATTGGGGTCTGGTGTCAATTGGAGGACACAGTAGGAAAGTTCTATTTCCCAGCTGGCAAGCTGTAAAAAACAAGATGGGGAATTTGGGGAGTTTCCTGCAGACATTCTCAGAAGGTAGAGCATTCCCATCCCCTGTGCTGCATACACAGCGCACTAATGACGTGTTGAGGTCTTAGAGGAGATTCCTCTTCCCATAGGGGACAGTTTAGATGATCTCACATGTCCCCTTTGGGTCAGAGACTCAGATTCTCAATTGTTGATGCAGACATCAAAATCCCTGAGCATTTTTTGCATTTTACCCACTTATGTATCATGTTTTCCATGATTATTTCAGAGACAGGCCCCCACAGAGAAAAGACTGGTTTCCTACATATGTTAAATAATTCAACCAGTTAGCACCTTGGTTAACACATGGATTTAATTCACTCACTCACCCCGTAATGAAAGGCCACAAAGAACACGCCGACCCATGATTGGTCATTTGTTCATTGGCCGTGGTAGGCACAAGGTCTTGAGTTCCTTCTTTAACCAGGCAGAGTATACACATCATCCCTAATATGAAAAGCAATCTAATGAGGGAGGTATTACAATTTCCATTATTTATTTTTTTTTTTTTTTTGAGATGGAGTCTCGCTTGGTCACTCAGGCTGGAGTGCAATGGGACAGTCTCGGGTCACTGCAACCTCCACCTCCCAGGTTCAAATGATTCTCCTGCCTCAGCCTCCCGAGTAGCTGGGACTACAGGTGCACGCCACCACGCCCGGCTAATTTTTGTATTTTTAGTAGAGATGGGGTTTCACTATGTTGGCCAGGCTGGTCTTGAACTCCTGACCTCGTGATCCACCCGCCTCAGCCTCCCAAAGTGCTGGGATTACAGGCGTGAGCCACTGCACTTGGCCTACAATTTCCATTTTATAACAAGGAAACTGAGGCTAAGGGAGGACACTTGCCCACAATCTCCAAGCAAGGAAGTGGTTCAGCCAGGTTTTGAACCCAGGCCTATCTGGCTCCAAGCTCATGTGTGTCCTACTATTCAACCAACCCTGGTGCACAGGCTAAATATCTTCCCACAGTGACTCAAAAAATCTCACAGTCAGAAGGGCTCTAAAGGCCTTGACTCAACCTCCACCCACTATAGGAATCTCCCACAGATGGTTTCCAATTTCTGTTCGAATACCACCAGTGATGGAGAATCCACCACATCACAAGGCAATCCCCCACACAGTTGGAAAGTTCCTCCACTTTGAACTGAGGGCTTCTGAGTAGCTTCCACTTCTTGTGGGGGGTTCCCACTAACTCCTGGGGACCCAAGGGAGAAATGATTCAACAGAAGCAGGAGAGAGATCTACATGAGCACCCCACCCCCAGTGGAGGTAGTTGCAGGTGGCAGGCAAAGGAGTGGTACTAAGGCTACTCCAAGGAGAGGGAAAGACCCAGAGAAGTGAGCAGGAGGCCCTCGTGGGCCATCATTTCCCAGGGCCTTTGCAGTGGTCCCCACCTTTTCCCTCCCGCCTCAGCTCCTGCCCCACTCATCTGTGAAGGCAGCAGTGGGTAATGGGAACAGGCAGAGCTAGACAGACCCGAGATCATATCCCAGCCCTAATGCTGACCTGCCATGTGACCTTGGGCAAGTTGCTTCACTATTCTGACATTTCAACTGTCAAACAGAGCGATAGTGAGCATTAAAGGAGAGAGTGTTGGCCGGGCATGGTGGCTCATACCTGTATTCCCAGTACTTTGGGAGGCTGAGACTGGCGGATCATTTGAGGCCAGGAGTTTGAGACCAGCCTGGCCAACATGGCGAAACCCCATCTATTCTAAAAATACAAAAAATGAATAAATAATTAGCCAGGCGTGGTGGCAAGTGCCTGTATTCCAGCTACTTGGGAGGCTGAGACACGAGAATCACTTGAACCTGAGATGCAGAGACGGCAGTGAGCCGAGATCGTGCCACTGCACTCTAGCCTGGGTGACAGAGTGAGACTCTGTCTCAAAATAAAATAATAAAATAATAGCCGGGCACAGTGGCTCGCGCCTGTAATCCCAGCACTTTGGGAGGCTGAGGCGGGTGGATCACCTGTGGTCAGGGGTTCGAAACCAGCCTGGCCAACATGGCGAAACCCCATCTCTACTAAAAATACAAAGTTAGCTGGGCATGGTGGCGCATGCCTGTAATCCCAGTTTCTTGGGAGGCTGAGGCGGGAGAATCGCTTGAACCTGGGAAGCAGAGGTTGCAGTGAGCCAAGATTGCACCACTGCACTCCAGTCTGGGCAACAAGAGTGAAACTGTCTCAGAAAAAATAAATAAATAAATAAATAATAAAGAGGAGAGAGCGTGTGAAGTGTGTACGGAGCTGCTCAGTTATAAGCAAACAACATGAGGACGTGGGAAGCAGGCTAGAGTAGTGTGGTTAAGTGCAGACCTGGGATTAAGCTGTCCTGGTTTTGTTAAACTTTTTTTCTTGAGGGACAAACAACCCTGGCTTACAATCCAACTTTGACCACTTGCTTGTGGATCTTGGGCAAGCCATTTAATCTCTCTACCTTGATTTACTCATATGATTCATTTATTTATTTTTTAGAGACAGAGTCTTACTCTGCCTTGTCACCCAGGCTGGAGTGCAGTGGTATGATCATGGCTCACTGTAACCTCGACCTCCCAGGTTCAAGCAATCCTCCCACTTCAGCCTCCTCAGTAGCTTAGACCACAGGCACGGACTAACATGCCTGGCTAATTTTTATTTTATATTTTATTATTTTATTTTTTTGTAGAGCTGGGTTCTCACCATGTTGCCTGGACTGGTCTTGAACTCCTGGGTTCAACTGATCCTCCTGCCTCAGCCTCCCAAAACCTTGCGATTACAGGTCTGAGCCAATACGCCTGGCCTTCTCACCGGTTTAAGTAGAAGGAATCATATCCAGAACCTGGACAGGTCAGCTCATTTAAGCATCCTTGCCCCATGAAAAGAGGGAGCCCTTTCATTATGACCTTTACTCTCTTTCCAGAACCTCTCTCTGAGTTATAACTCATGTTTATGACTCAGTCTGAGACTTCTTTTTATAATTTCCTCTGTTTCTCTTCCCTTCTTCTGCTCCCCACCACCCCCGCCCGCTGTGGGCTGAGTTGAGAAACCGAGGGGTGATGACACATGTTGGAGCTGGGCATGAGGCCTGCACTTAGGATGGGCCTGGGGTCACTCATCCGTTGCAGAATCTTCTTTCCAGACCTGGACTTGGGCAAAGTCATTCCTGCAGTCGTTAGGAAGCTTTTCAGCTACTGGGTCCTTTGTGGGCTTCTGTGAGTGGGGGTTGGAATCAGAAGACACAAATGAGGTCAAATCTCAACAGCAGCCATCACTAACTATATGATCTTGGGCAAGTCACTTGGCCTAAGTCTTATTTCCCTCATCTGCAGACCATCATCAGAGAGTCATGGAGGAGATAAAAAGAAACAATGAGGATAAAGGCTCTGGCAGGAATCCGATCCAGAACAAATGATGGCTGAATTGCAAGAATGCTTGATAGAACCTTCAGGCCTAAGTGAGATGCTCCAGAACCAAGGGATCTTAATTCAGGGCCCATGGCATCCCAGGCATGGGGATATATGTAAAATGACCTGTATATCTTCCTGGGAGGAGAGGGTACAGGGTTTGTCATCAGATTCTCAAAGGAATTCAAGATCTCCTAGATGTTAAGAAACATTTTATCCAGGGGAGCAGATAACACTTTTACTTTTCAAGCATGTAGAACAGCAGTCCTGCCACAGCACTGTGCGATAGTTCTTTCAGTAGACTTAACGTTCCAGGCTGGGCACGGTGGCTCACACCTGTAACCCCAACACTTTGGAAGGCCAAGGTGGGTGGATTGCTTGAGCCCAGGAGTTTGAGACCAGCCTGGGCAACATGGTGAAACCCCCTCTATACCAAAAATACAAAAATATTAGTCAGGCATGGTGGGGTGTGACTGTGGTCCTAGCTATTTGGAAAGCTGAGAAAAGCTGAGGTGGGAGGATCCCTGGAGCCAGGGAAGTTGACGCTGCAGTGAGCTGTGATTGTGCCACTGCACTTCAGCCTGGGTGACAGAGAGAGACTAGGCATTAAAAAAAAAAATTAAATTAAATTTAAAAAACACAAAAATTAAAAACTTATGTTCCAGACACGGAAGATACTAAAATGAGAGCAATTGGCTTCTTGACTTTCTGGAGCATTGAATTTCAGAGAGGTTAATCGATTTAGCCAAGGTCACACAGTGCTGAAGGAAGCCTGATGCTGGAATTGGACCCCCAAGTCTCTGACTGCAAAGTTGGCCACTTTGTGTCTTGATAAAGGAGCCTTCTCAGGGGTCAAGTTCCTTCTGTTGGCTGAGACCAACAAGATCAGCATTCTATAAGGCCTGGGAATGGTCATTGGTTGAGGTCACATTGAGGGCCTCTGCCAGGGAGATGAGTGTGAGCTACCAGCTCACCTCCTGGGGGTGCTGATGAGCTGCCTGTAGATTGACTGGGGTTGTTAATCACCCATGATTCAGGGAGAAGGGGTTATCTTGCTGACTGCAGGCTGACAGACCATGAGGGAGCTCCACGTGTGTATTTATATCAACAATACTGAGGTTTAATTTACATACAACAAAATGCATAGATTGGCCAGGCGTGGTGGCTTAAGCCTGTAATCCCAGCACTTTGGGAGGCCGAGGTGGGCAGATCACCTGAGGTCGGGAGTTCGAGACCAGCCTCAGAAACCCCATCTCTACTGAAAATACAAAATTAGCCAGGCGTGGTGGCGCATGCCTGTAATCCCAGCTACTTAGGAGGCTGAGGCAGGAGAATCGCTTGAACCTGGAAGTGGATGTTGTGGTGAGCCAAGATTATGCCATTGCACTCCAGCCTGGGCAACAAGAGCAAAACTCTGTCTGAAAAAATAATAATAATAAATAAGTAAATTAAAAAATAAAAAATAATAACAATAATAAAATGCATAGATTTTAAATGTACAATTGAATGAGTTTGGACAAACTGATACACCTATGAAACCCACACCACTCTCAAGGTATAGAACGTTTTCATTACACAGAGCATTCCCTGCATCCCCTCTCAATTCCTTCAGAGCCAGAGGCAATCACTGTTCTGATTTTTGTCACCATAAGTTAGTTTTGCCTGTTCTAGAACTCAATAAAAATTGAATCGTCCAGTGTATACTTTTTGTGTCTGACTTTTCCCATTCAACATAGCATCCGTCAAGATTCACCAATCTTGCTGTATGTCAGTAGCTCATTCTCTGTTGTTGCTGAAGTGGTATTCTATTGAATGAAAATGCCATAGTTTAATTCATTCATCTGTTGATGGACATTCTTTTTATCCCCTTGTTTTTGGCTAATATAAACATTTATGTACGAATCTTTGTGTGGACACACGTTTATATTTCTCTTGGGTAAATAGAAGTGGTATTGCTGTGTCACAGGATAGGTGAATGTTTAATTATATAAAAAGTTACTAGGCTGGGTGTGGTGGCTCACCCCTATAATCCAGCACTTTGGGAGGCCAAGGTGGATGGATTGCTTGAGCTCAGGAGTTGAGACAAGCCTTGGCAACATGGTAAAACCCCATTTCTATCAAAAAAAAAAATTAGCCAGGCATGGTGACGAACCTCTAGTCCCTACTACTCAGGGGGCTGAGGTGGGAGAATTGCTTGAGCCCAGCAGGTCAAGACTGCAGTGAGCCATAATCACACCACTGCACTCCAGCCTGGCTGACAGAGTGAGACCCGTCTCAAAAAGAAAAAAAAAATTACTAAATTGTTTTCCAAAACAGTTGTGCCATTTTACACTCCCACCAGGAATGTATTACAGTTCCTGTTGCTTCATACCCTTGCCAGCCTTTGGTATTATTAATCTTTTTTTTTTTTTTTTTGAGACAGAGCTTTTGATCTTGTTGCTCAGGCTGCAGTGCAGTGGCGCGATCTCGGCTCACTGCAACTCCGCCTCTCAGGGTCAAGCAAATCTCCTGCCCCAGCCTCCTGAGTAGCTGGGATTACAGGTGTGCACCACCATACCCTGCCAATTGTTTTGTATTTTCAGTAAAGACAGGGTTTCTCCCTGTTGGCCAGGCTGGTCTTGAACTCCTGAACTCAGGTGATCCACCTGCCTCGGCCTCCCAAAGTGCTGGGATTACAGGTGTGAGCCACCATGCCAGTGATTTTTTTTTTTTTAAGATGGAGTCTTGCTCTGTCACCCAGGCTGGAGTGCAGTGGCACGATCTTGGCTCACTGCAACCTCCACCTCCCAGGTTCAAGTGATTCTTCCACCTCAGCCTCCCAAGCAGCTGGGATTACAGGCATGCACCACCGTGCCCAGCTAATTTTTGTATTTTGAGTAGAGATGGGGTTTCACCATATTAGCCAAGCTGGTCTCAAACTCCTGACCTTGTGATCTGCCCGCCTTGGCCTCCCAAAGTGCTGGGATTACAGGCGTGAGCCACCACGCCCCGCCACACCCTGTGATATTAACTTTAGTCATTCAAGTGGGTATGAAGTGATTTAGCTTTGAGGATTTCATTTGCATATCTCTAATGACTATGACATCAAGCATCTTTTGATGTGCTTGTTGACTATTCCTGTATACTCTTTCATCTATTCAAAACTTTTGAGCCATTTAAAAAATTGTGTTGGGGCCGGGCCCAGTGGCTCACGCCTGTAATCCCAGCACTTTGGGAGGCCAAGGCGGACAGATCACCTGCAGTCAGGAGTTCAAGACCAGCCTGGCCAACATGGTGAAACCCAGTCTCTACTAAAAAAAAAAATACAAAATTAGCCAGGTGTGGTGGCACACACCTGTAATCCCAGCTATTTGGGAGGCTGAGGCAGGAGAATCACTTGAACCTGGGAGGTGGCAGTTGCAGTGAGCCAAGATCGAGCCATTGCACTCCAGCCCGGGCAAAAAGAGCGAAACTCCATCTCAAAAAACAAAACAAAACAAAAAAAAAAAATTGTGTTGGCTGGGCATGGTGGCTCACACCTGTAATTCCAGCACTTTGGGAGACCGAGGAGGGTGGACTACCTGTGGTCAGGAGTTTGAGACCAGCCTGGCCAACATGGTGAAACCCCATCTCTACTAAAAATACAAAAATTAGCCAGGCGTAGTGACAGGTGCCTGCAATCCCAGTTACTTGAAAGGCTGACACAGAAGAATTGCTTGAACCTGGGAGGTGAAGGTTGCAGTGAGCCAAGATCACGCTACTGCACCCCAGCCTGGGTGACAGAGCAAGACTCTGTCTCAAATAATAATAATAATACAATAAATAAATAAAAATAAAAAGTTGTGTTGTTGGCCACACATGGTGGTTCATGCCTGCAATCTCAGCAATTTGGGAGGCCAAGATGGGAGGATCACTCGAGCCCAGGAGTTTGAGACCAGCCTGGGCAACATAGTGAGACTTTGTTGCTACAAGGAAAAACTTTTTTAGTTAGCTGGGCATGGTGTCACATGCCTGTGGTCCTAGTTACTTGGGAAGCTGAGATGAGAGGATTGCTTAGGCCTGGGAGGTAGAGGCCGCAGTGAACTGTGATCATGCCACTGCACTCCAGCCTGGGCGACTGAGTCTCGAAAAGAAAAAAAAAAGATGAGAAACCTACAAGAGGAGAGGTTAAATAACTTACTCAAGGACACAGGTAGTAAGAGACAGAGCTGGGATTAAATCCAGGTCAGACTCACCTGGAACTTCCTGCTCCTAATCCTTACTGCTTTACCATCTCTGTAATTTAAGACCCAGGTGATGGTTAGTCTGGAATTTTTTTTTTTTTTTTTTTTTTTTTAGAGGGAGTCTCGCTCTTAGGCCAGGCTGGAGTGCAGTGGCACAATCTTGGCTCACTGCAAGCTCCGCCTCCTGGGTTCATGCCATTCTCCTGCCTCAGCCTCCCAAGTAGCTGGGACTACAGGCACCTGCCACCATGCCCGGCTAATTTTTTGTATTTTTAGTAAAGATGGGGTTTCACTGTGTTAGCCAAGACAGTCTCGATCTCCTGACCTTGTGATCCACCCGCCTTGGCCTCCCAAAGTGCTGGGATTACAGGCGTGAGCCACCATGCCCGGCCTAGCCTGGAAATTTTAAAGATCTGCAAAGTTTCCTAATAGGATTGCACAGGATCTATTGCTTAACTTGAGAATTTACATCTTAACAATATTGAATCTTCCAATTCATGAAATATCTATTTAGATTTTATTTAATTTTTCTCAGCAATTTATAGACTTTAGTGTACAGCATTTATATGTCTTTTGTTAAATTTGTCCTGAAGTATTTGATATTTTAAATATAATATTGTCAATGGCATTATTTTTTTAAAAAATTTTAGTTTCCAATTTTGTGTTGCTAGTGTATAGGATTATAATTGATTTTTTTTTTGTTTTTTTGAGATGGAGTCTCCCTGTCTGGAGAACAGTGGCACCATCTCAGCTCACCACAACCTCTGCCTCCTGGGTTCAAGTGATTCTCCTGCCTCAGCCTCCTGAGTAGCTGGGATTACAGGTGTGTGCCACCACACCTGATTAATTTTTGTATTTTTAGTAGAGACAGGATTTTCACCATGTTGGCCAGGCTGGTCTTGAACTCCTGACCTCCAGTGATCCACCTACCTTGGCCTCTCAAAGTGCTGGGATTACAGGCATGAGCCACCATGTCTGGCCAACTTACTTAGTTTTAATAGCTATTTTTAGATTCCTTAGCATTTTCTACAGAGATAATCTTTTTTTTTTTCTTTTTTGAGATGGAGTCTTGCTCTGTCGCCCAGGCTGGAGTGCAGTGACACAATCTTGGCTCACTGCAACCGCCGCCTCCCGGGTTCAAGCGATTCTCCTGCCTCAGCTCTAGAGTAGCTGGGACTACAGGCACGTGCCACCATGCCCCCTAATTTTTGTAATTTTAGTACAGATGGGGTTTGGGGTTTCACTATATTGATCAGGCTGGTCTTGAACTCCTGACCTCAGGTGATCCACCAGCCTTGGCCTCCCAAAGTGCTGGGATTACAGGCATGAGCCACTGTACCCGGCCAAGATAATCTTGTTCTTTGCAAATAAATATAGTTGTACCTATTCCTTTCAAATCTATATGCCTTTTATTTCTTTTTCTTGCCTTATTGCACTAGCTAGAATTGCTAGTACAACATTAAACAAAATATCCTTACCTTCTTGATATTAGGAGGAACGCATTCAATCTTTCATCATTAAGTATGATGTTATCTGTATTATTCTAAATACTCTTTATCAGGCTAAAGAAGTTTCCTTCTCTTCCTACTTTGCTGAGAATTTTTACCATGAATCAATGTTGAATTTTCTCAAATGCTTTTTTCTGTACTTATTGAGATGATCATAAGTTTTGCTTTGTTTTTTAGTTGGTTAATGAGGTGAATAACATAGATAGATTTAAAATGTTAAACCACCGTTTCATTCCTGAGATATATGGCTACTCAGGTTATTTCTTCTCTTCTTCCTTTTTTTTTTTTTGAAACAGGGTCTCACTCTGTCACCAAGGCTGGAGTGCAATGGCACAATAATGGTTTACTGCAGCCTCAACCTCCTGGGCCTAACCAGTCCTCCTACCTCAGCCTCACAAAGCACTGGGATTACAGGCATGAGCCACCACACCTGGTGTGCAACATGTTTTACTTATTTATTTAATTTTTTTGGAGACAGAGTCTTGCTCTGTCCCCTAGGCTGCAGTGCAGTGGCATGATCTCGGCTCACTGCAACCTCCGCCTCCTGGGTTCAAGTGATTCTCTTGCCTCAGCCTCCCAAGTAGCTGGGATTACAGGCATGCGCCACCACGCCCAGCTTAATTTTGTATTTTTAGTGGAGACGGGGTTTCTCCATGTTGGTCAGGCTGGTCTCAAACTCCCGACCTCAGGTGATCCACCCACCTTGGCCTCCCAAAGTGCTGGGTTTACAGGTGTGAGCCACCGCGCGTAGCCCTCAATGTGTTTTAGAAAGCTAAAATTAGCTGAGTGTGCTGGCTCACACCTGTAATCCCAGCACTTTGAGAGGCTTAGGCGGGTGGAGTGCTTTAGCCCAGGAGTTTGAGACCAGCCTGGGCAACATGACAAAACCCCGTCTCTATAAATACTTAAAAAGTTAACTGGGCATGGTGGCATCCGCCTGTAGTCCCAGTTAGTTGGAAAGCTGAGGTGGGAGGATTGCTTGAGCCTAGGAGGTTGAGGCTGCAATGAGCCGAGATCCCACCACCGCACTCCAGCCTGGGTGGCAGAGAGAGATCCTGTTCCAAAAAAAAGAAGGAAAGAACAATGAAATTTACTTAGTAGGGCCGGACACAGTGGCTCACACCTGTAATCCCAATACTTTGGAAGGCTGAGGCGGCCAGATCACACGAGGCCAAGAGCTTAAGACCAGCCTGGCCAACATGGTGAAACCCTGTCTCTACTAAAAATACAAAAATTAGCTGGGCATGGTGGTGTGTGCCTGTAATCCCAGCTACTCCAGTGGCTGAGGCAGGAGAATTGCTTGAACCTGGGAGGCGCAGGTTGCAGTGAGCTGAGATTGTGCCAGTGCACTCCAGCTTGGACTACAGTGTGAGACTCTGTCTCAAAAAAAGAAAAAAAATAAGTTTATTTATTACACCATATATTGCAATGATGGCATCTGGCATCTGCTCATTTGTCGTTCAACAAACGTTTCTTGAGCATTCACCTGGCATGTAATTTTTTTGGGGGAAATTTATGACTTTGGTTTGCTATTTGTCAAAAGGCACTCTCTGTTCCTTCCTCCCATTTACCATATGCTAAACAGTTTACTAGAAGCTTTAAATGCTTTGATTCATTTAATCATCAAAACAACCTAGCTAAGTGGATATTATTATTTCCTTTTATACATGAATAAAATGGAATATCAGATAACTTAAATCAAATGGAATCAACTTAAATAAAAAAACTTTAATCCCTTAATCAATAGTTTACATTTATTGAGTGCTTATCAGGTGCCAAGCACTGTAATAAATGCTTTATAAGTATTATTGCCTCTATTTCCTTATGGAGTGAAGGCTTTGATTATACTCATCTTACTAATGAGTATGAGGTTAAATTACCTAATACCCAAGGTCATCCTTTTAGAAAGTGGTAGAGCTGGTACCAGCACTGTACTTCACATTAGAAAACCTGTGTTCACATCTTGTTTTTACAGTGTGATCTTGTGATCTTACAGCCACTGAACAGCTCTGAGCTTTAGTTTCATTTGTTTTTCAGCTTTAAGTTTTTTAATGATTATATCATCTCAAAAGATTGTTTTAAAGGTCTGAAAGGAATTCCTATACCTGTAAACACTGCACATGTATTATTCAAGCAAACATTTGTCACTAATTATGTGAAAAGCATACACTATTAGATGATGCATTAAAAATAATTTATTGTAGGGCGTGGTGGCTCACACCTGTAATCCCAGCACTTTGGGAGGCCGAGGCGGGTGGATCACGAGGTCGGGAGATGGAGACCATCCTGGCTAACACGGTGAAACCCCGTCTCTACTAAAAATACAAAAAATTAGCCGGGCGTGGTGGCAGTTGCCTGTAGTCCCAGCTACTTGGGAGGCTGAGGCAGGAGAATGGTGTGAACCCCAGAGGTGGAGCTTGTGGTGAGCCAAGATCGCACCACTGCACTCCAGCCTGGACGACAGAGCGAGACTCTGTCTCAAAAAAAAAAAATAATAACAATTTGTTGTTCTTATGTGGTTTATAGAAATGAGATTAGATATAAATAAAGACTACAGATAAAAAGGAATCCCCTTCGCCGGGCGCGGTGGCTCATGCCTGTAATCCTAGCACTTTGGGAGGCCGAGGCAGGCGGACCACAAGGTCAGGGGTTCGAGACCAGCCTGACCAACATGGTGAAACCCCGTCTCTACTAAAAACACAAAAATTAGCTGGGCGTGGTGGCGGGCACCTGTAATCCCAGCTACTCAGGAGGCTAAGGCAGGAGAATTGCTTGAACCCGGGAGGCAGAGGTTGCAGTGAGCCAAGATTGCACCACTGCACTCCAGCCTAGGCGACAGAGCAAGACTGTCTCAAAAAAAAAAAAAAAAAGGAATCCCCTTCTCACAATTAAATTGGGCTCTCCTAAACTGGGCTCTGAGATCAGACAGATCCAGATCCAGACAAATCCAGGTTTGAAACCTTAGCTTCACCACCCACTGGCTGTGTGACTTTGAGCAAATTACCCAAACTTTCTTCTTTTTCTTCTTATTCTTCTTTCTTTCTTCTTCTTCTTCTCTTCCTCTTCCTCTTATTCTCCTCCTTCTCCTTCTTCTTCTTTTTTGAAACAGGGTCTTGCTCTGTCACCCAGGCTGGAGTGCAGTGGCTTGATCTTGGCTCACTGCAACCTCCACCTCCTGTGTTCAAGCGATTTTTCTGCCTCAGCCTCCCCAGTAGCTGGGACTACAGGTGCGCACCACCACGCCTGGCTAATTTTTGTATTTTTGGTAGAGATGGAGTTTCACCATTTTGGCCAGGCTGGTCTCGAACTCCTGACCTTGTGATCCACCTGCCTTGGCCTCCCAAAGTGCTGGGATTACAGGTGTGAGCCACTGCTCCCAGCTCAAGTTTTTGTTTTAAGGTTAATTTTCTTTTTTTTCTAAGAAAGCTTTTTCTACCCAAAGTTCTCAAAGATTTTTCTCTTGTTTTCTTGCAAAAGTTTTAGCTTTTACGATTAGGCCTATGATCCATTTCCATTTAATTTTTATGGTATCATATACTATATGAGTATGATATAAGCATTGAAATTGTTTTTCCTTATGGATATCTAATTGTTTCTGCACCATTTTTAGAAAAGACTACCCTTTCTTAACATCTTTGTTGAAAATCAACTTACCACATATGTGTGAGTCTGTTCCTGAACTCTCTATTCTATTGATCTACAGATCTTTCTAATAGCACAGTTTTGATTACCATGCTTTACAGTGCTTATAACTCAGTCTTGAAACTGGGTAGCTTAAGTCCTCCTCTCTTTTATCTTTTTTTTGGAGGGATAGAGATGGGGTCTCCCATATTGCTTAGGCTGGTCTTGAACTCCTAGGCAATGAACATTTTCAAAATTTCAAAAAATGGAGCAAAAATCATTCAATTACTTATGAAAAAGAAGAAAAATATTTTCACACATATTAACTCTTTTAATCCTAACAGCCCTTTGAGGTAGGTACCATATAATCATTCCCATTTTACAGATGGAGAAGTTGATTCCCAGAGACTTTGAATAACTTGCCCAAGGAAATGAATAAGGTTTGAACCCAGGCAGTCTGGCTTTAGGGCATGTAAGCAATTAGGTAAGCAATTCTCTTGCCTTGGCCTCCCAAAGTGCTGGGATTACAGGCATGGGCCATCATGCCCGTGCCCCCTGCTTTTCTTTTTTTTTTTTTTTAGGAGACAGGGTCTTACTACATTGTCCAGGCTGGAGTGCAGTGGCTATTCACAGGCACAATTCCACTACTGATCAGCACAGGAGTTTTGACCTGCTCAGTTCCCAACCTGGGCTAGTTCACCTCTCCTTAGGCAACCTGGTGGTCCCCCAGCTCCCAGGAGGTCACCATATTGATGCAGAATTTAGTGCAAACAGACACCTGATGGACGTAGCACACTATGGCCCAGAACTCTTGGACTCAAGCCATCCTCCTGCCTCAGCCTCCCATGTAGCTGGGACAACAGGGTGCGCCACTGCACCTGGCTCTTTTATTTTTTTAAATTTTCTCTCTCCCCCTTGATTTTGTGCAGTTTCATTATGATGAGATTCTTCTTCTTCTTTTTTTTTTTTGAGATGACATTTCACTCGTCATCCAGGCTGGAGTGCAATGGCGCGATCTTGGCTCACTGCAACCTCTGCCCCCCAGGTTCAAGGGATTCTCCTGCCTCAGCCATCACAGTAGGTGGGATTCCAAGCATGTGCCACTATGCCTGGCTAATTTTTTGTATTTTTAGTAGAGAAGGGGTTTCCCCATGTTGGCCAGGCTGGTCTCGAACTTCCAACCTCAAGTGATCCACCTGCCTCGGCCTCTCAAAGTGCTGGGATTACAGGCGTGAGCCACCGTGCCCGGCTCTTCTTTTTTTTTTTTTTTTTTTTAATAAGGCTAGTCAAGTGGAGCAGTGGGAGTAGAGAAGGAACAAAGAAATCTGTAACTGGTTGTGATCAATTAGTTGCAAACACCACTGCACTTGGACCAGCTATCTTCTTTTTAAATATCAACCTAGGAGCAGAATAATTGGCACAGAAACTATTGTCAAAATTAATTTGACTATGTACTGGCTGATTGCTTTCTAGAATGGCTGCACTAATCTATACTCCCATCAGGGTCCCTATATACCTCATTTTGGCTAACACTTAGCATTACTCAGATTTCTAGTTTTTGCCAATCTAATGGTATAATGTGATATATCAATGTTGTTTCTTTAAGCAGCTGTATTGAATTGACATACAATAAACTGCAAAGGGTACAATTTGATGAGTTTTGACATTTGCATACACCTGTGAAACTATCTTTACAATAAAGATTATGAGTGTATCCATCATCCCCAAAAGCTTCCTCATGCTCCTTTGATTGTTTTGGGTTTTTTTGTTTTGTTTTGTTTTCTGAGACGGAGTTTCGCTCTTGTTGCCCAGGCTGGAGTGCAATGGCGTGATCTCAGCTCACTGCAACCTCCACCTCCCAGGGTCAAGCGATTCTCCTGCCTCAGCCTCCCGAGTAGCTGGGATTACAGGCATGCACCACCACACCCAGCTAATTTTTGTATTTTTAGTAGAGATAGGGTTTCTCCATGTTGATCAGGCTGGTCTCAAACTCCCAACCTCAGGTGATCCGCCCGCCTCAGCCTCCCAAAGTGCTGGGAATTACAGGCATGAGCCACTGCGCCCAGCCTGTTTTGCGGTTTTTTGTTTTGTTTTGTTTTTTTGTTGAGACTGAGTCTTGCTCTGTCACTCATGCTGGAGTGCAGTAGCTCTATCTTGGCTTACTACACCTCTGCCTCCCAGGCTGAAGTGATCCTACTGCCTCAGCCTTCTAAGTAGCTGGGATTACAGGTACCTGCCACTACGCCCGGCTTATTTTTATATTTTTAGTAGAGATGGGATTTCACTATGTTGGGCAGGCTGGTCTTGAACTTCTGACCTCAAGTGATCTGCTTGTCTCAGCCTTCCAAAGTGCTGGGATTACAGGCATGAGCCATCGCACCCGGGCCCTCATGCCCCTTTGAGTCTGAGCTTTTCCATCTCCAAAGTGCAGCTTAGTTGTAAGGATGTATGGTGTTAGCTTAGCTTGGGGACTGGCACACAGAAAGCACTGGGGAAATGAAGCTTATATTACTGCAAACATACAGCTGGGTAGTTAAGTATACATGCCCTAAAGCCAGACTGACTGGGTTCAAACCTTATTCATTTCCTTGGGCAAGTTATTCAAAGTCTCTGGGAATCAACTTCTCCATCTGTAAAATGGGAATGATTATATGGTACCTACCTCAAAGGGCTATTAGGATTAAAAGAGTTAATATGTGGCTCTTCTCCCTTTAAGACCAGCCCTGCCCCTGCCCCTGCCCCTGCCCCTGCCCCTGCCCCTGCCCCTGCCTCTGCCTCTGCCTCTGCCTCTCCCCTCTCCCCTCTCCCCTCTCCCTCTCGGTCTCCCTCTCCCTCTCTTTCCACGGTCTCCCTCTGATGCCGAGCCGAAGCTGGACTGTACTGCTGCCATCTCGGCTCACTGCAACCTCCCTGCCTGATTCTCCTGCCTCAGCCTGCCGAGTGCCTGCGATTGCAGGCACGCGCCACCACGCCTGACTGGTTTTCGTACTTTTTTGGTGGAGACGGGGTTTCGCTGTGTTGGCCGGGCTGGTCTCCAGCTCCTAACCGCGAGTGATCCGCCAGCCTTGGCCTCCCGAGGTGCCGGGATTGCAGACGGAGTCTGGTTCACTCAGTGCTCAATGGTGCCCAGGCTGGAGTGCAGTGGCGTGATCTCAGCTCGCTACAACCTCCATCTCCCAGCCGCCTGCCTTGGCCTCCCAAAGTGCCGAGATTGCAGCCTCTGCCCGGCCACCACCCCGTCTGGGAAGTGAGGAGCGTCTCTGCCTGGCCGCCCATCGTCTGGGATGTGAGGAGCCCCTCTGCCTGGCTGCCCAGTCTGGAAAGTGAGGAGCGTCTCTGACCGGCCGCCATCCCATCTAGGAAGTGAGGAGCGCCTCTTCCCGGCAGCCATCCCATCTGGGAAGTGAGGAGCGTCTCTGCCCGGCCGCCCATCGTCTGAGATGTGGGGAGCGCCTCTGCCCCGCCGCCCCGTCTGGGATGTGAGGAGCGCCTCTGCCCGGCCGCGACCCCGTCTGGGAGGTGAGGAGCGTCTCTGCCCAGCCGCCCCATCTGAGAAGTGAGGAGCCCCTCCGCCCGGCAGCCGCCCCGTCTGAGAAGTGAGGAGTCCCTCTGCCCGGCAGCCACCCCGTCTGGGAAGTGAGGAGCGTCTCCGCCCGGCAGCCGCCCCGTCCGGGAGGGAGGTGGGGGGGTCAGCCCCCCGCCCGGCCAGCCGCCCCGTCCGGGAGGGAGGTGGGGGGGTCAGCCCCCCGTCCGGGAGGGAGGTGGGGGCGGTCAGCCCCCCGCCCGGCCAGCCACCCTGTCCGGGAGGTGAGGGGCGCCTCTGCCCAGCCGCCCCTACTGGGAAGTGAGGAGCCCCTCTGCCTGGCCAGCCACCCCGTCCAGGAGGGAGGTGGGGGAGTCAGCCCCCCACCCGGCCAGCCGCCCCGTCCGGGAGGGAGGTGGGGGGGTCAGCCCCCCGCCCGGCCAGCCACCCCGTCCAGGAGGGAGGTGGGGTGAGCCCCCCGCCCAGCCAGCCGCCCCGTCCGGGAGGTGAGGGGCGCCTCTGCCCAGCCGCCCCTACTGGGAAGTGAGGAGCCCCTCTGCCGGGCCAGCCACCCCGTCCGGGAGGGAGGTGGGGGGATCAACACCCCGCCCGGCCAGCCGCCCCGTCCGGGAGGGAGGTGGGGGGGTCAGCCCCCGCCCGGCCAGCCAGCCCGTCCGGGAGGGAGGTGGGGGGGTCAGCCCCCCGCCCGGCCAGCCGCCCCGTCCGGGAGGTGAGGGGCGCCTCTGCCCGGCCACCCCTACTAGGAAGTGAGGAGCCCCTCTGCCCAGCCACCACCTCGTCTGGGAGGTGTACCCAACAGCTCATTGAGAACGGGCCATGATGACAATGGCGGTTTTGTGGAACAGAAAGGGGGGAAAGGTGGGGAAAACATTGAGAAATCGGATGGTTGCCGTGTCTGTGTAGAAAGAAGTAGACATGGGAGACTTTTCATTTTGTTCTGTACTAAGATAAATTCTTCTGCCTTGGGATCCTGTTGATCGGTGACCTTACCCCCAACCCTGTGCTCTCTGAAACATGTGCTGTGTCCACTCAGGGTTAAATGGATTAAGGGCGGTGCAAGATGT
Source organism: Homo sapiens (assembly GCF_000001405.40). NCBI lineage: Eukaryota > Metazoa > Chordata > Mammalia > Primates > Hominidae > Homo > Homo sapiens. Next base: position 26,597,272 of record NC_000001.11, read on the forward strand.
GCTTTGTTAAACAGATGCTTGAAGGCAGCATGCTCGTTAAGAATCATCACCACTCCCTAATCTCAAGTACCCAGGGACACAAACACTGCGGAAGGCTGCAGGGTCCTCTGCCTAGGAAAACCAGAGACCTTTGTTCACTTGTTTATCTGCCAACCTTCCCTCCACTATTGTCCTATGACCCTGCCAAATCCCCCTCTGCGAGAAACACCCAAGAATGATCAATAAAAAAAATAAAAATTAAAAAAAAAGTTAATATGTGTGAAAATATTTCTTCTTTTTCATAAGTAATTGAATGATTTTTGCTCTATTTTTTGAAATTTTGAAAATATTCATTAGCACCTTCTCTGACATGTAGGGATTTGGAACTCCAACTTGGGAGCTTCTGAATTAAGTGTAGTTTCTCAGTGGTCTCCTTGCAAATTTGGTACTATTAGGTCTCTGATGAAAGCGGTAATGGTAATTCTCAGAGTCACCACAAGAGGGAATAGAAATTTACTCTTGTGGCTTGTGAGGACAATTCAATTATATTTCTGATCTACCCACTTGGAAATAACTATTTGATATCCGAGCAACCAGCCCCTTCTTGGTATGTTAGATCTGGGACTTACACAAATGACTTAGTGTTAGTGTTTTGACTATCCTGAGTCTCTGTGGTTGAGCACTACAACACACATATGAACAAAAGGATTCACAGCCTTTGGAGCATAACCTGTTTACAAGTAGCAGTAGAAGTACTAAAATAATAACAATGGCCAACATTTATTAAGTTAACATGTTTGGCGCTATTCTGTTTTCCATTAACCTATCCTATTATGATAGGTATTCTTATTATCTTATTTCCTCACTTTAAAGGTAAAAATATTGGGGTCTAGAGGTGAGGAAACTTGCCAAAGAAGACATGGCCATTAGAATGATTTATAGTTAATGAAAGGTAATTTCATAGTAGGAGAAAAAAAGAGACTATTTTAATGAAGGTTTTTTTTTTTTGACACAGTCTTACCCTCAAAAAACAATTAAATATATGTACTTTACTCTTAGAGAGTTTGTGTAAATAAACTAGCTTTTGTAAAAGCACCTGACAAGTTCTGACATATAGTAGGAGCTAAGGACACACTTAGTTGGATGCCTCGGGAAACTTGGAAGCCGACCCTGAAACAGGATTTCTCAGTAAGAGATGTTTGTTTGTTTGTTTGGGAGACAGTCTCACTCTGTCACCCAGGCTGGAGTGCAGTAGCACAATCATGACTCTGCAGCCAGACTTAACTCCCAGGTCAATTGATCCTCCTGCCTTAGCCTCCCGAGTAGCCGGGACTGCAGGCATGTGCCACCATGCCCAGCTAATTTTCTTAATTTTTGCAGAGATGAAATCTCACTGTGTTGCTCTGGTTGGTCTTGAACTTCTGGGCTCAAGTGATCCTCACCTTGGCCTTTCAAAGTGCTGGGATTACAGGCATGAGCCATCATGCCCAGCCTTTTTTTTCTCTTTTTTTTTTTGGCGGGGGTGGGGTGGGGGACAGGGTCTTAAGGAAACGCTCCAAGAAGTCAGTAGGGCATAGGAGAAGTTGAGCTGGGAAGGGAAAAAGCAAAAAGCCACGCAAAGGTGAGATTTCAGGCAAAGTCCTCAAGAGAGTAGTTTAATCCCTATTAATCCCTGAAGGAGCTCAAGAGTATAAACTCTACCCAGAGGCAAGAATGCCAGTCTTTCAGACTCCTGCATCTAATCAATCATTTGCTAGAGACCAGGGAATAAGTAAGGAACAAAACCATTCTAGTAACTTGAGGATCTTCCTCTTTTGAAGTGTCGTCTCAGGAGCTGGTTACTGGGAGCAAAAACAAACAGAAGCCAAGGGAGGGTCAGGAGGAACTGGTAGAAGATCTGAGAAGATCTGGGCAGAGCGACAGTATACAGGGTCGTGGTTTTCTCTTCTCAGAAAAACTGGGCTCAAATTCTTGCTTTGCCACTTACCAGCTGTCTGCTGTTTCCCTTTCTTCATCCATAAAGTGGTCACAGTAAATTAATACCTGCCCTTACTTTCTCGCAGGATCAAAAAAGATAAAATGAAACAGTGCAGAGAAAGCCCTTTGAAAGTTAAAATGCTAGGCTGGACGTGGTGGCTCATGCCTGTAATCCCAGTACTTTGGGAGGCCAAGGAGGGCAAATTGCTTGATCCCAAGGGTTCCAGAAGAGCCTGGGCAACACGGCGAAACCCCATCTCTACCAAAAATACAAAAAGTAGCTGGGTGTGGTGGTGGGTGCCTGTAGTTCTAGCTACTCAGGAGGCTGAGGTGGGAGAATTATCTGAGACCGTGAGGTCAAGGCTGTAGTGAGCTATGATTGTGCCACTGCACTCCAGCCTGGGTGACAGAGTGAGACTCTGTCTCAAAAATAAGTAAATTAATTAAATTTAAACAAACAAACAACAAAAAAGTTAAAATGCTAGATAAATTCTACAGGATTTATTCCACAGACATTTACTAAACATCTACTATAAACCAGGCACAGTTCTAGGTGCTGAGATACATAATCTAGTAGGAAACTCATAACCTATTAAGGAGCTTTTTATTCTAGTGAGGGAGACAGAAAAGGAAATAGAAAATTATATGACCTTGGGATAAGTGATGTCATTAAAGTATGTTGGGGAAGGGGAGCCAGTGGCACAAAAGAGGATATGACCAGTTCTATCAGGGGGCAGAAAACCAAGAGAGATTTCCAGAAGAGCTGACATCCAGCTACCTAAAAGATGGGCATGGTTTGTCAGGTATATATGGCCAGAAAGGGTGTTTCTGGCAAGGAAAACAGCACAAGCAAAATCAAAGAGGTATAAAATAACCTGATAAATCAGGGAACTTAAATTCAACCCAAAGGCCTTGAATGTCAGGACTAGGATCTTGAACTTAATCCTACAAGAAAGTGAGAGCCGGCCAGGTGCAGTGGCTCATGGCTGTAATCCCAGCACTTTAATTCGAGACCAGCCTGGCCAACATGGTGAAACCCCATCTCTACTAAAAATACAAAAATTAGCTGGGCATGGTGGCAGGCACCTGTAATCTCAGCTACTCAGGAGGCTGAGGCAGGAGAATCACTTGAACCGGGGAGGCAGAGGATTGCGCCATTGCACATTGCACTCCAGCCTGGGTGACAAGAGCGAGACTCAAAAAAAAAAAAGAAAGAAAGAAAGTGAGAGCCATTGAAGGATTCTGAGCTGGGGAATGGCTTGACCAATTTTGCATTGGAAAATGATTACTCTGACTGGCAGTGGTGTGAACAATGCCCTGGAGAAAGGAAGACCAGATAGGAGACAATTAGAGTGGTAGACAATGAAAAGCCCAGGGGACGCACTCATATGACTTAGATTACTGAGTGGAGAATATGCCTTTTAATAGGATTATAAATCTTATTATTATTTTGCCAAGAGTGAGGGAAAATTAAAGTTTCATATTTTCCCTATTAATCCCAAGGAAGAAACCAGGGATATGGATAAGATTAGGGAGAAACAGCCGGGCACAGTGGCTAACGCCTGTAATCCCAGCACTGTGGGAGACAGAAGTGGGTGGATTACCTGAGGTTAGGAGTTCGAGGCCAGCCTAGCCAACATGTCAAAACCCCGTCTCTACTAAAAATACAAAAAAATCAGCCGGGCGTGGTGGCACGTGCCTGTAATCCCAGCTACTCAGGAGACTGAGACAGGAGAATCACTTGAACCTGGGGGGCAGAGGTTGCAGTGACCCGAGATCGTGCCACTGCACTGCAGCCTGGACTCTGTCTCAAACAAAACAAAACAAACAAACAAACAAAAAAGATTGGGGAAAACCTGTAGACAAAATAAAATATTAATAATAAATCAGGGCTGGGAGCAGTGGCTCACGCCTATAATCCTAGCACTTTGGGAGGCCAAGGCAGGCGGATCACCTGAGGTCAGGAGTTCAAGACCAGCCTGGCCAACATGGTGAAAACTCATCTCTACTAAAAATACAAAAATTAGCCGGGTATGGTGGTGCGTGCCTGTAATCCCAGCTACTCGGGAGGCTGAGGCAGGAGAATCGCTTGAACCCGGGAGGCAGAGGTTGCAGTGAGTCAAGATTGCATCATTGCACTCCAGCCTGGGCAACAGAGCAAGTCTCAAAAAAATAATAATAATAATTTAAAAATTAAAAAAAATCAGCCCAGGCACAGTGGTTCATACCTGTAATCCCAGCACTTTGGGAGACCGAGGCAGAAGGATCACTTGAGCCCCGGAGATCGAGACCAGCCTGGGCAACATAGGGAGACACTATCTCTACAAAAAATACAAAAATTAGCTGAGCATAGTGGTGTAGTCCCAGCTATTTGGGAGGCTGAGGTGGGAGGATCACTTGAGTCTGGGAGGTCAAGGCTGCAGTGAACCATGATCACACCACTGCACTCCAGCTTGGACAACAGAGTGGACTCTGTCTCAACAAAATTTTTTAAATAAAAACAAAAATTAGCTGGTTGGGGTGGCGCACATCTGTGGTCCCAGCTACTTGGGAGGTTGAGGTGGGAGGATCAATTGAGCCCAGGAGTTAGAGGCTGCAGTGAGCCATAATCATGCCACTGTACTCCAACTTGGGCAACAGAGCAAACCCTGTCTCAAAAAAATTAAATAAATAGAAAGTGAGGCCGGGCTTGGTGGCTCATGCCTATAATCCCAGCACTTTGGGAGGCCGAGGCGGGTGGATCACCCGAGGTCATGAGTTCAAGACCAGCCTGGCCAACATAGTGAAATCCCGTCTCTACTAAAACAATAGCTATTATTAATAAATAATAATAATACGAAAATGAGTCTGGCATGGTGGCACATGCCTGTAATCCCAGCTACTCTGGAGGCTGAGGCAGGAGAATCGCTGGAACCCAGGAGGTGGGGGTTGCAGTGAGCCAAGATCACGCCACTGCACTCCAGCCGGGGCAACAGAGCGACACTCCATCTCAAAAAAAAAAAAAAAAAAAGAAAAGAAAGAAAGAAAGAAAGTGAGATCCTTTAAAAAAATTTTTAAAGGAAGATTTTTGTTTTTCCCGTGGGAAGTTTTTCCAGAGAAGAGAACCATCTTCAGTGTTACAGCTCTTTTAGAACTTGTCTAAGAGACAAATTTCAGTGAACACTGGAAAACCTGATAGATAAATTCTAAAAGAGGTGTAACACTGAAAATTTTAACTATACCAATAACCGTAATCAACTGATGGACATCTGGGAGCAAAGCTTTCCAACATTTTGCCTCTTCTTTCTGGTTCTCTGCTGTTGTTTCTCTTTTGAACAGCAGATGGCAGGATAATCCCACAACAGGTGGTCATGATTTAATTTAATTGCAATGAGAAGAAAATTGCTTCTTTTCCCACATGTATTTCTTTCCCGAGATAAACAGTACATAGGGAATCTGCCTCTTTATTGGAAGTAAGATATGTAAGAAGGTAGCTTTTTATCAAGGAACAGCAAGGTAACTAACATAAATTCTGAGCCTTAGATTATTACACTGTGCAAAACCAAGTTTCTGAGAAAGGAGCAAATGGAGGTTGAAAGCCAACTGTTAAAATTCCACATATTCTAGGTTTCCTCAGTTAATAATCATAAAAAGTTTATAGCCAGAAAGTCACAGAGGCCCTTCTGTTGCAATTGTTAGGGTTTAGAGTCAGTGGGAACACCCTTCTCACCCAGGGGATTTTAAAAGCCAATCCCACCTCCTCCCCACAGTCCTCTCCTCTAACGCTCATTTCCCATCGCCTCACAAAATTGCCAGGGTAATTGACTCTTAGATGAGATGAGTTTGACTTTCTACCCTGATTTTGTAACAGAAGTTCTTTTGGTGAGGTTCTTTGTTTGAAAATGCACAATAAAAATGGCTTTAGAATGACTTCAGAGGACTCTTTCTTTTTCTGGTGCCAATAACAGATTCCAAAGCAGCTATTATTCGAGGTGGGTGATAGCATCCCTTGAGTCTGTTTAAGTATCGGTTTTCAAAGTGCCTAGGAACCTGAAATGTCCTGTATGGTATATTTGCAGGTGCATAATTGGCCAAGTGCTCCAGGGGTTATAAAGATTGCCTTCCTGTAGTTGGAATAGACAGATTTAGCCTCTTACTGAAACTGAAGGCTGCAATGTCGATAACAAATCTGATTCTAACTCTCCTGTGTCACTTCAGCCCAAAGGTGCCTTTGTCTCCCAGGAGAAAGAGGTTAGAGGTAAGTGAATGGCCCTTAACCAGAGCCATGTAGAAAACATTGCTAAGGAAGACTTCTGTCCTGAGAGTGGAGGTTTAGGGCTGTTGTGTGTGAAGTAAATTTGCTTTGTTCACAGCCAATCTGACTGAATGCAAGTATTGCTGAGGTGACTGGAGCTGAGCAGCAGCAAACTGCTTTAAAAGCAGCTTTCAGTGGGAAACTTTAAGCATACAATGACTTTATTTTTGTTAAACATAATTCTCCAACCTTGCTTTTTTATTGCACTAACCAAAATAAATCTGGATAAACTTAAAAGGCTGCCTTGATGTCAGTAGGAAAATGGATATTGTCTCTCCCAAAAGTGTTTGAATGGTAGTACATAATCCAGCTACATCCAGATAAGAATACACCTCCGCCTGTAGAAAGCTTTCCTGGAACGGAATATCACCAAGAGTATTCACTTTGGGGCTTGATGGTTCCAGCCCGTCTTACTAAAACTTCTAAAGAAATAGTTTGCCTGCTCTTTCACTCCTCCATTTGTAGTTAATACTTATGTGTACTTAGTGGTGTTCTGAACTCGTTTTATTTCTCAAGGCCTCTGGCATTTGATGATACCTGTGTAGCAGGAGCTTTCATCATACCAAACACAGGGTGGTGTTTAGTGGAGAAGGGGCCAGGAGAGGAAAAAAGCCTAGGCTTTTTCCTAAGTTACTTAACTTGGGAAACCAATGGGCTCCTTTTAAGATTAAATGTGTCTTTAAAATACCAGGATCTTCAGTTATGAAGATATGGGCAAAACTGCTTCCCCCAGACAAACCTGAGGTGGGGGATGTAGGTGTCACATTCAAATCAAAAAGGTGCCTCTCGACAGGAAAGATTTAATCAGCTCTCCTTCCCAGGATCGGCTGCCAGGTTTGAACATTTACTTGTCTGAGTTCCAGGCAGGAGACACTGCTAATTATGGGAGCAATTCCCATGGCTACAGAAAAGAACTGTCTGAGCTGGGGAGTCAAAGCTCTGATCAAGAGGGGACTGAGAGGAAAAAAGCCCCCAGCATTCTCAGAGGAAATTCTGGAGTTGACAAGATACATGCCTTCTCTGCAGGAATGCCCCCTATGTCTGGCATTTGAAGATCTAGAAACATCCTTCCCTTCACCTTCCTAACTTACGTGTTAAGAATCCCTTTGTTTGACAAATAGAATTTTCAAAGCAGTTTCTTTCGTTCAAACACTACGTGATTAAGTTTGTTTTGGAAAAAAACACAGAATGAGGACTTTACTAAGAGTGATTCTCACAAATGATGGTACCTGAAAAGAGGCAAACTTGGCCATCAGGGCAGCCAAAATGGCACAAGCATTTGGAACTTGTTGCCTTATCCTTGGCAAAAACACCACTGGATCCTTTCCGCTCTACGTAAAGTAAGCTGTGGCAAAGTTTACTTTTCTTGTGGCACAAAATCTAGACTCACAGTGAGCTTCTTCACCATTAGCTTCAATTTATATTCTGCCTCTCTTCTTTGTCCATTATTCAGGGCACCTGCTCTCTGTCCCTCCCCCACTCCTCCAGCTGTCTGTCTGTCTCATTTGTGTCAATTAGGAATTCAATACTGCTTGATTTAACTGAATGACTTTCCCTGTACAGAATCTCAACTACAGACAGGGCATCAACCATCACTCCCATTCCCCAGAATAAAAAATTCTGAAAAGCCAAAGGCATGCAAGGATACCTAAGAAAGGAGCAAGAGGTCCTTGCTAGCTATGGCAGTGAGCCTGAGAAAGATGGCAAGACCGCATTTCCTGACACCCAGTTATGTATTTGGTGGCCTACCAAGAGTCAGCATTGCATCCAAGATCATTTGAGTCTACTCTATTTAGTAAAGGTTTTCAAAGAGGATCATAAGACTTAGAAATCAAGAACCAACTGGAAGAAATAAACTTTTTATATCATTTCCTAGTTTACAACATGCTTTCCCATCCTCAGAAGAATGACTTTGTCTTTCTGTTAATTCAGTCATTGAAAACATCGGTCCTATTCTTTAGTCAACTGCCTCTATTCACCTACTATGTGCCAGGCAGTGTTATCAGAGCTGAAAACAGTGTTCTAAGAACAGAAAATAAAATAAAGTTCTTATTCTCATGCAACTTACATTCTAATGGGAAGGATCAAAATAATAAGTAAGTAGACCTATAGTGTATTAAATGATAATGAGGGTATTGAGAATCATAAAGCAGTGTTAAGGGAGATAGAAATTATGGTTTGAGCAGAGTCTTTTTTTTTTTTTTTTTTTTGAGATGGAGTCTCACTCTCTTGCCAGGCTGGAGGGCAATGGTGTGATCTCAGCTCAATGCAACCTCCGACTCCCTGGTTCAAGCAATTCTCCTGCCTCAGCCTCCTGAGTAGCTGGGATTACAGGCACGCGCCACCATGCCCAGCTAATTTTTTGTATTTTTAGTACAGATGGGGTTTCACCATGTTGTCCAGGATGGTCTCGATCTCCTGACCTTGTGATCTGCCCGCCTCGGCCTCCCAAAGTGTTGGGATTACAGGTGTGAGCCACCGCGCCCGGCTGGACAGAGTTTTTTTAGTTTACAAAGGGTAGACAGAAAGAACTCACTGATGAGGTGATTTGAGCTGAGACATAAAAGAAGAGGGAGAACAAGCCATATAAATATGAGGGGGAGGAGCTTGCCAGGCAGAGGGCACAGCAAATGCACAGGTCCTGACACAGGAGTTTCCTTGTTGAAGGAGACCAATTGTAGCTAAATAGAATAAGCCAAGGGAAAGATGTAAGAGAGGTCAGGAAAGTGGGAGTGGAGGGGACAGACTTGTAAGGCCTTGTAAATCATTGTGGGGTCTTTGTTTATTTTGTTTTGTTTTGTTTTAGACAGACTCTCGCTCTTTTGCCCAGGCTGGCTGAAGTGCAGTGGCACAGTCTTGGCTCATTGCAACCTCCGCCTCCCAGGTTCAAGCGATTCTCCTGCCTCAGCCTCCCAAGTAGCTGGGATTACAGGTGTGCACCACCACACTCAGCTAACTTTTATATTTTTAGTAGAGACAGGGTTTCACCATGTTGGCCAGGCTGGTCTTGAACTCCTGGGCTCAAGTGATCTGCCCGCCTTTGCCTCCCAAAGTGCTGGGATTACAGGTGTGAGCCACTGTGCTCGACCTCTCTGTTTTTTATTCTGAGTGAGATGAGAAGCCACTGGAGGGTTTTTAGTAGGGGAAAGACTTATGTTTTATGATATGACATAAAATTATTTAATTTTTTTACAACGGGGTCACCCAGGCTGGAGTGTAGTGGCGCAGTCATAGCTCACTGCAGCCTTGAACTCCTGGGCTCAAGTGATCCTCCTGCCTCAGTCTCCTAAGTAGTTAGGACTACAGGTGTGAACCACTATGCCAGCTAATTTTAAAATTTTTTTGAAGAGATCGGGTTTCACTATGTTGCCCAGGCTGGTCTCAAACTCCTGGCCTCAGGTGATCCTCCTGTCTTGGCCTCCCAAAACACTGGGGTTACAGGCACAGGCCACCACACTCAGCCTCTAAAAAAATTTATGGGTACATAATAGTTGTAAATATGATTTATGTTTTTAAAGGATTATTATGGCTGCTGTGTAGAAAATAGAAGGTAGGAGTGGAAGAGCTGAAGCAGGGAGACCAGTTAGGAGGCAATTGCAGGAATCAAAGCAAGAAATAATGGTGGCTTGGGTCAGGGTGATAGCAGTGCAGGTGGTGACAAGTGGTCATATTTTGGACGTAGAGGTGCCAGGATTTGCTGATGGATATGATGAGGAATATAAGAGAAATAGAGAGGAGTCAAGAATATTGTGAAGCTTTTGGCCCAAGCAAGTATTAGATAATAGTGGAAAGAACAGAGTCCTTGAATCAGAGGCTGTGAGAGACTAAATCTCAATTCCACGGTTTATGGATTGTGTAATCTTGGGCAAGTCACCGAACCTCTCTGAGCATCAGTTTCTTCATCAGTAAGAAACCTTTTGAAATATTGTGGCTCTAGGATCTTCTCAATTCTCTCTTTGTTAACTTACCATTCTCTAATGGCTTCTCACTGTATTTAGAATAAAATACAAACTCCTTTGAGGTCCAAGAAAGCCCTGTATGGACTGGCCTCACCTACCTCTCCAACCTGTCAGCTACATTGAGCTTCTTTTTGTGTTCGTCTGGTAACAAATAGAACCTGGTAACCCAACCCCTGCCCTCCCCTCCCCTCTCCTCTCTTTCTTTCTTTCTTTCTTTCTTTTTTTTTTTTTTTTTTTTTGACAGGGTCTTGCTCCATCACCGAGGCTGAAGTGCAGAAGTGAGATCAGAGATCATGTCACAGCTCACTGCAGCCTTGACCTCCCAGGTTCAAGTGATCCTCCCACTTCAGCCTCCTGAATTGCCGGGACTATAGGCACATGCCACCACACTCAACTAATTAAAAAAAAAAAATTGTAGGCTGGGCACAGTGGTTCATGCCTGTAATCCCAGCACTTCGGGAGGACGAGGAAAGCAGATCACTTGAGGCCAGGAGTTTGAGACCAGCCTGGCCAACATAGTGAAACCCCGTCTCTACTTAAAATACAAAAAATTAGCCAGGTGTGGCAGCTCGCGCCAATAGTTCCAGCTACTCTGGGGCTAAGGCGGGAGAATCGCTTGAACCCAAGAGGCAGAGGCTGCAGTGAGCCGAGATCATGCCACAGAAGTCCAGTCTGAGAGACAGAGCAAGACCCCTCTCAAAAAAAAAAAAAAAAAAAAAAAAAAATATATATATATATATATATATATTTGTAGACACTGGGGGGTCTCCTTATGTTGCCCATTTGAATTCCTGGGCTCAAGTAATCCTCCCACCTTGGCCCCACAAAGTGCTGGGATTACAGGCATGAGCCACTGCACCCGGCCAGAATTTGATAACTTTCCATCTTTTTTTTTTTTTATTTTCAAGAGGGAGTTTCGCTCTTGTTGTCCAGGCTGGAGTATAATGGTGCGATCTCGGCTCACTGCAACCTCTGCCTCCCAGGTCCAGGGGATTTTCCTGCCTCAGCCTCCCGAGTAGCTGGGATTACAGGTGTGTGCCACCATGCCCGGCTAATTTTTGCATTTTTAATAGAGACAGGGTTTCACCATGTTGGTCAGCCTGGTCTCGAACTCCTAACCTCAGGTGATCTACCCTCCTCAGCCTCCCAAAGTGCTGGCATTACAGGCGTGAGGCACCATGCCTAGCCGTAACTTTCCATCTTAAGAACTATCACTGGCTAGGCACTGTGGCTCACACCTGTAATCCCAGCACTTGGGAGGCCAAGGCGGGTGGATCACCAGAGGTCAAGAGTTCGAGACCAGCGTGGCCAACATGGTGAAACTCCGTTTCTACTAAAAATACAAAAATTAGCCGGGTGGATGCGCCTGTAATCCCAGCTACTCGGGAGGCTGAGGCAGGAGAATTGCTTGAACCCAGGAGGTGGAGGTTGTAGTGAGCTGAGATCACACCACTGCACTCCAGCCTGGGCGACCGAGTGAGACTGCGTCTCAAAAACAAACAAACAAACAGAAAATTACACATACTCTCTTCTCTCTGCCTGGAATGACCCTCACCCTGGTGCCTTCTCATCCTGCCAGAAATTTTACTTCCTCAGAGTGGCGTTTCCTGACCATCAATCTTGAAGGAGGTTCATACCATTATTCTCTCTTTCAGGCTTTGTTCTTTTCATTCAGAAAAGTTCATCACAATTTATAATTCTGTTTACCTGTTTACTGTCTGTCTCTTCCTCTAGACTGTAAATTCTATGAAGGCAGGGACCACCATGTGTATATCCAATGCCTAATACAATACTTGGCTCATAGTAGATTATCAATAAATATTTGCTGAAATGCTGAGCGACATATAAGGCTCTTATTGGTATTCTTTTGTTGGTTTGTTTATTTTTTTCATTCCCAGGCTGGAGTACAGTGTTGTGATCACAGCTCACTGCAGCCTCAACTTCCTAGGCTCAAGGGATCCTCCCACCTCAGCCTCCTGAGTAGCTGGGATTACAGGCACATGCCACCACACCTGGCTAATTTTTATTTTTATTTTTTTGTAGAGACAGGGTTTAACTATGTTTTCCAAGCTGGTCTTGAACTCCTGGGCTCAAGTGATTGTCCTGCCTCAGCCTCCCAAAGTGCTGGAATTAGAGGTGTGAGCCACAAGTGCCTGGCCTGGTATTTTTTTTTTTTTTTTTTTTTTTTACTTAAAAAATACCCACAAAACTGGCCGGGCATGGTGGCTCACGCCTGTAATCCCAGCACTTTGGGAGGCCAAAGCAGGTGGATCGCCTGAGCTCGGAGGTTCAAGACCACCCTGGGCAACATGGCGAAATCCCGTCTCTACTAAAATACAAGAAAATTAGCTGGGCATGGTGGCACATGCCTGTAGTCCCAGCTAGTTGGGAGGTTGAGGCGCGAGAATCTCTTGAGCCTCAGAAGTGGAGGTTGTGGTGAGCCAAGATCGCGCCACTGCACGCAGCTTGGGCTACAGAGTGAGATTCCATCTTGAAAAAAAGAAAATTTATTATTATTATTTTTTGTATTTTTAGTAGAGTCGAGGTCTCACCATGTTGGCCAGGCTTGTCTCGACCTCCTGACCTCAGGTGATCTGCCCGCCTCGGCCTCCCAAAGTGCTGGGATTACAGGTGTGAGCCACTGTGCCTGGCCAAAATTTACTTTTTGATATGAAATTTTCAACCAAGACTCATGGGACTTTATATTTTTGATGACTGAGTAGCTTTCAAAGGGAAAATTATGCATTTAGCAATGGTGCTAGAATTAGGTTCAAATTAACAAATTAAAGGTCTTAACCTAGGATCTGAGAAGTATTAAACCAGTTAGGAACTTTGTTTTCCCAGATATGTGCATAGCTTGTTTGCTTCCTCACCCTCTTCTTTACTGTAGTGTCACCTTCTCAGTGAGATCTTCCCTGCCCATTCAATTTAAAATTTAAACCCTCCCCCAACACTCATTTCCATTCTCTGCTTATTTTTCCTCCACAGCACTTATCATTTAACATATATCATTATTTTGTTTATATATCTCTCTCATCACCCCTTTGCTGTCTCTCCCATAATGTAACCTCCATGAATTTTGTTCACTGTTTTATCCCTAGCATATAGGACAATACTTGAGACATAATAGGCACTCAATATTTGCTGAACGAATATAAAGAACACTCATGAGTTTTCTCTTTGAATCTAATAGTGTGAGAATATGGAAAATCCACAATATGGCATTTCAGCAAAACAGTGATGGGACTTTGCAACCCAAATGTTTCTTCTAACAATACCCATAGCAGACCAGCATGTCCACATCTAAATTGCTCAGCTCTGAGAATAATGGAAACTTTTTTAGTCACTGTTTATTCTACTTAGAATTGTAAACTATAGGAAGAAGCAGAGTGGTGTCCAGGGGGTCATCTTGTAAGAGAATGCTCTCCCAAATCTCGGGCTCTGGGCAGTCTGCCTGTCAAGTAAGATTGGGGGTCATTAAGATAATCCTCTCTTCTCACTTTCAGAGGATTCCCTCTAAAACACAAGTACCCCAGGAGGGGAATCACAGCTTAATCCTTCTTCGTTTAACACTTGAGCTGGATTTAGGATATGAGGTGAGGAGTGGGCAGGAAGATTCATTTTACTAATTTTGTAATGCCTGGGGCAGAATTTGACCAGCTTTTTCCCACATCAGTCTCCTTCCCCCTAAATATCACTCCACAAACAAATGCTACAGACTGCAATTGATTGAGAATAGGAAACTGTTTTTAATCAGCTACAATTCTATCAACCTGTTCTACTCTGCAAACGTAATTACCAAGAGATCACAGACCTAAAGGAGATTCTGTTTTCAAACATACCAAACCGGTGCCACGGAGAGTGAACCAGATTATCTGCCTTCCAACTTGTGCCCTAAAGTGTAGACTTGGTTGTAGAGTGCCCACCTATGAGGTCACCATGTAGTATAAATAAGTATATACTGTATATGTAATTAACACCCAAATGTTTATACTCAAGTTGAGTGTCTTCTATGGCAAGTGCTATGAGCAGTGATTCTCCAACTCCTATCAGGGGATTAGTTAGGTACCTGAATGTATGCAAAAAATACAGATTCCTTAGCCCATCTTAGTTCTAACAAAACAAAATCTCTGGGAGGATACAACCTGATCATCTATTTTTTAAATAAGCATCCAGTGATTATCATGAATGGCCAGTGAGGAATCCCTGTAAGGGATACCCAAGAAATACCTTTATATATTTTATAAAGGTATATAAAATATAGTTTATTTGTAAAGTTAGACCTGAGATATGAAATAACTGAACATGATTTTCACTAGAGTGGTCAACAATTTGGAACACTACATAATGCTATCGATGTACAGGAAGGGAGAAATTAGTAGTGGGGAAGACTGAGTTGAGGAAATAAGACCCTGGTGGGCCTCAAGGTTCAGATAGGATTTGAATAAAGGAGAGAGAAGCATGTGGAGGAAAATCAGTAGGGAAATGAACAAAGGTTCGGAGGCAGGAACATAGGGGCACGTTCTCAGAACGGTGAGTTTGGCCAAATTAGAATAGACACTTTGATGAAGAGTTAGAAATAGTGATTGATAAGTAGGGTTGGGACAGAATACACAAGGTCTTAGAAGTCAGGCAAAAAAGTCTAACGTGACTGAGATGGGAAAATAGGAAGTAAAATCAAATCACCAACTGAGTAAAATACATTCTGAGTAATAGAAAGGGCATGGGTTTTGGTACATACTTAAGAGTTAAGCGGGCTGGCCGGGCGCGGTGGCTCATGCCTATAATCCCAGCACTTTGGGAGGCCAAGGTGGGTGGATCGCTCGAGGTCAGGAGTTGGAGACCAGCCTGGTCAACATGGCGAAAACCCATCTCTACTAAAAGTACAAATATTAGCCGGGTGTGGTGGTGCATGCCTGTAATCCCAGCTACTCAGGAGGCTGAGGCAGGAGAATCGCTTGAACTTGGGAGGTGGAGGTTGCAGTGAACCAAGATCGTGCCACTTGCACTCCAGCCTGGGTGACAGAATGAGACTCCATCTCAAAAAAAAAAAAAAAAAAGAAAGAAAGAGAGTTAAGCGGGCCAAGCACGGTGGCTCACACCACACCTGTAATCCCAGTGCTTTGGGAGGCTGAGGAGGACGGATCACCTGAGGTCAGGAGTTCAAGACCAGCCTGGCCAACATATAGTGAAACCCCATCTCTACTAAAAGTACAAAAATTAGCTGGGTGTAGTAGCACACGCCTGTAGTCCCAGCTACTTGGGAAGCTGAGGCAGGAGAATCACTTGAACCCGGGAGGCGAAGGCTGCAGTGGGCTGAGATTGTGACACTGCACTCCAGCCTGGGTGACAGAGTGACAGTGCGAGATCCCATCTCTTTAAAAAAAAAAAAAAAAAGTTAAGCCTGCCCCTTTTTCCTGTTAATTGAACTACTCTCCAGTAAGGCAGTAAGGGAAAACTTACCAGAGGAACCTGTCATAGCATACCTGTTGTCTGTCTTCTGGGCCAAGAGTCAAATACAAATCTCTTCAATCTCTGATACAAATTTCCTTTGCCTCTTCCTATTGAAATCAGTGGAAAGTTTCCAGGGAAGCTGAAAGCTGCTTTACAACTTAGAGCAATACTTACTTCAAATGTTAGAAACTCATCTGGGTCTGTTCGAAACCCTAAAGTAGTTTTCTAAATCTTAAACATATATTGGTCTGGAAATTCTCCATAGCTCACAAAGCACTTACCTACACTGAATATGAAGGTATTGCTTCCAATTCTCCTGGTAAAATAACTCGTGGGGCTGGGCACAGTACCTCACCCCTGTAATCCCAGCACTTTGGGAGACCAAGGCAGGAGGATCAGTTGAGGCCAAGTCTTTGAGACCAGCTTGGGCAATAGAGCAAGACCCTGTACCTCACGCCCCCCAGCCCCACCCCCAACAACAACAACAAAAAAAGGCTGGGCACAGTGGCTTCTCAGCACTTTGGGAGGCCAAGGCAGGATGATCAAGACCAGCCTAGGCAACATAGGGACACCCCAACTCTACAAATAATTTAATTTAATTTATTATTATTATTATTTTTGAGACAGTTTTGCCCTTGTTGCCCAGGCTGGAGTGCAATGACGTGATCTCAGCTCATCGCAACCTCCGCCTCCCGGGTTCAAGTGATTCTCCTGCCTCAGCCTCCCGAGTAGCTGGGATTACAGGCATGCGCCACCACGCCTGGCTAATTTTGTATTTTTAGTAGAGACAAGGTTTCTCCATGTTGGTCAGGCTGGTCTCGAACTCCCGACCTCAGGTGATCCGCCTGCCTCGGCCTCCCAAAGTGCTGGGATTACAGGCATGAGCCACCGCACCCACTCTACAAATAATTTTTAAATTAGCCCGGCATTGTGGTGCGCACCTGTGGTCCCAGCTACTCAAGGAGCTGAGGTGTGAGGATTGTCTGAGCCTGGGAGATTGAGGCTGCAGTGAATTGTGACTGCACCACCGCACTCCAGCCTGAGAAACATACACCCTGTCTCTAACCAAAAAAAAAAAAAAAAAAAAAAAAAAGAAGAAGAAGAAGAAGAAAAAGAAATTGTGAACTCTATGATCCTACAGAAAAACATTTTGAAAATAGACGGGCACAGGGGTAACGATATGTACCTAAGTAGTTAGGCTTTTTCCCTTTCTCTTCTATTTCTTTGCTCACTAAACAAGAAGTTTCAGAAGTCAATGTTCAAGCCAGAAAGCCAAGCTTCTGGGTGATAGAAGATTTTCTGGTTTCAGATTAAACAGAAAACTAAATTAGCAAATTAATTGTTGGATGTATTTTCCTGGGCCCTTCATCAGCTGCTGCAGGACCAGTAACCAATGAAAGATGACTTCTGGCTGCCCTGGAGAGGGGGCAGGGTTCAGAATCAGGTTCTGCTAGCTACCAAGTGTCAGACATGTTAATTTCAAATTACTTTTGTACAGCTTGGTGTCAAAATGATTAAAGCATGAAGAGAAAAACAGAACCAAAGGAGAAAGAAGGGAAATCATTTACCTTGCATTTGGAGCAAGGACACTTGCAATTCTATTTCAGCTGGCTTTCTCCCACAAGCTATGGAAATTCTAAGCTTTAGTTAGGCCCTTTAGTGATCACCTAAGATAGGAGATCATGGCTCTCCATTTCCTTTGTATAATGTCACTATCTCTATATAGCAGAGTCTATATCACAAACACTAATATGGTCACATTTTCTTCCCCTTTCCCCCCAATAAAACTTTATTTTGATAACATTGGGCTCTACATGTCAGGAACTGTACTAAGTATGCTTTACATTTAAAGTATCAAATAATCCTTGCAACATGCTTTGTGTTATTATTCCCATTTACAGATGACAAAACTGAGGCTTGGAGTGGTAAAGCTACTTGCTCTAGTCACTTAGCAGAGGCAGAGGTGGGATTCTAGTCTCAGGTTTGTCTGACTACAGAGCCATACTGCCTCCTCTCAATTTTCCCTTTTGGATTGGAGGAACCAAGAATTTGGTTCTGATTGTTAAGACAACTTCATTGTTTCTTTTAACAGTCATGGGTGTCTTATTTTTGTCTAAAGATGCTGCTGAGGTCAGCCTTATTTTCCATAAAATAACAATTTTTAGAGAACCAGTTTCCCAGGGTGAACAGGTAACCAGCTCACTGGTTGGCTTGTCTTTGTCTCCCAGTACCCAGCTTTTCTAGTTGGTTTCATGGGCTTCATGACACTTTTTGCTCAAGATGAGTCATCTCATCTGATTTTTGTATGTGAAGTATAAGGCTGATCTCAGTTGCTACTGCTTTTCAACCATCCACGCAAAGCTGCACTGCTTGAGTTCTCTTAGTCTGCCAGATTTGATTATTTTCCTCACCCTTCCTATAGCCACTCACTTCACATTACCTGATTATTTAATATTATTATTTTTTTTTTTTTGAGAAAGAGAGAGTCTCACTCTGTTGCCCAGGCTGGAGTGTGGTGGCACAATCTTGGCTCACTGCAACCTCCGCCTCCTGGGTTCAAGCGATTCTTGGCCAGTTCACATTATCTTTTTTCATTATCTTCTTTTTTTTTTTTTTTTTTTGAGACAAAGTCTCACTCTGTCGCCCAAGCTGGAGTGCAGTGGTGCAATCTCGGCTCACTGCAACCTCCGCCTCCTGGGTTCAAGCAATTCTCCTCCCTCAGCCTCCCAAGTAGCAGGGACTACAGGCACACGCCACCATGCCCGGCTAATTTTTGTATTTTTAGTAGAGACAGGGTTTAACCATGTTGGCCAGGCTGGTCTCAAACTTCTGACCTCGTGATCTGCCCGCCTTGGCCTCCCAAAGTGCTGGGATTACAGGTGTGAGCCACTGTGCCCTGCCCACATTATTTTAACATGTTGTTGGCCTCTAGAATTGCAGTGTGGTGTTACAATTCGATTTTTTTTTTTTGAGACAGAGTCTTGCTTGATCTCCACTCACTGCAATCTCCACCTCCCAGGTTCAAGCGATTCTCATGCCTCAGCCTCCCGAGTAGCTGGGACTACAGGCGCCCACCACCAAACCCGGCTATTTTTTTTTGTATTTTTAGTAGAGATGGGGTTTTGTCATGTTGGCCAGGCTTGTCCTGAACTCCTGGGCTCAACTGATCCGCCCACCTCGGCCTCCCAAAGTACTGGGATTATAGGCATGAGCTGCTGTGCCTGGCCACAATTCAATTTTTAAGATTCTAGTGGTGTAGAAGTCACAATATTGCTCCCTGGACACTACTAAGTAAGTTTTAGGTACACAAGAATATCCCAAGGATGCTGAGTGATACCAAAGCCACCATTCAGGATAATATTGATAATGTCAGAGAAGTGATCTATAAACACAGGATAATTACCCACTGATAAATTCAGAAATATTGAACCTTAGAACTTCAAGAATGTTATCAGCTGACTTTTGGAGAGTGCTAGGTGCTTTCCAACAACCTAATGAGGTAGGTTATGTTATTTTCCCCCTCTTTACAGTGTCCAAGTGAAGCACAGAATAAGGATGAAAGGCACCTTAAACATTATATAGGACAGTGACAATTCACACTTTGCCTCCACTGAGTGATGTGCAGCTTGTTACATTCCAAGGCAGCCTATTTCATATTCACATGACTTCTTCCATATTCTGAGCTAAAACATATGTTTCTGAAGTTCCTATCTCTTAGTTCCGGAGCCTTGGGGCCTCCCAGGACAAGTCTAATTTCTTTGTACATAATAGTCCATCAGGTGTTTCAAGATGGTCTTTGATCACTCATGAATTCTCAACTCTTCTTCATAAGCCAGGGTTTGTGAAGAAGTTCCCTCACCATCTTGGTTGGTTGTTCTATTACATCCTTCTAAAAGAGAACATATTGCTTACGTGTGGTCTAATACAGAATAAATTGAGGCTCTTTCCATGTTCCAGATGCTATATTTCTATTAATACAGGCTAAAATTTGAATTAATTTTTTTCTTTTGGTCTCATCTTCTAATACCATCACTTATTTGAAGAAAACCACCAACCTGACTCCCCACCACCTCCCCTTGCCATGTACTTGATTTTCATGTTTATGCTCCTCTTCTAGTTCTGTCATAACACACCCACACACTTCTATTCTGCATGACCTTGATCCTCATTCTTTGCATGTGGTACTGATTTCTCCATGTGCACATATGTTACACTTATTTTCTCTCAGTTTCCTTCCATCGCCTTCTCTCATCCCACTTTACCTCCTGGTTTCTACCTTTCCAACATCAGAGAATCCAAGTCAGAAAAACTGTCTTGCTTTTTTATAATGTAAGGTAGACGTGTTCTGAAACATTTTTGTCTTGTTTGAGACAGTCTCACTCTGTCACCCAGGCTGGAGTGCAGTGGCACCATCTCGGCTCCCTGCAACCTCTGCCTCCCAGACTCAAGCAATTCTCATGCCTCAGCCTCCCAAGTAGCTGGGACTACAGGTACATGACACCATGCCTGGCTAATTTTTGTATTTTTAGTAGAGACAGGGTTTCACCATGTTGGCCAGGCTGGTCTCGAACTCCTGGCTTCAAGCGACCTCTGAGCCTCAGCCTTCCAAAGTGCTGGGATTATAGGCGTGAGCCACTGTGCCCAGCTTGAAACATTATTAACCAGTGAGGCTGGGTGTGTTTGTCCTGCTTAGCACTTACAATGCATATCCTGACAGTCTGAGGCTAGCTTCCAAGAAAGTAATCTGATTTGGGAATGCTTTTCCTAAGTAGATCTCCACATATTTCACTTTATCAGAGTTCCAAAGGAAAAAAATATGGCCCAGGACTTACTCATATAGGAGATATTATGAATGCAAAAGGTGGTAAATTAATGATACTCTTCACTCTATGGACATTTAAACTTATAAACAGCTTGGGTGATGTGGAAAACATAATGGAAACAGTCTGGGTTCAAATCCTAGCTCTGTTCCTTCCAGGCTAGGTGTTGTTGGGCCAGCTTACTGCTCTGTGTCTCCATGTACTATCTGTAAAATAGTGGCAACAATTCAGTTGTACTCACTTCTTAGCCCTGTTTGGGCTAATTAAAATAATTTTTAATTTAATTTTTTTTTGAGTCAGTCTCACTCTGTCGCCCAGGCTGGAGTGCAGTGGCACGATCTCGGCTCACTGCAACCTCCACCTCCTGGGTTCAAGTGATTCTCCTGCCTCAGTTTCCCGAGTACCTGGGACTATAGGCACGCACCACCGTGCCCAGCTAACTTTTGTATTTTTAGTAGAGACGGGGTTTCACCATGTTGACCAGGCTGGTCTCGAACTCCTGACATCAGGTGATCCACCTGCCTCGGCCTCCCAAAGTGCTGGGATTACAGGCATGAGCCACCACACTCAGCCTAATTTTATTTTTTTGAGACAGGGTCTTCCTTTGTCACCCAGGCTGGAATGCAGTGGCCCCAACCTGGCTCACTGCAGCTTCGACCTTTCGGGCTCAAGCAATTCTCCTGCCTCAACCTCCTGAGTAAGCTGGGACCACAGGCATGCACCACCACACCTGGGTAACTTCTTATTTTTAATAGAGACAAGGTCTCACTGTGTTGCCCAGGCTAGTCTCGAACTCCTGGGCTCAAGCGATTTGAGGAGTTAATTCTTATAAAGGGCTTAGAACAAACAGTGTCTGGCTCACAGCTATTATTATTCCTGCATGTTTGTAAGATAAGTTAAAGGTAGAACAGAAAAATTATTTCTTCCAGGCACTTGGGTTTTCTGCCTGCATCTTTACAAGCCTGGATTACTGAAGCGTTGGTATTGAGGTTTTGGCTTTATAAGGAAGTAGACATTCAGAAAGAGGCTCAAGAGTCATTTGTGAATGAATGCCCCTCAATCTTGGGCTGGTTAAGAGCAGGGTAGAACTGTTATTTAAGAGGGAGCGTAAATGCCAGAAGAATCATAATCTATCAGATGAGATCCAGCATGATCTCTTCCTTTTCTTCCTGTTGCAAAAAAAAAAATTTTTTTTTCAGACAAAAATGTGTAATTGTGGCTCCTAGCTGATCTAACAGAAGAATTAAGTGGTCTACGTGGACAATATTTTGTGCTTTTTAAATATTTGGATTAAAAAAAAACATGAAAACATGACCTCCTTCCACTCCCCGCCCCCCCACCCCGCCCCCGAATAAAACCCACTTTTAAAGTCTTGGTCATATAGCAGTTTAGTACAGAAGTCTACAAAATGTCATGGGTTCCACAGAAACTTACGTTTGGTTGTGTTGTATGGTCTACAATATAGATGCTACACTAACACTGAAGAAATTAGCTTAGATTGTGTTAAATCGTGTTAAAACACATTAAATAAATGCAAAGAGCCCAGAACAAAGAAAGTGATTAAGCTGGTTTAACCGCATTCAGCCCACTATGCTAAATCCCCTTAGGGGGCTCAAGTTAAACAACAAATTTGGTTTCTTGGCCTAAATCTTTTTCTTCAAAGAAGAAATTTTCCTGTGATTCTGATAAGTTTGTTTTCATTTTTCAGTCCCAAGGGACGTTGGGTGAAAATATCCTATCTGATTGGAGTTGCATTTGAGGAAGAGATGTACTAGAGAATAGAATAGAGGGCGACGGGTTATTGGGTTCCTTGAACGAACTGAGGCATGGGAGGTGTGCGATTGTTCAGCCCCAGAAAAAGGCCAGCTAGTGACACCCGGGATGAAAATTTTATCCGGCAGTGAATCAAATAAGGCTGCGAGGGAGATAATAAGGTGTAATTATAGCAGTGCTGTTAGTGCCTGTTTATGGGGTCTGGCAGCAATTTGGTTGATCACCCCTCATTTTGAGAAATTTGTAATTTGGCAGTAAGAATTCTTGCCTTAACATTTGGCACAAACCCTCACAGTTTAATATTGCAAAATCTGGGAAATGTTGAAATGTGGCTGCTATTCTAATTGAACTTTTTCAGGCTCTTTCGAATTCGTGTTTTTCCTGTTGGATTCAGAAACAAACGCCTCTCTTTTGAAAAGTTCATGAGGTTTTTAAAAATCACAAACTCAAGTAAGCTTACAAGCGAATGTACTGCTGTAAAAAACTCTCGTGACTTAAATCTTAGTGTACAGACGGGGGAAAAGCTGTCACTCGAAAAACCCGAGTTCCTTCTGTTGGTAGCCCTTTAAAAATTCTCCACAATCAGTACTTTAATTCATTTGGCTCAGAGCAGAGCAGCGTGGCGTTTGTTGCTCTTCGTTTTACCAACCGACCGTTTCCCCCAAGATTACTCCCCGTTGTTTTAAAGTAGAAGGGAGGTCACTAGGCGAGTGAAATGTGGCCCACGCAGACTGGGACAAGTTGGCCCAACGTGCTTCTCTAAAGTAACTGGAAGTTTTCTGACAGGAAACCGGTCAGTTCTTGTGTCTCTCAGCTCTGGTTCCCACGGCCCCGGCGGCAGCTGCGCCCCCGACGCCCCTCTCGGAGCCCCGCAGGGGCGCAGAGCACTGTGGGCGGCAGGGGGCAGCAGCGGGAACCCGTTGTTCTAGAGGCGGGGGATGGGGCGGGAAGCCGCCCCCCCTCCGTTTCCGCGCCCCACTCCCTCCCCTCCCCCGCTCGCGCCCTCCCTCCCATCCGCGGAGAGAAGGGCGGGGGCGCGGAGCCCTCCCGCGGGACAGGGGGCGTGTGCGTCCCCTCCGCACCCCTCCCCCCGGCCCGGCTCTCCTGGCTCCCCGAGGCGGGAGTTTCCAGGAAGAGCTCAGAGCGCGGCCGCACCACCGAGCGCACGGAGACATCAAGTAGTCCCTCAGAGCGACCTTGTTAGAGGGGAATTCTAGTTGCGAGGGGCTGTCGGAGTTGGAACCCCGAAGAGATAAGGGGTAGCGGCCCAGCCAGCAGGATCTCAGGTAGTTAGGTCTGAGCGCCCACTTCCATTCCTGGAGAAGGATGTGTGGGGGAGGCGGAACGAGTTCCGGCGGAGGGCTCGGGCGCGCCCGGTGGAGTGAAGCGCCGCGCGGTCGAAGGGCTCACAGAGTTGAAGTGGGCGGGAAAACCCGGAGCGGACTCGCTCCGACACGCCCAGGGCCTCCTGCCCTATTCTTCGTGGGGGAGGGGAACGAAAAGAGCAAAAGAGAACAACGTGTTCCCTTCCTCGGCTTCCTAACTCCCGGCCGAGGAGACAGGAGCCCGCCCGCCACTTCGAGGGACACGCTGCGGGCCTCTCAGATCCCGGCGGGGCGAGGAGGGCCGCGCGGCTGCCGTTCTAGCGTCCGCACCGTCGACGCTGAGCGCGCGGTCAGAAACCCGGGTCTGCGGACTAGAGGTGCTGGGCGCGCGCTTCCCGCCCCTTTTCTGAGCGCGTTCACCTCCCCCTTTCCCCCACGTTCCTCAGCCGCCACCTCAGAGCCTTCCCCGCATCCAGCTCTCTCTCTTCGGGAGAGGCGGCCCGTCTTGCCCATCCACTGAATAACCCCTTCACCCCAGTTTTTTCGACCCGCCTTTCCTGAGCTTCGGTACAAACTCCGCAGCTAGAGCTCAGCTTTCACATTCCCGCCTCCGCCCTCAGTCTCCCCTCCCAACCCTGAAGCACTTCCTGCAAACTGCCTTGTTCTCGCTCCTCTCCGCCCCGCCGCCTCCTTGCTCTTACTGGATGGCTGCTCTCACGTTGGCTGGGCGGCGGGTTATGATCCTGTATTCCTGCCTTCCTCAGAGAGCAGCCTCCTTCCCCATTTTAGAGATGGGGAAATTAAGGTCCACGGCTCTGACGGCCTGACCCCTAAAGGCTCCTCGAGTTCCCGAAATCCAGCACCGTAACTGCCGCTAGAAGGATAAACCCTCGACTTTCTCTAATTTAAGCAACCTTAGAAAACCAGCGCCTAAACCTTTCCTCTTAGGACCCTCAAGCTTTCTGACCAAACACCACCAGCCCAGTTAGCAAAAGCCATAGAAATAATGTACATCGCAGGTCAACTGTGTAACGATGACTTACGTTAGAAGAAGGGCCAGTGAGAGATTTTAGCTGGCATACGGGGTTTATAGACGTGAGACAGGTTATCTTTTAAACGTAAAGTCGTTTTTAAGCACGATGTGTAATGCTTTCTCTTAGATTTTGTAATTATCCTATTCGCTGTCCCGGCTCAACACTGTTCCTTAGGGTTTGAGAACATTTTCATGAAATGTGACCCCTCAAAAAAACACCAAACTACCATTTTAATTTTAAAAGATAGCTTTTCCTGGCCGGGCGCGGTGGCTCACACCTGTAATCCCAGCACTTTCGGAGGCCGAGGCGAGCAGATCACGAGGTCGGGAGATAGAGACCATCCTGGCTAACACAGTGAAACCCCGTCTCTACTAAAAATACAAAAAATTAGCTGGGCGTGGTGGCGGGCGCCTGTCGTCCCAGCTACTCGGGAGACTGAGGCAGGAGAATGGTGTGAACCCGGGAGGCGGAGCTTGCAGTGAGCCGAGATCACGCCACTGCACTCCAGCCTGGGCGACAGAGCAAGACTCCATCTCAAAAATAAATAAATAAATAAATAATAAAATAAAAGATACCTTTTCCTTTTTGTTAATATGGTTGGTTTTATTTATAAAAAATTTTTTAAAAAGTAATCAATCTAGTGGTAGAGATAAAACTTTTCTCCACCACAGGCTTATATGGGTAAAAATTCATTGTTTTCGTCTAGAGTATTTCATTATTTTTTCGAGACCGAGTCTCCCTCTGTCACCCAGGCTGGAGTGCAGTGGCGCCAGCTCACTGCAACCTCCACCTCCCGTGTTCAAGCGATTCTCTTGCTTCAGCCTCCCAAGTAGCTGGGATTAGAGGTGCGTGCCACCACGGCCCCGGCTAATTTTTGTATTTTTAGTAGAGACGGGGTTTCGCCATTTTGGTCAGGCTGTTCTCGAATTCTTGACCTCAGGTGATCGGCCCACCTCGCTCTCCCAAAGTGCTGGGATTACAGGCGTGAGCTACCGTGCCCAGCCTTAATATTCCATTATTTTATCGCTTAAGTTATATATTAATTGGAGGTTTCCAAAATGCTTTTTTCTCTCCTTAAGTGCTGCTCTCAGGTTCTTTTTTTTTTTTTTTTTTGAGACAGAGTCTCGCTCTGTCGCCCAGGCTGGAGTGCAGTGGCGCGATCTCGGCTCACTGCAAGCTCCGCCACCCGGGTTCATGCCATTCTCCTGCCTCAGCCTCCCCAGCAGCTGGGACTACAGGCGCACGCCGCCACGCCCAGCTAATTTTTGTATTTTTAGTAGAGACGCGGTTTCACCGTGTTAGCCAGGATGGTCTCTATCTCCTGACCTCGTGATCCGCCCGCCTCGGCCTCCCAAGTGCTGGGATTCCAGGCGTGAGCCACCGCGCCAGGCTCAGGTTCTGAATATGTAGATGAAGAGATGGGAACAGTAAATAACTAAGAATTGTCCAAATAGAAAGAAACAGGAGTAGGCAGTGATGTAATAGGAATATGAAGAATGATGACACAGTCCGATGTTAAAAAATAAGATGATAGGAATGAATGGCAGGAAAGAGAAATGTAAGTGTAAGGGTGGCCAGCTCTCCAAAAACTTTTAATTTTTAATTTTTTAGGGACAGGATCTCTCTTTGTTGCCCAGGCTGGAGAACAGTGGCTCAATCATAACCCATGCCCAGCTAATTTTTAAATTTTTTTTTGGAGAGATTGCGGGGAGGTTTGCCATGTTGCCCAGGCTGATCTCCAACCCCTGGCCTCAAGCAATCCTCCTGCCTCGGCCTTTCAAAGTGTTGGGTTCACAGGCATGAGACACCATGCCCGGCTAAGATTTAAAATACTGAAGAAAGATGGTAAAGTCTTAGGAATTATGTACTGTTTAGCTTTACATATGTGTTCACATACATAGCTTTTAATTGAGGAAGGATGAAATTGTCTTGGATTTAAGCACTTGCCTACATACATAGATTTGATGAGGAGTTCTAAGGAAGACCAGTATTAAATCTAGTTTACACTGGATTTCAAACTTTCCTAAAGTAGGAAGGGGGCAGAACCCTTTGATTTAGGTTTGACAGGCCCAAAACCTTTTTTTTTTTTTTCTTTTTTTTTTTTGAGACAAGAGTTTCGCTCTTGTTGCCCAGACTGGAGTGCAGTCGCGCCATCTCGGGTCACTGCAACCTCCGCTTCCCGGGTTCAAGCAATTTTCCTTCCTCAGCTGGGATTAGAGGCACCCGCCACCATGCCCAGCTAATTTTTTTGTTTTTTGTTTTTTTTTTGAGACAGAGTTTCGCTTTTGTTGCACAGGCTGGAATGCAATGGCACGATCTCGGCTCACTGCAACCTTCGCCTCCCATGTTCAAGCGATTCTCCTGCCTCAGCCTCCTGAGTAGCTGGGACTACAGGCGTGCGCCACCATTCCTGGTACCTCAGCCTCCTGAGTAGCTGGGACTACAGGCGTGCGCCACCATTCCTGGCTAATTTTGTATTTTTAGTAGAGATGGGGATTCTCCATGTTGGTCAGACTGGTCTGGAACTCCCGACCTCAGGTGATCCGCCCGCCTCGGCCTCCCAAAGTGCTAGGATTACAGAAGTGAGCCACCGCGCCCAGCCAATTTTTTTTTTTTTTTTTGAGTCGGGGTCTTGCTCTGTCGCCCAGGCTGGAGTACAATGGCCTGTTCTCAGCTCACTGCAAGCTCCGCCTCCTGGGTTCACGCCATTCTCCTGCCTCAGCCTCCCGAGTAGCTGGGACCACAGGCACCTGCCACCACGCCCAGCTAATTTTTTGTATTTTTAGTACAGATATTTTTCACCATGGTGGCCAGGCTGTTCTCGAACTCCTGACCTCACGTGATTCACCTGCCTCGGCCTCCCAAAGTGCTGGAATTATAGGCGCGAGCCACCGTGCCTGGCAGACCCCAAGCTCTTATCCATTCACCCCTCAAAGAAAACCACTTTACAGGCCAGGCACAGTAGTTCATGCCTGTAATCCCTGTTTGGGAGGCCAAGGTTGGGGGGTGGTCACTTGAGCCCAGGAGTTTGAGATTATCCTGGGCAACATAGCAAGACCCTGTCTCTACAAAAAAATAAAAATAAAAATAAAATCAGCTGGGTGTGGTGGTGCTCACTTGTAGTCCTAGCTACTTTGGAGGCTGAGGCATGGGAATTGCTGGCACCCAGGAGTTGGAGGCTGCAGTGAGGTATGATCACACCACTGCACTCCACTCTGGGCAACAGTGTGAGACCCTGTCTGTATAAAAATTAAATAAAGAGGCCGGGCACGGTGGCTCACGCCTGTAATCCCAGCACTTTTGGAGGCTGAGGCAGGTGGATCACCTGAGGTCAAGAGTTCGACACCATCCTGACCAACATGGAGAAATCCCGTCTCTACTAAAAATACAAAATTAGCCCTACTAAAAATGCAAAATTAGCCAAACATGGTGGCACATATCTGTAATCCCAGCTATTCGGGAGGCTGAGACAGGAGAATCGCTTGAACCTGGGAGGTGGAGGTTGCAGTGAGCCGAGATGCGCCATTGCACTCCAGCCTGGGCAACAAGAGCAAAACTCCGTCTCAAAAAAAAAAAAAAAAATTAAAGGTCCGGGTGCAGTGGCCCATGCCTGTAATCCCAGTACTTTGGGAGGCCGAGGCGGGAGGATCACGAGGTCAGGAATTCGAGACCAGCCTGGCCAGCATGGTGAAACCCCATCTCTACTAAAAATACAAAAAAATTGGCTGGGCATAGTGGGGCATTCCTGTAATTCCAGCTACTTGGGAGGCTTAAGCAGGAGAATTGCTTGAACCTGGGAGATGGAGGTTGCAGTGAGCCGAGATCACGCCACTGCACTCCAGCCTGGGCGACAGGGCAAGACTCCATCTCAAAAAAAAAGAAAAAAAATTAAATAAAGAAAGAAAATCACTTTACAGTCAAGTGATTGAACATATAACTGAAACCTAAGTACTTTTTGACCAATTTAGAAAGCGTTGCATTTAAACTGTATTTTTCAAATTTACCTTTCTGATGTGACCTTATGAGCTTTAGTTTCTTTTGGCTCCTTTAAAATATTTCTGCCAAGCTTCTGCCTCTGTGTCCAGAGTTCACTGCAACTTCAACCTCATTGTTACATCCTGGTCTGCAAACTGATACCTCTTATGGGGTTGGTGCTATAAGATAATGTAACTGGGTTTTCAGTCCTATTTTATTTCTAATATTTAAATTCAGAACTTTAATCGGAAGAACCCCAAGAACATTGTCTTTCTTAAGTAAAATGAAAAAATTATATGTGAAAATGTGTTACCTCTTATTAAATCCAAGGTTAATTTTAAGAACCTTTGTATATTACTGTATTGATATTCATAACCTACAACAATGGCCCATGTACATTAGAGTCAAAATGCTGTGGTTCATGTATTACTGAACTGGAGAGCAGTGGCACTATTTAATTTCTTGAGGGAAAATCACATTGTAGACCAACACCTATAGAAAAATTGATAGCAATTGTCAGCTTTATCATAATGGAATTCAGACATTTCCTTTATCATCAGCCTCTAGGTGAATAATAATATAAATGTAGGGAAAGGGCAAGGTTTTCCTTACAATAGGATGATAACTAGTAAATATAGATAGAATGATGGAGTAAGAAACTTATTCGTGGATGCTAAAACTAGTGGGTGGCAGTTTGATAAGGAGAGGGTTATTTACATAGGAAAGTATCTGTCCATAAGTTACTTAATAGTTACAAGGGAAAATAGTGGAGGAACCTCATTACCACTGCTTTAACCAAGTCATGAAACCTAATATCACTGATATTAGGACCAACTGACTTCCATGGGCCTCCTAATAAGAAGCACTGAGGACACAACATTGCTTCAATGGTAACCCTGCCCAAAATGCACAAGCTGAATCTAATCACGAGAAAATCTCAGACCAACCCAAACTGAGGGCCTTTTATAGAATAACTGGCCTGTACTGTTCACAAATGTCGAGGTCAGAAAACAGAAAGAAAAGACTGAGGAACTAGTACAGATTAAGGTAGACAAAAGAGACATGACAGCTAAAGGCAGTATGTGATCTTGGATTTGATTCCAGACCAGGAAAAAAATAGTCTTATATCATATTTTTAGGGCTCATGCCTATAACCCCAGCACTTTGGGAGGCTGAGGCAGGAGGCTCTCTCTCAAGGCCAGGAATTGGAGACCAGCCTAGGCAATATAGTGAGACCTACTCTCTACAACAAAAATTTATAAATTAGCCTGATGTGGTGGCACATGCCTGTAGGCCTAGCTACTTGGCAGGCAAGAGGATTGCTTGAGCCCAGGAGTTTGAAGTTGCAGTGAACTATGATTCAGCCATTGCATTCCAGCTGGGCAACAGAACAAGGCTCTGTCTCTATCAAAATAATAATATTTTTAGGACAACTAACGAAATGTAATATGGACTATGAATTAGTTGATAGTATTACATCAATGTTAAATGTCCTGATTTTTATATCTATACTGTGGTAACATAAGACAATGACCTTGTTTGTTTTTTTTTTTGTTTTTTTTTTTGAGACGGAGTCTCGCTCTGTCACCCAGGCTGGAGTGCAGTGGCGCGATCTCAGCTCACTGCAAGCTCTGCCTCCCAGGTTCACGCCATTCTCCTGCCTCAGCCTCCCGAGTAGCTGGGACTATAGGCGCCCGCCACCACGCCTGGCTAATTTTTTTGTATTTTTAGTAGAGATGGGGTTTCACCGTGTTAGCCAGGATGGTCTCGATCTCCTGACCTCGTGATCCACCTGCCTCGGCCTCCCAAAGTGCTGGGATTACAGGCTTGAGCCACCGCGCCCGGCCGACCTTGTTATTAAGAAATACACTCAGGGGTAATGAGTCTCGAATATATCTCAAATATTTCAGGAAAAAATGTGCATATATTTATAACTATGTATGTAAAGAGAGAATAATAAAGCAAATGGAGCAAAATGTAATTAATTTATGAATTTGGATAAAGGACTTCTGGGAGTTTCTTGTACTGTTCTTGAAATTTTTCTCTAAGTTGGAAATTATATTGTTTTAGATCATTTGTTCCACATCTTCATTTTGAAGAGGTGAAAATTCAGATTTTGAAAGATGAAGATTTGCTGAAGGTCACACAACAATTTAGTGGCAGAGTTAGGGCCAAAACCCAGATCTGCAGAAGTCAGTCCTCGTTTTACAACACCAACTGAATCCTTTGGTGTTTTTTTGGATGGCAAAGGTTGAGCCACCCCTTTTTACTTCTCTTTTTTAGTTTTTTAGTTCCTTAGAGCTAGTTCCTTTTATTAGGGAACCAGAGTAACGTAACTAAATGCTTCTTTCAGTTCCTTCGTGATTAGGCAAAGATCAGTTTGAAGTTTTTGAGCTGTGGAGTTTGGAATATCCTTTACCTTTTGTAGGCTCAATGTCTTTCTTATTGCCAGCCTTTTCCTGCATATGGTTTGTTTCTTTTATATGGTATTATTTGTACTCCCTCTCCCATATAATGATGTATTATTGTTTAAATTTCTTTCTGTAAGCCACTGCATTTCAAGGTCTCATAAATATTATCTACTCTAAAGATAATTGGCCTGGTGCAGTGGCTCATGTCTGTAATACCAGCACTTTGGAAGGCTGAGGCAGGTGGATCACTTGAGGTCAGGCGTTCGAGACCAGCCTGGCCAACATGGTGAAACTCCATCTCTACTAAAATTACAAAAATTAGCTGGGCGTGGTGGTGTGCACCTGTAGTCCCAGCTACCTGGGAGGCTGAGGCAGGAGAATTGCTTGAACCTGGGAGGCAGAGGTTTCAGTGAGCCGAGATCGTGCCACTGCATTCCAGCCTGGGCGACACAGAGAGACTCCATTTCAAAAAATAAATAAAATAAAATAAAAAGATAATTGCATGGTTTTCATTTCTGTGATTCTATGACTCAGTTTCCTTAATTGGTAGACAACTAAGGCATAATATACTGAAAAAAAGGAGAATATAGCATCTCAGAATTATATTCTTTTTTTAAACTTTTATTTTAGATTTGGGGATACATGTAAATATCAGTTACATCGGTAAACTCATGTCATGGGGGTTTGTTGTAGAGATTATTTCATCACCCAGGATGAAACCAGTACCCAATAGTTATCTTTTCTGCTTAAACCCAGTACCCAATAGTTATCTTTTCTGCTCTTCTCCCTCCTCCCACCCTCCACCCTCAAATAGACCCCAGTATCTCTTGTTTCCTTCTTTGTGTTCATAAGTTCTCATCATTTAGCTCCCACTTATAAGTGAGAATATGCGGTCTGGTTTTCTGTTCCTGCATTCGTTTGCTGAGGATAATAGCCTCCACCTCCATCCATGTTCCTGCAAAAGACAGGATCATGTTCTTTTTTATGGTTGCATCAAAATTACATTCTTAAAGGGTTTAATCTAATCACAATAATAGAACTTAATAGTTTTAGTGGTTAACTGAGTAATATCAGCTTTGTCAAAAAATTAAGAAATCAAATCTATCATTTTCCACATAAATCGGCTAACTGCTAATTGTCGTCAGTGTGAGCACTCCTTGTCTCCAAATGAGATAATGTAAAATATTAAGTTAGACCATATGAAATTGTCATTTTCATAGCAATCGAATATCAACAATTTCATATGGTTCAACCTAATATCAGTAATGATATTACGAAGTAGTGGCATATTTTCTCTTCTCTTACTTCATTAGTAGAAGCACTTAAAGACAGCTCAAGAGTCACCTGCTCTTTATTCTCCAACTTCTCAGTTTTCTTTCCCTACCTTGGCTGTTCTTCTATGCTGACAATCGCTATGAGATTCTTGCTAGGCTTCAGATTCCTCCAAATTTCCATCTTGGCTTACATTAGCTTTCACCACCTGGGAGCCTTCTTTTCTTTCTTTTTCTTTCTTTCTTTTTTTTTTTTTTGAGACGGAGTCTTGCTCTGTGGCCCAGGCTGGAGTGTAATGGCACGATCTTGGCTCACTGCAACCTCCACCTCCTGGGTTCAAGCAATTCTCCTGCCTCAGCCTCCTGAGTAGCTGGGATTACAGGTGCCCGCCACCACACCTGGCTAATTTTTGTATTTTTAGTAGAGATGGGGTTTCACCATTTTGGCCAGGCTGGTCTTGAACTCCTGACCTCATGATCCACCCGTCTCGGCCTCCCAAAGTGCTGGGATTACAGGTGTGAGCCACTTCGCCCAGCCTCTCAGCACCCACATTCTATCTGGACCTTAGATTATTTATTTATTTATTTATTTATGATGCAGTCTCACCCTGTTGCCTAGGCTAGAGTGTAGCAGTGTGATGATGGCTCACTGTAGCCTTGACGTCCTGGGCTCAGGTGATCCTCCCACCTCAGCCTCCCAACTTAGGAAGGTTAGAGTCCTTCCTAAGATTTATGGGGTTAGGCTGGGTGCGGTGGCTCACACCTGTAATCCCAGCACTTTAGGAGGTTGAGGCAGGAGAATCACTTGAGCTCAGGAGTTTGAGACCAGCCTGGGCAACATAGTGAGACCTCGTCTCAATTTATAAAAAAACAAGGCCTCCCTCGGTAAAGTCCCTCTTGGTTAAAAGTGGATTTGGCACTATGGGATGTTAACCACCATTCTGTTTGGATTAATCTGCCTTGCAATCTTTGCTGATGGCTGTGGGTGACAGGATTAGGCAAGTATAGAATCACGGGATATGGGGAGCTTTTTTTCTCCCCAAAGGGAGAAACTTGAGAGCTGATGGGACTGCTGGAAAAAAAAAAATCCCTTCCTGACTCACAAGCAGCCACCTGAGCTTTTGATTCAGTGTCGCTGCAATGGGTGGGCCTTTCTCTGGCCTCCCTAGCTCCTAGCCTTCCCCACCCCACTGCAGGCAATGCTTCTCTTTCTCTCTGACTCCTTTCCCTTTCCTGTCTTTTCTGTACTCAGGGCAACTGTCTATTCTTCCTTCTTGCCCAGAGACCACATGTTGAAATTCCTGGTTGGAGGTCATTCCACCCCATACTGAGTGGATCAAAGATGACAGGGCCCAACCGGAGGCAAGTTTGAGCTTTGCCAGTTAAATATTGGCCACTAAGGGGAATGGCTAATGTCTATGTTTTGTGACACGTATTTTGCTCTGGTTGGAATGGGAAAGGTTAATTTGGTTCCCCCATGCAGCTAGTTGGGTGGCATCTTGCAAAATTGAGAGGCTTTTGCCTGTGGTTCCGTGAAATGGAAAACGATGATTTTCTTTCTTTCTTTCTTTCTTTTTGAGACAGAGGCTCACTCTGTTGCCCAGGCTGCAGTGCAGTGGCGCGATCTTGGCTCACGACAACCTCCACCTTCCTCATTCAAGCAATTCTCCTGCCTCAGCCTCCCGACTAGCTGGGACTACAGGCATGCGCCACCATGCCTGGCTAATTTTTGTATTTTTAGTAGAGACCAGGTTTCACTAAGTTGGCCAGGCTGGCCTGGAACTCCTGACCTCATGATCCGCCCGCCTCAGCCTCCCAAAGTGCTGGGATTATAGGCGTGAGCCACTGTGCCCAGCGATGATTTTCCTTTGTATTGTGGCTAGGCCCCCAGGGCTATGGTGCAGCAAGCAGGGTTGCTAGGGCCACTCAGGAAAAGGGAACCCGGCTGGGAGTGGTGGTTCAGGTTGAAGTCAGGAGTTCAAGACCAGCCTGGCCAACATGTACAAAAGTACAAAAATTAGCTGGGCATAGTGGTATGCACCTGTAATCCCAGCTATCTGGGAGGCCGAGGCAGGAGAATCGCTTGAACCCAGGAGGTGGAGGTTGCAGTGAGCCAAGACCGTGCCACTGCACTCCAGCCTGGGTGACAGAGTGAGACTCCATCTCACAAAAGAGAAAAAAAAAAAGGAAAAGGGAACCCCAGAAACCTGGCATGCTGGCAAAAGGGTAAGAGTTTCTTACCAGTCAGACTTCTGGCCTCTCCTCTGTGCAAACTGGTTGTGGGAACAGTAAAAATCATTGTCTCCTCTGCAAATTTTTGATTAATTAAAGATTCATGAGGCTAGTCTTAAGCTATAGCAAATGTGGTGTGCTTTGTGCTATGAATTTATCTTTCTGTATTGTTCTGTCATAAAAAGAAGTACCTTAGGATAGAACATGGACTTAGGGCCTCATAAGCCTGCTGTTCAAGCCAGCCTGGCAAACTGGTCAGTTACAAACTTTGTTGGAGGTCCCTGAAACAAAAACTGGATAAAATTTCCCTCTTGTCTTGTTTTATGTCCTTGGGAGCTTGACCTTGTAACCACGTGGTGGTACTTTCTCTTGGTTTCCGCCATCCAGAGGACAGGAATTTTGGAGTTCATGTCATAGTTAGCTCTAAAAATTATCTTGAGTAGTTAAAAGCCTTTGCAAGCTCAAAATTGACTGCTCTAGGCTCCGTCTGGGAAGAGCAATGGAAACTGCCTAATGCTGTAGCTTAGTAGCTAAGGTTTTGTCTTTTCACAATGGCACCCTGGGTTAAATTTTCAGCCTAGAGAATAAATACTTTCTGGTTGATATTTGTGTGACCTTTGCCACTTGTTGATTTCCTTCCCCTCTATGTACAACTTCTGACTTCCCATCTTGAATTTTTTCTTCTCTGAACACCTGGGAGGTTACCTTTGGTAAAGTTCAAAAGCCAGAAATATAGGCTGTTTGGCCTAGCTAGAGTCTGATAATAAAAGATTTGGTTAAGTCAGCTTAATTAAAAGTAGATATCCAAACTATGCATATATTAAAAGGTTTTTATGCTTTTTTCACTTCTTGGATCTTATTTTTCTGAAGAAAAAAAGTTCTTTTATTCTCAGTCAACTGAATTGTTTTTAAAGTATACTCCTACAAACAAAATTTGGAGCATCTTCCTTTCTCCCTGGTTTCTCCAAACTTTGGAAACTGTTTGTAAGTATTCTTACTTATGGCAATACAGTTATTTGCATAAGTGCAATAAGAATCTGTCTTTTGGCTGGGCGTGGTGGCTCATGCCTGTAATCCCAGCACTTTGGGAGGCCGAGGCAGGTGGATCACCTGAGGTCAGGAGTTCAAGACCAGCCTGGCAAACATGGTGAAACCCCATCTCTACTAAAAATACAAAAATTAGCTGGGTGTGGTGGCAGGTGCCTGTAATCCCAGCTACTCTGGAGGCTGAGGCAGAAGAATCACTTGAACCCGGGAGGCAGAAGTTGCAGTGAGCTGAGATCGTGCCACTGCACTCCAGCCTGGGTGACAGAGCAAGACTATCTCAAAAAAAAAAAAAAAAAAAAATCTGTCTTTTGTAACAGAACACAGTTGGAGATACTCATTAATTTATCAAGGCTTTGACTGAAATGGCATGCTTTCAGGTACAAACAGACTGTTTTAAGGAATTGAAGTTGACTTATAGAGCTAATAAAATCCCCTTGGGGGAGCTGGGCGCGGTGGCTCATGCCTGTAATCCCAGCACTTTGGGAGGCCGACGTGGGCAGATCACGAGGTCAGGAAATCAAGACCATCTTGGCCAACATGGTGAAACCCCGTCTCTACTAAAAATACAAAAAATTAGCCAGGCGTGGTGGCAGGTGCCTGTAGTCCCAGCTACTCAGGAGGCTGAGGCAGGAGAATGGCGTGAACCCAGGAGGCGGAGCTTGCAGTGAGCCGAGATCGCGCCACTGCACTCCAGCCTGGGCGACAGAGTGAGACTCCGTCTCAAAAAACAAACAAACAAAAAACCCTTGGGGGCTAGGCACGGTGGCTCACGCCTGTAATCCCAACACTTTGGGAGGCTGAGGTGAGTGGATCACCTGAAGTCAGGAGTTCAAGACCAGGCTGGCCAACATTGTGAAATTCCACCTCTACTAAAAATACAAAAATTAGGCAGGCATGGTGGCGCATGCCTGTAATCCCAGCTACTAAGGAGGCTAAGGCAGGAGATTTGCTTGAACCTGGGCCACGGAGGTTGCAGTGAGCCGGGATCATGCCACTGCACTGCAGCCTGGGTGACAGAGCAAGACTCTGTCTCCAAAAAAAAAAACACTTGGGGAAAAAAATGTTCTCATACCTTGTCTACGCAGGCCCTGTGCAGGGTTACAGGGTTCCTGACCTATGATGATAAGTAAAGAATGTCACGTTCTGACAAGCCTAGGAACCCCATGTTATCTTTGGACCTCAAGAGGAGAGGAATTTACCTTACTCATATAGGTATTTGATGGCACAAACCCATGGCCGAGCTTAAGGCTTTAAAAAGTCTTATCTTGCCAGGCATGGTGGCTCATGCCTGTAATCCCAGCACTTTGGGAGGCTGAGGCAGGTGGATCATCTGAGGTCGGGAGATCGAGACCATCCTGGCTAACACGGTGAAACCCCGTTTCTACTAAAAATACAAAAAAATTAGCCAGGCATGGTGGCACATGCCTGTAATCCCAGCTACTTGAAAGGCTGAGACAGGAGAATCACTTGAACCCGGGAGGTGGAGGTTTAGGTGAGCCGAGATTGCACCATTGCACTCCAGCCTGGGCAACAAGAGCGAAACTCTGTCTCAAAAAAAAAAAAAAAAAAATTCTTACCTGAGATTTCTCATGGAACAAAGTTCCATCAAAGCCAATTTACAAATGAGCCTATATGGGAAATTATTATTCTTGCTGTGCTTTATGCAAATAATCAGGCCAAGTATAATAAGACTAAAGCTTATTTTGCAAACAAATTAGTCCTATCATGATTTGTTTTTAATAAAAATGAGGACTGGAGAGAGAAAAATTATGTGTAGTTTTTTTTTGTTTTTTGTTTTTTGTATTTTTTGAGACAGAGTCTCACTCTGTCGCCCAGGCTGGAGTCCAGTGGCACAATCTCAGCTTACTGCAATCTCTGCCTCCTGGGTTCAAGCGATTCTCCTGCCTCAGTCTCCCAAGTAGCTGGGATTACAGGCGCCTGTCACTACGCCCAGCTAATTTTTTGTATTTTTAGTAGAGGCGAGGTTTCACCATGTTGGCTAGGCTTGTCTCGAACTCTTAACCTTGTGATTCGCCCGCCTCAGCCTCCCAAAGTGCTGGTATTACAGGTGTGAGCCACTGCGCCCAGCCGAAAAATTATTATTATTATTATTATTATTATTATTATTATTTTGAGACAGAGTCTCACTCTTTCGCCCAGGCCAGACTGCAGTGGCGCTATCTCGGCTCACTGCAGACTCTGCCTCCCTGGTTCATGCCATTCTCCTGCCTCAGCCTCCCGAGTAGCTGGGACTACAGGCCCCTGCCACCGTGCCCGGCTAATTTTTTGTATTTGTAGTAGAGACGGGGTTTCACCGTGTTACCCAGGATGGTCTCGATCTCCTGACCTTGTGATCCGCCCGCCTTGGCCTCCCAAAGTGCTGGGATTACAGGCGTGAGCCACCGCGCCCGGCCCAAAAAATTATGTTTTAAGAAATATGCTACACCTGTTATTAGAGTCTAGTCTCATCAGTTGTTTTTGAGGGTTTTTTTTCTGCAATTTATACCAACCCTGGTTATTCCTGCCAATCAACCAGTGATCTCTGACTGCAGCTCAGAAGAAACAAGAGGGATGGATAGTGTAAAAATCTGGATCAGTATTCTAATTCTGGGCACGTACTGGAATCAGCTAGTGATTCCATATTAGCTTGATTCCAGCAATTGCTCAGTTAATGGAAAGCCTTCTTATTTAGTTTACTTGGGATAATTTTTCTTATTTTGCTTTACTGTTGTGGAATATATTGCTGTTGTACCCTTTGTGTAGGAATGCAGGATAAGCTTACTCAATGTTTTCTTTTTTCTTTTTTTCCTCCAACCTCTCCTCCCCCTCAATGTTTTCTTAAATTTAATCCTTGTTAATCTTCCAGATATCCCCTTTTGTCGAAATTCATAGTTATGAATGGTCCTTACTATACTGATGCTTCCTGACTGAGCTCCTCTCTACCCTGAATACAAGAGACCCTAGTAGTTAGGCAGGAATATCATTGTCCCTGTTTAGCCTGAAGAAGTTACGGAAGATGGATTTTTGTCCCTCTAAAACCCTTAGGATTAAGAGTCCCCTTGTAAAAGGGAGGGGAGAAATATGTCAGAGGCATTTGAACCAGAGTGACTTTATCTTGAATAGGGGCTGGGTAAAATAAGGCTGAGACCTACTAGGCTGCATTCCCAGGAGGCTAGGCATTCTTAGTCATAGGATGAGATAGGAGGTCGGCACAAGATACAGGTCACAAAGAGCTTGCTGATAAAATAAGATGTAAAGAGACCAGCCAAGCCCCACAAAAACCAAGATGGTGGCCAGGCGTAGTGGCTCATGCCTGTAATCCTAGCACTTTGGGAGGCTGAAGCAGGTGGACTGCTTGAGCCCAGGAGTTTGAGACCAGCCTGGGCAACATAGCAAAACCCCATCTCTACAAGAAGTTTATATATATATTATATATATTATATATATATAAAACATATAATATATATAACATATATAATATATTATATATAAAATATAAAATATATAAAAATATATATAATATATAAAAATATATATAAAATATATAATATATATAATATTATATATTATATATATTAGCCAAGTGTAGTGGCAACCGCCTACAATTCCAGCTACTCAAAAGGCTGAGGTGAGAGGATCACCTGAGGTTGAGGCTGCAGTGAACTGTGTTTGTGCCACTGCACTCCAGCCTGGGCAACAGAGTGAGACACTGTCTCAAACAAAAATCCCCCAGAAACCAAGATGGCAATGAAAGTGACTTCTGGTTGTTCTCACTGCTCATTATATGCTAATCATAATGCATTAGCATGCTAAAAGACATTCCCACCAGTGCATGACAGTTTATAAATGACATGGCAACATTCGGAAGTTACCCTATATGGTCTAAAAAGGGGAGGGGCCCTCAGTTCCTGGGAAATCTCTACCCCTTTCCTGAAAAACTCATGAATAATCCACCCCTTGTTTAGCACATAATCAAGAAATAACCATAAGTATACTCAGTCGAGCAGTCCATGCTGCTTCTCTGCCGATGTAGTAGCCATTCTTTTACTCCTTTACTTTCTTTCTTTCTTTTTTTTTTTAAGACGGAGTCTCCTTGTCTCCCAGGCTAGAATGCAGTGACGATCTCGGCTCACTGCAAGCTCCGCCTCCTGGGTTCACGCCATTCTCCTGCCTCAGCCTTCCGAGTAGCTGGAACTACAGGCACCCGCCACCATGCCCAGCTAATTTTTTCTATTTTTAGTAGAGACGAGGTTTCACCATGTTAGCCAGGATGGTGGCGATCTCGTGATCCTCCCGCCTCGGCTTCCCAAAGTGCTGGGATTACAGGCGTGAGCCACCGCGCCCGGCCTCCTTTACTTTCTTATTAAACCTACTTTCACTTCACTCTATGGACTCACCTCAAATTCTTTCTTTCGAGAGTTCCAAAAACCCTCTCTTGGGGTCTGGATCGGGACCCCTTTCCGGTAACAGTTTGGATAAGTACTGATTGATAGATGTAAGAAGTCAAGGGAGGTTTTACTTCTTTCATTTTATTTTATTATTATTATTATTATTATTATTATTATTATTTTGAGACGAAGTCTCACTCTGTTGCGCAGGCTGGAATGCAATGGTGTGATCTTGGCTCGCTGCAACCTTCGCCTCCGGGGTTCAAGCAATTCTCCTGCCTCAGCCTCCCGAGTAGCTGGGATTACAGGCATGCGCCACCATGCCCAGCTAATTTTTGTATTTTTAGTAGAGATGGGGTCTCACCACGTTGGCCAGGCCGGTCTTGATCTCCCTACTTCAGGTGATCTGCCCACCTCAGCCTTCCAAAGTGCTGGGATGACAGGCATGAGCCACCACACCCGGCCTATCATTGTTACTATTATTATTATTTTGGGGTTGGGGGAGGCTTTACTTCTAAAGAGAAAGGTCAATGTTTTTGATTTTCCTCCTTCTGCCATGTGGCTTTTCTAGAAATAGTCTTTGAGTTTCTTTTATTAGTTAATCTTTTTCTTCCTCCTATAACCCCTTTTTTTTTTTTTTTTTTTTGAGACGGAGTCTCGCTCTGTTGCCCAGGCTGGAGTGCAGTGGTGCAATCTCAGCTCACCGCAACCTCCACCTCCCAGGTTCAAGTGATTCTCCTGCCTCAGCCTTTCAAGTACCTGGGATTACAGGCGCCTGCCACCACGCCTGGCTAATTTTTTTGTATTTTTAGTAGAGACGAGGTTTCACTCTGTTAGCCAGGATGGTCTTGATCTCCTGACCTCGTGGTCCGCCCACCTCGGCCTCCCAAAGTGCTGGGATTACAAGCGTGAGCCAGATGGCACCGGGCCTGTTTAGCTTATTGTACTTAGTGAATACTTTTTTTTTTTTTTGAGATGGAGTCTCGCTCTGTCGCTCAGGCTGGAGTGCAGTGGTACGATCTTGGCTCACTGCAACCTCTGCCTCCCAGGTTCAAGTGATTCTCCTGCTTCAGCCTCCTGAGTAGCTGGGATTACAGGTGCACACCATTATGCCTGGCTAATTTTCGTATTTTTAGTAGAGGCGGGGTTTTACCATGTTGGTCAGGTTGGTCTTGAACTCGTGATATCGCGATCCGCCCACCTCGGCCTCCCAAAGTGCTGGGATTACAAGCGTGAGCCACCATGCCTGGCCTATACTTAGTAAATACTTTCTAAGTGGCAAGTTGCAATTCAAATGTCACTTTTTACATGAATCTTTTTTTTTTTTTTTTTTTTTTTGAGACGGAGTCTTGCTCTGTCGCCCAGGCTGGAGTGCCGTCGTGGCGCCATCTCAGCTCACTGAAACCTTGGCCTCCCAGGTTCACGTGATTCTCCTGCTTCAGCCTCTTGAGTAGCTGGGATTATAGGCACCCACCACCGTGCTCAGCTAGTTTTTTTTTTTTTTTTTTTTTTTTTTTTTTTAGTAGAGACAGAGTTTCACCATGTTGGCCAGGCTGACCTCAAGTGACTTGCCTACCTCGGCCTCCCAAAGTGCTAGGATTATAGGCATGAGCCACCGTGCCCGGAATGAATCCTTTCATGACTCCCAGAGGCAGAATTCAACGTATCTACCACTGAATTCACATAGCTCAGAGTTACATTACAAAGTGCTATAAAAATAATGGTTTCTGATCAGGCATGATGGCTCACACCTGAAATCCCAGCACTCTGGGAGGCCAAGGTGGGAGAATCTCCTGAGCCCAGGAGTTTGAGACCAGCTTGGGCAATCTTGTCTCTACAAAAGAAAAAAAAATTTAATTAAAAAATTAGCTGAGCTTAGTGGCGTGCACCTGCTGGGGTGCCTACTGGGGTGCCTACTCCCCACCTACTGGGGAGGCTGAGGTGGGAGGATTGCTTGAGCCCGGGAGGTTGAGGCTGCAGTGAGCCAAGATCATGCTACTATACTCTAGCCTGTGTGACAGAGTGACATTCTGTCTCAAAGAAAAAAAAATAAGTTTCTTTAATAATGTGGTGTAATATTTTGATTGCAAGCAACAGAAAAATCATCTCCAACTATCTTAAACAATTAAGAGAATTTAGTCATCAGCTGAAAATTCAGGCAAAGCTTTGTCCTCAGTGTTAAGGCTCGATGATGTTACCAAAGACCTGGTTTCTTTCCATTTCTCCTTCTGAAATATTTGATATTCCTGTGTGTGTGTGTGTGTGTGTGTGTGTGTGTGTGTGTGTGTTTTGGAGACAGAGTCTCGCTCTGTCGCCCAGGCTGGAGTGCAATGGCGCAATCTTAGCTCACTGCAACCTCTGCCTTTGGTGTTCAAGCGATTCTCCTGCCTTAGCCTCCTGAGTAGCTGGGATTACATGTGCCCACCACTGCGGCCAGCTAATTTTTGTATTTTTAGTAGAGACGGGGTTTCACCATCTTGGCCAGGCTGGTCTTGGACTCCTGACCTCGTGATCCACCCGCCTTGGCCTCCCAAAGTGCTGGGATTACAGGCGTGAGCCACTGTGCCCAGCACCTAGATTTGTTCTTTTGTGACGTCAGTATGATTACAGCAGCTTCTAGAAGGGCCATCTGTGTTTTCTTCACCTCAAATAGGAAGATAATATCTCTCAAGGAAACTCCTTCAGAATAACAAGAAAGTATGCTTTCCAGAAGCCCCAGCAAAGGTCTTTTTATATCTCACTGGCCTGAATTAAGGTCACCTGTTCATCACTGATCTAGTCAATGTCTATGGGGATAAGCGTGTGCCGGGCTTAAGCCAAGTTACCCCTGGATGTAAGAGTGGAGTCAGCTTCCTTATGTGGTTACACGTAAGAGAATACGCATCCTGTTACTAAGAGGAAAGAGAAAGACTGTTGGGCAGTCAAAACCAACAAAAATCCACTGCATGATGCTGACCACATTCAACTACTTCTGTATTAATACCTTGATTAGTACACTAATGAAAATTTCTGTATAAATTAATGTTCACACAAAAACTTGTACATGAACATTCATGGCATCAGTATTTTTTGTTTGTGTGTCCATTTTTTAACTCAAAGACTTTGTTTTATTACAGTACATAGACTGGGATCGATGGGAAGATGTAGATGTCGTGGGCAACCATGGTTAGCATCGTTAGCCCATCCCCATCGTCATGAATGTATCAAAGATGCCTCTACTCTGCATCATGGTTTTCCCAATGCCGCCCATCACCTCCTGATCCTGCATCCCAATCCTGAGACAGAGGGTGCTGAGGAGCACCGTGGCCACCATGGCCACTGTTCAACCCATTATCAAAGCCTATCTCCATGCAGTCAAAGCAGCCTGGCTGAGACTGTCCCTAGGGACCCACAACCACTGGCATCTCGCTCTCAGCCTTGGTCGCTCAGCTCTCCATAGCATTGAATTCATAATAGCCAAAAAGTGGAAACAATTCTAGGGTCCATCAGCTGATGGATAAACAAAATGTGACATAGCCACAAAATGGAATATTATTCAGCAATAAAAACGAGTGAAATACTGATACCTGCTATAACATGCATGGAACTGAAAACATTATGCTAAGTGAAAGAAGCCAGTCACACCAGGCCACAAATTGTGTGACTTATTTTATATAAAATATGTACAAAGTAGATT
This sequence comes from Homo sapiens, assembly GCF_000001405.40. Lineage (NCBI taxonomy): Eukaryota > Metazoa > Chordata > Mammalia > Primates > Hominidae > Homo > Homo sapiens. Next base: position 26,640,887 of record NC_000001.11, read on the forward strand.
AGTGATCACCAGAGGCTAAAGGAATAGGGTTTAGGGCATGACTGCTAATGAGTAGAGGGTTTTCTTTGGGGGTGAAAGAATGTGCTGGAATTAGGTAGTGGTGTGAATATACTCAAATCACTGGATTGTGCACTTTATTTTATTTATTTATTTTTGAGACAGAGTCCCAGTGAGTTGCCCAGGCTGGAGTACAGTGGCGTGCTATTGGCTCACTGCAACCTCTGCCTCCTGGGTTCAAGTGATTCTCGTGCCTCAGCCTCCCAAGTAGCTGGGATTACAGGCATGTGCCACCATGTCCGGCGAATTTTTGCATTTTTAGTAGAGACAGGATTTTCCATGTTGGTCAAGCTGGTCTCAAACTCGTGGCCTCAAGTGATCTGCCTGCCTCAACCTCCCAAAGTGGTGGGATTACAGGCGTGAGCCACCGCGACTGGCCCTCTTTTTTTTTCTTTTTTTTTTTGAGACGGAGTTTCGCTCTTGTTGCCCAGGTTGGGGTGCAATGGTGCAATCTTGGCTTACCGCAACCTCTGCCTCCCAGGTTCAAGCCATTCTCCTGCCTCAGCCTCCCAAGTAGCTGGGATTACAGGCATGCGCCACCATGCCTGGATAATTGTTTTTGTATTTGTAGTAGAGACGGGGTTTCTCCATGTTGGTCAGGCTGGTCTCAAAGTCTCAACCTCAGGTGATATGCCAGCCCTGGGCTCCCAGAGCGCTGGGATTACAGGTGTGAGCCACCGCACCTGGCCCAGGCTCTCTTTCTTAAATTAGCAATGCACATGAATGCAGACCAGCATCTTTGCAGCTAAGAACTAAAAGTACATTTGAAGATTATTCTTTAGTTGGTTTATTTTGTGATTTGTCACTTGCATAGATGCCATTTGGTCACATATCATTACAGAATTGAACTGATTAGTCCATGTTTTCCTCATTTCCATAGTATTTATTTTACTGATTTACCTGCAAAAAATTGCTTTCATTTCCTTTTCAACTTTGAAAGCAAAGAGTTCAGCTACAGCTTTGAATTAGTTTTGTCTGATTACTGCTTATAATATTTACATTGTTTTAAAAACACTATTACCTTGTTTTTTGTTTTTGTTTTTTTGAGACAGAGTCTCACTCTGTTGCCTAGGCTGGAGTGCAATGGCATTGCCTGGGCTCACTGCAACCTCCGCCTCCCGGGTTCAAGCGATTCTCCTGCCTCAGCCTCCCAAGTAGCTGGGATTACAGGCGCCTGCCACCACACCTGGCTAATTTTTGTATTTTTAGTAGAGATGGGGTTTCACCATCTTGGCCAGGCTGGTCTCGAACTCCTGACCTCGTGATCTGCCCGCCTCAGCCTCCCAAAGTGCTGGGATTACAGGCGTGAGCCACTGCGCCCAGCCCTTTTTCCTCTTTTTCATGTCAGACAGGTAATGTGCCAACATCATAACAATGTTTGTGGATGGCACATTTCACACATCCATGTGAATGCCCAATCATCATGCTTATGAACTACAAAATGATCTGATTATTTCTTTATAATTAAAGGTAAATATTTTTGGCAAAAATACTATATAAGTGGCCACTTGTTCAATAAAGAATGTGCTCAGGCCAGGCTCAGTGATTCACACCTGTAACCCTAGCACTTTGGGATGCTTAAGCTCTGGAGTTCAAGACCAGCCTGGGGAACATAGTGAAATCTCATCTCTACAAAAAGTACAAAAATTTGGCTGGTAGGGTAATCCTAGCACTTTGGGAGGCCGAGGCGGGCAGATCATTTGAGGCCAGAAGTTCGAGACCAGCCTGGCCAACATGACAAAACCCCGTCTCTACTAAAAATACAAAAATTATCTGGGTGTGGTGGCACATGACTGTAGACCCAGCTACTTGGGAGGCTGAGGCACGAGAATCCCTTGAACCTGGGGGGCGGAGGTTGCAGTGAGCTGAGATCATGCCATTGCACTCCAGCCTGGGCGACAGAGCAAGACTCTGTCTCAAAAAAAGAAAGAAAAAATTACAAAAATTAACCGGGTGTGGTGGCTCACACCAGTAGTCCCAGCTACTAGGGGGCAGGCTGAGGCAGGGGATCACCTGAACTTGGGAGATCAAGACTACAGTGAGCCGAGATTGTGCCACTGCACTCCATCCTGGGTGACAATGTAAGACCCTGTCTCAAAAAAAAAAAAAAAAAAAGAGTGTGCTCAAAGGGTAATCAGCCACTTGCTCTGTCCCTGATATCCCTCCCAATTCTTCACTGCTAGCCGTTTGTTCATCTACCAAACATTTGCCAAAGAGGCCTTTAAAAATTTATTACAGGCCGGGTGTGGTGGCTCATGCCTGTAATCCTAGCACTTTAGGAGGCCGAGGCGGGTAGATTGCCTGAGGTCAGGAGTTCAAGACTAGTCTGGCCAACATGGTGAAACCCCGTCTCTATTAAAAATACAAAAAAAGGGCCAGGTGCGGTGGCTCACACCTGTAATCCCAGCACTTTGGGAGGCCGAGACGGGCGGATCACGAGGTCAGCAGTTCGAGACCAGCCTGACCAACATGGTGAAACCCCGTCTCTACTAAAAATACAAAAAAATTAGCTGGGCGTGGTGGTGGGCGCCTGTAATCCCAGCTACTTGGGAGGCTGAGGCAGGAGAATCTCTTGAAACCGGAAGGTGGAGGTTGCAGTGAGCCGAGATTGCACCACTAGCCTAGGCAACGAGGCAACGAGAGCAAAACTCCGTTTCAAAAAAAAAAAAATACAAAAACAATTAGCCGGGCATGGTGGCGTGCACCTGTAATCCCAGCTACTCAGGAGGCTGAGGCAGGGGAATTGCTTGAACCAGGGAGGTGGAGGTTGCAGTGAGCCGAGATCGCGCCAGTGTACTCCAGCCTGGGTGACAGAACGAGCTCAAAAAAACAAAAAAAAGTATTACAGCTTGGATAACATAATGAGACCCTGTCTGTACAAAAACTACAAAAATTAGCTGGGTGTGGTGGTGTGTGCCTGTAGTCCCAGCTACTCAGAAATCGGAGGTGAACAGATTGCTTGAGCCCAGGAAGTTGAGGCTGCAGTGAGCTATGATCACACCGCTGCACTTCAACCTGGGTGACAGAGCAAGACCCTGTCTCAGAAAAAAAAAAAAAAAAAGTGTATTGTCTATTTTCACTTTTCTTTAGCCCACCCCCAAGCTTCAAAACTTTTTTTCTGTGTACAAAAATACAAATATTGGTTTGAAGACTATACTTTCAGGGATCATTTCTTCTTTGTTTTCGAGACTGAGTCTTGCTCTATCGCCCAGGCTGGAGTGCAGTGGCACAACCTTGGCTCACTGCAACCACCTCCGCCTCCCAGGTTCAAGTGATTCTCATGCCTCAGCCTCCTGAGTAGCTGAGACTACAGGTGCCCACCACCATGCCCAGCTCATTTTTGTATTTTTAGTAGAGATGGGGTTTTACCATGTTGGCCAGGCTGGTCTTGAACTCCTGACCTCAAGTGATCTGCCCACCTCAGCCTCCCAAACTGCGGGGATTACAGATGTGAGCCACCACACCTGGCCTCAGGGATCATTTCTATAGTTCGCTACAAATATTGCGTTGGAGCAGGTGAGTTTCTTGAACACAATACACTGAAAATTCCCATGCAGACCTTGAGAAATTATATTAAAGTCACATGGGTTGTCACTAATGTTTCTGGGAGATAACGGCAGCAACTAGTGAAAAAGAAGCCTTTCAAAGGATTAAAGAAATGGTTTAAATTAGTACTTTTGGAACACTGGAAGTTTCTCACTGTTGCTTTTTTTTTTTTTTTTTTTGAGACAGAGTCTTGCTCTGTCGCCCAGGCTGGAGTGCAGTGGCTCACTGCGATCTTGGCTCACTGCAAGCTCCGCCTCCCAGTTTCATGCCATTCTCCTGCCTCAGCCTCCCGAGTAGCTGGGACTACAGGTGCCTGCCACCACGCCCGGATAATTTTTTGTATTTTTAGTAGAGACAGGGTTTCACCGTGTTGGCCAGGATGGTCTCGATCTCCTGACCTCTTATCCGCCCGCCTTGGCCTCCCAAAGTGCTGGGATTACAGGCGTGAGCCACTGCGCCCGGCCATTTCTCACTATTGCTAATTTAGGAAAAAAGGAAATCCACTTTGTGATTTAGTCTTTGGTAAACTTGTATTATTCTTTTTATTTAGTTTCTCCTTTAGTTTTAGGTTACTGGTCCTTCTCTAGAGACAGTGGATATATTCACATTAAAGTTGAAGCAACTAGATAGCAACCAGCACCAGGACCATCACGCGCAGGCCAGGACCTGTGCCATGGCGTTGCTCTCAGATGCTGCTGATATTACTGATGTTGTCAGAGGTACCCTGGAGGGTGGAGCGCCCTGCCTTTGCCCGGGGAGAACCTTCTGGGGTTCCTGCCTTGGATGAGCACTCTGATCCATATGTCTCCAGGTTCCAGGAGTTGCAGAAATGCCACCAGGATCTGCAGAACACATTGCAAGACAAGGAGAGCTGGGAGGACTCAGACCCTGACCTCATCCAAAAGTGAAAAACCAATCCTGCCAAAGTGAATGTATTTTCTCTCCCCAAAGGCAGACTTGAGACCCCCAGCTTCAGGGTGGCTTCTGCCTGACTTCCAGAGCTCCAGCCAGTGCCTTTTGTCTGAAACCTCCATGTCCAGGACCCTTGGGCGGAGAAGAATCTGCTGGACACTGCTTGGGGCTGGACCCTGAGAGCGCTCACATTTGACACCCCAGAAAGCAAATAAAACAGTTGAAATATGTAAAAAAAAAAAAAAAAAAGAGCTGAAGCAACTACTAGATGGCAATTTTTTCTTGCATCCTTCCAGCTTTGTACACTTGGTCACACTTCATCTTCTCTTTTTGTTCCCCCTGAAAGAGCTGCTAACACTATTGGCTTTCTCTCTGTTTTTCTTTCCAGTCTCTACTTTTTTGGGAATATGGTTAAACAGATGCATCCTCTTCCCTTATTCTGATGAAATGTATTGCTGATGGCCTATCTGGCCACACTGCCCTCTTAATCTTTCTCAAAGGTGGCTCCTTGGTAATCACAACATTTTGCCATCTCTACCTTGGAGAGCAACTGTTAGAACCGGTTGAAGGAGTCCAGAGGAATGCTCTGAATTTGTTAGCAATTGCTTTGATTCCTTATTAAACATGATGTATGTTCAAGGTCCCTGATTTTCATAAAAATTATAGAACTGTGTAGATAAAAAGTTGTGTGTTTCTTTTGCACCACTTAACCAGTAGTGTGATCAATAAATGTTCTTTAGGCCGGGCGTGGTAGCTCACGCCTGTAATTCTAGCACTTTGGGAGACTGAGTCGGGCGGATTAGTTGAGGTCAGCAGTTCGAGACCAGCCTGGCCAACACGGTGAAATGCCATCCTTACAAAAAATACAAAAATTAGATGGGTGTGATGGTGGGTACTGGGGAGGCTGAAGCAGGAGAATCACTTGAACCCAGGAGTCAGAGGTTGCAGTGAGCCAAGATCGTGCTACTGCACTCCAGTCTAGGCAACAGAGCAAGACTCTGTCTCCAAAAAACGACAATAGGCCTGGCGTGGTGGCTCACTCCTGTAATTCCAGCCCTTTGGGAGGCCAAGCCTGGCGGATCACCTGAGGTCGGGAGTTTGAGACCAGCCTGACCAACATGGAGAAACCCCGTCTCTACTACAAATACGAAAACAATTATCCAGGCATGGTGGCACATGCCTGTAATCCCAGCTACTTGGGAGGCTGAGGCAGGAGAATGGCTTGAACCTGGGAGGCAGAGGTTGCGGTAAGCCAAGATTGCGCCATTGCACCCCAACCTGGGCAACAAGAGCGAAACTCCGTCTCAAAAAAAAAAAAAGAAAAAAGAAAAAAGAGGGCCAGTCGCAGTGGCTCATGCCTGTAATCCCACCACTTTGGGAGGTTGAGGCAGGCAGATCACTTGAGGCCACGAGTTTGAGACCAGCTTGACCAACGTGGAAAATCCTGTCTCTACTAAAAATGCAAAAATTTGCCGGACATGGTGGCACATGCCTGTAATCCCAGCTACTTGGGAGGCTGAGGCACGAGAATCACTTGAACCCAGGAGGCAGAGGTTGCAGTGAGCCAATAGCACGCCACTGTACTCCAGCCTGGGCAACTCACTGGGACTCTGTCTCAAAAATAAATAAATAAAATAAAGTGCACAATCCAGTGATTTGAGTATATTCACACCACTACCTAATTCCAGCACATTCTTTCACCCCCAAAGAAAACCCTCTACTCATTAGCAGTCATGCCCTAAACCCTATTCCTTTAGCCTCTGGTGATCACTAATCTACTTTGTACATATTTTATATAAAATAAGTCACACAATTTGTGGCCTGGTGTGACTGGCTTCTTTCACTTAGCATAATGTTTTCAGTTCCATGCATGTTATAGCAGGTATCAGTATTTCACTCGTTTTTATTGCTGAATAATATTCCATTTTGTGGCTATGTCACATTTTGTTTATCCATCAGCTGATGGACCCTAGAATTGTTTCCACTTTTTGGCTATTATGAATTCAATGCTATGGAGAGCTGAGCGACCAAGGCTGAGAGCGAGATGCCAGTGGTTGTGGGTCCCTAGGGACAGTCTCAGCCAGGCTGCTTTGACTGCATGGAGATAGGCTTTGATAATGGGTTGAACAGTGGCCATGGTGGCCACGGTGCTCCTCAGCACCCTCTGTCTCAGGATTGGGATGCAGGATCAGGAGGTGATGGGCGGCATTGGGAAAACCATGATGCAGAGTAGAGGCATCTTTGATACATTCATGACGATGGGGATGGGCTAACGATGCTAACCATGGTTGCCCACGACATCTACATCTTCCCATCGATCCCAGTCTATGCACTGTAATAAAACAAAGTCTTTGAGTTAAAAAATGGACACACAAACAAAAAATATTGATGCCATGAATGTTCATGTACAAGTTTTTGTGTGAATATTAATTTATACAGAAATTTTCATTAGTGTACTAACCAAAGTATTAATACAGAAGTAGTTGAATGTGGTCAGCATCATGCAGTGAATTTTTGTTGGTTTTGACTGCCCAACAGTCTTTCTCTTTCCTCTTAGTAACAGGATGCGTATTCTCTTATGTGTAACCACATAAGGAAGCTGACTCCACTCTTACATCCAGGGGTAACTTGGCTTAAGCCCGGCACACGCTTATCCCCATAGACATTGACTAGATCAGTGATGAACAGGTGACCTTAATTCAGGCCAGTGAGATATAAAAAGACCTTTGCTGGGGCTTCTGGAAAGCATACTTTCTTGTTATTCTGAAGGAGTTTCCTTGAGAGATATTATCTTCCTATTTGAGGTGAAGAAAACACAGATAGCCCTTCTAGAAGCTGCTGTAACCATACTGACGTCACAAAAGAACAAATTTAGGCGCCGGGCGTGGTGGCTCACGCCTGTAATCCCAGCACTTTGGGAGGCCGAGACAGGTGGATCACCTGAAGTCAAGAGTTCGAAACCAGCCTGGCCAACATGGTGAAAACTTGTCTCTACTAAAAATACAGAAATTAGCTGGGTGCGGGGTGGGTGCCTGTAATCCCAGCTACTCAGGAGGCTGAGGCAGAAGAATTGCTTGAACGCCGAAGGCGGATGTTGCAGTGAGCTGAGATTGCGCCATTGCACTCCAGCCTGGGCGACAGCGGGAGACTCTGTCTCCAACACACACACACACACACACACACACACACACACACACACACACACACACACACAAATTTAGGGATATCAAATATTTCAGAAGGAGAAATGGAAAGAAACCAGGTCTTTGGTAACATCATTGAGCCTTAACACTGAGGACAAAGCTTTGCCTGAATTTTCAGCTGATGACTAAATTCCCTTAATTGTTTAAGATATTTCGAGGCCGGGCGCAGTGGCTCACGCCTGTAATCCCAGCACTTTGGGAGGCCGAGGCGGGTGGATCACGAGGTCAGGAGATCGAGACCATCCTGGCTAACACGGTGAAACCCCGTCTCTACTAAAAATACAAAAAATCAGCCGGGCGAGGTGGTGGGCGCCTGTAGTCCCAGCTACTCCAGAGGCTGAGGCAGGAGAATGGCGTGAACCCCGGGGGGCGGAGCCTGCAGAGAGCCGAGATCGCGCCACTGCACTCCAACCTGGGCGACAGAGAAACTCCGTCTCAAAAAAAAAAAAAAAGAGATATTTCAAGATGATTTTTCTGTTGTTTGCTATAAAAATATTACACCACAATATTAACGAAAACTATTTTTTTTTTCTTTGAGACAGACTCTCATTCTGTTACACAGGCTAGAGTACAGTGGCGTGATCATGGCTCACTGCAGCCTCAACCTCCCGGGCTCAAGCAGTCCTCCCACCTCAGCCTCCCCAGTAGGTGGGACTACAGGTGCACGCCACTACGCTCAGCTAATTTTTTAATTAAATTTTTTTTCTTTTGTAGAGACAAGGTTGCCCAAGCTGGTCTCAAACTCCTCCCAGAGTGCTGGGATTTCAGGTGTGAGCCATCATGCCTGATCAGAAACCATTATTTTTATAGCACTTTATAATGTAACTCTGAGCTATGTGAATTCAGTGGTAGATACGTTGAATTCTGCCTCTGGGAGTCATGAAAGGATTCATTCCGGGCACGGTGGCTCATGCCTATAATCCTAGCACTTTGGGAGGCCGAGGTAGGCAAGTCACTTGAGGTCAGCCTGGCCAACATGGTGAAACTCTGTCTCTACTAAAAATACAAAAAAACTAGCCAAGCATGGTGGTGGGTGTCTATAATCCTAGCTACTCAGGAGGCTGAAGCAAGAGAATCGCGTGAACCTGGGAGGCCGGAGTTGCAGTGAGCCGAGATGGCGCCACGGCACTCCAGCCTGGGCGACAGCAAGACTCCGTCTCAAAAAAAAAAAAAAAAGATTCATGTAAAAAGTGACATTTGAATTGCAACTTGCCACTTAGAAAGTATTTACTAAGTATAGACCAGGCATGGTGGCTCACGCCTGTAATCCCAGCACTTTGGGAGGCCGAGATGGGCAGATCACGAGGTCAGGAGTTCAAGACCAGCCTGACCAACATGGTAAAACCCTGCCTCTACTAAAAATACAAAAATTAGCCGGGCATAGTGGTGCGCACCTGTAATCCCAGCTACTCAGGAGGCTGAGGCAGGAGAATCACTTGATCCTGGGAGGCAGAGGTTGCAGTGAGCCAAGATCGCACCACTGCACTACAGCCTGAGCAACACAGCCAGACTCCATCTCAGAAAAAAAAAAAAAGGTATTTACTAAGTACAATAAGCTAAACAAAATTAAGCAGATTTCTTTCACTGTAGACCTTCTGAGGGCCTTTATTATACTAATATGAATTATGACTATATCCAAGAGAGGGATATAATATGCAGTATTTACTAAATTTACTTCACCCTGAACACCTAGCATTATTTCAAGGAATATGGTTGGCTCAGGAAACACTGGTAGTAGAATGTTAACAGATGGCTAGAAGAGAAGAACAAGATCATCCTGGCCAATTTATTAAGAAGTTTTTATGGTGGGGGGTGCGGTGGCTCACACTTGTAATCATAGCACTTTGGGAGGCCAAAGCAGGTGGATCACAAGGTCAGGAATTCAAGACTAACCTGGCCAACACAGTGAAACCCCATCTCTACTAAAAATACAAAAACTAGCTGGGCGTGGAGGCAGGTGCCTGTAATCCCAGCTACTTGGGAGGCTGAGGCAGGAGAATCGCTTGAGCCCAAGAGGCAGAGATTGCAGTGAGCTGAGATCACACCATCGCACTCCAGCCTGGGGGACAAGAGGGTGAGTTCGTCTAAAAATAATAATAATAATAATAAATATTATTTGTATGGAAGAAAATATAGAAAGTTAGAAGGGAAGGCCGGGCCCGGTGGCTCATGCCTGTAATCCCAGCACTTTGTGATGCCGAGGCGGGCAGATCACCTGAGGTCAGGAGTTCAAGACCAGCAGGGCCAACATGGTGAAATCCCGTCTCTACTAAATATACAAAACTTAGCCGGGAGTGGTGGCACACACCTGTAGTCCCAGCTACTCAAAAAGCTGAGGCAGGAGAATCGCTTGAGCCCGGTGACGGAAGTTGCAGTGAGCCGAGATCGCACCACTGCACTCCAGCCTGGGTAACAGAGCAGGACCCTGTCTAAAAAAAATAAATAAATAAAATAAAGAAAGAAAGAAAAAGAGAGAGAGAGAGAAAAAAGAAAATTAAAAGGGATGAAAATGTGAGAAGAAAAAAAATAGGAATTTGTAAGGATGGAGAGGGAGATGGGAAAAGTGTGAAGTAGCCATAAAGCTAACTAATGTGTTTGATGACTCGTTCAGAATCTGAGAGTGCCAAGTCTAGTAGAGTAAAAGACATTAGGAAATTGCCTCTAAATTATATCATTGTCAGTTCTTTCTCAAAACGTACCTGTTAATTTAATTTAATTTAATTATTTATTTATTGTTGAGATGGAGTCTTGCTCTGTCGCCCAGGCAGGAGTGCAATGGTGCAATCTCGGCTCACCGCAACCTCTGACTCCTGGGTTCAAGCAATTCTCCTGCCTCAGCCTCCCCAGTAGCTGGGATTACAGGCAGCCGCCACCATGCCTGACTAATTTTTGTATTTTTAGTAGGGACGAGGTTTCACCATGTTGGCCAGGCTGGTCTCGAACTCCTGACCTCAGGTCATCCACCTGCCTCAGCCTCCCAAAGTGCTGGAATTACAGGAGTGAGCCACCGCATCAAGCCTACACACCTGTTTATTTATTCTTAGAAGGAAGAGGAACTATTTTTTGTAAGTATTAAGGTCCAGTGAATGACAAACCAGTGAATTAAGTTATTTTTTGAGCTTGAATTTCATAGAATCATGGAACATAAGATCTGAAGAAACTTGGAAATTGTCTCATAAAACTAATCTAGTGTTCTTCCCTCTCATTCATTCATTTATTAATTCACCAAGTATTTGTTGAGTGTGCCTGGCAAAATCTCAGGTCACATAGGTGAAAAAATAGTTCCGATCCTGAAGGATAAAATAACCGCTATGAAAAGCTTTATGCAAGTTTCAAAGGGCATACAGATGAAGAGTTGTCTGGTTTTTTGTTGTTGTTGTTGTTGTTGTTGTTGTTGTTGTTGTTGTTTTGCAATGATGTCTCGCTCTGTTACCCAGACTGGAGTGCAGTGGCACATTCTTGGCTTACTGCAACCTCCACCTCCTGGGTTCAAGCGATTCTCCTGCCTCAGCCTCCCCAGTAGCTGGGATTATAGGCACTTGCCACCATGCCCAGCTAATTTTTGCATTTTTAATAGAGACGGGGTTTCACCACGTTGCTCAGGCTGGTCTCGAACTCCTGACTTCAAGTGTTCCGCCTGCTTCAGCCTCCCAAAGTGCTGGGATTACAGGTGTGAGCCACTGTACCCAGCCTGTTTGTTTTTGAGATGAAGTTGCAATACTTGAGCTAAGTCTTCAAAAAGGAACAGGCGTTTACCCGGTGAACAGGATGGGAAGAAATTCTGGCTGAAGGGATAGCATATGAAAAAGCACTGGAATATGATATAGGAGGGTATATTTAGAGAAGAGAATGTAATTTGGTATATAAGAGATGCCAGTCATTTCTCCTATACTTGCATCCCCTTCTTAGCAACCTGCCCTTCCCAAAGTCAATACATAGTGGATACCCTATATATTGAATGGCTCTGTAGTCCTGGCCACAAAATCAGGAATGAGCCCTTGACTAGAGCTAACGAGATTTTTATCATTCAGGAATAAAGTAAACTGTATAGACTTTCATTGTTGTTAATGGCATACAATGTAATTTCAGCCAGCCCTCCTACTGAATACAGCTAATCAGCTGGATGAAAAATAAAATGCATCCTCTAAAAGTATATCATAACTAACGAAATAGTGAGGAATTAACTGGGCCAAGATTTTGGATTGGTAAGGAATTTGAAGTGAGGAGCTAGCACTCGATGCTTTGTCTGAGGCATTTGCTGATGCAGAACAAGTAATTAGAAAGCTAAGATGTATGTTTGGCAGCCTTAAGAGCCCATGGGGACAAAAGTTGGAGTCCAGGACTAATAAAGGGTGGCAGCCCTTCTATATCACCCTCGGATTTGGCCTAGGACTTTAAAACCCTGCATTGTAGGTATAAGGGAGTACAAGTAAAGTAACTCTCATGTAGACTGCAGACTGAATTCAAATCATCTAAGTGGCCCAGAAAAATCTCAAGGCCTGAACTTACATTAAGTTGCCCCTAATTGCTAGTGGCAAGAGTAAAACCAAATCCACTTTGGAGAAAAAATAACATCATCCCAGGCCTCAATTGTTTCTGTAATTTTCTTTCTTTCCCTTCCTTCCTATTTCTCCTTCCTTCCTTCCTTCCTTCCTTCCTTCCTTCCTTCTTTTTTGTTTGTTTTTGAGACACAGTCATTCAGGCTGGAGAACAGTGGCACGATCTCAGCTCACTACAACCTTCGCCTCCTGGGTTCAAATGATTCTTCTGCCTCTCAGCCTCCTGAGTAGCTGGGATTACGGGTGTGTGCACCACGCCCGGCTAGTTTTTGTATTTTTAGTAGAGTCAAGGTTTCACTGTGTTGGCCAGGCTGGTCTCAAACTCCTGGCCTCAAGTGATCCGCCCGCCTTGGCTTCCCAAAGTGCTGAGATTACAGGCACAAGCCACCGCACCCAGCCTATAATTTTCTTTCAAATACAATGTTCAGTACAAGAATAACCAGGTTTCTAGGAACAAGAATCAAAATAGCTTAAACAAAAAGACAACCAGGCACACAAGGAGACAAAATACCAGAAATAAGGAGGACAAATAACAGATAATAGAAACAGACCCACAGGGATTCCATATTCTGCAATGACTAGATACGGACTATAAACAACTCTGTGTACTATGTTTAAGGAGATCAAAGCCAAACTTGAAAGATTTGGCAGAGAACTGGAATTATAAAAACTGAAATTAAAAAGGAATATATTGGCTGAGCGCAGTGGCTCATGCCTGTAATCCCAGCACTTGGGGAAGCCAAGGCAGGTGGATCATCTGAGGTCAGGAGTTCAAGACCAGCTTGGCCAACATGGTGAAACCCCATCTCTACTAAAAATACAAAAAATTAGCCGGGTGTGGTGGCAGGTGCCTGTAACCCCAGCTACTTGTGAGGCTGAGGCAGGAGAATCACTTGAACCTGGGAGGCAGAGGTTGCAGTGAGCCGAGATCACGCCATTGCACTCCAGCCTGGGCAACAAGAGTGAAACTCCTTCTCTAAAAATAAAAATAAATATAAATATATTAATAGTAGATTTATAAGTGAACAAAATAGAAACTCTAGCTTGAGACAGTAGTGAGCACTGAAATATGTAAAGATCAAAGAGAATCAGCCTACTGATATTGTTGGTCCACCTACAAGTTCAGGAAGAAATACAAAAAGAAACAGAGATTAAAATGCATGTGACTCCAGGGAAAGAAAGATGGAGAGAGAGTAGGTACTCGACTGTTTTCCGGTTCAGCCTCTTCCCACTACAAAGGATGCCACAAGAAGCTGGGCACAGTGGCTCACACCTGTAATCTTAGCACTTTGGGAGTCTGAGGCAGGAGGAATTGCTTGAGGCCAGAAGATCGAGACCAGCCTGGGCAACAGAGCAAGACCCTGTCTCTAAAAAAAAAGTGGGCTACAATGCCACTGCCCTCCAGCTTAAGCAACAGAGTGAGACCCTGTCTCAGAAAAGAAAAAAAAAAGGATGCCACAATAAATATATTTGTATGCATAGTCTTACGTATTGATGTTTAATTTTTTTTGCCTCCCCTCCCTCCCTTGGTGTTTTTATATCTATAGAAAAGATTCCCAAAAGTGAAATTGCTGCATTAAAATTATGTGTTACATTTTTAAAGATATTACCACAGTACTTTCCAGAAGGAGATAGCAATTTTTATTTCCCCCAGCAATGTGTGAGAATTCTCATCTCCCCACATTTTTTCTAGTACTGAATGATTTGATAACCCAAATAGTTTAAAATGGTATCTTTAAAAGTCTATTCTGCATAAAGACAGATGTGACCAATGGAATAGAATAGAGAGCCCAGAAATAAACTCTCAAGTATATGATTAAATGATTTTCAACAAGGGTATCAAGATCATTTAATGGGGTCGGGCACAGTGGCTCATGCCTATAATCCCAGCACTTTGGGAAGCTGAGCCTAGGAGTTCAAGATCAAACATGATGAGACCTCATCTGTACAAATAATACAAAAATTAACTGGGCATGGTGGCACATATCTGTGGTCTCAGCTATTCAAGAGGTTGAGATGGGAGGATCTCTTGAGCCTGGGAGGTCGAGGCTGCAGTGAGCCATAATCGTGCCACTGCACTCTAGCCTGGGCAACAGAGGGAGACCCTTGTCTCAAAAAAAAAATCATTTCATAGGGGAAAGAACAGTCTTTTTAACAAATGGTGTTGGGAAAATTGGATATCCATAAGCAAAAGACTCTTACTTTACATTGAATACAAAATGAACTCAAAATGGGTCAAAGATCTAATATCATAGTTAAAATTAGAAAATTCTCAGAAGAAAACATAGGAGAAAAGCTTCATGACATTGGATTTGGCAATGATTCTTGAATATGACACCAAAAGCATAGGCAACAAAAGAAAAAAATAGATAAATTGAGGATTGGGGCATGGGGCTCATGCCTGTATTCTCAGCGCTTTGGGAGGCCAAGGCAGAAGTATCACTTGAGGCCAGGAGTTTGAGACCACTTGGACAAGTTAGCCAGATCCCATCTCTGAGTGTGCCTGCAGTTCTAGCTACTCGAGAGGCTGAGGAGGGAGGATCGCTTGTATGCAGGAGTTCGAGGTTACAGTTAGCTATGATTGCACCACTGACCACTCCAGCCTGGGCAACAGAACGAGACCCTGTATATAAACAAATTTTTAAAAAAGGAAAAGAAAAAAATAAATAAATTGAACTATATCAAAATTTAAAACTTGTGTGCATCAAAGAACACTGTCAACAAAGTAAAAAGGCCACACACAGAATGGGAGAAAATATTTGAATATCATATATATGATAAAAGATTGATATCCAGAACACATGATGAACTCCTAGAACTCACTGACTGAAAAACAAACCCAACTAAAAAAATGGACAGGCCAGGCGTGGTGGCTCACGCCTGTAATCCTAGCACTTTGGGAGGCCGAGGCAGGCAGGTTGCCTGAGTTCAGGTGTTCGAGAACAGCCTGGGCAACATGGTGAAACCCTGTCTCTAATAAAATACAAAAAATTAGCTGGGTGTGGTGGCGTGCGCCTGTAGTCCCAGCTACTCAGGAGGCTGAGACAGGAGAATTGCTTGAACCTGGGAGGCGGAGGTTGCAGTGAGCCAAGATTGTGCCACTGCACTCCAGCCTGGGCGACAGAGCGAGACTCTGTCTCAAAAAAAAAAAAAAAAAAAAAAAAAAAAGGACGAAGGATTTGAATAGATATTTCTCCAAAGAAGCTATACAGATGGCCAATAATTTACATGAATGATGCTAAACATCAGTAAATGTTAGGGAAATACAAATCAAAACCACAATGAGATATCACTTCACATCCACTAGAATGATGCTAATCAAAAAAATAGGTAATAATAAGTATTGGTAAGGATATGGAGAAATTGGAACCTTCATACATTACTAATGGGAATGTAAGATGGTGCAGCATTCTAGAAAACAGCTTGGTGATTCCTCAAACATTAAACATACTAAGGTTGGTGCAAAAGCGATTGCAGTTTTTGCCATTGAAAGGAATGGCAAAAACTGCAATTATTTTTGCACCAACCTAATATAATTATCATATGATCCAGTACTTCCACTTTGGGGTATATTATATCCCAAAGAATTGACAGCAGGGCCCTGAACGGATATTTGTATAACAATTTCATAGCCATTTCTTTTTTTCTTTTTTTTTTTTTTTGAGACAGAATCTCGCTCTGTTACCAGGCTGGAGTGCAGTGACATGATCTCGGCTCACTGCAACCTCTGCTTCCCGGGTTCCAGCGATCCTCTTGCCTCAGCTTCCCGAGTAGGTGGGACTACAGGCAGTCACCACCACAACCACACATGGCTAATTTTTGTATTTTTAGTAGAGATGGGGTTTCACCACATTGCCCGGGCTGGTCTAGAACTCCTGGCCTCAAGCGATCCATCCACCTCGGCCTCTCAAAGTGCTGGAATTATAGGCGTGAACCACCACACCTGGCCCCAATTTCATAACAATATTATTCACAATAGCCAAAAGGTGGAAGCAACCCAAGTGTCCATCAACAGATGAATGGATAAACAACATGTAGTATATACATACATACAAGGGAATATTATTCAGCCTTAAAAGGGAATCAATAAGGCCAGGCATGATGGCTTACACCTGTAATCCCAGCACTTTGGAAGGCCGAGGCAGGCAGATCACTTGAGGTCAGGAGTTTGAGACCAGCCTGACCAACATGGTGAAACCCCATCTCTTCTAAAAATACAAAAATTAGGCCAGGCACGGTGGCTCACACCTGTAATCCTAGCACTTTGGGAGGCCAAGGCATGTGGATCACTTGAGATCAGGAGTTCGAGACCAGCCTGGCCAACATCTACTAAAAATACAAAAATTAGCTGGGCGTGGTGGCACATGCCTGTAGCCTCAGCTACTTAGGAGGCTGAGGCAGGAGAATGGCTTGAACCTGGGAGATGGAGGTTGCAGTGAGCTGAGATTGTGCCATTGTACTCCAGCCTGGACAACAGAGAAAGACTCCCTCTCAGAAAAAAAAAAAAAAAAAAATTAGCCTGGTGTGGTGGCGCATGCCTGTAATCCCAGCTACTCTGGAGGCTGAGGCCTGCGAATCGCTTGAACCTAGGAGGGGGAGGCTGCAGTGAGCCAAGATTGCACCACTGCACTCCAGCCTGGGCAACAGAGTGAGACTCAATCTTAAAAATAAATAAATATGAGGTGGATCATGCCTGTAATCCTAGCACTTTGGGAGGCTGAGGTGGGTGGATCACCTGAGGTCAGGAATTTGAGACTAGCCTGGCCAACATGGTGAAACCCCGTCTCTACTAAAAATACAAAAATTAGCCAGGCGTGGTGGCACACGCGCATGTGCACCCGTAGTCCCAGCTACTTGGGAGGCTGAGGCAGAAGAATTACTTGAACCTGAGAGACAGCAGTTGTGGTGAGCCAAGATCACACCATTGCACTCCAGCTTCGTGACAGAGCAAGACTCTATCTCAAAAATAAAAATTAAAATATAAATAAATAAAAATAAAAAAGGAATGAAAATTTGATACATGTTACAATATGATGAACCTTGAAAACATTATACTAAGTGAAATAAGCCAGATGCAAAAGGAAAAACACATGATTCCACTTATGTGAGGTACCTAGAATTGTCAGATTCACAGAGACAAAAGACAGAATACTAGTTACCAGGGGCTGGGGGTAAGGGAATTAGTAGTTTTATTTTTTATTTTTTTCTGAGACAAGGTCTCACTCTGTTGCCCAGGCTGGACTGCAGTGACGTGATCACAGCTCACTGCAGCCTCGACCTCCTAGGTTCAGGTGATCCTCCCACCTCAGCCTCCCAGGTAGCTGGGACTATAAGCATGCACTACGATGCCCAATTAATTTTGTGTGTGTGTGTGTGTTTTTAGTAGAGATGAGATTTTGCCAAGTTTCCCAGGCTGATCTCAAACTCCTGGTTTCAAACAATCCTTCTGCCTCAACCTCTCGAAGTGCTGGGAATACAATCATGAGCCACCACACCCGGCCAGAAGAATTATTGTTTAATGGGTATAGAGTTTAAGTTTTGGTGACAAAAATGTTCTGGAGATGGGTAATGGTGATGGTTGCCACTGAATTGTACAATCAAAAAGGGTTAAAACTGGCCGGGCGTGATGGCTCACGCCTGTAATCCCAGCACTTTGGGAGGCCGGGGGGGGGTGGATCACTTGAGGTCAGGAGTTCGAGACCAGCCTGACCAGTGTGGTGAAACCCCATCTCTACTAAAAATACAAAAAATTAGCCAGGCATGGTGGCGCATGCCTGTAATCCCAGCTATTTGGGAGGCTGAGGCAGGAGAATCTCTTGAACCCAGGAGGCAGAGGTTGCAGTGAGCCAAGATCGAGCCATTGCATTCCAGCCTGGGCAACAAGAGTGAAACTCCGTTTCAAAAAAAAAAAAAAATGGGGGCAGGGGGAGGCTGAGGCAGGGGAATCACATTAACCTGGGAGGCGGAGGTTGCGGTGAGCCGAGATGGCGCCACTGCACTCCAGCCTGGCGACAGAGCGAGACTGCATCTCAAAAAAAAAGGGGGGAGGTTAAAATGATAAATTTAAAATGTTATAAACGTTTTTGATTTTTGTTTTTGAGACAGTCTCGCTCTGTTGCCCAGGGGGCAGTGGAACGGCATGATCTCAGCTCACTGCAACCTCTGCCTCCCGGGGTTCAAGCGATTCTCCCTGCCTCAGCCTCCCAAGTAGCTGGGATTACAGGCGCCTGTCACTACACCCGGCTAATTTTTGTATTTTTAGTAGAGATGGGGTTTTGCCATGTTGGTCAGGCTGGTCTCAAACTCCTGATCTCAGGTGATGCACCTACCTCGGCCTCCCAAAGTGTTGGGAATGCAGGCGTGAGCCACCGTGGCCAGCCCTTTATTTTATTTTTGAGATGGAGTCTCGCTCTGTCACCCAGGCTGGAGTGCAGTGGCACGATCTCAGGTCACTTCCACCTCTGCCTCCTGGGTTCAAGTGATTCTCCTGCCTCAGCCTCCCCAGTAGCTGGGACTACAGGCATGCGCCACCACACCCAGCTAATTTTTGTATTTGCAGTACGGACGGGGTTTCACCATGTTGGCCTGGCTGGTTTTGAACTCCTGATCTCAAGTGATCTGCCTGCCTCAGCCTCCCAAAGTGCTGGGATTACAGGCGTGAGCCACCACATCCGACTTTTATTTTATTTTTGAGATAGGGTCTTCCTCTGTCTTTCAGGCTGGAGTGCAGTGGCATGATCTCAGCTCCCTGCAACCTCTGCCTCCTGGACTCAGGCCATCCTCCCACCTCAGCCTCCCAAGTAGCTGGGACTACAGGGGTACACCATCATATCCAGCTAATTTTTAAGTTTTTTGTAGAGACAGGCTTTCCACCATGTTGCCCAGGCTGGTTTCGAACTCCTGCGCTGAAGCGATTTGCCCACCTTGGCCTCCCAAAGTGCTGAGATTACAGGTGTGAACTACCATGCCTAGCCAAAAGTATTTTGTATTTTCATGATTACTAGTGAAGTTGCGCATCTGATTTTTGACATTTTCTATTTCATCTTTTATAAATTGCCTGCTGTTATTCATTGTCCATTTTTCTCTGCTGGATTGTTTATCTTTTTGTTATTAATTTATAGGAGTTCCTTTTACATTCATAGTATTTGTCTTTTGTCTACAAATATTGCCTTTCATTTGATTTAGTTTACGTTGTCTTTTGATACGCACAAATTTCACAGAATGGCTGCCAGAGTCCTACTGCTGCTACCAGGTGAATTTAGTATGGTGGTAGGTAGAAGGAGTTTCCAGAAAACAGGATGCTGGACAGAAAACCTAATGGGTGCCTACTATATAAACTTTAGTAAAGATGTTACCTTTCTAGCAATGAACTGCAAGGAAATGTCAGAGACACCAGTTATGGGTGCTGTTAGCTATCTGAGTCATGGTGTTCTTGTCACCATTCACTCATTTATTCCTCCAATCATGTATTTATTTATTTATTCAGCAAATATTTATTAAATATTTATTATTATGTAGGGCATAACATACTAAGCACTGTATTGTAACTAGACAACTGAGACATGGGCTCTCCTTTTGACAGGTTCAGTGTCTATTTAGGGAGGTAGAAATACTAAATTATCAATAATAGCAAAAAGATGAGTACCACACTAGAAAGATAATGGTGCTTCAGGCTAGAAAGCTGTAGACATAACAAGTGAATCACCAGGTGCAGTGCCTCACGCCTGTAATCCCAACATTTTGGGAGGCCGAGGAGGGCAGATCACTTGAGGCCAGAAGTTCGAGACCAGCCTGGCCAACATGGTGAAACCCCATCTCTACCAAAAATGCAAAAATTAGCTGGGCATGGTGGCGCATGCCTGTAATCCCAGCTACTTGGGAGGCTGAGGCAGGAGAATCACTTGAACCCAGGAGGCGGGTTGCAGTGAGCTGAGATCACACCACTGCACTCTAGCCTAGCCGACAGAGCGAGACTCCCATCCCCCCCCACCAAAAAAAAAGTGAATGGATTTAAGCTATATTTTTAAAGCAAAACTGAACGAACTTGCTGATGATTTGATATAGGTATCAAAGAAGCATTGAAGGTGATTCCTAGGATCTTGACTCAAGCAACTTTGAATATTCAGAAGAGCCTTTTACTGAGCTAGAGAAGACTGAGATTAAGATAGAGGTTCCAGGAAGAAAAATCAAAAGTTCTGTTTTAGATATATTAAGTAGTTTGAGATGCCTACTAGATATGTCAGTGATTCGTCATGTGTATTTAATATATGAGACTAGGAGCTCAAGGAAAAGAGGTAAGGCTGGATTATAAATTAGGTAGTCAATGGAAGATAGATGGTATTTAAAGTATGGGGCTGGATGGAATCACCTAGGGCAAACTATGGATAGAGTAGAAAAGAGCAAAAGGTAGAGTGAATGTTTAGAAGTTAGGTCAAGGAAGAAGAGGATCCAACCAAGATGACTGAGGGTGGCCAAGGAGGCAAGAAGAACACCAGAAGAATGGTGCCCTAGAAGGTGAGAACGAAATTATTTTGGCTGGGCGCAGTGGCTCATGCCTGTAATCCCAGCACTTTGGGAGGCTGAGGAGGGAGGATTGCTTGAGTTCAGGAGTTAGAGACCAGCCTAGGCAACATGGCAAAACTCCATCTCTCCAAAAATTAATAATAAAAAATAGCCGGGGATGATGGCCTGCACCTGTAGTCCCAGCTACTCGGGAGGCTGAGGTGGGAGGATCGGTTGAGCCCAGAGCCTGACGTTGCAGTGAATTGCACCACTGCCCTCCAGCCTGGGTGACAGAGTGAGACATTGTATCTAAAAAATACCAGAAAGAAAGAAGTTATTTCAAGGGGAGAGTAGTCAACAGGGTTGAATACTGTTTTTGTTTTGTTATTTATTTATTTAGACACAGGGCCTCACTCTGTTGCCCAGGTTGGAGTGCAGTGGCACTATCACAGTTCACTGGAACCTCGACTTCTGAAGCTCAAGCAATCCTCCCACCTCAGCCTCCCAAGTAGCTGGGACTATAGGTGCACACCACTATGACCGGCTAATTGTTAAATTTTTTGTAGAGACCGGGGGGTTTCGCCATGTTGCCCATGCTGGTCTCCAGCTCCTGGGCTCAAATGATCTGCCTGCCTTGGCCTCCCAAAGTGTTGGGATTATAGGCGTAAGCCACCATGCCCAGCCAAAAACAAGTTTTTGAATAGATTATATCACATGGTACAAAATTTTAAAGATACCAAAGGATATACAGTGAAAAGTCTCACTGACACACCTTTCCTTCAGCCACAGTGTTTTTCTCCCTGAATTCAATATTTCTAGGCTCTTATGAATCCTTCTGGAAATATTCTCTGTATATACAAGCAATTGTGTGTGTGTTCTTCTACCTTCCTTCTTTCTAAACAAATACACAAATGGCAACTCATTGTACACACTGTTTCTGTCCCTTGCTTTTCTACTTATCTATCTATCTTGGAGATTGTTCCATATATTTATATAGAAAGGTCTTTCACTTTCTTTTTTTTTTTTTTGAAGTTTTTTTCTTTTTTTTTTTCTGCTTCGCTGATTCTCTGAATTGCTTTATTTATGGCTCCATTGTATTGTTACACCTTAATTTATTTATTCAATCCCTTAGTGACTCCTATTGATGAATATTTAGGTTGTTTCCAATCTTTTGCTATTACAAGTAAAGGTGCAATGAATAATTTTTTACATAGAGTATTTCATATGTGTGGCAATGTATTTGTAGGATAAAATTACTTAGAAGAACTGCTGAGTCAAAGGGTAAGTACATTTGCGACTTTGATAGATAAGGTGCCAAAATGCTTCTATGGGGCCGGGTGCGGTGGCTCATGCCTGTAATCCCAGCATTTTGGGAGGCCAAAGCGGGTGAGTCACCTGGGTTCGGGAGTTTGAGAACAGCCTGGCCAAAATGGTGAAACCCTGTCTGCACCAAAAAATACAAAAATTAGTTGGGCATGGTGGCATGCACCTGTAGTGCCAGCTACTAGGGGGGCTGAGGTGGGCAGAATCTCTTAAACCTGAGAGATGGAGGTTGCAGTGAGCCAAGATTGTGTCACTGCACTTCAGCCTGGGTGACAGAGCAAGATTCCATCTCAAAAAAAAAAAAAAAGCTTCTGTGGAATTTGTACCAATGTCTCTCCCACCAGCAATGATGAGAAGGCCTGCTTCCCTATATAGTGTGTTATCAATTTTTTATCTTTTTTTTGAGATGAGTCTCGCACTCTCGCCCAGGCTGGAGTGCAGTGGCGCCATCTCTGCTCACTGCAAGCTCTGCCACCAGGGTTCACACCATTCTCCTGCCCTCAGCCTCCTGAGTAGCTGGGACTGCAGGCACCCGCCACCACGCCCGGCTATTTTTTTGTATTTTTAGTAGAGATGGGGTTTCACCGTGTTAGACAGGATGGTCTCAATCTCCTGACCTAGTGATCCGCCCATCTCAGCCTCCCAAAGTGCTGGGGTTACAGGCATGATCCACTGCGTATTTATTTATTTTTAAGATGGAGTCTCACTCTGTCGCCCAGGCTGGAGTGCAGTGGTGCAATCTTGGCTCACTGCAACCTCCCCCTCCTAGGTTCAAGCGATTCTCAGGCCTCAGTTTTTTATCTTTGCCAATCTGATAAGTGAAAAATGGTCTTTTGGTGTACTTATTTAATTTTAATTTCTTTTGAGTGAAGTTGAACATATTTCCAAAACTTTAAAAGCTATTTGTATTCCTTTTTCTTTGAATTGTCTCTTCCTACCCTTTGCTAATTTTTCTTTTCTTTTTCTTTTTCCTTTTTTTTTTTTTTTTTTTTGACAGAGTCTCGCTCTGTTGCCAAGGCTGGAGTACAGTGGCATGATCTCGGTTCACTGCAACCTCTGCCTCCTGGGTTCAAGCAATTGTCCTGCCTCAGCCTCTCGAGTAGATGGGATTAATAGGTGTGCGCCACCACGCCCGGCTAATTTTTGTATTTTTAGTAGAGATGGGGTTCACCACGTTGGCCAGGCTGGTCTCGGAACTCCTGGCCTCAAGTAATCCGCCCTCCTCAGCCTCCCGAAGTGCTAGGATTATAGGCATGAGCCACCGCGCCTGGCCCCTTTGCTCATTTTTCTAATGAATTGTTGGTCTTTTTCTTATTGATTTGTAGCTCTTTGGCCAGGCTGTAGTGCAGTGGTGTGATCTCAGCTCACTGCAACCTCTGCCTGCTGGGCTCAAGCAATCCTCCCACCTCAGCTTCCAGAGTAGCTGCGACTACAAGGGCGTGCCACTGTGCCCAGCTAATGTGTGTGTGTGTGTGTGTGTGTGTGTGTGTGTGTGTGTGTGTGTGTGTGTGTTTTGTAGAGACAGGGGGGTTTCACCATGTTGCCCAGGCTGGTCTCCAGCTCCTGGGCTCAAGCGATCCGCCCACCTCGGCCTCTCAAAGTGCTGGGATTGCAGGCGTGAGCCACTGAGCCCAGCCTATAGGAGCTCTTAATATATTAGGCACATTATCCCTCTGTCATGTGAGTTGTGAGTGTCTTTTCATTTTGTTAATGGTGATTGTTTTTTCCTGCAGAAATTTTTTATTCTTGTATAGTTGAATTTATCCAAGTTTTGTGTCAAACTTTAAAAACCACCTCCACTCGAAAGTTACTTTTCTTCCCTTAATTTCCCAGAAGAGTTTTTTAAGTATTGGGAAAGAGAAACTAGAACATGCTTGTATATTTTCAATAGAAAGGAAGAAATTGATGAATCAGGAGAGATTTGGGAAATTTTCAGCTGCAAAGCCCATGACTAGGCTAGAGGGGATGGGAAACAGAGCCCAGATGGAATGATTGGCTTTGGAACAGCCTCACTTCTCCCCTTGTCACAGGAGGGAAGACAGGATATGGGTTCTGATGCAGGTAGGTTGGGGGATTTGGTGGTGAGAGGATGACAAAGTTCCTATCTGCTTGCCTATGTTTTCCCAATGACGTAAAAGGCAAATTCGTTAGCTGAGAGAGCAGAGCAGGAAAAAGCTGTTAAGGTTTGAGGAGAGATGGAGTTTAGAGGTTTAGAGGCCAGGTTGATTAGCAATTCTAACTTCATTTTCCCCCCTTGAAACAAAAGAAAATTTATTTAAAGTTTTTATCAGTATAATGATTTGATCTGATGGAATGACTCTGTTTCCCTTTGAAAACTTCTTTCTTCTTAAGGAATGGTTCATATGGTTATATTTTTCTTTTCTTTTTTTTTCGAGATGGAGTCTTGCTCTATCGCCCAGATTGGAATGCAATGGCATGATCTCAGCTCACTGCAACCTCCGCCTCCCGGGTTCAAGTGATTCTTGTGCCTCAGCCCCCTGAGTAGCTGGGATTACAGGTGTGCCCCACCACACCTGGCTAATTTTTTGTTGTTGTTGTTTTGTTTTTGAGACGCAGTCTCATTCTGTTTCCCAGGCTAGAGTGCAGTGGCACGATTTCGGCTCACTAAAACCTCTGCCTCCCGGGTTCAAGCGATTGTCCTGCCTTAGCCTCCTGAGTAGCTGGGATTACAGGCTCGTGCCACCACACCCAGCTAATATTTGTATTTTTAGTAGAGACAGGGTTTCTCCATGTTGGTCAGACTGGTCTCAAACTCCCGATCTCTGGTGTTCTGCCTGCCTCGGCCTCCCAAAGTATTGGGATTACAGGTGTGAGCCGCTGTACCCGGCCCACACCTGGCTAATTTTTGTAATTTTATTAGAGAAAGGGTTTCACCATGTTGGCCAGGCTGGTCTCGAGCTCCTGGCCTCATGTGATCTGCCGGCCTCGGCTTCCCAAAGTACTGGGATTACAGGTGTGAGCCACTGTGCCCAACCATCATATGGTTATATTTTTCTGACAGTATAAATGACTTGGCCTCAATGTGCTATACCTGGGCTCCTAGCAGGGTGAGCTTGTTTTCAAGAAGTGTTTGGGTTCATTCTTTTTTTTTTTTTGAGATGGAGTCTCGCTCTGTTGCCCAGGCTGGAGTGTAATGGCATGATCTCGGCTCACTGCAACTTCTGACCCCCAGGGTTCAAGTGATTCTTGTGCCTCAGCCTCCCAAGTAGGTGAAATTAACAGCGCCCACCACCATGCCCAGCGAATTTTTTTGTATTTTCAGTTGAGACAGGGTTTCACCATGTTGGCCAGGCTGGTTTCGAACTCCTGACCCAAAGTGATACACCCACCTTGGCCTCGCAAAGTGCTAGGATTACAGATGTGAGCCACCGCGCCTGGCCTGGGTTCACTCTTTGGATGACAATTGAAAGCTTCTCCATAAATAATTCATTTTCTTTTTTTCCTTTTTTTTTTTTAATGGAGTCTCACTTTGTCACCCAGGCTGGAGTGCAGTGGCGCGATCTCAGCTCACTGCAACCTCCGCATCCCGGGTTCAAGCAATTCTCCTGCCTCAGCCTCCCGAGTAGCTGGGATTACAGGCGTGTGCCACCACGCCCAGCTAATTTTTGTATTTTTAACAGAGACAGGGTTTAGCCATGATGGCCAGGATGGTCTCAATCTCTTGACCTCGTGTTCCACCCACCTCCACTTCCCAAAGTGCTGGGATTACAGTCGTGAGCCACGGTGCCCAGCCAAATAATTCATTTTCTACACTTACCACACAGATGCTAAAAGCTCAACAACTTGAGTTTGAGTTATTTGCCTTCTCTTTGTTCACTTCGCATTTATATTATATGTCCCTAAAGAGAGAATTTGATTGGATTGATTTGCCATTACTTGACATTGAGTGCTGCTTTTGAACAGCTATTTTTTGAAGTTCAAAATATCCTATTGCCTCAATGGCAGTAGGTAGCTTGCATATAGTGGCCTTTGACTTATGTTTAAGCTACTGGTTAATCAGCTGTGATAGCTGGGTTTGTTTCATTCAAAACAGGTCATATGAGTCATCGCACTTGAGCAAGAACAGCATCTCACTTTACCTAGAAGGGGGCCATGTACATGGCAAGCCCAGTTGGCTGCATGGACTTCATTCAGCTGTTCTGGAAAAGTGTTCATATCCTTTGTCTCAGTAATTCTACATCTGGCAATCTAACCTAAGGAAGTAATCTTTAGGAGACAGTATAGTAGAGTGGTTAAGAACATACATGTTTGGGCTGGGTACGTCCCCACCCCCCCCCAAAAAAAAAGAAAAAAAGAACATACATCCTTTGGAGTCAGACGTATTTAGAATCGAATCCCAAATGGAAATGTAAAATAAGTCACTTCTAGAGTTTTATTTCTCTGCTCCTCAAGTCATTGCTATGCAATTTTTTTTTTTTTTTTTTGAGACTCAAAGTGAGTCTCACTTTGTCCCCCAGGCTGGAGTGCAGTGGTGTGATCTCAGCTCACTGCAACCTCCGCCTCCCAGGTTCAAGTGATTCTCCTGCCTCAGTCTCCCGAGTAGCTGGGATTAGAGGCGTCCTCTACCACACCCACCTAATTTTTGTATTTTTAGTAGAGACAGGGCTTCACCATGTTGGCCAGGCTGGTCTTGAACTCCTTACCTCAGGTGATCCGCCCACCTCGGCCTCCCAAAATGCTGGGATTATAGGCGTGAGCCACCGCTCCCGGCCTGTTTTGTTTTTTAAATTTTTATTTATTTATTAATTTTTGAGACAGAGTCTCCTCTGTCGCCCCGGCCGAAGCTCAGTGGCACAATCTCATCTCACTGCAACGTCTACCTCCCAGGTTCAAGCGATTCTCCTGCATCAGTCTCCAGAGTAGCTGGGATTACAGGTGTGCACCACCATGCCTGACTAATTTTTTGTATTTTTAGGAGAGACAGAGTTTCGCCATGTTGCCCAGGCTGGTCTCAAACTCCTGAGCTCAGACAATCCACCCGCCTTGGCCTCCTAAAATGCTAGGATTACAGGCGTGTGCCACCACGCTGGACTTAAATATATTTTTAATGTTTTAATGTTTAATTTTTATGGATACATAGTAAATGTACATATTTATGGGGTACATGAGATATTTTGATACAGGCAAACAATGTGTAATGATCACATCACAGTAAATGGGGTATCTATAACCTTAGGCACTCATCATTTATTTGTGTTATGAACATTCCAATTGTATTCCCTCAGTTATTCTTTTTTTTTTGGGTTTTTTTTTGAGATGGAATTTTGCTCTTGTTGCCCAGGCTGGAATGCAATGGTGTGATCTCGCCTCTATGCAATCTCCACTTCCCGGGATCAAGTGATTCTCCTGCCTCAGCCCCCTGTGTAGCTGGGATTATAGGCACCCGCCACCACACCCAGCTAATTTTTGTAATTTTATTAGAGACAGGGTTTCACCATGTTGGCCAGGCTAGTCTCAAACTCCTGACCTCAGGTGATCCACCTGCCTCAGCCTCCCAAAGTGCTGGGATTAGAGGCGTGAGCCACCATGCCTGGCTTCCCTCAGTTATTCTAAAATGGACAACAAATTATTGCTGACTATAGTTATCCTGTTGTGCTGTCAAATACTAGATCTTATTCATTGTATCTGACTATATTTTTGTACATGTCTTGTTTTTTAAATGTTTCTTCCTTGGGAAATAATTCACATACCACAAAATTCACTCATTTAAAGTGTATGGTTTTATTTTTTGAGACAGAGTCTTGCCCTGTTGACCAGGCTGGAGTGCAGTGGCACAATCTCGACTCACTGCAACCTCCTCCTCCCAGGCTCAAGCCATCTTCCCACCTCAGCCTCCTGAGTAGCTGGGATGACAGGCACACACCACCACACCTGGCTAATTTTTTAATTTTTTGTCAAAACGAGGGTTTTGCCACATTGCCCAGGCTGGTTTCAAACCCCTGAGCTCAAGTGATCTGCCTGCCTCAGCCTCCCAAAGTGCTGGGATTACAGGTGTGACCCACCGCACCTGGCCTACAGTTTTCTTTTAAAGAGACAGGCTCTTACTCGGTTACCCAGGCTGGTCTTGAATTCCTGGCCCCAAGTGATTCTCTCACCTCAGCCTTCTGAGTAACTGGGATTACAGGTGAGAGCCACCACACCTGGCTAATGGGTACAATGTAATAATTTTAATATATTCACAGAGTTGTGCAACCGTCACCACATTTTAGAACATTTTAATCATCCCCAAAAGAAACACCCTGCCCATTAGTCACTCCCCATCCTGTAGAACCAAATTCACTTTGTCTCTATGGATCTATTCTGGATTTTTCATGTAATGGAATCTTACAATATGTGGTCTTTTGTGACTAGATTCTTTCATTTAGCATAATGTTTCCAGGTTCATCCATGTTATAGCATATACCAATATTTGATTTCTTTTCTTTTCTTTTTTTTTTTTTTTTTCTTGAGACAGGGTCTCATTCTATCGCCCAGGCTGGATGGAGTGCAGTGGCACAATCATGGCTTACAGAAGCCTCCACCTCCCTGGGCTCAAGCAATTTTCCTACCTCAGCCTACCGAGTAGCTGAGACTACAGGCGCACAGCACCATGCCTAACTTATATATAAAAAATATATTATATATATATAATTATATATTTTATTTATATATATATATATATATATATATAGTATTTCTGGTAGAGATGGGGTTTCACCATGTTGCCCAGGCTGCCCAGCTAATTTTTAAATTTTTTATAGAAATGGGTTTTCACCACATTGCCCAGGCTGGTCTTGAGCTCCTGGGCTCAAGTAATTCTGTTGCCTCGGCCTCCCAAAGTTCTGGGATTGGAGGCATGAGACACATTGCCCAGGCTTGGTTCTGTTTTACTGCTGAATAATACTCTATTGAATGAATATATCACTTTCTTTTCCTTTTTCTTTTCTTTTTTTTTTTTTTTTGAGATGGAGTCTCATTCTGTTGCTGAAGCTGCAGTGCAGTGGCGCGATCTCGACTCACTGCAACCTCCGTGATTCTCCTGCCTCAGTCTCCCAAGTAGCTGGGATTACAGGCGTGCAACACCATGCCCAGCTAATTTTTGTATTTTTAGTAGAGACTGGGTTTTGCCATGTTGACCAGGCTGGTCTTGAACTCCTGACCTCAGGTGATCCGCCCGCCTCGGCCTCCCAAAGTGCTGGGATTACAGGCGTGAGCCACCATGTGTGGCCTACTTTCAATGATCTATTTGATAGTTGATGAACATTTAGATTGCTTATAAATAACACTGTTGTGAACATTTATGTACAACTTTTTGCATACACATTTTTCTGTGGATACATGTTTTTATTTTTGTAGAAATACCTCGAAGTGGAATTGCTGGGTCATAGTGTAACTCTGCTTTTAACTTTTCGGGGTATTGCCAAACTGTTTTCCAAAATGCCGCACCATGTTACATTACTACCAACAATGTATAAGGGTTCCAAATTCTCCACATCTTCATCAACACGTCTTTCTTGATTGTTGGTGGGGTTTCTTTGTTTTGTTTTTGTTTTTGAGACAGGCTGGAGTGCAGTGGTGTGATCACAGCTCCCTGTAGCCTAGAACTTCCTGGCTGAAATGATCCTCCCACCTGAGCCTCTTGAGTAGCTGGGACCACAGGTGTGCGCCACCACATCTGACTTTTTTAAAACTTGTTTTTGTAGAGATGGGGTCTCCCTATGTTGTGCAGGCTGGTCTCAAACTCCTGAGTTCAATTGATCCTCCCGCTTTAGCCTCCCAAAGTACTGGGATTACAGTGCGAGCCACCATGCCCAGCCAACACTTTTTATTAAAGGTTCAACATCCCTAATCTGAAATTCCGAAATCTGAAATTATCCAAAATGTGAAACTTTTTGAGCACTGACATGACACCACAAGTGGAAAATTTCATACCTGACCTTATATGATGGGCCACTGTCAAAATGCAGGTACACAACATACAGCATCCCCAAGGGAAAAATAAAATTCGCTTCAGGCTATGTTTATAAGGTGTATATGAAACATAAGTGAATTTCATGTTTAAAAATTCCAAAACATTTCTGGTCCCAAGCATTTCCAATAGGAAATTTTCAACATGTTTCTGCTGTCTTTTTTTTTTTTTTTTTTTTTTTTTTGAGACAGGGTCTTACTCTATCATCCAGGCTGGAGTGCACTCTCACCACTCTTGGCCTGTAAAGCCTAAAGCCTAAAATATTTACTATCTGCTTTTTTTTTTTTTTTAACTCACATGTATGTTTACACACACACATACAGTCTTTCTCTGTCGCCCAGGCTGGGGTGCAGTGGTGTGATCTTGGCTCACTATAACCTCTGCTTCCCAGGTTCAAGTGATTCTCCTGCCTCAGCCTCCCAAATAGCTGGCATTACAGGCACCTGCCACCATGCCTGGCTAATTTTTGTATTTTCAGTAGAGACACGGTTTCACTATGTTAGCCAGGCTGGTCTCGAACTCCTGACCTCAGATGATCCATCCGCCTCGCCTCCCAAAGTGCTGGGATTACAGGCGTGAGCCACCCTGCCTGGCCACTATCTGCTTCTCTTTTTTTTGAGTAGTCTTGCTCTGTTGCCCAGGCTGGAGTGCAGTGGTGCAATCTCGGCTCACTGTAACCTCTGTCTCCCGGGTTCAAGCGATTGTCCTGCCTCAGCCTCCCTAGTAGCTGGGATTACAGGTGCACACCACCATACTCGGCTAATTTTTGTATTTTTTGTAGAGACGGGGTTTTGCCAGGCTGGTCTCGAACTCCTGACCTCAGGTGATCTGCCTGCCTCAGCCTCCCAAAGTGCTGGGATTACATATCTGCTTCTTTATTTAAAAAATGTGCTGACCCCAGGTTTAGAGGAGTTAGAGATTGCTTCCTAAAGGGGTGATATTTAAGATGAGACATGGGGACACCATAGGAGCACTTCTGAAAAAGGTGCAGCATGAGAAAAGGTATGAAGAGATATGTTAGTAACATCCTAGAGAGGAATCATTCATTGAAGTAAAAACTGCACTAGGTTAACCCCACTCTCCATCACTGCAGCTTACAACTACAGGACCTGAAGCAACAAGACACTGACAGGAAAACACGAGACACAGCATCAAGATGGTAGCACAGCTCACGGCCCACATCCCCACTCCCCTCCTCCTCACACAAAGGCCCAAAGCAAATCTTTGCATGATCACTTATTACCGTTTGTAAACGTTTAGTTAACTGAGTTTTGACCACAACTGAGTTTTGGTTCCAACTTTGATGGGGCAGAGGGCCTGAAGAAAGGATGAGCTGGCCACGCGCAGTGGCTCATGCCTGTAATCCCAACACTTTCGGAGGCCGAAGCAGGCGGATCACCTGAGGTTGGGAGTTTGAGACCAGCCTGACCAACATGGAGAAACCCCGTCTCTACTAAAAATACAAAATTAGCCAGGTGTGGTGGCACATGCCTATGATCCCAGCTACTCGGGAGGCTGAGACAGGAGAATCACTTGAACCAGGGAGGCAGAGGTTGCAGTAAGCCGAGATCGCTCCATTGCACTTCAGCCTGGACAACAAGAGCGAAACTCTGTCTCAAAAAAATATACATATTTTTAGTAGAGACAGGGTCTCACCATGTTGGCCAGGCTGGTTTCAAACTCCTGACCTCAAGTGATCCACCTGCCTCGGCCTCCCAAAGTGCTAGGGTTATAGGTGTGAGCCACCACACCCGGCTGGACACTCAATTTTAAATGATGTTACATTTTAAAAATTGGGTACATTGGTTTTGGGGGTTTGCTTGAGACAGGGTCTCTCTGTCGCCCAGACAGGAGTGCAGCATCAAGATCTCAGCTCACTGCAACCTCTGACTCCTGGGCTCAAGCAATCCTCCCACTGGCTGACGCCACCACACTGGGCTAATTTTTTAAGTTCCTTTTTTTTTTTTGTAGAGACAGGGTCTCACTATATTGCCCAGGCTGTTCCTAAACTCCCTGGCTCAAGTGATCCTCCCACCTTCTCCCTTCAAAGTGCTAGGATTACAGGTATGAGCCACCACACCCCACCGGGTACGTTGGTTTTAGTTTTGTTGGTTTTATTTATTTATTTAATTTATTTGTATTATTACTATTTTTTGAGATGGAGTCTCGCTCTGTTGCCCAGGCTGGAGTGCAGTGGCTCGATTTCGGCTCACCACAACCTCCGCCTCCTGGGTTCAGGCCATTCTCCTGCCTCAGCCTCCTGAGTAGCTGGGACTACAGGCATGTGTCACCATGCCTGGGTAATTTTTGTGTTTTTAGTAGAGACGGGGTTTCTACATGTTGGTTGGGCTGGTCTCAAACTCCCGACCTCAGGTGATCTGCCCACCTTGGCCTCTTAAAGTGCTGGGATTACAGGCGTGAGCCACCACGCCTGGCCTATGTTGTTATTAACTTAAAGCTGAAATAACTTAAAACTACAAATTGGGTCTTTTTTATGTCAGAAAAACAAACAAAAACCCACTGTGTTTGGAAGGCTCCCTGTAATCTATAAGAAGATCTTTAAATCTTACCAGGTTTCTAAATTATTTTCTCTTCTTCCTTTCTTTCCTTCTTTCTTTCTTTCTTTCTTTCTTTCTTTCTTTCTTTCTTTCTTTCCTTCTTTTTTGTTGTTGTTGTTGTTGACAGATTCTCGTTCTTGTTGCCCAGGCTGCAGTGCAGTGGTGCAATCTTGGCTCACTGCAACCTCCGCCTCCTGGGTTCAAGTGATTCTCCTGCCTCAGCCTCCTAAGTAGCTGGGATTACAGGCGCCCGCCACCATGCCCAGCTAATTTTTGTATTTTTAGTAGAGAGGGGGTTTCGCTATGTTGGCAGGGCTGGTCTCGAACTCCTGATCTCAAGTGATCTGCCTGCCTCGGCCTCCCAAAGTGTTGGGATTACAGGTGTGAGCCACTGCGCCACACCTTTTCCTGGTTTTAAATGATCCTCTCACCTTGGTCTCCCAAAGTGCTGGGATTACAGGGTTGAGCCACCCTGTCCAGCTATTTAGATTTAGGATTGAAAGGACTAATGGTCTGAAATCAGAAATTAGGAGGACCTAAAAAGAATAGAACCAATGGAGAACTTTTTTTTGGGACAGAGTCACTCTGTTGCCCATGCTGGAGTGCAGTGGCAGGATCTCAGCTC
Organism: Homo sapiens; assembly: GCF_000001405.40. NCBI lineage: Eukaryota > Metazoa > Chordata > Mammalia > Primates > Hominidae > Homo > Homo sapiens. The sequence goes on from NC_000001.11 coordinate 26,674,141, forward strand.
ACTGCAACCTGCGCCTCCCAAGCTCAAGCGATTCTTATGCATCAGCCTCCCAAGTAGCTGGGACTACAGGTGCACGCCACCACACCCATTACGCCCAGCTTATTTTTGTATTTTTGTAGAGACGAGGTTTTGTCATGTTGCCCAGGCTGGTTTGGAACTCCTGGGCTCAAGGTAATCACCCTGCTTGGCCTCCCAAAGTGCTGGGATTACACCATGAGCCACCACACCCAGCCAATCAAAGGAGAAGGTTGGTAGAAAAAGTTGTATCTAGCTAAATTATATAAGCAAAAAAGTACTATGTTGGCCAGGCGCAGTGGCTCTCACCTGTAATCCCAGCACTTTGGGAGGCCGAGGTGGCTGGATCGCTTGAGGCCAGGTGTTGGAGACCAGCGTGGGCAACATGGCAAAACCTCGTCTCTACAAAAAATAGAAAAAATTAGCCAGGTGTAGTGGTGCACAACTGTAGTCCCAGCTACTTGGGAGGCTGAGGCAGGAGGATCGCCTGTGTCCAGGAGGCGGAGATGGCAGCGAGTTGAGATCGTGCCATTGCACTCCAGCCTGGGTGACAGAAATAAAACCCTGTCTCAAAAAAGACAACAATGACAAAAAGAAAAGGACTATGTTAACGTCTCAATTTTCTATAGAAGGTAATTTATCCAACAATCTAGGGTATCAGTAGGGGAATTGAGAATACTAGAGCAATTTAAAAAGACCATTGAACTGCTTGAAAAGCTAATACTATTCACTTCCAGGAAAGACTGTCAGATTCAAAGCCTATTTGCTCTTACTTTACACACAATGCTAATAAATTTTGTTACCTAGTTTCCTAGGACACAGATTAGGAAGAGAATTGCTAAAGCCAGGCACCCAGGAAGTAGCAAGTGGTATTATCTAATATCTTAACAAAGGATGGGATAAAACAGAAAGAAAATTATTGGAAGGACATAAAAGAACTCAAAATCACACTAGCCTCGGATCATTTTGGGTAGGGCAAAAAGCATAGCATATTTTAATATTTCTCAGAGATGCATTACTTTGGAGTTTCATTCTGAATGCTAATAATGACCAAGAAAATAAGAAGAGTTTAAATTATATTTGCTATACATTTCAAGAAGGCAGGGATCTATTTTATTTAAAATAAATTTTCATTAAAGTCATATTTTAAAACATTTTATACTGAAAGGGATTAGTTTTAATTATTTAGAAAATGAATTCAGGCTTTTCACATTATCCAAAGGTGTCAGATAAATGAAGCCTTAATGAATTATAATAGCAAAGTCAGAGTAAATACATACCTGTTTACATTGACATATCTTCTAAATGTGTCTTTAGATCTGGTTGGCTGCTTTGACCCCCAAGGAAGAGAGAATAAATAATGCATTTCCCTACAAGCTGATTAACAGTAAAAGTTAAAAAGATCCCATTGATATGCTCAGCCCCTCGGAAGACAAAATGAGTAGAAAATAGGAAAGGCATGTCATACTTTGTTCTGAGTTCTCAAGGATTAAGGAATGGTCATACAAACCAACCCACAATGTAATGTTTATACTGTTAAATAATACAAAACTATATAAATTAACAAAGATTATATATGAAAACAATTCTGTGGCTTATGCATTATATATATATATATATATATATATATGACATTGCTTAGAAATTGTTTAGAACTACAGCACACATATATGGCATTGCTTAGAACTATAGCATACATATATGCTAGAGTTTAAGTGTTTAAAAGGCTGGGCGCGGTGGCTCACGCCTGAAATCCCAGCACTTTGGGAGGCCGAGGCGGGCGGATCACGAGGTCAGGAAATCGAGATCATCCTGGCTAACATGGTGAAACCCTGTCTCTACTAAAAATACAAAAAATTAGCTGGGCGTGGTGGTGGGTGCCTGTAGTCCCAGCTACTTGGGAGGCTGAGGCAGAAGAATGGCGTGAACCCTGGAAGGCAGAGCTTGCAGTGAGCCGAGATCGCGCCACTGCACTCCAGCCTGGGTGACAGAGCGAGACTTTGTCTCAAAAAAAAAAAAAAAAAGTTTAAGAATTTAATAAGGTCATGAAATCCATTAATGGTATGGTTATCACTTTGGGATGCTTCTGAGGCTCTCAGGGAGTTATTGGAAGGTCAAAGTAAGATGAAGGCAGAAGATTCTGTGAGGCTATCAGCCAAGACCACCTGAGCCCATCTGCTTTTCTTCTGTTTTTTGTTTTGTTTTGTTTTGTATTTTGAGACTGAGTCTCACTCTGTCGCCCAGGCTTGAGTGGAGTGGCACGATCTCGGCTCACTGAAACCTCCACCTCCCAGGTTCAAGTGATTCTCCTGCCTCAGCCTTCCCAGTAGCTGGGATTACAGGCGCCCGCCACCACCTCCAGTTAACATTTGTATTTTTAATTGAGACGGGGTTTCACCATTTCAACCAGGCTGGTCTCAAACTCCTGATCTCAAATGATCAGCCTGCCTCAGCCTCCCAAAGTGCTGGGATTACAGGTGTGAGCCACTACACCCAGTCCATCTGCTTTTCTTCTTTGCTGTCTAAGACAGCAAGGTGTTTCTTGCCTGTTTTACTTAGGGGTAACAGGACTCATCAAGACACACTGAGGGACTCAGCCAAGCACACCACAGGTCTTAGGGCTGCAGTCTACTGTTACATTTCCCTACCTAGAAGCTAAACCCCATGGGAGCTGGAACCTTGTCTGTCTTGTGTATAGCACAAGGCTAGCATGTGGTAGTATACAAACATTTCTTGAATAAATATCATAGAGTGGCAATGAGAGTCTGAGGTAGATAAGTGCCTGCAGCCTTAATTTGGAAAGATTTTCCCAGGAATAAGAGCTTGAAGTGGAGATATACGGTCTACTCAGGGAGTTCAGGGTCGTGCATGATAATCTGTAATGGAACTATGCACCCCAGAATGAACTTTGACAAGGTCCCAGATTCAGGCATGAACATTTAGGGAAAGTATTTTAATTACTATGCTAGTTTTTCTTTGGGACTGATAATTTAAGTGTGTTTCTTAAAAATTTGTGTTTGGGTAGCTTTATTTATTCAGGAAGAACATCTTTATTTTTTTGGAAAACAGAAAACCTTTTCCTTGTTTTGCCATTCAGCAGGGCAGAATGTTTAGACTGATTCTTTTTTATAGAAGTAACTTAAGCATACCCAAATGTCTAAGTATACAGTTGTACCCCTTGACGTGACAAGAGAAAACAATCCAGGTGGAAATGAACAGTGAGAGACGTGTAGGTTCCCTATTCTTTGAGGAGTAACATAGGGAAATGAAAGTGAACTGAAGAGAGGAAGAAAAGTGGAAGCTGAAGAAACAGCCAAGATAATCAGGAAGAGAGATTTAAAATCACGCTCCTCTTGAGCTCCATGTGCATTTGCGCTTGCTTCTTTCTCTGCCTCTTGGTTGTTTCAAGGTACCAGGCATGAGTTCCCACACAGCACACCCTCGACCTCTCCTGGTCACACTCTGTCATGAGTCACAACCTTGATTGTGAACACAGCAAAGAGCAGGGCTCTCAGGGAGGAAGACAGTGCCTGATCCAGTGTCCACTACTTCAAGAAATGGGCATAAGGTGGCAGCACTGGTAGCACCTGCAGGTGTCTTGGAGAGGAAGCTTGGCCAAGGGCCAGCTGCACTTGAGCTGCTAAGTCCCAGGGAGAAAATGGAAAAAAAGAACTCTGCTAAAGTCCTCCTTACTAGAGTAGTCAGTAACGGGAGGAGAAAGGCTTCTCGTAGGGGAACGACGGTAGTCAGGAACTCCACTGGGAGGAGTGGGTGAGAGGGTCACATTGCTGTCTGGCACCCACACATCTGTTGGAAGAATGCTACCACTTATGAGAAAGGATTGAGACAGGTGAACAACATGGATGAAACTTGAAAACAGTATGCTAAATGAAAGAAACCAGTCACAAAAGACTGCATATTATATGACTCCATTTTTAAAAAATGTCCATGAATACACAAATCTGTAGAAATGGAAAGTAGATATTTTTCTTTCTTTTCTTTTCTTTTTTTTTTTTTTTTTTTTGAGATGGAATCTTACTCTGTTACCCACGCTGGAGTGCAGTCTTGCGATCTCTGCCCATTGCAACCTCTACCTCTTGGGTTCGTGCAATTCTCCTGCCTCAACCTCCCAAGTAATCGAGATTACAGGTGCCTGCCACTAGACCTGGCTAATTTTTGTATTTTCAGTAGAGATGGGGTTTCACCATGTTGGCCGGGCTAGTCTCAAACTTCTGACTTCAGGTGATCTGCCCACCTCGGCCTCCCAAAGTGCTGGGATTACAGGTGTAAGCCATCACCCCTGGCGTACAGAAAGTAGATTAATGGTTGCCTAGGGCTTGAAGCTGGGGAGAATGGGGAGAGGAGGCTAAAGGGTATGGAGTTTCTTTTCAGGATGATGAGATGTTCTAAAATTGATTGTGGTGATGGTTGCATAACTCTGAATATGCTGAAACCATTGAATTGTACAATTTGATGGGTGAATTGTAATTATATTTCAAAGCTGTCATAAAAAATGACTGATGAACATTTATTTAAAAATCAGACAGTAAAGGTTATAATGTGAGTGCATTCTTACCATCTTTCCCCTCCCTGGTCCTATGAATGTGGATGGCCACAATGGGAGTAAGAGGCATCCCTCTTCGTGGAACCACCCATCTTTTTTTTTTTTTTTGAGACAGGGTCTCGCTTTTTTATTCTAGGCTTACTATAGCTTTTACCTCCTGGAATCAAGGGATCTCCCACCTTAGCCTCCTTAGTAACTGGAAGGGAACCACCCATCCTTGAGACAGTGCCTCTCAGCCGGGCGCCATGGCCCACGCCTGTAATCCCAGCCCTTTGGGAGGCCGAGGTGGGCAGATCACGAGGTCAGGAGATTGAGACCATCCTGGCTAATACGGTGAAACCCCGTCTCTACTAAAAATACAAAAAATTAGTTGGGCGTGGTGGCGGGCACCTGTGATCCCAGCTACTTGGAAGGCTGAGGCAGGAGAATGGCGTGAACCCGGGAGGCAGAGGTTGCAGCGAACAGAGATCACACAATTGCACTCCAGCCTGGTGACAGAGTGAGACTCTGTCTCAAAAAAAAAAAAAAAAAAGACCGTGCCTCTCAAACTATTTTATTTTAGAGACCAGGTCTCTATATAACTGTTGGCCAGAGTAGTCTTAAACTCCTGGCCTCAAGCAATCCTTCTGCCTTGACCTCCAAAAGCACTGGAATTACAAGCATGAGCCATCACACCTGGCCAGGCTTCAAACTTTAATTTGCAGAAAAATAACCTGGAATATTGTCAAAATGCAGATTCTGTTTCAGAAGGTCTGAAGTGGGGCCTGAGATTGTGCATTTCTAAGATGCTCCAAGGTGAGGTTTAAACTGCTAATCCTAGGATCACACTCAGAAATGAGAAGCTCTAAGAGACCCAAAGAAATTATATTCTTTGATTGGGATCAGTACACACACACACACACACACACACACACACACACACACACACACAGATGCTTCTACTAACAGTTAATATTAGTACCTTGAAAAAGTACATTTCTAACATTATTGGATTTATTGCACATTTTTATTGAAAACCTCAGAATTCAGAATTTATAAGAGAGCTGAGTTTGAATCCTGACTCCATCATTTACCAGTATTGTAACCTTAAATTACATAATCTATATGAGCCTCAGTTTCTTTGCTTATATAGGACATAATAATGCCTCTTATTGGATTTTTGTGAGTATTAGAGACTATATAGCACACACATAATAGTCACTTGTGAGATAGCTTCTATTATTATTATTATTATTATTATTTGAGACAGGGTCTTGCTCTGTCACTCAGGCTGGAGTGCAATGGTGCAATCATAGCTCACTGTAACCTCGAACTCCTGGGCTCAAGCAGTTCTGCCTCAGTCTCCCCAGTAGCTGGTTCTGCAGGCATGAACCACCATGCTGGGCAAATTTTTTTACTGTGGAGATTAAGTCTGGCTATGTTGCCCAGGCTGGTCTCAAACTCTTGGCCTCAAGCAATCCCCCTGCCTTGGCCTCCCAAATTGCTGGGATTATAGGCACGAGCCACCATGCCTGGCCCAAGATAGCATCTATCAATGTGGCAAAATTTGTGTGAGATGAAGGATCTACCACACTTTCGTTTTCATGTTTATATTACTCCATATTTTCTTTTAAATCTTCTAAATCTCCCAAATCTTCAAATTTTGGTTCTGTAAGAGATGCTTCCCTAAGATATTTTTTCTTCTTTCATTTGAAGACATCACTGTCGTTTAGACCTCTAGTAATATCTATATGGAATATAATTTTTTTCTTTTGTTGAGATGGCATCTTGCTCTGTTACCCAGGCTGGAGTGCAGTGGCAGGATCTGGGCTCACTGCAACCTCTGCCTTCCAGGTTCAAATGATTCTCCTGCCTGAGCCTCCCAAGTAGGTGGGATTACAGGGGCCCATGACCACGCCCGGCTAATTTTTGTATTTTTAGTAGAGATAGGGTTTCTTCATGTTAGCCAGGCTGGTCTTGAACTCCTGATCTAAGGTGATCTGCCCACCTCGGCCTCCCAAAGTGCTGGGATTGCAGGCATGAGCCATCACATCCAGCCTGTATCATTTGGAAGCGATGTATTATTTGGAACCAATCCAAATAAAAGACAACACACACCTATGTGTGGGTGCAGTGGCTCATGCCTGTAATCCCAACACATTGAGAGGGTGAGGCAAGCAGATCACTTGAGGTCAGGAGTTCAAGACCAGCTTGGGCAACATGGCAAAACCCTGTCTCTACAAAACATACAAAAATTAGTCAGGCATGGTGATGTGTGCCTGTAGTTCCAGCTGCTCCAGAGGCTGGGGTGGTAGGAGCACTTGAACCCAGGATGTTGAGGCTACAGTGAGCCAATATCATGTCACTGCACTCCAGCTCGGGCAACAGAGTGAGACCCTGTCTCAAAAAAAAAATAAAAATAAAAATAAAAAAAAGGGCCCAGCTGTAATCCCAGCACTTTGGGAGGCTAAGGCAGGTGGATCACCTGAGGTCAAGACGAGCCTGGCCAACATGGGGAAACCCCATCTCGACTCAAAATGCAAAATTTAGCCAGGCGTGGTGGTGTGCGTCTATAATCCCAGCTCCTCAGGAGGCGGTGGCAAGAGAATCACTTGAACCTGGGAGGTAGAGGTTGCAGTGAGCTGAGATCATGGCACTGCACTCCAGCCTGGGCAACAGAGCAAGAGTCTGTCTCTAAATAAATAAATAAATAAATAAAGTGATTCAAAGTAAAAGCTTAGGCTGTGTGCAGTGGCTCATGCCTGTAACCCCAGCACTTTGGGAGGCCGAGGCAGGTGGATCACTTGAGATCAGGAGCTTGAGACCAGCCTGGCCAACATGGTGAAACCCCGTCTCTACTAAAAATACAAAAAAATTAGTTGGGCGCGGTGGCACCTGCCTGTAGTCCCAGCTACTCAGGAGGCTGAGGCAGGAGAATCACTTGAACTCGGGAGGCAGAGGTTGCAGTGAGCCAAGATTGTGCCATTGCACTCCAGCCTAGGCAACAGAGTGAAACCCTGTCTCAAAAAAAAAAAAAAAAAAAAAACAAAGTAAAAGTTTAGAATATTCAGTAAGGATCCAGTTGCAGTGGCTCACACCTCTAAGCAGGAGGATTGCTTGAGCTCAAGAGTTTGAGACCATCCTGGGTAACATAGTGAGACCCCATCTCTACAAAAAAACAAACAGAAAAATTAGCCCAGTGTGGTGGTGTGCTCCTGTAGTCACAGCTACTTGGGAGGCTGAGGTGGGAGGATCACTTGAACCCAGGAGGTCGAAGCTGCAGTGAGCCATGATCACACCATTGCATTCCAGTCACTGCACTGCAGCCTAGGTGAAAAAACGGGACCCGTCTTAAAAAAAAAAAAAAAAAAAAAAAAAAAAGGCCAGGCACAGTGGCTCACACCTGTAATCCCAGAACTTTGGGAGGCCGAGGCAGGCAGATCATGAGGTCAAGAGATTGAGACCATCTTGGCCAGCATGGAGAAACCCCGTCTCTACTAAAAATACAAAGAAAAAAAAAAATTAGCTGGGCGTGGTGGCACTCGCCTGTAGTCCCAGCTACTCGGGAGGCTGAGGCAGGAGAATCACTTGAACCCGGGAGGCGGAGGTTGCAGTGAGCCAAGATCATGCCATTGCACTCCAGCCTGGACAACAGAGAGAGACTCTATCTCAAAAGCAAAACAAAACAAAACAAACAAACAAAAAACAAAACAAAAAAAGAAAGAAAGAAAGAAGGAAGGAAGGGAGGGAGGGAGGGAGGAAGGAAGGAAAGAAAGAAAAAGAAATTCAAAAAGGAATTTTGGTCTCTGATTTTTAAGTGTAAAGCTGAAATAATTCAACAAAATTTATTTTTATTTTTGTTACAAATTCTTTCATACTTAGTTACATCATTGTGGTTTGTGGCCTCTGTTGTTTTCCTTTTCCTTTACAGGTACACCAGGCAAGTTCTCCTAATGCCTGGCCCTCAGGGAAGCTTATAGAGTGAGGCAATTTGGAAAACCCTGTTTTGGAACTGAGTTGCTCCTCAATAGCTCCCCATGGAAGAAGGATTCCTAGTACTGTACATCACTGGCACACAACTTGGTCTGGAGTGAGGACTGTGGCTTCCTTCTTGAGGCACTCTGACCCAGGAGATTCACAGACTGGAGCACCAGGTGATCACCCAGGCACCTTGTCCTCCCATGTAATACTTGAGCTAGTCTCCTCTGAGTGTTATAATGACAGACCCAAGAGGCTGCCCAATTTGTTTGCTTTCATTTTGTTTTTATATTCTTTCAACTTTTAGGCTGACCTTATCTCCCTGATTTTCCTCGTCTAGGGAAGAAAATGTGACATATACTGTCACAGGCAAGTTTCTAGCACACCATACCATGTTAGTGAAATGTGCTTCTTCCTTTTTTTTTTTTTTTTTTTTTGAGATGGAGTCCTGCTTTGTCACCGAGGCTGGAGTGCAATGGCCTGATCTCAGCTCACTGCAAACTCCACCTCCCAGGTTCAAGCTATTCTCCTGCCTCAGCCTCCTGAGTAGCTGGGACTACAGGTGCGCTCCACCATGCCTAGCTAATTTTTTAGTAGAGATGGGGTTTCACCATGTTAGCCAGGATGATCCACCCGCCTCAGCCTCCCAAAGTGCTGGGATTACAGGGGCGAGCCACCATGCCCAGCCTGCTTCTTCCTTTTTTCAATTTTTTTTTTTTTTTTTTTGGAGACGAGTCTCACTCTGTTGCCCAGGCTGGAGTGCAGTGGCACAATCTCAGTTCACTGCAACCTCTGCCTCCTGGGCTCAAGTGATCCTCCTGCCTCAGCCTCCTGAGTAGCTGGGACTACAGGCACATGCCACCATGCCTGGCTAATTTTTGTATTTTTGATACAGACGGGTTTTTTCACCATGTTGCCCAGGCTGGTCTCGAACTCCTGGACTCAAGTGATCCTACACCGTCAGCCTCCCAAAGTGCTGGGATTACAGGTGTGAGCCACCATGCTGGACCTTGCTTTTTCCTTTTAAAATAATTTTTCAATATACTTTTATAAATTTGACCTCTTGCCAACAACTTTCTATTACTGTGTACCCAGCACTACCCATATGAATGCCTAAGCAGTATAGAACTTAAGAATTTGTTTTCTTCTCTTTTCTAAATTATTAGGAGTCTAATGCTGTCAACTGGTAAATGTTTTGAGTTTAAGGTAAACATCACATAGTTAACAAATACTTTTACAAATGCTATAACAGACAATTGGGTTTGGGGCCAGGCATGGTGGCTCACACTTCCAATCCCAGCACTTTGGGAGGCTCAGGCGGGCGGGTCGCTTGAGCCCAGGAGTTCGAGGCCAGCCAGGGCAACAGGGCAAAAACCTGTCTCCACCAAAAATACAAAAATTAGCTGGGCGTGGTGGTGTACACCTGTAGTCCCAGCTACTAGGAGGCTGAAGTGAGAGGATCGCTTGAGCCCAGGAGTTTGAGGCCAGCCAGGGCAACATGGCAAAAACCCATCTCCAGCAAAAATACAAAAGTTAGCCAGGTGTGGTGGTGTACACTTGTAGTCCCAGCTACTAGGAGGCTGAGGTGGGAGGGTTGCTGAGCCCAGGAGGTAGAGCCTTCAGTGAGCTGAGATCACGCCACTGCACTCCAGCCTAGGTGACAGAGTGAGACCCCATGTCAATTTAAAAAAAAAAAGAAAAAAAAAAAGAAATAAAAAGAAAATTGAGTTTGGAGATGCCATTTTTTAAAAACTTTTTTTTTTTTTTTGAGATAGAGTCCCTCTCTATCACCCAGGCTGGAGGGCAGTGGCGCAATCTTGGCTCACTGCAACTCCACCTCCCGAGTTCAAGTGATTCTCCTGCCTCAGCCTCCCAAGTAGCTGGGACTACAGGCGCATGACACCACACCCGGCTAATTTTTGTATTTTTGGGAGAGATGGGTTTTGCCGTGTTTGCCAGGCTGGTCTTGAACTCCTGACCTCACGTGATCCTCCCACCTCGGCCTCCCAAGTGCTGGGATTACAGGCATGAGCCACTGCGCCTGCCCTAAAATCTTTTTTTTTTTTAAATAGAGAATTCTGTTGAACACATATTTTCAAACTTGAAAAATAAAACAAGGGGTCTACATAGTCAATGCAGCTTTGAATATTTAAAATTTCTTCAGGTAACTGTTCTGCTTTGTGTCGCTGCTAGGTGAGGCACTCAAAAAGGCTGAACTGAAGGAACGAACTAGCTGAAAGGGACAGCCACACTTTCATGGAGTGAGGAAGTGCTGGTTGCCAGTCTGGGACTTCCCAGGTCACTAATTTTGAAACCCACCAAACACTGATCTAATGATCAAATTCTAGTCTTTCAGTAGCAAGGATTGAAAGATTGGAAGACTTTATTCTGTTTCCTCATTGGAAGACTTTATTCTGTTTCCTCACCTAGCACCAGGATTCTGTTGGGGAGTTCCAATGAAAGGGACTCTAAGTGGGGCTTGCTCTTTCCTTTCTCATCTGTCCAATTAAGGAAATTATTTGATTTGGCGCATCTTAGCCATTCATTTTGGTGGACAGATGTTTCTCTTGCTACAAAGACCAAGGACCATTCTAAACCCAGACTTAGCTGAATCAGTAGAACAAATATCTTATGATTCCACATAGCTGCCTTAGGAGCACTGGGTTTCAAAACCATGCAGGAATCCTTGGCATGAGCACTGTTATGTACAGGAGCCTGAGTTTGAGAGCATACGGTGTGGTATAAATTTTACATTGTGTACATTTTTGTGCTATTTAGTCCAAGTATAATCACCCAGTGTGAGAGCCTAAGTGACCCTGAGACAAAAAAAAAAAAAAAAGGAAAAGTCCCAGCGCAGTGGCTCATGCCTGTGATTCCCAGAACTTTGGGAGGCCAAGGCAGGCGGATCATGAGGTCAGGAGTTTGAGAGAAGCCTGGCCAACATGGTGAAACCCCATCTCTACTAAAAATACAAAAATTAGCCGGGCACGGTGGAGGTTGCAGTGAGCCGAGATCGCGCCACTGCACTCCAGCCTGGGCAACGGAGCAAAACTCCCTCTCAAAAAAAAAAAAGAAAGAAAAACAAAAAAGAGAAGAGCGAGAAGGAAAGGGAAGAGCAGAAGAAAAGGATAAGTTACTTTAATTATCTTATCCTCTACAAGAAAAAAATGACTAATGTGTGAACCTGAGTATCAGAGTAGTAATAATGTTGATATTAATACCTTTGATAATTATACCAGTGACCTCAAAGTACAAAAAAAACCTCATTATTTTCCTTGTACTCACCAAAACCTCTTTAAGTTCCCATAAAATAGGAGTTGCCATGTCTTCAGTTTTTCCTTGTTTTTCTTCTCTTTGTTCATGGGCTTTCTTGGAAAATGAGGGTTTTGTTTTGTTTTGTTTTGTTTTCAGACTGAGTCTTGCTGTGTCACCCTGGCTGGAGTGCAGTGGTGCGATCTTGCCTCACTGCAACCTCCTCCTCCCGGGTTCAAACAATTCTCATGCCTCAGCCTCCCAAATAGCTGGGATTACAGGTGCCTGCCACCAAGCCCAGCTAATTTTTGTATTTTTAGTAGAGACGGGTGTTCACCATGTTGGCCAGGCTAGTCTTGAACTCCTGACATCAAGTGATCAGCCCGCCTCAGCCTCCCAAAGTGCTGGGATTACAGGTGTGAGCCACCGGGCCTGGCCTGTTTTTGTTTTAAAGATGACATCTCCATGTGTTGCCCAGGAGTGTGGTAGCTATTCACAGGCACAATTATAGCGAACTGTAGCCTTGGATTCCAGGCCCCAGGAAATACTCCCACCTCAGCCTCCCGAGTAGCCACTGTACCTGACAAAATGAGGGATCTTGATCTGAGTGCTAGGAACTTATAAACAAATATTGAATCCAACAGGCTTGTACTATTTTGGAGGTATGTTTTTCCTTTTAAGTAGATATCAGCTTATAATGTACTTTATGGGAGGTACAACAGTAGTGTATACTCAATGTTGTATATCATAGTAGAGTAATTATAAGAGGATCTCCCATTTATAGTAAACTGAATGAAAGGATTGACATCCCAAACCAAAAAGTGGAAAATGGCAAACTGGTTTCAAAATATCATAGTGAAGAGATGGCTATTCTACTGGAGGGGACCCTCTGCTCTGATGCTTCTAAGCAGACATAGTCCTTATAACTGGATTTTGTGAGTCTATTTGAAATCCTGGTTATTACAGTTTATGAATGGATACAGCCATTTGGAAACCTGACTTAGAATGAAAGTCTAGACATTTGTCTCAAAAGTAGAGCTAGCTCTCAAACTATATGCTCCTTGCTTTGAATACTGAGTAGGGCATAAGCCTTTAACTTTCCTTTCCTCATCTCCTACTCCCACTCACTTCCAAGAAGAACACCTCTGTAGAGTTTTCATCTGTCTTTGTAGTACTCCATTCCTGTAAATTCCTTCTCCACGTTTTTGCTATTTCATTTAGTTTGGAAAATGGCAGTGTGGAATATGTTTGGTATAACCTTAATCCTGGCCAGCGTCTCTGATCCCTAAAAAAAAAAGTATACATACATATATATATATATAAAAATATATATATATTTAGAGAGAGAGCGAGTGTGTGTTTTCTGGGGTTAAAAACACAGAAGTAAAAACCTTAAACACAATAGAAAACAAACCTCCCTTATTATCCAGGTCCCCTGCATATTTTTAGTTGTTTAGAAAATGTTTCTCCTGGGTCGGGCATGGTGGCTCATGCCTGTAATCCCAGCACTTTGGGAGGCCAAGGCGGGTGGATTACCTGAGGTTGGGAGTTCGAGACCAGCCTGACCAACATGGAGAAACCCCCGTCTCTACTAAAAATACAAAAATTAGCCTGGCGGGGTGGCGCATGCCTGTAATCCCAGCTACTTGGGAGGCTGAGGCAGGAGAATCGCTTGAACCTGGGAAGTGGAGGTTGTCGTGATCCAAGATCGGGCCATTGCACTCCAGCCTGGGCAACAAGAGTGAAACTCCATTTCAAAAAACAGAAAAAAAGAAAATGTTTCTCCTGTTGTTCCTGTTAAATATTTCTCATATTTTGGCATCACACACAAAAATATGATGCCAGAGGTTTGTGTGTATGTGTGTGCATGTGTGTGGTGGAGGTGAGGGGGAGACTTGGTCCTATAGCACGGTGTGCAATGGTGAAGAACCTACTAAATTAATTAATCTTCACATTAGCAGATAACTGAGAATATGAATCACTCACAGGCAGTCAAAAGGTGATGTCAGTGAACAGTTATGGCACAGCATGACTGCTCCTGTTTGACACTGCATTTAGTCCTAGCACTACTGCTATTGCAGGGCTCTCCTATGAATTTTATTGTGGAATTTCAGAAATTTCTACTGCCAGTTGGGTGCAGTGGCTCATGCCTGTAATCCCAGCACTTTGGGAGGCCAAGGTGGGAGGATCATTTGAGCCCAGGAATTCAGACCAGCCTGGGCAATATGGCGAACCCTGTCTCTACGAAAAAATTTTTAAAAATTACCTGGATGTGGTGGCACATGCCTGTAGTCCCAGCTATTAGGGAGGCTGAAGCAGGAAAACCACCTGAGTCCAGGGAGGTCAAGGCTGCAGTAAGCCATGGTCACACCACTGAACTCCAGCCTGGGCAACAGAGTGAGACCCTGTCTCAAAAAATAAATAAAATAAAGTAAAATAAAATTCTACTGCCAAGTAGTAGCTAAATGTAATTCCCCCCCCCCGACCCCCCACCCAAGACAGAGTCTTGCCCTCGGGTGCAGTGGCACTATCTCAGCTCACTGCAACCTCTGCCTCCTGGGTTCAAGCAATTCTCCTGCCTCAGCCTCCCAAGCAGCTGGGATTACAGGCACCCGCCACCACGCCCAGCTAATTTTTCCATTTTTAGTAGACAGGGCTTCACCATGTTGACTGAGCTGGTCTCAAACTCCTGACCTCAGGTGATCCGCCCGCCTTGGCCTCCCGAAGTGCTGAGATTACAGGTGTAAGCCACAGTGCCCGGCGCTAAATGTAATTTCTATAGCATTAATAAGTATTCCAGGAGGTAGTTAAATCAAGGAACAAGGTACTTAATGAAGTTTTAAAATACAGCTTTGGAATGGTTATTATTAGCAATCATCATACTGTTAATTTCTAGTTGAAAGAATAACAGGCTCACAAAAATTTCTAAGTCTTAGGAGAAGACCGATTTTGGTGGAAAGTGGGTCAGAAGAGCATGTGCAACTCAAGGATTGCTGAGGATGAACAAGTGCATAGGGTAAAGTTGCTTCATCATGAAAGGTGAGTATTTAGGGTAGAGACTGCGGTCTTGGTCTACATTACTTGGTTGAGATTATAAAATGGTTTCTGTCGACCCTCTCTACAATCAGTGACAAATTGTACTAATAATGATGGACTCCTAAAAACCCTCAGTAGCCAATCAGGTTGCAACCTCCTTCACCTTGAAGCTTTTTCCTAGAGAATATTTTCTTTCCGAAGGTTGTGTGGTACTTCCACTCTCCTTGATTCCACCTTGGAAACACTGGCTACTACTTCATAAAGAACTGGAAGGTAGGTGTGGTGGAGTCAACTAGAATCCCTCTTTTCTAAACCCTTTGGACTTCCAACTTTATCTGGGCTAAAGGGGCAAACACGTTAGCCACAAACTCGGGTTTTTGTTAGACAGAGTATCCATATTTTATTTATTTATTTATTTATTTAATTTTTTGAGACGGAGTCTCGCTCTGTCACCCAGGCTCGAGTGCAGCGGCGTGATCTCGGCTCACTGCAAGCTCTGCCTCCCGGGTTCACGCCATTCTCCAGCCTCAGCCTCCTGAGTAGCTAGGACTACAGGCGGCCGCCACCACGCCCAGCTAATTAGAGTATCCATATTTTTAAGTAGCTGTGAGTGATTAGGAGAAAAATACTTCAATGAGCTCTTGGGCTTTGTTCTGAAGTCGAAAGGGCCTAGTAAAAATGTGTAATCTCCATCCTGGTTTTGGTGTTTGGGGCAAAAATAGTGCCTAATGTTGCACAACACTGTGTGCTCTTGAGTGTAGTTTGCGGATGAGTTATATTAATGAATACACATTGTGATAGAGGTGTGTGTGTGTGTTTCCGTGCTTTTTTTTTTTTTTTTTTTTTTGGAGACGGAGTCTCATTCTGTTGCCCAGGCTGGAGTGCAGTGGCACAATCTCGGCTCACTGCAACCTCTGCCTCCTGAGTTCAAGCGATTTTCTCCTGCCTCAGCCTCCTGAGTAGCTGGGATTATAGGTGCCTGCCACCATGCGCAGCTAATTTTTGTGCTTTTAGTAGAGACGGTGTTTCACTATGTTGGCCAGGCTGGTCTCGAACTCCTGACCTCAAGTGATCTGCCAGCCTCGGCCTCCCGTATTGTTTTTAAATGGCTTGTTGGATAGGCTTGATGAAGTGTGCTGGATTATTTCCTCCATTGTCTCCTGTTCTCTCCCTCCCACAGCAAGACTAGAAGAGCAACAACACACTTCTATACAGGTCTCTAGTAGTCTCTTTGGAGGGGTAGGCCAATAAGAACCAACCTGCTGGTCCCTACCCCCAACCCCTCTGGTGACTTCTGAATCCAGTTTCAATATTGTTAAATTTCAGGGAAGAAAGTGATAATGTGGAAAAGTGCCAAAACTCAGTCTGATTTTTCCTGGCAGCTTTCCCTTGGTGTCATTGGTAAGTTCCGCATTTCACTGGAGTGGAGTGCCACACTGCTACTATGACTATAGTAGTCACTCCCACGCCTGACTTTTTTGTTTGGTCCATTTTATCTTTAGGAATAGGCATTTTCTGTAGGGATAGATGGGTTTAAACCCTATTAAAGCTAGTCAGAATGTTTTTCATTAGGGGCCACTCAATTCCTGTCTTATACCTAATAGATTTCTTTGGATTTTCTTTGATTCTTATACAAAAACACCCAGTATCATCATGCTGGAGGATTCTCTTAAGGTGGTTGCTTTGCAGAGAACAGACAGCACATTTGCTTTTTTAGCCACCTATCCTATTTCATAGGACTGCATGCCTGCCTCCCTCCATTTTGTCTGTGCTTACACTGTTTTTTCCTTCTCTTTCCAACTCTTCTACAGAACTTGTGTTGGAATAAAAGACTCCATTCCAGATCCATTCCAGAGTTGCTGTGAGAAACTTCCCCACTGACTCTTTTTCCTAACTCAGTAAAATGGCAGTGTAAGAAAGCTTTATGCAGGCAAGGGCTGAAAGAAATCTCCACCTAGAATACAGTGTTTGATTTTTCCTTCTGATTTTCTTGTCAACTCTCAAAAACTTCCCTTATAATCATTTTATATGTGTGAAATTTCCCTAGGTTGGTTTTAAAGAACAAAACAAAACAAAAGCAACCTACATTGGTTTAACATGGGAAATCCTAGATAACAGACTTTTCCTGTTCCTGGGCAATAGCCTTCTGTGCTAAGATTGGTGACCTTACCTTGGTAATATTGTTGGTGCTTAGCCTTCCAGATCTAAAAACAGCTTAGTGTAATAAGTACCAAGCACAAAATTGTTAAGTTTCTCTTTTGATTGACTATGAAGAGGCTATCAAGCTTTTTTTTGTTTTGTTTTGTTTTTTGTTTTTTGAGACGGAGTCTCCCTTTGTTGCCCAGGCTGGAGTGCAGTGGCGACATCTCAGCTCACTGCAACCTCCGCCTCCCCGGTTCAACCGATTCTCCTGCCTTAGCCTCCCGAGTGGCTGGGATTACAGGCGGGTGCCACCACGCCCAGCTAATTTTTTGTATTTTCAGTAGAAACGGGGTTTCACCGTGTTAGCAAGGATGGTCTCGATCTCCTGACCTCGTGATCTGCCTGCCTCGGCCTCCCAAAGTGCTGGGATTACAGGCGTGCGCCACCACGCGCGGCTCAAGCTTTAAGTAGGTTTTTCATACAGTATTTTTTGTATTAGTTGGTGAATACAAATCTTCAATGAGCTCAGCAGAAATAAGAAATCCAAATTTCCTGATCTGCCCAGTGGTTTTATGAAACCCCAGTCCCGTTTTTTTGTTTTTTGTTTTTTTAAAAAATATTAGTAGTAGCTTTACTCAGTCTTTTCCACAAAAATAAGCTCACTGGTCAGCAAGCTCACCAGTGAGACTGGTGAGTGAGGCTGTACTTAGAAGAATATGAAAGCCTTGGTATCTTTTTCCTCATATTAGACTGGCCCTGGGTGTTATTTTTGTTTGAAACCTGCCACAAGCCAGACCAGCCTGGACTTTTACTTATTTTATTTTTTATTTCAGTTTTGGTGGAGGTGGTGGTGAGGGTAATTTTTAATTTATATTGAGACAAAATAAGCTGGCTGACTTATGCCTGAGGCTCTTTTTTTCACAGCTACTTTGGGGAAAAAAAGTCTCATTCAGAAATTAACATTTCTCAAAATGTGTTCCTTATTCTGAAATATAAATGACCCCAAATTGCTTAAGAGTTTGAGATGAGTGGGGAAAAGATCTAGAAAAGCATTTATTGTGTGCCAACCAAGTTTGAGGCCTCCTGGTTTGCTCCTTTGGGATTCTAGATCCTTGGCAGTCACAGTTTTACCGCGAAGAGCTGTTGAATGCCATTCCGAGTTCATTCCATTTTTCTCCGTGTGTGCATCCAGTTCGTATTTTACAGCTCCCGTATGGGAGCCGGTAACATAATGAATTGCCTTGACTCTCGCTTCAATCCACTTTCCTCGCTTAATATGCAGCCCAAAGTTTTGCAGCTCGCTGTCAGATGGTAGTGCTAGACTTTCACACCGATCCCAAAGCCTCCGCTGGGGCTGTTTCTTAACACGGAGTTACAAACTTTAAGAACAGACAGCTCCAGACGGAAATCCACGCCAGGCTTTGAACTCTGCTTCTGGCTTCCGTCAACTGACATAGTTGCCCTTTTGCTCAAACTCGCAGCTCCAGTTCGCACTCGAGAGAGCTCTGCTGGGTGTCTGCTGCTGTTCCGCGGCGGGAACGTGTGGGGGCAACAACCTGGCGCTCCAGCGATTCTCCACGCCTTAGTTAGGAATCTAAGCAAACCCTCGCTAGGGTCCCTGGGCTTAAGACGACTTCTCCCACAAGGATTGGGTGGAGGAAGGAGCCGAGCCCGATCTTCTGTTTGTTTGTTGAGTTTTGTATTTCAGACATTTAGGGGAAGCAAATTGCGAGAAAGGAAGGGCTGTCTTCCCTGCAAACGTTTCCCTCTCCTAGCAAACCCTCCAGGCCTCGGTTCCACATTTTGCAGTTGACTCTCTGGATTTTAATAGGTTGTTCCCTTGTCCTCGGGCCCAATCCATGCACGCTGTGCAGCCGGATAAAATGGGAGCACATCCTCTGCCATTTTCAGCCGGTTTGTCCTGGCAGCCCTGCCCCCTTCCTTGGCTGCTCTGCCGCTGGAGTTAATACGCCCAGAAACTCCGCCTGATCCTCCAGGCCTCAAATCCAGTCCGCGTTTGCTAAGTGCCGTGCGGTCGGGGACGGCGATAAGAACTCTCCTGTGAGGGAGAGCTAGCGAGACTTTAGTCCGGTTTCCATGTCAACGATTCAGTCCATATTTGCCATCAGGCTGTTGGCCGAGGTGCTTTCGCGAGGGTAGCGCTGTCCTAGTCCTAGTTCTCCAATCTGCGCCGGGATTCCTGAGCTGCCTGGGTGTGGGGTTAAAAGGCAGGGGCCGTGGGGGAAAAAACTCCACCGAAGGGAGGACCCACTGCCCCCAGCCGGGGTCTCGCTGCTCGGGCCAGCCACGTGCCCAGCTCCTCCCCTCCCCCGCTTTCCCGTTGCCACTGCCCCTAGGGAAAGCTGATGGGCCAGTTTCTAAAAAAGTTCCCTCAGCCCAACATTTCCTGGGATCGTGGTGTGGGGCTCTAAAAGTAAAAGTGGAAGAGAACCCTAGTGAATTAAAAAAAAAAAAAAGTAGAGAAATTCCACATTATCTCCTCCAACCCAGGTGGATAGATTTTTGTGCACTTTACCTTATTGCTAGAGAAAAATGGTGACTGTTTTCAAAACAGCTTGCCCACGTGTAGGGAAGGAGATTTTTGGCGCTTTCCATATTTCACAGCCATTGAAGAAAGGGGATGAGGGCTTTCTTTGGAGAGAAATCCATTCTAGCTTCCAGATTTTCACTGGGCTCCAGGTTTCCCATTACACCCCAGCTCTAAGGAAAATGGCAGAGTAATGGCATGTAAAAAAATCCTCATTTGTGTGCAGGACTCAGGACTGTTTGCCAGCTCAGGGGCAGTTGATTAAATAGCCAAGCTCTATTTATGAGGCAGCCTATAATTTGGTTTCTAGGACCTAATGCACCGGGGAGAGTTGTTGCCCCTGAGGACTGTGAGTGAAAAGAGGGCACTGGCCCATACCAGTCAGTCGGATCTTCTTGGTAGGCTGGTTTGGTTCTTGGCTTGAGGCCGGGGGAGGGGAGAAGAATAAAACTGTGGGATTTTTTTTTTTTTTAAATCTCATCACTCTTAGATTAACAGGAAGGTTTTGCCTTTCTGGTGTAGGATGCAGTAAGTTTTCTTGGGGAGAGAAATGAGTTCAGGCTTTGGAATTATTCATAGTGACCAGGGACATTGCCAGCACTCCCGGGTCCTGCATAATCTAAGATAATGCTCCTGTGGCCATGAAGTCTCCCTTTACAAAATCTGAGGGGGAAAAGAGATCCTGGTGTCTAGGAACACTGGCCTGGGCCTTTCCCAAGGCAGCCTTGGGTCTGGTGAGGAGCTGGAATCCCCTCTGGCTTTTGTAGCCTGTCATATCAGAACATTCCAAGTCAGCCTGAGGAAGAAAAGGCTGCTGCTGGGATTTGGTGGGGCCTGTAGATCAGGAGAACACTGGAGCTTTCTGTGTATGTCGATCTTTTCAGATAAACCTGGCCTTCTACCCAACTCCAGCTCAATCGGGGTCTCTTAGAATGTAATGGTAAACTTTAAACAATCTTTACGCTACAGGATAGAAAACAAATCTGACAAGCATCCATTTTCTAAGTGACTTGTTGGACTGTGCCTTTTCTTCAAGGAGAAAATGGTTTCCATTTTCTGCATCTCTCTTCTGTAATGGTTTGAACACTCAGGTTCCTGCAGTCCCTGGAGCCTCTTCTGTGGGTTTTCAGTATTAGAAGGTACTGTCTTTGGAGACTGGGGCTACTTGTCATGGTAGGCTAAGTTTTCTTAAGAGGGAGTGAGAAACGGTGTTTAGGTTTTCCTGCTGGGTAACTGTTCTATGCTCCTAAAGCAACTTCAGTGGCCTCCATTTTAAGTTAGTGGTGAGATGATCAGTTTTGACTTCAAATCCATTTTGATATTCTGATCCCATTGTTGAATGTGCTCACAACTTGATTTTTTTTTTTTTAAAGGCAAGTAGACCGAAGGCAGCTTTGGTGACTCCACTTCTTTTTAAAGTCACCCTCCTCTGCCCTCTGACTTTAAGTGACAGGCAGTTCCCTCCCCTCTCTTTCAATTCTGTAAAATGGGGATAATCCGGACCTCATGCCCCCAGAGCCTTGTAAGGACCGGCTAATGAGGGCAGGCGAGTGGGAAACGAATCGTCTGAACAATGATCAGTCATTCTTTCGGGCTTGCAAAGAGGGTAAAAAAGGTTGGGTCTTTAGCGGGGTCCGTAGAAGGCTTTGAAGACGAAAAGTGCTGTAGAGGTGCTAAGCAGCAGCCAACGGACCGGGCCCGCTGCCAGGGGGTCAGGGCTGGGCCGAGGCGGCCGCGGTCTCAGGCTCTGGCCAATTTTGCAGCCGCGGGTAAAGTTCACGCTGCCCGCTCCCCTCGGTACGGCCGGGAGGGGACAGACCTGGATAGGGACGCCGGGAGGGAGGCGGCGCAGGCTCCAGAGATGCGCGGGCTCCGGGCCGGGTTTTCTCCGAAGCCTTCGGCGGCGGCGCTGCCTAGCGAAAGCGGCTGAGGGCCTGCCG
Organism: Homo sapiens; assembly: GCF_000001405.40. Lineage (NCBI taxonomy): Eukaryota > Metazoa > Chordata > Mammalia > Primates > Hominidae > Homo > Homo sapiens. The sequence goes on from NC_000001.11 coordinate 26,695,595, forward strand.
CCGCCGCGGCTTGTTCTCTCCCCTCCTCCTTTGTGAAGGGAAGGGAGCGAGTCCGTTCCACGGCCTGCGCCCGCTCCGCTCTCCACTCCGGGTTTGCCAGGCGGCCGCGACGGCGCTGGGTAAAATGGCAGTGCTGAGCCTCGTGTCGGAGTGAGGGGGACTCGGAGGAGAGTGGGGCGCTCTAGCCGCTCAGTCCGGCCGACCGCTTGCTCGCCCGCCCGCTGCCGCGCAGCAGCCTCGACCCAAGCCGCAGCTGGCGAGGGGAGGCAGGGCGCCGGGCTCGGCCCGCGCTCTGACTCTGGCTCCCGGCGCCCCGGCTGCTGCCGCGCGCCCTCCAGCCCGCCCGTCCCGGGTCCCCCTCCCCCCGCTCCCTCCCTCCCTCCCCGCCCCCTCCCCCTCGCCTCCCTCCCTCCCTCCCTCCTCCTTTCTCCGGCAGCAGAAAGCGGAGAGTCACAGCGGGGCCAGGCCCTGGGGAGCGGAGCCTCCACCGCCCCCCTCATTCCCAGGCAAGGGCTTGGGGGGAATGAGCCGGGAGAGCCGGGTCCCGAGCCTACAGAGCCGGGAGCAGCTGAGCCGCCGGCGCCTCGGCCGCCGCCGCCGCCTCCTCCTCCTCCGCCGCCGCCAGCCCGGAGCCTGAGCCGGCGGGGCGGGGGGGAGAGGAGCGAGCGCAGCGCAGCAGCGGAGCCCCGCGAGGCCCGCCCGGGCGGGTGGGGAGGGCAGCCCGGGGGACTGGGCCCCGGGGCGGGGTGGGAGGGGGGGAGAAGACGAAGACAGGGCCGGGTCTCTCCGCGGACGAGACAGCGGGGATCATGGCCGCGCAGGTCGCCCCCGCCGCCGCCAGCAGCCTGGGCAACCCGCCGCCGCCGCCGCCCTCGGAGCTGAAGAAAGCCGAGCAGCAGCAGCGGGAGGAGGCGGGGGGCGAGGCGGCGGCGGCGGCAGCGGCCGAGCGCGGGGAAATGAAGGCAGCCGCCGGGCAGGAAAGCGAGGGCCCCGCCGTGGGGCCGCCGCAGCCGCTGGGAAAGGAGCTGCAGGACGGGGCCGAGAGCAATGGGGGTGGCGGCGGCGGCGGAGCCGGCAGCGGCGGCGGGCCCGGCGCGGAGCCGGACCTGAAGAACTCGAACGGGAACGCGGGCCCTAGGCCCGCCCTGAACAATAACCTCACGGAGCCGCCCGGCGGCGGCGGTGGCGGCAGCAGCGATGGGGTGGGGGCGCCTCCTCACTCAGCCGCGGCCGCCTTGCCGCCCCCAGCCTACGGCTTCGGGCAACCCTACGGCCGGAGCCCGTCTGCCGTCGCCGCCGCCGCGGCCGCCGTCTTCCACCAACAACATGGCGGACAACAAAGCCCTGGCCTGGCAGCGCTGCAGAGCGGCGGCGGCGGGGGCCTGGAGCCCTACGCGGGGCCCCAGCAGAACTCTCACGACCACGGCTTCCCCAACCACCAGTACAACTCCTACTACCCCAACCGCAGCGCCTACCCCCCGCCCGCCCCGGCCTACGCGCTGAGCTCCCCGAGAGGTGGCACTCCGGGCTCCGGCGCGGCGGCGGCTGCCGGCTCCAAGCCGCCTCCCTCCTCCAGCGCCTCCGCCTCCTCGTCGTCTTCGTCCTTCGCTCAGCAGCGCTTCGGGGCCATGGGGGGAGGCGGCCCCTCCGCGGCCGGCGGGGGAACTCCCCAGCCCACCGCCACCCCCACCCTCAACCAACTGCTCACGTCGCCCAGCTCGGCCCGGGGCTACCAGGGCTACCCCGGGGGCGACTACAGTGGCGGGCCCCAGGACGGGGGCGCCGGCAAGGGCCCGGCGGACATGGCCTCGCAGTGTTGGGGGGCTGCGGCGGCGGCAGCTGCGGCGGCGGCCGCCTCGGGAGGGGCCCAACAAAGGAGCCACCACGCGCCCATGAGCCCCGGGAGCAGCGGCGGCGGGGGGCAGCCGCTCGCCCGGACCCCTCAGGTACACAGCTGAGTGGGGAGGGGGCTGGGGCGAGCGTGGTCCTGGGGGTGGGTGGCGGCTGCGGTGAGCGGGCCACAGCCTTGGGCTCCCCTCAGTCCCGGGCCCCCACTGCTGGGGAGCTGCCATTGTCTGGCTCTTCTCTCTTAAAATGGCTGCCTGTCTGCCTTCCTCTCCTTCCCTCCTTCAGCCTTTGTGTTGGGTTTTTCCAGAGGTGTCTGCTCCTCTTTTTCCTCTCCCCTGGTCCCTTCGAACTCCAGGGGTCTTGATGGGGGTGCGGGGCAGAGTGTGCGGGGAAGGGCCTGGCCGGGGGTGAGGGGGTGAGGGGGCGCTGGGGGCTCAGGTTAGGAGTGTAGGCAGTGGTAGGAGCCCAGGAGTTGAATGAACGTTTCTTTGCTCACCTGCCGCTCCTCTCCGTCCCCCGGCCTTCCTCTGGGCCGCCCCCCATCTGTGCTTTCAAAGAGGGCCCCTAGAGCTCGAGGGGACCTCGAGGGGAGGGCAGGGGACTGCTTGGGAGCTGCTAGAGGCCGGCTGCGGTTCACCTAGGGCAGCCCGGTCCATCTCCTGTCTTAGGCTCCGCCGGCCCAGTGGCCTGGGCTTCTCCCTGGAAGTGCTGGTAAACAGCTGAGTGATTGGAGTAGTAAGTGCAGATTGCTTTGGTTTGGGATTTGAATTATGGAGGTAAAATCCTTCTGTCAAAGCCAGGAGACAGTTGGTCTTAGGTTGACATCCTATCTGTGATCTGATTGGCTCCCCATCTCCTGCTCTTGGCCATTTATAATTGCCTCTGATGTAATGGTACAACAATCCTGATGAGCTCATAAACTTTTACACTCTGCTTTTCTGCCAGTGATAACCCAAACTATCGCTGCCACTATCTGCCTTTTATTCCAGAGCTGAAATTGGCTGTGACCTTGAGGAGGGAGGTTTAAGTAGCAATACTGTATCAGCAAGAGCAAAGCCTCAGACAGCCTGCCCTTGTTACATTGTGCCCAAACAAAAGAGGAGGCAATGGCATTTTGCTTGTACCTTGGATTTATTTTGCTTGTTATGTTTTATGCAGCCTGAAATGAATTCTGTGTTGTCAGAACAGTAGCTGAGTTTTTTCTCTACAATGGGTTTGCTGTTTGTTTTGGTTTTGTGACTTTCCTGATGGTATAAATGACTTCTTTGATGGCTCTGAAGATGCATTTATCTTGAGTAATTTTGACACTGGTTGCTTTGCAGAATTGAAATGATTTTACTGGGCTTTTTATTGAGTGGCAAATGTGGGATCTTTATGGGGGGCCAGAAAACAGTTTTTGTTATTTTTTTTAGAACTGGGAGCTTTCTGAGGAATTTTATATTAGGTTCAAGCGGTCTGTTTTAAGGAAGACTGGCCTCATTCTTTGTTTACATGTTGAATCTTGTTAACACTTTCTTTTGTTAATTGAACTTTGGAATAGCAGCTTAATTTAAAGGGAAGCTGGTGTCTTTCATGATCTTGAGGGACTTTCTCCTAAAGGCTTGGTTTGGTGAAATTGTTTTTTTCCTGGAATAACAAAAAGTCTAGTTTTCTGTTTTGTCATCAGTCATTTTAGAGCTTTGAAATAGAGACTGGCCAGTTTATTCCTTTGCATTTTAATGTATGTTCCACTTTTTTTCTTGTCTTCCAAGATATGAAGATACGACCTAGAATGACACTTAAGATTTGCTTAGAAATTGCAACTTCTGAGTACCTTGTTACACTATTCTATCTTGTTTTATTTTGTTGCTTTTCTTCCATCTTCATCATGCTCTGTCAGCAGTGCTTTTGGTCAGGGATATTGAGTATTCTGTGGAGTCATACATGTTTTCAAAGAGGGGGAAGCTCCATTCATCCCCTCCCAAACCCCTTGCGCTTTTGTGCTAGGAGGAAATTTTGTTCACTTACTAGCTGTATTCCCAGCCCATCCTAGAGCTACTTTACTACTCTTTTGAGCTGGGGATTTTGAAATTAGCTGTGTTAGATGGTGGGCTTGGAGCTCTGTGCCTTGATTCTACATCTTCCATGATGTTCTGCATCTGGACAAGAAATAGGGAAATGTTACATTGTTTTTCTAGTGTCTGGAGGAAAAGTTTTGTCTTAAAAGACAGCATCCTCTTGTCTCTGGGTCATCCTATAGTCTGAACCTCTTTCCTCTCATTCCCCTTGTTTTGTTTGGTTTTGGCTGAAAATTTTACTTTTCTTGAAAACTATTAGAATAAGTCATTTGGGGTAGTAAGTCAGGGTTCATTTAAAAGCAAAATTGATTGGAATTCTGCTGGTTTGGAAATATTTAGTCAAAGGTTTTAAAGAAAAAGCCAACTCTTTTGGTATAATGATTTTTGTTTTTCAGTCAGTAAATTATGGAACACTTTCTGTGTAGATGATAGGAGAATAGATACAGTCCCTGTTTGGATGCCTGTCTGTGCTGCCTTTGGATGAATTTTCTGATCTCTTTTATTATCACTAGACCCACACAACATAGATTCCTAATTAATTTCAGCTCAGTTGTCTACTCCCCAGAGACCCAGGGAATGGGCTGGTGAGCATTCAGTTGTGTAAGAGACAGTGCAGCTTCCACTTCTGTGGACTGCTTCAGGTGTGTGGTAGTAGTCTAGGTGAGGGTTGTAGGTTCAGACTTTGTTCTGAATTTCTCTTTGCTACTTGATAAACCTCTTTTCAGACCATGATGCTCTACTCTTCAACATTCTTAAATTAAAAAGTCTTGCTCTGTCTCCATCTTTTCCTGGCGCAGTCTTAGATTAAGAATATTTTGCAGAGACTTAATTAACACAGCTAAGGTGATAACGTTTTCATTTGACTCTGCGCTTATGAAATAAAGTTTAGGTAAGTGTGTGTATTGTGGCTATGTCTTTTTCACAGGACCTGGGAAGATCTTAGACAAACTTTTACTTTATTCCTTTTCATAAGTAGTGTATCTCAAGTGTTGAATCCCGGTACTGATGAAATAGTTTTAGATTACTTACACACATGAAGTTGATTTAAGGCTTTTTATTGGGACGCTTTTTAGCAATAATACTTTGAGAGTAATACCAGTTTACCAAGGTAAAAAATAAAATACAATAAATAGTCCAGGAACAAGTTGGATTTTATTGTAGAAGTTTGGTTGTTAGTTTCTACTACGGAAACATCAAATGATATTTCTGACTCCTGGGAAACAGATACAGGAATCCTAGATTTATTATGGGAATGCCTACTGGCAGAAATTCTAGGCTGGCTGAAATACAGGACTCTTGGAGCTCTCTCAAGTAGGAGGGACCAGGAAAACCACACTGAGATGGCACTTTAGTTGTGGGGGTTTCATGTTTCTCTACTGTTCATGAGAGAGCTGGGGTGATGAGGATTGAGATGGTGGTGTGAGAACAGAGAAAGCAGCCAGGACCAGGTTTGGCTTCTTGTGTATTGGGCCCTGTGAGGACTTTTTAGGTTCCTTTCTTTGTGTGTGACATGAGTAACCATGACAAGCAGCACCTGCTGAAACAGGATGTCTTGGATTGCATTAAACATTAATATGTTGGATTGACTCCTGTAGGTGTAATGTCTACAGTAGACCTTTTGCAAAGAGGTTAGTGAACTTTTTTAGAATGAGGGAATAGGCTAACAAAGTAATAGGCAGGGCTCTTTCCTGTTCCCATCCCTCAAAAGGTTGTATTGATTGGCTTCAACTCTCAAAATTCTAGAAGCAACTGAAGCTTGTAAATATGGTAAAAATGTGGTATTCAAATATATTGGCACCGAGTAGTTCTTTTCTGCCAGTGAGCTGTAATACCTGGGGCTTGAATGGAGTCCTGATTCCTGTGGCTTTTATCTCTGGGTTTTTCCTTGTTTAGATTGGTCATTATCATTACTGACGCACACTTACGTTGTTATTACTGATGCATACTTGAGTTGTGTGTTGCGTTAGTGGTAAAGAGCACAGGACTCACAACAGGAGGAGGAAGGAGGAGGCTTAGGTTCCACATACAGCTCCAGATTAAGCTGTGTGACCCTGGGCAGGTCATTTGCTTTCTCTATTTTTCATTTTCTCCCTCATCAATAAAATGAAGTTGGTCTGCATGGCCTTCTCACTCTAAGATGCTACATATCTGTGCTTCCATAGCTGGCTTGTTATGAAGGCAGCTTTCTGTACATAAATCAGGGGTCTTGAGACCATCTTTCTTCCCCTGGACTGAAGGAACTCAAAGCTATTTTCTCCTGGGATTCACAGGAACAAGCTCTGAACAGTTGGGTGCCATTGTGGTCTGTAGACTTTTACAGAAAAAGCTCTACCAGACTGTTGCCTTGAAACTGTTAATCTGTTTGTCATTAGTCATTCCACCTGGCTGGTGGTTTTAAAACACTAAATAGTCGTTGGAAAGTTAGGTAGATTTCATTAAAGCAAGACTTGAAAAATAGTTGCTTCAGGATCCCCAGGAGGCTTTTGCACTTGGGGTTGGGGTGAGGAATGGATATTCATAAGTTCAGTGTTGATATTCTGCTGCTTTTGGGGAGGGGTAGGGAGAGAGAGGGAGCATTAAGCTCTCCAGACTCCTGGTGTTTGGGCAGGTCTAGGTCTGGTTTGGGCAGTTGGTTGTAATCTGAGTGCCTGGACTTGCCCTGTAAGTTTTGCTGAGAGAGAAGCAAATGTTCCTGAGACTGGAAGAGGAAAAGCTGCGTTTCAGGGTCAATTTCATAGGTGCATTTGTTGTTTCTCATCGCTATGGTTTAAAAAACTACATGGTGTGCTTTGCACGTGGTCCTGGAAATGCTATTCTTTCTCTTCTCCAGCACACCTGAATTTCCATTCTTTCTCTTCCTGGCTTAGTAGTTTAGAAGTGTAATTTAGGTATATTAGAGGAAGGAAGCTTCCCTTTATAAAGGAGGGAAAAGGGTAGAGGGAACAGTGTTTGATAATTCTGTGCTTGACACAGCATCTTCTATCGTCTCTGAAGGAACCAAATGTTTCAGAGCTTTGTGTAAATACTTGCTGAGCTGTCAATATGTACCCAGGAGGTTTCTGTAGTAAGATGTAAACTGTTCTATAGAATGTTTGACAGGCAAATTAATAAACAGTTTTCAAGCAAAGATAATGCTAGCCTCCTCATGTGGTGGAGTAAAATAACATTGGGGAAAAAGACTTGGGGATAGGAAAAGGGTAGTGCTGGGGGGCAGTGAGTGTGGAGATAAGAAGTGATCTAAAAAAAAATTGAAATGGAAAGATGCTGCCCTGGTAGTGAAACCTCTGTGGCCCTGGCTGCGTGCTAAGTTCAGGGCATGTGGTATCCTGTTAAAGTCAATTGCAGTTTCATAGTGAAAATAGAAGTTTGGAAAGAAGATCCTGACTGTCAATAGTAAGGTAAGTATTACCCCAGACACTTGGCTTATGAGACTTTGAGGTTTAAAGGGTAGCTTGGTGAGATTATTTTTGGCTTGGGTTTGCATTTCTGGAATATTAGAAAGGAGAAAAAAGATACTGCAACTTGAGTGTGATCTTTATCCTCAATTTTGCTGTTGTGCTGGGGATTATAAGTCCACTACCCAATGGCCTGGGTTTATTTATACAGTTTTTACTGGACTTCTGTGTATCACTTATGATAAAATTAATATGCCTTTACACTCTGTTCCTGGGTCAGTACAAAGTCCAAATATTTGGGGACTCACTACATCTTACTTGAAGGATTATGTGAGTAGATACAGTCTTTGTTTTTGAAATTGCCATTTTAGGATTAAAAACATATCTGGGTTCCTTCAGTGACACATTCTTTTTATGGAAGAAGAAGAAGAATCTATGAATATTTTAGCTGTCTGTCTGTGGTCCTCTTCTTTGGTAGCCTTGTGAGATGACCAGATTTGCCTTCTCAGAATGTCTTTTTTAACTAGATTCATTGATTCTGACACCAGTTTTCTTTATAAGAAGTGTTTTTTACACCAGAGTCCTGGAAGTGCCCTTTTGACTTAGCTGTTTATATAGTAGCAGGGAATATGAATGTAATTATGGTCCTGACTATGATTTTTAGGTTCAGCTAACTTACTACCAAAGGCTATCAGCTTGTTTTAATACAAAACACAAAAACTTGGATTGGCACTGACATAGGTTGCTTAATATTGCATGGTCCTTTCCCAGTATGTTGGTAGTGAGGGTATTAGGAACTTCAGACTTATTGCTGAGAGCATAGTTTCTAAGTCAGAGAGATCAGGAAATTCCAATGGGGATGGGAAATAGCCCTATGTGATTACACCAGCTAGGTACTAGGAAGAGATTTAAAAGGTAGAAACAATATCTCCTTCAGAGGCATTTAGTTTTCTTAGGAAAGCATGCTTATGTGCACACATCTGGAAAACTTGAAAAGCAAGGTTTCATAAATGGATGTAGACCACACTAATTATGTGAGCTGAAGGAATTAGAGGAAAAGGTTCAATCAGTTTGGCAGGGTTAACCTGGGACAGCTTTTCAGAGGCTTTTTTTGTGAAGCTAAATGTTCAAGAAACTTAGAATACTAATTTGCCTTTTCATAATGCTATTCTTAAGTTCCATGGGCTTGATAGAATCCACATTGCACATCCATCTCCAGACCAGTAGCTGTCTCAGTGTTCCAATGACTTTGAGAATTTGGACTCTAACCATAAAACTCCCTGAAAGAGTGGTTCCAGGGTCTTAGTGGTTCTTGTGGTCAGGTAGAGCCTTTGGTACAGACTGTTAAGTTCTTGGCTAGTTCAGGGGCACTTTTCTAGTAAATTTGGATTTGGAAGGTCATGTCACCTTCAGAGTTGTGTGCCCTGGACAGCTCTGTAGTAATGGTGGTTCAACTTTGTTGGTGAGTCTGTCTTGGCAGAGTTAGTTGACCTTTCTTAAAACAAGAGCCACGAAGTAAGTATCTGTTGGGACTCTTAGGCTGCTATTTCTGAGGAGCTGGGAGCTGTGTTCAAGTCAAGTTGCTTGTGTTAGACCTTATATTGAGGTTGATGGGTTAGGTAAGCCTGCACATATGCAGTCTGCCCATTTATTCATAGAAATGGCCTTTAATACTGTTTTTGGCCGGGCGCGGTAGCTCACACCTATAATCCCAGCACTTTGGGAGGCCAAGGTGGGAGGATTGCCCAAGCCCAGGACCAGCCTTGGGACCAGGCTATTAACATAGGGAGACCCCATCTTTACAAGACACAAAAATTGCTGGATGTGGTGGTACGTGCCTGTAGTCGCAGTTTACTTAGAAAGCTGAGGCAGGAGGATTGCTTGAGCCCAGGAGGTTGAGGCTGTTGTAAGCCATGATTACGCCAGTGCACTCCAGCCTGGGCAATGGAGCCAAGACCTTGTCTCAAAAAAAAAAAAAAAATTTGTTTTTTATTAGGTTACTATGGCCAAGCAGCTAACAAATGCTGCTCACCAATGCTTAATCCTTGTGGAGCCTCTGGAATATAGTGATTTTGGTTTCTTTACCTGCTGGTCGATCTGTGGTTGGGCCTTGGCACTTCACCGGTCAAGGATCATCAGTGGATGCTTAACAGCTGAAGATGCATGGCATGTCCAGTGCCAGGCCACTGTAATGCTTCTACCTGGAGAAGGATTGGTTACACTGCTCCAGTACAGAAGTACTGCAGACCTTTTTTTTTTTTTGAGATGGAGTCTTACTTTGTCACCCAGACTGGAGTACAGTGGTGCAATCTGGCTCATTGCAACCTCTGCCTCCCAGGTTCAAGCGATTCTCATGCCTCAGCCTCCTGAGTAGCTGGGATTATAGGCTTCCACCACCATGCCCGGCTAATTTTTGTATTTTTAGTAGAGGTGGGGTTTCATCATGTTGGCCAGGCTGGTCTTGAACTCCCAACCTCGGGTGTGATCCACCCACCTTGGCCTTCCAAAGTGCTGGAATTACAGGTGTGAGCCACCACGCCCAGCCTTTTTTTTTTTTCCCCCCCCCTCAAGTAATGGTCCATGACCTGCTGAAAGTACTGGAGTCTTGGATAAACATTCTGGTTTAGAAATACCTTTTCCACTTTTTTTGCCTTGCCATTTTGGCATTTTGCAAAAGTGGGTTTTCAGTTACTCAGAATTGGGCACCATAGTTAACCTCCTATGGATTACAGGTGTTTAGGGGCTTGAACTCTGATCATTCCCAGGTTTTAGAGGAATCCAAGTTCGGGTGAATATTGACTTAGTAGCCTTGAGTATTCTTCCTGAAATTACCCCTCCTCTCCATTTAAATGGATGAAATTAGTTTTTTACTGAATGTGAAGGGACATCTGAATGAACTTCTGTTTGTTTTTGTTAGTCACTTGTGCATAGCTGGAATATTATCTTGGGACAGGTTGAGTCTATTTCCCAGTGGCTTCTGCATTTTCTAAGGGTGGACTGGAATGGGAAGAAGTCTAATGCCAAGAATGCATTCCAACATGCTGCAGAGTAGGAAATTTGATCCCTAAAATGTTGACTTAGTGTTGGTCATGGTACATATTAGAAATCACCCAGTAATCCAGGACAGATTTTTGTCACCCTCCAGGAAGTTATGTTGATATAAATACTAAGGGGCTTTGGGTACTGAGCTAAGTGCTCTGCAGGCCCAAAGCGCTGCTTGAATTGCTACCCATATGAAGAGGAAATGTGCCATGTGCCTTTTTTTCTCTCTTTTGCATTTGGGCTTCCTTATGGCTTTGTTGCTTTTATGTTCCCAAGTCTGCAAAGTTAGATATTAGACTTCCTCCTCCCTTGGCACTGGCAGATTCATGATTTTCCATGGCTCATCACTAGCAGCCAAGATTTTTGTATGCTTTTCTCTCTTAAACTTGTTCGTTTTCAGCTTGCTTGTTTATAGGCATCTCTGTTAAAAGGAACCCTTCTTTTCCCCTTAAGATCTAGCACCAGGGGTGCTTGGGGGTTGTTGTGATATCAGTCAATTAAAAGCCCATTTGGTGTGTGCTTGGTGTTTTTATTTTGCTCATGTTTTCTTTGAGGTCACAACGTGCTTGCCGGGCATGAGTGCCTTTGGGCCCAGCTGTTTACTCTCAACTGCCGTGTACTTTGACTTTAAGAAAAGTGCAAATTCAGCCACGTGGTAGAGGGATTAAAGGCCACATAGTGTTGGATGCTTCCTTTTGGAAGAAACAGATATATCTTTGGGCTCTTCTTGCCCAGTGATTTCTCCTGTCTGGGGTAGACATTGTTGCTTTCTGTTGTCCTTAGAGAACAGGGCAGAAATGCTGGGAATTGGTTTATTACTGTGTCTCTTTGGCAAATATGTATGTCTTTTTCTCTTGCCCTTTGGACAACATTCTGTTCTGGTCCTAAGGTGTTGGAGTTCACAGGTTGATCTAGCGTTATGTGAAACTCTTGGTAATTTAGGTTTGGATAACCGGCTTTTAGTCTCCAGATTTCTAACATTGTGCTTGTTTAGGAATTTAGGCTTCTAAAGAGAACCATATTACAAAGCTTTTGGGGAACAATTCTGTAGGTAGTTTATCTGTTCTTGGGTCACAGATCCTCACCAGGATCCTGACTTTTTTTTTTTTTTAGACGGAGTCTTGCTCTGTCACCCAGGCTGGAGTGCAGTGCAGTGGGGCAATTTCAGCTCACTGCAGTCTCCGCCTCCTGGGTTCAAGGGGTTCTCCTGCCTCAGTCTCCTGAGTAGCTGGGACTACAGGCATGCGCCACCGCGGCTGGCTAATTTTTTTTTTTTTTTTTTTTTTTTTTGAGATGGAGTCTTGTTCTATCGCCCAGGCTGGAGTCCAGTGGTGTGATCTCGGCTCACTGCAACCTCCGTCTCCCAGGTTCAAGTGATTCTCCTGCCACAGCCTCCCGAGTAGCTGGGACTACAGGCGCCTTCCACCACGCCCTGCTAATTTTTGTATTTTTAGTAGAGATGGGGTTTCATCATGCTGGCCAGGCTGGTCTGAAACTCCTGAGCTCGTGATCTACCCGTCTCGGCCTCCCAAAGTGCTGGGATTACAGGCATAAGCCACCACGCCCGGCCTAATGTTTGTATTTTTAGTAGAGATGGGGTTTCACCATGTTGGCTAGGCTAGTCTCGAACTCCTGACCTCAGGTGATCCGCCGGCTTTGACCTCCCAAAGTGCTGGGATTACAGGCGTGAGCCACTGTGCCTGGCAAGGATCCTGACTTTCAAATGATGGCCACCATGCATTTGAGTACTTATTATGTGCTAAGCATTATGCTTAGTCCTCTTGATGAATTTCCTAATTTAATCTTCAAAACTGTATAGGAGGTGGGTTCTATTATTAATCTTCCTCTTTTACAAATGAGGAAATAGAGTAAGATAAGAAATTTGCCCTAGGGAAAATAGCTGGTAAAAGGTAGAGTTGGGTTTGTCTGACAAGGTAGACAAGGTTTGTCTGACTCTTCAAAGGTATTACAATCTAAAATACTAACTTTGCTTCTCCAAAATAAATTACTCAGGCACCAAGATTGTTTAGGACATTATTTTTACAATAGCCTGAAACTCTTAAATGGGGTGAAAGACTGAAAAGCCATTAGTTAACAATTTGACATCGTGCCTAGAGCTCTGTCCTGTCATTCCCTTCCATCCCTTCCACTTAGGGTTTTGTTGTTTTGGATTTCCGATGAATGGCCATGGCACTTGGTTTATAGCTGCCTTGTGATTCCATTGGTGAGAACTGGCAGCATCTGGTCCTCTGGTCCCCGGTCCTCTCTTTCTCAAGAGGGATCTTTTGGGGTTGAGAGTGAGATTCAGCCTTTAAGATACAGTCCTTCACTTTTTTTTTTTTTTTTTTTTTTTTTTTTTTTTTTTTGAGACGGAGTCTTGCACTGTCGCCCAGGCTGGATTGCAGTGGCGTGATCTCGGCTCACTGTAACCTCTGCCTCCTGGGTTCAAGTGATTCTTCTGCCTCAGCCTCCTGAGTAGCTGGGATTACAGGTGCCCACCACCACGCCCAGGTAATTTTTTGTATTTTTAGTAGAGATGGGGTTTCACTGTGTTGGTCAGGCTGGTCCTGAACTCCTGACCTTGTGATCCACCTGCCTCGGCCTCCCAAAGTGCTGGGATTACAGGTGCGAGCCACCGCACCCAGCCAGAGTCTTTCACTTTGATCTGAGTGAAAGTGACTTGAATTATGAAAGTATATGCAGAGTGATATTACTTTTCCAGAAACTTGGAGCACTTGCTGAAGAGGCAGGGATTATTGTCTTTTTTTTTCTTTTGAGATGGAGTCTTTGCTCTGTCGCCCAGGCTGGAGTGCAGTGGCGCGATCTTGGCCCACTGCAAGCTCCGTCTCCTGGGTTCACGCCATTCTCCTGCCTCAGCCTCCCGAGTAGCTGGGACTACAGGTGCCCGCCACCACGCCCGGCTAATTTTTTTGTATTTTTAGTAGAGATGGGGCTTCACCATGTTAGCCAGGATGGTCTCGGTCTGCTGATCTCGTGATCCGCCCGCTTCGGCCTCCCAAAGTGCTGGGATTACAGGTGTGAGCCACCGCGCCCAGCGGATTATTGTCTTAATTTGCCACTTGGGGGAAATGAACACATAAAGTTGAGTGCCACATACAAAGTTTCATAGCAGAGTCATCTCTAAAACCTAGGTTTAAAGTTCTCTTAGGGCAGTATGACTTTAGGTAAGTCACTTCTCTGAATCTGTATTCTCAACTATATAATGAGGAAAAATATCTACCTTGAAGCTATGGTAAATATTAGATATGTGAAAGTACTATTCGTTTATCAAATACAATTCTAACATGACTCCTGATTGGTCAATCCCACAACTATCTCTCCCACTCTCCAGCCGTCCTTTTCAGAAGCAAGCCTCCAGGAGAGTTGATACCACTATTCCCACCTTCCTCCTGTGCATCCACCAATCTACCTCACATTCTCCTCCCCTGCACCCAGCACCCCTGGAATGCTACCACCCTGCTCCAGCCAGGAGGCCAGAAGGGTGATGTAGGAAGATTGCAGCACTACCATGGAAGTTCTCAACAGCACCCCCGACCCAGGACCCCAGGTTCCCACTGGCCCTGCTTCTCAATTCAGGAGAGATAGAATTGAGTGGTTAAAGCTAGTATTGGTCTTTACCGAATTCAAAATTTTCCCTAGTTTTTAGCTACATCTGAGTTACTGTAATGCTTTTTTTTTTTTTTTTTTTTTAAACTAAAATTTGTTTAGAGACAGGGTCTTTCTCTGTTTCCCAGGCTGGAGTGCAGTGGCTATCCACAGGCACAATCATAGCCCACTCTCAAACTCCTGACCTCAAGCAATCTTCCTTCCTCAGCCTCCCAAGTAGCTGAGCTACAAGCACATGTCACTATGCCAGCTATCAGGGCTAGCTTGCTTACTTTTTTTTTTTTTTGGAGACAGAATCTCGCTCTGTCGGCCAGGCTGAAGTGCAGTGGCATGATCTAGCTCACTGCAACCTCCGCCTCCTGGGCTCAAGCAATTCTCCTGCCTCAGCCTCCCGAGTAGCTGGGATTACAGGCGTGTGCCACCACGCCTGGCTAATTTTTGTATTTTTAGTAGAGACGGGGTTTCACCACGTTGGCCAGGCTGGTCTGGAACTCCTGACCTCAGGTAATCCACCCACCTGGGCCTCCCAAAGTGCTGGGATGACAGATGTGAGCCACCGCACCCGGCCTATCAGTGCATTAAAACACACAGGCCGGGTGCGGTGGCTCATGCCTGCCATCCCAGCACTTTGGGAGGCCAAGGCGGGTGGATCACAAGGTCAAGAGATCGAGACCATCCTGGCCAACATGGTGAAACCCCGTCTCTATTAAAAGTACAAAAATTAGCTAGGCGTGGTGGCGGATGCCTGTAGTCCCAGCTACTTGGGAGGTTGAGGCAGGAGAATCGCTTGAACCTGGGAGGCAGAGGTTGCAGTGAGCCGAGATCACGCTTGAACCTGGGAGGCAGAGGTTGCAGTGAGCCGAGATCACACCATTGCACTCCAGCCTGGGCGACAGAGCGAGATGCCATCTCAAAAAATAAAATAATACATACACACACACACACACACACACACACACACACACCACTTGTTGTTCCAGCTTGAGAAGTGGATTAGTGCAGTGGTTCTCAGTGTGGTCCCTAGCCACCAGCATCAGCATTACTAGGTCCTGTTAAGAAGCACAGACCCTTGGCCAGTCCTATCGAATCCAAAACTCTGTCAATATGTTCTAACAAGTCCTCTAGGCCATTCTGATGAACACTGAAGTTTGAGAACTACTAGATTTATACATTTACACTCAACTGGGCTGCAGAGTATATCCAGATTACCTGAGGGGCTGCTTCTAAATTATACCATAGATTGATGTTTTATGTCTATGTGCCCTCCTATGAAAAAAGTATTAATGAATGGAGAAAAGGTTAAAATGCTTGAGGCTAGGGGAGTGTGTTAGTTTGCTTGGACTGCTGTCACAAAATACCATAGACGAGGTGGCTTAAACAACAAACATTTACTACTTGAAGTCCTGGAGGGTGAGAAGTCCAAGATCAAAATGCTGGCAGATCGGGTTCTTGGTGACAGTCATTTTCCTGGCATGTAGGCAACTGTCTTCTGTCTTCTTGCCGGTCTACCACCCCAATTAATGCCCTCTTAGCCTCTTATGTCTCTTGCTCTTTTTTTTTTTTGAGACAGAGTCTCGCTTTGTCACCCAGGCTGGAGTGCAGTGGTGCAATCTCAGCTCATTGCAACCTCCGCCTCCTGGGTTCAAGCAATTTTCCTGCCTCAGCCTCTCGTAGCTGGGATTACAGGTCCACGCCACCACGCCCGGCTAATTTTATTTATTTATTTATATATATTTTTTAGTAGAGACGAGATTTCACCATGTTGGCCATGCAAGTCTCAAACTCCTGACCTCAAGCCATTTGTCCACCTCAGCCTCCCAAAGTGTTGGGATTACAGACGTGAGCCAGCGCCCCCGGCTCTTGCTCTTATAAGGGCACTAAGCCCATCATGGGGGCACACCCTCATGACTTAATCTAACCCTAATTACCTCCCAAAGGCCCCACCTCCTATTAATAATACCGTAACGTTGGAGGTTAGGGCTTCAACATTAATTTCAGGGTTTCATAAACATTCAGCCAGTAACAGGAGAAGAAAGAAAATACTTTTGAGATGGACCTTTACTAGTGCAGTGATAAGTTCTAGTCACAAAACACGTCTGCTTGTTTATAGGACTTGGGGGCTCCCTGCCTTCCATTTCTCTTTCTCTTAGTTCTTCGGCAATATGGCATGAAGATAATCTGGACCTGTGGTCCTGGGATTTTGATGAAGGTGGGAAAGGTATTTTAAGATCTTGACTGGCAGGGCATGGTGGCTCATGCCTGTAATCCAAGCACTTTGGGATGCTGAGCTGGGCGGATTGCTTGAGCCCAGGAGTTCGAGACCAGCCTGAGCAACATGGCAAAACCCTATCTCTACAAAAACAAAAAAATCAGCCAGGCATGGTGATGCGCGCCTGTAGTCTCAGCTACGTGGGGGCTGAGATGGGAGGATCACTTGAGCAAGGAAGGCTGAGGCTGCAGTGAGCCATGATGGCACCACTGCACTCCAGCCTAGGTGACACAGCAAGACCCTGTCTATATACAGAAAAAAAAATAGGATCTTGACTGTGGTGGTCTCCAAGTATGGCCAATACAGTACACTTTTCCAAGAAAGTGATTCTTGAAAATGCCACTTAAAGGTCAGTGTTGGAGCACTAATTAAATGCCATGATGTCCCTTTTGCCTGTGATGGCTGTCTGATCTGAGAACAGGGCGTTGGGTGATTTGGTGTTCTCACAGTAAGCCTTTATTGACCTCTCTCCCTCACCCCCTACTTCTTAGTGGCCAGTCTGAGTTTTGCTGTGAATTCCTTTCCTTGTGTCTCTTCTTGTGAAGTTTTAGTAAATAAACCCTGTAAGTAGGCCGAGAGCAGTGGCTCACACTTGTAATCCCCGTGCTTTATGAGGCTGAGATGAGAAGATTGCTTGAGCCCAGGAGTTCGAGACCAGCCTTGGCAACATAGCAAGACCTTGTCTCTCTTAAAAAAAATTTTTTTTAAATTAGCTGGGCCTGGTGGCATGCACCTATTGTCCCAGTTACTTGAGAGGCTGAGGCAGGAGGATCACTTGAGCCCAGGAGTTTATTGGAGGCTGCAGTGAGACCTGATTGTGCTATTGGACTACATACAGCCTGGGCAACAGAGCAAGACCCTGTCTCAAATAAAAATAAACCCTCTAAGTAGATTCCTGAACAAGCCACCTCATCTCTGCAGTGAATGAGGACTCTCTGAGGGGTGGACATTTGAGCCAAGACCTGTCTCCAGTTGTATAACTTAATGAATAAGGATTGTGCTTGGCACAGATGTGGGAGTTACAGAAGTGGTCAGGTGATAAATATTAACAGTTTGAAGACCAAGTGAAGAACCAGTGTTCTAATTCATTTGGACTTTCTGAACACCTTATGTGGTTTCTCTGTCCTTCCCATTAAAAACAAGTATTCTGCTACCAGGCCTCTTTTTCCTCCTGCCTGAGAAGCGTAGCTGTGATCACTGGGACCTAGCTGCAATGAAGGCAGTGGTTTCCAGGAGGAGACTACAGTTTGATCTGTGATTTCATATTTGTATGTACAGATGAATACTTTAGTAAGGAATCTTATGTTTGTGTGTGCATGTGTGTTTTAAACTCTATCACTTTTAAGCTTTATTTTCTCTGTTCTTGGCTTTTTCTTTTTTCCTTTTTCATTTTCTCCTTTGATGTCTAACTCTGCATTAGTAGAATGCAGAGCACATGGAAACTCCAGTAACTTTACCACACCAGAGCTGGTAAAATGGAGATACAACATACACCAGTTTCAGACTAACATCATTTTGGTGAAGATTGATTTTTTTTTTTTTTTTTGGCAGAGTCTTGCTTTGTTGCGCAGGCTGGAGTGCAATGGCGTGATCTTGGCTTTCTGCAACTTCTACTTCCTGGGTTCAAGCAATTCTCTTGCCTCAGCCTCCCGAGTAGCTGGGACTACAGGCGCCCACCACCACACCTGGCTATTTTTTTGTATTTTTAGTAGAGACAGGGTTTCACCATGTTGGTCAGGCTGGTCTTGAACTCCTGACCTCAAGTAATCTGCCTGCCTCGGCCTCCCAGAGTGCTGGGATTACAGGCGTGCGCCCAGCCTGTGAAGATTTTTAGTATCTGCTTTCCTTTCTTGGAAAAGCCTGGCTAACTAGAGGCAGGAAATGTCTATGTCTGATTAACAAGTTCCTAAATGGTCTCTACCTCTTCTCATTTCCCACTTTATTGTCTTTGGTCTGGAGACAGATTCCTTCATCTGTTTTTGGGGTTCTGTTGACCCAGTACAGATTTGTAACATTGTTTTTCTTTACAGTTTGTGATTTCAATCCTCTGCTTTCCCAATGCCACTTTGAATTGGCTTCTTTAAAACTCCAACATAAAACCTCAAGTGACCAATATGTGGTCTCATTATGGTATTTTGGGTTAAAATGAAATTAAGATAGCTGGGCTCACCCAGCCAAACACATTTACCAAAGGGAAATTTTGAGGCATCATAGACTGTGAAGTGGTTAGGGAAAAAGAGAGTTAAATGTTGGCTAGTTTAGAATGCCAAGTGTCCATCCCAACTTGGTTATACTGGCCAGAGATGGCAAAGAATAGAGACAATAAGGTTCTGAAAAGACAGCTGGTGACTGGTATGGCCCTGTATACTCCTGGGATAAATCATGAAGTGAGGGTCTCCTGTACATACTTGTATAGTTTGTATAGACAGTGGTGTAGATGAGGTTGGTATGTACCAGCATACTTTTGGAACTTTGAGAAGAACTGTAGAATTTGTAGTACTCTGGTTTTCCATCCAGGGAATTGCTGACCTTAAAACCTGAGGATTTGGATGCATCTATAATCTTTTTTGTTTGTTTGTTTGTTTGTTTGTTTGTTTTTGAGACGGAATCTCGTTCGGTTGCCCAGGCTGGAGTGTAGTGGCGCAATCTCGGCTCACTGCAGTCTCCGCCTCCTGGGTTCAAGTGATTTTTCTGCCTCAGCCCAGCCTCCTGAGTAGCTGAGACTACAGGTGTGTCACCATGCCGGGCTAATTTTTGTATTTTTAGTAGAGATGGGGTTTCACTATGTCAGCCAGGCTGGTCTCGAACTCCTGACCTCATGATCCACCTGCCTCTGCCTCCCAAAGTGCTGGGATGACAGGCATGAGCCACCGCGCCGCATATATAATCTTAATAAGGTTGACTATTCCCTGGGCCGTTCTTTAACTTATTTAATTGTGCCTGCTATAGTTCAGAGTGGACTTAGGGGGACCTAGTGAAAGACTGGTATTTTGGGGAAGTAGTCCAAGGCAGCCCTAGGAATTAATGAAATAAACAGTGGCATTGCTGCTGCTTCTTGGTGTTTTTATCAACATACAGTACTTGATTGGATTGATGTACAAGCATGATGACAAACAGAATCCCAGACTGCATGTAACTTCAGTTCCTACAGCTCAGTGATCTGTCACAGATACCTTCTTTGGCGGGATATAGAACTATGTATTAGAGAAATTTAGCGTCTTTTTTGTATAACTGAAAGACCAGCCCAAGTTTGCAGTTGTAGATAAAATAAAAAGAATGGGAGAAGTTAGAGAAAGAAAACGAGGCTTTGAAGTTTTGTGGCTAGGGGCAGTTTTTATCTTTATTTACTTTGTTTATTTGTTTGTTTGTTTTTAGCACTTATCTGCAAATTAGTTTAACATGGAAGAGGGAGGAGTATTTTAGAAACTAGATCAGAAGATGCATTTAGAACAAAAGTTGGAATGTGCACACCTGGGTAAAGCTCTGTAAGGTTACTCTTGCCCCTCCATGTATTCCTTAAGTGTACCATATCACTTAATGGTAGGTAATGATAAGTAGGGCAGAAAACATCAAAAGGACAGCAATATTCAGTTGGGCATGTGGTCCATCCATACCAAGGACCTTTTCCTAGTAGAAGCACCAGAGGATGGTCTGTGGGAGGAAGTACCTTTTTCTGATTTCAATCTATATCACCTCACATGGGGACAAATTTTCTAATTTTTGAGCATATATTGGGATGCAGTATACCAGTGTGTCTTTGCGTACCATCAGGATTTCCTAGACTTTGATGATATTTTCCATTTCTCAGGAATTTTTAGGATAAGAACTTTTTAAAGTTCACTTAATTGCCCAGTCCTGTTGTTGAAATGTTGTTTAATTTAAAGCATAAAATATGCTGGGGAGAGTGGCACACGCCTATAATCTCAGCTACTGCAGAGGCTGAGGCAGGAAGATCACATGAGCCCTGGAGTTCCAGGCCAGCCTGGGCAATGTAGGGAGACCCGTCTTAAAAAAAAAAACATAAAATAGTTGGGCCTTGCCAATGTAAGAAGTCATATGGCAGAATCTTTTTTGAAAAACCTGTGAGTATCAGGCTGGGCGCGGTGGCTCACGCCTGTAATCCCAGTACTTGGGGAGACTGAGGTGGGCGGATCATGAGGTCAGGAGTTTGAGACCAGCCTTATCAACATGGTGAAACCCCATCTCTACTAAAAATAACAAAAATTAGCCAGGAGTGGTGGTGCATGCCCGTAATCCCAGCTACTCAGGAGGCTGAGGCAGGAGAATCACTTGAACCCGGGAGGCAGAGGTTGCAGTGAGCCAAGATCGCGCCACTGCACTCCAACCTGGGTAACAGCGAGATTCCGTCTCAAAAAAAAAAAAAAAAAGAAAAAGAAAAAAACCTGTGAGTATCTGCCACATGCTAGTTGCTTACATTAATGCAAAAACACTTACTGAGCTTCTACAGTGAATCAGATAGTATGTTATGAACATAGGATTCATAATTCCTGCCTCCATGGAGTACTTTCTAGTGGGGAAAAATATGTAAGCAGATAAGCACAAATAACTGTAGTTACAGTTGTAATAAATGCATTGGAGAACAACACAACTGTTTTTTTAAATTTTTATTTATGCTTACCTTGTCTGATGGGTGGCTTTGTAGTCTTGAGATCTTAGGATGGGTGCTGGTCAGTTCTGAGTCCCTTTCCCTCTAGGGTCAAGTTTTATAGGAAGTTATCCATTGAGGCATGCTGGGCTAGAGTTCATTGTTCCTCAGCAAGGCTCTTCTGTTTTGTTTTTGTTTTTGTTTTACGGGGAGATGGAGTCTTACTCTGTCACTCAGGGTGAGGTGCAGTGGTCTCAGCTCACTGCAGCCACTGCCTCCCAGGTTCAAACCATTCTCCTGCCTCAGCCTCCCGAGTAGCTGAGATTACAGGCATGCACCACCACACCCAACTAATTTTTGTATTTTTAGTAGAGACAGGGTTTTCCCATGTTGGCCAGGCTGGTCTTGAACTCCTGATCTCAGGTGATCTGCCTGCCTCGCCCTCCCAAAGTGCTGAGATTACAGGGTGAGCCAACTGTGCCTGGCCAGGAAGGCTCTTCTTTTTGTGGTGCTATATTGCAGGACATTGGCATCTTGCTCCCCGGGTAATAAATGCCAGTAGCACTATAGAGTTGCTGTGACAACCAAAAAAGGCGCTTTCATACATTTATTTCCAAACACTTCTCAGTGGTTGGTATTGCCCCGGTTGAATACTACTGGCTGTACTGTCAGGATTCTTGGAAGGAGCTTTGAACAAAATCCTCTGGGAGAACAGACTGAAAGTAGGTGGTGCTTGAGACTTGGACTGGCCAACCCTTTTGGTGTCTGACTTGTGTGTTCATGTTTTTTAAGTAGGTATTTTGAAACTGCTCTCAACCCCATTTTGCCATTTCTCCTATTGAGGGTGCAGAGAGAGAAGTATTGTGTGTGTGCTTTATGAACTGGCACTGTAACAAGCATTTCACATACTTACCATTTGAACTGTTTTGTATCTTTGTTAAACAGTTTTTAATCCCTGTTTACAGATGGTTCTGGTGCTAAGAGATAAAGTGACTTGCTCAAAGTGGTGTGAAACTATACTTTTTTTTCTTTCTCAAAAAGTACAGCCTAAATTTATTTGATTGTCAGTTAACCTCTAGTTGATGACTTTGGACTTCTGGTCTTAAGTGTATGGGACAGACATTAATTGTTCTACAAATTTCCAAGCTCTACTGCCAGAAACTTAGCACTTGTGTAGGATGATGATAGCTGCCATTCTGGATGCTAGAGGATACAGCAGTGAATTAAACATACACAGGACATATAGATTGAACAAGATAAATAAGTGAATCATATATATAGTATGCTAGTGATACATGCTTGGGAGAAAAAGTTAATCAGGAACCAAGTATAGGAGTGTGCAGGGTTAAAATCTTAGAGGAGTTCACCAGGGAAGGCCACACTGAAGTGATATTTGACATGAAAGTGAGCTATACTAATATCTGGGTGAA
Organism: Homo sapiens; assembly: GCF_000001405.40. Taxonomy (NCBI): domain Eukaryota; kingdom Metazoa; phylum Chordata; class Mammalia; order Primates; family Hominidae; genus Homo; species Homo sapiens. Next base: position 26,717,869 of record NC_000001.11, read on the forward strand.
GAAAGTATTCCAGGTAGAAGGATCTATGAATACAAAGGCTCTGAGGCTAGAGGATGCCCAGCTGATTTGAGGAACAGTTTTTTTGTTTGTTTTTGTTGTTATTTATTTTTGTTGTTGTTGTTTCTGAGATGAAGTTTGCTCTGTTGCTCAGGCTGGAGTGCAAAGGTGCAATCTTGGCTCAACGCAACCTCCGCTTCCCAGGTTCAAGCAGTTCTCCTGCCTCAGCCTCCTGAGTAGCTGGGATTACAGGCATGCACCACCACGCCCAGCTAATTTTTGTATTTTTAGTAGAGACGCGGTTTCTCCATGTTGGCCAGGCTGGTCTCGAACTCCCGACCTCAGGTGATCCACCTGCCTCCGCCTCCCAAAGTGCTGGGATTACAGGCGTGAGCCACCGCACCCAGCCGTTGTTTTGTTCTTTATTTACTTTATTCGACCCTGAAGTGTGGTACTACTATCTGTTCTGTTGATAAGGAAACAGAGACAAAAGTTGAAGGCACTGCAGGGGCAGAGCTCTTAAGCCACTGCCTAGAACTGGCCATGTACAATAGTCCTCCCTTATCTGTGCGGCGATATCTTCCAAGACCCCCAGTGGGTGCCTGAAAGTACCAGACCCTATATGTACAAATGCCCCTCGGTATCCGTAGGGGGTTGGTTCCAGGACTCCCTGAGGATACTGAAATTTGTGGAATATATAAAATTGCATGGTATTTGCATATAAACCATTAATACGTACATTCTCCTGTATACGTTAAATCATCTCTAGATTACTTATAATACCTCATACAACGTAGATATTATGTAAGTAGTTGTTATGCTATATTGTTTAGGGAATAATGACAAGAAAAAAAGTGTACACATTCAGTACAGGCACAACCATCGTAGGCCTACTAACTACATTTTTGATCTGAGGCTGGCTGAATCTGTGGATGCAGAACCCATGGATACAAAGGTTTGACTGTACTTTGTTTTTCCTATACATGCATACCTATGATAAAGTTTAATTTATTAGGCATAGTAAGAGATTAACAATAACTAATGATAAAATACAACAGTTATGTGATTGTGGTCTCTCTCTTTCAAAATATCTTATTGTATGTAATGTTTTCAGATTGTGGTTGACCGTGGGTAACTGAAACCTTGGAAAGCAAAATCAAGGATAATGGGGGGTACTCCTGTAGATCCAAAGCATTTCAGTTCAGCATTAATAGGGACAGGAATTGCCAGGCCACTAGAGTTTCACTTTCTCTTCTACATTCCCCTTTCCTTTCCTGCTTTTGGGCATAGGGGAGCATTTGTTTGTTTTGTATACATATCTCTTATCTCTGCCTACCTGAAATTTATATTCTAGTCAAGGATACAGATAGCAAACAAGATAAATAAGTAAAGCATTAGTATGTTACGATACTTGCCCAGGTGAACCAGAAAAATCTGAGACTGAGTATAGGAATTTGGGGAAGCTTGATTTTGGCTGAAAGTGCTGCTCATTTGGGAATCTGAGGTGCATTTCTAGCTTTTCTTTACTGGCCAGGCACTGCCCTCTTCAGACCATTGTTTGGCTAAGGAAAACGAATGTACATCTGAATTCTAGAGACACTCTGTGCTGGAGATGGATTTGCACTATAACAGGCATTTCACATACTTATCGTTTGAACTGTCTCATATTTTTGTTAAACAGTTTTTAATCCCTGTTTAAAGATGATTCTGGTGCCAAGGGATGAAGTGACTTGCTTAAAGTGGTGTGAAACTCTATACTTTTTTTTTTTTTCTTTTTAAAAAGGTACAACTGAGGCCGGGCACAGTGGCTCACGCCTGTAATCCCAGCACTTTGGGAGGCTGAGGCGGGCAGATCACCTGAGGTCAGGAGTTGGAGACCAGCCTGACCAATGTGATGAAAACCCGTCTCTACTAAAAATACAAAAATTAGCCGGGCATGGTGACATGCGCCTGTAATCCCAGCTACTCGGGAGGCTGAGACAGGAGAATTGCTTGAACCCGGGAGGCAGAAGTTGCAATGAGCCGAGATCGCGCCATTACACTCTAGCCTGGGCAACAAAAGTGAAAGTCCGTCTCAAAAAAAAAAAAAAAAAAAGGTACAACTGGGCTGGGCGTGGTGGCTCACACCTGTAATCCCAGCACTTTGGGAGGCTGAGGCAGGTGGATCACGAGGTCAGGTGTTTGAGACCAGCCTGACCAACATGGTGAAACCCCGTTGCTACTAAAAATACAAAAATTAGCCGGGCATGGTGGCATGCACCTGTAATCTCAGCTACTCAGGAGGTTGAGGTAGGAGAATTGCTTGAACCCGAGAGGCATAAGTTGGAGTCAGCCGAGGTCACGCACTGCACTCCAGCCTGGTGACAGAGCGAGGCTCTGTCTCGAAAAAAAAAAAAAAGGTACAACCTTCCAGATTGGCCAACATGATGAAATCCTGTCTTTACCAAAAATAAAAAAATTAGCAGGCCCTGGTGGCACAGGTCTGTAATCCCAACTGCTAGGGTGACTGTGGCAGGAGAATCACATGAAACCGGGAGGTGGAGGTTGCAGTGAGCTGAGATGGCGTCATTGCACTCCAGCATGGGCGACAGAGCAAACAAGACTCCATCTCAAAAAAAAAAAAAAGGTACAACCTTAATTTATTTGATTGTCAGTTAACCTTTGGGCATGTAGCCCAAATGCTCCCAGACTGGATACGAGACTCTCTTAAGATTAAAAATACAGATTCCTGGCTGGGCGCAGTGGCTCATGCCTATAATCCCAGCACTTTGGGAGGCTGAAGCTGGCAGATCACTTGAGCTTAGGAGTTGAAGAACAGCCTGGGAACATGGTGAAACCCCATCTCTACAAAAACTGGCTATGATGGCATGTGCTTATAGTCCCAGCTACTCAGGAGGCTGAGGTGGGAGGATCACCTGAGCCCAGGATAGGAGGTTGAGGCTGCAGTGGGCCATGATTGCACCACTGCACTCCAGCCGGGGTGACAGATTGAGACACCCTGTCTCAAAAGAAAAAAAAAAAAAGATTCCTGGCCCGGCCCCCATCCCAGACCTGCTAATTAAGAATCTGGAGGGTAGAATTGGATTGAGTAGCTGAGGAGGTTGAGGTTCAACCTGGTTGATTGTCTTGACCACTCCCTCAGGAAGTTGGTCTGAGAACTGGGATTGGACCCCAGATGTACTTACTGCCTCTCAGTTTACTGCTCTTTGCACCTGGTTGTACTGCTGCCTTTTGAGATAAAAAGTTGTAAAGAAGGGGACGTTTAATTTTATGAGATGACATTTTGGTTCTTGTTTCATAGTTTTCTTGGGGTCTTACTATTGTTTTGGTCACCCTGGTTTGTTTTTGTTTTTGTTTTTGTTTTGAGACCGAGTCTCACTCTGTCACCCAGGCTGGAGTGCAGTGGTGCGATCTCGGCTCACTGTGACCTCCACCTCCCAGGTTCAAGTGATTCTCCTGCCTCAGCCTCCCAAGTAGCTGGGACTACAGGCGCGTGCCATCACACCCGGCTAATATTTGTATTTTCAGTAGAGACCAGGTTTCACCATATTGGCCAGGCTGGTCTCGAACTCATGATCCGCCCTCCTCGGCCTCCCAAAGTGCTGGGATTACAGGCGTGAGCCACCGCGCCTGGCAACCCTTGGTTTTAAGCAGTACCTGAAAGGATTTTTTCCAGAGAAGTTACTTGGTTTCCTTAGTGGCTTTTGTAATTTGTTTGAAATAGGGAGAAATTGGTTAAGTTTAGTCTTAGGAAAAAGTGATCTTCATCATTTTAGGAAGAGCATTTTCTCTGGAAATGATGATAGCCACCTGTTATGGAAAATGTGGCTAATGAAAGTGCCCTGGATGAAGAGAGAAGGACTTATCATTTGTTGGGATTCATTAGTTTGATGCTGTAGCTGCTTTATTTGAAGGGCCCTTTCTGGTGCCAAAGAAGTGAAGAAGCATCAGTCACTTGGTTGTGGTTTTTCTGGCATGCCTCTTTTTGGTAGACAGCTGTGAGGTGGTTATTATGGTTGTTTCTCATAATCTGATTGAGTTTTGCTACATGATTCAATGACTCTTCCCCTTTTGGTCTCCTTCTTCTAACCTTAGTGAGTTTTCTCTTATCTTCTGGTCTGGAAGGATAGAGATATGGTAGTCTATATATCTCTAAGCCCAGAAGAGAATGAGGCCTTTGTCTTGTTTTACATCACTTTCTAGATGTTCTTGGTTTGACATCTGGTTGCAAGCGCCTTCCTGGAGGTTTGATCAGGCTAGTGCTTCAGGGGATATCATTGGAATGGGCTAAGTCTGCAAAGGGGAATGTGTCTGATCTTCTAGAATGGTTTCTGTAAGCAGAATGGGGTAGATAGAACTTTTCACTGATTTTTGTGGTGGTTTTTTTTGTTTGTTTTCAAGATAGAGCCTTGCTCTGTCACCCAGGCTGGAGTGCAGTGGTGTGATCTCTGCTCACTACAACCTCTGCCTCCCAGGTTCAAGCGATTCTCCTGCCTCAGCCTCCCGAGTAGCTGGGATTACAGGCACGTGCCACCATGCCAGGCTAATTTTGGTATTTTTAGTAGAGACGGGGTTTCACCATGTTGGCCAGCCTGGTCTCAAGCTCCTGACCTCAGGCGATCTGCCGCCTTGGCCACCCAACGTGTTGGGATTACATGCGTGAGTCACTGCGTCTGGCCAATTTTTATTCCACTTGGAAATTTATGGAAGTTTGAAAGAATTTTTAAAAAACAAAACTTTTTTGGGGAGTGGTAGTTGCAAACTAGTTGTTGATTCCTCTCTCACCAAAGGCAGATGGTCAGTTTGTTTAGAACTTGAATGAACTAGAATGAAGGAATTGTGAAGTAGAAAACTGAGTTATGGTTCCTAGGTTATGAATGAAGAGAATCATAGGCTGAGTGGGTTTGATTCCCTGTGACAGGTGTTGGTATAATCTAATGAGATTTTTTTATTTTCCTGTCATCAGCTTGGCTTCAGGAAATCTTTAGTGTTGTCTCTGTTGAGGCCAAATAGGAGGTTAGAAATCTCTTATTGTCCTAGGTCATATAAAAAGTCATGTTTCCCCACTATTTAAAACAAGATGAAGGTAGTCTCCTTATTTTAGGAGGCGGGGTCTAGGAGTAAAACTAAGACAAACATGTTTCTGGACAATTTCTCCTCAATTGGGGGCTAGGGGTTCTTGACTAGTCTTCAAAGAAGGTCTGAAATACTAGGGGATATAGAAAAGACAGGATAAGGGGCGTTAGATACAGTTGTCTGGCTGGGGAGAGAAGGGACAATGAGAATGATTTATGCTGGTCATTTTATGTACCAGGGTACATAGGGTGATTTTTTTGGTGGAAGCCTAGTCTGTCCTAAGATATTACTCCTGAGATCTAAGTGAGCCACGTGCAGCTGGCAGGAAGCTGAAAGCTGTTGGTTGGGAGAGGCCTTAATTTTTACACTTGCCCCTGCCTGGAATGCCCTATCACAGGGGAGGGTCCCATACTGGAACTGGATCAACAGCTGTCGCCTGTCCCTGGAATCACAGGAAGCGGAGGACGGGGTGCCTTTGTATAGGGAGCTCTGAAGCCAGACAATAGTTTGTGCTGGCGGGGCCATGTGGCGAGTCATGTGACCTGGGGCTGTTTTCTGCTGGGGTCCTTACCCATCTGTTCTCTCGGCTCTTTCTGGGTTATCAGGCGCCAGTCCAAGTCCTCCCAGGCAGCCAGCTTCATGGCCAGAGATTACGAGCACTAACCTTCCTGGCAGGGGCGGTGTGGCTTCGAGTTTATGCAGATTAGCCATGTGTTTCTCACTTCAAGGCGTTCCACAGGAAAAGCCTTTTCCTGTGTTTGGCTCTCAGTGGGCGGTTCCCAGCTTACTGTACTGGGACTCAGCAAGCAGCAGGCATGCACCAGAGGGATCACAGTACACTGGCCCCCCTCTCCATTCCACCTCCAATGCTACGTCACCACAACACAACCACTCGCGCTCTCATACTGTTGGTGTCATTCATTCGGTGCCAAGATTGCTTTAAAAAATTCCCTTGGCCCCAGTTCAAACAGGAGTACAGCTGGGATGTGTTAGATTTTAGGCAGTCTGCCCTCAATTTGAGATGAGTTATAAATAGCAGTGCCGACTTCCTTAACTACCGCTCTCTGAGGTAAAATGCAGGTTAATTACTGTGGGAATCAATTAGGGGGGTTCTTTTGGTTAAAGAGCCAGGGATGCATTTTTTTAATTATTATTATTAAAAGTCATATAACAAATCTAGCCAGGAATAAATTGAAAGCACAAGGAGTAATAATACTTAAATGTCCAAAAGCCAAGGTTATAGCTCTAGGTTTACACTAGCCCCAACTAGTTAGCATTTAGGATGATAAAATGAGTAGTGGTCAAGACTTCTCCTCTCTGATGGACACCTTTTTGGCAGCTCCTGGCCCAACCCTCTCTGTTCTTATTCTTGCTGGCCCTTGGCACTGTTGAGTACTAAATTTAGCTCCTTAGGGTTGCCGCCTGGTCACTTCTTTCTATTTCCTTGGATTGGAACTGGAGCTTTCCTCAGTTGGACTTTTATTTAAATAAAATTATGAAGTTTCTCTTTCCTGGTGCCACTGCCACGGGTGGTACATTTTTGTGAATGGTATATCTCTGCTTAGAAGTTTTGAGTTCTTGGCTCTGTCTTCTCTGCTCTCTCCTCGGTCATGGTCAGATGGAGAATTTGCAGCTATTTTAATCTGTGAGTTTCACAAAGTGGTTACTTTGGGTTATAAGACATTCAGCCCAGGTCTACCTTAAAAGTCTAGTCTGTTATTTCAGCCGTTTTTGGGGGTCATTTTGGTTTTCCTTGATGCAATAAGAAGTTGTAAGAGGTTCCAGTAGCCAGCTAGTCTGGAGGGTCTTGTAATTCTATTGGCTTGGAGCAGGGGAACTCCCTATGCAAGGGGTCTGTCTGCTAGCTGTTTGTTCTGAATATATTCGGAAGGACAAGCTGCTAGGCATCCTTGCCTTTGATGCCCCTAAACTGCATCTTTTGATACATTTCATTTGGCAGGCAGTTTATAACATGGCCAGTGATCTGGAAGGAGGTGGTAAGTGGTAGATGGAGATGAGGAGTTTTCTTATGGCTCTTTCCCCCTTTTTTATTTTTATTTTTTATGAATGCAGGAGAGTATATAGCAGGGGGCCCGACTTTGCTGATCAAGGGGCAGCATTTTCCTCTCAATTATGTGTCTCTGTGGCAGAGCCTTTGCTTTTGAAGTGTAATCACAGTAATCTACTCCTGTGGTTTCCCATTGAAAGGATTTCCTCTGTCTTTCCCAGAGTGGAATCTCTGGCTTTTTGCAGCTAGGGTTTGGAGTTTCCATCCCCTGCCTTGTGCCTGCAGACTGCTGATACTGGCTTTTGTATCTTGCATGTAGGGATTTTTCTGGTCTGAAATTGCTACTTTCCAATAAAACTGATTAGTGAATATTTAAGGCCCCTTCTCTGTTACGAGAGATTGGGAGATGGCATTTCATCTGTAACTGCAAATCACAAATATTTCACGATGGTTTTAAATGTCATAAGTGTGAGTTATGTCCCTGCTCACCTCCCCTTCTGATTTGAGCAGATGTCTAACTTTTACATGAGATCAGAATAATCTGATTGTTTGAACTGAATATATATTTAGTTTGCCAAATAAGCTGCATATTCTGTTGATCATAAGCCTTTTGTGATGGGAGGGAGTCAAAAATCTGACGACCAGAAAAAGAAAGCATATTAATTTTATTTTTAGAATAAAAATTTCTTTGATGTACATTTATTTTTGGTCTACAAAGATTTCCTAAAGTTGAGGTGGGACATTCCTTGAACCCTTTATAGCCCCCATGTAAGTAGCTGTACTCAATTGGGAGCGCAGGCCTCCGTGTGAGAGAGGAAAAGGTGACTTGTCCTTAGCCTTTTGTTTTTAAGCAGTGTATATGAGGATGCCCCTGCAGTTCTGAAATTCTCTCTGGTATAAACCTTTTTTTTTTTTTTTTTTTTGAGACAGAGTCCCACTCTGTTGCCCAGGCTGGAGTGCGGTGGCACAATCTCCGCTCGCTGCAGCTTCTGCCTTCTGGGTTTAAGTGGTTCACCTGCCTCAGCCTGCTGAGTAGCTGGGATTAACAGGCGTGCGCCACCACGTCCGGCTAATTTTTGTATTTTAGTAGAGACGGGGTTTCACCATATTGGCCAGGCTGGTCTGGAACTCCTGACCTCAAGTGATTCACCTGCCTCAGTCTTCCAAAATGTTGGGATTTACAGGCATGAGTCACTGCGCCCAGCCTTGGGTTTGTTTTTTTTTGTTTTTTTTTTTTTTTTGAGACAGACTCTTGCTCTGCTGCCCAGGATGGAGTGCAGTGGCTCGATCTCGGCTCGCTTCAGTCTTCGCCTCCCAGGTTCAAGTGATTCTCATACCTCAGCCTCCCGAGTAGCTGGGACTTATAGGCATGTGCCGCCACACCCAGCTAATTTTTGTGTTTTTAGTAGAGATGAGGTTTTGCTATGTTAGGCAGGCTTGTCTCCCAACTCCTGGCCTCAAGTGATCCACCTGCCTTGGCCTCCCAAAGTGCTGGGATTACAGGCGTGAGACACTGCGCCCAGCCAGGTTATTCTTAAAGTGTGCTTGTTCTCCCTTGAATATTCTCATCCTTCTTTCTCATCTTTCACTTCAGTCCAACTTTTTTTCTACCTTCAAAGTCATAACCCCTGTGTTAGGGTTAGATTTAGGCTATGACCCTGGCTTTATGGCTAGATAGTTTGATTTGGGCTTTGTCCCCATAGTGTCTCCTACCCTTTTTTGGAATAGGACAGCATTGCACATTGAACAGTCACTGAGCCCAAGCTCTGTACTTTGGTATTTGGGAGAGCTTTGAAGATAAAACACCTGATCTCTGGCTTCCCAGAAGTTAGTCTTGAGAAATGCAATCAGTTAGTTGGAATAGTTAGCTGCAACTAAGTGTTAAATCTTAGGATGCTAACTGGATTTACAATAGGGCATTTAGAAATGTTAGAGATCAAAGTGTACTGAAGATATGGGAAGTGGCTTCATTTTGAAAGGTCAAGTTTCTGTTACTAGAAGCCACTGTGGACAGGAGGGCAGGGCAGGATGCCATTGCATAGAGCTGGGCATGTACAGTATGTGGGGAATCTTGGAGTGAGACTGAAAAAATGTGGAAAACTGGTTCACATTGTAGAGGGCTTTAGAGCCAGGTAAAAGCACTGTTTTATCATTACTGATAATCGCTACCATTTATTGGACATTTAAATACCAGGCACTGTGTGAAGTGTGTTATGTGCATTTAAAGAACTGATGTGTTCAAGGTAGGATGGTGAGAGAGGTAGGATTTGGACCCAAGTCTATCAAATTACTACACTACCCTCTATGTAATAATACTGTGCAGGATTTAGTAGTTAGGAAGTTTGGAACTATTATTGACCAGGGAGTGGTGGAAGTGATTTGGGAACAGCATTGTCCTAGAACTGCTCTAACATAATAAGCCACTAGCCACATGTAGTTATGTGAATTTAAATTAATTAAATGTAAATAAAAATAAAAATTTAGTTCCTTTGTCATATTTCAAGTGTTGAATAGTTACCCATCACAGAAAATGTTATTGGCCAGTGCTTCTCTAGATCACTGGTTCTTAGCTAATAGTATACACCAGACTCATTCAAAGATCTTAAGGAGGTTGGAGAAGAGCACAAGCCCTTCCAGACCCAGTAAATTGGAATCTCTAGGGAGAGGCCTAGCCATTTGTGAAGCTTCACAGAAAATTCTAATCTGCAGCCCTGGTTAATAGCTACTGCTCTAGAAGCTCTATAGTAACCATGGTAATGACTGCCCCTCATGTTGTGGGGAGACCTAGACTGACAGAGATACCCAGAGCAGGCTGATCTCTTTGTTCAACAAAATAGTCTCTCCAGTTGGAGGCCACATGGACAGCAGCTGCAGTCTGTGATGAGATGAGGACCTCAGTGTGATATGTGGCATGATATGGCCATGTAAGCCCCCAAGCTCTTTACAGGGGAGAATGGTGATGTTTTGGCTCCATTGCCAGGTGTATTGGGGAGGACCGTATGCTATTTATTAATTGTTGTTAAATTCGAACTTCCTAAGTAACCCTAAAATCTATGTAGCTCTAAAATTATGATAGGGAACATTATTGGAGCTTCTGATATGGATGAAAGACTTGGGCAAAAATTGTTTAGTTAGGATTGTTGGCAACAGTACTTTAATAATATTGACATGTAGTAGTGATTTGGGACACAGTTTTACTATGACTTTGTACAGTTTAGAAACATGGGGGAGGAGTATTCCCATCATCACTCACCAATTTAGCTGAGATTTCAGATATAGCCTAAGAAATAACTCTGCTTCTCTTTTTTCCCTTTGATATTAAGAAGAACAGCCTCTGTGGCTTATTGTCTTACCTGTTTTCTTTCATGAAAGCTCTACTTCCTCTACTATAAAACACTTAATAGCATTATTAAAAAACAAACACGTACAGAGAACGAATTGTTTGGATCTCCCCTTCCTTTATTTTGGAGGTTTTGTTGTTGTTTAAGGTCTTAACAGCTTAAATTATAGAATAGCTTATTAATTATTGAATAATAGAACTGGAAGGAACCCTAGGGATAACCTAGACCAGTCCTGGGAGGTGGGTTCTAGCAGTCTGTTTTAACAAGCCTTTCAAGTGATTCTGATGCATGCTAAAATCAATGAACCACTGAACTCCTTCATGTGACGGTTAATGATAGGCCTAGAGTATCAGTATCTATTTCACCCCCAATGTAAGAGCTAGTTTTTAAGTTTTATATCAGACCCATGCCTACTCTCCATCTTGTGTGTGTCTTAAAGGTGCTTAGAGAAACTTCCCCCTCCCCGCACACCACCAATAGATATAGGTAGATATTTCTGGCAGGGGAAAGTGTGCTCTGGAGTGCCAGTAGGATAAAGGCATATCAAAAAGTGAATGAGCTGGTTGAACCTGTTGCTCCACAAAGAGCTGGAAAGAAAGCTGTTGCATCAAATACCTGTGAATTGAATTTTGAGCTTTCATTATTGGTGCTAGCTGTACCTCTCTGTCTTCTTGCTCTTTTTTTTTTAACTTCCATGACAGCCTACCATTGAATCTTCTTGTCTCTCAAAGAGATAAAAGTTCTGTTCTTCTTATATCTTCAAACTCTTGAATATTAAAGGAAATGAGCTTTTCAGTTGAGATGCACAAGACTCTTAATTCAGAGTTCCCATTCCCTCAACTGTCACTTAGCTGCTTTGCTTATTTGGAAGAAAGCATAAATTTAACTGTGCCATAGTGCAAACAGGCTATAGATGTGTAAGGGGAGTTTCCACTATTGGAAGAATAGAAACATCTAGATGTTTGTGTATTTGAATTCCCCGTCATGGTATTGAAGCATCAATTTTGGTGTGTAACAAGGTGATGGCAGTGCATAGCAGCACCGTCCTCTACCAACTGAAGGGCCTTTGTTTATACCCGGCCTGTCCCTTGGATCTCAAGCAGTACCACAGTTACAAAGTAGTTTTTAGCTTACAAGGTGTTTTCACAAATAGGTGGTATTTTCATTTTTCAAATGACAAAATTAGGGTTCTGAGGCGGGTCAGTTGACTTAAAGGTTACTAGGTTGGTCTCATTGCTCTTTCAAAGTAACTGTATTTCTTTATAGCATACAGACTAAAAAAACCTGTGTACTTGGGTTATATATTCAGTGGCCAGAGGCCATCAAAGCTCAGGTTAATGAAATGCTCTTTATTTTGTAGCCATCCAGTCCAATGGATCAGATGGGCAAGATGAGACCTCAGCCATATGGCGGGACTAACCCATACTCGCAGCAACAGGGACCTCCGTCAGGACCGCAGCAAGGACATGGGTACCCAGGGCAGCCATACGGGTCCCAGACCCCGCAGCGGTACCCGATGACCATGCAGGGCCGGGCGCAGAGTGCCATGGGCGGCCTCTCTTATACACAGCAGGTAGATGGTGATTGTGATTACCTTGACCCTTGTTGCTGTCCAAAATCTGATCTGTGAGCTATAGAATCAGAATGTATCCTTGGCTTCCAAGCCTCTTGACAGGAATGTAGACCTGTTGGCTCAGTTAATTACAGAGTGCTACTAACAAAGCCAAAGCTATAGGCACCGTTCCATGTGTGCTCCAAGGAAAACTACTTACTCCCTGGTCACAGGTACGTATCTCTTTTTCTCTTGACCTGACTGGCCAGCTTATACCTAGTGAGTGGTCATCTCTGAATGAGATGGGATGAAAGGCAGTGGCTGAACATGTAGGCACTGCTACTATTAGGAAAACCATTCATATCATGTGCCCTGGTGACGGAAGAGGCCCTTTATGCTTCTGAATACCTTTAACATATCTGCCTTCTGGTTCAAAATGAATGTGACTGGGAGTAGAAGAAAAGGGGAAGATTAAACAGAAAAGATGTTAACAGCATTGATACAAATGTTAAGATTTCCCCTTATCCATCTCTTTTTGTCGAACCATTCACATCATTATCTCTTTATTGTCATTTTTGTATTGACAAAGTTTTCTATCATTTATCTTTGAGTGATACTCATACTGAAAATAGGGAGAGAATATAAAACAAATTTTACTTCTAAGACTTTAAAGCAAAGTACGCCTTTAATATAGAAAATTGTCTCTTTTTTCCAATAGAGGAGAGATGAGGTAATTTTATTTATTTTTTTTATTTTTTTGCCTGCTTACTAAATATATCCCCAGTGCCTAAAATAGTGCCTGGTACAAGTAATTGAGTAGGCTGTCAAATATTTTTTTTGAATGAAAACTAAATGAAAGAGAGAACCAAAGTAGCTTAGTGATTTTCACACTGTCTGAATTACTAAACCTTAGGTTTTCAGTTGGTTGAGCCAGGCTGCTATTGACTATTCATTGTGGTTAGGGTACAGATTCCTAACACTTATAAAAACAGTCTAGGCCGTGATAAAAAGAGTTAGGCTCACTGGTAGAAACAGCTGCTCTCAAACTTATGTTGCCCAAATAGTAAATAGTGTAAATTTTCAGTGGATAAATGTAGTCCACTTGTAAACAAACCACCTAAAAACCCAGCTTGGCCGTCCTTCCTGGCTCAGTTTAGGCAGGGTGAGAGAAAAACCCTGGGCCTCCTAAGTATGAGGCCTTGCATGCTTGCTTTCTATACTCATCATCAGTGCATAGCTTCTCACAAAACACTTCATCTTTCCTCATGCAGGAGAGTCAGTGCTAAAAGTATATTTTCCTTTCCTACAGATTCCTCCTTATGGACAACAAGGCCCCAGCGGGTATGGTCAACAGGGCCAGACTCCATATTACAACCAGCAAAGTCCTCACCCTCAGCAGCAGCAGCCACCCTACTCCCAGCAACCACCGTCCCAGACCCCTCATGCCCAACCTTCGTATCAGCAGCAGCCACAGTCTCAACCACCACAGCTCCAGTCCTCTCAGCCTCCATACTCCCAGCAGCCATCCCAGCCTCCACATCAGCAGTCCCCGGCTCCATACCCCTCCCAGCAGTCGACGACACAGCAGCACCCCCAGAGCCAGCCCCCCTACTCACAGCCACAGGCTCAGTCTCCTTACCAGCAGCAGCAACCTCAGCAGCCAGCACCCTCGACGCTCTCCCAGCAGGCTGCGTATCCTCAGCCCCAGTCTCAGCAGTCCCAGCAAACTGCCTATTCCCAGCAGCGCTTCCCTCCACCGCAGGTAAGATATCCCTGCCTCCTGCCCTTCCCTGTGTGTGACTACAGACAGCTTGGGGGTTAGTGTCATGAGAACTTTGCTGTACAGAGTGGTTCTCTAACGTGCACTTAAAGACCAATTAAACTCTGGGTAAACATGATAACTGGATTGATTGAACTAATAAAGGCATAACCTCCTTAACTGCATAAAGACCTGTAGCTCTCCTTAATGATGAAGAAATAGGGCAATGGAAAGTTGCATAGATGGATAAGAAATTAAAGATAATGGGACTGGTTTTTTTATTTTATTTTATTTTATTTTATTTTGTAAATCAACATCAGAACTTCAGCATCTAAGTGAGTTGGTCTTTTTTCAAAACAGTCACTTTGAGAGGCAGTACTGTACATTCACTCCAACTGCCATTCCATTCTGCTATCGCTCAAAATACTTGGATCCCTTCATTTGGAATTGCCACCAGAGCTGATACCACATTCTTTAGAATACTCTCAGTGGTGGCAAATCTTATTTTTTGTGGGTGGATTTTGTTTGGGGAAATAGCAAAAATTCATTTGGAGTTATGTCTGGTGAACAAGATGTAGGTAATAGAGCCTAAAATAGCATTTGGGGCTTTATTTTTGTAGAGCCCAAAGAAAAGAGATGACTGAGTGATGACAGGTCCACTAAAAAGTTTATGTATTGGTGGCACTGTTGGAATAAATATCTCATCCCAAGGTGATGTCTTTGAATGAAGCAGTACTCATTTTAATGCAGAGGTTCTAGCATGATTTTTTTGTGGTTTCATTGGTCTCATTCCTTGATAGATTTAACTTGAAGTTGGCCAGACATTAGCATTTAACCCCAAGAAACAGCCCTCTGTAGGCAGCAATAAATGGGTGACAATTCTGTCAGAAAGAGTCCACTGTTGACATTCTTACCAGTCACAGCTTGGATTTTTCTGGCCTTCACATAATACTTTTCGCAACTGGACTTTCTCTCACACTCATGAGAGACAGTCCCATAACCCTTTCACAGTGAAGTAAGCCTGCCTGGTTTATCAATACCAGGCCATCACAGCTTTTGTTTTTCTTGTTGTAGGAGCTATCTCAAGATTCATTTGGGTCTCAGGCATCCTCAGCCCCCTCAATGACCTCCAGTAAGGGAGGGCAAGAAGATATGAACCTGAGCCTTCAGTCAAGACCCTCCAGCTTGCCTGTGAGTATTTCTGCACCTTCTGAAAGGTGATAGGGGCAGAGAGGAAACCAATGCAAACTAGTTAGTTTCTGGTTGGAAGTTTAGCTAATTTTGACCTAAATGAATAAGTTATTTCTTGAATTCAAGGAACTTAAAGGCTGACTTGTAGATGTCTGTTCTGTCTCCCTGCCCAGGGAATAGGTTTGTGATCTGTTTAGTTTGTTTTTGTCTTTTTAAGTCTTGTGCTTTTAGACATGGACCCACATGAGGGGCAGAGAAGATGGAGATATCAGAAGCACTGTCTGCTCTCCATCAAAGTTGAGAAAAATATCAGTTTCTTGACTTTACTCTTACAGGCTTAATTTTTAGGTTTTTGGCTTAATGTTTAGCTACAAGGTAGGATCCTGGAGCAATTCAGCATGCATTGTCACATTGAGCGTGGCTGGAGCAAAAGCAGTTTTTCTGGTGGTGATTTTGTGTGAATACTTTTTTTTTTTATTTTTGGTAGAGTACTTGATGCCCAGGTGCTTAAGTTATGGAATCAGGTACTTATTTATGGGATGGACTGACCATATCCTGAGACAGGCAGTATAGTCTAGTGATTAAGAACTTGGGCTCTAGAGCCAGAGTTCCTGGCTCTAGCTTCTGCCACCAACTCTGTTTCATAGGGGTGGTGGTGAACATTAAATAGGTTACTAGAGAGTGCACACGAGCACTGCACATTGTAGGCACTCCATAAATGTCAGCCTTTGTAATCATCGCCTCAGAGGGCATTGGGACTGTGCTTTATACCTGAAAGGCAGTTAACACCATACTAGGTGGTTGTAGGAACCTTTACTGTTAGTCTTAGCTCTGTGGGCAAGTTACTCAGCCTCTGAAAGTTAATCTGCTGGGCACAGAAATAAAATAGGCTACTCTGAAATCTAGTCATCTAGTAAGATGGTGGGTAGCAAACCCACCATGACAAATCCTGCTTCAGTTAGGAAATGGAAATTCAGCCACATACCCAGATAAGAATCTTTTGGAATTTTGACTCTACTTGGATGTAAAGCCTGTGTCTTCATTTATTCTGACCTGAGAGAAATGGTTTCAGGATCTCTAAGAAATAGGCAGAAGGCGGGAACTCTCTTCATCATGAAGCCTCCCATGGATTCCCCTGAAGGTCTCTGAGACACCTCAATAGGGCAAGGTCTGCAGAGTCCCTTAGTACCTGGTGTTCAGGCTTCTGAGGCCAGAATGCAGATAGGACGTCTGAGATTGTTGACTTTCTCAACTGAGGAATTGGGGGAAGGAAGTGCCTTAATAAAGTGATCACTCTTTGTTCCCTTCTCATTAGTGTCTGTTGCAATCCTTTTCTGCATCCTGAACTTCATTGGAATGTGCTTTTTAACCTGATTCAGTCAGAATGTGTAACCACTCCCTCATCATCTGTGGTCTGTGGCTAAATCTGGGTGAGGTGCTATTGTGTCAAGAACCCAAATCGGTGGATTTCTGTCAGTGCTGTAAGTTGCTTCATTCCAAAAAGTTTTTGCTTGCTTCTGGTGACCTTTTGATAGATCTGTATTTGGCTTCTTTTTTTTTTTTTTTTTTTGGTCCTGAGAAGGCTTGTATCCAGAGATGCTACATGCCTTGTAAGGGTTGGGAATCTTAAGAACTTCTTATCTGACCCACTGAAGTGAAGGTGAAGGTGTTGGCAGCCTTTTAGGCCCAGGGGATGGTTGTTCCTGGGAAGGCTATCACAAGGAACATTCCCACGTTTGGGCTTTTTCTAAAGATTCATCCAAATGGGTCATTTGCTCAGTGGTAGAAGCTCCATGTGGGAGGTAAGCTGGCTGGGTTATTGGCATCTTGTTTTTTGAATTGCTTTTTATCCCTTTGCTACTTGGGCAGGCATCAAAAAGTGGTTATTCTTTGAAATTTTGGTTTGATGCCAGATTTGCCTACGCAGGCTAGGAAGCAGCCCCATCTGAAGAAATGACAAGTTGGATTCCCTACAAGAGCCCTCTCCTTTCTTAACCAGTCGTGTTAAAGGATCCCTAGGTTTGCCAGTGCATTGCTTCACTAAACAAATGTTTATGAGGTACCTATTGGCACCAGAGCAGATTCCAGGCTGGCTGGAGAGCAGCCCCTCAGATTTCACATTGCTCTCCTTACTCATTCACGTTACCTTCCTGGCCCTAAAGGCATTATGATTGTGACCCTTGAATATTACAAAAATTAAATTTTGAGGAGTCTGTGCTCAGTTATTGATGCCAAGCCATTTGGGTGCTATTATCCTGATCATGTTATCCCTATATTTAAACCTCTCAATTATTTTTTTGTTAATCTTAGAATAAAATCCAGAATTTTTTTTTTTTTTTTTTTGGGGGGAGAGAGAGTTTCACACTCTTGTTGCCCAGGCTGGAGTGCAATGGCACGATCTTGGTTCACTGCAGCCTCCACCTCCTGGGTTCAAGTGATTCTTCTGCCTCAGTCTCCCGAGTAGCTGGGTTTACAGGTGCTCGCCACTACGCCCAACTAATTTATTTATTTATTTTTGGATACTGAGTCTCACTCTGTTGCCCAGGCTGGAGTGCAATGGCACGATCTCAGCTCACTGCAACCTCAGCCTCCCAGGTTGAAGTGATTCTCCTGCCTCAGCCTCCCGAGTAGCTGGGATTACAGGCGCCCTCTACCACGCCCACGTAATTTTTGTATTTTTAGTAGAGACGGGTTTCACCAGGTTGGCCAGGCTGATCTCAAACTCCTGATCTCAGGTGATCCACCTGCCTTGGCCTCCCAAGGTGCTGGGATTATAGGCGTGAGCCACCTCACCCGGCCTGAAATCCAGAATCTTTAATGTTAGACATCAGAAACACAGATTGCTGTTCCCTCTCAGCTCCCATCCCCTGTGTCTTTCTCATTCAGTAGGTCTGGAGTGGGGCCCAAGAATGTGCATTTCTAACAAGTTCCTCTGTGATTCTGTTGCTGCTAGACCAGGGATGGCACTTTGAGAACCTCTACTTTATTCTTTTTTCTCTGCCTTGCTCTTGGCTTTCTTTCAGTTTCTCTAAGGCACCATATGCTATTTTTTGCTTTCAGACCTTTGCACACACCCTTCCCTTTGCCTCATACTTTTCCCCTCAACTCCTCCTGTTCATCTTTCAGACTATATCTTAAAGATTGTTCCTTCAGAAAACTACTACCTAATCAAGCTTCAAGACGCACCTTAAATAACTTCTATGATGACTTCATTGACTAAAGGCCATTGTTATTTTACCTTTAAAAAAAAGGCCGGGCGTGGTGGCTCACGCCTGTAATCCCAGCACTTTGGGAGGCCAAGGCGGGCAGATCACGAGGTCAGGAGATCGAGACCATCCTGGCAACCATGGTGAAACCCCGTCTCTACTAAAAATATAAAAAATTAGCCAGGCATGGCAGTGGGTACCTGTAGTCCCAGCTATTTGGGAGGCAGAGGCAAGAGAATCACTTTAGAACCTGGGAGGCAGAGGTTGCATTGAGCCGAGATCACACCACTGCACTCCAGCCTAGTTGACAGTGAACTCCATCTCAAAAAAAAAAAAAAAAAAAAAGTATAGCTGGGCGCGGTGGCTCACACCTGTAATCCCAGCACTTTGGGAGGCCGAGGCTGGCGGATCACAAGGTCAGGAGTTCGAGACCAGCCTGGCCAATATGGTGAAACCCTGTCTCTACTAAAAAATACAAAAATTAGCTGGGCGTGGTGGCGGGCACCTGTAGTCCCAGCTACTCAGGAGGCTGAGGCAGGAGAATTGCTTGAACCCGGGAGGCGGAGATTGCAGTGAGCCAAGATTGTGCCACTGCATTCCAGCCTGAGTGACAGAGAGAGACTCTGTCTCAAAAAAAAAAAAAAAAAAGGGCACAGTGGCTCAGGAGGCCGAGGCGGGCAAATCGCCTGAGGTCTGGAGTTTGAGACCAGCCTGACCAACACGGAGAAACCCCGTCTCTACTAAAAATACAAAATTAGCCAGGCGTGGTGGTGCATACCTGTAATCCCATCTACTCGGGAGGCTGAGGCAGGAGAATTGCTTCAATCCAGGAGGCAGAGGTTGCAGTGAGCCAAGATCACGCCATTGCACTCCAGCCTGGGCAACAAGAGTGAAATTCTGTCTCAAAAAAAAAAAAAAAAAAAACCCTGCACAATATATAAGGCCTACAAAAACTATAAAGAACAGTTCAGTACCTGAGTACCCATCTGTAGAAATCAAGCCTTGCTAACACAGGTAAAACTTTATATAGCTCTCTGGGATCACTTATCCCTCTTGGTAAGCACCATCCTGTATTTGACAGAGCATTTTGCCAATGCCCTCTACCTGTGCTTGCTTTTTTTTTGTTTGTTTGTTTTGAGATGGGGGTCTCTCTGTCACCCAGGCTGGAGTGTAGTGGTTTATTCTCGGCTCACTGCAGTCTCCACCTCCCCAGGTTCAGGTGATCCTCCCACCTCAGCCTCCTGAGTAGCTGGGACTACAGGTGTGAGTCAACATGCCCAGCTAATTTTTGGACTTTTTAGTAGAGATGGGGTTTCACGATGTTGCCCAGGCTGGTCTCGAATTCCTGAGCTCAAGCAGTCTGCCCGCCTTGGCTTCCCAAAGTGGTGGGATTATAGGCATGCACCACCTTGCCTGGCCTGACTCTACTTACTTAAATGGTAAGTTCCTGGAAGGCAGGCACTGTGTTATTGACCTCTGTGCCCCCAGTACCTATCATGTGATGCCCAAGACCAGTGGTTCTCTACTGTGTCTGCATGTTAGAATTACCCAGGGGAGTGTATTATCTTTAAAAATTAATGCCCAGGCCCGAGCACGGTGCCTCACGCTTGTAATCCCGGCACTTTGGGAGGCTGAGGTGGGCGGATCACCTGAGGTCGAGAGTTTGAGACCAGCCTGACCAACATGAAGAAACACCATCTCTACTAAAAATACAAAATTAGCTGGGCATGGTGGCACACGCCTGTAATCCCAGCTACTAGGGAGGCTGAGGCAGGAGAATCGCTTGAACCTGGGAGGCAGAGGTTGCGGTGAGCCAAGATGGTGCCATTACACTCCAGCCTGGGCTACAAGAGCGAAACTCCGTCTCAAAAAAAAAAAAAGAAAAAATTAATGCCCAGAGTTCACAGAGTTCTGATTTGTTTCATGTGGGGTTTGGGCATTGGTGTGGTTAGCAGCTGTCCCAGGTGAATCCCGATTTGCAGGTAGAGATCTATTCCAGACTGTATGAGGTTCCTTTGCTATAGTAAACTCTTTTTTTTTTTTGAGATGGAGTCTCACTCTGTCACCCAGGCTGGAGTGCAGTGGCACAATCGCAGTTCACAACAACTTCCGCCTCCCGGGTTCAAACGATTCTCCTGCCTCAGCCTCCCAGGTAGCTGGAATTACAGACGCCCGCTACCACACCCGGCTAATTTTTGTATTTTTAATAGAGACGAGGTTTCACTATGTTGGCCAGACTGGTCTCGAACTCCTGACCTGGGTGATCCACCCGCCTCGGCCTCCCAAGGTGCTGGGATTACAGCCATGAGCCACGGTGCCCAGCCTATAGTAAATTCTTAGCACCCATACTTCTTGTTAGTACTTATCTCAAGTGTAATTTAAATTACTTATTTAATGCAAGTTCATTGAGGACTGACTTGCTGTCTTGCTTATTGCCATAGTGCCTGGCATCTGGTTGCTTATTGCCATAGTGCCTGGCATATAGTAGGCTCCAACTTACTGAATAGATGAACCTGAGCAGCATCCATTATAGTGCTCATTCAGGAAGTATACATCTGACAGGAGCAGCTTGACTGTATTACCAGAGTCTTGCTCTGTCACCCAGGCTGGAGTGCAGTGGCACGATCTTGGCTCACTGCAGCCTCCGCCTCCCGGGTTCCAGCGATTCTCCTACCTCAGCCTCTTGAGTAGCTGGGATTACAGGTGTGCGCCACCACTCCCGGCTAGTTTTTGTATTTTTAGTAGAGACAGGGTTTCACCACGTTGGCCAGGCTGGTTTCGAACTCCTGACCTCAAGTGATCCACCCACCTCAGCCTCCCAAAGTGCTGGGATTATAGGCGTCAGCCACTGCGCCCAGCTTCTGTAACTTTTCTTTTGTTTTTTTTTTTTTTTTTGAGACAGAGTCTCTGTTGCCCAGGCTGGAGGGCTGGAGTGCTGGAGTACAGTGGTGCCATCTGGGCTCACTGCAAGCTCCGCCTCCCGGGTTCAAGCAATTCTCTGCCTCAGCCTCCCTAGTAGCTGGGATTACGGGCACCCACCACCACGCCTGGCTAATTTTTTTGTATTTTTAGTAGAGATGGGGTTTCACCATCTTGGCCAGGCTGGTCTTGAACTCCTGACCTTGTGATCCACCCACCTTGGCCTCCCAAAGTGCTGGGATTACAGGCATGAGCCACTGCGCCCGGCCCAGCTTCTGTAACTTTTCTTACTGAGACACATTTGTAAATTTACATTTTGGTCTTGAAAGTGTACCTAGGATAGAGTAATGGAAAATGGATACAGGATTGAAAGCTGTGATCTGAAGAGGTTAGCTAGTGCTTCACAAACTTTAGCGTGTGTTAAGAATCACCTGAATTACTGCCTCTACCTGAGAAATTCTGATTCAGT
This sequence comes from Homo sapiens, assembly GCF_000001405.40. NCBI lineage: Eukaryota > Metazoa > Chordata > Mammalia > Primates > Hominidae > Homo > Homo sapiens. The sequence continues at coordinate 26,739,387 of NC_000001.11, forward strand.
AGGTGTGGGCTGGGACCTAAGAATTTGCATTTCTAACAAGCTCTGAAGTGGTACAGATGCTGCCAGTTCAGAAGACCACAATTGGAATGAGACTGAAGTAGGTAGTCACCTTTAAGGGAAGGAAAAAAAATTACTAGACTAGGAAGCCACAGCGGTAACTAGAATAATAGTGGTGATTTACACTGTAGTTTGACTCTTGATTATTTGGAAGGCACACTGTGGGTTAAGAATGGTAGAAAGAAAAGAGACTTGAAAGAAACTAGACTTCCTGTAGCTGTGGCCTCAGTGCAGTTTATTCCTGGGTAACGGAGCCCTTGCCCTGCCAGTACCACCCTGGGAGCTCCTCTGCTCTATGGTGCTCATCACTGGATCCCTTCCTTTAGTGGGGCCAAACTTAGTTGGTCACCAAATCTTAGTCTACCACAGAAATGGTTTTTGCTTTTGAATCTGGTTTCCCCTCTCTTTCTCCACTGCCTTTTGTTTTTTCGGGTCCCTGTTATCTCTCACCTGGTGTCTTGCCACAAACTTCTGACTGTTCTGTTTCTTTTCTTCCTCTTTTCCTTCCAAGTCTGTCCTCAGCATAATCACCAGAGTGATCATCTTAAAAAAAAAAAAAAAGAAAAAAAAAACCTGGCCAAGTTATGTTAATGCTTTAAAACCTGGCTACGTGTTGTCTGTAGATTTAAGTCCAAGTGTGACATACAAGTAAGTTTTTTTGGGATCTGGAGGATGAGGAGAGATGTAGGTAAGTTTCCTGTCCCTGGAGTAAAACCTGGCACACTTTTTGCTATGGGTGTTATGTAGAAGACAAACAGACATTTGACAAGGGTTGAACTTGTGTGACTTCTGAGGTCATTTGAACTCTTGGGTCCATGATTCCGAATATGATACGATGATTCCTAAAGGATCCTCCTGTGTTTCATTAGTAAAATAGACATAAAACAGAAGACCATGTGCCTGTATGTTATAATGAGTGCTGTCAGAGTTTGGTGAAGTCACTGATCCATTTATGTCTCAATAGTTGAAGGAAGAAGTCATGTTGAAGTTCAGTCAGTATGAGCTAGATGTGGATGTATTTAAGTGGTTAGTTACAAAGGGAAAGTCCAGCTTGAACAGAGGCCATGCAGGGATGGGGATGAGGTGCAGTATAGATACTTGGGGGCTGGTCAGCTTCCAGGGGTGGGAAGTAACAGGAAGGAAAGCTAGATCACAGGGATCCTGCTGAGCTTAAGCCATTTAGATCTGATCTTATGGGCTTGCAGATAGGTAACTGGGGCAATCATGTGATAAAACTAATGTTTTACAAAAATGATCCATTAGTTTGTAGTATGCTTTGAAAACGGGAGAGTCTTAAAGCAGTGGAATAAGTTAAACCGTAGAACTACTTCTGGCAAGAGGTATGGAGTTCTGGTCCTTCTGTCTCATTTGCATAGCCACCTGCTCCCACATGTGGAACATGCAGGAAAGAATACAGGACTGAGAATAAGTGGGTTCTGTGTGGTGGAATATTTAAAGATTTTGATTGACTGGTGGGCAGGGGGAGTCTCATTTTTGAGGAAAAGTTAAATTCCATATTTATTTTGTGGAATATAATATAGTAAGATTTCTGAAAACAAATGTCCAGTTTCTAGTTGGAGATAAGAAACTGAAACTTGGGTAAGACCTGAGTCTGGATACAAGTTTGCGAGTTACCTGTGTGGTAGTTAATAGTTAAACCATAGAATGAAACAGGCCTCCTAAACTGGAGTTTAGAGATAGAAGCCAGATGGAGCTCTGGACGATGCCGGAGGCCATCAGGTAGAAGCAGCCAACAGAGAGTTGGAGAGATCGGAGAAGGACCAGGATTGTGTAATATTTCTGGAAGCCAAGGGAGGAGGGACGAAGTCAAATTTATATTTCAAAGAAAATAGGTAGTTGGGTTTGTCATAAAGCATTTTATTGGGATCCTTTTTAGATAAGGAAAAGGCCTTATTTCTGAGGGCTTGAGAAAAGGAAATGAGCAAGGGAAAGGGAAAGAGCACTCTTGAAATGCACTGAGAAAAAGGAGAGTCTGGCTGAATCAGTCCAATTCCTCCGCTTCATCCCAAAGACCCGCATGTGTATAAGGCAGATGGAAGAGGGAAAAGTGAAGGTGCTGGCAGAATATTAGGAGGGTATAAACAGGCACATCTTTCTGGAGTTGTGAGAAAAAGGAATCAAAGGCATCCACTGGATTAATTTCTAAGGGACGCTATACCCTTGGCTGAAAAAAAGGTAATCTTAAAGACTGTTGTTGAAGATTGGATCATACTCATTTCCTCAGGTTAGGTAGGAGTGAATGTTATCGATATCAGGAGGGAGGTGGAGAACAGAATTAGGATCTGTAATGTCTATCAAATTATCCCTTGAGTTTCTGAGCCATTCTTTAGATTTCACTTAACATCTTAGCTATTACCCTTCGTATTTTTACTTCTGTAATGCTCTCAGACGCTGAGATCTTGGAATTACATTGGTCTAGAAAGAGGAAATGCGAGGGAGCTATGCTGTCCCTGTAGAATCCAGATTTTAGAGGGCAGGAGTAAGGCCAGGCAAGGAGCTACAGTCAACATCAGTTATTCTGAAAAGATAGGAATTGGAAGGTACAGAATACCCACTCCTGTTTTACATATGAAAAACCAAGGGTCAGAATCAAGATTTGAATCTAGCTCTGATATTTCAGGTGAAATATTTCCTCCAGCATCCCACCCAGTAGAGGAAAGACATGGACAATCTGATCCTCTCTTCATTTTTAGGCAAAAAACTCAACTCTTTGCCATTTAGCATTTGCTAGACTTGTCCTAAAAGGAATGTCAATGGATTTCCATTTTACTTCTGTTTTCCCAGACATCCCTGTGATGGAGGCACAGATGAGCTGTGGAAAGAGCGAGTGGTAGGAAAGATAGCCAAACCTATAGGACCTGCTTGGAGGAACTAGCCAACTAGGGAATCGCCTCAAACAGTGAACCGTTGACTAGAGTTTGGTTATTTGGTTCCTGTGTGGGATGAGAGCAAGCCCTGTTCTGTGTCTGTCTTCTTAGAACATACTGTCCTGGTCAGTGCTAACTTTAATCAGTTAGATCCTTGCTACTCAGTGTGGTCCATTGTCTAGAAGCACCAACATCACCGGGAAGCTTGCTAGAAATGTAGATTTTCAGGCCCCATCCTAGATTTATTGGATCTAACTGTTAATAAGATCTCTAAGTGATTCATGTGTCTAATGGTTTAGAAGCACAGAGACCCTGAGAGCTGAGAGTAAAATTTTCAAATGAAATATCAAGCTGGTAGGCCAGGCACGGTGGCTCACACCTGTAATCCCAGCACTGTGGGAGGCTGAGGCGGGTGGATCATGAGGTCGGGAGTTCGAGAGCAGCCTGACCAATATGGTGAAACTCCATCTCTACTAAAAATATAAAAATTTAGCTGGGCGTGGTGGCATGCACCTGTGATCCCAGCTACTCAGGAAGCTGAGGCAGGAGAATCCCTTGAACCCGAGAGGCGGAGGTTGCAGTGGGCTGAGGTCGCGCCACTGCACTCCAGCCTATGTGACAGAGCGAGACTGTCTCAAAAAAAGAAATATAAAAAATATCAAGCTGGGGCTTTGGAACGTCATAAATTTTACAGATTGTATCCAGTAATATTTAAGTAATCTCTGAGTGTGGGAGACCACCACCAGTTGTTTCGTGCGTGTTTTGGGGACCCTGGCTCCCAGTGCCTTACCCAGTTCAGAACCCATAGTGGAGCCATCCACAGCTCCCAGCATACCTCTGCAACTTCATCTCCAGCCACTCATTTGTACCTTAAGCTCCTCACAATTCCTGGTCCTCTTGATTAGGATGTATACCTGTTTCTCTCTCTTTCTGTCATGCTCAGCAAACTTCTACTTTGGCTTCAAAACCTAGCTGGAATACTCTCTCTGAGACTTCTTCCCCATTTTCATATTGGCATAGCCTTATGCTGGTACCTCTGCTTGAACTGTATCTGACATCTGTCATGTTGTGCCCAGAACAGGCAGATATTTGTAAACCTTTGTTGAATACCTCCTAGATTCTTGCTACCTAGTTGAGCTTTGGGAGCTGACGTTTTGTTGTTTAGGTTTATTGAGAGGAGTGACAAATCCTCTCAATAAATGCTTTAAAAATTAGAACATTTGGCTGGGCACGGTGGCTCACACCTATAGTCCCAGCACTTTGGGAGGCTGAGGCGGGTCATCATGAGGTCAAGAGTTCAAGACCAGCCTGGACAACATGGCGAAACCCTGTCTCTACTAAAAATACAAAAATAGGCAGGTGTGGTGGCAGGGGCCTGTAGTCCCAGCTACTCGGGAGGCTGAGGCAAGAGAATCGCTTGAACCCGGGAGGCAGAGGATGCAGTACTCCATCTCAAAAAAAAAAAAAAAAAATTAAAACATTTGAAGGATTTTAATTTTACACAGTTTCTGTTCCCTTTTGTTCATTTCATGATAGAAGGAGAGAGGGCCCACAGTCCTTATCTAGGTTTTTGATGGTTGATTTTCAAAAAGATAACAGAAATGTCACTAGCGATTTTGGTAACCAGAGAAGCAGGGTCTTTCTGAGGTTGGTGACCTGTTTTCTTTATAGCTGACCATGTATCTGTGCCTGCTCCCCTTGAATTATAGCCCAGGTGCTCTCTCAGAGTCTCGAAAAGGAAATCCCCACCCCCTCTGTCATATCTGCCCAGACTGCTAAGAGCAGCATGTACCCTGTGCATGTAGCCATCCCTTCTCTAGAACGCTGGTTCTCTGGGCTGGACTGGCCAATCCGCTTCTCCATCTTAGTCACACTGTTCCAACCCTGATACTGCCTGCTGACTGCCTGAGCCTGTGCTGCTTGCAGCAGATTACTGTATGCTTGTTCCTGGGCCCATTTCCTGTTTCTATTCTAGTCGCTGGTGGCTCAGCTCTGCTTCCTGCCTGTGTGTCTCACACAGATTCCTCTTGCTGGAACCTTTTGTTTCCTTCGGAACAGCCTCAATCTTTGAAAAGCAACTGAGCCTTAACTCTAGTATGATGGCTCTTGAGTCACTTAGTCCTACAGAGGTCTGGCTGGAAGTACCTCTTCCCCATTAAGCACACCGTTTGAATTTTACCTTGTTTTTCAGTTTGTCGTCAGCCCTGCTGTAGGAAGTTAAGTTGGGCCAAACTTGTCCTCACTTATTAGTACACAGAGCTATCGGGACTGGTATGTCCTGATTCTTTTGTACCTGGAGCTTTTAAATGTATTTCCTACTACTCAAGAAGACACTTGGTATCCTCTCTGGCCCAAGCTTCCCTGAAGCCCAGGTGATACTTATTTTGAGTTGGGCAGGTTATGCCATCCTCAGCAGAATAACAGGCTGCAGAAAACATAGGGATGGAAAAGAAAGCGTGTGCTGACTCAACCCTCCATCCTGTGTGAGCAATTCAAACCCCCCACCCACCCCCTCAGAGCTTAGGGTGAGAGAGAGAAAGTACAGTGAGGTTGTAAAAAGGGAAGAAGTGAAGGAGGTTGTCCTGGACAAATGTATTTAAAGGCCTAAGGCTCCCCCCTCTTGCCCATTTCCTACAAAAAATATGCTTCGTGAATAAATCTTTTTTCTCTTCCTTTACAGCCACTCTTTTGGGATCATTTGATAATACTGAGTCAGAGGATTTCTGTACTGGACCCTAGGTCTAGCTATGTTTAAAAGAGAGAGATTTAATATAGGGAATTTGGGCTTACAACTGGAAGGAGTGAGGGAGCTTGCTCTAGGCTTGGCCTCCAAGAAACCAGACCCAGATTTAACCTAGATTTGACCTACCAGGGGAACGTCTATCTCGGAGCTACTATTAGATTGATTGCTCTTGAATCATACCCCTAAACCTGTGGTCCAGAATCAGTAAACTGGAATCAAGAAGCAGTAGCTGCTGCCGCCAGAACCAGCACCCAGTTAAGTGGAGGATGGAACCAAAATGCTCCTGCAGAAACAAGTAAAGGAGACAGAAATATGGTCTCTGCTTACTTTGATCTAATCTCATGAGTCAGCTTCTCATTAGCAGAAGCTGAATTGTATCCAAAACCAAGGGATTCTTGGAAATTTCGTTTTTAAGCTTTTTAACCTCTACAATTAGAGAAAGAATAGAATGGAGGCTGCATGAACTAGCCCAACAGAATATTTACAATACTGACACCCCATTCCCGTCTCCCCTCCCACCCCCAACTTTACATATGACGAACCTAAGGCCCAGAAAGGGCAAGAGACTTGTCCAGGGTCATTCAGTAAATGAGAACATTGGATTCTCTGACTGCTAGTCCAGTGGTTCTACTGTTGCTTTTACTGTTAGGACCAACTCCTGTACAAGACCAGCAAAAAGATCCTTTAAGAAAAGGCCGCAGGCACGGTAGCTCACACCTGTAATCCCAGCACTTTGGGAGGTTGAGGCGGTGAGATCACCTGAGGTTGGGAGTTCAAGACCAGCCTGACCAACATTAAGAAACTCCGTCTCTACTAAAAATACAAAATTAGCCGGGCGTGGTGGCATGTGCTTGTAATCCCAGCTACTTGGGAGGCTGAGGCAGGAGAATCGCTTGAACCTGGGAGGCGGAGGTTGCGGTGAGTCAAGATTGTGCCACTGCACTCCAGTCTGGGCAACAAGAGCAAAACTCTGTCTCAAAAAAATAGAAAAGGAAAAATGCCATATTCAGAAAATGGACTTTGCCTTCCGTATTCTCTTTGGAGAAAGGGAAGGAGTTATGAACAGATATGAGGTTGAGATTTCTAGATTTCTAGGCAAAGTTAATGATACTACAGCTTCTGGATTTAGTTCTGTTCTCCAGAAGGATATAAGAAGCATTTACTCTGAAAGGAAGAATTCTCAAAAACTAGAATGTCCTGATATTCCTTAGTCATCATGGATGAACTCAGTTGTTGTAGTGACAGTGGCTCACCTTCACCTATTCCCCCTTGCCTTTTCTTTTGCTGTTGGTGCTTTTCTGTCCAAAAAGATCAACCAAAATCCAGAAAACCAGCCCCCAGATGTTTGGTTGCTTAGCTGTTTCATGTCTGCCCTTGGGGAGACTTGGGTCTTTTGAACAGAAAATGAGCCAAGTCCACCCAGAAATACTATCTTTGTAGAAACCACTAGGGTCCTTTAAGCCAAGGTGAGAATCTGTTTCTTCAAACTTGGCCCAGAGGGGAGGACCTGTAGGTGTGGAGCTATGTTAACATATCTGGCCAGGCGCAGTGGCTCACGCCTGTAATCCCAGCACTTTGGGAGGCCGAGGTAGGTGGATCACAAGGTGAGGAGATTAAGACCATCCTGGACAACATGGTGAAACCCTGTTTTAGTAAAATACAAAAAATTAGCTGGGTGTGGGCTGGGTGCGGTGGCTCACGCCTGTAATCCCAGCAGTTTGGGAGGCCAAGGCGGGCAAATCACCTGAGGTCAGGAGTTCAAGGCTGGCCAATATGGTAAAACCCTATCTCTACTAAATAATATAAAAATAAGCTGGGTGTGGTGGCAGGCACCTGTAATACCAGCTACTTGGGAGGCTGAGGCTGAGGCAGGGAGAGAATTGCTTGAACCCGGGAGGCAGAGGTTGCAGTAAGCCAAGATCGCGCCACTGCACTCCAGCCTGGTGACAGAGTAAGACTCCGTGTCAAAAAAACAAAACAAACAAACAAAAAAAACAACACCATACCTGATAAATCAAGCGTAGAATTAGCCCTATTGTTTTTTTCTTTGTGTCTACGACATACTAGAAAGCTGTGATGAAATCGATATGTATTCTGTTGCCATCCCTCTGGGGACCAGTGCTTGGTCTCCTAATCCCCCTACTCGATGGCCTGAAAGTGTTTCATCTTCCCTGCCTGTTATCAGCATAGAATTGGTTGGTATTGTGACATAATCTGATTGCCTTGAGGCAGAGCTTACCTCCAAGCTGCTAGCTTCCTTCCCATTTGACCTTTCCCAAAGAAGCTAAGAATCCATGCCTTGTTGAAGGTGGGAACTAGGGGTTGAAGGCTTAATCTTGAGAGTCAGCGAACCTGTCCCTTAAGGCCAGCTTTGATGTGGGAAGAATATTGAATATTGTTTACTGAGATGGAGATGGGTGGAGGTAATTTTTCCTGACATTTTGGGGAAGGTAAGAGAAACCAAATTTAGACTGAAAGGGATCAGTGGCCAGGTGTGGTGGCTTACACCTGTAATCCCAGCAGTGTGGGAGGCTGAGGCAGTAGGATTGCTTGAGGCCAGGAGCTGGAGACCACCACCCTGGGCAACACAGCAAGATCCCCATCTCTACCAAAAAAAAAAAAAAAAATAGTTGGCCATGGTGGTGCATGCCTGTAGTCCTGGCTACTTGGGAGGCTGAGGCAGGAGGATCGCTTGAGCCCAGGAGTTTGAGGCTGCATTGAGCTATGCTTGCACGACTGCACTCCAGCCTGGGTGACAGAGCAAGACCCTATCTGAAAAACAAACAAATAATATAGGTCAATGTTCAGAGGAACCATTATCAAGAATATTTGGATTTTTATCCCTCTTATTTTCTAGAACTTGATTATAGCTCCCTTGTGTTCAGAGTTGTTCTTTTCAAAGTCCTTTGAGGTTGTATTCTGGTTTAAGATTCTATCCATTTCTCACTCTCAGATCTGTTTGTTCCACCCTCTCCCCCTAAATATTTGGATTTTATATAGACCAGTAGGCTAAGGTAGGGAAGACCACTGACAAGTATAAATTTAAGAGTTTACAAAACCAAGGAGGCCATCCAGCCCCTAGTTCTAAGCCATGTTCAGCACAGTGCCAACTTTGCCTTCCCTGGCTGTCCTTGCTTGCTTTCTGGTTGCTGTAATTCTGAGGGGCAACCAGGCTTGCTGTAGAGAGGAGAGCCAGATGATGTGGAAGCCTAAGGCAACACCCCCTCCTTATTACACTTCTCATACCCAGAACTCTGCTTGCTTTCTGTGTTCCTTTCCTCTCACTCCCCTTTCCTGCCCTCTTTACTCAAGTTCTAAGATTATAGCTGATGATCTTCATAATAGAACAAACTCTGTTTGGTTGACCTTCCTAACAGGGAATGCTTGGCTTTGAGAAAGTAGGGGGTTCCTAACTTCTTTGCCTTCTCTAGCTTTACAGTGCTCTTACTTCCTGCTGGGATTAGAACAGCCCTATTCCATAAATATGCACTGCTCTTGGCTGCTGTAACTCAGGCCCAGCTCTGACCCAGATTCTTTTTTTTTTTTTTTTTTTTGTCAGATTTGAGTCTATTAACTAGTGACCCTCAAAACACTTCATACATTTTTGGCCAAAAAGTGGTTACTGACTGGATAAGACAGAAGCCTTTGGGGGGCAGGGTGACTGGTCGGGCAGGTAACATGGTATTATACAGGCCTGATGGGGACTGTGACAAACTGAAAAGCAGGGTTTCAACCAGTTAGCGGCCTATGGGAGTTCCAGAATCATCATCATCATCTTTTTTTTTATTTTTATTTTTGGAAAACTCTCGGCCAGGCGCAGTGGCTCACGCCTGTAATCCCAGCACTTTGGGAGGCCGAGGCAGGCAGATCACGAGGTCAGGAGATGGAGACCATCCTGGCTAACACGGTGAAACCTCATCTCTACTAAAAAATACAAAAAATTAGCTGGGCATGGTGGCGGGCACCTGTAGTCCCAGCTACTCGGGAGGCTGAGGCAGGAGAATGGTGTGAACCCGGGAGGCAGAGCTTGCAGTGAGCCAAGATCGCGCCACTGCACTCCAGCCTCGGTGACAGAGCGAGACTCCGTCTCAAAAAATAATAATAATAATAATTCTCTGGGGTCTGTGGGTCTGTCCCTGCAGTGTCTTGTGGACTGCCCCGTGTAGCTTTGGCTCTCTCTTGGATTTACTCCCTTTGAGCTGGTGCCTAGAATTTCTCCGGGGGTAGGGGACAGCTGTGAGGAGCACCTTCTCATCTATCCTTTGCCAGTTCTCATTGTGTTTGGTGTTTGTTTTATTTGTTTGTTGGGGGGCGGCGGGGAGCGACAGGGGAAATGTTGAGCAGAAGCACTCGATGTGATTAAACCTCCGGCTGAGCAGATCTGTAGGAGTAGAATATCGACCCCTGGAAAATCAATGGCTGCTGCAGTGACCCAGCCGCTGTTTGCAGGGGCTACCACCACAGGAATGCAAGCAGCCCAGCAGTCTTTCTTCTCCCCACCTTTTTACCTCAGCAGTGCCCTCAGCCTCCACCCAGAGGGTCAGACCTGCCTCAAGAGATTTTGCAGAGGTGGGTTAGAACAGCACGTTCTCGTATTTTCACAATTAGATTGAAATTTCTCCAGTGACACAGAGCCCTGCCTCTGGCAGCCTCCTTTCCAGACATTCCTTTTCTGCACTGCTGCAGTTCTAGCAACAGCTCTTACCAAGTTGCCAAAACCCATTCGGGGTTGTACTTCTGAGTTTTAAACAGGAGAATCAATTCTCTTGATACCAGCACCCAAGAGCCCCTCCCTTGTGGAGGTCTAGAATTCAGGTACTGGGGTATAGGATGGGGGAATAGAGATTAAGGGAAAGAAAGAGGACTAATAGAGGTTGTGTCTAAAGAGGATGCTTTTGAGTAGATAATTCATTGAGCAACATTTATCAAGCATCTTGTCGTTTGTGTGTCTGGCATCTTTCTGGTCACTAATAGCCTGATCTTGCTCTGGTCCCACAGGCTAGTGGAGAAAAAGGGCGGATAGAACACAGTGCCATCAGTCCTGTAACACTGCTTCTAGAGGAGCCTCAGAGGAACTCTGTGCCCTGCCTATAGGGTGAGAGTAGGGAACTAGTCCTGTGACTTGGGTCAAAATAGATGGTTTAATAGAATGGCTAGCAGATCTCTGCTTGGAGCATGGAGGCTTCTGATTCCTCACTGCCTCCACAAAACTGTTTTCATCTTGGAAGTTCCCAAGGCTAAAAAACAATTTTAGCCTTTAGTTGTTGTACCTATAATGCCAATTCTACTCTGGTGGTTGGGAAACCAGCCAGCCTGATGTGTGTGAAAGGAGAGCTCAGTTGCCCTATTGTTGGAGCACCTCTGTGGCCAGAGGGTTGAAGCTTGCTTGGCTTTTAAAGCCTCTAGAAAGGAGCCTTCCCGTCTTGTAGCTTGGAGAGTGGGGTCCCTAAACAAAACCCAAACATCCTGCAGTTTGGAAGGGTGGCTGCAGTGCTGGGTGAGGAGGAAAGTGTGAGGGTTTGAAGTGGCCTAAGAGGAGGCCATCTAGAGGCCAGGAATATCTTGATTTTTTTTTTCTCTGTGAGCCACACCCTTGTGATTGATAAAAGGCTTAGAACATATTCAGTTTGAATACCCAGCAGAGACCAGGCTCCTACCTTCATGGGACTTCTACCTTCATGGGACTTCTGCTTGTTTCCCTACATTCAAAGTCACCCTCCCCACAGCCCTCTGTCCTCTTACACATTAAGTACCCTACAGAAAACCCAGGGGTGAGAAAAAGTACTGTACCCTTTAATTTAGCATAGAAAAATTAGGTTGAAGTTGAAGGTTATCAGTGAAAGGGCTGATTTGAAATAAAGGCTGAAAGTTATAGCAAGAGTAATTAGGAAAGAGGGGGGCCGGGCATGGTGGCTCACACCTGTAATCCCAGCACTTTGGGAGGCCGAGGCGGGTGGATCACTTGAGGTCAGGAGTTCGAGACCAACCTGATCAACATGGTGAAACCCCGTCTCTACTAAAAATACAAAAATTAGCCGGGCGTGGTGGCGAGGGTCTGTAATCCCAGCTACTCGGGAGGCTGAGGCAGGAGAATCACTAGAACCTGGGAGGCGGAGATTGCAGTGAGCTGAGATTGCACCACTGCACTCCAGCCTGGAGGACAGGGCAAAACTCCGTCTAAAAAAAAAAGGACAGGGGAACACATAGCATCACAGATTTGTAGAGTTTGATTATCTAGTGTAAGTCTTTCCTTCAATAAAGGAGTTAAGTGAGCCTCGTGAGGTTAGCCAGTTGAGTCAAGTAGCTAATCACGCAGCATGTCTGGTGATATAGGTTGTTGGCCTTACCTCTATTGGAGCATGGAACCCAGCCTTTGATCATGTCAAGCTTCTATTAATACCTTATGGAAAGAGTGTAAAGTAATAATGGATTTGAACCTCAGGTCTATTTAATAGCTGTCTGTCCTTGGGCAAGTCACTTCTGAACCTGCTTCTTTGTTAAAATGGGGGTAATACCTATATCAGAAGATGATTGTGAAAATTAAATGAGAGTCAACCACTCACCTTAGGGTTGAATATGTGATAGTCACATATTCATGTCAATTCTGCTTCCTTTCAAAAGGAATATATAAAGGAACTTTATTAACTTTATCTAACATCCTTTGTATTTGGAGATTTGGTCTCCAGAGCTTTCTTTATGAATTCTGATGTGTATATAGGGAGTTTCCTCTTGGAGACGGGCCCCTGAAAAGCATTCTGGAGACAAGAAGAGTCTTAACCCTTCTCTCCTGTGTCTTCCCCGTCAGGTGGCCAAAAGGTATCAGGAAGAATGAATCATTATCTTCAGAACAATAGCCTATGTAGAAAAAGAGAAGAGGGAGTTTGGTGGGGGATTTCATCCTATGCAATGGTTTCTAAGATACAAACCAAGTTTTTGGAAACTTGACGGGGGCAAGTAGGAAACACATTTTTCTAAACCTTTCCTGGAGTAGTTTCTGCTGTTCCAAACCATGGAGGTAGTCCATGTAGGTGATAGGGCTTGGTCCTACACTAAAAGGGTAGTGTCAACCTCTGCATCTTTTCTTCCCGTTCCTTAGTACCTGCTTAATTAACTTCTGACCTGGAATTACCACCGGGTGTGAAAGGCAGCCTATTCTGTGTGTTGATTCTTTCTTGGCATTTCAGTTAACATCAGCAAGCCTGCTCTCTATGCATAGGTGGCAGTTAATCTGTTGGATTGAGACCACTCCGTGGAATAATGTCACAGCAGTTCTGTAACTTTTGGAGTCCCTACCAGTCTGGGGTGGGTCAAATTTCTCTTTCTTACATTTATAGCAAAGACTAAGGAGAAAAAAAGAACTTATGACTGAAACTTTATTGTACAAGTGTTCAGTAGAGGTAGTCCCTTCTCCTCTGCTACCCTCAACAAGTTGTTGCTTAAGGAAGGTTTTATGAAAAGCCAAGTCTCCCAAAAACTTATTTGCCTTAAGTAATTAATTTTGTCTCAGTTTTTCTTCCTTAGAGTTTAAGGCTATTGCCTCCTCTCCTACCTTTTCCTTTTCTTCATGGGTTATGTTTCCCAGTCTCTTCTGTGTTCTTCAGGATTTCCTCCCATTCTTCAGCATGAGAGCAGCCTAGGGGCGGGGCGGGGATAAGGGACTGACAAATTACTAGTGTAGATTTGGTCATTATGGAATTTTTTATTCAAGTATTGTCATTTAAGTGGGGATGGCTGAGCTGCAAGGTTCCCAGTGCACACACTTACTACAGGCATGTGCGTAGGATTTACCTGGTTCTCATGACGGGTGGTTTACCTGCCAGTATCAGCACAACTCAGCAAAAGCTTTTCCCAACTAAATGGGTACAAGAACTCCATCTGGGATTCCCCAAGGATTTAGCCAGATTTATGGGAAAACCCTAAATCTGAGCATTGCCATGAGCCTATTCTTTATACTTAACCTGTTGCCATTTAACCTGCTCAGCAAAATGAACTGATGTCATCCTCATGTGGCTCTATTGGGAGATAATTTAAACTTCCCTCCTCTAACCCTGATCTGGTGTCTTCCTGCTTAAAAATATTCTTCAGTGGGCAGCCAATTCATCTTAGAACTTGCAGTTCTTCCTGTGAGAGTACCAGCACCCCCACCGTCCCTACCCCACAAAATAAGGTATGGACTGTGTGATTTCAGGCATGGTTTTGTTGTGGTGTGAAGAGAAGGTGTTTAGCTGCTGAGTTCTGTTTGTTAGCAGAGCCTGACAAACTCATGCTGGCACTCACTAGGGCTGGGCAACCAATCACAGCTGGGACGGTTATCGTCATGGAGTCCCTATGGGCTTCCTCTATCAGGTCACATCCCAAAATAACATTGGGCAGTATTTCAACTGAAGAAATGAAGGCTTTCAGGGCTGTAGCCAGCCTGGAGTGTGAGATTCTGTGTGAAATAGTTGGATCTGCTCCAGCGCTTTTGATCTGCATGGTAGATGAGCAATAAAATGCACAAAACACATTGGAAACACGTGAGGAAATTCTCCTGGCCCTGCTGCTTCCTTGGAACTGGTAGGGCACTGAGTGGGCTGATCCTCACCTCCCATCTCTCAGCAGGATTATACTTGGAGGAGAACAAACCCGGGAAAAGAAATCTTCCCATTAAAGGGGCATTGCTACAGTTATTTCCGCAGTCCTTCCAGAAGATGCCTGTTAGGTGTGCTCTTTTGGGAGAATTGAGAACCTGAGAGTCCTGAGATGCCAAGGGCATCCCTCACCAGGGAGAATAGGGGCTTGGATTGCAGTGGCGTGATCTCGGCTCATTGCAAGCTCCGCCTCCTGGATTCATGCCATTCTCCTGCCTCAGCCTCCCGAGTAGCTGGGACTACAGGCACACGCCACCACGCCTGGCTAATTTTTTGTATTTTTTAGTAGAGATGGGGTTTCACTGTGTTAGTCAGGATGGTCTCAGTCTCCTGACCTTGTGATCTGCCTGCCTCGGCCTCCCAAAGTGCTGGGATTACAGGCATGAGCCACCACACCTGGCCCGACTGAACTTTTTATTAATGATAAATGTGTTGTAGAAAACTGAACTGTTAGGAACATTGAGGTCTGACTCAACAATCAGACATCTGGCTTTTTGTGGAACAAAAGACCTGAAAAACTGGCTTTTTGTAGAGTAGAAAGCAGAGGTGTGTCCTGTGTAATAAAAGGATGTGGAGCTGAGAGCAATATCTGTTCATGTAGATAGAGGGGCAGGACATCTTTTGGAGACTTCTGCCCTTACCACTCCCTCCCATTTCCCAATAAAAATATTTACTATGACTAGCCACTGGGACTGGTGGGTATGTCTTAGAACTTATATTGCTGGTATGTTGTTATATCTCTCATTCCAGAATATTGCTGCTGGTCGTTTGACCCTGACCATATGGTGCTAGGGGGGATTCATGCATATGCCCCAGGGGTGTCATAGACTTAGATTTATCCAGCCCCCTCTGATTGTATATGTGAGAAAACTGAAGCCTGACTTGTTGCCAGTTTGCCTAAGGTCACAACTGATAAGTACCAAAAGCTGGGCCTTGGTTTCCTAACTCAGAGGCGTGACCTTTCTCCTCAGTTCATATAGTGTCACAACATAATGGAGAGAGAAAGCCAGCATGGCCTATGGGGTTCAGCAGTCCCGGGTTTAAAATCTGGCTTCCACCACTTGCCAGATGACCTAAGCATGTAATCCAATCTCTTTAGGCATCAGCTTCCTCATCTTCAAATTGGTAATGTGGCTGGGTACAGTGGCTCACGCCTGTGATCCCAGCACTTTGGGAGGCCAAGGTAGGAGGATTGCTTGAGCTCAGGAATTTGAGACCAGCCTGGGCAACATGGTGAAACCCCACCACTACAAAAATACAAAAAAAATTAACCAGGTGTCTGTAGTCGCAGCTACTCTGGAGGTTGAGGTGGGAGGATGGCTTGAACCCAGGAGACAGAGGTTGCAGTGAGCCAAGATTGTGCCACTGCACTCCAGCCTGGGTAACAGCCAGACCCTGACTCAAAAAAAACCAAACCAAAACCAAAATGGTAATGGTAGTAGTATCTATAACCAAGACTTGTAGAAAATTGGGTAACTTTGCTAAGTGTCTGGCATATAGTAGATGCTTAAATGGTAGCTGTAGTTAATCGTAAATGATTTACCCCTTTCTATGCTAACATTTTGGCTCTTAAAATTATTTGAAACCAACTATCTGATGCTGACCAGTTGCCATCTAATGAAAATGACAGTTTGAGAGGTTGGCCTCAAGCCAACCAAATCAGAGAGATAAGAAGATTAATGCTCTTCCTTCCCTAGTATTTTTCTATACCCAGGCATCCCAGCCAGGTGGGACTACTGTTGACAGTGGTTTATTTAGCACTTTTTCTCCAAGAAGCTCAGGGCACTTTACCAAAAGTGACAGCTCTCCTGAAGAAGGGGAAGCCACCTCTTTGCCAGCCACAGATGCCTCCAGAGTTCTGAGACCCCAGCCCCAAGAGCTACAGAGGTTTTCTTTAGGCTCCTAGGATCCCTCAGGTGGACCAGGGGCATTCTCCTTTTGGATCTATGGTGAGCCTGGTTTTTTAACTGAAAGTGTGGCTGAAAGGACCTCCTCAGTTCTTGCCCTGAGCTGATAGGAGTGGTTGGTGGGTTTTGGTTTTTTGGTTTTTTTTTTTTGAGATGGAGTCTCGCTCTGTTGCCCAGGCTGGAGTGCAGTGGTGCGATCTCGGCTCACTGCAACCTCCGCCTCCCGGGTTCACGCCATTCTCCTGCCTCAGCCTCCCGAGTAACTGGGACTGCAGGCACCTGCCACCACACCTGGCTATTTTTTTGTGTTTTTAGTAGAGACAGGGTTTCACTATGTTAGCCAGGATGGTCTCGATCTCCTGACCTCGTGATCCTCCTGCCTCGGCCTCCCAAAGTGCTGGGATTACAGACGTGAGCCACCGCGCCTGGCCAAGTTTTGGTTTTTTGTTTTGTTTCTTGTTGTTTGTTTTTGTTTTTTTTTCTTAGCGCTTCAGTACATGTCCAAAGATACACACCAAGGCCAGGGGCAGTGGCTCATGCCTGTAATCCCAGAACGTTAGGAGGCTGAGGAGGGCAGATCGCTTGAGCCCAGGAGTTCGAGACAAGCCTGAGCAACATGGCAAGGCCCCATCTCTACAAAAAAATTTAAAAATTAGCCGGGGGGCCAGGCGTGGTGGCTCATGCCTGTAATACCGGCATTTTGGGAGGCCAAGGTGGGCGGATCACCTGAGGTCAGGAGTTCGAGACCAGCCTGGCCAACATGTTGAAACCCCGTCTCTACTAAAAATACAAAAATTAACTGGGTGTGGTGGTGCACGCCTGTAATCCCAGCTACTCAGGAGGCTGAGGCAGGAGAATTACTTGAACCAAGGAGGTGGAAGTTGCAGTGAGCCAAGATTATACCACTGCCCTCCAGCCTGGGTGACAGACCCAGACCGAGACCCTGTCTCTTTAAAAAAAAAAAAAACAAAAAAACACACACAAAAAAAAACCCACAAAGATACACACCAAATTGAACAGCGGTTTCTCTATTGAGGGCAACAGAAAGACAGCCATGGGGCACTTTGGCTTCACCTATAATAGCTGAAATGTTTTTTTTTTTCTTTTTTGAGACGGAGTCTCGCTCTGTCGCCCAGGCTGGAGTGCAGTGGCACAATCTCGGCTCACTGCAAGCTGCGCCTTCCAGATTCACGCCATTCTCCTGCCTCAGCCTCCCGAGTAGCTGGGACCATGGGTGCCCGTCACCACGTCTGGCTAATTTTTTGTATTTTTAGTAAAGACGGGGTTTCACCGTGTTAGCCAGTATGGTCTCGATTTGCTGACCTTGTGATCCGCCCGCCTCAGCCTCCCAAAGTGCTGGGATTACAGGTGTGAGCCACTGCGCCCGGCCCAATATCTGAAATGTTTTTATCATGAGAATGTTTATGTTTTACTTGTATAACAAGACACAAAAATGATCAAAACAAAACATTTAATTTTTCTAATCCCAGCTACTCAGGAGGCTGAGGCAGGAGAATCACTTGAACCTGGGAGGTGGAGGTTGCAGTGAGCTGAGATCATGCCACTGCACTCCAGCCTAGGCGACAGACGGAGACCCTGTCTCTTAAAAAAAAAAAAAAATGCTGAGGCGAGCGGATGGAGGTCAGGAGATCCAGACCATCCTGGCTAACATGGTGAAACCCCGTCTCTACTAAAAATACAAAAAAAAATTAGCCGGGCATGGTGGCGGGTGCCTGTAGTCCCAGCTACTCAGGAGGCTGAGGCAGGAGAATGGCGTGAACCCAGGAGGCGGAAGTCACAGTGAGCCGCGATAGCGCCACTGCACTCCAGCCTGGGCAACAGAGTGAGACTCCGTCTCAAAAAAAAAAAAAAAAGGAAATAAAAACGCACAAAGATACGCACCAAATAATTGAACAGTGGTTTCTCTGTTGAGGGCAACAGAAGGACAGCTGTGGGGAACTTTGGTGTCGGAGACTTTGGCTTCACCTGTAATATCTGAAATGTTTTTATCATGAGAATGTTCATGTTTTACTTGTATAAAGACAAAAATAATCAAAACTTTTTTTTTTTTCTTGAGACGGAGTCTCACTCTGTCACCCAGGCTGGAATGCAGTGGTGCTATCTTGGCACACTGTAACCTCCACCTCCCGGGTTCAAGGAATTCTCCCTGCCTCAGCCTCCTGAGTACCTGGGATTACAGGTGCCCACCACCACGCCCGGGTTTTGCCATGTTGGCCAGGCTGGTCTTGAACTCCTGACCTCGTAATCCGCCTACCTCGGCCTCCTAAAGTGCTGGGATTACGGACATGAGCTACTGCGCCTGGCCAACATATAATTTTTCAAAGCGATTTGAACTGAACCAAGTTCTCGTCTGATGGATGGATCCCTGATTCCTATTCTGTTCTGAAATACACTTCTTTTTCCTGTAAGCAGGAAAGTTCTTATTACCAGAAGCTGGCAGTTTGATAAGGAATGGAGACTGTAGGAAGGAGTGGGTGAGGGAACCTTCTGGTCCCTAAAACAGCATTGAGCTGTGGAATTTGCTATATAGACTGTAGGGCCTAACGAGTGCTTCTTGAGACCCTTTCTACTTACAGTGGCTCTCCTTGTCATCTTGCTGCCTCTTTTAGTTTGTTCTTGGCTCAGAGGCTAGATGTCCATGGTATAACTTAGCCATCAAAACAGGGATGGGGCTGGGCACAGTGACTCATGCTTATCATATCAGGAGTTTGGGAGGCCAATGTGGGAGGATTGAGCCCAAGAGTTTGAGACCACCCTGGGCAACATGGCAGAATCCCTTCTCTACACACACACAAACACAGCCAGACATGGTGGCGCCTGCCTGTACACACACATACAGAGCCAGATGTGGTGGTGCGTGCCTGTAGTCCCAGCTACTCAGGAGGCTGAGGTAAGAGGATCACTTGAGTTGGGCAGGTTGAGGCTGTAGGGAGCTGGCATCATGCCAATGTACTGCAGCCTGGGGTAACAGAGTGAGACCCTGTCTCAAAAAAAAAAAAAAAAGAAGAAGAAGAACCAAGGATGTAATCCCTCTATCTTGGGATTAACATGGGGCTCTTCATAGCTCCAGGTACTTTAGTCCTTCGAGAAAGGAGGATGTCCTTTGCTGTTACCTTGTGGTTGGCCTCTTGAAATCATTCTATGCTGGAACGAATTCTCATTGCATTTTTAAAGTATGCTATGGCATACCTGGCCTACTTCTTACCAACAAGAAAGCTAGCATTTTCTGACTTCTCAGCTAACATGGAAAGCTGGACACAGGCACAAATGCACACCTACCTACCTGCCTTCAGAGCAAACTTTGTCTCCAAGAGCTCAGCAGAAATGCTCCCAGCCTAATGAGGTACCCAAGTGGTTTGTGGAAGGTCCACCCAGCTTGGATACTTGAAGGAGAGCCTAAAAGCTGCCCTCTGACCTCCAGTGTTAACTGTCAGATCTTAGGGTCAAAGTCACTTTCAGCCGATCTTTCCCGGGTGAGCTTGTTTGTGTGAGCAGGAATAGACTCAAATCAAACCAACTTGGATCTCCTCCTCCTTGAGATGTGTGGTGTTTTCGGTTTTGTTTTTGTGTGTTTGTTTGTTTGTTTTTGAGATGGTGTTTTGCTCCGTTACCTATGCTGGAGTGCAGTGGTACAATCTCGGCTCACTACAGCCTCCTCCTCCTGGGCTTAAGTGATTCTCCCACCTCAGCCTCCCAAGTAGCTGGGACTACAGCTGCACACCACCACACCTGGCTTATTTTTGGGGGTATTTTTAGTAGAGACAGGGTTTTTGCCACGTTGCCCAGGCTGGTCTCGAACTCCTGGGCTCAAGTGATCTGCCCGCCTCGGCCTCCCAAAAGGCTGGGACTACAGGCATGAGCCACTGCGCGTGGCCCAGTGTGTTTCTTTAAGAGAACTCTTTATTTACCATTTAAGTATCAGGGTTTTCATCCTTTCTTCAATTACAGTTAGTTCCCAGCCTGAAGTAATGTTGCTAGAGAATGAACATGGGGCAGGGGATGGAGTTAGGGTACATTTTCTGGGGTGAATATTTTTCATATTGAGCTCCTGTTTGCTAATACTGGAGTTTGTTGACCTAGAGTGAACTCTTTATTGATTAACTGAAGACAAGCAAAGCCTACAAACAAATACCAAGTTCTCACTGAAAAACATAAAAGCTGGGAAAAAAACAGAATTTGTTCAATTGGCAAACATTTGTTGATTACTGTTATAGACCAGGTGTTAGGAGTGTAGTCCCAGACCTTCTTGGCAGTTAAGAAATTGTCTTTCTCATCCAATGTCTCTCTTTCTTACCTCCTACCCCTTATGTTGCAAAGTATGGTGACTTGGAGTGAGTCCTTGGCAAATGGAGGCTGTGATAATCTATAGTAATAATCATCATTGTAATATATAATAGAAGGAGAGGGGATCTATAAATGTTTCCCAAACTTGTTAACATTCTCTTGTAGCTCCTGGTGCCATCCTGGCAGCATTTTGTAAAGTTTTGCTATTAGAAAAGAACTAAAGCCTCACTGAAATAGTTGCTTTCTTATGACTGTAGAAGTTATGACTGGGAAAGAAGACAAAAGTGCTAGATCTGCTTCTGAGGGGATAGAATAGGAGTCAGCAAAACTCAGTCACACCATTGTTTGTATATTGTCTGACTACTGTTGCACTATAGTGTCAGAGTTGAGTAGTTTTGAAGGAGGCTTTATGGCCCACAAAGGTCTAATATATATTCCACCTGGTCCTTAACAGAGTTTGCCATATGTAAGTTATAGTATGATGACTAGGGCCGGGCGCGGTGGCTCACGCCTATAATCCCAGCACTTTGGGAGGCCAAGGAGGGTGGATCACCTGAGGTCGGGAGTTCAAGACCAGCCTGACCAACATGGAGAAAACCCGTCTCTACTAAAAATACAAAAATTTAGCCGGGCGTGGTGGTGCTTGCCTGTAATCCCAGCCACTCGGGAGGCTGAGGCAGGAGAATTGCTTGAACCCAGGAGTCAGAGGTTGCGATGAGCCGAGACGTGCCATTGCACTCCAGCCTGGGCAACGAGTGAAACACTGTCTCAAAAAAAAAAATTTTTTTTTTTAATAAAAATAGTATCATGACTAAAGAACGTGTGTGATGTATTTGCTCTTGGTTGTTTAAGGAAAATGCTAAGCAAGTAGTAGGATTATTGAAAGTAGAATCTTTCTGCCTAATATTACTAATCCATGTTCTTATATATATGTTCTAGGATCTATCTGGTTCAATAGATGACCTCCCCATGGGGACAGAAGGAGCTCTGAGTCCTGGAGTGAGCACATCAGGGATTTCCAGCAGCCAAGGAGAGCAGAGTAATCCAGCTCAGTCTCCTTTCTCTCCTCATACCTCCCCTCACCTGCCTGGCATCCGAGGCCCTTCCCCGTCCCCTGTTGGCTCTCCCGCCAGTGTTGCTCAGTCTCGCTCAGGACCACTCTCGCCTGCTGCAGTGCCAGGTACCCTCAAGTGCTGGGCTTTAGGGAGAGGGAAAGGTGACTGCCCCCAGTAATATTAAGGAGCCCTAGTCTTCCACTGGCAGAGAAAGCATCTCTGGCTCATGCCTGCATAGTTTCCCCTTAGCATTTGGAGAAGGAGATTGGAACCTGTTGGCTGGATCTCTTTGTGTGTGATACTGGGAGGTACTTGGCCTCTTCATGAGCCATTTCTAGCTCTGAATTAACTTCCTAGTTAGAATTCCCAGGCTTAGCCATGATATGCTTATGTTGTTCTTTGTCTGGAGCAGGCAACCAGATGCCACCTCGGCCACCCAGTGGCCAGTCGGACAGCATCATGCATCCTTCCATGAACCAATCAAGCATTGCCCAAGATCGAGGTGAGAGCCTGGGTGTTGGGGAGGGGCAGGGAGCTAGGGCAGACATTTGAGTGCCCTATGCAGTAGCTTTTGGAGAGCTGTTTGACCATGAAGCTTAGGACAATCCCTGCAGCAAATTGTTTTTATATTCTTTAAAAGTTGACGTAATAATTGTACTCATTTATGGGGTACATAATGATGTTTCAATAGAAGTAACGTATAGTGATCAGATCAGGGTAATTAGCAGATATATAATCTCAAACACTTATTACTTCTTTGTGCTGAGACCCAGCAGCAAATTGTGAAGTTAGAGTGGGCTTGGCCGTGTTAATGTCTCCATTTCACAGTACTTGTCTGTGTTTTGATGGTTGCCCCCTTACATTTTGCCTCATTTGGTCGGCAGTTGCTGAAGACTCAATGTTCGGTCTTCACTCATCAAGTCATTCATTTTGGTTTTTGTCATTGTTCTTTGTCTTTTCAAACCTCCATTTAGTAGAAACAGCTGGCATGCCCTGGTTAATGGTTCATGTCACTCTGAAGGTGCCTAAAATGACACACCACTATATAGAAAATCAGATAGAGACTCCATGCAAGTGGCTGCTAAAGAAAATGTAGATGGTAAAGTCCCAGGATAAGGATGGAGAGCATTTGTTCGCATTGTATAAAGCTAATAACTATATGGATGCTACCCACAAATAGGTTATATGCAGAGGAACCCCCAGATGCCCCAGTACAGTTCCCCCCAGCCCGGCTCAGCCTTATCTCCGCGTCAGCCTTCCGGAGGACAGATACACACAGGCATGGGCTCCTACCAGCAGAACTCCATGGGGAGCTATGGTCCCCAGGGGGGTCAGTATGGCCCACAAGGTCAGTATACTACCCAGTTAGGAGTAGATACGGGTGAGAGGAGAAAACAGTTCCTTGTCTGATATGTTGCCATCTAGCTTGTAACCTTGTGAGAGAAGGGCTGTCCTTTGCCTTTAATCCACCCAGCCCAGGCCCTGAAGTAGGGCAAGGCAAGATTCCATTTGTCTCCACTTATTCTGTCACCATGAGAAAGTCTTTCAATTTCACTGAGCCTCTGTTTCATTTATAAAAATGGAGATTAGGTGTTTACTCCACCATTGAGCACAGACAATTTATACATGGTAGCTCTTGGTTATTATTTTTTTATTAATTATTTTTAGTGAATAAGTCATAATGGAATAGATCTTTGCTCAAAATTGCAGCCCTAGGCTGATCAAAAGTTGAGAATCTTACACAGAGCATGGAAATAGAAAGGAAGTTATCTTCTTCTGGAAGTTGAAATGCCTGTGTGGCAGCAAAGCCAGCCTTGCTCTGACCTGCCTTTACATGCTTCTGGAATCCCCCCCTTTTTCTCATGGCGATAAAGGCTACCATGAAGTTGATCTCTTTCCTAACCAAAATATTGAATGACATTGTTTGGTGTTCTAGAGTTGAGAGATATTAGTGAGTTGCTAGTGAGTGACTAACCAAGTCTTGTCTTCCTCCCCTCCCAGGTGGCTACCCCAGGCAGCCAAACTATAATGCCTTGCCCAATGCCAACTACCCCAGTGCAGGCATGGCTGGAGGCATAAACCCCATGGGTGCCGGAGGTCAAATGCATGGACAGCCTGGCATCCCACCTTATGGCACACTCCCTCCAGGGAGGATGAGTCACGCCTCCATGGGCAACCGGCCTTATGGCCCTAACATGGCCAATATGCCACCTCAGGTTGGGTCAGGGATGTGTCCCCCACCAGGGGGCATGAACCGGAAAACCCAAGAAACTGCTGTCGCCATGCATGTTGCTGCCAACTCTATCCAAAACAGGTAAGGCCTGGGAAGCAGAGAGGGTGTCAGTGCAAGAAAATGTATTATAGACCCACTCAGATTATTGAGATGCTTCTGGACCTAAACCAGGGGGGGAAAATGGGTGTGTGTGTATGAAGTGTTAATTCTTACATACCTTAGATGGGTCTGAAATTTCACGTGACTAAACATCATATGTAATGAGCTTTATAAAAGACAGGTTTTTGGCCGGGCGTGGCGGCTCATGCCTGTAATCCTAGCACTTTGGGAGGCCAAGGCGGGCAGATCATGAGGTCAGAAATCAAGACCAGCCTGATCAACATGGTGAAACCCCGTCTGTACTAAAAATACAAAAATTAGCTGGGTGTGGTGGCGCACGCCTGTAATCCCGGCTATCGGGAGGCTGAGGCAGGAGAATCACTTGAACCCAGGAGGAAGAGGTTGCAGTGAGCCAAGACTGCGCCACCACACTCCAGCCTGGGCGACAGAGCGAGACTGTCGAAAAAAGGGGTTTTGTGGGGTGTTTTATTTTGGGGTCTTTTGAGACAGGACCCTGCTCTGTTCCCCAGGCTGAATTGCAGTGGCATGACCACAGTTCACTGCAGCCTCGACCTCCCAGGCTCAAGTGATCCTCCCACCTCAGCCTTCTGAGTAGTTGGGACTACAGGCACACACCACCACACCCAGCTAATTTTTTTTATTTTTTATATTTATTTATTTATTTAGAGACTGTCTCACTCTGTTGCCCAAGCTGGAGTGTAATGGCACACTTTCAGCTCACTGCCACCTCTGCTTTCCAGGTTCAACCAATTGTCCTGCCTCAGCCTCCCAAGTAGCTGGTGTTACAGGCACCCGCCACCATGCCCTGCTAATTTTTATATTTTTAGACTGGGTTTCACCATGTTAGCCAGGCTGGTCTCAAAATCCTGACCTCCAGTGAGCTGCCTGCCTTGGCCTCTGAAAGTGCTGGGATTACAGGCATGATCCACCATGCCCGGCCTTTTTTTTTTTTTTTTAAATAGAGATGGGGTCTCAGTGTGTTGCCAGGGCTAAAGACTGCTTATTTTGATGTGCAAAATAAGTGTTCAGAGTAGGTGGTTTAACTTCTATCAGTCAACTTTTTGGTTTCCAAAAGGATTCTTAATGATACATATGTCTTGGATCTTTGGTGTTAGAAATAGCAAATGGTAAGCTTGTGGTTTGCCATTTCTCCTACTGTTTTATGTGGTCCTACGTGTTGACTCTGGTGCTAGAGTACAGAAGGCTCATGTGATTAGGTTTAACAACTTCTTTAGCCACTAAATCTTACTGAGTTGTTGTTGATGAACCAAGGTAGAATAGGGCGATTGACTATAAAGAGGTGGATTTGGTAGAACTTCAGAATGATGGAAGTGCAAAGTTTGCATTGGGCCCCTCAAGAAATAATGCAAAGCCACCTCTGGGTGCTATGCTGAGGGTTCCAGTCTGGTTGGGATTTAGCATGACAAAAAGTGGTACAGTTCAGCATTTCATCTATGCCTTTTGCCACAGACAGGGCCCTTAAATGGAAATACAACTTGACTTTGGAGGTGGCTTTGAGGAAGGCAGTACTTAAAGGACACAGCAGGGCTCTGCTTCAAAGAATTACACCCTTTGAAATTGAGCTATTGTGGCCGGGTGCGGTGGCTCACTCCTGTAATCCTAGCACTTTGGGAGGCTGAGGCAGGTGGATCACCTGAGGTCAGAAGTTCAAGACCAGCCTGCCCAGCATGGCAAAACCCCATCTCTACTAAAAATACAAAAAAATAGCCAGGCATGGTGGTGGGCGCCTGTAATCCCAGCTACTCACGAGGCTGAGGCAGAATGGCTTGAACCTGGGAGGCGGAGGTTGCAGTGAGCCGAGATCATGCCATTGCACTCCAGCCTGGGAGATGAGTGAAACTCCATCTCAAAAAAAAATTGGCCGGGCATGGTGGCTCACCCCTGTAATCCCAGCATTTTGGGAGGCTGAGGCAGGCGGATAACGAGGTCAGGACATCGAGACCATCCTGGCTAATACGGTGAAACCCTGTCTCTACTAATAAAGTACAAAAAATTAGCCGGGCGTGGTGGCAGGTGCCTGTAGTCCCAGCTACTTGGGAGGCTGAGGCAGGAGAATGGCGTGAACCCGGGAGGCGGAGCTTGCAGTGAGCTGAGATCGCGCCACTGCTCTCCAGCCTGGGCAACAGAGCGAGACTCCATCTCAAAAAAAAAAAAAATTGAACTATTGTTTGCTATCTAGAGCTTGAACTCTCTTAGTATCTTTCGTGGGAGGTAGAAGATAAGAAAATCTGGGTGTTGGCCGGGCTCGGTGGCTCATGCCTGTAATTCCAGCATTTTGGGAAGCCGAGGCAGGTGGATCACCTGAAGTCAGGAGTTCGAGACCAGCCTGACCAACATGGAGAAAGCCCATCTCTACTAAAAATACAACATTAGCCGGGTGTGGTGGTACATGCCTGTAATCCCAGCTATTTGGGAGGCTGAGAAAGGAGAATTGCTTGAACCTGGGAGGCTGAGATTGCAGTGAGCCGAGATTTCACCATTGCACTCCAGCCTGGGCAACAAGAGTGAAACTCTGTCTCAAAAAAAAAAAAAAGAAAATCTGGGTGTTAGCTGGACATGGTGGTGCATGCCTCATAGTCTTAGGCACTCAGGAGGCTGAGGAAGGCAGATTGTTTGAGCTCAGGAGATTAAGGCTGCAGTAAGCTATGATCACACCACTGCATTCCAGCCAGGGTGCCAGAGCAATACCCTGTCTCAAGAAAATAAATTAAAGAAAAATAATATCTGGATGTTGCATAGTTCTAGTTTTGGGGACCCATAAATGTTTTCCTTTTAATCCTTACTAGATGATCACACAGCACTATTTGGCTCCAGTTCAAATCTAAAAGCTCAGAGTCTAACCTTTGTCTCTCTCACTTTCCATCTTCTTCCTTAGGCCGCCAGGCTACCCCAATATGAATCAAGGGGGCATGATGGGAACTGGACCTCCTTATGGACAAGGGATTAATAGTATGGCTGGCATGATCAACCCTCAGGGACCCCCATATTCCATGGGTGGAACCATGGCCAACAATTCTGCAGGTAAGTGCTAGTCATTCTCACTAGGGATTTCTTCAAGAGTCACATCACAGCTAAACTTACTGGACTTGAGAATTTTTTTCTCTTTTACAGGGATGGCAGCCAGCCCAGAGATGATGGGCCTTGGGGATGTAAAGTTAACTCCAGCCACCAAAATGAACAACAAGGCAGATGGGACACCCAAGACAGAATCCAAATCCAAGGTAGTGATTTTTGTCTTGACTCCTTTCAACTTTGTGTCCTATCTTTTTCAGTGATAGGAAGGAAAAAGAAAAGAGAGTGACAAGATCCCAGCCTTTTATGACACCGGACTAGATAGTCTCTGAAAAAGCTGCTGTTGCCTCCTCTTATCATGAAAGGTCCCAGAATAATAGCTCAGTGAGTTGGGTCTGGGTTGGTCTAAGGGATCCTGGTAAATAACATAATATTCTCACAGCTGTTTGTTATGGGGGAAATGCCAGACACTGCAGCATCAAACTCTCTGTACTGTTTGGCTGGTGCCCTCTGTGAAACCGTGCCTCCTATACTCAAGCATTGATAGATGGGGTGTGCCATGGGCAACTAGTTGCTCTTCTCTTCCTGAACCTTACTCATAGCAGCAGGAATGGTACCCTGTGTTCTGTAAAGAAGGAGATAAGGCAGATGAGGCTTGAGTCCTTGGCTTCCCTTAGGTTGGTCCTGGGTGTACTGTTAGGCTGTGCGGTAGTAAAGGGTCCTACTCAGCATTTGGGTCATTTGTAATATTTCTGTCCTTGGCCATACCTCACTTTCCCTATCTGTATACATAGGGAAAATAAAAATCATAGCTGTTAATTCCTGTGAGTCTTCACCTCTGGCTCCCAGCCCTTTTGACCACGTTCCTGTCTTGTACAGGATAATATCCAAAGCCCTTCAACCAGGTGGGAAACCTTTCCTTTGTTTAGAAGAGGCAAAGAGTTTCTTTTCATTTTAGTCCATCCCATTGCCTCAAGATCATGTTGTGAGTTTTTCGATTTCTCTAAAACATAGTACCTAAGTATGTTCAGGCTCCTGGGTAGTAGTGTGGGAGCAGTAGTGGCTTTGATGTCAGGTGGACAAGGATTTGATACTCAGCCTGCCACTTAAAAGCTGTGAGATCTTAGGCTTTGCCTCCTGGTGCCTGCTTCCTTATCTTTACAAATGGGGATAATTTTATAATACCTAATATATAAAGGCATCTAGCACAGCACCCAGTACATAACATATATTTAGTGTTAGCTTCCTTCCTTTATAGGAAAAAAAAATTTGGTTCTCTTTTGGCCCTTCAACCTTATGAAGGTAGGACAGGTGTTAGTAACCACCCCAGAGTAAGAAGCTTTAACACTGCTCCAGTCAAGAGACTTCTGAGACCCTTAGCACAGGCTTTGAATCTGACCCATTCCTATGAATTTTGACCTGAACCTTCCAGAAATCCAGTTCTTCTACTACAACCAATGAGAAGATCACCAAGTTGTATGAGCTGGGTGGTGAGCCTGAGAGGAAGATGTGGGTGGACCGTTATCTGGCCTTCACTGAGGAGAAGGCCATGGGCATGACAAATCTGCCTGCTGTGGGTAGGAAACCTCTGGACCTCTATCGCCTCTATGTGTCTGTGAAGGAGATTGGTGGATTGACTCAGGTGAGTGGGCGCCTGACACTTGACTGCCCCTGTGGTTTCCACAAACCCCTTTCTAGGTACTCACTGGCTTCATGTGGTACCATGCATCCCACAGGGACATCATCCCCTCTCCCGCTTTCTGAGTCTAATATTGATAGACCGGGGAGCACAGGTTTCCCAGAAGATAAGGCAGGAAGCAGAGACCTCCCTGGTAGTATGAGGTATTAGCAGTAAGTTTACCGTGTATCTATGGTCCCACTGAGGTGTAAAGCTAGGGAAAGTCTGTGGGCATTCTGATTCCATGGGAGGCAATTTGGCATAGTAGCAAAGACAGGATTTGGAGAGATGGACCTGGTTTTGAATCCCTTCTTGGCCACTTATAACATATATGACCTTAAGGTGTGTAACCACTCTGAACCTTAATTTCATTATTTGTAAAATACAAACAGTATGTAACAGTATATAACCCACTAGACTGTCAAAAGTTAGAAATAACTTTGGCTTTCAGCAAGGTTTCTGCCACATAAATCGGCCTGCAAGATGGTACAGAGGCAGCCAGAGTAGAAGTAGATCTTCCCATTCCTGGAAGCTTCCCAGTAGAGATAGGATTTCAGGAACTGCTTAGTAGAAATAGTTTATAATAAAGGAAGAAGTAGTAGGAAATTATGTGTTTAGTTATTCTGTATGGGAAACTTAAATGAAAACCTGAATTGGACACCACCCAGAGCTTGTGCCTACTCTGATACCTTACAATTTTGTAGACTCAGCCCAGGAAGCAAACAGGTGAGGCAGCACAGACAGACAGCAGACTGTGCCTTGCAGACTTCCCTCCTGTGTATGTTCTGTAGTCACCAGACCAGAAGCCTGCTGTTGGATCAGTTTGTGGCTGAGCTCGGGGAGGTGTGGCAGGGAGGGATTTATTCCAAACCTTCTAAATCAGAAGAGGAAAACAGCTGTCACCAGCAGAAAAGAAAGTGGTTGGAATGAAGCCAGCCAACAGTCAGTTATGAATTCCTTCTCCCTTCAGGCTTTATTCCCCTCCCCCACAAAGGAAAACAAAACAAAATAAGACACGTGCATACTGCCACATAACTGGCATGAGAAGCAAAGCCACGGAAGGCTTTTGAGGTGACTCCATGCATATTCCTGCCATTCTCCCTGATACTCAGATCTCATAGTCAAGCCTTCCCTGTCTATAGGGAAAGGGAGCATTGGGTTAGGTTTCGCTCACTTCTGATTGGGTGGGCTTCAGGGTTCACTGAACCTAGGATGAGGTACAGAGAGAATTCTAATGCCTGAGCCTGTCTTCCAGATTGGAAAAGGATGCAAACCTTTAAAATGCCGTGATTGTAACTGAACTTTTATAAAGGCAGTGATAATTCAGGGGCAAAAGAGTGCTATTTATAAGTTAGTTTGTGAAGGCTCCAAGAAAGCAAAGCTGAATCTTGAGCTTATCTAAAGGATTAGTAGGGTTTAGGTGGAAGAGTGGCCAATCCAGTAGACTGGCCTAGATGCCACGGAGATGGGAGAGAGTCTAGATATTTCCCACCAAGGCCATCTCCAACCATGAAGACTTAGCTCAGGTGTTACCCACTCTAAGAAGTATTCCTAGTCACCTCTGCCCCTCTAGGTTGTCCCCCTCTGTGCCTCTTTAAACTCTTCTTTCTAGTATCATAGGTATCATATCAGCAGACATTACAACCTATTGAACTTCCTTTGTGTATAGGGACTTGAAAACCCTTGTTCCCAGGCCTTGGGGGAACAGGCTTACCATATGGTAGATGAATAAGCATAAGAATACATGAAGAAGGAGACCTGTCCAGCTAGAGCAGAAAGACTAATTGTAGGGAGCATCTGGGGAATGGGCTTGGTCAGTGTGCCCTGAAGCTGAGGGAAGGAGGCAGAACTGTAGGTTGGCTGCTCGGGAGGTACAAAAGTCATAATAAGGCCCCGGGCCAGGCGCAGTGGCTCACACCTGTAATCCCAGCACTTTGGGAGGCCGAGACGGGCGGATCATCTGAGGTCAGGAGTTTGAGACCAGCCTGGCCAACATGGCCAAACCTTGTCTCTACTAAAAATATAAAAATCAGTGGGGTGTGGTGACAGGCACCTGTGGTCCCACTACTTGGGAGGCTAAGGCAGGAGAATCACTTGAACACGGGAGGCGGAGGTTGCAGTGAGCCGAAATGGCGTCACTACACTCGAGCCTGGGTGACAGAGTGAGACTCTGTCTCTAAATAAATAAGACCCTGAACACCCGGACCATCAGGACAGTGACTGGTAAGGGAAAGGGACCTGTGGTTATTTGTCAATGAGATATGTAGGGGAGCAGTGGCACAAGAATGTCAAATTTGCAGGGAGCCACCACCCCAAGAAAAAAATATGAGTAAATCCCAAGTTTGACAAAGCAAGTCAAGCAGGGTGGTCACTGATATTATCATGAGTCTCCATTTTATAAAATGTTAGTTTTTATTAGTGCATCTAAAATAGGATTTAGGGCCAGGCGCGGTGGCTCACGCCTGTAATCCCAACACTTTGGGAGGCTGAGGCGGGTAGATGACTTGACGCCAGGAGTTTGAGACCAGCCTGATCAACATGGTGAAACCCCGTCTCTACTAAAAATACAAAAATTAGCCAGGCGTGGTGGTGCACACCTGTAATCCCAGCTACTCGGGAGGCTGAGATAAGAGAATCGCTTGAGCCCGGGAGGCAGAGGTTACAGCGAGCCAAGATCACGCCACTGCACTCCAGCCTAGGCGACAGAGCGAGATTTATTTTTTCTGTCTCAAAAATAAATAAATAAAATAGGATTTAGATATCCAGATGATTTGTACACCACTTTTTAGCAGCGTACTAAAAAACCGGACTCTGAATTCTGTTCCAGTAGTAATGTGAAATTTGCCCTGTTGTGAATAAGCACAGTCTGATAGTTGCAGTGGAACATCCTGAGGGTAAAATGAAGCCAGCTGCAGATTTAACACTTCTTGTGGACTATCCACCAAGCAAGATTAACTTTTTCAATTACCTAAGAACTGTGGTTCTACAAAGATGAATACCTTACAGCCTGATGGGGCTTGGGGCTTATGGGCAGGAAAACCAGGCGGGAGATATACCTCGACTCCTTTGGTTTGGTTATACAGGTCAACAAGAACAAAAAATGGCGGGAACTTGCAACCAACCTCAATGTGGGCACATCAAGCAGTGCTGCCAGCTCCTTGAAAAAGCAGTATATCCAGTGTCTCTATGCCTTTGAATGCAAGATTGAACGGGGAGAAGACCCTCCCCCAGACATCTTTGCAGCTGCTGATTCCAAGAAGTCCCAGCCCAAGATCCAGCCTCCCTCTCCTGGTAAGGATGGGGTCAGCGGCCCCACCAAGGCTGAGAGGGCCTGTTGCCCTGGCCTCTTATTCAGGATATGAATAAGAGGCTTATCCAACAGGATATGCCAAGGATCTGTGCTCTGCCTTGCCCTACCACAGGGCTTAACAGGTTGGCTGACTAGAGAGTGGGCAGTGGAAACTCCCTTGGGAGGTACTCTACGGCAGCTCTTAAGTTTTAATTTTTGTTGTGCAGCTGACAACTTGCCAAATGTTTGTAAACTGGTGAATGGGAGGGGCACAAGAGGAGTCGGTGGAACTTATAAATGGCAGCAAGGCAGGGCCATCTGGGAGCTTTGGCCTATTGATGTCAGCACCTTAGAATGCAGCTCAGACTAGAGCCCTGAATTCCCCAGGGAGCTGAGATGGTAATGAATGGGAAGGAGGGAGTGGGGAAGGGTTATGAATGGAACTCCCTGATGGGAGTGGCTCTGCTCACCCTCCTTTCTGAGAGGAGGCTGAGGCCTAGGGTGAGCCTAGAGAGGGAAGAAGGCCAGGGTGCCTGGAAGGTGGGTGTAAACACATGTGCCCTGGTGTTGACCTCTGAGGGTGTAATGAGTGCCTGAGATGACTCATCAGCTGGGGAGGCCTCAGCAGTGGGATATCTACTGCTGGGAATGGTAACTATTGGAAACATTAATTACTAGTAGTTTTGTACTCATCAGCTTAGAAGAACATTTGAAGTTGAGGAGTGACACCATGCTGGATGCTTTAGAACAGGAGCTCCTAGACTCCTAAAATGCATCCCAGATTTGGGACCCCCTTCCCACCCAGGACTTGGGAGGCTCTGACTGGAGCTCATGCACCAGCATTACAGGGTTTAGTAGGTTAGACAAGGTCCTTTGGCGGAGTGAAGAGAAATAGCCAGGGAAGCTGGCAATGACTCAGGGAATCACCAGCATGGTGATGTCATGGCCACATCACTCCTCTTTTCTACACGTAAAACAAAAACAAAGAGCTACAAAACCCTCAGATTCCCGTCTTTATGACCTGGCCTTGTAGATCCTCTGCTAAGAAGGGTGATCAGGCTTTAAAGGCCTTAGGAAGAACTTTCCCAAAGAGATTCTGGGTCGTTCGTGTGTTTGTGTGAGAGTTAAACACTGTCATGCCAAGCAAACTACTCAACTTGTATCTCTGTCCACAGCGGGATCAGGATCTATGCAGGGGCCCCAGACTCCCCAGTCAACCAGCAGTTCCATGGCAGAAGGAGGAGACTTAAAGCCACCAACTCCAGCATCCACACCACACAGTCAGATCCCCCCATTGCCAGGCATGAGGTAAGGCCAAGAGCAGGGGCAGATGGTTGGGAGGATGGCTGAAGATAAGTGCATGGGAACTCCTTGCAGCCCAAGGTGGTCCTTGCCTCTGCCTTCCCAGCCAGTGACTCCTGCGTGTCCTTTGTTATATTGGAGGAATTGGTTTATTTGTGGTTTACTTGGTTTTCCTCACTCTGGAGCAGGAGCAATTCAGTTGGGATCCAGGATGCCTTTAATGATGGAAGTGACTCCACATTCCAGAAGCGGAATTCCATGACTCCAAACCCTGGGTATCAGCCCAGTATGAATACCTCTGACATGATGGGGCGCATGTCCTATGAGCCAAATAAGGATCCTTATGGCAGCATGAGGAAAGGTGACTGATCTGATTGCTATTTGAACTTGTGCTCGTAAAGACAGGGCCAGTGAAATGGGGGGAAATCTTGAGAATGGCTCAGGGTTCTTGTGGAGCCATCCTCTGAGATAATGCATTTCCTGCCCTAACTACCCCTCTTCATCCTTACCTCCTTTCTTGTCTTCTCCTTGGCTTCACCTTGTCATCCCTTAATAAGTACATGCTTTTCGCTGGTTGGGGCCTCTTTAGATCTCTGTTTTGAACTTGTCTGGAAAACAATGAGATCAAACCTGAACTCTGAAGAGGGCCTGGGTCAAAGGGTAGATTACCAGGCTTGTCAACTTACCAGTTTGTTCACCGCTTGCCTTTCTACGCTCAGCTCCAGGGAGTGATCCCTTCATGTCCTCAGGGCAGGGCCCCAACGGCGGGATGGGTGACCCCTACAGTCGTGCTGCCGGCCCTGGGCTAGGAAATGTGGCGATGGGACCACGACAGCACTATCCCTATGGAGGTCCTTATGACAGAGTGAGGTAAGCATGACCCCAGCTCCTGTCCACTCCCCCAGCACCCTGAAGCTATAGTGGGCTCAATCTGCCTCTCCAATTTTGTTTAGGACGGAGCCTGGAATAGGGCCTGAGGGAAACATGAGCACTGGGGCCCCACAGCCGAATCTCATGCCTTCCAACCCAGACTCGGGGATGTATTCTCCTAGCCGCTACCCCCCGCAGCAGCAGCAGCAGCAGCAGCAACGGTGAGTAAAGCCTGGTCTCGGTGCTGCTATGGATCAGGCTTCGCCACTGCCCACCCTAATCCTGTGTTTCTTTGCCTCCTATAGACATGATTCCTATGGCAATCAGTTCTCCACCCAAGGCACCCCTTCTGGCAGCCCCTTCCCCAGCCAGCAGACTACAATGTATCAACAGCAACAGCAGGTGAGGAGGGTAGCTGGGAATGGACTGGCATGCAGGTTCGCCTTGAAAACTAGTTAGTAAACTAATCTAACGTGTTGAAGTCTAAGAAGCTCACTTTAGATATTTTGGCATTCTTCTCTCACCTGACTGGCCAGTCCTGCCTGAAGAGCCACGTCCTCAATCTCTTCTCTATTTGGAGTTGGAAGGGGCTAGAAATAGACCTTATTTTGATTTTTAGGTTTTGTATATTTTTCTACTTAAGCAAGGGAAGGGAAGAAAGAGTGGTGGTTGCTTTTGGAAACAACTTCAAAAGACAATTTGTTAAGGTGATTCCCATGTTTTCTTGGAGTCTGTGTCCACCAAGCATCTGGTTGTAGCCATCTTGGCATCTGTGGGCTTTATGTCCCTGAGTGCAGAGTATTAACTTCCCCTCTGCTTGTCTCTGCCTTAGAATTACAAGCGGCCAATGGATGGCACATATGGCCCTCCTGCCAAGCGGCACGAAGGGGAGATGTACAGCGTGCCATACAGCACTGGGCAGGGGCAGCCTCAGCAGCAGCAGTTGCCCCCAGCCCAGCCCCAGCCTGCCAGCCAGCAACAAGCTGCCCAGCCTTCCCCTCAGCAAGATGTATACAACCAGTATGGCAATGCCTATCCTGCCACTGCCACAGCTGCTACTGAGCGCCGACCAGCAGGCGGCCCCCAGAACCAATTTCCATTCCAGTTTGGCCGAGACCGTGTCTCTGCACCCCCTGGCACCAATGCCCAGCAAAACATGCCACCACAAATGATGGGCGGCCCCATACAGGCATCAGCTGAGGTTGCTCAGCAAGGCACCATGTGGCAGGGGCGTAATGACATGACCTATAATTATGCCAACAGGCAGAGCACGGGCTCTGCCCCCCAGGGCCCCGCCTATCATGGCGTGAACCGAACAGATGAAATGCTGCACACAGATCAGAGGGCCAACCACGAAGGCTCGTGGCCTTCCCATGGCACACGCCAGCCCCCATATGGTCCCTCTGCCCCTGTGCCCCCCATGACAAGGCCCCCTCCATCTAACTACCAGCCCCCACCAAGCATGCAGAATCACATTCCTCAGGTATCCAGCCCTGCTCCCCTGCCCCGGCCAATGGAGAACCGCACCTCTCCTAGCAAGTCTCCATTCCTGCACTCTGGGATGAAAATGCAGAAGGCAGGTCCCCCAGTACCTGCCTCGCACATAGCACCTGCCCCTGTGCAGCCCCCCATGATTCGGCGGGATATCACCTTCCCACCTGGCTCTGTTGAAGCCACACAGCCTGTGTTGAAGCAGAGGAGGCGGCTCACAATGAAAGACATTGGTAAGGAGATCTTCCTCATTCGGTTGCCTAATCTGCCCCTTTCCATCTTGTCCATTGTTCCCTCCACCTTACTATTCTGGATGAGGTTGAATCTGGTCCAGTGTTGACTAAAATAGAACCAAAGAACTTTGGAAAAGGAAGAAATAAGCTAACTAAAGGTTCTCCTTCATTGCCATGCAATGAAGTCCTAGACAGACAGCTTAGAAGCCATGAGGGGCTGGTGTGTTTCATCTCCCAGACAGAAACTGCCTTCCACCTTGTGTTATCTTCAGAGTAGCTTCACTGATGGGGCAGCCCTAGGGGTGCCTCCAGCCAACCTGGGCTTGGTGGATAGACGACATGGAGGTTTATTTCAGGAACCCCGGAGGCATGGCGGGTAATGATGTCCCTCAAGTCTGGTCTCCTGGCAGAGAGCACATGGGCATTAGATACCATCAACATCCTGCTGTATGATGACAACAGCATCATGACCTTCAACCTCAGTCAGGTGAGTATCAGTGCCTGGGGAAGATTGAGAGGGTTTGGGATCTTCTTAGTGTAGACAATGGGAATGTCTCATCTTTAGCCACCTTGGTCTTTCTCTTTCTCTCTTGTAGATATCTTCCATGCCAGTACTTTGCTTCCTTTGCCTCTGGGCACGGGCCCAGGATTTTGACAGCAATAATAATTTGTTTACATGATAACCTTAACACAGGATTGACTTCAAAAGGAATTTGGGAGACACTTTGTGGTATTAGTAAGAATTCAGATTCAATCGATGCCAGTGGGGACACCACATTTTCTAGAAGAATCTGTGTTTTTTTGTTTTTTTAATAGAGACGAGGTCTCACTATGTTGCCGAGGTTCATGAACTCCTGAGTTCAAGTGATCCTCCCAAAGTGCTAGGATTACAGGCATGAGCCACCAGGCCCAGCCTGAATCTGTGGTCAAATTTTTATCAGTGAGCAGAGTATGTTTTTTCCATTTTTCCCTTTCTTCTCTGAACAGTAGGGGCCTTTGTTGATCCCAGTTTTCCTTAGATGTAGAGTGGATGGGGGATTTGATTGTTTAACAATATTCTTTTTTTTTTTTTTTTGACTGAGTCTCTCTGTCGCCCAGGCTGGAGTGCAGTGGCGCTATCACAGCTCACTGCAACTTCCGCCTCCTGGGTACATGCCATTCTCCTGCCTCAGCCTCCCAAGTAGCTGGGACTACAGGCGCCCGCCACCACGCTCGGCTAATTTTTTGTATTTTTAGTAGAGACGGGGTTTCACCGTGTTAGCCAGGATGGTCTCGATCTCCTGACCTCGTGATCCAGCCGCCTCAGCCTCCCAAAGTGCTGGGATTACAGGCGTGAGCAACCGCGCCCGGCCCTACAATATTCTTACAAAGCTGATTCTTCAGACCCACCCTCCATAGGATGTGCACACTAGTGGAGGTGCTGGAAAGAGTTTGTGCTGCATCATCCTACTCTTTTTCTTTTGATCATCTTTAGTACCTACCAACCTGTATATCAAGGAGCTGACTTATTAATAGTTACCATTTATCGTGCTCTTATTTTGTGCCAGGTCCTTAATATTTTGTTTCATGTCATCCTAGCAACAGCCCTCAGAGGTAGGAGGTATGGCCATTTAGGGATGAGTAAATAGGCTCAGTCTTATCCTTGTTGAGGTTCACATAGCTGTCAGTAGAATCTATCTGATTCCTAAGCCTGATTTTATTTCCATTGCATAATATTGCCTACCATGAGAAAGGAAAAATTTTGATAGAGCAATTTTCATATGCCAGGTATTTGACATCTC
This sequence comes from Homo sapiens, assembly GCF_000001405.40. Taxonomy (NCBI): domain Eukaryota; kingdom Metazoa; phylum Chordata; class Mammalia; order Primates; family Hominidae; genus Homo; species Homo sapiens. The sequence continues at coordinate 26,777,002 of NC_000001.11, forward strand.
CCATTTACACCTCAGAACAACCCTGTAAAGTTTAGGAATTTTTATCATTTTATACAGCTACTTCCTGGAAAAGCCAGAATTTTTTTTTTAAGAGACTCTGGCACCTAGGCTGGAGTGTAGTAGTGCCCTCATGGCTCACTGCAGCCTCAAACTCCTGGGCTCAAGCGATCCTCTTGCCTCAGTCTCCTGAGTAGCTGGGACTACAGGCAAATGCCACCATGTCCAGCTATTTATTTATTTTGAGACAGGGTCTCCATTACTCAAGCTAGAGTGCAGTGGTGCAATCACAGCTCACTGCAGTCTCAACTTCCGAGGCTCAGGTGATCCTCCCACCTCAGCTTCCCAAGTGGCTGGGACTACAGGTGCGTGCAAACATGCTCATGCTCAGCTAATTTTTTTTTTTTTTTTTTTTGAGAGATGAGGCTTCACCATGTTGCCCAGGCTGATTTCAAACTCCTGGGCTCAAGTGATTGACCTACCTCAGCCTCTCAAAGTACTAGGATTACAGGTGTGAGCCACCGTTCCAGGCCCCGGATAACTTCTTTATTTTTTTATAGAGGCAGGGTCTCACTGTGTTGCCCAGGCTGGTCTCAAACTCCTAGGCTCAAGTGATTCTCCCACTTCAACCTTCCAAAGTGTTGGGATTACTGGCTGGGTGCAGTGGCTCACGCCTGTAATCCCAGCACTTCAGGAGGCCGAGGCAGGAGGATCATTTGAGGTCAGGAGTTTGAGGCCAGCTGGCCAACATGGTGAAACTCCATCTCTACTAAAACTATAAAAATTAGGCTGGGCGCAGTGGCTCACGCCAGTAATCCTAGCACTTTGGGAGGCCAAGGTGGGTGGATCACTTGAGGTTAGGAGTTCAAGACCATCCTGGCCAATATGGTGAAACTCCATCTCCACCAAAAATATAAAAATTAGCCGGGCCTGGTGGCACACACCTCTAATCCCAGCTACTTGGGAGGCAGAGGCAGAAGAATCACTTTGAACCCAGGAGGCAGAGGTTGCAGTGAGCTGAGATCGTGCCACTGCACTCCAGCCTGGGCAACAGAGCGGGACTCTGTCTCAAAAAAAAAAAAAAAAAAATACACACACACACACTCTCACACACTAGCCCGATGTGGTGGCAGGCGCCTGTAATCCCAGCTACTTGGGAGGCTAAGGCAGGAGAAAAATCGCTTGAACCCAGGAGGCGGAGGCTGCAGCCAACTGAGATCACACCACTGTACTCCAGCCTGGATGACAGAGTGAGACTTCATCTCAAAAAAAAAAAAAAGTGTTGGGATTACAGGTGTGAGCCACTGCTTCCAGCCCCTAGATCTAATTCGAAAGCCCTTATTTTTTTTTCCATCTGCTCTACTGTTCAGCCAAAGATTGTGACTGGAGAGGAGTGTTTTCTTCTAGAGGTAAATAAATGGCCTATATATTATCCAAGGTGGAATTTGGGTCTCTGTAGCACCAGCTTGGACCAGTGTTTGGAGAGCTGAAGCCTCGTCCCACTCCTTATGCTGCAAGATCCATGGAGTTCCAGCCCCCTGGACTTGTGGGGAGCTTGGAGAAGAGAGCCATGAACATCTGCCCACATGGCATTCTCTTCTCTTAGCTTAAGTCACCATGCCTAAGCTTGGGTTCCACTTGGCAGTGAGATGGAGAGAGTGTCCTAAAAGAGATAATGGCAATGACCACCAGGTTGAAAACTGGCCTGGTGAAGAAAAGCAGAAGATTAATTGGGAAAAGAGAAGGCTAAGAGATGATTGGCCCTGGTGGGTGAGGTGCAAAGCTGTTGGCTAGTGTTCCTGGAGATAGGCTTACGTGAAGGTAGGTTGGGCAGAAGAAAGAACTTTGTGTTGGGCATAGAAGAGATTAAGATGAACAATTTGCTCTGTGGAGAACCTTTGGGAAAGGAGCAACTCTGCCTCTCCCAACTGATACAGAAGACTTGGGGAGGTCTCTCAAGTCAATAATTCTGTTCTTAGGCCACTTTTCTCCCTTAATTTATTTCCTGTTCTTTCTCTTTTTAGCTCCCAGGGTTGCTAGAGCTCCTTGTAGAATATTTCCGACGATGCCTGATTGAGATCTTTGGCATTTTAAAGGAGTATGAGGTGGGTGACCCAGGACAGAGAACGCTACTGGATCCTGGGAGGTTCAGCAAGGTGTCTAGTCCAGCTCCCATGGAGGGTGGGGAAGAAGAAGAAGAACTTCTAGGTCCTAAACTAGAAGAGGAAGAAGAAGAGGAAGTAGTTGAAAATGATGAGGAGATAGCCTTTTCAGGCAAGGACAAGCCAGCTTCAGAGAATAGTGAGGAGAAGCTGATCAGTAAGTTTGACAAGCTTCCAGTAAAGATCGTACAGAAGAATGATCCATTTGTGGTGGACTGCTCAGATAAGCTTGGGCGTGTGCAGGAGTTTGACAGTGGCCTGCTGCACTGGCGGATTGGTGGGGGGGACACCACTGAGCATATCCAGACCCACTTCGAGAGCAAGACAGAGCTGCTGCCTTCCCGGCCTCACGCACCCTGCCCACCAGCCCCTCGGAAGCATGTGACAACAGCAGAGGGTACACCAGGGACAACAGACCAGGAGGGGCCCCCACCTGATGGACCTCCAGAAAAACGGATCACAGCCACTATGGATGACATGTTGTCTACTCGGTCTAGCACCTTGACCGAGGATGGAGCTAAGAGTTCAGAGGCCATCAAGGAGAGCAGCAAGTTTCCATTTGGCATTAGCCCAGCACAGAGCCACCGGAACATCAAGATCCTAGAGGACGAACCCCACAGTAAGGATGAGACCCCACTGTGTACCCTTCTGGACTGGCAGGATTCTCTTGCCAAGCGCTGCGTCTGTGTGTCCAATACCATTCGAAGCCTGTCATTTGTGCCAGGCAATGACTTTGAGATGTCCAAACACCCAGGGCTGCTGCTCATCCTGGGCAAGCTGATCCTGCTGCACCACAAGCACCCAGAACGGAAGCAGGCACCACTAACTTATGAAAAGGAGGAGGAACAGGACCAAGGGGTGAGCTGCAACAAAGTGGAGTGGTGGTGGGACTGCTTGGAGATGCTCCGGGAAAACACCTTGGTTACACTCGCCAACATCTCGGGGCAGTTGGACCTATCTCCATACCCCGAGAGCATTTGCCTGCCTGTCCTGGACGGACTCCTACACTGGGCAGTTTGCCCTTCAGCTGAAGCCCAGGACCCCTTTTCCACCCTGGGCCCCAATGCCGTCCTTTCCCCGCAGAGACTGGTCTTGGAAACCCTCAGCAAACTCAGCATCCAGGACAACAATGTGGACCTGATTCTGGCCACACCCCCCTTCAGCCGCCTGGAGAAGTTGTATAGCACTATGGTGCGCTTCCTCAGTGACCGAAAGAACCCGGTGTGCCGGGAGATGGCTGTGGTACTGCTGGCCAACCTGGCTCAGGGGGACAGCCTGGCAGCTCGTGCCATTGCAGTGCAGAAGGGCAGTATCGGCAACCTCCTGGGCTTCCTAGAGGACAGCCTTGCCGCCACACAGTTCCAGCAGAGCCAGGCCAGCCTCCTCCACATGCAGAACCCACCCTTTGAGCCAACTAGTGTGGACATGATGCGGCGGGCTGCCCGCGCGCTGCTTGCCTTGGCCAAGGTGGACGAGAACCACTCAGAGTTTACTCTGTACGAATCACGGCTGTTGGACATCTCGGTATCACCGTTGATGAACTCATTGGTTTCACAAGTCATTTGTGATGTACTGTTTTTGATTGGCCAGTCATGACAGCCGTGGGACACCTCCCCCCCCCGTGTGTGTGTGCGTGTGTGGAGAACTTAGAAACTGACTGTTGCCCTTTATTTATGCAAAACCACCTCAGAATCCAGTTTACCCTGTGCTGTCCAGCTTCTCCCTTGGGAAAAAGTCTCTCCTGTTTCTCTCTCCTCCTTCCACCTCCCCTCCCTCCATCACCTCACGCCTTTCTGTTCCTTGTCCTCACCTTACTCCCCTCAGGACCCTACCCCACCCTCTTTGAAAAGACAAAGCTCTGCCTACATAGAAGACTTTTTTTATTTTAACCAAAGTTACTGTTGTTTACAGTGAGTTTGGGGAAAAAAAATAAAATAAAAATGGCTTTCCCAGTCCTTGCATCAACGGGATGCCACATTTCATAACTGTTTTTAATGGTAAAAAAAAAAAAAAAAAATACAAAAAAAAATTCTGAAGGACAAAAAAGGTGACTGCTGAACTGTGTGTGGTTTATTGTTGTACATTCACAATCTTGCAGGAGCCAAGAAGTTCGCAGTTGTGAACAGACCCTGTTCACTGGAGAGGCCTGTGCAGTAGAGTGTAGACCCTTTCATGTACTGTACTGTACACCTGATACTGTAAACATACTGTAATAATAATGTCTCACATGGAAACAGAAAACGCTGGGTCAGCAGCAAGCTGTAGTTTTTAAAAATGTTTTTAGTTAAACGTTGAGGAGAAAAAAAAAAAAGGCTTTTCCCCCAAAGTATCATGTGTGAACCTACAACACCCTGACCTCTTTCTCTCCTCCTTGATTGTATGAATAACCCTGAGATCACCTCTTAGAACTGGTTTTAACCTTTAGCTGCAGCGGCTACGCTGCCACGTGTGTATATATATGACGTTGTACATTGCACATACCCTTGGATCCCCACAGTTTGGTCCTCCTCCCAGCTACCCCTTTATAGTATGACGAGTTAACAAGTTGGTGACCTGCACAAAGCGAGACACAGCTATTTAATCTCTTGCCAGATATCGCCCCTCTTGGTGCGATGCTGTACAGGTCTCTGTAAAAAGTCCTTGCTGTCTCAGCAGCCAATCAACTTATAGTTTATTTTTTTCTGGGTTTTTGTTTTGTTTTGTTTTCTTTCTAATCGAGGTGTGAAAAAGTTCTAGGTTCAGTTGAAGTTCTGATGAAGAAACACAATTGAGATTTTTTCAGTGATAAAATCTGCATATTTGTATTTCAACAATGTAGCTAAAACTTGATGTAAATTCCTCCTTTTTTTCCTTTTTTGGCTTAATGAATATCATTTATTCAGTATGAAATCTTTATACTATATGTTCCACGTGTTAAGAATAAATGTACATTAAATCTTGGTAAGACTTTTGTGAAGCTTTTTATTGTTTTCAAACTAAAACTTGACCTTTTGTCGGGGGGCAGGGGGATAGTCCTGTTTTTGCAAACCTCCCTTAGTGTGAGATCTCCCCTAAATAGTGGCATTCCTGGACCCTGTCATTTATTTACTATATTCCAAAATAAGACAACCATTTATCTGGAGGCAATCTCCAACTTAATCACTTATAATATCTCTGGACTGGCTCTTTTCCCTGACTCCAGACTAGAGCATTCAGCCACCTTTCTTGTCATCCCTGCTTGGAAGTTTACTTTGAACATGCCAAAGCTAAAATGTCCTGTCTTCCCCCACTAGAAACCTGCTTCTCCCATAGTTTTGGTTTTTTTGTTTGTGTTTTCCTTTTAGTAAATGGCAACTCCATTCTATCACTTGGCTAAAAAAATCCTTGACTTCTTTCACTTCCACATCCAATCTGTTAGCACTCTTCATAAAATAATCCTCAATCCCACACTACTGTAGTTCAAGATACTGTCATATCTTGGATTCTTGAAATACCTCCAAATTGGCCTCCCTGCTTCTGCTTTGCCTGGTTGAACCTATTCTCAACAGAGCAACCAAAAGGACCCCTATAAAAGGTAAGTCAGATCAAACGCCTTCAGTGCTTCTGACTCAGTAAGTAAAAATCCAGACTCTTAAAAAGTGGCCTACAAGGCCCTGAGTTATCTAGCTTACCTCTACCTTTCCTGCACCATCTGTCTTGCCCGTTGCTCACCCCACTGTATAGAGATGTTTCCACCTTGGAGTCTTTGTACTTTATACTCTCTCACCAAATAACTGCATGGCTCAAGTCCTCGACTGCTTCAAGTCTTTGTCCAAATATATAAGTAAGGCTTTTCATGGTCACCTTACTTAGAATAGCAATCTCTGCCCCCCACTATGTTTCCCTTGTCTGCCTTATTTTTCCTGTGGCACTTGTTACTGTCTGGCCTGTTGTGTGTTGTACTTACCTGTCACCTTCCACTGAAATGTAAACTGAGGGTGGTGGGAGGGGTGTTTTGTTCACTGCTGCATCCTGGTGCTAACACATAGACTGGCACATAGCATCTACTTAAGTAGTAGTTGAATGATACTGTCGATGTTGGCTAGATGCAGTTGCTTTTATGAGGCTAATGTCACAATATATAGTTTCTCTGTTCACCCCCTTCCTTAGGGAAACAATAGAGAAGCCTCAAGTTCCTCAGGAGAAATCAGAAGCAGAAAGAGAAAAAATGCTATCATTGTGGACACTTAGAAGTGAAATTTGAAACAAGAAACAACAGTTTTCTATTGTGTACCTACTTATATTCTGGACATAGCACATCACAATCCTACAACAATCCTGTGCCTGTGAAGTCAGTATGTGGCTCCCATTTTACAGTTGAAGAAAGAGGCTAAGAAAAGTGAAAGGCTTTTTAAGTTCATACACCAAGCAAGTTCCACCTGACTCCAAGGATCATGCTTTTCTTAATATACCACACTACCTCCTTTCTGGATGAGAACCCAACCCAGGAGTAAGGGATCTAGCTGTGGAGCTCAGCAAGCAAGATTTGTTTTTATTGTCTTTAGCACGAGGTAAAATTGTCCTCAGAATTTCAATCAAGTGTTCATCAGACTAAGTGTGGCTGTTAATATTTGGGTCAGGAACAGGATTTGAATAATTAGTATTTCTCAATTGAGAGAGGAAAACCTTTGTCAACCAAGATGCGTTCCTAGGATTCTTCTAGAAAAAGGTAAATGGGAAGCTTTTCATATCTACAATTTTGGTAAGCAATATTGCTAATGGCTATTTTTGTTCTAGGCCTCGAGCTCCGTTTGCTAGTCTAGAAATTGCATATCTGGGCTGTGTGTGGAGCATTACCTAGGAGTTCGGTTTCCTGGGTTCCTTTCATCTGCTCTCCTGCAATGCAGGGAGAGCCTAGCCTGGTCTCCAGTTTCTGACTGGAGTTACCATGGCCAAGAGAACTGCTGGCCAGTGAGCTGTGAGTAATTTGCTTTTGAGAAGTAAATAGAACCTAGCCAGCAGAGAACCCAGGGGTGTGGCCAGTAGTTCTTTTCCCAGGCTCCTCCCTCCCCACCCCCCAAATGACCTTAACCTTCTTTCATAGCTGGAGAGCAGCCAAGTCCAGCCTAAACAATACTCTCAACCTCATTGGCTCTTTTGCCTTGCAGCCACTGCCACCCCCAAGTGGCTAAGGCCTTCCCACTAGGCCTCTCAGTGGGGTCAAGGTTTTCTAACCACTGAAAGGCAAACACTGAAGGAATGGTGAAAAATACCTAGTGACCATGGGCTTTAAATGATGAGTGTTTGGGTACTGCAGTTGGAGGCAAGGCAGAGTCTTTGTCCTTGGGTGGATGGGCATCTTCAAGTGATCGGGCAGAGGCCAAAAAGGATGCTTTTGGTATATGAGACCTGACTGGTGTCACCCCAAGTGTCAGGATGGATGTAAATGTCACCCAGCATCTTGGAAACTGCCAATGAATGCCTTTTATCCCACAGCAAAAAGAAGTAGCATAAAGTTCTGGTAAAGTACAGCAGGCCAGTATGGTCACTTTCGCCCCACAATGGCATGACATCAGAGCCAGCATCCCAGATTAGGATCAGCTATTCCAATCCCATAGGACTGGGGCCATGGAAAGTTTAGCTTCTAGAAACTGAACTGCTGAGAGTAGTTGGGCTACTTACTGGGCTGGTCCTCTGCCCAGCCTGGGGCCAAGGCCACTTCCAGAAGTGGAGGCAGGAGCAAGGCAAGGCAGCTACAGAGAGAAATGTCAGTTGCTCCAGGGAAGTGAGTGTTCTGTGAGAACCACCTAACTTCCTTCTCTACACTTTCAGTGGGAAAATCACTTTTTTGTTCAGTGAGTTGTAATAGCCCATCTTTATTGAGCATTGTATGCCAAGCACTATAAATCCTATGAGGTAGATATCATCTCCACCAGGGCAAGGATTGTTTCTATCTTGCTCAGTGTTGCATCTTCATCCCATCACATAGTAGGCATTCCTGTACTGTTGAACAAATCAAACAGATAAGATAGGAATTTGATGGAGGAAAGAGTAGGTCAGAGCTGTTAAGACTTGGTGTGCCCATCTTAGCATAGCCCGTAAAGACTCTTACATATGGGAAAAATGGAAGAGAGGGAAAGAGGTAAATCTGTGAAAGATTAAAATAGTGTAGAGTGGGAGAACCAGCCTGGGAGGCTGGAGACCTGAATTCAAGTCCCATCGCTACCACTAGCTATGTGACTTCTTGCCAGTCACTTACCCTTTGTGATCCTTAGCTCCCTCATCCATAAAATATAGGTATAGGATTAAAGAAATTGATTTATTGACCAGATCTTTATTGAAGACACACAGTGTGCAAGGCACTGTTCTAACTGGAAATACATTGGTGAACAAAGCCCTTGCTCCTCCATTACACTCAGAAGCTTACATTCTAGAATAGGGAAACAGACATTGAAACAAGTAAAATTCATGGACAGGACAAGCAGATAGTGTTAAGTGCTATGAAGAAAACAGAGGCCGGGCGCAGTGGCTCACACCTGTAATCCCAGCATTTTGGGAGGCCAAGGTGGGTGGATCCTTTGAGCCTAGGAGTTCCAGACTAGCCTTGGCAATATAGTGAGACCTCATCTTTAAAAAAAAAAAAAAAAAAAAAAAAAAACAGAACAGACTGATGGGATAGTACAGGGAAAGCCTCTCTAAGGAGGTGACTTCTCTCCGGAGACCCAAACATAATGGGCTAGCCAAAGGGTGGTCTGGAAGTAGAGTGCTTCAAGCAGGGAAAATAGCAAGAGCAGAGCCAGGCAAGTTCAAAGAACAGAAATGATGTAACCCTCTTAAATCCTAAGCTTCTAGAATAGTAATGCATTGCTTGCATTGTTCTGGTTAGGGATTTGTATGTGATATTGTTTCTTGGTGATGTGGGATATGTGCTTCTTAATGGAAATGGCTGGGAAGTGTGGAGTCTTTCTGGAGCCTGGGATATGGCTCTTTCTCACTTGCTTTCCACAGTTCTGGTAGCTCAGCTGGCTCCCTGGGTAGATGCAGGCTCCATCTTAGCTGCAGACTCTACAAGAACACTGAGAGGCTGCCTCCGTCACTACTCAAAGCCTTGGAGTCCCAGAATCCCCTCCTATCCCACCTAGCCTTCTTCCAATCTGAAACCAGGGAGTCAGGGCTTTGAGAGCACAAGATTCAGCTTCCTTGTTTTCCTGTCAGAGCAGAAGTCAGAAAATGAAACAGGAAACAGAGCGGAAGAGGAGGGGGTTGGGTAGCAGAGAAGGAAAAGAGAAATTGCAGGAAAGTACAGCTGAAAATCTGGATAAAGTTCTACCTCTACAGGGTGACAGCTGAGCTTTTAAAAAACATTCTGACTTGTCTTGAGAGACCCCTGGCCTTTTTACAAATAGATTTTTGAGAGAATTTGATGTGGACAGAGGGAACCCTGAGAATGCATGTCTTTTTTCCCCTTGTGAATTTACAGAGCAAGGACAGTTCATTTCTCAGTTTTGTCTTTGCAGAGAGAGTGCTGCTTGGAGCCTCATGGTGGACTTCTAGAGATTCAAGTCACAGCCTTAGGCCCCAGTCACAAGTGTGTCCCCAGGCTTTGCCACGTTACTCACAGGCCTCTGGAGCTGAGAACAAGTGCGTGGCACTGAAAAACCTGGGGGAAGGGCCATGAAACTCCATTTTTTCCCCCTTCTCCAACACACAACGACTAAATATGATTTGCCTTTTCTCCACCTTGCACACAACAGATATCTGAAGGCAATTTAGGTCTCAGGGCCTGAAATGAGTTACAGAGTCAAGAGATACAGTCCCAGGCCCCCACAGACTGATGTGGGCTGGTCTTCGCCTGGAGAGGTAGCAACCATCTCTTTGTTCCCACCCACATGAGTAGCCGTTGCAGAAGATAAACCCCTCCCTGAGCCAGGCTGTGGCCAGAGGCTAACCCGGCCCCTGGCTTCGTTTGGAGGGCAGATAACTGAAACCACATAAGGCTTTGGAATCCTGAGAAACAAGAAATCCACCAACGGAGAAGGATTTATCATCTGTTTCCTTTAAGGAGGGTGCAAAGTTGTTCTAACAGTTTCCGTTACAAGGGTACAAACTGGCCGCTCCCCCCAATAGACGGTTTTGTTGAGTTCGCCTCTTTTTTTTTCTTCTTTTTTTGGCCCCACTTCCTATGAGAGAAACTGCTTGGGTGAGGGAGGTGAAAGGAGCCCTGGAGGGTGTTCTCTGAGGTTTTCTTCACCATCCTCATTAGCCACCTGAGGTGGGGCTGAGGACTAAAGTAGGACAGAAGGTCTCTGGTAGATAGAGGAGGGGAAAATCAGGGGGATCCCCCACTTTCTTCACACCCAGGACGCAGGGTGCCGCTGCCGGCCACAGAAACCCCAAGAATGTTTTTCTTTGGCTATTCAGAGGACATCTATTGTGTGTCAGGCCCTGTGCTGAGCTGTTGTTGCCTGACAGCAGGAAGAGCGCGGCTCTGGTTTCTGTGAAGAGGCTGCGGGTCAGCCTCCGACTACAAGAGCCTCGGCCCACACCGGGAACTCAGTGAACGTCAGCGGGAGCTGGGGCAAGAGCACTGACTCTGAGACAGCAGCCTCCGCTCACTATTTGAAGGCGGGGTGGCGGGGGGCCTTGAAGGAGAGCGAAGTGCGAGAGAACTCTTCAGGTGTCACCAAGGTGGGAAGGTGCTACGAGGCGAGGCGCCGAGCGGCGACCCCCATCCCGCTCGCCCGGAGTCAACATGGCCGCCGCGCAGGGAGGCGGGGCTGCTCCAAGTCCGGGCAGGAGCGGGGCGGGGACGCCGTCGGCGGAGCCAGCGCGCAGGCGCGGGCCGCGTGGGCCCCGGATGGAGGAGCTGAGGTTCGGTCCCCGCCGGGGAGGTCGGGACGGGCAGGGGCTGAGGACCCCGCGCCAGCTTGGGAGCCCTGGAGTTCTGGCGGGAGGGAAGCTGTCAAATGGAAGCCGGTAGAAATGAGACAGACGCCCGGAGAAGCGGGGAGCCCCGCCCCTCCGCCATAGCAGCCTCGGGCGCCGCCTCTTCCTTTCCAGCCTCCCGCCCTCGTCTGCTTCCGGCCCTGTGGCCTGGTGGGGCTCTGCAGGCTCCCTCGGGAGTGGTCCTTGGGCCGTGGCCCCTCTGGGGTGAGCGTGGATGATTAGTACCCAGAAGGGACTGTGTCCAAAAGGAGCCGGCCAGAAACGGGTTGCGGACACGGCTGGGCTGACAGAAGGCAGCCCCCACGAGGCCTTTGGCTCTGAGGACCCTGGGTCAGAGCGACTTCTCCAGCCTGCGCAGGGGGTGTTAGTCTTACCCAGAGGGTCCAGAGCTGCCGTTCAACAGGATGTCCCAGATTCTCAGATAGGGCCCAACTACCCTAAGCATACCTAGCAAGGGCAGGCTGCGGCATGGAAGTACTGGGCTAGGCGTTTGGGTGACCTGGGTCATAATCCTGGCTCGGAAAGGGCGCGTACCCTTTGGCGAGGGATGCGGGCTGGTACCGTGAGGTTTAAGAAGCAGAAAACATGACAGCCTCTTTAAGTAGCCCTGGGTACGTCACTTGACCCCAGTGAGCCTCAGTTTCCATATCCATAAAATGGCGATGGTAATTATACTAGCCTCACAGTGTCTGATGAGATCTCTGGAGCCTATTTATCTCACGGGAAAATTTTTGAAGAGTGAAACTAGTTGATCTGTAAGTGTCCTGCCAGTTAAGAGTCTGTGATTTGGCAAAGGGGTTGTTGGGAAGTGAGGTGGGCAATTAGCTGAGAGGGAGAATTGACTAGCTTTGTTTTTACTTGGTTTACCTGTAAGCAAAGTGTGGGCTACACACATCTGTAGTCGCTGAGGCTAGAGCTTGACTCGAGAGAGGAAAGGAAGAATGCAAGCATGGTCAAGTGGCAGAGGTGGGTTAGGTGCTTTTCTGATCCCAGCTTCTCTTCTGCATGCGCGTGGGAAGCCAAGGAAGAGGAAAAAAGAGTGAATTCGCCCTAGGATAGGGAAGGAGTAGCCGCGTGAGGTTGAGTATGCCCATTTCCGTGATTTCTCTCGATTCAGCGAGTCATACGTTGGAAACGTTTAGATTCACAAACTATCGTTACTGTCTGGGGCTTTCAGAAGCTTGCCTTTGAACCGAATTTTCGTGAGCCAACCGGTGTGGAATTGGGGGCCCCTCCCTTCCTCCAGGCCTCCTGGCGATGGAGTAAGCAGCAGGCGCCCCCTTGTGCCAAGGAAAGAGTACTGTTGCCATTGGCCAACTTGGCTCCCTTTCTGGGGAAATTTTATTTTCCTGTGGCTTCTGTGACTTTGTCGTCTTGCTCTTGACATGAGATATGATGGGAAGAATACTTGGGGCACTGATTTCATATCTAGAGTCAGTGAACTGCTGATGCTGTATCCTGTCCCTACCACTTCCATTCATTCAGAACACAGGTTTAAGATGCCTATTTGTGTTCTAGGCCCTGGGATATAGTTGTGATGTAAAGCCCCTGCCCTTAGCAACTTAAATAAGCAATAGCAATAACGGCAATAGGGCAGAATGTAATGAGGGCATAGCACACTGTCTAGTGAGGATCAGAGAATTCCAGAAACAAGTGATACAGGTTTTTTAGGTATTCGCCAGATAAGAGAAGAAAAAGAGTCTTCCAGCCGTCCTCCTTAAATTTCTCAGTTCAAATTTTTTTTTTCCTTTTAGGCATAGTTCTTCATCCCAAATTGATGAGCTGCCTCTGATGCTTTTGCTTTCCTTTCAAATTTCCCAGGCTGGTGTTTGAAAGTTCTTGAGGAGCCTTTATGACTCCTTTTAGCTCAAGGAATTATAAAAGATGCCTTAAGGTGCATTCCCTGCCTCGGAGTGGCTTTGCGATTGTTTATACGTTGCTACCATCCCAACAAAGAGATGGCAAATAACAGTTTTCTCCATCCCTGGTAGTCTACTCTGTCTTCACCCTCAGTTTGTTTCAGCAGTGTGAGCTGGCTGAGGTCCTGCTGAGTGGTGGTTTTCTTTTCCTTCCCCACTTAATTTAACAGACCAGCTGAACACACATCAGAGAGCTAAGCTAGAGTGTGGAGTCATTATGGTCTTCTAGTATGGTTTTATGCCCCACTTTGGGGACTCTGGTTTGGGACCTAGTTTATTATTCTGGGCAAGAGGAAAAGGGCACACGCCAAATAATAGCAACCACAACACAGATTTGAGTAGAACTTCACACTTTGGTCTGTTTCACCATCATGACAATTTTGTGAGATAGGAAAAAAAAAAAGTCTGCTCCCATTTTTTATATAAAGAACTGAGGCTCAGAGGGACTAATGAGAACTTGTAAGTGACAGAGTCAGGAGTTGAACCCAGATCTTTAGTTCCTGCAGAAGTGCATCCAATAGGCTTTAAAAGATTTCTGTGACCTTAGCTTTCCAGCTACTTGCTTAGCTGTATGGAACTTTACCAACGACAGTTCAGGGCTTCACAGTGACACCTACTGAACCCATTTGCTGTCAAGATGCTTTCCCCTCATCTGGGAAGTTAGGTGGTTGGTTAAGTTTGTCATAGTAATTCTGAGAGGGGAGGTTCCAGTGACGAATGCTTTCAAGAATTTGCTTTCACTCGATGTGTGACATTTTCCTCCTTTGGGGTTTAGAGGCCTGAGGGAGCTCAATCCTGGTAGCAACACCCCTGAATTCCTGGTGGTGAAAGGATGTGGCCCCAGGACCCATCCCGGAAGGAGGTGCTGAGGTTTGCAGTCAGCTGCCGTATCCTGACTCTGATGCTGCAGGTCAGTCTCCCATCCTTTGTCCTGAATGTGCTATTGCTACATGACTGGACTAGGCAGTAAGAAGTGTCCCCATCTCCTTTCCACCTCTCAGGTGTGCCCCTCCATGTGGTTGGAACCACAGAGACATAGACTTTAGAGCTGAAAAGTTGTCAGGAATCTTAGAAACACGGTCTGTTGATCTTGTTTTACCCATGAAGCAGCAGAGGCCCAGAAAGGTTAAGTGACATCCCCAAAGCCACATAGCAAGATAGAGAAGGGCTGGAGTTTGACCCCATGTTTCCTAACTCCTGAGCTAGTGGTCTCTCCAACAGACTGTGATGTTCCGTAACCAGAGATGCTTATAGGGTGGGACAGCTCAAAGTATTGCCCTGTGTCCCCTTACTAGGAGACTGAGCATTGTGTCAGTTGAGTGGGAGAAACGTGGCAATGTGCAAGTCCTAAAACCATCTGGATATGTAATAGTTCCTCCTATTCCCCCGAGTGCCTGCCCTTCCTGCCTCACCCACACACAACTCTCAGTGCACTTGCCCGTTTGCAGCTCCCTTTTCCCTCCGAGGCTCCCCTTGATACACATTTTAATAAAATATCACGTATATATGAATTATTTGCTGCCTAGCACAGTGCTTGGTGCCTAGCTCAGTATGTTCATAAATGAATGAATGTTGTTGAATGTATGTCAACACCCTAGGGATGTTAGATTCACATAATGATGTGTACCTTTTATCCCTGTACCATTCTCTCTGAGGCTCATAACTGGTCCCTTTGTGGAAACTTTCCTCTCTCCTTTCCCACTACATAAGGCATGGCAGACTCTGCTGGGTTTCGAGATTAGTTAAACGTGTCCACCTGCAGGCTAGGGCTGTTTATCTGTGACTGTCACTCCTATCCTGTTTGTTTTTACTGTTTGAAGTGGCCTGATAAGGAAACTGACCAAAAAGTTAAAAAGCCTTAAAAATGGTGCTATGCTCCTGTTGCCAGGCTAGGGAGACTTACTCAGTGATGTCTCTCAACCAGCATCAGCTGGGTTACTGGCAGAACCAAAGGAGCAATGCTGCAAGTCAGCATCCAGGATAGGGAACCAGGACAGCTGGGCTCTAATTCGGGTGGTAATTTTGGAAACAGTATATTTCCTCTAGGCAGTTCATTCAACCACCAAAAATTTTTAAAGTACCTATTGCGTTCCAAGAACTGTGCTAGGTGGTAAGTGTAAAAAGACATGGTCTCTTTTCTCTTAAGTAGCTGATGATCTAATAGGGCAAAAAGACTTTTTTTTTTTGAGACAGAGTCTCGCCCTGTCCCCCCAGGCTGGAGTGCAAAGGCGCGATCTTGGCTCACTGTAACCTCTGCCTCCCAGGTTTAAATGATTCTCCCTCCTCAGGCTCTGAAGTAGCTGAGGCGCCCGCCACCACACCCAGCTAATTTTTGTATTTTTTTTTTTTTTTTTTGAGACGGAGTCTCGCTCTGTCGCCCAGGCCGGACTGCGGACTGCAGTGGCGCAATCTCGGCTCACTGCAAGCTCCGCTTCCCGGGTTCACGCCATTCTCCTGCCTCAGCCTCCCGAGTAGCTGGGACTACAGGCGCCCGCCACCGCGCCCGGCTAATTTTTTGTATTTTTAGTAGAGACCGGGTTTCACCTTGCTGGCCAGGCTGGTCTCGAACTCCTGACCTCGTGATCTGCCTGCCTCGGCCTCCCAAAGTGCTGGGATTACAGGCGTGAGCCACCGCGCCCGGCCAGCAAAAAGAAATCTAACAGTAAATGCGATTTAATTATCATCCCCCCACTTCCAATGCTCAAGCCATCAGAGTATATCCCTAAGTTACCCTTCGTTGCTGCTGTCGTCTCTGTCAGTGACAGCTAATCCTTGACGGTTTTGGCTCCTGGTTCACTGTCACTCTTCCCAGCACTACTTCTATTGATTTCCTGGTGATTTCATTATTAATGAAGATGATGTGTGCAGTGTCCTGAAAAGAGTCTATCACTTGAGTGTGAGTTCTGGGGAAAGGGTGTTAGAGATTTGAGGAAAGAGAAAAACATGTAACATGTAACAAATTGTTTTCCTAAATGACAACTCAGAACAATAGAAGGCATTAGAAGAGACCTTCCATATGCGCCCATCACATTCTTCAGCCTACCTATGTCTGCACCTTTGTGCTTTCAGTACTGAAGGTTGGATGAACCGTCTGTCCTCTTCTCTAAGGCTGGCTCCTCTACCTTTGTACCCTTTTTGCCTACCCAGCAATTCTCCCCTCTCTCCTGCATACCCTTTTACTGGGTTATTTCCACTAGCATACAAACCTTTACCTCCCACCTTAAAAAAAGTTTTCACTTTACCCCACATTGTTGTTCACCTACTGCCCCATTTTTCTGCTTCCCCTTATGGCAAAACTCCTCAAAGTTTCTTTTCTCCCATTCTCTGTTGAACCCAGTCTAGGTAGACTTCTCTCTCTTCCACTCCATTGAAATAGCCCTTGTCAAAGTCACCAGTTACTTTCACATTGTTAAATCCAGTGGTCAGTTTTCAGCCCCCATCTTACTTGACCTACCAGCAGCATTTAACAGAGTTGATCACTCCTTTTCTTCCCTTGGTTCTAATGCTCTCTTGGGTTCCCTGCCACCTCACTGACTGTTCCTTTTTTTCTTTATTGCTGGATTTTCATCCTCTTTCTAGCCTTCAGATGTTAACATGTCCAGGGTTCAGTCCTCAAGAAGAGTTCTAAGTGTTTTTGAAACAGGGTCTCATGCTGTCACCCAGGCTGGAATACAGTGGCACAATCATGTCTCACTGCAGCCTCAACCTCCTGGGCTC
Organism: Homo sapiens; assembly: GCF_000001405.40. Lineage (NCBI taxonomy): Eukaryota > Metazoa > Chordata > Mammalia > Primates > Hominidae > Homo > Homo sapiens. The sequence goes on from NC_000001.11 coordinate 26,793,701, forward strand.
AAGCAATCCTCCCATCTCAGCCCCCCCAAGTAGCTGGGACTACAGGCATGTGCCACCACACCCAGCTAATTTTTATTTTTTTATTTCTAGTAGAGACAAGGTCTTGCTACGTTGCCCAGGCTGGTCTTAAACTCCTCGGCTCAAGTGATCCTTCCACCTCAGCCTCCCAAAGTGCCGGGATAACAGGCGTGAGCCACTGTGCTCAGACTTTTTTTTTTAGTTTTTATAGAGACAAGGTCTTGCTATGTTGCCCAGGCTGGTCATGGACTCCTGGGTTCAAGTAATCCTCCCATCTCAGCCTGCCAAAGTGGGGATTACAGGCATGAGCCTGGCCTTCTTCCTCATTTTATTAAATGGCAATTCTTTTCTTCCAGTTACTCAACCAAAATTCTGGTTTTTCTTTACTCCACAGGCCCTCTTCAATGCCATCATCCCAGATCACCATGCAGAAGCCTTCTCTCCTCCTCGCCTGGCCCCCTCAGGCTTTGTGGACCAACTCGTGGAAGGTCTTCTGGGCGGCCTGTCTCACTGGGATGCTGAACACTTCTTGTTCATTGCTGAGCATGGCTACCTGTATGAGCACAACTTTGCCTTCTTTCCTGGTTTCCCCTTGGCCCTGCTGGTGGGGACTGAACTGTTGAGACCCTTACGGGGGTTACTGAGTCTACGCAGTTGCCTGCTGATTTCGGTAGCATCACTCAATTTCTTGTTCTTCATGTTGGCTGCAGTTGCACTTCATGACCTGGGTTGTCTGGTTTTGCACTGTCCCCACCAGTCCTTTTATGCAGCTCTGCTTTTCTGTCTCAGCCCTGCCAATGTCTTCCTGGCAGCTGGTTACTCAGAAGCTTTGTTTGCCCTCCTGACATTCAGTGCCATGGGGCAGCTGGAGAGGGGCCGAGTCTGGACTAGTGTACTCCTCTTTGCCTTTGCCACTGGGGTACGCTCCAACGGGCTGGTCAGTGTTGGCTTCCTCATGCATTCTCAATGCCAAGGCTTTTTCTCTTCTCTAACGATGCTGAATCCTCTGAGACAGCTCTTTAAGCTGATGGCCTCTCTGTTTCTGTCGGTGTTCACACTTGGCCTTCCCTTTGCCCTCTTTCAGTATTATGCCTACACCCAATTCTGTCTGCCAGGCTCAGCCCGCCCCATTCCTGAGCCTTTGGTACAGTTAGCTGTAGACAAGGGCTACCGGATTGCAGAGGGAAATGAACCGCCTTGGTGCTTCTGGGATGTTCCACTAATATACAGCTATATCCAGGATGTCTACTGGAATGTTGGCTTTTTGAAATACTATGAGCTCAAGCAGGTGCCCAATTTTCTACTGGCTGCACCAGTGGCTATACTGGTTGCCTGGGCAACTTGGACATACGTGACCACTCACCCTTGGCTCTGCCTTACACTTGGGCTGCAAAGGAGCAAGAACAATAAGACCCTAGAGAAGCCCGATCTTGGATTCCTCAGTCCTCAGGTGTTTGTGTACGTGGTCCACGCTGCAGTGCTGCTGCTGTTTGGAGGTCTGTGCATGCATGTTCAGGTGAGGTGGATTCCTGACTGGGATAAGGATGTGAATACAGGCAAAACCCCTTGGCCAAGGACAGGGAAGGCAGCTAACATCTCCCGTTTGAGTGATCCATACTGAATTTATTCATTCAATGACTATTTAGGGTTATTCTTTATGCCAGACTCTGGGTCAGACCTCTAAGGATGAAACATAAATAAGACAAAATTGCGGCCAGGCGCGGTGGCTCACACCCATAATCCCAGCAATTTGGGAGGCTGAGGTGGGTGGATCACAAGGTCAGGGGTTCAAGACCAGCGTGGCCAAGATGTTGAAACCTTGTCTCTACTGAAAATACAAAAATTAGCCGGGCGTGGTGGCAGGCACCTGTAATCCCAGCTACTCAGAAGGCTGAGGCAGAAAATTGCTTGAACCCGGGAGGTGGAGGTTGCAGTGAGCTGACATTGCACCACTGCACTCCAGCCTGGGCGACAGAGTGAGACTCTATCTCAAAAAAAAAAAAAAAAAAAAAAAAAATTACTGCCTTGGGGGGTCTCATGGTATAAATAGGAGGACAGACATTTGACATAAATTATAGTACAGTGGGATAGAAAAGGGAGTGCTATTTTGAGATTTATTTTATTTTACTTTATTTATTTATTTATTTATTTATTTTTTTAGATGGAGTCTCGCTCTGTTGCCCAGGCTGGAGTGCAGTGGTGCGATCTCAGCTCACTGCAACCTGTGTCTCCTGGGTTCAAGCGACTCTTCTGCCTCAATCTCCCGAGTAGCTGGAATTCCAGGCGCCTGCCACCACCGCCTAGCTAATTTTTGTATTTTTAGTAGAGATGGGGTTTCACCACGTTGGCCAGGCTGGTCTCGAAATCCTGACCTCAAGTGATCTGCCCGCCTCATCCTCCTAAAGTGCTGGGATTACAGGCGTGAGCTACCACGCTCGGCCTGAGATTTTTTTTTTTTTTTTTTTTTTGAGACGGAGTCTTGCTCTGTCACCCAGGCTGGAATGCAGTGGCATGATCTCAGCTCACTGCAAGCTCCACCTCCCAGGTTCACGCCATTCTCCTGCCTCAGCCTCCCGAGTAGCTGGGACTACAGGCACCTGCCACCATGCCTGGCTAATTTTTTGTATTTTTAGTAGAGACGGGATTTCACCGTGTGAGCCAGGATGGTCTGGATCTCCTGACCTCGTGATCCACCCGCCTTGGCCTCCCAAAGTGTTGGGATTATAGGCACGAGCCACTGCGCCCAGCAAGATTTTTTTTTTTAAAGCTCAGATAAAGTATTATGGAGGCGAAGAAGTAGGTAACTCACTGGAGTACTTGAGAAAGGCATCATATTTCAGCTGGGTCCTGAAGAATGAGATTTTCCATATAAGAAGCAGAGGAGGAACATTCTAGGTAAAAGGAAGGGCATATGCAAAAACACGAGGGTTGTGAAAGGACCTGATTGGACTGAGATACAGGAATAAGCACGGAGGATATCTCTGGGATCTTTTTCCCTAATACACAGTTATAGTTATATCCATATTGGTTTCTTGACTGTTGACTTCAGGAGGTTCTCAACTCAGGCAGGCCCCCAATTTCCAGAGGAGATAACCTTAACCAATGTTTTGGGTGGTGGCGGTGGTGATAGAGAGGGATGGGAAAGGTTTGATCTTATATCTGATTTTCTGTTCTTGGCTGTGGCCCCACCCTGGGGACATCTTTTTTCCCCATGCCGACCTCTTAGCAGTTTCTTCCTGTTGGAGTTGCACATTGGCTGTTTCTAAAATTCTCCAAGCTGTATGGATAAGAGACACAGAGGAAATAGAAAGTAGCATTCCGTGTTTTTAGCTAGATTAAATCGTAGAATGTGTGCCAGCAAAGCTTAAAGTTTCCAGGTTAGCTGAGGGAGGCCATTTGGAAACTTGTGTCTGAACTCCAATAGGAGAGAGAATGTTCAAGCAATGGGTCTTCTGCCCATTTCCCTCTGCTTTGCCATCCCATGGGATAAGGGAACCACCTCAGGTTCCCAATCCCCAAATCAATATCACAGAGTTTAGAGTCCAGGCCCTCGGCTAAAATTAGACCCCATAGAGTTTCTAGTATTAATTGGCCCATTATTTTAATAGTAATTAATGTAATTAGTCTGTAGCTATGTTTATTTGTAATATGGAGGATGCCTGTCTGCTGTACATACATCTTTCTAAGACAGATCCTAAGCTGTGTTCAATTTCTTTTCCAGTGTAATACATTTCTAGTCACAGGACCATAGTTCACCCAGCAGTAGAGAAGTCCCCGGGCTGGTCCAATTTGAGTCAGTGACATTCCAGTAAATGTCTGGATATTCCCCTCTCATGATTTCTAGGTTCTCACCAGGTTTTTGGGCTCCTCCACTCCTATTATGTACTGGTTTCCAGCTCACTTGCTTCAGGATCAAGAGCCGCTGTTGAGATCCTTAAAGACTGTGCCTTGGAAGCCTCTTGCAGAGGACTCCCCACCAGGACAAAAGGTCCCCAGAAATCCTATCATGGGACTTTTGTATCACTGGAAAACCTGTTCTCCAGTCACACGATACATTCTAGGCTACTTCCTGACTTACTGGCTCCTGGGACTACTCCTACATTGCAACTTCCTGCCTTGGACATGACCTGGACTCTCCAGGGACAGGTTGGAAGCCAACTTAACCCAGGGGTCTGAAAGTAAAAATACACATTGGAACTGCCTCTGCTGCCCTGGGATCATTACTGTGTCCATTATAATCTTTCTCTTTCTCTTTGAAAGCTGGTCAGGAATGGGAGAAGTGTCAGACACTAGAGAGCCCCTTCTGGTCCTGGCTAGGGCAAATTTTAGACAACTATTTTCTCTGTAAGTGAAGATTGTCGTATTCCAAGTCTAAAATACACCTGGATCTGTCTAGTCAATCAACATAGCAGAGACAGTCTTAAACCTACCATTGACCTGTGTGTAAATTTAAATGTCAATTTATTGAAGTGTAAATTTCATCAAAGGCATTAGCTGACAGGCTGGTAACAGTCCACACAAGATGGTATAGGCCTGAACAGTGTAGTGGCAGTAATAAAGTGGGACCATTTTTTCCAAATGCGACATTGTTTCTGATGTTTTTTTTTATGATTTGTGCATGTATTTTTATATGAAAAAAACTTACAAAGATATGCAAATTAAACTTCTTTCAGTTATACATGCAATGAATTGCCTTTTTAAAAATAATACAGGCCAGGCACGACGTTTCACACTGTAATCCCAGCACTTTGTGATGCCGAGGTGGGCAGATCACTTGAGGCCAGGAGTTTGAGACCGGCCTGGCCAACATGGCAAAACCCCGTCTCTACTAAAAATACAAAAATTAGCCGTGCATGATGGTACACACCTGTAATCCTACTCGGGAGGCTGAGGCATGAGAATTGCTTGAACTTGGAAGGCGGAGGTTTCAGTGAGCTGAGTTTGCGCCACTGCGCTCCAGCCTGGGCAACAGAGTGAGGCTCTGTCTCAAAAAAAGTAAAAAATAAAAATAATACAAATCTTTCCATGTGGCAAAAAGTAAAATAATTTTAAAAAGTTAAAATAATATAAATCAGCTGGGGGAAAAAAGGGTAAGAAGAAGGCATCAGGAACCCTGGATTCTAGTCCTCTCAGTAAAACCCCATTTACCAGCCATGTGACTTGGGAGAGTTTTCAGAACCTTAGTTACCACCTCTGAAACCATGGGAAATGATGATATTCTTCAGGGGGTGGTGGTGAATGATGCAGTCTCTTGTAGGTCCCTTTCTGCTCTAACATCTTAAGAACTGCCTTAAACAACAGAATCACCCCAGTCTAAATGCTAATGTAGAGGCTTAAATGTGTGATTTTAGGAGAAAATATCCAGTTCTCCTGTTTTCAGCAATTAGAAGAAACTCCTCCTCCACCGAGTGCAACTCTTGGGAGTAATTTAGGTGGTCTTTCCTTTCAATGAGGGAAAGCAGTAACATCTGGCAGATAAGGTGCCTGTTGTGCCGTTCTCAGATGCCTGCTTACTTGATCAGTAGACATGGGTCAGAGGCGCCAACACGGCGGCAGGAATTGGTAAATTGTACGTAAGTCCAAGGTGGAATGAAATGGTATCTGCCCTGCTTCCTGGCCCCCGTTTGGTCATGAGCCTATCACTATAATGGTAGTAAGATCACTGGCCCCTGCTGAGCTACTTTTGCCCATTCCTTGAGCCAGACGAGAGTTTGGCTCTGTATCATCCATCACCTCTTTTATTTCCCATTTAAGCCAAAACATCCAGTAAGCAGAAACTCTTCAAAACAGATGGGTAATCATAAGCAGCTTCTGGAAAGCCTCAAGAATTGGAATTTTGACACACTCCCTCTGACCATGACAGAAAGCTCAACTTGCCAGCTGAAGGGAAGCTCCTGGCTGAGCCCCAGCACCCTCTGTTGGAGCTTCTGGTCAGCCTGGCCAATAAGCATTTCCCATCCATCGCCCCAGCACTAGGACAGCTGAGAGAATTTGGTTCAGAGTCAAATGCTTCTGAAAATGTACACACAGATCAGGGCAGCCCTCTGCCTTCTGCCAAGACACCAAGTGCCCTTCTTGGCAAACGATGATCACCCCTGCCCTAGTGTCCCTCCAGTTAGTTGGCAGAAACTGTTCCCTTTCTCCTTGCCAACAGCTGCAAATCCAGAGACTTCCACCTTGCGTGCAGGAAGTGTTGGGGTCCTGTTTCAGCTCTTTATTGCCGAGGTAGGAGCACTGGGTTCTTCGCTCTCCTCTTTGCCTCCTTTTGGGGGATAATCAGGACTGATTATTCCTCTACTGGAAGAGGTGACTCAGACCCCACAGAGTAGGTGTGATGTCACTGCTCTGGCAGTCTCAGTTTAACCTTCACACTAGATCTCATCATGCCCAGAAACCTTGTAACAGGAGCCCAGCTAGGTGGGTGCACCTGGCATGAGCTGGACAAGGTTTTCTCTCTGACCTTGCAGGGATTTAGTTGTTCTCTAAGGAGCTAAGGAATGGGCTGATTTTATGACCAGCAGCTGTCCTTTTACCATCCTATTAACAGTCTCTTTAATAGTCTGGGAGAGGGACATGAAGGACCCAAGGCAGGAAGTTTCCTGTTTACCCTGAGGCCTAACAATGCCACAGCTAGGTGGGGTGTCTACAGTTTCAGAGAAAAGTCATTTCCTTCTGAGACCCTGCTAAAACAGAAACCAGACGCCTCAGCCTCACGTACCTAGAAGTAGATGCTTTTTTTTGTTCTTTAATGAAGGTGGGAGGAGAGTGTTTGACATACCTTTACCAGTCCTCCTGGAAAAATGTTACTTTTATTGAATAGACCCTCTCACTGTCATCTGAAAATGTAATATGTGCAGGCTCAAGGGATTTGAAACTGATTGATTCTTTCAGTAATTGTTTATTAATGCCTATTTTAGGGGAATAAAGATGACTCAGCTATGCCTCCTGTCCTCAAATAACTGTCTAATAAGAGTTGCTAGCAGACACAGAAACATTAAGGCAGAAAGCAATAAATTCTGGGGAGTGAAAGGACACTGAAGCTTCTTGCTCTGTATCTCACTACTTGAACTTTTTTTTTTTTTTTTTTTTTTTTGAGACGGAGTCTTGCTCTGTCACCCAGGCTGGAGTGCAGTGGCGCGATCTCGGCTCACTGCAACCTCCGCCTCCCAGGTTCAAGCAATTATCCTGCCTCAGCCTCCCTAGTAGCTGGGATTACAGGTGCCCGCCACCACGCCCAGCTAATTTTTGTATTTTTTAGTAGAGACGGGGTTTCACCATGTTGGCCAGGCTGGTCTCGAACTCCTGACCTCGTGATCCACCCTCCTTGGGCTCCCAAAGTGCTGGGATTACAGGCATGAGCCACCGTGCCCAGCCCTACTTGAACTTTTTATGATTAGAATGAATTCAAGTTTTATTTGTGTGCTTAGAAAAAGGTAAGTGAGGCAGAGAGCATGTACTCTGTAAGTTTACACGAGATGGAGATCCCTTCCAGCTTGGGATACCTGAAAAGACTTCATGGACCAATGATAGTTGAGCTAGACTTTGAATGATAGGGAGGATTTGAAAGTTCAGGGTACAGAATGAATATAGAAGGCAGGAAATGGAACAGGATAGGACAGGGAGAAACCAGTGTGAATGGAGCTGAGGTCTTAATCTAGGCCTTGAAATCAGCCCCAAGCCCAGCTCTACTGTGTACTAACTGTGTAAACTTGAGCCAGATACTGACTCTCTAAGCCTCAGTTTACTCATCTGTAAAATGTAGATAATAATATCTAGCTCATAGATAAAAGAATAATAACATCTCATAGGGTGGTGGTGGGAATTAAATGTTACCATATGAAAAGTGTTGAGAACAGTGCTAACAAAGCAATAGCTGCATTTTGGACATGTTGGGTTTACGATACCAAGCAGCACATTTATGTGCCAGGAAATGTGGAACTGGAGACCAAGAGAGTGGTCAGGGAACCATGCACACAGACACGGTAATTACAGCAGCCATGCTGTTGGATGGGATTGTCAAAAAAAGAGTGTGGAGAGAGAAGAGAGAGGGGCTGTAAGAGTTTGGGTAGGTTGGCTGGGCGCGGTGGCTCACGCCTGTAATCCCAGCACTTTGAGAGGCAGAGGCAGGCGGATCACGAGGTCAGGAGATCGAGACCATCCTGGCTAACACAGTGAAACCCAGTCTCTACTAAAAATACAAAAAATTAGCCAGGTGTGGTGGCGGGCACCTGTAGTCCCAGCTACTCGGGAGGCTGAGGCAGGAGAATGACGTGAACCCAGGAGGCGGAGCTTGCAGTGAGCCGAGATTGTGCCACTGCACTCCAGCCTGGGCGACAGAGTGAGACTCTGTCTCAAAAAAAAAACAAAAAACAAAAAAGAGTTTGGGTAGGTGGCTCAACCTCTCTAAGCCTGTTTTCTCATCTACAGTGGGGGTGATAGCATCTACCACATGGGCAGTCATGAAGATAAAGCACTTAGCACAGTGCCTGTATGGCAAGAACTTCATGAATGGTAGCTATTGTATTATCATTATTATCATTAAAGGACCAGAAACAAATTGTATCATTGGCGGAAAAGAGAGTTTCAAGGCCAGGCACAGTGGCTCATGTCTGTAATCCTAGCACTTTGGGAGGCTGAGGTAGGTGGATCGCTTGAGCCCAGGAGTTTGAGACTAGCCTAGGCAACATGGTGAAACCCCATCTCTACAAAAAATACAAAAATTAGCCAGGTATCCTGGTGGGCGTCTGTAGTCTCAGCTACTCGGGAGACTGAGGTGGGAGGGTCACCTGATCCCAGGAGGTCAAGGCTGCAGTGAGCAGTGATCACACCACTGCACTCCAATGTGGGTGACAGTGAGACCCTGTCTCAAGAAAAAAGTTTCAAGAAGAAAGAAATGGTTAGCAGGGTCATATACTGTTAAGGAAAGGATGAGAAAAACTATTGAATTTAGGGATTAGGGATATTATCCAAGGTAGGCTAACGGCGATACCAAACAACCGCCAAAACTCAGTGGCTTAATAATAAAAGTTCCTTTCTTTTTTACTTCATAGTCTAGTGCAGGTTTAGGAAGGGAGGTCTGTTCCGCCCAATTATTGGGGACCCAGTCTTGTCCATTTTGTGACTGTCCTGCTCTAGCTCCTTAGAGTCCTCTACTCCCGGAAAAGTGTTTTTTTTTTTTTTTTTAAATTTAATTTTTTTTTTATTGATCATTCTTGGGTGTTTCTCACAGAGGGGGATTTGGCAGGGTCATAGGACACTAGTGGAGGGAAGGTCAGCAGACAAACAAGTGAACAAAGGTCTCTGGTTTTCCTAGGCAGAGTGTTTGTGTCCCTGGGTACTTGAGATTAGGGAGTGGTGATGACTCTTAACGAGCATGCTGCCTTCAAGCATCTGTTTAACAAAGCACATCTTGCACCGCCCTTAATCCATTTAACCCTGAGTGGACACAGCACATGTTTCAGAGAGCACAGGGTTGGGGGTAAGGTCATAGATCAACAGGATCCCAAGGCAGAAGAATTTTTCTTAGTACAGAACAAAATGAAAAGTCTCCCATGACTACTTCTTTCTACACAGACACGGCAACCATCCGATTTCTCAATCTTTTCCCCACCTTGCCCCCTTTTCTATTCCAGAAAACCGCCATCGTCATCATGGCCCATTCTCAATGAGCTGTTGGGTACACCTCCCAGACGGGGTGGTGGCCGGGCAGAGGGGCTCCTCACTTCCCAGTAGGGGCGGCCGGGCAGAGGCGCCCCTCAGCTCCCGGACTGGGTGGCTGGCCAGGCGGGGGGCTGACCCCCCCACCTCCCTCCCAGACGGGGCGGCTGGCCGGGAGGGGGCGCTGACCCCCCCCTCCACCTCCCTCCCGGACGGAGCGGCTGGCCCGGCGGGGGGCTGAGCCCCCCACCTCCCTCCTGGATGGGGCAGCTGGCCAGGCAGAGGGGCTCCTCACTTCCCAGTAGGGGCGGCCAGGCAGAGGCGCCCCTCACCTCCCGGACGGGGCGGCTGGCCGGGCGGGGGGCTGAGCCCCCCACCTCCCTCCCGGACGGGGCGGCTGGCCGGGCGGGGGGCTGACCCCCCCACCTCCCTCCCGGACGGGGCGGCTGGCCGGGCGGGGGGCTGACCCCCCCACCTCCCTCCCGGACGGGGCGGCTGGCTGGGCAGAGGGGCTCCTGGCTGGGCAGAGGGGCTCCTCACTTCCCAGTAGGGGCGGCCGGGCAGAGGCGCCCCTCACCTCCCGGACGGGGCGGCTGGCCGGGCGGGGGGCTGAGCCCCCCACCTCCCTCCCGGACGGGGCGGCTGGCCGGGCGGGGGGCTGACCCCCACCTCCCTCCCCGCCGGGGTGGCTGCCGGGCGGAGACGGTCCTCACTTCCCAGACGGGGTGGCAACCAGGCGGAGGGGCTCCTCACTTCTCAGACGGGGCGGTTGCCAGGCGGAGGGTCTCCTCACTTCTCAGATGGGGGGCGCCGGGCAGAGACGCTCCTCACCTCCCAGACGGGGCGGCGGGGCAGAGGCGCTCCCCACATCTCAGACGATGGGCTGCCGGGCAGAGACGCTCCTCACTTCCTAGATGGGATGGCGGCCGGGACGAGGCGCTCCTCACTTCCCAGGTGGGATGGCGGCCGGGCAGAGAAGCTCCTCACTTTCCAGACTGGGCAGCCAGGCAGAGGGGCTCCTCACGTCCCAGACGATGGGCAGCCAGGCAGAGACGCTCCTCACTTCCCAGACGGGGTGGCGGCCGGGCAGAGGCTGCAATCTCCGCACTTTGGGAGGCCAAGGCAGGCGGCTGGGAGGTGGAGGCCGTAGCGAGCCGAGATCACGCCACTGCACTCCAGCCTGGGCACCATTGAGCACTGAGTGAATGAGACTCCGTCTGCAATCCCGGCACCTCGGGAGGCCGAGGCTGGCGGATCACTCGCGGCTAGGAGCTGGAGACCAGTCCGGCCAACACAGCGAAACCCCGTCCCCACCAAAAAAACACGAAAACCAGTCAGGCGTGGCGGCGCGCGCCTGCAATCGCAGGCCCTCGGCAGGCTGAGGCAGGAGAATCAGGCAGGGAGGCTGCAGCGAGCCGAGATGGCAGCAGTACAGTCCAGCTTTGGCCCGGCATGAGAGGGAGACCGTCGAAAGGAGAGGGAGAGGGAGACGGGAGAGGGAGAGGGAGACGGGAGAGGGAGAGGGAGACGGGAGAGGGAGAGGGAGAGGGAGACGGGAGGTGTTTTTTTTTTTTTTTTGAGACGGAGTCTCGCTCTGTCACCCAGGCTGGAGTGCGGTGGCGCGATCTCTGCTCACTGCAAGCTCTACCTCCTGAGTTCACGCCATTCTCCTGCCTCAGCTCCAGAGTAGCTGGGACTACAGGCGCCTGCCACCACGCCCGGCTAATTTTTTGTATTTTTAGTAGAGACGGGGTTTCACTGTATTAGCCAGGGTGGTCTCGAACTCCTGACCTCGTGATCCACCCGGCTTGGCCTCCCAAAGTGCTGGGATTACAGGCGTGTGAGCCATCGTGCCCGGCTACTCCCGGAAAAGTTTTAAGGAGCCAGCCTGGAAGAGTCAGCACATCATTCCATTCTGCTAGCTAGAACTTAGTCACATGGCCATGTCTAACCGCAAAGGAGTGGGGAAGTAGGTTCCTAGATAAAATACAGCATGCCCAGTTACATTTGAATTTCAGGTAAACAAGTTATTTTTCAGTATAATTACATTCCAAATATTGCTTGGGACGTACTTCTAAGAATTTCTTCCTTGCTTAATTGAAATTCAAATGTAACCAGCATCCTGTATTTTTATTTGCTATATCTGGTAGCCCTACTGGGAAGTGAAGTCTGGCTGTGAGTTCAAGAAGAGAACACAGATAATTGTATGTTACAGTCTGCCTTTCTGAGCCAAATACCTGTTTCTCTTCACAGAATACACTTACCCTTGCCCAGGGGAAATAGCCCCAAATCCCATCTAGTCACTGTATTCAGCTCAGAGTCTCTCAGTCAGCTTCAGTGTGGTTCCTTATGGTGATTTGTGAACTGAAAAAGCAAGGTATCTGCACTTCACAAACATACCCAGTATACATTGGTAGAGCAAGAAAAGGATAGCCTCAATACAAACTCCCAGTCAGAAAAGGAAAGCATGGAAGAAGTGCCACAGTCACTGGTCCAAAACAGTTTTGAATTCCCACTGCTCAGGTAGGTCAAAGTCCCCGTCCCTGGACTGCAGGGAGTTCCTGGATTAGAACTTGATTTTTTTTTTTTTTTTTTTTTTTTTTTTTTTTTTTTTTTAGAGACAGGGTCCACTCTGTTGCCCAGGCTGGAAGGCAGCCCAGGCTGGAAGGCAGTGGTGTGACCATAGCTCACTGTAATCTCAAACTTCTGAGCTCAAGGGATTCTCCCATCTCAGCCCCTCCCAAGTAGCTGGGACTACAGGCATGTTCCACCACGCCTGGCTAATTTTTGCCATATTTTATAGAGATAAGGTCTCGCTATGTTGCCCAGGCTGGTCTTGAACTCCTGGCCTCAAGTAATCCTTTTGCCTTGGTCTCTCAAAGTGCTGGGATTATGTGCATGAGCCACCACACCCAGCCTAGACCTTGTTTTTGTTATGGGATGGACTTTTTTGTTGTTGTTGTTGTTTTGTTTTGTTTTGTTTTTGAGACTCGCTTTGTTGCCCAGGCTGGAGTGCAGTGGCGCGATCTTGGCTCACCACAACCTCCACCTCCTGGGTTCAAGTGATTCTCCTGCCTCAGCCTCCCGAGTAGCTGGGACTACTGGCATGCGCCACCATGCCCAGCTAATTTTTATATTCTTAATAGAGGCGGGGTTTCACTATGTTGGCCAGGCTGGTCTCGAACTCCTGACCTCGTGATCCCCCTGCCTTGGCCTCACAAAGTGCTGGGATTACAGGCGTGAGCTACTGTACCCGGCCTGGGATGGACTCTTTTGTCCATTGTACTCCATGGCTCCTGGATGTGACTTTCTAGGAAGTTCTTCCTTGCCTTTTTAAAATTTTATTTTGAAGAGACAGGGTCTCACTCTGTTGTCCAGGCTGGAGTGCAGTGGCAGGATCATAGCTCACTGCAGCCTGAAAGTCCTAGACTCACGCAATCTGCCTACCTTATCCTCCCAAGTAGCCCCAACTACTACAGGCACACAACTACTACAGGCCTGACTTCTTCCTTGTTGATTATTCTTCATGGCCACATCTGAGATTGGCTTTGGGGATTATGACCTTCTCCTTTGCGAATTATGACCATTCTCCTTGGAGAATGCTCAGGTGTCACCAAGCCACTTCCTACTGGTGAAAACAAGGGAGCCTAAAGTTATTTTAAGTCTCAACTAGTCAGACTGTGTATGTATGTGCACTAAAATGTATCTAACAAAATTACCATCTTAACTTTTTAAGTGTTAGTTCTGTAGCATTAAGTACATTCACATTGTTGTGCAACTAACACCACTACCTATCTCCATAACTTTTTTTTTTTTTGAGACGGAGTCCTGCTCTGTCGCCCAGGCTGCAGTGGAGTAACACGATCTTGGCTCACTGCAACCTCCGCTTCCTGGGTTCAAGCGATTCTCCTGCCTCTGCTTCCCGAGTAGCTGGGACTACAGGTGCCCACCACCACACTCAGCTAATTTTTTGTATTTTTAGTAGAGACAGGGTTTTGCCACGCTGGCCAGGCTGGTCTTGAACTCCTGACCTCAAGTGATCCACCCACCTTGGCCTCACAAAGTGCTGGGATTACAGACATCAGCCACCATGCCCAGCCCAGAACTTTTTTATCTTCCCAAACTGAAACTGTACCCATTAAACAATAACTTCACATTCCCCCTGCTCTCCAACCCCTGGCAACTGCCATTCTATTTTCTGTCTCTATAAACTTGACTACTCTTGGTACCTCATATAAGTGGCATCATAAAATATTTGTCCTTTTGTGTCTGGCTTATTTCAATTAGCATAAGGTCTTCAGGGTTCATCCATATTGTAGCTTGCATCAGAATTTCTTTCTTTTTTTTTTTTTTTTTTTTTGAGACGGAGTCTCGCTCTGTCGCCCAGACTGGAGTGCACTGGCGCGATCTCGGCTCACTGCAAGCTCCACCTCCCGGGTTCATGTCATTCTCCTGCCTCACCCTCCTGAGTAGCTGGGACTACAGGTGCCTGCCACCACGCCTGGCTAATTTTTTTTTTTTTTTTGTATTTTTAGTAGAGATGGGGTTTCACTGTGTTAGCCAGGATGGTCTCGATCTCCTGACCTCGTGATCCGCCCACCTCAGCCTGCCAAAGTGCTGGGATTATAGGTGTGAGCCACCGAGCCCGGCCACCAGAATTTCTTTTTAAGGCTGCATATATTCCATTGTAGTACATCTTGTTTATCCATTCATCTGTCAATGGTCATTTGGATAGCTTCTGCCTTGTGGCTATAATGAATAGTGCTGTTATGAATATTTTATATAACAGATATAAAAATATCTGTTCAAATCTCTGCTTTCAGTTCTTTTGTGTATACAGCCAGAAGTAGAATTGCTGGATTATATGGTAGTTCCATGTTTGCTTTTTTGAAGAATGGCCATACTGTTTTTCTACAGCAGTTGCGCATTTTACATTCCCACCAGCAATGCAAAAGGGTCCCAATTTCTGTATATCCTCACCAACATTTGTTATTTTCTGTTTTTTAATTCTAGCCACCTTGGTGTGTGTAAAGTGGTATTTTGATTTAAATTTTCCTGATGATTAGTGGTATTGAGTATCATTTCATGTGCTTATTGGCTACTTGTATGTCTTTGGAGAAATATCTATTCCTAACCTTACCTGTTTTGGGGTTTTGTTTTTTTTTATTGTTGTTGAGTTGTTGGAGTTCTTTATATATTTTAGGTATTAATCCCTTATCTGATACATGATTTGCAAAATTTTCTCCTATTCTGTGAGTTGCCTTTTCAAAATCATTGCCAAATCTGATGTCATGCAGTTTTCTCCTTATGTTTTCTTCTAAGAGTTTTATAGTTTTTGCTTTTTTTTTTTTTTGTTTTTGAGACAGGGTCTCATGCTGTCACCCAGGTTGGAGTGCAGTGGTGTGATCACAGCTCACTGCAGCCTCAACCTCCCAGGCTCAAGCAATCCTTCTACTTCAGCCCCCTAATTAGCTGGAACTACAGGCACATGCCACCACTGCACCTGGCCATGCAGGCCACACTCTTAACCTGGTATTTACCTTAGAAAGATTGCATCCTTAGGCCAGGCACAGTGGCTCATGCCTGTAATCCCAGCATTTTGGGAGGTCAATGCAGGCTGATCACTTGAGTCCAGGAATTTGAGACCAGCCTGGGCCACATGGCAAAACCCCATTTCTACTAAAAACACAAAAATTAGCTGGGTGTGATGGCACGTGCCTGTAATCCCAGTTATTTGGGAGGCTGAGGCATGAAAATCACTTGAACCCAGGAGGCAGAGGTTGCAGTGAACTGAGATTGCGCCACTGCACTCCAGCCTGGGCAACAGAGCCAGACAGTGGTTTTTAAAAAAAAAAAAAAAAGATTGCATATTTAAATTCATGTTGTTCAAGACCTTTTCTATTTATTTATTTATTTTTTTTTTTTGAGCCAGGGTCTCACTCTGTTGCCCAGGCTGGAGTGCAGTGGTACAGTCACAGCTCACTGCAGCCTCCACCTCCCTGGGCTCAGGTGATCTTCTTGCCTCAGCCTCCCAAGTAGCTAGGAGTATAGGTATGCTCCAACATGCCTGGCTAATTTTTATTTTTGATTTTTTTTGTAGAGACAGGACTTCTCTATGTTGCCCAGGCTGGTCTTGAACTCCTGGGCTCAAGTGATCTTCTGCCTCGGCTTTCTAAAGTGCTGGGATTACAGGCAGGAGCCACCGCGCCCTGCCCTAAAACCTTTTCTATCTTACTTTGTACTATTTGTTGTCCAGAAGCAGTCAGCTTTTCCAACCCTGAAAGACCTATGATCTTTGTTCTTTCTCTATTTTCTATTTCTGTTGAAATCCAGCATATTCTCACCTAAACTCACCTCTTTCTTGGAATACTTTATAAAGACAACAGTGCTAGGGCCGGGCGCGGTGGCTCACGCCTGTAATCCCAGCACTTTAGGAGGCCGAGGCGGGCGGATCACAAGATCAGGAGTTCGAGAACAACCTGGCCAATATGGTGAAACCCCGTCTGTACTAAAAATACAAAAATTAGCTGGGCGTGGTGGCGGACGCCTGTAGTCCCAGCCACTCGGGAGGCTGAGGCAGGAGAATTGCTTGAGCCCAGGAGGCGGAGGTTGAAGTGAGCCGAGATCGGGCCGCTGCATTCCAGCCTGGGAGACAGAGCCAGACTCTGTCTCAAAAAAAAAAAAAAAAAAAAAAAAAAAAAAAAAAAAAACAGTGCTAGTTATTAAGTTACTGTCTCTCAGCTCCAAACCCACCCACATATTCGTTACAATGAGATACTGGAGCTGGGGCTCTGAAAATCACGTTTTTGCTTGGGTAGGCTCTGTGTTTGGCTTTCCCAATAAGGGCCACCAGAGGGAGACAGTGAAGCCAGAGGAAGAAGAAGGGACACTTTTTTTTTTGAGATGGAGTTTCCCTCCCGTCACCCAGGCTGGAATGCAGTGGCACAATCTCGGCTCACTGCAACCCTCTGCCTCCTGGATTCAAGTGATTCTCCTGCCTCAGCCTCCCGAGTAGATGGGACTACAGGCGCCCGCCACCACGCCCGGTTAATTTTTGTATTTTTGGTAGAGACAGGGTTTCGCCATGTTGGCCAGGCTGGTCTCGAACTTCTGATCTCAGGTGATCTGCCTGCCTCGGCCTCCCAAAGTGCTGGGACTACAGGTGTGAGCCACCGCGCCCAGCTGGGACTCTTCTTTTTGCTTCCTATTCCTGTAAGGGTCACTCTGGCAACACTCCTTTACCCAGACAGTAGCAGGTCCTTCTTGTAGCAGCTGCTGAATCCACTTTGTAGTTTTTCCCAACAATTGCCAAACCAGTTCCATTGTGTTCCACTCAGAGACACCAGCACCAGCTGGGTAGTATCCTGTCTTCAGAGGTCTGAGTTCTTCAAGCTCAAAGACTAGATGGAGCATCAGACTTAGAGGTCCGAGTTTCAGCTCTGCAGAGGCCCTCCTCTAAGGTTTTAACTTTGAGTAATTCCAAACTCTTGCCTTTGTACTCTTAGCCCGAGGAGTTACAGATGCTTCTTGCTGTCTATTGCTGCCTCCATGATATCTTAGTTTTCTTTTTACCCTTAGAGTTATCTAGTTAACAATTTATTCCTAGTTAACTATTCTAACCATTCTTTATATTAAATTCTCTCTGTCAGTGACTGATGTGGTTTCTCTCTCATTGCCTGGACCCTGACTGATACAGAAATTGGTACTAGGAGTGGCCCCAGGAAAAAGACCCCAAAAGATGGGATTAGGAAATCAGCTTGGCTGTGTCATTGGGTTTGAATGTGCTGAGCTCCTTGCCAATGAGAATGTGATCCATAGCATGCTGTGGCCTCATAATTAATGAAATCATCGCCTGTGGTTATTTGTGATGAAGTGCCAACCAAAGGAAGTGTCTCGGGGGCCCAAATGGTGGTTGCACTAACTGTTATGGCAGTGATAATGACTATAGGGACTATGATATGGGACCGATTCTTCCAGTTGCATCATGGGCCTTGCAGGAAAAAAAAAAAAAATTACCAGCTCAGGTCTTTAAACTCTCAGCTGAACTCGTGGTCAGAGAACTGTAGGGCTTCTCTAATAGCCATAAAATAATCTCTTATTTCCTGTAGCCACCAGACTGATTTGCTACAAATAAAACATGAAAATTGTGCATATTGCAGAATTCCATCAGCTGAATTCAGTTTAACTAAGTCTTTCCTGTGATTCAGGAGTAGGACCCTGAAACTTGGAATAAGGACATCTGATTTGACTCAGACAAATGTGAAAATCTTAGATTTATCCTTCTCTTTGAGCTTCTTTTGCTAGTAGAAGCATCTTGTTGACTTGTGTCTCAGGAAACCTGGCTTCCCTTGCTTGAAAAATCTTGTAATAACTTCTGGGGCAGGATATATACCTTGCAAAGATATGCCATTCTCCCCAAGATCCACCCAAGCCACCCCTTGTTGCCACCAGACCCACAACTAGGATGCAATCTCAGCATTCTCCAAGGAGGCAAGTAGAAAATCTGACTCAGAAGGAAATAACTTACACATCACAATCATTTCAAGATTTTGCTGACATATAGACAGAAATCTGGGGAATACACATGGGAGTGGATTCTTAGAATGTTAGACCTATAAGGATGAAATATAACACAGGACTGAGCCAAATGTATTGATGTGTATGCACTTGTCAGAGATTCTGAATTTAAAGTGTTACTTCACATAGCTGCAAGTGGCTCTAATGGCTTACTTGGTTGGTTGACTGAAAATCTGACTTAATGTTATTTCTGTTATTTTATTTTATTTATGTATTTATTTTTGAGATAGGGTCTTGCTTTGATGCCCGGGCTGGTACAATTTCAGCTCACTGCAGCCTCGACTTCCCAGGCTCAAGCAAGCCTCCTGCCTCAGCCTTCTGAGTAGTTGAGACTACAGGCGTGTGCCACCACGCCCAGCTAATTTTTTTTTTTTTTTTTTTGGATGTAGTTTCACTCTTGTCGCCCAGGCTGGAGTGCAATGGCGCAATCTCAGCTCACTGCAACCTCCACCTCCCAGGTTTAAGCAATTCTCCTGCCTCAGACTCCCAAGTAGCTAGGGTTACAGGCATGCACCGTCACACCTGGCTAATTTTTGTATTATTAGTAGAGACGGGGTTTCACCATGTTGGCCAGGCTGGTCTCAAACTCCTGACCTCTGGTGATCCACCCGCCTTTGCCTCTCAAAGTGCTGGATTACAGGCGTGAGCCACCGCACCCAGCCACGCCCAGCTAATTTTTGTCTTTTCTGTAGAGACGGGATTTTGCCATGTTGCCTGGGCTGGTCTCAAACTCCTGGGCTCAGGCGATCCACCTGCCTCAGCCTCTCAAAGTTCTGGGATTACAAATGTGAGCCACTGTGCCCAGCTAGTACCTATGTTTAATGAGGCTAAGATGGGGAGAATTCACTGGAGAGGACAAAATTCAAAGGACCAGAGAGAAAAGAATGTTGTAATAAATTTATCTATGTGAACTTTGTGTCCTCTCTGTCTCCCAAGAGGGCCCAGAGGACACTCTGTTCACCCCAGCATTGAGAAATGTATTGGTGAGGGGAGCATCTGCATTCTCAGAAAGCTCTGTGGGGACTCTCCTCTGTGATTCAAGAATGATAGTTGGAAATTCTGCCATTGAGATGGGCTCCCTAGTTTCAGTGGAGACGAGAGGATCTCAGAGTATCAGAGGCCAAGTAGTAGTGCTTAACCGACAAAGACAAGGTAGATGCATTTGCCATCAAGAGCAGTAGAGTCTTTGTGAGAATCTAGTGGCTAGAAATAAGATTTGAATCACCAACAATGGGGAAGCATGGCCTCTTATCCAGTTTTTAGACCTAAGTCAGTTAACAGACCTAGAGCCCCTTGATTGAAAGGGAGGCCAAGTCCCCTTAAGAAAGGACCCAGCAACACTGCCGAAATATATATGGTAAATTTTCCCTCAAATTTTCTTCATAACATCTATAACCCTTTTCTAGAGCAACTGTGCGGTGGGGAAAAGGAAACATCCAGACCTTTAGGGGATTACTAAATATTGGCTCTGAACTGATGCTAATTCCTGGGGACCCAAAATGCCACTGTGGCCTACCAGTTAAAGTAGGGGCTCTTGGTGGCCTCTTTGGACATATCTTGGGGTTATCTCCCAAGTTTCTGAATTTATAAGTGGAATTGACATATTTAACAACTAACATGGGTTCAGTTGGCTCTCTGACCCATAGAGTAAGGGCCCTTATGGTGGGAAAGGCCAAGTAGATGCCTCTGGGCCTTCCCCCTCTCTGTGAAGACAGCAAACTAGAAGTAAACTGCATACCTGGGTGTTGTGAATTGAACTGTGACCACCCTCCACACCCCCTACAAATCCATATGTTGAAGCCCTAAGCCTCCAATGTGACTGTATCTAGAGATAGGGCCTACCCTAATCCGATAGGACTTGGGTCTTTCTAAAAAGAGAAAGAGGCCGGGCGCGGTGCCTCACCCCTGTAATCACAGCCCTTTGAGAGGCCGAGGTGGGTGGATCACTTGAGGTCAGGAGTTCAAGACCAGCCTGACCAACATGGTGAAATCCCGTCTCTACTAAAAAAATATAAAATTAAGGCCGGGCGCGGTGGCTCACACCTGTAATCCCAGCACTTTGGGAGGCCAAGGCGGGCAGATCATGAGGTCAGCAGATCGAGACCATCCTGGCTAACAGGGTGAAACCCCATCTCTATTAAAAATACAAAAAAATAGCCGGGCATGGTGGCATGCGCCTGTAGTCCCAACTACTCGGGAGGCTGAGGCAGGAGAATCGCTTGAACCCAGGAGGCAGAGGTTGCAGTGAACCAAGATCGCGCCACTGCACTCCAGCCTGGGCAACAGAGCAAGTCTCCGTCTCAAAAAAAAAAAATTATATATATATAATATATATATATAAATAGCCGGGCATGGTGGCACATGCGTGTAATCCCAGCTACTTGGGAGGCTGAGGCAGGAGAATCACTTGAACCCAGGAGGCAAAGGTTGCAGTGAGCTGAGATTGCATCATTGCACTCCAGCTTGGGCAACAAGAGCGAAACTCTGTCTCAAAAAAAAAAAAAAGAAAGAAAGAAAGAAAAACAAGAAGAGGAAGAAACACTTAGAGTATTTGTGCACAGAAAAAAGGCCATGTGAAAATAGAGTAAGAAGGCTGTCATCTGCAAGCCATAGAGAGGTCTCACTGTAAACCAACCCTGCTGGCACCTTGATCTTGGACTTCCAGCCTCTAGAACTGTGACAAGATAAATTTCTGTTCTTCACATCACCCAGCCTGTGGCATTCTGTTCTGGCAGTCCTAGCTGACTAATACGTTGGAGGAGTTGCAGATATTAGTGTCACCATCAAAGACTTGAAAGATGCTAAGGTGATGCATTCTGTCATTTTCCTATTTAACACACATGTTTGGCCAATAAATAAGGCAACTGGATCTTGGAGAATGAAAGTAGTCCCGGGTACTCAGGAGGCTGAGGCAGGAGGACTGCTTGAGTTCAGGAGTTCTGAGCTATACTGCACTATTCTGATAGGGTGTCTGCACTAAGTTTGGCATCAATATGGTGATCTCCTGGGAGCGAGGGGCCGCCAGTTTGCCTAAGGAGGGGTGAATCAGCCCAAGTCAGAAATGGAGCAGGTCAAAACTCCTGTGATGATCAATACTGAGATAGCACCTGTAAATAGCCACTGCATTTGAGCCTGGGCAACATAGTAAGACCCTGGTGCTTGTCATAAAAAAAAAAGTGGCCAGGCACAGTGACTCACACCTGTAATCCAGCACTTTGGGAGGCTGAGGCAGGAGGATCACTTTAGCCCAGGAGTTCAAGACCACCCTGGGCAACATAGGGAGATCCTGTCTCTACAAAAAATTTAAAAACTAGTCAGGCATGGTGGTACACACGTGTGGTCCCAGCTACTTTGGAGGCTAAGGTGGGAAGATTGTTTGAGCCCAGGAGGTCGAGGCTACATTGATCCATGTTCGCACCACTGCACTCCAGCCTGGGCAACAGAGTAAGACCCTGTCTCCAAAAAAAAAAGTATAATAAATTTTATCAAATAATAACTCCAATTACAGCTGCTGTTCCAGTTGTAGCAGTGCACCTGGCATTTGGTGTTCAGCTGTTGACCTGGCACATGATTTTTTTCCTCCATGTAGTTTGTAAGAAATACCAGGAGCCACCGGGCATGGTGGCTCATGCCTGTAATCCCAACACTTTGGAGGCCAAGGCGGGCGGATCACCTGAGGTCAGGAGTTCGAGACCAGCCTGACCAACATGGAGAAACCCCGTCTCTACTAAAAATACAAAATTAGCCAGGAGAGGTGGCTCAAGCCTGTAATCCCAGCTACGCAGGAGGCTGAGGCAGGAGCCTGGGAGGCGGAGGTTGCAGTGAGCCAAGATTGCGCCATTATACTCCAGCCTGGGCGACAAGAGTGAAACTCCATCTCAAAAAAAAAAAAAAAATGAAAGAAGGCCAGGCGCGGTGGCTCACACCTGTAATCCCAGCACTTTGGGAGGCTGAGGCGGGTGAATCACAAGGTCAGGAGTTCGAGACCAGTCTGGTCAACATGGTGAAACGCTGTCTCTGCTAAAAATACAAAAAAATTAGCTGGGCGTGGTGGCAGGTGCCTGTAATCCTAGCTACTCAGGAGGCTGAGGCAGGAGAATCGCTTGAACCTGGGAGGTGGAGGTTGCAGTGAGCCAAGATCGCGCCACTGCACTCCAGCCTGGGTGACAGTGCGGCGAGACTCCATCTCAAAAAAAGGAAGAAAGAAAGAGAGAGAGAGCGAGAGAGAGAGAGGGAAGGAAGGAAGGAAAGAAAGGAAGGAAGAAAGAGAAAGAGGGAGGGAGGGAGAGAGAGAGAGAAAGGAAAGAAAGGAAGGAAGAGGGGGAGGAGAGGGAAGTGGAGGGAAGGGGAGGGAAGGGAAGCAGAGGGAAGGGAAGACCAGAAGCCATTTGCTTTTACATTTTAGAGCCCAAAGTACACTTGCACAGTCTTGCCTGAAGTTTGTGTCAACTTCTTGGTTCTCTGTCATGATGTAGTCCACAGAGACCTTGATTATCTTGACCTAGCACGTAACAAAGAAGTAGAAAGTACTTTTAGATGCCTTAATAAAACATGAAATAAAGGATGGGAGGGAAATATCACAAAAACTCATGGGCCTGGTACTTCAGAGAACTATCTGGTGGTCCAAATTCTGTAAATCGGCTGGGCACGGTGGCTCAAACCTGTAATCCCAGCACTTTGGGAGCCCAAGGCAGGCGGATCACTTGAGGTCAGGAGTTAGAGACCAGCCCGGCCAACATGGTGAAACTCCGTCTCTACTAAAAATACAAAAATTAGCTGGGCGTGGTGGTACACGCCTGTAGTCCTAGCTACTTGGAAGGCTGAGGCTCTTGCTTGAACCTGGGAGGCAGAGGTTGCAGTGAGCCGAGATCGCGCCACTGCTCTCCAGCCTGGCAACAGAGCAAGACTCTGCCTCCAAAAAAAAAAAAAGTAATAATTATAGGCCAGGCATGGTGGTTCATACCTGTAATCCCAGCACTTTGGGAGGCCAAGGTGGGTGAGTTGCTTGAGCCCAGGAGTTCAAGACCAGCCTGGACAACATGGTGAAACCCCATCTCTACCAAAAAAAAATTTTTTTAATTATAAAATAAATATAAGATGAATATATTTATAAATAATTTGTAGTTATACATACACATATATAAATATATAAATAAATACATGTATATAATTTTCTCTTCTCCTTTTATTATTTTATGCAAATTTTGTTTAACTTTACAATTCAGTTTTAAGTAATAGCATTTCCAGACAGGAAAGTGACTGATTTTGAGGAGTTATTAACATATCCCAGGGCAGTGCGGAGCCGGGACAGTCGCGGCGCTGACGCCCGCGGGCCCCAGCTGCAGATATGAAGCGGAGCCGCTGCCGCGACCGACCGCAGCCGCCGCCGCCCGACCGCCGGGAGGATGGAGTTCAGCGGGCAGCGGAGCTGTCTCAGTCTTTGCCGCCGCGCCAGCGAGCGCCGCCCGGGAGGCAGCGGCTGGAGGAGCGGACGGGCCCCGCGGGGCCCGAGGGCAAGGAGCAGCCGCCTGCCTTGGCCTCCCAAAGTGCCGAGATTGCAGCCTCTGCCCGGCCGCCACCCCGTCTGGGAAGTGAGGAGTGTCTCTGCCTGGCCGCCCATCGTCTGGGATGTGAGGAGCCCCTCTGCCTGGCTGCCCAGTCTGTAAAGTGAGGAGCGTCTCCGCCCGGCCGCCATCCCATCTAGGAAGTGAGGAGCGCCTCTTCCCAGCCGCCATCACATCTAGGAAGTGAGGAGCGTCTCTGCCCGGCCGCCCATCGTCTGAGATGTGGGGAGCGCCTCTGCCCCGCCGCCCCATCTGGGATGTGAGGAGCGCCTCTGCCCGGCGGAGACCCCGTCTGGGAGGTGAGGAGCGTCTCTGCCCGGCCGCCCCGTCTGAGAAGTGAGGAGACCCTCTGCCTGGCAACCACCCCGTCTGAGAAGTGAGGAGCCCCTCCGCCCGGCAGCTGCCCCGTCTGAGAAGTGAGGAGCCTCTCCGCCCGGCAGCCACCCCATCTGGGAAATGAGGAGCGTCTCCGCCCGGCAGCCACCCCGTCCGGGAGGGAGGTGGGGGGGGGTCAGCCCCCCGCCCGGCCAGCCGCCCCATCCGGGAGGGAGGTGGGGGGGTCAGCCCCCCGCCTGGCCAGCCGTGCCGTCCGGGAGGGAGGTGGGGGGGTCAGCCCCCCGCCCGGCCAGCCGCCCCGTCCGGGAGGTGAGGGGCGCCTCTGCCCGGCCACCCCTACTGGGAAGTGAGGAGCCCCTCAGCCCGGCCAGCCACCCCGTCCGGGAGGGAGATGGGGGGGTCAGCCCCCCCACCCGGCCAGCCGCCCCGTCCGGGAGGGAGGTGGGGGGGTCAGCCCCCCGCCTGGCCAGCCGCCCCGTCCGGGAGGGAGGTTGGGGGGTCAGCCCTCCGCCCGGCCAGCCGCCCCGTCTGGGAGGTGAGGGGCGCCTCTGCCCAGCTGCCCCTACTGGGAAGTGAGGAGCCCCTCTGCCCGGCCAGCCGCCCCGTCCGGGAGGGAGGTTGGGGGATCAGCCCCCCGCCCGGCCAGCCGCCCTGTCCGGGAGGGAGGTGGGGGGGTCAGCCCTCCGCCCGGCCAGCCGCCCCATCTGGGAGGTGAGGGGCGACTCTGCCCGGCCGCCCCTACTGGGAAGTGAGGAGCCCCTCTGCCCGGCCAGCCGCCCCATCAGGGAGGGAGGTGGGGGTGTCGGCCCCCCGCCCGGCCAGCCGCCCCGTCCGGGAGGGAGGTGGGGGTGTCGGCCCCCCGCCCGGCCAGCCGCCCCGTCCGGGAGGGAGGTGGGGGGGTCGGCCCCCCGCCCGGCCAGCCGCCCCGTCCGGGAGGGAGGTGGGGGTGTCGGCCCCCCGCCCGGCCAGCCGCCCCGTCCGGGAGGGAGGTGGGGGTGTCGGCCCCCCGCCCGGCCAGCCGCCCCGTCCGGGAGGGAGGTGGGGGTGTCGGCCCCCCGCCCGGCCAGCCGCCCCGTCCGGGAGGGAGGTGGGGGGGTCGGCCCCCCGCCCGGCCAGCCGCCCCGTCCGGGAGGGAGGTGGGGGGGTCGGCCCCCTGCCCGGCCAGCCGCCCCGTCCGGGAGGGAGGTTGGGGGGTCAGCCCCCCGCCGGGCCAGCCGCCCCGTCCGGGAGGTGAGGGGCGCCTCTGCCCGGCCGCCCCTACTGGGAAGTGAGGAGCCCCTCTGCCCGGCCACCACCCCGTCTGGGAGGTGTGCCCAACAGCTCATTGAGAACGGGCCAGGATGACAATGGCGGCTTTGTGGAATAGAAAGGCGGGAAAGGTGGGGAAAAGATTGAGAAATCGGATGGTTGCCGTGTCTGTGTAGAAAGAAGTAGACATGGGAGACTTTTCATTTTGTTCTGCACTAAGAAAAATTCCTCTGCCTTGGAAAAAAAAAAAAAAACATATCCCAGAGATAGATAGAATGACTGTTGAGAGTCCGCATTTCTGGCGAGGCGCAGTGGCTCATGCCTGTAGTCCTAGCACTTTGGGAGGCTGAGGCGGGCAGATTGCCTGAGCTCAGGAGTTCATGACCAGCCTGGGCAACATGGCAAAACCCCATCTCTACTAAATATACAAAAAATTGGCTGGGCGAGGTGGCTCACGCCTGTAATCCTAGCACTTTGGGAGGCTGAGGTGGGCAGATCAGTTGAGGTCAGGAGTTCCAGACCAGCCTGACCAACATGCTGAAACCCCGTCTCTACTAAAAATACAAAAATTAGCTGGGTGTGGTGGTGGACGCCTGTAATCCCAGCTGCTCGGGAGGCTGAGGGAAGAGAATTGCTTGAGCCCAGGAGGTGGAAGTTGCAGTGAGCCAAGATCGCGCCACTGCACTCCAGCCTGGGCAACAGAGCGAGACTCATCCCAAAAAAAAAAAAAAAAAGGCCGGTTGGTGGCTCATGCCTGTAATCCCAGCACTTGGAGGCTGAGGCGGGCAGATCTTGAGGTCAGGAGTTTGAGACCAACGTGACCAACATGGAGAAACCCCGTCTCTACTAATAATACAAAAATTAGCTGGGTGTGGTGGCACGTGCCTGTAGTCCCAGCTACTCAGGAGGCTGAGGCAGAAGAATCGCTTGAACCCGGGAGGTGGAGGTTGCAGTGAGTCAAGATTGGGCCACTGCACTCCAGCCTGGGTGACAGAGCAAGACTGTCTTAAAAAAAAAAAAAAAGTCAGCCGGGCATGGTGGCGTGTGCTTGTAGTCCCAGCTTTTTGGGAGGCTGAGGCAGGAGAATCGCTTCAACCTGGGATGTAGTGGTTGCAGTGAGCCGAGATCATGCCACTACACTCCAAGCCTGAGTGACAGAGCAAGACTCTGTCTCCAAAAAACAGATTCCACATTTGTTCATTTTGGTGGAGTGGGTGAGAATGTACTTATACAAAAGATAGTTGTATAGTTGCACTTTGTTAGGTGGAAGACTGGAGTTGCCTTGTTATATGGAGGTTCAAAAATGTAGAGGCAGGCCAAGAGCGGTGGCTCACTCCCGTAGTCCCAGTACTGTGGGAGGCCAAGGTGGGCGGATCATGAGGTTAGGAGTTCAAGACCAGCCTGGCCAACATGGTGAAACCCCATCTCTACTAAAAATACAAAAATTAGCTGGGCTTGGTGGTGGGCACCAGCTGCTTGGGAGGCTGAGGCAGGAGAATCAATTGAGCCCAGGAGGCAGAGGTTGCAGTGAGCCAAGATCGCGCCATTGCACTCCAGCCTGGGAGATACGTCAAGACTCAGTCTCAAAAAATAATAATAATAATAATGTAGAGGCAAGTGCATGTGGATACTGAGTAGCCAAAGAGGTGGACTGTGCCCAATATTATTACCTGAGCTCCAAACCAGCCTGTCTATACTCAGCTTTGAGTTACTGAGGCTGGGGCTCTGCAAGACACACTTCTGCTTTACCAGCTAGATCTATGTTTGGCTCTGCTAATAGGGGGCACTAGAGGGAGACCGCAGAGCTGGAAGGGAAGAAGAGATTGGCTCCTTCTATTACTTTCAGTTCCTATGAGTGAACCTAACAGTGCTCCTTCATCCCTGACAGAAGTAGTACTTTTCTGCAGTAGAGCCGATTTTAGTTTGCAGGTATTTCTGATTGCAGAACCAAGTTTATCATGCCTCACCTCAAAGACACCAGCATTGCTGTATGCGGTGGTGTGCACCTATAGAACCAGCCACTCAGGAAGCTGAGGGGGAAGGATAGCTTGAGCCCAGGAGTTCAAAGCTGGTAGTGTGCTAAGGTCATGCCTATAAATAGGCACCGCCCTCTAGGTTGGGCAACATAGCAAGACCCCACCTCTTTAAAAAATAAACAAAAACCATAATCTGGTTGGCACTCTTCCTCTTCCTTAGTTTCTGCTCTAAGCTTCTAATTTGTAATAATTCCAACCTATTTTCTTTGTTCCCTCAGCCAAGGAGTTCATAGCTGCTTCCTGCTGTTACTGCCTCTGCGATACTGTAACCTTTCAGTTATCCTGGGCTCAAGTGATCTTCCCACATCAGCCTCCTGAACAGCTGGGACTACAGATGCACACCACCAGGCCTGGATAATTTTTTTTTTTTTTTGAGATGGAGTCTTGCTCTGTCGCCCAGGCTGGAGTGCAGTGGCACAATCTTGGCTCACTGCAAGCTCCGCCTCCTGGGTTCACGCCATTCTCCTGCCTCAGCCTCCCGAGTAGCTGGGACTACAGGTGCCCACCACCACGCCCAACTATTTTTTTGTATTTTTAGTAGAGACGGGGTTTCACTATGTTAGCCAGGATGGTCTTGATTTCCTGACCTCGTGATCCGCCTGTCTCGGCCTCCCAAAGTGCTGGGATTACAGGTGTGAGCCACTGCACCCAGCCCAGGTCTGGATAATTTTTAAATTTTTTTGTAGGGACATAGTATCCCTATGTTGCCCAGGCTGGTCTTGAACCCCTGGATTCAAGCAATACTCCCACCTTGGCCTTCCAAAGTGGTGGGATTACAGGCGTGAGCCACTGTGCCCAGCCCTTACTTTTTATATAAATTGACAATTATTTATTTATAATTTTATTTTGCTCAAGGAACTCAGTTCAAGTATTTCTTTTCTTTTTTTCTTTTCTTTTTTTTTTTTTTTTTGAGACAAGGTCTCACTCTGTCGCCAAGGCTAGAAGTGCAGTGGTGTGATCATGGCTCACTGCAACGTCCACCCCGCTGGGCTCAAGCCGTCCCTCTGCCTCAGCCTCCTGAGTAACTGGGACCACAGGCACACACCACCATGTTCAGCTAATTTTTTTTTTTTGTATTTTTTTTAATAGAGATAGGATTTCACCATGTTGTCCAGGCTGCAAATAATTCTTTTTTTTTTTTTTTGAGACAGAGTCTCACTCTGCTGCCCAGGCTGGAGTGCAGTGGCGCGATCTCAGCTCACCACAACCTCTGCCTCCAGGGTTCAGGCAATTCTCCTGCCTCAGCCTCCCGAGTAGCTGAGACTAGAGGTGTGTGCCACCATGCCTGGCTAATTTTTGTATTTTTAGTAGAGACAGGGTTTCACTACATTGGCCAGGCTGGTCTCGAACTCCTGACCTTGTGATCCTCCCGCCTTGGCCTCCCAAAAATGTTGGGATTACAAGCGTGAACCACTGTGCCTGGCCAATTCTTTATATTAAATTATTTCTGTTCAAACAACTGGGATGGTTTCTGTCTCCTGACTAGAGTCTGACTGATTCAGACACCAACAGTGGCCAACCATATCCTACTCTGATTCTTTCCAACTCCTTCCCTTATAGTTGCAGGGTGAGTGGGCATAGCATTTACCTTCCACATTATTGAAGATGACAATTTTACCAAATATTTTGCTACAGCATAATAGAGATCTCCAGCCATCCAGCCTGGTTTACTTAATCTAGTATATGGCACTGAATTAAAGATCAGGCAGTAATCCACTGCCTGGCCATTAATTCAGTGCCATATATTTTTGTTTTTATTATATCGACATCCCACTCCTGATACAACTTTCTGTATTAATAAGGATCAGTTAATTGCTGTAGTAAACAACCTCTCAAACTCATTGGCTTATATAACAAAACTGTATTTCTTGCTCACTTCAGTGTTTAATATGTTAGTCATAGTAGAGGAAAGGTCTGCTCTGCACAATTATGCAGGGACCCAAGTTCCTTCCATCTTGTGGCTCCACCCTCTTCTAGGTTCTCAGAATCTCCTCTACTCTGCTAGCAGATAGGAAGGAGGGCAAGGATCAGCACCTGGGAGATTTGTGGGCCATCCTGGGAGTAGTACCTTTCACTTCCACTAGCTAGAATTCATTCGCATGGCCACATCTGTCTGTTAAAGAAGCCGGGAACTATAGGTATTGGTGAGAACAAGAGGTTTATACTACATTAAATGGCTCATTGGTGACATTTACGATAAGTTTTAGGGGAGTGATGTAGACAGGGGCCAACTTGTAAAAAGTTAGGAAATCATAGGGGATGAGGGATTTTGCCATGATGCCCAGGCTGATCTCGAACTCCTGAGCTGAAGCCAGCTGCCTGCCTCAGCTTCCCAAAGTGCTGGGATGGCAGGCATGTGCCACCATGCCCTGCCTGGTAGCAACTCTTTAATATGATCCTAATGATAATGAGAAAGATAAATCTGAACTAAGGTGAGAAGGTAGCCAACCATGGGAAGCTCCATTGGGTTTTTTAGGGTTTTCTTTTCTTTTTTTCTCGAGACGAAGTCTTGCTCTGTCGCCTAGGCTGGAGTGCAATGGCATGATCTCGGGTCACTGCAACCTCCGCCTCCCAGGTTCAAGCAATTCTCCTGCCTCAGCCTCCCGAGTAGCTGGGATTACAGGCGCATGCCACCATGCCCAGCTAATTTTTTGTATTTTTTTAGTAGAGATGAGGTTTCACCATGTTGGCCAGGCTGTTCTCGAACTTCTGACCTTGTGATCCACCCGCCTCGGCTTCCCAAAGTGCTGGGATGTGAGCCACCACGCCTGGCTTTTTTTTTTTTTTTTTTTTTTAGACAGGGTCTTGCTCTGTCACCAGGCTGGAGTGCAGTGGCGTAATCACAGCTCACTGCAGCCTTGACTTCCTGGACTCAGGCAAACCTCCCACCACAGCCTTCCAAGTAGCTGGAACTACAGGTGCATGCCACCATGTCCAGCTAATTTTTAATTATTTTTGTAGAGGTGGCATCTCGCAATGTTGCTGAGGCTGGTCTTGAACTCCTGGGTTCAAGCAATCCTCCCACCTTGGCCTCCCAAAATGCTGACATTATAGATGTGAGCACTGCGCCCAGCCTTGCTTTTTAATTGATGTAGAATTGAGCATGTGTTTGCGGTATTAATGAACAGGAAGAGAGATAGGACATGAGTTTGGAGTTCTATTGGGCTTAAATAAATAAATAAAATGGAGTTCCATCAGCCTTACTTAAAAAAAAAAAAAAAAGAGGCCAGGTGCAGTGGCTCACACCTGTAATCTCAACCCTTTGGGAGGCCGAGGCAGGCGGATCATCTGAGGTCAGGAGTTCGAGACCAACCTGGCCAACATGGTGAAACCCCGTCTCTATTAAAAATACAAAAATTAGCCGGGCATGATGGCACATGCCTGTAATCCCAGCTACTTGGGAGGCTGAGGCAGGAGAATCACTTGAACCCAGGAGGCAGAGGTTGCAGTGAGCCGAGGTCATGCCATTGCACTCCAGCCTGGGTGACAAGAGCGAAACTCCATCTCAAAAAAATAAAAAATAAAATAAAATAAGGATATGAGTGGAGGGTTGGCCATGGACAGAAGGAGGCCCACATCTTCTAAAAAAGAAGAAAGGACAGATGCAAATAAAGAGAAATTATGAGATAGAGAGGAGGTAAACTGAAAATCCAGTAGGATTGCTTTGGTTTCTGTAAAGTGACGAGAAAAAAGAAAAGGTTTCAGGTTGCAAGAGGACCCAGTTAAGGTGGGACAACAGGAATCTGTACTGGAACCAGTATGTCTAGTTTTGTGACTTTGTTCCACAGCCAAGGAGCAAAAAGGGAGGAAGCTCACCATGTGGTTTGCTCAAGATGGGGCTCATCATATTGAGAGCCTTTGGCACCAAAGGCACGGCTGAGCAGCCTTTGGCATATATATCAATTATTGATCCTTAAGGTCACTGTTGTCGGCTTCCTACTCCTCCCCATTGTATATTTTTACTTCCTTTTTTACTTTCTCCTAGTCTCCAGTTCTTTTTTTCCTTGCACTTTTCCTTAGGTTTTACAGTAACCACAGTGTGACAGACATACCCTAAGCTGACCCCCAATGATTCCTGCCTCCTGGTATTTACGCCTTGTGTGATTCCCTTTTCTTGAGTGCAGATGGCTCCTGTGCTTTGCTTTTAACCATAGGAGATGGCAATGATGATGGGATGCCACTCTGTCACATATATAGTAAGTTATATAAAACTCTATCATCATAGTCTGGAGCTAGAGACCCTCATTGTCAGTTTCAAGAAACTAAGTGGCTATGTAGGAGAAACCTGCATGGCAAGGAAATGTGATAATCTCTAGGAACTGCAGGTGGCTTTTGGATCCTGAGAGAGGCCTCCAGCAGACACCCAGCAAAAATCCCAGGCCCTCCTCAGTTATACAGTCACCCAGCAAAAATCCCAGGCCCTCTTCAGTTAAACAGTCGCAAGGAAGTTAATTCTGCCAATAACCCAAATGGGCTTGCAAGTGGATTCTTCCCTGGCTGAGTCTCCAGATGAGAATGCAGCCTGATTGCAGCCTTGTGAGACTAAGCAGAGGACCCAGCTAAGCTGTTCTCTGGCTCCTGACCTGGAACCTGTTAGATAACGTTTGTTTTTTGTTTTTTTTGAGACGGAGTCTTGCTCTGTCACCAGGCCGGGTGCAATGGCACAATCTCGGCTCACTGCAACCTCCACCTCCTGGGTTCAAGCAATTCTCCTGCCTCAGCCTCCCGAGTAGCTGGGACTATAGATGCCGTGCCACCATGCCCAGCTAATTTTTTATTTTTAGTAGAGACGGGGTTTCACCATATTGGCCAGGATGGTCTCTCTCGACCTTGTGATCCACCCACCTCGGCCTCCCAAAGTGCTGGGATTACAGGCGTGAGACACCGCGCCCGGCCGATAATGTTTGTTTTAAGCCTTAAATTTGTGGTAACTTGTTACACAGCAGTAGAAAATGAATACTCCCAGAATTCCTGAAAAAACACTGGGGCCCTCAGGCATGACCCCTCTACATTATGTGCTACCTAGGAAAATCTGGGCCTGGGCCCAGGACACAGAACTTGGTGAACGAGGCCAGAGGGTGTGCCACACACCTCCAGTGGGCACTCTGGACTTCAAGGTAGAAGAGGTCCTGGCTTTCAAAGCAAATCGTGTGCCCCACCTCCCCGCGCCTGCCTGCCTCTGCAAATGCCTGTCAGTTCGACCCTCAGAGATGGGCGAAGCCTGGGGAATTACAGACTGCCAGAAGTAGATCACGAAGTCCACCACCTGAATCTCGGCGTTTGGCACCGTGCCTGGTACACAGTGGACGCCCAACAAACGGCTTGCTTGCAGAACAGAAAGAGCCCTCGAGTGCGCGTCTGCTGGCCCCCTCTTTGTGCAGAAGGGAAAAGGGAGACTGGGAGGGCCGGGGACCTGCGGGGCCCCGCCGCGGGTCAGAGCTGGGCCTCCGGCCAAGCGCCATCCCGGGCCCAGGCGGAGGGGGCGCTGCGGCGGGAGGCCGCGGCGGGCGGTGGCGGCGGGCCGGGGGCGGAGCGATGGCGGGGCCGCCCCAGTGAGTGAGCGAGCGAGCG
This sequence comes from Homo sapiens, assembly GCF_000001405.40. Lineage (NCBI taxonomy): Eukaryota > Metazoa > Chordata > Mammalia > Primates > Hominidae > Homo > Homo sapiens. Next base: position 26,826,708 of record NC_000001.11, read on the forward strand.
CCGCGCGCGCCGCCGCTGCCACCTCCGCTGCTCGGCCCGGTCCCGGAGTGGCCCGGCCGGCCCGCGGGGCGCGGAGCCGAGGCCCGCGGCTGGCTGCATGAAGGACTGCGAGTACCAGCAGATCAGCCCCGGGGCCGCCCCGCTGCCCGCCTCCCCGGGGGCGCGCCGTCCCGGCCCCGCCGCGTCCCCGACTCCGGGCCCCGGGCCCGCGCCGCCCGCCGCCCCCGCCCCGCCGCGCTGGAGCAGCAGCGGCAGCGGCAGCGGCAGCGGGAGCGGGAGCCTCGGCCGCCGCCCACGGCGCAAGTGGGAGGTGTTCCCGGGTCGCAATCGCTTCTACTGCGGCGGCCGCCTCATGCTGGCCGGCCACGGCGGCGTCTTCGCGCTCACGCTGCTGCTCATCCTCACCACCACCGGCCTCTTCTTCGTCTTTGAGTGAGTTCCGCTGCCTCGGCGCCCCCTCCCAGCCCCCTGCCGCGCACCCCACCTTCCCAATCCCTGCTGGGCACTCCGTGCCTTCCCCTTCGCCTCCCTGGTCCTCATCCTCCCCGCCCCTTTGGGATCCTCCTCGGGCCTCTTGTCTGCCCCCCTGGCCCCTGCGCACCCCCATCCCCGCCAGATGCCCCATCCTCCTTGGTCCATTTGGGTACCCCATCCGCGCTGGTGCCCTCCACCCTCCCAGCCCCTCCATTCTCCCTGACCCCACCCTGGCACCTGTCTGCCTGCCACTGCCAGGAACACCAGCCTCCATGCCCCTCCACGGCCCCCATCCTCGCTGCCCTCTCAGAACCTGCCCCAGGGCTTCTTGAACAGGCCCCTCCTGCTCACCCATCCCTGGACCATCTCTTGCCAACCCCCCAAGTTCTTTCTGACCCTTGTATCCCTTCCTGACCACTTCTAGATCTTGTGTGTCCTTTGGCTGTGCACACCCACCATAAACATCCTAGTCATCCTCGCTGCCCTCTCCGGGTCCCTCCAGGGTCCCCTCCTTTTCTCTAGTCTCAGACACCAACCCCGCTTTTGCTTCCCCTCAGCCACGCACACCCTAGGCCCCAAGGCATCTTTTCTCAAAATCTTTGGGCCTCTCGGGCCCCCTTTCCTTCTCCAGAACCTTCCTTAGGTTCTCCAGAGCTTCCTGTCCTTCCCTCAGATCCCGCCCGCCTCCACCCAGCCGGCTCCCAGGCCCCTGGCCCCCCTGCTGACCACCTGGCTTTCTTTCCCTGCTCAACATTCTGGAACGTCCCTCTGGCCTGTTCCACATCAGCAACAGCTGCGGTGCCTTGTTGTTTTTCAGGAAAGACTTCGGAGTGCTTTCGTGTGACAGGTCATATTTGCCCCCCTAGGTTTTTGTCCTCTTCATATCCCCCGGTGACCCAGGATTGGCCCACACATAATCTCCATTTTATGGATGGAGGGTCATATATTTGTATTAGAAGTTTTCCACCCACCTCTGAGCCACCTGCACTGTGATTCCTTGCACACACACTCACACGCCCACCCACCCACCCTTGCTTCATAAGCCCTGCTGTCCCCTCCCAACTCCCCATCCTTTGTGGTTGTTCCTCTTAATTATACAGTGTAGTTAAGAACTCTAACAGACCTGGTTCAAATCCCAGCTCCACCACCCACTAATTGCGTGACCTCAGGGCAGTCACTTCACCCCCTCAGTGCCCCAGTTTCCTCATCAGTAAAATGGGATTTATAATAGTACCCACCCCGTAAGGTTGTCCTGAGGGTGGCATGAGGTCACACATGCAAGCTTTTAGCCCAGTAACAAGCACACTATGTTGGCTGCTATTAGTACTTGTGTTGTCTTTATCAAAAAACACTTCCCAAGGGCATGTGGCCATGGTAAGGCTATCATAGAGACACCCGCCCCCAGGTACCCTTTCTAGCTGCCAGATCATGTATCTGCAACTTTGGGTTTCCCCTTGAAGCAAGGTGAAGACTTCCTATAAATTAGCTTCTCCCTTTACCCTTTAACCACACACTCTGCCCTTTTTTTTGAGTAGGGTGGATAAAAAGTTCAGGGATGATTTACAAGCAGAAGCTCTGGGGGGCCCAGAGCTCAGCTCTGGGCTGAGTTTCAGATCCACTTCCCTGGGCTGGCCACATGAGTGTTTTGGAAATGCCTTTTCTAGTATCCCCTGGGCTGCCCTCTCAGTCCCCACACCCAGGGCTGCAGCCGAGGCAGGAGGAAGCAGTACTTGCCGTGGTTGACCCACATGACCCTGCAGTGTGATATCTGGCCTAACTTCTGAACTAGAAGCAGGACCTTCTCTGGGTTGACCGGGTATCTTCACTGGTGACTGTTTTGTCCCCAGCGAGGGAGAAAGCAAGGACTTCTGGGTTTGGGGAGAGCTCGTGAACCATGTTGCAGTTTGTCCCCGCTTGTCCTCATTGGGGGCTGGTAGATTGGCAGAAGAGTTTGGGTTTGGGCCGAGAGCTCACCTGGGTCTGGACTGGATGCTCCCCATTGCTCTGGGAAAAGGTAAGGTGCTCTCTAAGCCTTTCCTGCTATGAATGGCTTTGCTTCTTTGTTTGGCTTGGTGGATTGTTGCACAGGCCTCCAGCAGGGCTCCCAACTTCTGCCTTACTTCTCGCCCCCACACAACAGCCAGAGTGCCCTTTTGATTCTAACTCAGGCCTGAATCCTCCCTGGCCTCTGTCCCCTGCTGTCTTCTGTCCCCGTCTTCCCTCCAGGCATGTCATCCTCCGTGCACACTCCTACCTCTGGGCCAGTGCTTGGAATCCCCTTCCTGCAGGTGGCCTCATGGCTCACTCTCTCACATTAGGCCTCCCCTGTCCATCCGCACAGCATAGCAAACCACTCCCCTCCTGCACCTCTCTTCTCCCCTCATTTATCGCTCTCTGAAGCATTTGCCACCACCTGACATATTATGGTATACTTGTTAGTTTCTGGTCTTTGCCCATGAGAGCAGGACATTCTCCTCTGTTGCACCCTTAGTGCCTAGAACTCGCACCTGGTATGCAGTAGGTGCTCAATACTTATTGAATGAATGAATTGACAGTGTATTTGAATTAATTGACAGTGTATTTGCTGGGAGGCTGGAAACCCTAGTTCTGTCATTGGCTGGCTAGATGACCTTGAACCTAGCTGTGGGCCTGGGAGAGCTGTTAGCCTCTGGCAAATCAGGAGGCTAGGACTTGGTGGTTCCTGCAGGCTCTACAAGTCTTAGATTTCAAGTCTTCTCTGTCCCCCCACACAAGTCTGATTGCATATGAACTGGATTCATTGCCATGTGGGTGACACTGAGCGCCCACTGGTTCTGTTTGAGGGTCAGACCCAGAAACCATTGAGATGTATGGAGCAGAGTGTGACCCACTGGGAGCCCTTGGCCTTGGCAGTCTGCTCCTCAGGGGAAGGGCTTCTCTGAAGGCCAGAGCATCTGATGACGGAGACTTCAGAAGCAGCATGCAGGTGCCCACAGGTGTGTGCCTACTGTGCCACTCCTGGAAGCTTGGTTGATCTCAGGCCTCCCAGGGCCCCGTCATCTCCTTACCTGATCAGGTGCTACTCTGGCTATGGGGTGATGGTTAAAAGTATGAACCTCAAAGTCAGACCTGGCTTGGGTCCCACTTTAGCACTCCTGAGCCATGTGACCTTGGGCAGATTACTTAAACTCTCTGAGCTCTAGTTTCTTCATCTGTAAAGTGGGGAGCATAACTTCACAGGGTCCCAGTGAGGATTTGATGAGAAAGTACACAGGAACTGCTTAGCCTGGTACCTGGCCCATCCAGGTACAGTAGTACAGTAACTATCTGTAGATAGTACAGTAACTATCTACATAGTACAGTAACTATCTGTACATAGCACAGTAACTATCTGTACTTTGGATGTTGCTAACAGTAGTTTATTAATTAGGGCAGTGTCTGGCACATAGTAAGCCTTCAAAAGATGGTAGCTATTTTTCTGTCCCCTGGCAGCAGTTATTTACCGGGTACGTCCTTGGTGCCAGGTGCTGTGCAGTGTGCTGGAAATATAAAGCTGAACAAGAGAACATAGTCTATACCCACAGAGGAGCTTATGTTTTTTTATGTTTGTTTGTTGTTGTTGTTGTTGTTGTTGTTGTTGAGATAGAGTTTTGCTCTTGTTGCCTAGGCTGGAGTGCAATGGCACGATCTCGGCTCACTGCAACCTCTGCCTCCCGGGTTCAAGTGATTCTCCTGTCTCAGCCTCCTGAGTAGCTGGGATTACAGGCACATGCTACCACACCCTGCTAATTTTTCTGTTTTTATTAGAGATGGGGTTTCATCTTATTGGTCAGGCTGGTCTCGAACTCCTGACCTCAGGTATCCGCCCACCTCAGCCTCCCAAAGTGCTGGGATTGCAGGCGTGAGCCACTGCGCCTGGCCAAGCTTATGTTTTAGTGAGAGAAAAATAGCCATCACATAGACAAGTAGCTGAAATCTATACTAAATGTTATACAGGAAAGAAAGAGCATTGAAGTTCACTGTGTACAGAGTTGTCAAGGTAGGTCCTTCTGAGGAGGGAAGAGGAATCTGAGAAAAGGAACAGCAAGTGCAAAGGCCCTGAGGTAGGAGAGAGCCAGGCTTGTTATAGGAACTGTCATGGGCTATTGTGATGGGAGGAGCAGGAGCAAGACGAGAGTTTTGTAGAATGAGGCTGAAGTCCTCAGTAGGGCCCAGATCATGCCTGGCCTAGAAGGCCATGGTAGGGAGTTTGGATTGTATTCAAACTATATGGAAAGCAATTGGGAGGTTTTAAGCAGGGAAATGACATGATCTGATTGACATTTCCAAAAGTGGCTCTGGCTTCTGGGTGGACAGTGAGGTGACAACAGAGAGGATTGGCCATAGAGAGAGAGCCCTGATAGCTTCACTATCATGAAGCCATTCTCCCACCAGTGTCCAGAACTTCTAGAATGTTCTAGCCCTAAGATGGAGGAGGGAGCTTGAAGAGGGCTGTGGTAGGCAGCCTCCCTGGGGGACAGAGGCATGACCATTCAGCAGGCACAGGCTATTCTCTGAGGCAGCCAGGGTCAGGGGGTCTGAAAGCACTGCCTTGGGGATACCTGCCTACCTTGGGTCACAGTGACAGTGGCTGGACCATGCAGTTCCCCCAGCCCTCTACTCATTCTTCAGGTTGGAGCTTAGGATTGTCTCCTTCAGGTTGCCTTTCCTGACTGTGCTACTGCGTTCCCCTCCCCCACTAGAGCACACATCACCCTGTGTGGCAATTCCCTGTTTACATGTCTTGTTTTCCCCACTAGACCATAAGCCACAAGGGGGAGGGACTCTTGTCTTATCCGTCGTCATTATTCCTGCTGCTTATTGAAGGTGTTGCCTGCCACAGAGAAGACCTCAGTAAATATTTGTGGACTGAGTGAGTGAATGAATGAGTGAATGAACACTGCAGGATGGTTTGTCTCAGGTGACAGTCCACTAGTGTCTGCCTGAAGCTCTGTGTGTAGAGGGATTCTCTGGATGCAGAGGTTAGGAGTGCTGGGATCTATTGGACACATCTGCCATGTGCTCTGGAGGAAAGTATATCACAAGGATCAATTAGTGATGTCTGTTCCCGGTACTTATTGGGGAGTGGCTGCACTCATCAAGGAGCTGTGCCTCTGCCTCAGAGCGAGGCTGTATTCAAGATTTTGGTGGTGGTTGTTGGAATGACAGCGCCTGCCACGTGCTGTAGCCCTGTGCCGCAGGGAGCCCTTGGGGTGTCTGCTGATCTCTCTCCATCTCTCGTTCTAGCTGTCCCTACCTGGCTCGCAAGCTGACCCTTGCCATCCCCATCATCGCTGCCATCCTCTTCTTCTTCGTCATGAGCTGCCTGCTGCAGACAAGCTTCACCGACCCTGGGATCCTGCCCCGGGCCACTGTCTGTGAAGCAGCCGCCCTGGAGAAACAGATCGGTGAGGTTTCTACTCCCAGCTGAAGCTGGGTCTCCATAGCTCCACATTCCCTGACTTGGGAGGAGGCCTGGTTTTCTCTTCCAAAACTATACTAGGAACTGGGGATGCAGTCGTGAGCAAGGCAGGCTGGAGCTGACACTGGCACAGAGGGAGACAGATGATCAACAAGTGAGCAAATAAGTAAGCAAGAAATGCTGGCCAGCCAGCAAAGGCCCCGATGGCAGCCAGCGTGGAGCTGAGTAGTTCCTGGGGGCTAGGCACTGTTTTAAGCTCTTTATATGCATGATCTTATTTAATCCCCCAGTAATCCTATGAGGTAGGTACTGTTGTCATTCTCCTTTTACTGATTAATTAAATCAAGGCAAAAGAGGGTCCAAGATCACAAAGTAAGTAGAAGAGCTGAGATGAGACCTCAGTCTAGAGCACCTGCTCTTAAACATTCATATACACTTATTCATTCACTCATCAAACATTTATTGACCCCCTACTATGTGCCAGGCACTTTTCTAGATGTGATACAGCAGTGAACAAAACTGACAATAGTCCCTGTCCTCATGGAGCTTGACAGTTGAGGAGGAGGAAAGAGACAATAAATAACAAATAATTAAATATCTAGGATATCAGACAGAGAAGAAAGGAGGGAAGGAGGATGAAGGCTACAGGGAGGGTGTGTGATTTTACATAGGGTGGCCAGGGAACATCTTGTGAAGGAGGTGACATCTGAGCAAAGAAGCACCGGCCTGAACAGATGAGGGCTTGACGGTGGGGTTATCTAGGGAAGAGCCCAGTAGGTGTTGGGGAGTGGGCTAGTTTAGGTCAGGTGGTCAGGGGAGACCTCTAGGAGGAGGCGGCACTGGAGATGAGTGTGGTAGAAATACGGGGATCTGGGAAAAGTAAGGCCAAAGCCCAGAGTGGCAAACAGCCTGGGCGTGTGTGAGGAACGGCAGTGGCTGGAAAGACCCTGTGCTCCCAGGCAGCCCAGGTGGCCCTTGATTCCTTTCAGACTGCTGTGTGGGTTCCGGGGTGGCGGGGTACTGGGCCAGGTCCCTAATCTCAGCTTGCTGCACCCCAGCTCTTCCTGCTGAGAAGTGACGTGGCTACTTGCACACCTCGGGGGTTTCCGGTCCGTGGTTAGCTCCTTCCCCTAACAGCATGGTGTTCACACAGGCTTTTAAACACCCAGCTGGCCCTGAAGACATCTAGTGGCCTGTAAATGTCAGAGCCCTGCTGCATCCATCGCTAGAAATCATTTCACTAATACTCTGTGCAGCAGGGAGGGAGGGAGGGCGAGCAGCTGGAGAGGATGTTCTCTGGGCTCTGTCTGCTCTTTGTCTCATTCCTCTGCCCAGCCCCATCCTCAGCCACGCCTGCGAGGGCCACCTCCTCTCACCTACATCCAGCGTCCTACCCCTTCAAACTCTGGGTCCCTGGCCACTCCTTCAGGATCCCACGGTCTGACCTGGGCTGGCCCACCTGGCAGCTGGGGAGGCCCAGCTGTGCCCCGTTCTTCCTCCCCTTCTGGTCAGGGCTAATCATGAGGCAGGATTATTGTCCAGCTCAGCCGGACCCAGAGGTCTGGCTGCCTGGAATCCTCGGCCTCCTGTGAGCTGCGTGGATCACAGTGACAGCAGTAATCCCCTTCTTGGAAAGAGCTTGGCCGTGTGCTGAGTGCTTTCCATCTATTATCCCCACAAATCTTCACAACAGCCCAGTGAGGGCGACCCTGTTAACCAATTGTACTGATGGAGAAACGGAGGCAGGTGATCACAGGGCCAGGATAAAGAAGCAGAGACAGAGTGTGTGCCTTTCACTCCCAAACCCCTTGCTTTCTCTTCTGAGATGGCAGCAGGGACACATCTCCTTCATCCTCTTCTCCACTTGTTTCCTGTGCTCTGGGAAGCCTTCTTGACCCCAGTTGGGCCAGGCCTTCCATTGCACATTCCCAGAGCACCTTCTCCTTCCTTCTCTGAACCTGTGCTGCAACGGTGGTCATTACAAAATCATCCTTTCTGCTGGCCTGTGAGGGCATGGAATTCCAGCATCTTGTTCACCTTGTCGCCATGTAGAAGGCTCAGTGACGTTGGCTAAATGAGTAAATGAATGACTGAAGAATAGGTGAGCTTCTGTGAAGGCCCTCCTTGCTCTGTCAGGGTGACAGGTGAGGAAACAGTCAGGACATCTCCCAGTTGGGCATCATGGGTTTGTTCATTTGTGTGTTAATTCTATATGCTGACCCCTGACAGCAGAGTGAAGGCAGGTGGGGGCCAACAATGAATCTGATAGGAGCTTACTCTCATGGGTTCCAGACAAGTTGGCCCCAGGTGGGAGCCCTGACCAGCCACTGCCAGTGAGATCAGGCTTTAGAAGAGGGTCAGAGGAGTCAGGAGCATCTTCTGCCTGGGGGACTGGAGAAGCTTCCTGGAGAAGTGATGCTTGAGCTAAGTCTTTAAGTTTGGGTGGAATTCAAGCACAGGAGCTGTGCGGAGGCAGCCCTTCAGGCAGACAAAGCTGAGGGAAGAGAGAGTGGCAGAGGGAAGGAGGAGGGATGGGAACGGGCCACTGAGCAGGCCACGTTGGCTAGAATATGAGGAGCACTTCAGATAGTTAGGGATATTAGAGATATTCCAGTTGGAAGGATGGGGTGGAATCAATCTTGTAGGGCGCTGAATGTCCCTAAGACTTTTCTTGGCGAACAGGTGCAAAGTGCAAAAGTGGCATTTTGGAGGCCTTTGAATTCTCAAACTTGAATAGAAGCCAAATTTTTGGGTGTGACCAGGAGACTTCTAACTAATTAAAGTAAAACATATTTCCCAGGGCTGGCACAGTGGCTCACGCCTGTAATCCCAGCACTTTGGGAGGCCGAGGCGGGCGGATCACAAGGTCAGGAGATTGAGACCATCCTGGCCAACATGGTGAAACCCTGTCTCTAGTAAAAATACAAAAATTAGCTGGGCATGGTGGCGTGTGCCTGTAATCCCAGCTACTCAGGAGGCTGAGGCAGAATAATCGCTTGAACCAGGGAGTCGGAGGTTGCAGTGAGCCAAGGTTGCGCCATTGCACTCCAGCCTGGTGACAGAGCAAGACTCCGTCTCAAAAAACAAAAAAAACCAAAAACATATTTCCCCGAAAATGATCAGGACTAAGATCACTGAACCTTTTCCAGAAGGTTGGGAGCTGTCTCTGAGGCAGGTGGTGCTGTTCATGTGAGCATGAACTGATTACCTGGTCCTAGGCTCATGTAGACAGTGTGGGCTTTTCCCTTTGGCACCCCAGCCCAGCAACTCCAGCCCAACAGGTCTGGCCCAGGGCTCCTGCCCTGTGGGGACAGTCTGAGGTAGAGTGACCAGCTCCTCCCAGTTTACCCAGGACCACCTGGAAAGTCTCCTGTCTTAGGAAACCACTCAATCCCAGGAAAATCAGGGCACTCGGTCACCCTCATCTGAGATCCTGTCTTGCCGGCTGGTGGGCTGTGCAGCTGGCTCACCCTGCAGGCTCTAGGCAGTTGGGAAGAGCAATATTGCTCCCAGAAGCTCCTGGTCTGATGGGAGGTGATAGAGACATCCAAATCCAAGTGACAGATGCTCACTTAGACCCTGTTACAGTTCACATGACGGACACAGAGGCTGCGTCTCTCTCCACTGCCATACACCAGCTCCCAGACCCCATCTCCTTTGTCTCCAGGACGTCTCTGCCCACTTCCCCTGGACAGACCTGCCTCGTGTTCCACCTGAACTGGCTCAGGGCTCTGCAGAACAGGCCCTGACTGGGCCTTTCCCTTCAATTGTAGTTATCTCTCCAAGATCCCAAATTTGTTCTCCCCACCCCTGCCCTGTCCCCCCACAAACCCCACAGAATTTGGGTGACTCTCTGGTGCCCTCAGCATATCAGTGATATGAGTCCAGCCTTTGTGATTTTTCCTTCTGCATCCCGCCTTGTACCTTCATTTCTTTTTTTTTCTTTTTTTCTTTTTTTTTTTTTTGAGACGGAGTCTTGCTCCGTTGCCCAGGCTGGAGTGCAGTGGCACAATCTCAGCTCACTGCAACCTCTGCCTCCCAGGTTCATGCCATTCTCCTGCCTCAGCCTCCCGAGTAGCTGGGACTACAGGCACCTGCTACCACGCCCAGCTAATTTTTCGTATTTTTAGTAGAGACGGGGTTTCACTGTGTTAGCCAGGATGGTCTCGATCTCCTGACCTTGTGATCCGCCCGTCTCAGCCTCCCAAAGTGCTGGGATTACAGGCATGAGCCACCGCATCTGGCTGTACCTTCATTTCTTTAGTATTTTCCTCCTAAATGGCTCATCTTTAAATATATATGTATAATATATATATTTCATATACATTAAATATATATTAAATGCAGCTGGGCGCAGTGGCTCATGCCTGTAATCCCAGCACATTGGGAGGCCGAAGCAGGTGGATCACAAGGTCAGGAGATCGAGACCATCCTGGCTAACAAGGTGAAGCCCCATCTCTACTAAAAAAAATACAAAAAAAATTAGCTGGGTGTGGTGGCGGCCACCTGTAGTCCCAGCTACTCGGGAGGCTGAGGCAGGAGAATGGTGTGAACCTGGGAGGCGGAGCTTGCAGTGAGCCGAGATGGCGCCACTGCACTCCAGCCTGGGCGACAGAGTGAGACTCTGTCTCAAAAAAAATATATATATATATATATAAAATATACATTTATATATTTACTACATATGTATAATATATAACATATTTAATATGTATAATATATTTAACATATTTAATATGTATAATATACATTTTACATCTATATTTAATATGCATAATATGTATTTAACATATATTTAATATGTATAATATATTTAACATATTTAATATATTATGTATATTATTTATTTATTTATTTATTTATTTATTTATTTTTTGAGACAGAGTCTCGCTCTGTCACCCAGGCTGGAGTGCAATGGTGTGATCTCAGCTTACTGCAGCCTCCACCTCCTGGGTTCAAGTGACTCTCCTGCCTCAGCCTCCCAAGTAGCTGCGATTACAGGCATGCACCACCATGCCTGGCTAATTTTTGTATCTTTAGTAGAGATGGGGTTTCACCATGTTGGCCAGGCTGGTCTTGAACTTCTGACCTCAGGTGATCCACCTGCCTCAGCCTCCCAAAGTGCTGGGATTACAGGCATGATCCACCGTGCCCAGCCCCTCTTCTATCTTCTTGAAAACTCACTCATGAGATTAAGGCAAGCTGCAGTCTACCCCAGCCACTGCTCTTCTCCTACTGGTCCCTGGCACCCCCAGCCACGCTGTGCACTGGATGCCTCAGTGCGTTTGCTTGTGCTTGTGCTGTCCCCGCCTGCCGTGGTGAGCCAGAGTGCTCATTCTTTCTGATCCAGCTTTGCTGTTACTTCTTTTGTTGCTTGCTTTTTTTTTTTTTTAAGACAGGGTTTTGCTCTTGTTGCCCAGGCTGGAGTGCAGTGGTGAGATCTCGGCTCACCACAACCTCTGCCTCTCGGGTTCAAGCGATTCTCCTGCCTCAGCCTCCCGAGTAGCTGGGATTATGGGCATGCACCACCATGCACCCTAATTTTGTATTTTTAGTAGAGATGGAGTTTCTCCATGTTGGTCAGGCTGATCTCAAACTCCCGACCTCCGGTGATCCGCCCGCCTCAGCCTCCCAAAGTGCTGGAATTACAGGTGTGAGCCACTGTGCCTGGCCCCTTGCTTTCTTTTTAAATTATTTTTTGTAGAAACAGGGTCTTGCTGTGTTGCCCAGGCTGATCTCTCAAACTCCTGGACTCAAGCAGTCCTCCAGCCTTACCCTCCCAAAGTGTTGGGATTACAGTCACGAGCCACTGCACTCGGCCTGTTGCTTTCTTGAATGCTGCTTCCTGCCTCCACCCCACATATTTCCCTCTGTGTTCTTGAGGCATTGAGTATAGGCACCAGTAATGTCATTAATTGAATAGCTATTTAGGTCAGATCTTGATATTATGTTATTTCTGATTTGTGTAAAATTTTACAAGGTTGATGTCATCATTACCCATTCTACAGGTGAGGAAAGTGAGGCTTAGAGATTGATCAGCTTCTTAAGTTTACAGGCTAACAATTGGCCATGCCAGGGTTCAAAATAAGATTAGGCAGGCCCAGAGTCACCACACAGAGGCACTGCCTTGTAGGAGGACTCTTAATTATCCACTTCTGTCTGACTCTGCCCTCAGGCGGGCTCTTCCTGTATCCACAGGCCTAGCACTAAGCCTGGTATGTGGTGAAGGCCCCATGAACCCCAGAGATGGACAGAAGTGGTCTGGGAGGGTTATGGTGACCTAGCACTCGAGGCCTGGGAGCTGTGGCTGACCTTGAGCTGGCCTTAGAGGCGGGGAGACTGCAGTCCTGCAGCTGTTTCCTCTGCAGGTGACAACAGTGGAAGGGCAGAGGGCAGTCAGGGCCTTCTCAGCAGCCCGCAGCCAGCCCTGGGGAACTTCCACAGCCCCAGCCTTTCAGGCTCTGACCGCAGAAGGCCTGCCTGCTCCTCTCCGAGAGCTGTCTTAGGGTGGGGAAATTCCTTTGCCCTCACAGCCATTCAGTGACGAGTAGCCTTGCTTTTCGTCTCATTTTCACATCCTCAGAGCTTTGGTTTCTGCCTGGAAGGCAGCAGGAGGGCCTTGCTGGCATAAGGGCACCTTTTTACTTGGGAAGAGCCTGGCATAGCAGAAACAGCCCTGGAGTAGATCTTAGATTCCCTGAGGGCAGGGATAGCATCACTTACCATCACTCCCTTCTTTCTTCTTTTCTACAACAAATATTTTTTGAACATCCACAGTATGTCAGGCAGGCACAGGGTGAACAAAACCAATATCTTTGACTCATTTCTATGAATTTGCCCCTTACCTTCCCTGCCACCCCCAGGCCTTGTACAGTAACTTGCACATAGTAGGTGCTCATGTGTGAAAGAGTGAACAAATGAGTGCCCTGGAAGACAAGGGTCCTAGTTTCAGCCCCACCTTCTATTATTGGAGTGAACTTGCTTTCCCATCTGTAACTCACAGGCACGGATCCCCTTGCCTAGCCCAGAGCAGTCTCTGTGATTGAGTGAGACTAGGAATGTCAGCACACTTTGTAAGTCACTTTTCTCTATTGAAACTGAAGAGACTTGAGTCTTTTGGTCAGGAATGGAGAGTGGACTTGCTCCAGGTGCTAACAAGCTGCCATCGGTAGTGGCTGCCAGGAGGAGCAGGTTGAGGAGGATTCTGAGGCTGAGTTTGGGGCGGTGATGGGTCAGCACTGTCCGGTCTGAGAATCAGCAATGGGAGAGCTGCTTGTCTTCCCCCATGAAGGGTGCAGCCCCTGCAGAGCCTCCTTTGTCCCAACTCTGGCGACTTTGATTTAGCACCAGGTGGACTCTTGCTCCAGCATGACACAGCGCTCTGCCTCCCCTGGCTCCTGGCAGCCTCAGGAAGCCGGGGTACAGAGCTTCATTTGCTCTTCTGCAGAGTGCTGGAGAGAAAGAAGCCTGGCTGCTGGAGACCAGAACATGCTTAGCAGTTCCCTCCCTGTCCTGGGGAGAGGCTTGGGTTCCCCTCTCCCCTGAGGAAGACCTGTGGGATTCCACTGAGGATTCCAGTAACTTCTGTCAGTGCTGGAGAGGGTCTGTGGCTGTCCTTCATTCACAGATGGGCTGTGTTCTGAAGTTTTCTTCATAACTCCATTGTTTGTTTGGAATGCAATGTTTTGTGGAAACAAAAGTCATAATAATGGCTGATATTTGTTAAGCCCTTGTCAAGCGTTAGCCACTTTGCTAAAGCCACTTGGTGAATTCTCACCTAATCCTTCCAGCAGCCCCCTGAGATGGACTCAATGATGTTCCATTTTATTTTATTTTTTTGAGACAGCCTTGCTCTGTCACCCAGGCTGGAGTGCAGTGGCGCGATTTCGGATCACTTCAACTTCCACCTCCTGGGTTCAAGCGATTCTTCCTGCCTCAGCCTCCCGAGTAGCTGGGATTACAGGCATGCGCCACCATGCCCGGCTAATTTTTGTATTTTTAGTAGAGATGGGGTTTCAGTGTGTTGGCCAGGCTGGTCTTGAACTCCTGACCTCAGGTGATCCGCCTGCCTCGGCCTCCCAAAGTGCAGGGATTACAGGCGTGAGCCATCATGTCCAGCCTATTTATTTTAACTTTTAAATATTTTTTAGAGACACAGCCTCGCTCTGTCACCCAGGCTGGAATGCAGTGGCACAGTCATACCTCACTGCAACCTTGAACTCCTAAACTTTCCCTTCAACTTTCCCTTCAACTGTAGTAGTTATCTCTCTTGTTAGGTTGTTTCATTACCACCTTGACTTCCTGCCTCAGTCTCCCGTGTAGCTAGAATTGCAGGTTCATGCCACATACAGCTAATTTTTTGGGGGGAGGGGGGGACAGAGTTTTGCTCTTGGCACCCAGGCTGGAGTGCAGTGGCGTGATCTCAGCTCACTGCAACCTCTGCCTCCCGGGTTCAAGTGATTCTCTTGCCTCAGCCTCCCGAGTAGCTGGGATTACAGGTGCACACCACCACACCTGGCTAATTTTTGTATTTTTAGTAGAAATGGGGTTTCACCATGTTTAAGGCTGGTCTCGAACTCCTGACCTCAGACAGGTGATCCACCTGCCTTGGCCTCCCAAAATGTTGGGATTACAGGTGTAAGCCACCACGCCCAGCCCACATCCAGCTAATTTTTAAAAATTATTATTTTTATAGAGATGGGGTCTCACACTATGTTACCCAGGCTGATCTCAAACTCCTGGCCTCAAGCAATCCTCCTGCTTCAGCCTCCCAACGTGCTGGGATTACAGGCATGAGCCACTATGCTTGGCCTTCCATTTTATTTATTTAGCAGATGATGGCACAGAGAAGTTGAGTGATTTGACCCACCTCACTCAGCCAGTAAGTGATTGGAGTGAGATTTATACCTACATGTGTTTCTGGCTCCAAAGCCTATGTCCAAGTCAGCAAGGAAGCAGTGAGTGGGGAGCCAAAAGCTGGGACTCTGGGGCCTGTGGGACAGGATTAGGGGTTTGGTTTGGAGTAGTATCACCAGCTTTGGAAAGAGCTGCTGCTGGGGGTTCTGCATCCTGGAGGGTCATGGCATGAACAGTTGGTCAGGAGCAATGTCAGTGGCTCCTGGGAGGCTAGCACTGTGCTCAGGGCTGTGGAAGCATCTCATTCAGCCCTCACCACAATCCTATGAAGGTATGACTTGACCCATCTCTATTTTACAGATAAAGAAACTGAGGTGGCCAGGCGCGGTGGCTCACGCCTGTAATCCCAGCACTTTGGGAGGCCAAGGTGGGTGGATCATGAGGTCAGGAGTTCAAGACCAGCCTGGCCAACATAGTGAAACCCTGTCTCTACTAACAATACAAAAAATTAGCCAGGCATGGTTGCGGGCACCTGTAATCCCAGCTACCCAGGAGGCTGAGGCAGAGAATTGCTTTGACCTGCAAGGTGGAGGTTGCAGTGAGCCAAGATCGCGCCACTGCACTCCAGCCTGGGCAACAGAGCGAGACTCCATCTCAAAAAAAAAAAAAAAAAGAGAGAGAGAGAGACAGGGTCCGCCTTTATTGCCCAGGCAGGTCTCAAACTCTTGGCTTCAAGCAATCTTCCTGCCTCAGCCTCCCAAAGTGCTGGGATTACAGGCATGAGCCACTATGCTTGGCCCTGTGAGTTAATAATAATAGCTCACACTTGCTAACCATTTGCTTTGTGCCATTTCACATATATTGATTCATTTAACTCTCACAACAACCCTATGAAGGTGAGTTACTATCGTTTCTATTTCAGTGATTAGAGAAACTGAGGCACAAAGAGCTTATATGATTTTTTAGCAAATGATATCATCAGGAGAAACCCAGCTGGGCAGAAGTGGAGTGGAACTAGATTCATTAGCTATTCTACCTGTTATTCCTGTTTTACACATGAGAAAACTGAGGCTCAGAGAAGTTCATTTGACTTCAGCCTTACACACAACCAGTCAATGACAAAACCAGGGTTCAGAGTGTGGCCATTGGCCTCTAAATCCCCCACCCTTCTTCATGCTGCCCATTTTAGGGAAGAAATGCTCAGATGCTTAGTTCCATTTTAAACATGCTGTAGTCAAGGTGGTGATGAAACAACCTAACAAAGTAAACCTTTGGTAGTTGAAAATGTGAGACTGAAGCATGTTTGCTTCACTGATATATGCCAAGTGCCTAGAATCGTGCCTGGCACATTGGTAGGCACTCAGTAAATAATCATTGGAGGCCAGTGGCCAAACTGGAGACATTATCTGGCAAACAATGCAATGGAAGCAATGGCAGGGTGCATGGTGGAGGGCTGGGGGTATAGGCTGCCCCAGGAGACTCAGACTTCTTTCTGGAAGGAGCCACTGTTCAGGTTCTCTGTGCCCTGGGGTACCCAGAGGCTCAATGGGTGAAGTTTTGGGCTTTGCATATGACACACCTAGGTTAGAGTCCTGCTCTGCCGATATACCAGGGCAGGACCTAAATAACTTACTTAAGTCTTTCCTTTTTTCTTTCTTTCTTTTTTTTTTTTTTCTTTTTTTGAGACGGAGTTTCGTTCTTATCACCCAGGCTGGAATGCAATGGCGACTGTTCAGCTCACTGCAACCTCCACCTCCCGAGTTCAAGCAATTCTCCTTTCTCAGCCTCCCGAGTAGCTGGAATTATAGGCACGCACCACCACACCCGGCTAACTTTTGTGTTTTTAGTAGAGAGGGTTTCACCAGGTTGGCCAGGCTGGTCTCGAACTCCTGACCTAAGGTGATCCACCCGTCTCAGCCTCCCAAAGTGCTGGGATTACAGGCGTGAGCCACCGTGCCCGGCCTCCTTTTTTCTCTATTTCTTATTTTTTATGGAAGTATAATGGGCTTATCAAAAGTATACAAGTTGTGGCCGTGTACGGTGGTTCATGCCTGTAATACCAGCACTTTGGGAGGCTGAGGTGGGTGGATGACTTCAGATCAGGAGTTCGAGACCAGCCTGGCCAACATGGTGAAACCCCATCTCTACAAAAAAATACAAAAATTATCTGGGCGTAGTGGCACACACCTGTAATCCCAACTCCTCAGGAGGCTGAGGCAGGAGAATTGCTTGAACCTGGGAGGCGGAGGTTGCAGTGAGCCGACATCATGCCACTGCACTCCAGCCTGGGCAACAGAGCAATATTCCGTCTCAAAAAAAAAAGGTATAGAAATTTTAAGTGTTCTGTCTGATGAATGTTCACAAACTGAATGTACACATGTAATCAGCACTGAGATCAAGAAACAGTATATGACTGGCATCCCAGGAGCCCCCTCATGCCCCCTTCCAATCACTGTCACTCTCCAAGGGTTACACAATCCTAATTTCTAACACCATGGATTACTTTTGCCTATTTTTGAACATTTTGTACTGTATGTCTGGCTTCCTCACTTTACACAATTTGTTTTGTTTTGTTTTTTTGTGATGGAGTCTCGCTCTGTCACCCAGACTGGAGTGCAATGGCGTGATTTCAGCTCACTGCAACCTCCATCTCCTGGGTTCAAGCAATTCTCCTGCCTCAGCCTCCCGAGTAGCTGGGATTACAGGTGCACACCACCATGCCCAGCTAATTTTTGTATTTTTGTAGAGATGGGGTTTCACCATGTTGGCCGGGCTGGTCTTGAACTCCTGACCTCAAGTGATCTGCCCGCCTTGGCCTCCCAAAGTTCTGGGATTATAGGTGTAAGCCACTGCACCCGGCCAGACAATGTTTATGAGATTCATTAATATTATTGTGTGTAGTTGACGATGGTTCGATTCTCATTGCTATATAGAATTCCACTGTGTGAATATACTACTTTTTAAAAACATCCATTCTACTACTGGGGTGTTTGGGTAGTTCTGGAGTTTGTCTATTATGAGAATTATTGCTGTGAACATCCTTGTGCATGTCTTTCAGAGCACATTATCTCATGCACATTGCTGTTGGGTAGATGCCTGGGAGCAGGTTTTCTGGGCGTGCATATGTTCAGCTTGGGTAGCTGTTGCCAAACAGTTGTCCAAAGCGGTCATATGAGATTTCTAGTTGCTCTACTTTTTTACCAACACTTGGTATGTTTTATTTTTTTTCATTTTAGCCATTCTAGTGCATGTGTCATAGTAGCATATTGTGGTCTTAATTTGCATTTCCTCGCTGACTAATGAATATAAGCACTTTTTCACGTGTTTATTGGCTGTTTGGACAGCCTCTTTTATGAGATGCCTACTTAAGTCTTTTGTCCGTATTTGTATTCAGTTGTCTGACTTTCTTACTGACTTACAGGATTTCTTTACATGGTTTTTTTTTTTGGTTTTTTTTTTTTGAGATGGAGTCTTGCTCTGTCACCCAGGCTAGAATGCAGTGGCGCAATCTCGGCTCACTGCAATCTCCGCCTCCTGAGTTCAAGTGATTCTCCTGCCTCACCCTCCCAAGTAGCTGGGATTACTTACAGGCATGCGCCACCATGCCCGGCTAATTTTTGTATTTTTAGTATAGACGAGGTTTCACCAGTTTGGCCAGGCTGGTCTCGAACTCTTGACCTGAGGTCATCCACCTGCCTCGGCCTCCCAAAGTGCTGGAATTACAGGCTTAAGCCAAGGCGCCCAGCCCTTTACATATTCTTCATACAAGTCCTTTGTCTTTGTTTACAAGATGTAAACATCTTGTAATTATCCATTCCTGCTCTAAAGGTTACTTCTTCATTCTTTTTTTTTTTTTTTTTTTTTTTTTTTTTTTTGAGACAGTCTCTCTCTGTCACCCAGGCTGGAGTGCAGTGGCATGATTTCAGCTCACTGTAACCCCCACCTCCCTGGTTCAAGTGATTTTCATGCCTCAGCCTCTTGAGTAGCTGGGATTACAGGCGCCCACCACCACACCCAGCTAATTTTTGTATTTTTAGTAAAGATGGGATTTCACCATGTTGGCCAGGCTGGTATCGAACTCCCAACCTCAGGTGATCTGCCTGCCTTAGCCTCCCAAATTGCTGGGATTACAGGCTTGAGCCACCGCGCCCGGCCTCATTCTTTTTTTTAATCATCCAGCCCCAAAAAACTCTTCATTCTCTTAATGATTACCTTTAAATGAAAAAAAAATTTAATTTTGATATAATGCAGTTTATCAAATTGCTCTTTTATGATTAGCCCCTTTGTGTCTTTTGTTTGTTTGAGACAGGGTCTTGTTCTGTTGGAAAGGCTGGAGTACAGTGGCACAATCATGGCTCACTGCAGCCCCAAACTCCTGAGCTCAGGCAATCCTCCTGCCTCAGCCTCCTGAGAAGCTGGGACCACAGGCATGAGCAACCATGCCCAGCCACCTCCATATGAGTTTTGGAATGAGTTTGTCAATTTTCACAAAAACAACCTACTGGGATTTTTGACTAGGATTATGTTGAATCTGTGGATTAGGGAGAATAAATCCTTTCATAATATTCAGTCTTCCAATCCATGAATATGCTATATCTCTGCCTTTTTTTCTCTTAAATTTCTTTTGTGTGTGTGTATATATATATGTGTGTGTATATATATGTGTGTATATATATACATGTATATATGTCTATATATACACATATATCTATATACATACATATATACACGTATATACATATATATGTGTATATAGAGAGAGAGATATATAGATATATATCTCTATAGAGATATATGTGTGTGTGTGTGTGTGTATATATATATATATATATATTTTTTTTTTTTTTTTTTTTTTTTTTTTTTTTTTGAGGCAGAGTCTCGCTCTGTCTCCCAGGCTGGAGTGCAGTGGCCCAATCTCGGCTCACTGCAAGCTCTGCCTCCCGGGTTGACGCCATTCTCCTGCCTCAGCCTCCCGAGTAGCTGGGACTACAGGCGCCCGCCACCATGCCCGGCTGATTTTTTTGTATTTTTAGTAGAGACGGGGTTTCACTGTGTTAATCAGGATGGTCTCCTGACCTCATGATCCGCCTGCCTCGGCCTCCCAAAGTGCTGGGATTACAGGCGTGAGCCACCATGCCCAGCCTTAAATTTCTTATTATGAAAATTTCAAACACACAGAAAAAGCAGGAAGGATTATAGTACAACTAATTCCTGTACATTCACCATCTAGATTGAATAGTAGTTGATAGTGCATCTTATTTGCATATATATGTTTGTTCTTCTCAAACTATTTCATAGTAAATTATAGACATCATAGATACTTTACCTATAAATATTTCAACATATGTCTTAAAAATCTAAGGATAATCTCCTACATAATCACAATTCCATTATCATACCTAAGAAAATTCATTGTTCCTAATTTTTTTTTTTTTCGAGACAGAGTCTCCCACCGTCGCCCAGGCTGGAGTGCAGTGGCATGATCTCGGCTCACTGCAAGCTCCGCCTCCCGGGTTCAAGCGATTCTCCTGCCTCAGCCTCCCGAGTAGCTGGGACTACAGGCACACGCCACCACAACCGGTTAATTTTTTGTATTTTTAGTAGAGACGGGGTTTCACCGTGTTGGTCAGGATGGTCTCGATCTCCTGACCTCATGATCCGCCCGCCTCGGCCCCCCAAAGTGCTGGGGTTACAGATGTGAGCCACCACACCTGGCCAATTGTTCCCTAATTTTTGTTTGTTTTTAGAGACAGGGTCTTGCTCTGTCACCCTGGCTAGAGTGCAATGGAGTGATCCTGGCTCATGCTCACTGCAGCCTGGAACTCCTGGGCTCAAATGATCCTCCCACCTCAGCCTCCTTAGTAGCTGGGACTATAGTCACACGCCGTCATACCCGGCTAATTTTTGTCATTTTTTATAGAGATAGGGTCTTCCTATTTGCCCAGGCTCATCTTGAACTCCTGGGCTCAAGCAGTCCTCCCATCTTGGCCTCCCAAGGTGCTGGGACTACAGGCATGAGCCACTGCATTCGGCCTGTTTCGTAGTTTTTAATCTGTAGTCAGATTTCCACAGTTGCCCTCCAAATGTCTTTTGTTGCTGTGTTTTGTTTTGTTTTTCAAAATAAGATCCATGATGTATTGCATTTGTTTATGTCTCTTAAATCGCTTTTAATTTAGAATCATCTCCTCTCTGCCTCTCTTTCTCTCTCTCTCTTTTTTTTTTAAGACAGGTTCTGGCTTTGTTGCCCAGGCTGGAGTGCAGTGGCGTGATCTTGACTCACTGCAGCCTTCACCCCCTGGGCTCAAGTGATCCTCACTCCTCAGCCTCCCAAAGTGCTGGGATTACAGGTGTGAGCTACTGCACCCGACCTCCTCTCTCTTTTTATAAATGACATTGACTTTTGTTAGAGATCAGGCCAGCAGTCTTGTAAATGTCTCATATTCTAGATCTGACTTTTTCCTCATTGTGTTACTCACTTTGTTCCTCCATCTCCTGAACCTCCTGTAAACTGGGACATAGGTCTAGGCTTGATGAGATGCAAATAAACCTCACTGGCTGGGCGCGGTGCATCACTCCTATAATCCTGGCTGTTTGGGAAGCCAAGGTGGGCAGATCACCTGAGGTCAGGAGTTCAGACCAGCCTGGCCAACGTGGTGAAACTCTGTCTCTACTAAAAATACAAAAATTAGCTGGGCGTGGTGGCACACTCCTGTAATCCCAGCTACTCGGGAGGCTGAGGCATGAGAATCGCTTGAACCTGCGAGGTGGAGGTTGCAGTGAGCTGAGATTCACGCCACTGTACTCCAGCCTGGGCGACAGAGTGAGACTCTGCCTCAGGAAAAAAAAAAAAACCCTCACTAAGCTTTCTGGGAGTCTCCTTCTCTGACAGCCCTTCTTAGAGTGGGTAAGGCCGGCAGGTGTATGAACAGAGGCAGTCTCAGTACATGGTGGCAGTTCCTAATATTTGTCCCTGCCTTAGGCCAGACATTTTACTCCAATGTTTGTTCCTGGGAACCTGTTACCCTGAGGCTTCTCCTGGACTGGCCAGGCAGCAGTAGCTTTCCCCTGCTGGGGATCCGGGCCCTGGGCTGCCTTGGGCATTCCCCATCTTTCTCTCCTCCTTCCCTCAGACAACACAGGCAGTTCTACATACCGGCCACCCCCTCGGACCCGGGAGGTGCTGATCAACGGGCAGATGGTGAAGCTGAAGTACTGCTTCACCTGCAAGATGTTCCGGCCACCCCGAACCTCACACTGCAGTGTCTGCGACAACTGTGTGGGTGAGTAGGAGGCAGCAGGGAGGGATGCAGGGATTCCTGAGAGAGACTGAGTCGTGGGGATGGGGGGCATCAAGCATGGGGATGGCGTGGGCAGGGTCTGAAATACCCAGGGCTGGGCAGGGGGTCTGGTTCACCCAGATTTGCCCTGACTCAGGAGGGCCCAGGGGAGGGGCCCTCAGCATAACCAGGAGTGTTTTGGCTTCAGCTCAGGATTGGTGGATTCCTTCCCCCAGCTCTGAGGTGTGGGGCAGACAGACAGGCTTTGAACCCTTCTCCCAGGCTTCAGCCCGGTCCTCAAGAGGTCCAAGCTCCCAGGAAACAGACTGGAACAATAACATTCCAGATGTGTTTGGGCCAGAAAGAATGAGTTACTGTCCAGTGGCCCAGGGCCAGCTGTACTGAAAAA